>NC_000003.12:13760000-15010000 GCF_000001405.40 Homo sapiens
TATGCCCAAAAGAATAGAAATCATTCTACCATAAAGACACATGTACTTGTGTGTTCATTGCAGCACTATTCACAAGAGTAAAGACATGGAATCAGCCTAAATGCCCATCAACAGATAAAGAAATTGTGGTTCATATACACCATGGAATAGTACACAGTCATAAAAAGGAATGAGATTATGTCCTTTGCAGCAATATGGATGGAGCTGGAGGCCATCATCCTAAACAAACTAACACGAAAACAGAAAACCAAATACCAATTGTTTTCACTTATAAGTGCGAGCTAAACGTTGAGTACAGATAGACAAAAAGAAGGGAACAATAGATACTGGGGCCTATATGAAGGTGGAAGGCGGGAGGAGGGAGAGGATTAAAAAAACCTATCTATTGAGTACTATGCTTATTACCTGGGTGATGAAATAATTTGTACCCAAAACCCCCACAACACAAAACACCTATGTAACAAACCTGCACATGTACCCCTTAACCTAAAATAAAAGTTAAAAAAAAGTCTGGTGTATTCCATTGAGTCTAAAACATCACTGATTGTAAGATGCACCTTTATTATATACACATCTGAGGAAAAAACATTCTGCCACTTGAACTTTGATGCAATGATTTCTTTTGAAAGCATTGGCGTAATGCTTATCTTAAAAATTCACTTGGAATTCTTATTTCATTTAAGAGCTCTTCTGTACATAGGTTTTTTCATTCATCCCTCTGGTGCGTAAAAAGAAAGAGAGTAATACATTGGTTAGGTTAGTCCTAAAGCTTTTTTACACTCAGAGTCTGAGTGTTTTGAATAATTTTTGACTCAGTCGTTGATGTCTGGTTTTCTATATAGTATTGTCTGTGTCATCAAGGTCATTGATGCTGCAGCATTTCTAAAAACTTCTGACACCCATTCTGCATGTTCCTGTGCTGGTGTTTTCTTGCTTGGTGTGTGGTGGTCAACCAACTCACATGGTTCAGTAACAGAAGGTGACAGAGCTTTGTCTGTTTGTGGAGATCTTCCCCGCTGGGGCCTGGTAAAGTATTTGGTGGTCACTCTTCAAGAAAATATGATGATTCCTCCTATGGAAACATTTGCTTCACTAATGTTGCCTTTATACTCTATTTCCAGAGGCAGTTGACAGCCGCACTCCACATATACCTGGTGATGAGGATGGTGAGCTGCTGAGGTTCCTTCTCAGAGATGTTAGAGAAAAACAGGTGCATGGCAGAATTAACAAAATACACTATCAGATGCTGCCTGCTGCCAGGAGGTGCCTGTGCTGGCTGGCATTCTGTTGTCTTGTGGCTGTGTGTTTACCTGATGAGCCCTCTGAAGATGGTGAGCTCCTGTGGGCAGGTGATATGGCCCATTTTTCCTGGTACCCCCAGGGCCTGGCCCAGGGAAGTGTTTTGGGGCAAATAGATGAATTGAGTTAGACACACAGTAGCTGAGGGCAGAGATGGTGTAGAAAGATTCCAGAAAACACTACAAAGCAGATGTGAGAACTCAAATCACAGAAGTCTGGGGCCAGGTTGTGTAGGGTCAACATGCCCACTTTGCCTGAAATAGACTCTGAAAGTGTCACAGCTTTCCAGCACAGAAAACGGTTGGTAATGATATAAAGGCAGACCTGAGAGGCTCCTAAGAGATCTTGTCCAACCCTCACCAGATAATTTATGGAGGATCCAAGATTCAAACGTAAGTGGGCCTGGCTCCAACCATGGTGCCACTGTTCGCCACCTGTGGCCAAGCAGGGCTGCCTTGGGTAGCACCCAGCTCCCTGACACTTGAGGTTTACAGGTAGTGGCAGGAAACTTGGAAACTGGACCCAGTTCCACCTTTGGCAGTAGACAAAGGAGGCTATGAGATGTCCAGCATTTGGAAGTCTTACCAAATAAGTTTAGCCCAGCTTGAATGTTTTATGGATGAGAAAATGGGCTCAAATATCACCTCCTTTAGGAAGCCTCTCCTTCCTCTTCCAAACACCCTTCAGTGCCCCAGGCCATTTGCCACTCGGTTGGTGGTTTGCCTGTTCCTCTACCATAGTGTACCAGCCATTCATGTCTGAATTTCTCTCCCTGACTATATAATAAACTTCAATAAAGACCCCATCTCCTTAGAGTGGCCGCATGATCTGGTGGAGGGAGGGTTGACTTTGAACCACTTATACAGCTGTGTAATATTGGGAAAGTTACCCATAGTATCCATGCCTCAGTTTCTCCCATCTGTAAAATGGGGACTAAATGAGTGGACTAAATGAGATTAATAGTGGGAAAATGCCCCAAAGAGTGCAGGCGTTATGAACTGAGTTCTCAGTAAATGTGAGGTTTGAGTCATCATCACCCTCATCATCTAGGCTTTCTCCATAGTGTTTGTCTCTGCAGCACCCATTACTCCTTCTCTGGCACATGCCCCATCTTGTTTTGTGAATTCACTCCTCTACATACAATGGCTAGTCCCCAGGCTCCTGGTGGGTTCCACCCTGGCTCAGTGGCTCTGGCCCCATACAATCTGTGCATCACTTCCTCAGCCACAGTGATTGGTTCGAGGATTATCACATACCTGAGGTCTAGCCAATCAGAAATTACAACAATTCCAGGTCTTTGTGTTGTCTTTGCCCCCAGGGACTTTGAGCTGGGAAGATATAGTGTTGACACCTCTATAGTCCTCCCTTCGCCCCAAAAGAAGAGCCTGCCTGAGAATGGAGCCAGTACAGAAGGTGTAGACCCCATAGAAGGAGTAAGAGACATCCGTGCCAGTGACATCATTTGACCCTGAAGGCAGATCCATACCTTTTAAATTATGTGAGCAAAAGAATAACAAAATAAAATAATTAAAAGTTGTTAAAAATCCCTTCTAGGTTAGGTTAGGTTTTCTGTCACATGCAACTAAAAGGGTCCTACACAATAGTTATTCCAAGTCTGTATGACAGACCAATTTACATATATTTCTAATTGAATTTTTAAAAGAACTTACGCACATATGTAAAACACAGTGCAGTCAGTGTGGAGATCACAAGATACTTGCCTTTGACTGGCTTATACATACAAATGCCTGGCTCTGTGCCTGCGTGGAAACCCGGTCGCCTGCTTCCCTCCACATCCTCCACAGGGTCTGAGCTGCAACCAAGCTGTCTTGTGCTAACACTGCTACCCTGTGGCCAAGGGCTGACTCAACGTCCTTCCCACGCCTTTCTTCACTGTGTCCCAGGAGGAAATTATCATCATCTGTAACCTCGTAGATCTTTTTATATATATAGTCATCTCAGCTCAATCCAGGCAATTTGGTAAGTTGTGGTTTGCTTTAGGAGCTCCCTTCATCTTCTCCTATCCTCACCTCTGCCCCTATCTGTTCCCTAGACAGTGTCATTTTGAGCCACCTTCTGGGCTAGGCTCCCATGGCTTAGAGCTCAAACTGCTGTCTCCCCTTTCAAACAAGTATATTGTAATGGTTCCTTTTCTCTCCAGAAATCAAATTCTGCATAATATTATCTACTTGCAACCCATAATTTAAACAAAACAACATAATTCCCCAGTTGTCGTATTAAAGTGAAATAATAAGAAAAATAACCTGTGAGAAAATAACATGTATTTCGTTACATAAATGCTTGATTAAGACTACTCCAAAAGGGAGGATAAAGTTGTCAAATGATTGCGCCTGTTTAATAATGAATACATGTAGATTTAAGAGAAATAAGACACTCTAACTGAATAATGTGATCCTTTGAAATAAAGGGCTAAAAATATACATTTATACATATGCATAGAGTTCACCACGAATACAACAACGGCAAACACAGACAGACACAGGGATGGTTCATAGGTTACTGGGGGCTGCAGGTGATTTTCTGAAAGAGTGAAGCATTCTTGGAAAAGTCCTAGGAATAGAAAGCATAGCTATCCTTGGATACCTGCTATCATACCTGGTAAGTTCATGTGCGTTAAAAAACCTTGCAAATAATAAAGCTACTCTGTTTAAATGGAAAATTGAGTGAAACTCTGGACACTGGTCATCATAGGTCCAATGTCCAGCATCCCAGGATGCTCTCTGCAAACTGGGAGTAGCTCCACCTGCCAACCACTGGTCGACATAGACACCCCATGAATGTCCACATGCCCCTGGGGCGATACAACTGCCTTTGAAAAGCTCTAGTCTAGAAAAGAGTCTGACAGCTGCAGGAACCACGGTGGACTCTGCGTAGCCATGGGCAGACTGCTCCCTGAGCCTCGGTTTTCTGCTCTGTAAAGTGGGGCTTTTTAATGTCAGGTAAGATGGTGCATTCACAGCAGGCAGGCACTCAGCAGACAGTTCTCCTCTTGTCTCTTCTGCGGTCCTCAGCCAGGCCCTCCATCCCCCGCCCTTCCTTGCACTCCAGGATGCTGGGTATCAGGCCCTCCTAGCCCTGCCTGCTTTAGCAGCCTCCGTGGGTTGCCTCACATTGCTTCTAAGCTCCCTCATCCCCCGAAAGGCCAGTGTCATCATCCAGAAGCCTGAAGTGATCTCTAACGGTCTCTAGCTGTCTCCCTCCAGCATTGCCCGGACACCTGCTGTGTGTCCCAAAAGCCCAGTGAATATATAACAGAAGTCACAGACTAGGGCTCAGATGCAAGGCTCAACACAGGCCCTGTGCTGTTTCAAGGCAGTGTAGAGGGCTTCCTGGAGGATGAGGAACTGAGCAGGGCCCTGATGGTGAAGAGGGCTTAGGTGTGGAGTCTGAGAAGGACATTCTGGGAAGAAGTGTTGGAGCCAACATCTGAGAGGCTTGAACATGGAAGGGAATGGAAAATCACTCTGCTTACTACCTGCCTGTTTCAGGTGATAACCACTCCAATCTGCACTATTGCAACAATTCCTCCTGGCCCCAGCTGTGCCCCTCCAGTCCAGCCCTGACACTTTCTGCCAAGAGGAAATAGTCCCCAAATTCGCAGTTAACCTTGCTTGTCTAGCCCCCGCTCAATCAGACCCTAAGTCGCTCCCATCTCTCGTTGGACACTCAGGTCCTTGGTGCCTTGGACCCACTGATTGTTCCAGATTCTACCCCATTACTTCCTGCCCTCACCTGCTAGTTTATTCATTTCTTCATTCAACAAATATTTACTGAGCACCTACTGTCTGCCAGACCCTGCTCTAGAGGCCAGGTATAGAGTAATGAATCTGAACAGACAGATTCCCCATCGCATGAAATTGATACTCCAGTTGGGAGATAGAAGATAAAGCAAACAAAAAAAAAATAAGATTATGTGGAGTTAAGAGCAGACAAGAAAAATATAGCAGGATCAGGGAGCAGAATGTGAGAAAAGAGGTTTTAAAAATGTGTATTTTAAAATGTAAGGGTTTATCAGAAACGATTTTGTTTTTGCTGGTTTAAAGAATACAGATTGGCCAGGTGCGGTGGCTCATGCCTGTAATCCCAGCACTTTGGGAGGCTGAGACAGGCAGATCACCTGAGATCAGGAGTTCAAGACCAGCCTGGCCAACATGGTGGTGAAACGCCATCTCTACTAAAAATACAAAAGTAGCTGGGCGTGGTGGCAGGCACCTGTAATCCCAGCTACTTGGGAGGCTGAGTCAGGAGAATTGCTTGAACCTGGGAGGTGAAAGTTGAAAGTTGAAGTGAACCAAGATCATGCCATTGCACTCCAGCATGGGTAACAAGAACGAAACTCCATCTCAAAAAAATAAATAAATAAATAAAAATAAATAAATAAATAAAAGAATCCAGATTTTGTTGCTGTGACTGTTTGGTGGCTAATTCTGAGAATACATTCTCATTGGATTTGGCTGATTTTGGCAGGCCCACTCTCCTTTGCCAGGGATGGGTCCAGGGATGGTCACGAAACTCCGCTTTGGCCAATAGGGCTTAAGGGAAAGACCTCCAAGGGCTCCTGGGAATGATTTTCTTAGAAAGGGACATGTGTGGAGAAAGCCCTTTTTTCTCTCCTCACTTTTTGCTTTGAGCTGCTATCATGCAATGATGTTTGGAGCTGTAGCAGCTATCTTGTGACCATGAGGTCTTGTGATATCATGGCATGCAAAGAGTAGCAGAGTGTGGAATTAGAAAGACTTACGTCCTCAGGGACAATACTGAACCCCTGAACAAGCCCAGGGGCCTTATCTTGGAACTTCTTATTCAGTCAACACTAATGTTTTAGACAAAACTTCCTAACCAGTGAGTGACAAACAGCTTTTAGTGTACAGACAGTCCTCAACTTATGATGGTTGAACTTAGGACTTTTCAACTTTCCAATGGTGCTACTGGACATGCATTCAGTAGAAAGCATACTTTGAATGACCACATGACCATTCTGCTTTTTACTTTCAGTACGGTATTCAGTACATCACATGAGATATTCCACACCCTATGATGAAATAGGCTTTGCATTAGACACTTGTGCCAACTGTAGCTAACGTAAGTGTTCTGAATGTGTGTAAGGGAGGCTCGCTAAGCTACCATGTTTGGTAGGTGAGGTTTATTTTTGATTTGTGCTGGGTTTATTGTAAACCATGGAGCATCTGTACCGAGCTGACTCCAGGTAGCTGGAGGGGGCCGAGTGGCCTCAGTGCCTTCTATTTCCCACCAATGATGAGACGAGCCAATGCATGCCACCATCTCTCTGCACACCATGGTAGGATGGGGTGAAAGCTGGGAAGCACTGCTTGAGGCCCCAAGAGTTGCATGCCCCACCATGGACAACCCGTCCCCATCTTCACTCCCTCCACTCCTCTTGCTTCCCAGACACCTCAGACCCTATCTAACTCCATGTTTTTGTACTTGCTGTCTTCTCTACCTAAATGCCCTCCCTATCTGCTCATATCTTCCTGGCAAACTCCTACTTACCCCTCAAAGCCCAGGTGTTGCCTCTTCTGTGAAACTCCTCTGAGGCTCCAAGCCTCCGGGCCTCTGCTCCATCTCTCATTTGTGCTTCCTTCTGCCCCACTGCTCATTCCTGTTGACTGATGGTCTATCCTGCTATAGACTGGGCCCTCCCCAGAGCTAGAGACTGGGTTTCATTGTTGTTTGTACCCCCTGTTCCTAATGCAAGGCCCGGGGGGCTCAGACCAGGGGCTAACCATTTTTGTTGGTTAGCTAAATGAGCAAGGTAAGTGAGTGAATGAATGAGCAAATGTTTTCAGCTGCCAGACCTAGGGCAGAGGCCAGGATGGTCTCTCCCCTGAGCAGAGCACAGTCCAGAGGTGGTGCTGGCACAATGGATGTTCCAGTGGTGGAGGCGACTCTGCAAAGGTGGGCCAGGTGCCTGCTGCTGATGGGCGGGTGGAGGCCTGCCTGCGCCCAGCCCTCCTGCTTCCTCTAATCCCGCTTCTCCCCCTGCACCTCGGGCTGCCTCCTGGGGGCCAGTCCCACCCTCATTCCTCCCCCAGGCTTCTGCCAGCTGAATTATCCTCTCTGCTATCTCCTTCCCTCAGATGTGCTTGGGGGCTGGGGTGGGACACTGGGGTAGGAGACAGGTGATGGCCCTCACTGCTCTGGGGAAAATTAATTAGCCTGGGTTCTGCAAGTCACTTTGAAGACAAAAAAAAAAAGAAAAAAGAAAAAGAAAAAAAGAAAAGAAAAGAAAGGAAAGGAAAGAAAATACTCGCATGGGCCAACTATTATCGTGAGGTGAGGCTCATCGCTCCCCTATGCTAGGGCAGGGTACGCACCCATCATTCCACTCCATACCTGTTTTTCTAGAAAATCCATCTTCTGAATCTCAGCTCTCTGGTGCACGGTGAAAAAAGGCACAAGGAAAGCTGCATTGGTGCCCTCTCTGGGTGGGCCCCACCTGCGGAAAACTGATTCCCAGTTGCTGCTGGGATCCAGAGCTTCAGATCTGGGTTAGAATTCCCAGCCTCCTGACCCCTGCCTGGGGCCTGGCCTCTCTAATGCTTCTGGCATACAACAGGTGCTCAATAAACAGAGCTCCCAGCCTCCTGTCATTGTCTTGGGATGGAGCCGACAGCATCCACACAGCCCCAGGTCAAGGCTGAGCCTGCTGTCAGGGCCTGGTTTCCCGGCTGCCTCCCTAGGGACCACCCAGCCAGCCTGCCTGCTGCACTCCACTCCAGCTCAGAACCGCAGAGCAGCTGACAGCCCTGGGCGTGAGGATGCCAGCTTCCTCCCCACAGCTGGGAAGGCCTGGCCAGACCTCAGGGTGGACCCTTGGCATTAACACCCCCAGACTGGAGTTGTCTCCTTGACATACCCTGGAATGCTCTCCCTGCCCTTTCCCAAGGTGGAAACTGAGGCTTGGAGGGGTCTGGTCTCTGGTTAACAGATACCCAGCCAGGCTTCCAGGCTTCCAACCCCAGCTGGGCTGGGGGAGGGGGTGGCTGACAGGCAGGCAGGTGAGGTTTGGCAGAGGGAAGGTCTGGGAGCTTTTTAGGGCTTCAGAAGTTTGGCATGGGGAGCCGGAGGTGAGCGACGCTTCCTTCTTGGGACCCTCCTGCTCTCTGGTCTTGGCAAACCTGCCAGGCACAGGTGGGCCTCAGAACCAGCCCGTTTATAGCTCCAGGTGAGCGCTCATGGGGCCCCCCACTGAGGAGTTGGGGAGGAAGGCCGGGCCGTGGGCTCCAGATGAAAGGCCAGAGGCGCCCCTGCTATCTCTGCTGCTCCTCACCTGGTGTTCCTGGCCGGCTTCATTACCTGGAAAACCAGAGGGCTTCTCTTTTCTCCACCCCTACCCCCACCCGGGCTCCGCCCTCTCCAGCCGAGTCTCCTTTGCCTTGGAAGATGTATTACAGTGCCCAGTAGGTGCCAGGCCTGCACAAGGCACTGCAGGGGACCCTTGACAGAAGGACTGGGTTGGTGGGCTTCGTCTAGAGCAGGCCCTTCACGCCTTTGAGCCTCAGTTTCCTCTTCTGTAAGGTGGAGATAAGAGTCGCCTCCCTCACAGAGTTCCGGAGGAGACAAGAGAGATAGAGAAAGAGCTGAGTGGAGTCGTGGCCCTATCTTCACGGGACCCCCAGGTATTGGTTCCCAGCAGCCATGGGCTTGGCCTGTGCAAGGCACCTCAGATAAAGAGAGGAGGGGGCCTTGGACTCTGTCTCTGGAGGGAAGGCAAGATGGCTGCTTACTGCTTTGTCTGACAAATAATTCTCGGCACCTACCTGGTGACAGACCCAGTCTGAGCCGGTCTTTGCCTTAGGGAAACTTTCAAAGTGATACAAGAGATTAAAACCTGCTGATGCTATGGGGAGGGAATAACAGTGACCAGCATTTATTAAGCACTTACTGTATGCCAGGCCCTGTTTCCAGTGCTTTTCATGTTTTAACTCACCTAAGGCTCTCAGCCAACCACAAGGTTGGTATTTTCACAGGCTGAGGACACCACACGCAGCTAGGAAGTGTAAACTTAGGATTTGAACCTGGGCTGTTGGGCCCGAGAGCCCCTTTCAGAGAAGGCTGAGGACTTCTGAAGAAGTGTGGCTGCAATGCCGTAAAGGAGAATGGAAGAGGAACTTGGGAGAGGCCTTGCTGTTCCTTCTAGACCACCACCCTCTCCTGCTCACATGCCTTCAGTGACTTCCCAGTGCCTACAGGACCAGTGCAGGGCCTGGGGCTCCTGACCCCCATGCCCTCCGCTGACCTCACCCTTCACGGCTGGCTGTGCCCTTGCCTCCCTCACAGGGCTGTCCTGCCTTTTCTCCCTTTCCACAGGCCCTGCTCTGGCGTCCAATCCCAATCTCCCAGCTTCCCGGGTTAGGGTCAGTCTGAGCAGTGGCACCGTCTCGTGAGTTTCTGGTCCTGCCAGCCAGACGCACTTATGCCAGGAGGTTCAAGGGGTGCTAGTTTTTAAAACTGGGATTGTTTTATCACATTTTATTGTCTTTCTTGGTTAAACCCTTGAGTATACAGTAGATATATATGCATAGCAGAAAACCTGGAAAATAGGACAGTAAAAGACCAGCAAAGACTCAGAATCCTGCAGCCTTCCCCAAGAGTTAGCTGCTATTAACAGATGGGATCTGGCCAGTACACCTTTTCTTTTCTTTTTTTCTAGTAATGCATATTTTTAAAATGCATTTTCCTTTCCTATTTCAGGGTTTGTTCCCCAGGTGATCAGTGAGTCCTTCTTGCTTCTAGCCTAAAACTCTCGTATGGGGTTTTCCCTCCAGAGTGGGGAAGCCCTGAGAAGATGCCATTCTGGGTTGCAGGGTGGGCAAGAAGAGGGTCTTCCCTGACATGCGGTCAGAGAGACCAGGGGTTCTGAGTATCCCATGAAATGAGGACTAGGGGGTCGCTAAGTGACCTCTACAACCTGGAAGGCCCATTCCACAGGGCAGGCGCCTCTGTCTGTCTCGTCCATTCTTTAATCCCCATAGCTACAGCAGTATGGGCTAGGAACAGGCACTCACTAAGTATTTATTGGATGAATGAGGCCGTGGGTTCTGTACAGAGCAGAGAATATGCAGACCAGAGGGGAGAAGGCCTTGCCCATGGCCCTATGCTCAGGAGTCAGGAATCAGAGGCTGGGTTGTCCCTGCACGATGGGGTGGGGGTGGGGAGCCCTGAGGCCAGGATAGGGTGCTGCAGCTTCCTGGTGGGGTCAGAGGCCCTGCCCAGCCCCCTCCCACCATAGGGCAGAGGAAGTGGAGGCTGCATGTCAGAATGCCTGAGGACAGCCTGGCTGCAGAGCCATTTATCACCTGCAGCAATTCCAGGAATGTGGAAATAGGCCAAAGTCAGAAAAGCTTGGAGGGTGGGAGGCCAAGAGATCCCCCCAACCCCTTTTTTCAAGAAGTAGAGAAGCCCAGAGCCTTGGCACCTGGGATGTGTGTTACCTGAAGAATCAGACTCATGGAGCGTGGGCTAACTTTTGCTTTTAGAGGATGCCCACCACGTGCCTGGCACTGTGCAGTGAACTTCACACCTGGCCATCTGGGGCTAAAGCTTGTGCAGTGATGCCCTGTGCTTTCTTCAAACCTGAGCCAGGCTGGGGCCAAGCTGTCTGCCTAACACCCTGCATAGCTCCCGCCTGCTGAGAGGAAAAGTGGAATTCTCACAGAGGCCACAGCCCTGACTGAGCCAGGTCTCCTCCAGTCTCCCTCCTGCTCACTCTGCTCCAGCTGCTGCCCTGAGCCTGCCTCAGGGCCTTTGCCCCTGCTGTTTCTTCTGCCTGGGGTAAGTCTTCCCCATTCAGCTGCCTGGTTTATTGCTTTGTTTCCAGGGCCCTGATCAGAAATCACTTCCTCCGAGAGGCCTTCTCCGACCACCCTTGTATGAGAAACACCCCTAGCTGCTCCGCAGTCCCCTAGACATGCACTGTCCAATACAGCAGCCACAAGCAATGTGTAGTCTTGAGTACCTGAAATGTGCCCAGTGACAGTCCAGGTGTGCATAATGTCCAGTATGCACTGATTTCACAGACATGGCATGAAAACGACAAAATAACTTATTAATCATTTTTTGCATTGATGGCATGTTGACATGATAATATTTGGACCTAATAGGTTAAATCACCTATATTGTTAATATTAGTTCCATCCGTTTCTTCTTGCTTTTGTCCAAGCAGCTATGAGAAAGTGTAGAATTACACAGGTGCCTCACACACTGGGGCACCATCACCTGACCTGGTTTTCTTCCTGGCCCTCACCCGTCTGCCACATCGCGGGTTTACTTGTTCATCTGTTTATTATCCACCCTCCCCAGGAAAACACCAGCTCTGTGAGGGCAGGGATTTGTGCCCGTTTTGTGGCTGCTGTACCCCACACATGTAGAGATTATGAATGAATGAAGGGGTGCCCTGTGCCCGCATTGTGCTCAAGTGCTTAACCTTGAGGGAAGGCGGGGAGGAAGGGAGGGGTGAGCCCACGGTGGGTGGCCAGAGTACTACAGGGAGATGAGAACTGATCTCGGGTCCAGACACTGCCTCTGCCTATGGGCGGCAGGAGCCTCAGTTTCCCTGTCTGTCCTATGAGGGTCTTGTTTTCTGCCTAAAGGTTCAAAATGGGGTGTCCTCCATGAGGCTGTCTTGGGAGCTCCAGCGGGCAGGGGAGCTGGGCACAGCCCTTTCCTGACCAGCACCAGAGCTGGACAGCGGATGAAAGGAATCGCCTCCAGAATGAGCCCACTGTCTTCACCATTCCTATGGAGGTGGTGCGAATGCAGGAGCTGAGACTGGCTTGGGCAGGAAGTCTCCAAGCCTCAGGGTGGGGGCGGGGGCCAGAGGGGCTTGGGGACACACAAGTGGACATGGCACGGGGGGTCCTTGAGAGGGATGTCAGATAGCTCCAGTGAAGTGAGACGGATGATGGGAGGGTGTCAGAGGGGCACTGTTGGCTTCCAGGGCAGGGGTGGCCACTGCTGGGGTTGATAGAAGAAGGACTGATTCCCAGGGGCAGACGTGTTCCCACTGGTGAGAAGGCTGCATGGGTGTCTGCAGGGCAGGGCAGGGCAGCCCAGGGGGAGAAGAGCCAGGCAAAGGTGTAGGGGTGTTTGGGGCAGCAAGGAGGACGATGAGGCTGGGAGCTGGGGACCCTGGGTAGTGGTGGAAGCTGGCAGGAGGGCTTGTCGGGGGCCTGGCTGCTCCCGAGTGGATGTGGCCTTCCATAGACTCTGTGGTCATGGCGGGCATGGTGGCTGCTGCTCCCAGGGTACTCAGAATGGGGCCACCTGGAGTGATGAGGAGAACAAGGGACCCTGGGTATCCCTGCTGCAGGGGTGCTGGAAGGTCAGCCAGCCACCAATCCAGCTAAGATAGTCCCCGCAGAGGATGGCTGGCCAGCCCCAGCTTGCACACCTCCCAGCACGAGGCAGTTGCTTCTTCACAGCGGCTCAGGATGGGGATAGCTGCTCTCCACAGGGCAAGTTGAGTTTGTCTTCCTGTGACCCTGCCCCTTCCCAGGCCAGGACTCTGTCCTTGGGGACAGAGATGTAAAACAGCCCTACAGGGACTGGGGACCATGATGAATTCTCCAGCTGCTCCTTGAAGCCTATCTCCAGCCTGGTTCCTCCTCCGGTGACTCCCTGCCTGTCTCTGCTCTTTCTGCTGGGAGATGCAGACGGGGAAGAAGCCGCATTCTGCAGGACCAGGGGGTGGGGTGCCCCCAGATTACCTGTGACTTTGGGCATGTCATAGCCCTGCTCACAGCCTCAGTTTCCTGCTCTGGGAGGTGGGTATGAATCACAGAGCTTCCCTCGCAGGGTGAGCGTGAGGCCCTTGCAAATGGCGCCAGGCCTGGCCCCATGGGATTGCTGGGCGCGCTCCCCTGCTTTCCTGGGGAGCTGGGTTTTGAGTGTGGGCTGCCAGGCGGGCGGGCAGGCGGGCAGGCCTGGCCCGTTACAGGGATTAATGGGTGGCTGGCTTTGGAATGATCACCCCCCATACATGGGAGGTAGGGTGGTGGGCAGCCAGGGAGCCAGGAGTGATTCCACACCTGCACATAATTACCAAAGGATCTGCCTCCTGGGAATTATTTTTATCTTAATATTTTATGTGGTTCCAAAAATTGGGAGAGGGTTGAGCAGGGCCTGGGACACAAGCAGCAGGGGTTGCTGGGGGCACTAGGAGGTCACTGCCCCTCATGGCCACCTGTCCAGGCACCTGGCACTGGAGTTTGCCTGCCATCGGGAGAGGATGCCCAGCTGCTCTGGGGCCTGCAGATCATCTGGGAAAGGTGAGAGTCCATTGGAGGCAACGGAAGCCCTGTGCTGCTGTGGCTGGGAGAGCGTGAGTGTGCACACGTGTGTGCACGTGTGTGTGTGCAGTGTAGTGGCTGCACACTGCAGTGGCTGAGCGGAACTGGATGTGTGAGTGAATTTAGATGGGACATATCTGAGCAGGTGGGTGTGCATCTGAGTGTGCTCAGTGTGTGTGTCAGGGCAGCGTGTGCCTGCGCATCTGAGTGTGTCTTGGAGGAGGGCGGGGGTTGATCTTTAGTGGGGGCCGACTGTGGGTGCGCATGCACCACAGCATGATGGTATGTGTCTGTGCTGTGGGGTTGTCGGTGCATTTGGTTTGGGTGTGTGGCAGTGCTGGACTGTGAGTGTGTGGCTCAACTGGGCAGCTACTGGAAGAGGTGGGGAGACTGTGTGTGGGGTGGGATGTGTACACGGTGTGTGCTTAGCACCACGGGGAGGTGCTGAGTCAGTGGCAGTGAGGGAGAGAGCTGTGAGTGCGCAGGGGTGAAGGTGTGAGGGCTATTTGTGTATGACTGGGTGGGTATGAGTATCTATATTTGGTCTGAGCCCAGATAGGGTGTGTGTGTGTGTGTGTGTGTGTGTGTGTGAGAGAGAGAGAGAGAGAGAGAAAGAGAGAAAGAGAAAGAGAGAGATGAACATGTGTGTGGGATGAGTGGGTGGGTGTATTTGCAGCTGTGCAGTTTTATGGTTCCTACTTGGGTTGAGGGACCCGTGGCTGAGTGCCTGTCCTATTGCCTGGCTGGGGCTGACCACCAGTGGGTGTGGGATTGCCCAACAAGTGAGGTGCCTGTAAGTGTTTAGCAAGGGTGCGATCTGGGCTCACGGTGACCTATACCTCCTAGGCTCAAGTGATCCTTCTACCTCAGCCTCCCAAATAGCTGGTAACACAGACATGCACCACCACGACTGGCTAATTTTTGTATTTTTGTAGTGTTGGGGTTTTGCCATGTTGCCCAGGCTGTCCGGAACTCCTAGACTGAAGCGATCCACCCGTCTTGGCCTCCCAAAATGTTGGGATTACAGGCGTGAGCCACTGCGCTTGGCCGGATTGTTATAAACTTAATGAGATGGTGGCTCAATCGTGGCAGCTGCCCCATGCTTGTTTGCTTGTTTTTAACCTAGAGCAAATCAGTATAGCCCCTTGCAGCTGGTGGCACCTGCTTTCTTTGATTTCCTCATTCAAGGGGCCCTGGAAGCCTCTGGCTGCCATCTGGAGGGGCAGCAGCACTCCTGCCCTTCTTTCCCTCAGTGTTCTAACAATTCACCAGCCCTCCCTTGAAATCCAGAGCACTCAGCCATCCTGCAGGCCACCACGCTGGTCTGCTTCATTGATGACATGCCATTTGGTCCTGGGAAATGAGAACCAGGAACATCTTAGACACCTTGCTCAGATCCATGTTGTGAGGAGACAGGAAAGAAGCCCCAGAAAAATTCAGGAACCTGCCACCTTGGCGAAACTTCTAGGGGTCCCGTAAGTTGGGGCCTGTCAGGGTATCCCTTCCTGGGTGAAGATGGCTAGATGGCTGCACCTTGCTCCTCTTGCCACCAAGGAAGAAAACATACCTATTGGGGCTTTGGATTGTTGAGGACAATGTTGAGTGTGTGGCTCTCACCCAGATTGCTGCCAGTTTTGAATGTGACCCCAAACAAGAAAAGGCTCTGCAATAAGTCCAGGTTGCTGTACAAAAGGCCTTGTCACTTGGGCCATATGACCCAGCAGACCCAATGGTGTTTTGAGTGGCAGCGGCAGATAGTGAAGCTACATGGAGCCTTTGGCAGCTTCTATAGGTGAATTGCAGGGAGGATCCTTGGGGTATTGGAGCAGAGCCATATGATCGTCTGCGGAGAATTATTTTCCTTTGGAGAAAGAGTTTCTGGTTTGTTACTGGTAGAGCTGGGAGAGACTGAATGCTCGATCATGGGCCACAAAGTTACCATACCGCCAAGCTGCCTGTCATGGCTTGAGTGCTGTCTGGCTCACCAGGCACAGGGCTGGGTGAACTCAGAAGCATCCCATTTGCAGGTGGAAATGGCACACGTAACACTGGGCTGGAACAAGTGCTGAAGACAAAAGTGAGTCGTAGAAACAAGCAACTCAGACTCCTGTGTCACCTGCTTCTCCTCTCCTCATACCTATGTTTTGTGGGGAGATTGCTATGACTACTTGGTGGTGGAAGAAAACATTCACCCCAGCTTACAGATGACTCTGCATCATGTGTTGACACCATTCCACAGATAGCGACAGCACTATAGCTCCACTCAGGGTGGCCCTGAGGACAGCGGTGAATAGAAATTCTCTTTGTGGAAAGAACTTGAACAGTGTATCTGGATGGCCTTTTTGCCTTCAGGGAGAGATAAGGGTTTTTCTACATAGGTCCATGTGCAACGGGCTAATTATTTGGGTGGATGATCAGGAACATGGCAGGATGGAAGGAACACTATTGGAAAATGAGTGACAAGGAAGCCTGGGATGAAGTATGTGGCTAGACCTTTGCAAATGAGCACACACTGTCAGGACACTGGTGTCTCATCATTGTGCCCACCAAAGGGCAAGCCCAGCAGAGGAACCTCCCAGCAATCCGGTGGCAAGATGACCTGTTTTGAGGATGTCAGTCAGCCTCTTTCCCCAGTCACATCTGCCATTGACTAATGGCTTTATGAACAAAGTGGCCATGGTGGCAGAAATTGAGGTTCTGCTTGAGCTCAGAAAAACATGGATTTCTACTCATTAAGGGTGATCTATCTGCAGGCACTGCTGATATTCCATCCCGCCAGCAGCAGACACCAACACTGAGCTCCTCCATGCCCTTACTGGCAGAACACCAGCCAGACACCTAGTGGCAGGTGGATGACATTGGACCACTTCCATCATGGAAGGAGAATGATTTGTCATCACTGGAATTGTCACTTTTTCTGGATATGTATTTGCCTTCCGTCTGCACTGCTTCTTCCAAACCCATCATCTGTGGTCTACAGAATGCTCAACCCATTGTCCACAGTATTCTACACAGCACTGCATATGGCCAGGAGAGCTCATTTTACAGTGCATTAAGTGCAGCAACAGGCTTGTGTTTGTGGAATTAACTGGTCTTTTCATCTCCCCATCTCCCTGAAGCAGCTGGCCTGATGGAACTGTGGAATGGTTGCTTTAAGACTCCCAACTGCATGACAACAATTTGTGGGGCTGAAGGAATGTCCTACAGGATGTGGCATGTGCTCTAACACAGTGACAAATATATCTGTGTGGTTTCTTCCACAACCAGGATTCACTGATCTGAACATCAAGGGCTAGAACTGGGAGTGGATCTTCTTACCATGACCTCTAACATCCCGTTGACCAATTGCTTGCTTCCTATCTCCACGACTTTATGCTATACTGGTTTAGAGATTTTGATTCTCAAGGAACAAATGCTCCCACTGGGAGACATAAAAAAATCAGTCCATTGATTGGAAGTCAAAACTGCCACCTAGCCCTTCATACCACGGAACCAATGGGCTTAGAAAGGTGTTTTTATAATGACTAGGGCAATTGATATGGATGGTCAGAAACAGAGGGCAGGCAGAGGGGAGTATAGCTGGTACAAGTGTTCTCTGGGGCACCTCTTGGTACTCCTGAATCCTGTTGTTACTAGAAAACTATAGCAGCGTGGTATAGGCAGAACCATAAATAACATCATCCTTCCAGGAATGCAGCCATCAGCCTAGGAACTAAGCTGAGATGAAGGCAAAGGGGATATGGAATAGGGAAGGGAAGATGGAAGTTACAAATACAGCCACGTGACTAGTTGCAGAAATAGAGACTGCAGAATTTGTGTGTGTAGTGTGTTTCTTGCTTTTCTATGCATATACCAGTATAGATTCATCCACCATCGTTCTCTTTCCTTCCTCTCCTATTTCCATACCGTTGAAATACAAAGTAGATGAATAGTAATGAACCTGTATCTTTGCATTAAAGTTATAGACATCAAAGGGGGCATGTGCCTCCAGTAGCAGAGGGGAAGTGACATGTGTAACATGTGTCTCCTCTTAGGGGAGAAGGTAGTTGCTTCCAGTTGGTTGAGGGGTACTTGCGTTGGCTTAGACACAAGTGCAGTGTTATGGTCTTCATTCAGAGGTTAAATGTAGTTAAAACAGGTATGTGGGATGCCGACTGGACAGAGTGTGTCGTGTTGGATCATCTGTCATTCAGCTTGGCACACAACAAAGGCTGGGAACAATGTTTTCATGGATCCCTTCCTGTTTGGACCAGGGAAGAGTTTTTCCAGTGAGTGGTATCCATGTGAGGTTGGGAGGTAGAGCAGACATGGCTTGGATGTGGCAGGGTCAGATGCTGTGGCCTGGGCAGATGTGGTGGCTTCCACGAACCTCTGCATGAGCTCTCATTTCATGGCCCCCTCTTGGGAGGTAGACCCCCTAGGTTATCAGATTTCTTGACTTTTCCTTTATGGAAATGTATTGATCGGCTGACGTGTGATAAATGCCTAGTGCTATGGCCTGAGTATTTGTGACCCCCCCCCGTGAAATTCATATGTTGAAATCCTCACCCCACAAGGTGATGGCATTAGGAGGTGGGGCCTTTGGGAGGTGATTAGGTTATGGGGCAGAGTTCTTATGAATGAAATTAGTGCCTTATGAAAGAGGCCTGAGAGAGCTCCCTGGCCCCTTATGCCATGTGAGGACACAGTGATGGAAGCCATCTGTGAACCACAAAGTGGGCCTTCACCAGACACCCAATCTGCAGGCTCCTACATCTTGGACCTCCATCCTCTAGAACTATGAGAAATAAATTTCTGTTATTTATAAGCCACTGAGTCTATGGTTTTTTTTTTTCCCACAGGGTCTCACTGTGTCACCCAGGCTGGAGTGCAGTGATGCACTCTCGGCTCACTGCAGCCTCGATCTCCCAAGTACAAGCGATCCTATCAGCTCAGCCTCCTGAGTAGCTGGGACTATAGGCGCACACCACTGTGTCCAGCTAAGTTTTGTATTTTTTTGGTGGAGACAGCGTTTCTCCATGTTGCCTAGACTGATCTGTAACCCCTGAGCTCAAGTGGTCCACCTGCCTTGGCCTCCCAAAATGCAGGGATTACAGGTGTCAGCCACCATGCCTGGTCTTATGGTATTTTGTTATAGCAGCCTGAGTGGGCTAAGACACATCTACAAGCTGCTGAAGGGACAAAGGTATCTCCACATGGGTGGGGACCCCAACCTTGCAGAATTGCTAAAATGGTAGCGCCCAAGTCCTCACCCCAAAGCTACTAAATAGGCCAGGATTTCTTGGTGCCAAGAAATCTGCATTGTTAGCAAGCTACATCCCTTCAGGCAATTGCGGAGGCTGCGCAGACAGGCTGGGAAACTGAGATAGAAGACTCAGACCTTATCTCCTAATCGTGGTCAGCATACCGCATTGAAGAAAAATCGAGCCATCCAGTGAAGAGTTCTGATGATTCTGATGACTCTTTGAAAACAACAGCAGTAATGATCATCAATAAACCAAAGCAGCGCTTTGCACTCAAAAAAATCCTAAATAACAGGGGTGTTCAATCTTTTGGCTTTGCTGGGCCACATTGGAAAAAGAATTGTCTTGGGCCACATATAAAATACACTAAGACTAATAGTAGCTAACTTACTTTAAAAAAATCACAGACAAAAAAATCTCATAATGTTTCAAGAAAGTTTACGAATTTGTGTTGGGCCACATTCAAAGTTGTCCTGGGCTGCATGTGGCCTATGGGCTGAGGGCTGGACAAACTTGTTAAATAATATAAAGCAATGTTTGTCAAAAGTGATATCTGTAGCCTTGGAGTTCAGCGAGACGATTTTAGGTGGCACAGGGAAAAAAATATTTTCTATTTTAGTAGCTGTAGCATGTCAAACATGTTACTCGCTTATGGTTACATTAAATCAGGCAGCAAGTTTAAAAGAAGAGGGTTGGTTTAGGCAAAGACATAGGTGACAGGAGAGGTGGGCAGTAGTAAGACACACCATTGTGTAGACCCCGTGCAAGGCCTTGGGAAGCACCCCATGTCACTTCTGTGACATTCTTGCCAAAAATATATAACCTCGTTCTGATCATGAGTAAACATCAGACAGATCCAAACCGAATCCAAACTCTACAAAATAACTGAGCTGTGTTCTTTAAAAACATAAAGTAAAACATAAGTGACCAATCACGACTGAGGAACGGTCCCAAGTTGGCAGGGACATGACAACTAAAGGCAATATGGGATCTGGATCTGATTTGGGACCAGAAGAAGGACATTTCGGGAAAATTGGCAAAATTCTAATAAGGTTTTTATGTTGGTTAACAGGATTTTATTCATGACAATTTCCTGGTTTCAATCATTGTACTTTATTGTGCAAGATACAAACATGGGGGAAACTGAGTCAAGACTATACAGGAAAACCTTGTGAGTCTAAAATTATTCCAAAACATTAAAAAGGAAGATAAATGGTATCTGATTGAATTGAAAAATGAAAGAAAAAGAGTAGGGTCTATGTGGAGTGGGCAGAAGTTTTGCAGGATGTGTAAGGGTGTCTGACTCAGGAGAAATTCACTCAGAAGTGTCTGCTCATTTGAAAGTTTGAATGATTCTTTAAAAATCAAAACACTTGGAAGTTCTAAGGATTCCAAACATTCTCCCTTCCCTCCCAAATCGAATATTCCCCAATTCTAAAGATTGGGGAATCAGATTATTGCAAAGTTCTCAAACTGCCAAATATTCTACAGTGTTAGAAGCATTGCCTTATTTTAGGCAATGCTCTTCAAACTGCAGGATGCACGGGGTCACTTGTTTAAAATACAGATTCATGAACTTTGTCTCCAGAGATTTGGAATCGGTAGGTCTGGAATAGGGCCCGGGAATCTGCATTGTGAATGCCCCATCTGTGAGCTTGTTGTAAGCACCCCAGAGGCCCCTCTGAAATCTCTGCTCTAGGGGTCCCAAGCTGCCCTCCAGATCAGCCCAGTAGTGGGGACCAGCCCGACTGGGAAGGGGTCTGTGTGGAGCAGAGGATGGAGCATTCTCTGGTGGGTGCTGGACAGCAGCCCAGCAGACCTCACCTGTCCCAGGCTTGAGCCTGGCTGTGCCAGGGGGATGGGGAGATGGGGTGGGGTCTCTGGGGACTCAGGGTTCCTGCCCCCTCCTGATCCCTGTCCATCTGCTGCCCGGGAAGCCAGGCCACTTGTGGGGCTGGATGTGTGGGGCAGACAGCCTGACTGAGTTGCCACAGGTGCCCTGAATCTTGGGGATGAAGCAGGCATGCTTCCTGCCACGGGGTCGGGAAGGAGCCAGGGAGGGAGCAGGGGGGCCTGCAGCAACAGGCAGGGTGGTGACACAAAGACCCATTCACCATCTCCAGGGCAGTGGCGACTCTCAGGGGAATCTCTCAGTGGCTGGGGGTGGAGAGAAGCCAGTTCCCAGCAGACAGCTTCATGCCTGTGTGGCGTGACATCTCTATTTCCTCCAGAGGCTCTAGAACACAGGAGCCTGCAGCCTAGGCCCCCACCCCGCCATCCTAAATAACGGTGGCAGGCGCTACTCTCAACACCTTAGCTGCTTTTACTTGCTGAATTCTCACAACAACAGAGATCTCATGGGGAGGTGAGTAGAGGGACATCATTGGGTAAGGACATCATGGATCAAGGGCTCAAACCCCAACCCTGGGCTGCAGTCTGCTCCCCAGCACCTCTCTGCAGGCTGTCCTGCTTGCACCCCACCCCCTAATACCATGGCTTCCCATTCAGTCCCACACAGCTCTGGCAGTGAAGATGCTCTTTCTTGCAGGGAGCTAGAGTCTGCCTCCCTGTGAGTTTCCTTATGGTTCTGGCTCCTCCCAGGCTGCAGTCTCCAGCCCGTCTCCTCCTCTCTTCTAAACGTACCTAGAATATTCCTGCTTCTCCTCAAGGGTAGGACCCAGTTCTTTCAGAGGACTCTGCATTGTATGGAATATAACTGAACAATCACCTCCCTTATGCTGGGTATAGGTCTTGGTTAATACGATCTGAACTACTCACTTCTTCTTTAGAGAAGCTATCCCACTGTTGATGCCAATCAGTGCTCTCAGGTAGGCCTTAAAGTGTTAACGCTTTTCACTTGGCTTTACTATGACGTCTGCATTCTGTGCATTTTACTTTTGCCTCTTTTTAGCTCTATCATACTCAAGGGAATCATGGGGCATTCTTGCAGGGCCTGACGCTAGTGCCCTCATCCCGGCAATAACCAACACCAATAGCACCCATCACATACTCACCACTTCACACAAACCTGCTTTCCCCCACTGGTATCTCATGAACACCTTGCAAGCATCAGGAAACTGAGGCTTGGAAACATGGAAGGACTTGCTCAAGGTCACACGGTGGAGAGGAGCAGAGCTGAAGACAGCGCTAATGACCACTTTTTAGCTTTGCTGTGTGCTAGATATTGGGCGGGGTCTCTCTTACAGTGACCTACTGAGGTAGACTCCGTGCCACCTGCTTTGTATAGGTGAGGAAACAGGTGCAGTGTGGTGTAAACACCCATCTGCTGCTTCGGGTGCACAACCAGTGTGAGATTTGGACCTGATGGGCAGGTTTAGGTCTACACTCTTCATTCCTGAGCTGTTCTGCCTCCCAGGGCTGTGAGGCTTCCTCAACCATGCTGGGCCCCTCTCAGGCTCTTTCCTCACTGTGATTTGGGGAGAGCGGTGGCTTCCCTGTGGGCTTGGGGGCTGATGTGCATCAGCCGACCTCCCTCCCCACACAGAGCAAGTTGTCAGGGAATGAGCGTTTATAATGAAAGGAAAAGGAAGGAGTATTCAAAAGCCTTTTCTGATCCCTGAATGGAGTTAGACTGCCTCTCGGGTTCCCTCCAGCTCCCCCAGTTCATTCCTTTGACAAATATTTTTCAAGCACCCGCCCGAGTCCCTAGTGTCCTATAAGGCCCCTGTGATCTGGGTCCTGCGACCTCTCTCACTCCAACCCCTTCACCCTCCTGCAGTCACTGCACTCTGGCCACACGCTCTCAGCTTTGCCTGGCACTCTCCCGCTCCAGGCATTTGCACTGGCTGTTTCCTCTCCCAGAAATCTCTTCCCCCAGATGTCCGGTTGGCTCACTGCCTCGGTTCCAAAGACCTTTCATTTCTCAGGGAGATCTTCTGTGATCACTGTGTCTAAAATTTCCACACCTGGCCCACGCAGCACGTCCCGTCTCCCTTCCCAGTGTCACGGTTTCTTGTTAGTCTTTATTGTGCTTCCCCACACCAGATACCTTCCTCACAGTTGTGGTTGTTGCTGTTTGACTGTCAGCTCAACTGGGAGGGGATTGTTGCATGGTATACTCACGGCTGTAACCTCAGTCCCGAGCCAGTGCCTGGCACCCAGGAGGTTCTCCGTGAACATCGATGGGGTGAGCACAGGCTGTGTGTCTGGATTAGATGTGTGGGAAGCAGATTCTTCTTCAAGGAGCGATGCCTGTCTTTGTTCATTTGCGAATATTTCTTGGACATCCTCTGTTTCAAATTTCACAGCCCTCCCCATTTTGTTTTAGTGATCACACAGTGTCCCAAGGCACGGATGGATGGCTCATGACTTATTTAGCCAGCCTGCTGTTTCTGTTGAATATTTGGACTGTTTCTGATTTTCGCTGTCCCAAGCTACAAACCTCCACACTGGTGGCCACCATCCAGGAGGTGGCAAAGCCCCTGCTGAAGCCAGCTGGGGTCCTCAGAAGAGCTGAAGCGGACCTTGGGCCCTAGCTGGCTAGGAAAGGGCATCAGAGTTGGGGGAGGGGTAGAACTTACAAATTTGCCATTAATACCTCAGGACCTAATTCATAAAAGCATCTAATTATGGGGTGCCAGTGTTTAATTGTAATTTTGGTAATGACCTGCAACTGCATACAAATTATAGGGTAATCAACTCAAACGTGCTGACAGCTGTTATAAATGCCATTTAATCTGACGTGGAGCACCCAGCCGGTGTCTCTGGGACTCAGGAAAAGGCAGGGTGTGGAGGATGGCCTGCATTCGGCTTATAATACCAAGACAACGGGAATGGCATAAGGCCAGACTGCAAACACCAGCTGCCATGCATTTTTACTCACCCCTCGTCCTTGCCCATGAAGTGTGGCCCAGGAAGGATTGCAGCAAGAGGTCAAACCCAGATTGAACCTGTAACGGTTTGGAAGGTGAAAGAGGAAGGCTGCCTCGCTGGGCTGGCTTGGGGCAGGATAAGGAGCTCAGAGACAGGGGCATGGCTGAACAGGCTTCCTCTGCACCTTTGGCAGGGGGTGGGCCAAGTCAGAGGTTAGAAATTGGTGGCCGCTGATGTGTTTTATCTGGCCTCATGTGCTCTGAAATAATACATCTGGAAACCTTAGGTGAGGCACGTGCTGCTTTTTAACCACACTCCCCACCATTCTCTATCATCTTCCCTGTAGCCTACTCTCCTCCACTTTCACCTTTACCACCTGGGTCCTGTTGGCATTGAGTTGCCAGCACCTTTCCAGAGATAGTGTCTGTGGTCAGGGGAACACGGGCTTTGGAGCTGGACACACAACTTTAAAGTCTGCACTCTGTCCCTTGCCAGCTGAGGGGCTGGGGGCAAGGAAGAGATCTCTCTGTGCCTTTCCACGTGCCAGAGAGAGGGTGCACACATGTATAAGGCCCCACCTGAAGGGTTCAGTCAACAAGTTCTCCAGCTGCGAGGGTAATGTAGCGCAGTGTGGGCGCTGGTGCAGACCGCCCAGGTTCCCATCCCAGCCCAGGCACCAGCAAGTTTCTGGAACTTGGGTTAGCTGCTTCAGCTCACAGCTTCTTTATCTGTAGAGCAGGGAAACTAATAAAGAGTGCTACCTACCTCAGACGGTTATGTAGAGTTCATGGATATGAAGGGCTAGAACAGCGCCTGGCACACAGCTGGCACTTCACAAATGGTAGCCAACACTGATATATGCAATGTTGGCTTTTGACATCTGATGTGTCGGACACTTGGAGTACATCTCAGTGAGTACCTACCATCTGCTGGGGAATTGAGGACAGGGTGAAGGACAAGACAGACAAAGACTTTCACATACACACACCATCCTCTTTTCCTCTCCCTCTCTTTGAAAACTCTTCCTTGTTGATCTGTCCTGCAAACTCATATTCATCCTTCAAGACCCAGCTGGTTTCTCCCCCTTTGCCCAGTCTTTGCTGCTACCCTCCGTCCTCTGGGCCAATATCTGTTGAGCACTGGCTGCCTTTGTGGCATTGAGCTGAGGAGGCCATTGGCTTGTCTCTGTCTCTGAGTGGGGGTGTTTTGGTGGCTGGATCATGACTACACTGAATATGGCTCTCTGAAGAACTTGCTCAATATGGGTTGAACTGATCCTATTAAAATAGCAAGTCAGGAGGACCTTAGAGGACTTCTGTACCAGGGCGGTTGCCTTTCTACTAATTTGCTTTAAAAGGAAATATATGTTCATAGGGTAAAACAATCTATTACGCTAAAGAAGTACATAAGGTACAAAGTGAAATTTTCCTTTTCAATCTTTTGAATTTTTTAGAGATTACCGATGTCAATAGTTTTTTGGGCTTCATTGCAGACATTCTCTATGCATCTCCACACTGTCTATTTCCCCTCTAAACACACTCGTCTGCACCTTTCTTTGTTCACTTGCTAATATTTCTTGGACTTCCTTCCATTTCAAATTTCACAGCCCTCCCCCATTCATTTTAGTGGTTGTGAGGGGTCCCAGAGTATGGATAGTTTGTGATTTATTTAGCTGGTCCCCTATTTATGGGCATTTGGGCTGTTTCTGAGTTTTGCTATCCCGAGCCTCACTGTGTGAATGTTTTGGTATGAACCTTCCCATGTGTAATCTGCTGCTGGTGATATACTCAGCGGGGGTGAGGTCCCCTGAGTGAGCTGGCCCGTCCTCTATTGTTGGGCCTCTCTGTTGCTTTCAGTCCTTTTGTATTTCGCACACCTTTCAGGGGCTGAGTGCTGCTACTAAACCGCTTTAGAAACAGCCTTATCCCATGGGTCCCTCCGTGGTTCAGGATCTCCAGAGTTTTGCCGGGAAACACCCCAAAGGATGGACAGCCAGGCACATCCCTGCCACCCTCTTGTCCTGCCCCCACCCAAGTGGGACAGCTGTGCCTTGTCCTGTATTGCATGCATTTTTTACTGTCAACTTGGAGTTTCTCAGCTACTGAACTAAGTCTGAAGGCACTCATTTAGTTGGGAGACTTCCTCTGCCTCCCCATTTCAGGTCTAGGGAAGCTGAGGCCCAGGGAGGGGGCTATGTGCCCCCAGTTCATCTGGAAACCTCAGCTGCAGGTTTGAGGCCTGCCCGGTCTGGGTGGGCAGCGGCTGACACCAGGCTTCCCTGGGGCGGCCCCCCCAAAGGGGCCTTCAGCCCCGTCCTTGGCCTAATCCCGTTTTCTGCCCAGCTGAACAGCCGAGAAGGCTTATTTCTCGTCCCATTTTAATGCAAAGGAGGCTGCCTGGCCTGGACTGGCTTGTTCTGAGTGCAGTGACAGTGGCCGTGAATGGGGACCCCAGTAACGGGGACAAAAATGTGACAGGGCCCTCCATCATGGCATTGTACGACAATCGGGACATTATGGTTGCTCCTGGAACCCTCTCCAGGAAGGGGTGGGAGCCTCCGCCTGGTATGCTAAGCAGACAGAGGCCAGGCCTGCCTTGGGCCCCTGGCCTTGGCCTGGTCAGTGATTCCATTGTGTGAGGCGCTTGGACCTGAGCAATTCAAAGGGTTCTCCAGCTGCCTCCCTCCCTCCCACCTCCTGTTACTGAGGCCTGGGCATCTGGGGTGTGGGTGGAGGGGCTTTCAGATCCCGCTGCTGGTCCCACCATCTTGCGGTGTGTCCCCAGGACAGCTGCTTCCCTCTCTGGGCCTAAGCTGGTACTAACAACAGCAGTAACGACAACAACCACGTAACAGGGGACATTTGAATGTTGGCCATAGCGCTTGACATGCGTTCCTTCTACCATTCCCACTGCCTTCCCCTGATTGAGGAGGTCATTGAGGCCCCGTACGTTAAGTGACCAGGTGTGAGAGGCACAGTATGACATAGGGGATGGGCCTGGCTGTCCCATAGAAACAGAGTGCAAGCTTCACGTGAGCTTTCCAACTTCCTGGAAGTTACGTTAAAGAATATATCAAAAGGAACAGGTGAAATCAAATTTAATTATCTAATTTACATAACTCAATCTACCCCAAATATGATTTCAACATGTAATCTGTATTTCAGCTACTACGAATGAGACATTTTGCATTGTTTTTCATGAAGCCTGGTGTGCATTTGACACTTAGAGCACAGCTCAATTCAGCACTCACCACCTTTCAAATGCTCGTGCCACACGCGGCTGGTGGCTGCCGGGCCGGACAGCGCAGCTATAAAGGGGACCAGGACATATGCTCACTTCCAGCCTGTGCTGCTCACTCGCTCCATGACGCCAGGCGGGTCACTCTGCCTCTCTGAGAATCAATTTCTGGGTGATGAAGAGGAGCAAAGTAATCTCTGGGGTCCAGGCTGCTTGGGGACATGTACCCTGAAAGGGGCTCTCTGAGGCCCCTGGGTCATTCTTCAGCCCCTCTACCCACAGGGGTTTTCCTCCCAGACCGTGGCTGGGGTGGTCTCTCTTCCATTCAGGCACCAGCAGAGCCCAGGCATCTTCAGTACGTTTTGTCCCGGGATAGGGGTCAGGGGTGACCTATATAGGTCCTAAGTCAGGGACGGGGGTCCCCAAAAGATTGTTTCCCTATGTTAAGCCTCCCCACAATTAACCCATTTTGCAGCAGTGGAAACAAAGGCCCCTTCACCTAAAGACACATAGGGAGGGAGTGGCTGAGCAGAACTTTCTCCTGCCTCTTGTCAAAGCTTTAGCTAGGAGCGTTTCCCTGTCCTCAGGTTCCTCAGGGCTCCATGAGATTCTCCCGCTGACAAACGGAAATGCTCCTCCCCTGGATGAAAACCAGGGAAGAATTTTCCACTGGGAATTGAGGCTGCCCCACCTCGGCTCTGGCTGGGTCTATCTGCTGAGCAACTTCCAGTGGATCGTTTCCTCTCTCTACCCCAGTTTTTGTGTGGGCAGGTCCAGGGTCCCTGCAGCGGGGGGCGGAAGGGGGTTGGTCAGTGTTTGCCGGCCGCCAAGGGCGGGTTCCAGGTCAGGGGTTGGAGGCCAAGACAGGGGCAAGATGTGGCTCTTTCCTCTCCCCCAGCAGCATTCTCCCCAGACCCCATTGATCAGAGGAGGCTCCCATCCTCAGAACCACAGACTCGCCTGCTCTGCCAACCCCTGGCGCCTTTCTATTTGTGACTGGACAACTTCCAGGGCCGGAGTTGGGATAGGCGGTAATGGACCACAGAGTGAGTTATGGAGCCGTGCAAGGCGACCTCAGAGGTAATGGAGACCGGGTTGCAAAGGACACAGTCCCAGGGCCCCCGTGCAGCTAAGGGGTGGTGCCCCACCCGTCCTTACTCCCTCAGCCCCCAGCTCCTCCCCTGCGCCCCATCCTGTGCCTCAGCTAAACCTCTCTCCAGCCCTCCTAGGTTAGCTTGATGGCTCCATTGTCCAGAATTGGAAACTGAGGCCTGGAGGAGGAAAGGAGCTTGTCCAAGGTCACATCGTAAGTGAATCTGGAGTCTAAGGCCCTTCTCCCGCTGGTCTGGAGGTCCCAGCAGCCCAACATGGGCCCTCTCCCCACCTACTCCAGTGCTAAGGGGTCCAGCCTGAGGCTTCCAAATCTGTTCTTTCCCTGCCTTGGACTGGCTCTGCCTGCCCTAGGATGCTGGTCCTGCTGCTTCCCACCTTTATGTGTTGTGGCTTTGGCCAGGTCACTTCTCACTGAGTCTCAGTTTTCTCATCCATAAAATGGAGATAGGCACCCTGGTAGGGCCTCTGTGGGATCCCTGGGTCACAGAGTAGTCGGGGACAGTGTGAGAATTACCTTGGACATTCAGGACATGCAGGAAGATCCCAGAGGATAATCAGGAGCTTCGTATCAGCCTCATTATGTTGCCATGTGTGTGAGACCCTCAGTGGACAGGACAATGGAGACAACAAGGAAATAAGCCCATGGCTGGGCCAACTTGAACTCAGGTCCAATTAATCAAGGTCTATGCCAAAAATGAGGGAGGTGAATTTTGTGCTTTATGCTGCTTAGATTTTTCCTGGATTTTGTCCTTGGGGCTGGTTGAGAGAAGCCAACCATTTGGCTTCTCCATTCGGAGAATGTACTCCAAATGGAGAAGAGGTTGCTGGTAGTCACGGAAGGCTGTCCTAGGGCAGGGAAGGAAGTGGGGTTGTGGGTAGAGAGGGTGGAGTTGGGCTCCAGTGGCCAGAGCAAGAGAAGTAGGCTCCAGGTTGTCGGGAGGGAAAGCTTACTCCCAGGCAGGCCCCACAGGGCTGGGGCAGGCTGGCCCAAAAGGAGGTAGCTTCCTATTCAGGGAACTATGTGAGCTGCGGATGGACAGCTCTGCATGGAGGGGGACGCAAAGGGTCTCAAGCATCGGATCGAGGCTGGACTCTGGGATCTGCAGGGCTCCTCCTGTTCAGAGATGCAGACTGGGAGCAATGTTCCCAGGGAGCAGCAAGAACCATGGATGATTACAAATTGCTCTGTGATTTTCTCCTGTTACCATGGTGACAGCTGGTCTAGCATCTTAAGCAGCAGCAGGATGCAAGTGGATCTTTTAAAGCCCTTCAGGCTTCTTCATCCTCCCTCTCCCCTTCCCCTCCCTGCCTCCTTAATGCTGTTGACCCACTCCCTTATTCACCCATGATTGCTCACCCTCTCTGTGCTTGGCATTAGGAATCACATATTTCCTGCTCACCTTCCCAATCCTGTACTTTCTCCTTGTAATTCATGCCAAGGCTTCTTGCTCACTTCTCTGGGCCTCAGTTTCCCCATCTGTAGAACAAGGAGGGCATGACCCTGGGTGACCCTATCTATCCCCACATGTTCAAATACAGCTCACCCTTGGCTATCCAATGCCAGTAATTCCTCCTCTAGAAAGCCTCTTGATTTCCCCAGCCTGAAGCAAACTCTCAATCATTCATTCATGGTTGCATGCATTCATGAACCTGCACTGTCTCACATGGTAGCTGCCAGCCATGTGTGGCCACCGAGCACTTGAAATGTGGCTGCTGCTGGGTACTGAAATACTATTTGGGACATATTGGCTTAACTAACATATTAATATTATTAAAATTAATTACACCTGTATCTTTTTTGCTTTGTAGACAATTTCAAATTACCTATGTGGCTCGCATTTTATTTCTATTGGCAATGGCATTAAACTAACATTTGCGAATGCATGCAGGGTTGCAAGGGCAGTAGCGGCTACCGTTGACAGAGTGCGGTGACTCAGTTCATCCTGACAAACCCTGAGAAGTGCATTCTGTGCGTATTTTTATTTGACAGGTAAGAAAAAGGAGGCTCGGAGAAGGGGAGCGGCTTGCCCAAAGGCACACAGCTCTGGATTGTGGCAGGCGCTCTAGTCTAGAAAATAAACTGGACAGCCACGATGGTGTAAGGAAGAGACCTGGCAATTCCAAAGCTGGGGGTGGCAGTGGGCTCGGCTCCTGCTGCAGGCACCCAGGTTAGTAGCAGCAGCCAGTGTTCTCCAGGAGTCTGGGGTGTCAGAAGGTGGAAAGCCCCACCAGGGTGAGAACCAAGCTGGTCACGGCACCCTGAAACTCCAGCTTAATTTCATCTTGTGCTTGGATCTAACATTCAGGTCCCACCTGCCATTCTGCCCACAGGTGGAGTGATGTTGGCTGAGCCCCGCACCTATGCAACCTCATTGCAGTTTCGCTAGCACACTGGCCTGCCAATCATGATTGGCCCAAAGTCTCTGAGGCCACAGTCGCCAAGAGGAAGCAGCAGGGCCACAGCCCACCTTAGTGTGGAGCTGTCACCCAGACCTAGTCAAAGTGGCTCTACAGAGCCAGCTGGGCTGGCTACTTTTTGCCTACCCACCTCCAGCCCCGCCCTCCACACTGCCTGCCCTGCACCCAGGAGGCTGACCTCCCGAACCATCGAGGCCTCCTGCCCTCCTGCTTCCCATTGGGTTGAGCCTCCCAGGGTCCCAGCTCTTGCTGGGTTTTGGAACCCTCCCTCCCCTGCCCCTTCAGGCCCAGGGTGGTGGTGGCTCCCCACTGCTCCTCACTCCCCACTGCTCCTCACTCCCCACTGCTTCTCACTCCCTACTGTGCTGGCCCTGCTCCTTTCTGCGTGGGCTCCCTGAGCCTGGCCCACACCCCTCTAAATAGCACTCCCCACAGGGCTCTTCAGCCACCCCTTCTGAAGGAGCTGTGTGCTGCCTGCCTGGTCCCATCTTAATCCACCCACTGCCCTTCATGGCCTGGAACTCGGTTCTCCCTCCCGGTAGAGTCAGCAGTGGCTTCCCCTCCCAGTCTCCAGGGCCCTGAAACCACCTTTCTGTCTGATGTGCAGCACGTCTTGCCTCCGAGCACGGCCAGCTCCCATGAGTCTTGGCGTCCTCACAGGCTTTGAAGGCCTGAGGTCCTGGTTTTCTCCACAGCTCTGGGAACACCATGGCTTGATGCTGGGGTCTTTGGCACAAAGGGCTTCTCAGAGACCATTGTTCTGTGCCCAGTTCTTCTCTCCACCTCCTTTTTCCTGGGGCCTGGGACTTGGCTGACCTCAGGGCATTTTGTTCAATGACTAAGTGAAGTAATAATCCAGGACATCCACAAAGTCTGGAAACACAGATGGATGTGTGTATGCACGTACATATATGTACATATATTATGATGTACATGGCTGTTACACATATTATACATATATGAATATAGTTAATGTTGTCTAAGACATCTGTGGCTTGTAAAACCATCTAAAAATGCCATGTAAGTATCTAGACGCTCTGGCCATCCTGCAGGTGCTGATCAGATAATGTGCACTTGCAGTGGATGGAGGACAGAATGCCTTCAGCAGCCTCCAGAGCTGTCTGGTTCACCCTGTATCTGCACAGCATCTAGCCTGAAGCCTCCAGCCTACTCAGTATGAAGAGGGTTTAGTAAAGGGATGGATAAGCGTTTCCTGGATGGAGGCACTTTATCCTTGTGACTTGGCATCATCTCTGTGGCCAAGGCCAGGTCTGAGGACTGGGGCTGGTCCCAGGCGAGCTGGTGGACAGGTGGAAGCCTGCGAATGGGTAGGTGGGTGTGCTCTGCAGGAGCCCGGCTCCGGCTTTGTGGAGACAGCCGGCTGGCTATTCCCTGTCAGCCCCTCTAGATCCCTTCTTAGTCCTTCACCCTTCTCCGTGCCCTGGGGGCTGACCCTGGGGCTGTGTCCACAGGCTCCCAGCCTGCTGACTTCTGTGGGCCTGAAGAGGGGCTGGAGGGTGAGCAGAGCTCCCGCACCGCGGGGTTGCAGGTGGCTGGGGCTACGTCCACCGAAGCTGCAGCTGTGGGCGGCTGCCTGCTTCTCTAGCCTCAGCTCCCTGAGCAGGTTCCAGGAAGGGCTCTATTCCTGTGTCTCAGACCTTGGGAGGGAATGCTCCCTACTGCCACCAGCCCCAGGGCGCCTCACCATTTCCCTTAACCCTTCATGCGCCTCTGTGACAGGTCCCTTTTCTCATCACCCATTTGTGCTGTTTCCTGCCAGGGCCCTTCCTGATTCACCAGGAGTAACCACCTTAAAGGGCGGTTTAGCAAGTTAAGTGAGAGAATTCACCCAGCAGCCCACCTGGCTCATTGCTAGTGCTCAGTAAATGGCTGTTACTGACGATGCCGTGGAGGGCAGGGTAGGGTAGAGGTTAAAACCATGGATTCTAGAGCCAGATGGGTTCAAATCCCGGCTCTGCCGCATCCCGGCTGTGTGACCCTGGGCAAGTTGCTCAACCTCTGTGTGCCTCCCCCGTGGGAGTTACCATAACACTCATCACACGGGGCTGTTGTGAGGATTAAACACTTTAACATCACTAAACACATTAACAGCAAGGGCTGGCACGCACTCAGTAAACCTTAAATAAGCACTCAGTCCACCACTGTTACCTGGCGGACTCACAGTCCCCACGTGTGCTGGTTAGAAGTGGAGTCTCAGCGGCGTGCTGCAGCCAGTACCTCTGAGATTTACCCCGTGGGGATCGGCAGGGATGGCAAATGCGAGAGCTGGTTCCCAACGCGGCTGGAAGCCTCCTGCCTGCTCATCTCCAGTCTCCACTCACAGTTTTATTTCCCCATGTTCTCCTCAACTTCCCCTTCCTTTTGGAAGTTGGACACAGTCAAGCAGTCCCGAAAGTGTGCTCCCAGCCCCTCCTTCCAAGGTGAGCTCACACCTGGGGGAAGGCTCACAGGGCCGTGCCCTCTTCACACCTCACATCACCTCTGGCCTCATTTGTCTCAGCTTCTCACCTTCTCACTCTGCTGGCTGGCTCCCTGTCTGTCGCCTGCCCTGGGCATGCGGCAGATGGGGGCATGTCAGCCAGGCCAGCAGCTCCGTGGGCCCTTCCCAGGGCTGGCGCACCCCCCTTGCCTGGCTGGCCGTGTAACTGGAGCTGCAGGCACTGGAACTGAGTCCCCCGGTGGCCAGATCGCACAGGTATCAGCTGACCGCCTGTGTCCCGTTTTCCTTCACACGCGGCGCAGTTAACAATGGCCGACAGTCCTCACAGGGGGCCCGGGCCCCCCCAGGGAGAGGCCCCGGCATGCTATCGGGCCACATGATCTTGCCCCTTAAAAGGCCTGCCCTCCCTGCTGACATAGCACACAAATAGGGCCTTTACTCGCTGCCAGCGACCGTCTGCCGCCCTGGGAGTGTGAGCCGGAACCCGGGCCCCTGTGCCAGCCAGGCCCGCAAGGCTCGCTCTCTCCCTCCATGTGAACCTGCTCTCGATACACCTGACCATTCTTCTCCCCTCGGCCTGGATTACACCCCGTAAAAGCCCTTTGTTCCTCGGCCCTGGACAAAACTGAAGCTGGCACCGCAGGGGTCTCTGCTAATGTAGCCATCTGCCCTGACCCACTCTTGGTGGAAAACCAGCTCCGGGCAGGGAATCAGGTTGGGGGTGGTGAACAGGGTGACGGGGGCGCTGCTGTTGCCCCAGATAACCCTGGTTAGTCTCTGCGGCAAGATGCTGGGCTCCTTGGCTCTAGAAGTTTCTCTGTAGCAGCACATGGGAGGTCTGGGTTTGTCGTCTCGTGTGGCCTCTGCTTTCCTGGGGGACCTGGAGAAGCCTCTGGCCCCTGCTGAATCTTTCCCCTCTTGCTCTGCAAAATGGGATAATAATGATTCCTCTCTCCCTGTGCACACCTGGCTCCTAGCAGTCCCTCAGTTAATGCTGGCCATGGCCAACAGACAGGAACAAGAGTGGGGCTGTCAGGGATGAGGATTTCTATGCAGGGATGGGGAGAAGGACTGGGCCCAGGTCCTAAAACTGGGATTGAGACCTTTACAAATACACCTCTCAGGCAGGGCGGTGGAGTGTCGTGGGGCGGTAACTTGAAGAGGCTCCAGGGATTTAGGGTTCTGGAGAGATCATTCTAAGCTAAGACCTGCCCTTGGAACCGAGTCTGAGTCTGTAGAGAGCCCAGGTCCTGGGAAGATGCTAGAGCTGCTCTGTCCAATGCTATAGCCACTAGCTACATTTAAATTAAATTGTAAATTACTATTTAAATTTACAAAAAGAAAAATGCAAGATCCAGATCCTCAGTTGCATCAGCCACGTTTCAAGTACTCAGTAGCCACTCGTGGCCAGTGGCTGCCACACTTGAGGATGCAGAATACGATATTTTCATCATCATAGAAAGTTCACTTGGACTGTGCCACTCTGCAGGCTGTGGGGGATTAACTCAACACACACTGCTGAGCGCCTCCAGTATGACATGTCACATGAACGTGGCGGTCACAGGAACCCTCTGAGCTTCCATGGCTTGCTCCTTCCATGCTCATTTATTAAACATGATGGTGGGGTGGGCTGGCGCTAGAGGGAGGGGCGCTGAGCTCTGCCCTCAGCAAGCTCGAAGGCAAGGATCCCAGTCATACAAACCTGCATGTGCAGGCCAAGTGCTGGGGGCCCCGTGGAGGAGAAGTAACCCCAGGTGGGGCCAGGGATGCTTCAGTGTTTCCAGACGGGCTGAGGATGAGTTCCCAGGTCTTCAAGTTCTGAGTTAAGCATCCAGGAGCTTCACCACCAGGGTTTCCAGTGGTCCCAAAATGTGCCTATAGACATCCAGGAAGGAGGAGATCATTACCTTCGCTCCAGCAAAACGCAGACTGGCTCAGCTGTGGTGGGCAGGATAATGGGCCCCAAATATGACCATGGCCTAGTCTCTGGGACCTGGGACTATGTTACCTTATATGGCAAAAGGGTCTTTAATTATGTGAAGGAATGAAAGCTCTTCAGATGGAATGATCACCTGGATTATGCATAGAGCCAGGCATAGTCATGGCATAGTCATGAGGGTCATTACAAGAAGGACATGGGAGGTCAGAGTCAGAGAAGATGGGGGAGTGATGATGCAAGTACAGAGTGGAGACATGTGCTCTGCAGGTGGGGAAGGAACCTCAAGCCAAGGCGTCCAGGAGCTGAACAAGGCAAGGACACAGCTTCTCCCCTTGGAGCCTCAGAGGAGCTGACCCTGCCCACACCATGACTTCAGCCCGGTGAAACTGATAACAGACTTTTGGCCTCCAGAACTGTAAGAGAATACATTTGTGTTGTTTTAAGCCACTGAGTGTATGGTCATTTGCTTCAACAGCGAGAGGGAAGTCATGCACTAGCATAGAGGTGACAATCATAGGTTTTGGCAAGGGATAGAAACAGGTTTGAATCCCAGCTACTCCCTTGTCTAATGGGATAATCTTGAGCAAGTGGCTTCATCTCTCTGCTCCTCAGTTTACCTTATCTAAGAAAAGGGGAACATAATGATACCCACCTAATAGGGTCATTATGGGACTTGAAGGAAATAAACCAAGTGGATTATTCCGAAAACGGTCCCTGCTGGCCTCAGTATTGCTATCTCTTGGAAGGAAATCTGTGGTTTATTGAGCGTGGATTGCCCAGAGCCAGACTATCTGGGCTGTAAAATTACTCAATCCTGCCTCAGTTTCTTTAAATTAGGGTAATAACAGAGGATATAACGATCACCAAATGAAATAATCTGCACGTGGCACTAAGAGTAGCACCTGGCCTCTGGGAGGCATTTTGTCAACACTGATTATCACTGGTGTCCTTTTATTCCCAGCTCCAGTACCCCGTGCTGAGGCCCCACACAGGCCTGTCCCTTTGACAGAAGGGCCCGAGGTGCAGGGTTGGGCACGTGGCCAGGAGGGCTGCCCAGCGGTGCCCTGAAGAGGAGCAGGGCAGGAGGGGGCTGGGCTGGGCCTGGCCGGGCCTGGCTCTCGGCGTCTTCACTTTTTCTGTCCCCGCGCCCCTCAAGCTGTCCAAACACCGGCCAGGCGCCCAAGGAGCACTCCCGAGGATCGGCCCTGGGAAAGGTTGGCTGTCTGCAGTGTGCGGTTGGAGGAAGTGGCCCTTGTTTGCTTCCCCGCAACCCTAGGAGCTTCCTTCCCTCTGCGTCTTTGCTTTGCTTTCTTGCGGCTGCCTGCTGTGGAGGGCTGGCCGCCCGGTGGACCTGGGCCCTGGGGCCCCGGATGCTTCCAAACCTGGAGAAACACCCAGAACAACAGCTCTGTCCCAGGCCTCTGCTCCCAGGATTGACTCTTGGACTCATCGCAGTTGAAGCTCAGGACAAAGCCACCAAAGCCAGCATGAGCTACACACCCACTGTGTCCTGGACCCCGCTTCAGTGCTCCCTGAATGCTCTCACGACACCACGAGCCCAGACATTCTCTCCCCATTTGCAACCCAGGAAACTGAGGCAGGGAACTGGCAGGCAATGTGCCCAGGTTCTGCAAACTACTCAGAGTTAGACTTGGTCTTCAGTAGCCTCGCTCCGAAAACTCCTGCCCTGTGGGGCCGCCCTAGAGCTTTAACATAGAATGAGAGGCTCAGAATCACCAGATCAGAGCATTGAAAAACAGAATCACAGAATCCAGGAATCTGATTATGGAAATTCTCAACAGTATTACAGGATCTTGTAATGAAATCAGATTCTTAGATTCTCTGGCTCATCACATTTCATTGTCAAAAGAGACCCTAAATGTTCTATGGTCACCCCTCCTTCTCCGCCCCTTTGCCAATGCATTTCCTTGCAACCCCCAGCACAGGGCTCCCCCAGCCCGCCCATCCTATAGCGCTGTGGTTAGAATTGTCTTCCTGCTTCCTCCACAGCCCCCCTTCCGTCTTCCAGCCCCCTCTGATCATCTCTCCTCTTCCTACTTGCCTGCATAAATTAGCACCCCAGCCTCTGAACATCTGGTGACAAACAGTGGCACTGATTCTAAAAGGCTGTGTATTTCTTGTATGGATTTCACAGGGCCGTCTCTGAGGGATGGATGGGGAAATTTCATCTTCAAGCTGTTTGTTTGGCTCAGGGTTGCTCTAGTTCCCCCAGGCAGGCTCTGGGAGAGGGAACTTCAGCTGCGAAGGAACCTCACGCAGCTCTCAGCCAGGATCGGCCCCTAAAAGTTTGTATGAAGATAAAATCTGCTAGTGGGAACAAATGACAGGTAATCCTGGGCACCCGGCGTTCGATGGAGAAACGCCGCCTGCAGCATCCTCGTGGGTGGTGGTCTGAAGCCCCTTGCATCTCTCCAGCAAAGGAAAGCTCACTACCTCCCCTGCTCTATGGGGTTTATCCAGGGCCCTGGTATAGAATGCACGATGCTCCAGCCCCCAGGTGCTGACACCCTCTGTTGAGTAGAGTCAGAGGGGGCATCTCTTTTGACAGGGAATCTAACAAAAATGTAAAAACCACCACTGTCTGGCCCCAAAACCCCACTTTGAGGAGCCAATCTTACAGCAACATTTGTGCAAAAGATATGTTCAAGGATCTTTGCTACGATGTCGTTTGTGGTGGTGGCAAACACATAGAATCTCATTCAATGTCCATAAATAGGAGACTGATGAAATACATTTGGATACCTTCAGGCTGTGAAATACTCTGACTGTTAAAGAGAATGAGGAGTGTTTATTTGTGCTTCTTCTGACGTTCAGAAAACAACTTGTAAAACAGTCATACAATGGGAATATGTATGTATATGTTTATAATTCACATAGGCAAAACTGATCATAGTGGTTACTTCTGGGGAGCAGGATTTTGGAGATGAGTGTATTTTAACCCTTCACTTTAGATACTTCTGCATGTTTTTAAACTATGGAACATGTATTACTTTTGTTAATAAAAATATAAAGGATATGGCTGGGCGCAGTGGCTCACCCCTGTAATCCCAGCGCTTTGCGGGGCCGAGGCGGGTGGATCACTTGAGGCCAGGAGTTCGAGACCAGCCTGGCCAACATGGTGAAATCCTGTCTCTGCTAAAAATATAAAAAATAGCCGGGTGTGGTGGTGCGTGCCTGTAATCCCAGCTACTCGGGAGACAGGCAGGAGAATCACTTGAACCCAGGAGGCAGCCATTGCAGTGAGCCGAGATTGTGCCACTGCACTCCAGCCTGGGCAACAGAGTGAGACCCTGTCTTAACAACAACAGCAACAATAACTATATATATATAAACACACACACACACATATGGATATTACTTCTTTACACTGGAGGGAGCACAGAGAGGCAAGGGCTGGCTCAGTTCATCCCATCTATGGGTTCACTCACCGAGATCTATCGGGCACTGGCCTACTCTGGTTTCCTCCTCCAGCGAATGTGATGGGCCTGCCTCGATGCCTTAATCCACGTTTTAGTTGATTATTCCAGCTGCGGCTAGACCGAGGTATCCTGGTGGCCTAACACCGTGGAGGTTGGTTTCTTGTGTTTCAGCAGCCCAGGAGGGCATGCAGAAAGGGGGTCCCCATGGGCAAGGTGGGTCCCAGCCTCCTGCCACCCGTGGCTCCTCTATTAAGGTGACTATCCAGAATAGAGGCGGACTAGGTCCATCCGCTTCTCTCCACCCAGGTCTGGCTGTGGTGTGTCCCCACTCCTGCTCACAGTTCCCTGAAAAGAAGCCGTCCTACAGAACCATTGTCTAGGTGCACGGGGCTCGGGGTGAGTGGGAGATCCATGCTGGGGCCTGCAGGAAGTGGCTGTGCTCTGAGGAGGTGCGAGCACAAATGTCCTTGGCCTGTCTGCCTCCACTGCCAACATCTTTTCTGGTGCTGATTAAGCCGCCATGCCTTAGGAGCAGCCAGTGGAGAGGTATTAGGTGGAATCTCATAAATGCCAGAGTTTAAACAGCCCTGGGCACTACGTCAGGGCAGGGTGGGGAACGCACCCGGGGGCCTGGGCTCCCGTATGGGGGCTACACTTTTTATTATGGACTTGGCATTCATCAGCTGCCTCACCTCCAAAAACCCACAGAACGTGCACGACCTAATGACCAGATTGGTAAGGGCCAGGAAAAGACAAAGCTAGCTCAGGGAGTGGAGTGGAGGCAGGTATCCTTGCACTGGTACTTCAGGCAGGGAGGTCAGGGAAGGCCTCTGGGAGCAGGTGACTTGTGACTTTTTTTTTTGAGACAGAGTTTTGCTCTGTCACCGAGGTTGGAGTGCAGTGGCACGATCTCGGCTTACTGCAACCTCTGCCTCCCAGGTTCAAGTGATTCTCCCGCCTCAGCCTCCCGAGTAGCTGGGACTACAGGGGCCCACCACCATGCCAGGCTAATTTTTGTATTTTTAGTAGAGATGGGGCTTCACCATATTGGCCAGGCTGGTCTAGAACTCCTGACCTTTTGATCCGACCGCCTCACCCTCCTAAAGTGTTGGGATTACAGGCGTGAGCCACTGCGCAGCTGGGAGGAGGTAACTTCTAAACGAGGTCCTGCCTGGAGGAAGGGAGGGTGGGGAGGAGCATGGCATGTCAGACCCAGCCAGGAAGCCCAAGGGGCTTAAGCAAGTTAGCAGGGACATCAAGAGTGCTCAGGGTCAGCTGGGACAGAGTGGACCCTCTGGCCGTGGTAAGGAGTTTGAATTTTATCCCAGTTGTGAAGGGAACCCAGTGGGTGAATGAGCGAGGCAGACAGGTGAGCAGGGGTGAGGATGCAACACAGTCCCTGCCTCCGGCTGGGGAGGTAATACCCAGGGAACTATGGAGTGCAGAGAGCCCAGGACATGATGGGTTAGTGCAGGCTTCTGAAGGAGCCAAGGAGGTTGGCCAGATGGGAAGCTCAGAGGAGGTTTTTCAGATAGTAGACCCAGTGGAAAAATGCACCAAATATATAAACCAGCAATTTATAGAAGTGGAAACAGAAAAGGCCAAACAGCTCAGGAAGAGATGGGAAAGCTCATTAGTAACCAGAGAAATGCACATTAAAATAACAATGAGCTATCACCTTACATTGATTAGACGGGCAGGAATTAGAAAGCTGGGTTATGCCAAGTGCTGGCATGGGTGTGGCATAGAGAACCTCTGGTGTCCTGAGTGGGAGTGGTCACCAGTGGAACCAATCAAGAAAGCCATCTCCTAATCTCCCAGTTCTTATGCACATGAAGTTACACACCGAAGAAGCAACAATTCTGCTTCTGGATATTTATCCTGAGACATTCTCTGAGGTCCCTTAGGCCACATGCAGTGTGTGAAGATATGCTCTGCAGGCAGCTGGGTGCCCACGACTCAGGTGCAGATGGACCTGTTCTCACCAACCATCACTTGCCGGGTGCAGGGCAAGGCACGTGACCTCATTCCTTCATTGAAGAAAGAATCCCTTATTAATCCCCATTTGACTGCCGAGGAGACAGGCTCCTCGGCAGGTGGAAGCCCTGGCCCAAGTCATGTAGAGAGTCAGTGGCTAAGGTGTGTGACTCTACCTCATCAAAGGCAGCCAAGGTCCCAGAGGAGCCCTGTCCTCAGTGGTTTTACTCTCCTCCCCATTAAGGGGGCAGCTCCTGCAGAGATGGAGGCTGTAAGTTCGAGTGGAATGTGGTCTTGTAGCACATACCCTGGCTATTTTTGGGAGCCCAAGTCTGAATCCTGGCTCTGCCACTCAGCAGCCAGAGCTTGGCAGGCTCAGGCTTTCCACCTGTGAAGTGGGCCCTCATGAGACCCACCTTAGAGGCTTTGGTGAAGTTTCTTATGCCAAGCTTCTGGCATAAGAAATATATTTCTTTCCCTTCTCCCCACTTCCCAAGTTCAGGGGGAAATCAGCCATCACCGCCCCACATTTAAATGAGGAAGACTTCTCAGATGGGGTGTGTCTAATCATGGAAGCCAGTTTTGCAAAGGTGAAATCTGGGCAAACTGAGCACTTGTGCCTGCCGTGCAGCCTCTGCTAAGTGCCCATCCATCTCGGGGCCTCCAGCCCACCCACTGTTAAATGCAGGGGCTGGACCAGCTGGTCCAGGTGAGTAGATACTCTATGACCCAACCAATGCTACTTGGTCAGGGACCAGGAGCACTGCATGCTCTTGAAGAAATTGCCCAGAGTGGGGAAGAGGGGAATCTCAAAGAAGTGCGGGATGATCTACACTTTGACTCATGTGGGACATGTTGAAGGGTTCCAGGCAGCCAGAGGCTGCATCCTGGTGCCTGCTACACCTCCAGCCCTGCTCTGACCCAGCGCCCCTCTCCCACATAACCCCCTTAGCAAAGCCAGCTGGAGCCTAGCATGCCCTGCCCTCCACCTGGGCCCAAATATATCCAACAGGGAAGCCTGGCACTGAGCTGCAAGCCTTCCTTGGATAGCAAGCTGGAAGCTGGGATGGGGATGGCAAGAACCTGAATCATGAGAGAGGCAGAAACACAGAGCCACCCGATGTGGGGCTCACTTAAAAGAGTCCAGGCCCTGGAGCTAGCCTGCCTGGGGTAAGTCCTGGCCCTGCCATCTCACAGCTACGCACCTGGGCAAGTCTTCTTGCCCCCTATGTGCCTTCAAGGGGACAACAGCAGTAACTGCTCGCTGGATTGTGCTGAAGATGAAGTGGGGCAGTTGCGGGGTGGTCTACACACAACACAGATAAGCCACTGTTACTGTGACACCTGCGAGGCCACCCTCTCCAGTGCCAGCGGTGGGCAGCGGGAGCAGCAAGCTCTCAGGGTAACACATAGACAAAAATTGCAGATTCAGATCTATCAGGACCAAAGAGCTTATTCTGTTGGCATCAGTCAGGAGAGGCGAGGCTATGCTGTAGTAACAAAAGGCCCCAAATCCCAGTGGCTTAATACAACAAAAGCTTATTTCTCATGCATGCCACATGTCCAAATGGGCTAGCAGCAGCTTTGCTTTGTGCCATCCTCACTCGGGGAGCAGGCTGATGGAGCAGCCACCACTGGGAACACCGCCAATCTTTGGGCAGAGGGGAGAAGAGAATGGTGAGTCACACACTGGCTTAACAGCCAGTTAAGTGATGGTGTCTCATCACTTCCCCTTCCGTTCAAACTGGCCAAGGTGTGTCGCATGCTGAACCCCAGTGGGGCAGGAGGCACAGCTCAATTATATGCCTGGAAGTTGGACAGACAGAATATCTTTGAGCAGTTCCAATGACGGCCACGCCGCCCAACCTCCTTTATTACATTATTGTTGATGCTATTGTTGTTCTAGGGATGAGTATGCAGGAGCTCAGAGGGATTGAGGAGTTGGCCCCAGACCACAGAGCAGTCAGCGCAGAGCAAGAGCCATTTTCTCATTCAATAAGTATTTATTGGACACTCACGTTAGACACACACTGTTTTAGGCACTGGGGAAATTACACAAAACAAAGATCTGTGTTTAAGACAATTGTTATGCTGGTGGCAGGTGGGACACAGATGATAAGTGATAAACACATAATAAGCAAGTGAAAGGGATCGTAAGTGGGAAGGTGGGAACAACAAAGTGGCAGGGAGGGGAGGCTGGAGTTCTGGAAGGAAGCAGGTGCTTTCAGTTCCAAATAGGGTGGTCGGACCTCCTTGAGAAGGTGACATTTAAGCAAAGACTTGCAGGAGGCAAAAGGGAGAGCCATGGGGACGTTTGGGGGAAGAGCATTCCAAACAGAAGGCCCATTCTGTTATTCAACCAACAAACGTTTATTAGGATCTGCTCAGGCAAGGCCAGTGCTGAGAGCTTGGCACACAGAGCAGAATAAAAGAATCTCACTTTGAATCCTTGGAGCCCAATGGGGAAGAAGAAAAAGACCTGATCATTAATTAATTTGTCATTTATTAATTCCCTCATTCATTGAATTCATTGACTCACTCACTAAGCATTTGTTGGTATCCACAGTGTGCCCTCTCTGTATGGGGTGCTGGGGCCTTGTTGCAGGATCAGATATGGTCCCTGTCCTTGAGGAGCCCCCAGTCTGGTTGGGGGAGGCAGGAATAGATAGGCAGCTACTAGCCAATGGGAGAGAGAGAAGGGCACAGCGGTCAGAGAAGCCCAGAGGAGGACTGTGGCTTGGAGAGCTGGGAGGCCTGGCCACATTTCGGGGAAAGACTAGGGAGGCCTGAGTAGGTGACGACAGTGGGGTTGGAGCGGGAAGATTTGGGAGATGGGATCAACGGGACTTGGTGACAGATTGGATGTGCATGCTGGGAGGAGAAGGGGGAGCCAAGATTGATTTTGTGTGGCGGGGAGTCCCACCTTGGGTTCTGAAAATCTGGAGAAAGGACCATTCTCTGGGATCACAAATAGGGAATGCAGAACAATTCTGGTAGAAAATGCTGAGTCCAGATTCGGCCATGTAGGGGAGTGAGGAGTCTGGTGGGAGAGTGTGCTGCATTATAGCAGGGAAGGGGGTTCAAACCTAGGTCTGCCCTTGCCTGGCTATGTGATCTGTGACAAGTCAGAACTCAATCCCGTTCTAGGTCTTAATCTATCACCTGTAACTGTAATGAGGAATATCTGCCTTGCAGAGTGCTAGGGGAAGAGGGCAGTTCTAGGGAGGTCAAGTAAGTGCTGCATCTGTGGTCATATCTGGCTGCTCCCAGGCCCAATTCAATCCTAGTTCTGGGGTGGGGCTGGGTTCTGGGTTTCTGTCTTCCCCAAGCTCCACTGCGAGGCTGGTGTGCAGCCAAGGTTGGGGACCTCTGTGGCATCTGCTGTGCCTGGTGCACCTAGGGAGCCTGATCAGTGGAGCTGCTTTTTTATTTTTATTTTTGATGCTACTATTTCTTGTACTATTATTCAGATGGCAACATCTGGAGGCAAGTAGAGAGCTAGCTCTGGAGTGAGGTCCTGCTGGTGGCTGCAGACCCCTGATCTCCCATCATGTGGGCCACTACATTGCCAAGTGGGAGTCATGCTGCCTTGGGGTTTTTTGAGAAGGGGGCCCTGTGGACACCTGATCAAAAATGGGTAAGAAAGGAAATAGGTTGTGAAAACAGTCTCCACAACTCCCGTGAAACTACGGGTTTTATTCTTCTCTAGGTAATTTAAAAGTTTTGCCCCCTGGCCAGGCGCAGTGGCTCACGCCTGTAATCCCAGCACTTTGGGAGGCCGAGGCCGGTGGATCACGAGGTCAGGAGATCGAGACCATCCTGGCTAACACGGTGAAACCCCGTCTCTACTAAAAAATACAAAAAATTAGCTGGGCGTGGTGGCACGTGCCTATAGTCCCAGCTACTCGGGAGGCTGAGGCAGGAGAATGGCGTGAACCCGGGAGGCGGAGCTTGCAGTGAGCCGAGATCGAACCACTGCACTCCAGCCTGAGCGACAGAGCGAGACTCTGTCTCAAAAAACAAACAAAAAAGTTTTGCCCCAAATCAAGATGAAGTATAATTACAAAACATAGGCCAGGCGCGGTGGCTCAGGCCTGTAATCCTAGCACTTTGGGAGGGCGAGGCAGCTAGATCACCTGAGGTCAGGGGTTCGAGACCAGCCTGGCCAATATGGTGGGCGATGCACGCCTATAATTCCAGCTACTTGGGAGGCTGAGGCAGGAGAATTGATTGAACCCGGGAGGCAGAGGTTGCAGTGAGCCAAGATTGCACCAGTGTACTCCAGCCTGGGTCACAGAGTGGGACTCGTCTCCATAATAATAATAATAATAATAACAACAACAAAATACAGCTAAGCAAAAAACTCACAAAACTCATAGGCCCACAACCTGGGAAAACTACTGTATACACCAAATTTCATGTAAATAGATTCATTACCTAGGCATATATATATATGCACACACACACATATACATATGTGTGTGTGTGTGTGTGTGTGTGTGTGTGTGTATAAGTATATCCACTCACAGCTGACCTTTGAGCAACACGGGTTTGAACTCCTTGGGGCCAATTATCCTCAGAGTTTCTTCTGCCTTTGCCAGCCCTGAGACAGCAAGACCAACCCCTCCTCTTCCTCCTCCTCAGGCTACTCAACGGGAAGATGAGGATGGAGACTTTTATGACGATCCACTTGCACTTAATGAATAGTAAATATGTTTTCTCTTCCAATGAATAGTAAATACGTTTTCTCTTCCTTGTGATTTTCTTAACAACATTTTATATTTTCAAGCTTACTTTACTGTAAGAATACAGTATATAATACATATAGCATACAAAATATGCATTAACTGAATGAGGATGGAGACCTTTATGACGATCCACTTCCACTTAATGAATAGTAAATATGTTTTCTCTTCCCTGTGATTTTCTTACTAACATTTTATATTTTCAAGCTTACTTTACTGTAAGAATACAGTATGTAATACATATAACATACAAAATTATGCGTTAAATGACTGTTGATATTATCAGTAAGGCTTCTGGTTAACAGTAGGCTATTAATAGTTAAGTTTTGGGGTAGTCAAAAGTTATACATAGATTTTCAACTGCAAGATGGGCCAGTGCTCCCAACCCCCACGTTGTTCCAGGGTCAACTATACTTATAACGATTATATTTTTATTTCCACGAAAAATGAAACGAGACTCTTAAAGCCTGGATTCACATCCACCACACTGCGCAGCAGGTGATTTACCCTTTCTGTCTCTTGTTCTCCACATCTAAATGATAACCTCTGCAATAGGCTGGTTTAAACAGTCAGATGTGGTGGGGCGTGCCTATAATCCCAGCTACTTGGGAGGCTGAGACAGGAGGATCCCTTGAGTTCAGGAGTTCAAGACCAGCCTGGGCAAAATAGTGAGACCTTATCTCTAAAACTGCATTTTTTTAAAAAGTCAATTCTTGAAAGATATTTAAATAATATAAAAATCATCTTTTACGTCTCCCCATGGAATTACCATTTCCAATGCTCCTTGTTCCTTTGCATAAATCCACGTTTCCAGCTGGTGTCATTTTCCTTTTGCCTAAAGGGCATTCTTTAACAACTTCTTATAGGTAGTGTGGGTCTGCTGATAATGAATTCTTTCACCTTTTGTGTGTCTATAGAAGTAACATCTTGTTTTCCTCTGGCTGTTTTTAAGATTTTCTCTTTTTCACTGGGTTTTGAGCAATTTGATTATGATGTGCCTTGGTGTGGTTTCTTTCATGTTTCTGTGCTTGGGGTTTGTGGAGCTCTGGGCTCTGTGGGTTTACAGTTTTCCTTGGATTTCGAACATTTTTGGCTATTAATTTTTCAAATACTTTTTCTGTTCCCCTAGCCCCTTCTCCTTCCCAGATCCCAACTCCTTGCTTGTTAGGCTGCCTGAAGTTTTCCCACAGATCACTGATGCACTTTTTTGTTTAAAAGTTGCACTTTCTCTGTATGTTTCATGTTGAATAGTTTCTATTGCTCTGTCTTCAAATTGCTAATCTTTTCTTCTACAATGTCTAATCTGCTGGTAGCCCTGTCTAGTATATTTCTTCATCTCAGAACTTGTAGCTTTCATCTTTAGAAATTTCATCTCTAGAAAGCTTTTTTCATATTATATGTACCTCAGCTTAACTTTCTGAACATATGGCATGCAGTTTCAATGACATTTGTTAATGTCCTTCACAGCTAATTCTACTGTCTGTGGCAGTTCTGGCTTGTTTGGGGTTTTTTTGGTGGGGGGAGAGGGGAGACAAGGTCTCTCTCTCTCATCCAGGCTGGAGGGCAGTGGTATGATCATACCTTACTGCAGCCTTGACCTCCTTAGTTCAAGAGATCCTTCCACTTCAACCTCTCCAATAGCTGAGACTACGGGTGCAAGCCACCACCCTTGGCTAATTTTTGTATATTTTGTAAAGACAGGGTTTTGCCATGTCGCCTAGGCTGGTCTCAAGCTCCTGTGTTGAAGCAGTTTGCCCACCTTTGGCCTCCCAAAGTGTTGGGATTATAGGCATGAATCACTGAGGCTGGCCCTGGGTTGGTTTTGATTTTTCTTATAATGGTGTTTTCCTGTGCATGCCTGGTAATCTTTGATTGAATGCCGGACATTGTGAGTTTTTCCTTGTTGGGTGCTGGATATTTTTGAGTTCCTGTGAATCTCCTTGAGCTTTGGGGTCTTCTCTTTCAGAGAAGTCTGAAACCTTTTCAGGTGCCCAGGCTAGGACTAATCATTCCCCACTACTGAGGCAAGACCTTCCTGAACAGTCTACCTGCTGCCCTGGCAATTGTGAGATTTCTCGGTCTGACTGGCGGGAACGTGTACTATCCCCAGCCCTGGGACACTACAGGCAACCTTTTCTCTAATCCTTTCAGATGATTCTTCACTGGCCTCAACTAGTTTCTTCACACACACGCCCTGACCAGTGCTCTGCCAAATACTCAGGGGGACCCCCTGTAGGTCTCCAGAGCTCCCTCTTTCCTCGCTGGCACTTTGCTCTCTGAACCACAGCTGCCCCCATCTTCCCGGACTCCCAGGAGTTCTCTGGGCTCTGTGTAGCCCCACCTCCCCGGGCCACCACCTGGAAGCTCTCAAAGCCATAACGGTGTGACCATTACATTCTTTGTTGCCTGAAGTCCAGTTCCTTTAAAATCACTGTCTCAGGGATTTTGTCTGCTTTGCTTGTTTGTTTCACGTAAGAGCCTGATTTTGGCTGCCATGACTCCATCTTCCCCAGTGATTCTGTGCCTTGTTCACCTGAATTAAATTCAGTTATTCTCCTCTCCTCCCTCTTCCCTTCTGCAAACTGAGGTTGAAAGGTCCCCTGGTTCAGGCCCTCCACTGCATCTCAAGGGAGGCCACAGGAAGGCAGGATCACAAGGTTTGGAGAGCCTTGGACATCAAGGGTCCCAGCAACTGGGAAGAAAGAGGAATGACTCATATGGCAGTGCTGTCCCAATGCCCAGTGGCATGTGCTTAGAGGGACATCTGGGAGCCCATCGGAGCCTGACAGCAGACATCTGGGGAAGGATTATTACCCAATCTGAGAGAGGAATGAAGTCTCCAACTCCCAGGCCACAGAGCCATGAGAGATCAGGGCTGCATTTGAACTCAGGTTTGGCAGACCCTCATATTAACAGCTAACAGGTACTGTTCCAAATACTTCATAGGGCTTATGGCATTTAATGCCCAGCACAGCCCTGCCAAGTATGACTGCCTGGCTCAGTTTTGAGCAGGCAATACTTCAGAGTGATTGAGAGTGGCCTGGGTTTGAATCCTGCCTCTAGCTCCCTGATGTGGATGACCTTGAGCCCACCACTTTGACTTCTCTGCCTCAGATTCCTCAGCACACCCAGGTGTTATGGGGTGAATTGTGCCCCCTGCAGAAAATTCCCAAGTTGAGGTCTTAACTCCTGGTACTTCAGGAAGTGTCCTTATTTGGAGATAGAGTTAATCAAGTTATTTAGAGTTAATCTAGTGAAAATTAATTTTACAGTTAATCAAGTTAAAATCAGGTCATTTATAAGGATATCAGTCATAGTTCAATATGACTGCTATCCTCATAAAAAGAGGAAATGTGGACATAGAAATGCACACAGAGGGAAGACAATGTGAAGAGATGAAGACAGAGGGAGAAGGAAGCCTTCTGCCAGCCAAGGGTTCTCCCTCACGGCCCTCAGAAAAACCAACCCTGCCCAACCTTGATTTGGAACGGTGAGGAAATAAATTTCCATTGTTGAAGCCACGCAGTGTGCAATACTTCATTACAGCATCCCTAGCAAACAAATGCACCAAGGCTGACAGTAGCGCCTCCCCCGCGGTGTTACTGTGAGGATTACAGAAGTGCATATGTGCAAAATGTTTGGGGTAAGGCCTGGCACGCCCTAGCATGCAGTCAAGGATGAGGGGGCTGAGGTCCAGGGAGGCTGAGCGGCAGTGTGTGGATCACACCCCACACAGTGTGTGAGCCCTGATCCTGTGCTCCTGGCCACTCTGCTGCCCTGTCTGCACTCTAGTCCCGGCTCTCTCCTGAGGACACTTTGCCAGGATCCCTGCCACCTGTGCCCTCCGTGCCCTTGGTTGGTGCTCAACCATGTTAACTGAACATCCTTTGAGAGATCAAAGGAAAAAATGAAATAGCAGAGAGAGGCCCAGGCTGGCGGGAAAAGGATGTTACTCAAGGAAGTAATTACATATTAAGTGAAAAAGTCCACCCGAGTGCTCACTGATTCTCCACCCACATCCCTGATGGATGTGTGGCCCTGGTTGCCTTCCAAGGGCAACAGCTATGTCAGAGCGTCTGCCACGTGAACTCTGCCACTGTCCAGGTGTGCCGGCCTGCAGGTGGGGACCAGCAGATGTCCTTATGGAGAGAAGGGCCCACGTGGCACATAATTAAATGCTAAAGGACACATCCTGGGAGCTGAGCCTCAGTTTCCTCAGCTGTAAAATGGGTGTCACTATTTTACAGATGGGGAAACTCTGGGACCTGCAGATGTTCCAGATCCTGTTGTCAAGTGGAATCTCTGCAGCCCAGTCCTCCTGGCGAACACCTGTGCCCAGAGAGGGTCAGAGCCGGGCTGCAGAGCACACAGCTCTCCTTGGTCGCCCAGGGTGGGGAGGCAGAAGGAAGACAGAGGTCACTTTTGGGGGATGGCAGAGGGGAAGGAGGTGGGGTATGCAGATTCCACAGCTCTAGGGACAACCTCTCAAAGCAGGCCTCACTGGCTATGAGGGGAGGCTGAATTTGTGGGAAAGTGTTGCCAGAAAGAAAAGTGCCCATAATCACCACACATCTCAGCTGCCCACCCTGCCCCCATGTCCGCCCTAGAGAGAGGGACCAGAATGCCTCCCCCTGCAGCTCAGAGAGGTGGAGGCACTGGCTGCAGGGTCCACAGCTGGAAAGAACTGGGCAGTCCTGCCTGGACCAGAAGTCTAGAAGGCGGGGGCCTGCCTATCTTATTCAGCATCCAGAGCAGCCTGGCACAGTTAAGGTTGCCAGATTTAGCAAATAAAAATACAGGACACCAGTGAAAATGGGAAGTTCAGATGAAATTCAAATGAATGATTTTTAGTATAGGTATGTCCTGTGTAATATTTGAAACATATTTATACTATATTTTGTTACTGTTGCTTATCAGAAATTCTAATATAACTGGGCATTCCTAGGCACAGGGAGAGACAGGAGCTGGTGGGGTTTGGGGTGGGGTGGGCGGGGATGGCCTCACTTCAGACTGCCTTGGTTTGAGTCCTGACTCTGCCACTTCCAAGCCCATGACCTCATCAAGTTGCTGGAAACTCAGCCTTCGTTTCTTCCTCCATATTTTTTTTAAATAATAAATTTAATAGTTTCTATTTATTTATTTATTTATTTATTTATTTATTTATTATTTCAATAGGTTTTTGGGGAACAGGTTGTGTTTGATTTCATGAATAAATTCTTTAGTGGTGATTTCTGAGATTTTGGTGCACCCATTACCCGAGCAGTGTACACTGTACCCAACGTGCAGTCTTTCCTTTCCCCTGAGCCCCCAGAGTCCATTGTGTCATTCTTATGCCTTTGTGTCCTGATAGCTTAACTCCCACTTATTAATGAGAACATACAATGTTTGGTTTTCCATTTCTGAATTACTTCACTTAGAATAACGGTCTCTAATTCCATCCAGGTTGCTGCAAATGCCATTATTTCATTCCTTTTTATGGCTGAGTAGTATTCCATGGTGTATATATCTATATTACATTTTCTTTATCCATTCGTTGATTGCTGGGCATTTGGAATGGTTCCATATTTTTGCACTTGTGAATTGTGCTGCTATACACATGTGTGTGCAGGTATCTTAATAGCACCTACTTTGCAGGGCTGGATTCCATGCAGTAACTCTTCTAATGCCCTCAGAACAGGGCCTGATGCATGGGGAAGACCTGAGTATGTGCTCCTTGTTTTTATTATTTACTAAATTAGGGTGATCAGGGGAACTATAATTACTTGCTAGCAGGGTGTCTAAGGCAGCAGTTCTCAAGTTTTGGATCTCAGGACCCTTTAACGTTTAGAAAAATTAGTGCAGGCCTTGAGCTGTTGTGTATAGGTCTGTCGTATCTGTCCATATTTACAATAGTAGAAATTAAAGCTGTGAAAAAATTATGTATTAATTCATTTGAAAATGTTAACGAATCTATTTTGTTTACATAAATAATACATTTTTCATGAAAAATAGCTCTATGTTTTAAAACCAATAAAATAATATGAAAGTGAGAAGTGACCTCGTTTTACATCTTTGCAAATCTCTTCACTGCCTGGCTTAATAGAAGTCAGCTGGACTCTCACATCCACTGTTGCCTTCATTCTGCTACAATATCACACCACGTGTAGCCCTGGGAAACTCCACTGTACACCTGTGAGAGCATGAGTGTGAGAAGGCAAATATCTTCCTACTGCTATGAAAATAATTTTGGCCTTTTGTTCTCCTGATCCTCTGAGAGACATCTTAGGACCTCACTTAGAGAATCACTGTCTAAGGTCTATTTCAGGCAGGGGCCTCTCCAGCCCCTGATGCCCTCCTGGCACCTGCTGGGCCTGGGGCTGAGTCCAGGCTTGCAGAATCTAGTGGTGGCGGCGTGGTTAGTTGATGGTGTGCATTTGCAGCTGCTCTCTGATCCAGTAGCACTGGGGAGGCATGCATGGGACTTCCCTGCACTTTACAGTGAGGACGCTCTGGCTCAGAGGGTGGAAGGGCCAAGAGTGGGGGCTGTGCAGGGGGCATGCTGCTCTGCGTGAGGCAGGAGGGAGCCTCAGAAGGGTGCTCTCTTGGGCCTCAGAGGTTGTCTCTCTTCATGCTGAAGTACCTCTTGCCTGATATGGCCTCTTAGGGGAGGTGGCATTGGGTCTCTCTCCAACCTACACATCCCCAAGTCCACCCTATCACCGTGCACCCAAGACACCCTCACCCGCCTGCCTACCAGCCCCCAGCAATGCACACACTGGGCCAGGCAGGTGCAGGGACTGCAGGTGAATGATGAAGGTCAAGCCACGGGCGCCTGGGTGAGACAGGTTTGCCCGGGCCTCCCTGAGCCCTGGTCTGTGGCCTGGGTCTGGATGGGTGTGCTTTATGTGCATGTGACCTCTACCCCTGGGGGTGGCCCGTGTGTGTCTCTGAAGCCTCTCGCGGGGTCTGTCAGAGCTTTGTCCCTCCTTTTGTGAGCGTCTGCTCACTCCCGGGGCTGTGTGACTCCTTCTGGGTCTCTTGCTCAGTGACTCTCTCTCTCTCTCTGTCTGTGTGTGCACTGCACATGCGTGGTGTGACACTTTCTCTGGGTCAGGGCAGCTTGCCATTTCGGGGGCTAAGCTGGGGAGTGGCTGCAGAGCTCTCCCTTTGTCTCCAGCACATTCTTCTAGGGCCAGAAGCGTTGTTGTGGCAACTGGTGGCTGCCCTGTCAATGGGGCAGATGTGCCTGTGACCACGTCGAGGGGGCTTGATCTGTGTCCACTCCCCCACTGGCCCCTGGGCAAGCAGGCGGCCCTCAGGACAGGCCCCCCGCTTGTCCTCCAGCTCCTCCACTCAGACGCCTGCCCAAGCCCACCGCCTCTGAGCCTGGCTGGGCCCAGGCAGGGGGCCTGGCGAGTCTGGGAACAGGCTCCGATCTCATTCATTCTCATTCAACAAATATTTATTAACCCCAACTGTGTGCTGGCACTGGGAACCCAGCAGCCACAAAGACAGACAAAGTCCTGCTCTCTTGAAACTTAATGACCATATTAATACGCAAAGCTCACACTTCCACACCCTCACGGCATGCCAGGCACTATGTTTAGCAACTTGCATATATTAACTCATTTAATCACTGTGATAATCCCATTACTCTTCCTATTTTACTAATGATGAAGTACAAGCACAGAGATGTTAAGTTATTTGCCCCAAACCACACAGCCAGTAAATAGAGCCAGGAGTGAATCCAGGGCATCTGGCTCCAGGGTCCATGCTCTTAATCACTATACTGTATAGCCTCTAACAAATGAGAAGCATCATTTCAGATAGTGGTAAGAGCCACGAAGAAACAAAAATAGTGGGTGAGGGGGTGCTGGGAGCCAGGTTAGTTGTGAGTATGTCCTGAAGTGTTGGCATTTGACATGAGCCCTATTAACAAGAAAGAGTCAGCCATGCGATGACCAGAGGGAGCAGCATGTGCACAGGCCCAGAGGCAGTGTGGAAGCTGGCTTGTTAGAGGAACAGAAGGAGGAGGGATAGGCTAGATCCTGGATAGAAAGGGGCTCTGTGCTGTACCAAATGAACTCCCAGATCCCACAGCCGTGTATTTCCTGCCTGCGGATATTCCTGACCAGCAGGTTGACTTTCCTCCAGGTGGACAGTCAGGGACCCAGAGCCCTTCCTTCTGTGGCTTCACAGCTGGCATCCCATGGCCCACATAGGTAAGGAGCGTTGGGGGTGTTGACGGGCCAGGAAGTGGAGTGCATCGCCTCTACTCCATCATCCAGAACCCAGTCACATGGCCCAGAATAAGAGGATCTGGGAGTGGCAAAAAGCCAGCCAGACTCAGCCCCATAAATGGCTGGTGGTTGTGCAGACAGAGAGAGCTCAGATTTGGGTATAGGTTGAGGTTGAATCAATGGGACTTGTTGATGGATGGAGTAGAGGAAGACAAGACCCATGACTGACTCCAGGACTGCACAACTGGCAGGGTGAGCAGCTGAGGCTCGAGGGCTCCACACAGCAGAATGGCTGTGTCCCCACCATAGCATCAGTGCTAAGGAGCTCTCCTTTTGTTCCGTGATTGAGTTCTGGGAAATCATTCCCCTCCCTCTCCCCACACCCTTTGCTATGTAGCTGGGCAGGTCCTGCTGGGAAGAGGTGGCATCTGCTTCCCTACACCTTGAATCTGGGCTGGCCTGGACTTGCTTTTGCCAGTAGGACATGGAGAACTAATATAGTGATGGTACCAAGCCAGGGCCTCAAGAAGCCTTGCAGCATCTGCTCCCACTTTTGGAGTCCTTCCCCTCTGATGGAAACCAGCTTGGGCCAGCCTGCTGGAGGATGAGACCATGTGGAAGAGACCCTGGTTGTCCTAGCAGAAGCCACCCTAGAGCAGCCTATAGACAGCTGACCCCAAAATATGTGGAAGATTCTGCTAAGCTCAGCAGCGCCACCTACTTGACCCACAGCTGACCATAGGTGTGTGAGAGAGCCCAGTTGAGACCAGAAGTGCCCGGTGCACCCATGCACTCATGAGCAAAGATCAATCCATAGTGTCTGGAGGCAGTTAGTTTGGGGGTAGTTTGTTATTCAGCCATAGCTCACTGACACAATTCCCCAAGCAGGAAAGGAACCTGGTCATCGAGCCTGGGACATGAGTTCCAGTCCTGTGCCTGTCAGTGAATTTTCATGTGGGTGGGCCCTGTAGCAGGCTCTGGAGCACCATCAAGGAGTGTGGTTCTGATTCTAGCAGGCCAGGAAAAGAATGTGGGCAAGGGCTGCATGTGGGTGGCCCTGGGTCTCATCCTCCCTGAAGCAGCATGAACAGACTTTTCAGAGGAGTCTTCAGAAGAGTTTGTCAGGTGGGGGAAAGGTGAGTGCTCTGGGCAGAGGAGACAGCAAAGGACAAGATGTACAGAGAAATGGGACCACAGTAATTCTGTGCTGGAGACAAATAGGGTGTGGTGATGAAAGAGAGGGCATGAGAACTGCTAGAACCTCATCTGGCAGAGTGCTTATCTCCTAAGTGGCACCATTGCTACTGCTGTGCAAAAGGCTGCCAGCATGGCAGGTGCAAGGTCACTGTGGGATAAGGAACTTGGACTTTACCTACAGGACAATGGGGAGCCATGGCTGGTGGTAGGTATGGTGTGAGTTGGTCTGGCCAGAGCTTGGAGGCTGGCTTGATGGGGTATGAGTGGAAGCAGGGAGACCTGGAGGAAGCCTTGGCATTCTTTCAGATTCTCACCTGAAAGAGACAATGGTGGCCAAAGAAGGTGATGGGCAGTGAGAAAACTCATGAGATGCCCCAGGGAGAAACTGCCAGAGCTTGGCAGCCTGTTGAATGTGCCTGGTGTTGGGGAGGAATTTGACAATGGCAATCTGCATCTGGCATGGACAGCCTGTGTGGTCCACAGCCTGAACCTCTTATCTCCATCTTCCTCAAGCCTCTGTTTGAGGTGGTGGAATGCTCAGGTGATGATGGCTCAGATGATGTGTGACAGCCCAAACTATAGCCTTCCTTCCCTTGCTTCTGGGTGGTGAGGCCTTGAAGAGGTAATTTCTCTTCCCTGAGACTGGTTGTCATTTGTGAAGTGGGAGCAAGAGGCTTCCTAGGGTCTCAGGAAACATGTCTTAGACTTGCCTTGAAGTGTGCAGGGGACAGCCCCACCTCAGGTGGGAAAAGCCTCCCCAGGACTGTCCTGACCTCAGGTGGGAAAAGCTTCCCCAGGACTGTCCTGACCTCAGGTCGAAAATCCTCCCCAGGACTGTCCTGACCTTGGGTGGGAAAAGCCTCCTCAGGACTGTGCCTGCCCTTGGGTGGAAAAGCCTCCCCAGGACTGTCTTGACCTTTGGTGGGAAAAGCCTCCCCAGGTCTGTTCTGACTCAGGTCTTGCTGAGGGGCTCCCTTGCCAATTGGCAGGGCACCCTCTGCAGAGAGGTTCAGGCACTGGTTCATCTCCTCAGGGCCTTTGGGAAAGTCCAGTTCCTGCTCCGTGAAGCCCTGAGCTAGTTTTAAACTCAAGTCCAGAGGCTGTGTGTGTGTGTGTGTGTGTATAGGAACTTTATCCCTCTTAACCGTTTCCCTCAAATTATTTTGCTGCCTCCATTGGTGCACTATGTTGGTGCAAGGCCATCCCTGGGAGGCACACATCCTGGACTTTGTTTTCTCACTGCCAAATTTGCTGTGTGGCCTTGAGCCCTGGCCCTCTCTGGGCCTCAGTTTCTCCAGTTCTAAAACAAGAGATGTGTCCAAGTCAGAGACTGTATGCTGGTGGCATGAAGGCCAAGTTCAGCCCACAGTCATGTTTTGCTTCATCCTCATGGTGTTTGTCAATGTACAGAAAAAGTGGGATATTTTACTTAAAAACCTGGATGCTTGTCCTTTCTTGAAAAATCAGAGGATCTGACCATGAAGAGGCCCACATTCCCATGTGGCAAAAATGCCCTTGTGTTGAGCAGCTTACTTTCTGAGACTGGGTTCCTGCCAAGACCCCAGGCATTTGGTTTCTCATCACTATAGTCCTGGGCTTTCTGATGTTTTTGGTTCAGCCTCTAACGATTTTGGCCTTTGTAACGTCAGTTTTTTTGAAAAGCCACTTTAGGAATAGACCAAAGGGGCTGGTGGATACCTCTGCCCAATGCAGAACCAAATATTTATTACCATAAGCCATGTTTGAAGAATCCCATAGTTGTGGAGAGAATAGTGATAATAATAATTAATAATAATATTTAGCATTCATCCATTGCTTTGCAACTCAAAGTGCCATACAGTCATTACTGGGAGGATCCTCACAACAGCCCTGTGAGGTAGGTGTTATTCTGATTTCACAGGTGGAGAAACTGGGGCTCAGAGCACAGCTGAACAGGGCACCCGAGAGAGGGCAGGCCCCAGAGCTGGGAACCCACAGTGAGGGAGGACACAGGGATGACTCTTCTGAGACTGTGTTTATGTAACTATCATTGAACACTCATCTGGGGAGGCTGGTCAGAATCTCCCCCATTCCCAGGTGCCAAGGAGGTCAGAAGCAGAAGGGTTGCAAGGTCGGGAAGCCATCCTGATCATGGCAGATCTGCTAGGTTTTCCAAAGCAAAGATAAAATGTGACCTGTGGACTCCCAAGAAACTGCTCACTTACCTATCTGTAGGTGTACCTACCTCATCAACCCACCCTCATCCACCCACCCACTTTCCTAGCTATTCATCCATTCATCCGCTCACTTATCAATCCATCCACCCATCTGTTTATCCCTTCATCCATCCATCTACCCATCCATCCATTTATCCATTCACCCACCCACCTACTTATCCATCCACACATCTACCCATTCACCTACCTACCTACTCACACATTCATCCATCCCTCCATCCATTCACTCCATGGCCCCTTCACATGCCCACTCCTCCAGACACCCAAGTAAAAGAAAAATGGAAAAAAATGTCCAAGGGAAGAAACCATGCAACCATCCAGTCACTTTTATTTGCCCATGCTGTGATCCAGGCTCAGTGTGGACACTGAGGAGTCAGACACAGCCTAGATACTGAAGGGCTCCCAGCAGGTGGGGCCATGGGGCTGTGCTGTGGTCTCAGAGGTGTCTGGTTTTCACCCATGGGTGTGGGGACAGAGTTCAGAGGTGCCTTCTCTTGGCGGTTCAACACAATCACACACAATCTCTGCTGTCTGCCTCATACCACCAGCCCTCACATGCAAGCAGAGACTCTGGGGAGCAGCAGATGCAAAGGCATGCAGCTCCATGCCTGAGACCTGATCTCCCAGGCACACGGAGAGAAACAGACGCTTGGGTAGCACGGAAACACACAGACACATACACACACGAGTACGGCGGAGGCGCTGCAAGGCGCAAAGTCACGTGACTACACTCAAGTCCCTAAGAAGATACAGTACACACACACACACACACACACACACACACACACACACACACACACACCGGAAATGCAAACGGACACATATTAGAACACCCCCAGCCTGCTGGAGGACAGCTTTCTAGGCTGAGGCTCTGGGTGTAGCTGGACCCAAAGCAAAGTGGCCTCACTTGAACCTCTCTCTGCTGCTTGGCCTTGGGAGCAGGATATCCAGGAAGCCCCGCTGGGCCCGGCTGCTCATCGGCCCCTCACCCCATCTGCTTTGGGTCACCTCACCTGAGGACTACATCTCACCTTCCAGGACACGCAGGCAATGGCTAGTGTCTTGGTGAGGTGTGGGGCTCCCTGAACTGGCCTCTGCTGCAGGATGACGGTCAAGTCCCTGTGAGGGGCACGATGACCACCCACCACAGTGACTCATTTCGAAGCTACCACTCAGTGGCCCTGCTTGAAAGGCCTGAGCTTAACAGGCTGAGGCTGGGGATTTGATTTCTTTCCCGGCTAACATGGATGAGATGATGCCTCAACCCCAGGCATCCAGGGGCAGCTTGTGCCCACTTGGCAAACAGAACTCAAGAATCCAGCTGTGCAAGGGGCCCCATGGGGCCTGACGCCACAACCAGGCATCGCCCCTCCTTACCCCTAAGTGAGTACCAGAATTAAGAAGAAGCACAGGCCGTGGAATGATACAGTAGACTCGATATAAATAAAATATTCATATAAAAATAGTCTCTTACAAAATATTCTCTCTTATCCGGTGGCTCACTTTCCGAAAGATGGAAACTGCTGGGAATTTATTATTTTTCCTCTCTATTTATTCCAAACTGGATTTTTCTAATGGTGAAGTTTGAACTGGGGAGGGCAAAAGGATGGAAAACATACTCTGGAAAAAACGTCTCCAAATCTGGACCAGCTTAAATTTCTGGATAAGTAGCAGCAAACAGCAAAAAAAAAAAAAAAAATGTGTGTGTGTATATCTATATATGCATAAAAGATGTCTCCTCTTGTACTTAAACATCTAGTGCTGCAAGGTGGGTACCTGCAAAATCAGCTAGTAGAAATATCTGCATAAAGAATAGTTATGTACACTTCTACACGGCTCCTTGTCCTAGCAACAAAATCATCCTGCTAGGAAAGCAAGCAGTCCACTTTGATTGCAGAAAACGGATCCCGACGAGGTGGAAGAATTCTTTTTAATTAAATAAATTAATATTATTTTTATCAGAATAAATTGTTAAATATTGCTGTGATGAGGCCCAGGGGTCCAGAGTTCCTGCTGCAGAAGGCTTCGCTCCAGCCGCGGAGGGACCTGGGCTGTGTCTGGGGGAGGGTGGAGCAGCATTGGGTGTGGAACAGAATAGTTGAGGGCTCTGAGAGATTTTTTTTCCCCCACGGATGCCTGCAGGAAACCCAGGAAAAGTACCCTCCTCAGCAGAAAAGACAAGCTCAGCATCCTGCCAGGGAGCCCGCAGCTTGGAAACGGTCCAGTCCTCCCAGCAATCTGACTTGCAGCGGGAGGGTGGTGTGCACACGGGGCTCACTTGCACGTGTACATCTCCGTGCGCTCGCTGCACGTGTTGCACTTGACATAGCAGCACCAGTGGAACTTACAGTTGCACTGCCACACGCGGGCGTACTGGTGGGTGTTGTAGCCACGCCCACAGCACATGAGGTCACAGCCGCTGGCCTGGGGAGCCGTCTTGTTGCAGGCGCGGCCCTGGGTGCCCACACTGCCGGTCACCGGGTCCTCCTCGCAGTAGTTGGGCGACTTCTCGATGTACACCAGGTCCGTGTCCATGGGCTTGCGGTACGACAGTGGCTTCTTGATCTTCAGGAAGGTGGGCCGCTTGTTGCGGCTGGCACGCACAGGCTCCACGTGAACGGCCTCGTTGTACTTGTCCTTGAGCACGTAGCCCAGCTCCCGAAACTGTGGCAGTGTGGTCCAGCACGTCTTGGTGGTGCACGAGCCTGACACGCCGTGGCACTTACATTCCAGCTTCATGTTCTCCTCCAGGATCTGCAGGGGAGGGCGGGGAAGAGCACAGCACAGGTCACTGCACGCCAAGGCCAAGTGCAGCCCCCAGCTCCCCCCCGCCCCCCACCCCTGCCCCACCTATCTGGGTCTGGCTTTAGTTTTTTCTTTCTGGTGTAGGAAACTCAGACCTGGATTCTAGGCCCTCTCATTCCAGCCTTTGTGCTGTGCAAGCCACTTCAGCCCTCTGTGCAGCAGTTTCCCCATATGTAGAAGGGGGATAACGATAGTGCCTAACTGTACTCATACAATGCAATACTATACAGCAAGGAGAAAGAATGAATTGCTCACACATGCACAAAGAATGGATCTTTAAGAGGTAATGTTGAGGGAAAGAAGTTGGACACCAAAGAGGACATACTTTATGATTCCATTTATATGAAGTTCAAGAATTGAATGGCAGATGTTTTTCATTTAAACTTTATTCACCTACAAAGACAGTGGACTGGAGTTGGGCCATGAGCCATATTTTGCTTACCTTTGTTTTAGAATAGCCTAGCAATAAGAGAAGGCAACATTTTACCCAACACCCAGAGTACAGCATATTCAGGTTATTTTCAGTGTACTTTAAAAAATTGTTTTTATTTCTTTCTCTCACTTTTCTTCCTTCCTTCCTCCCTCCACCCCTTTCTTCCTTTTTCAACTATAAAGAAATATCTTTGGGACTAAAGCTTCTCTCCCTTCCTCCACCATCCTAAGTCATGAATTGAGCTCCTACTGTGTACAGGCACAGAGATGGGGATTTCCCAAGTGAGCACAGTTGCTGGTTCACCATGTGTGAGCATTTTTATTCTCCTTCATTCAGACTGTCAAATTGCTTTTGCTTGTTATATCATGAAAGAATGAATGGAGGAAGGGGTAAGTGAGTGGACATTTATTAACCCCCTGCACACACACTGGGCCCATGCTTTTATGTATGGCATCTTATTAATTCCATGAAGCTAGTATGATTGACTCCTTTTTACAGAAAAAAAAAAAAAAGCCTTGAGGCTAAACTAAGTCTCAGAGCTGGTCTGTGAGACATTCTGAGGCAAGGGGCTTGGAGCTGAGGGGCGAACTGAGTGCCTGCTGGCCACTTAGTTCCCATGTGATGCTTCTTCTCCAGGTCTCAGTTTCCTTAACTCTAACATATAGTGAAGACAATTCCAGCTTTTCTGAGAAAATCAGGGTGCTGGAAGAGAATGAGACATTCAAAAAACTCGCTAGTCTTGCCTCTGGCCCTGGGCCCGTTCAAGATGCTGGGGATACTGAGGTGACAAGATTAAGTCCCTGACTCTGAGAATTGGGTCCATGTTCAGGGTCCTCCTAGCCCTAAGAGCTCTCCTTCCAGGAGAGGTGACCAGTGTTTGGTCAACAGAACCACCAGGGAGGGAGAGCCACCACATTTCAACCTCAGTATCTGCAATCAAATGAGCCAGTGATGCCACAGGCATCCAAAGTGTTCAGGAACAGGACTGGCTGGTTGAAGGCTCTGGTTCCAGAACACCTGGCATCACAGAGTACCTCCTGTAGGCAGCAGTCTCCCAGGACCCCCCCACACGCAGCCCATGCTGGATGAGCAGCCCCTTCAAATGCAGGCTGCGTCCCACAAATCTGTGTCCCCAAAACAACACAGATATCCCCAACACAGGTTGTCAGTGAGGGGATAGTTCCCAAATCTCCAGCCTGCCTTACTGCCTTGGCTTAAGAAGCAGGAGAAAGAGCAAAGGCTTGGAGGTGTGATGACACAATTGGGGGCAGAGTGAGGCAGGTGTTTCTGATGCACTCAGGCCCAGTTGAGCTGGAGGCTTTGACAGAGATACCTGGGGGATGCTCAAAATGGATTCTGACAATACTGAGTGTTGGCAAGCATATGGAGCACCTGGAGCCCTCAGACACTGCTGGAGGCATGCCAACCTGGTACACGTATGTTAGAAACCCGTTTTCCAGTATCTACTAAGGCTGAGGATGCACATGCCTATGACTCAGACCTTCCATTTCCAAGACACATACCCTAGAGAATCACACTGTGTGTGCAAAGGAAACAGGTTCAAGAATGTCCACACAGCAATGTTCATAATCGCTCTGACCTGGGCACCATCCAGATGACCATCCATAGTGAGTGGATAAACCACAGCGTGTGCATTTCAGTGGAACACAATAGGGCAATGACAATGAACAGCTCTAGCAAGCCACACTGACAGGGACTAACTCAGAAACACAGTGTGGAGGGACAGAAGCAAGCCAGAAATGATTTCCACAGAGTGATTTCATTTGGATCAAGGTCAAAGGCAGACAAAACTGGATAGTATTGTTTAGGAGCCCATCCACCAATATCAAGACAAGGTTATTCCCAGGGCGGGGAGGGGCTGTGGTTGGCCAGGGGCACCCAGCTGTCTTCTGGGGGTCCTGGCAATATTCTGCTCCTTGATATGGTTTATGGTTACATGGATCATGCTTTGTAACTATTCTTTTAAGTGAACAGGGATGCTTTGTGTACTTTTTTCACATAAGCAATATCTCAATTTATAAAAATGCAATGGATACAATCAATGGCCAACAAGCACATGAGAAGATGTTCAGCAGCACTGGTCCCCAGGGAAAGGCAAATCAAAACCACAACGACATGCTCCTTTACACTCACTAGGAGGCTAAGACAATAACAAGTGTCGGCGAGGGTGTGGAGCCATCAGAACCCTCTTGCACTGCTGGTGGGCATCTGAAAGGAGGCAGCCACTCTGGAAAACAGTCTGGCAGCTCCTCAGAATGTTAGACACAGAATGTGTGACTCAACAATTCCACCCCTAGGCGTATGCCCAAGAGAAATGAAAACATGTCCACAATAAAATGAGTACATGATTGCTCATAGCAGCATTATTCATAACAGCCAAAAAGTGAGCGGAATAACTCCCTCAACTATTAATGGATAAGCAAAATGAGGTATACAGTGGAATGTTATTCAGCCATAAAAAGGAATGAAGTACTGATACACGCTACAACATGGATGAGCCTTGAAAACATTATATGCTAAGTGAAAGTAGCCAGATGCAAAAGGCCACATATCGTGTGATTCCGTTTACATGCAATGCCTAGAATAGGCAGATCCATAATGACACATGGGAGATTAATGGTTGCAGAGAAGAAGGGAAATGGGGAGTGGTGGCTAATGGGTACGGGTTTCTTTCTGAGGTGATGAAAATAATGTAAAATTCATTGTGGTGATGGTTGCACATATCTGTGAATATATATTAAAAGCCATTGAATTGCATACTTTAAGTGGTGACACTGTATGGCATGTGAATTATACCTCAGTAAAGTTGTTTTCTTAAAAAAGGCAATGGGAAGCCCCTGGAAGGTTTTTGTGGGAAAGCAATACCAAGGCTTGCATGTATTTCCATGTGTGTGATACTGAGGGCTACTACCGTGGTGGGCCCTAAGCAATGGCCCTAGTGCAGAAAATGGCTCCTGTGTCCTGGATGGGGGTCACTGCTCCTTCTGCCCCTCTTGGTCCCCTGAATGTGGCCTCCCTGTTCTTCTGAAGCCACTGATGGCCTGACGCCATGGTGGTATTGAATGGGCTCCGATCAGGTGACATCCAGCCTGCTAGCCCTGCACACTCTGCATTTTGAGAGATGCAGTGACTGCATTCTGTCCACATTAAGCCAGGCATAATCACAGCTGCCTGGCCAGGGCTGGTCACCAGATGGGCACCCAGCCCTCTCCCCGAGGCAGGGGACAATAGCAGAGGAAGTGTGTGAGGGACAAAGCTGCACTCTGCACCCTACTGCTTGAGGCCAGGCTTCTGAGCTGCCCGAGGGGACTTATGAGCTCACCTCCCCACTTGAAGAGCCTGGGCTCTGTGCTTCAGTGTCAGGAGGTCTGAGGGCTTTCAGGCTCAGGCTCTAAGATGACACGGCTCCATGCAGCTTCCCAGTGCCTGGCATACAGCCGGTGCGCAGAAAATGCCAGAAGGTAATTCACCAAGGGGGTGCATTCAAATCACTCCACAAGCAGTATGCCCCAGGCCCGAGCAATTGTCAGTTGAATGTTCAGGGTCCCACAGGCCCTGCCAAGCTAGCCAGGCATCAACCCTCCATTGCTGGATATAGGTGAAGTTGAGAGGATTCAAGGAAAAGCCATGGCAAAGGTGGGGGACAATCAAGGGGCTTGGAGCAGCTGGCAGAATGTCAGTATTTTATATTAGTGGCTGCACCACTGGGTTGCAGGTTAAAGACCAGCTGCATGAAACTGCTAGAGTTTGCCATTTTGCCATCTTGTGATGCTGAGATATCACAATATATGAGAAAAATAAATGAGGAAGTAAATCTGTGAATCTGGTGTCTGGCCTCAGTAGGCCCTTCCAGATGGTTTGGCCTGTGGAAGGCACTGGCAGGAAATCGGAGGGCAGGAGGAAAGTTCTGGGAGTTATTCCCCCTGGTTGCTCCCTGCTGGGCCCTTCAGGATGTCTGCACAACCCTATCAAAGGTCACAGCTCCTGCTGGGAAGTCCTCTCTATACAGCCCCCGGATTCTAGCAGCTCAGCCTCCCCTGTCTTCAGGCGTAAGGAGTAACCACTCCCCAGTGTAGCCAGCCCCAGGGTGCTGCACCAACTCTTTGAATTCCTTTACTTTTGTCCTTTTATTAGCAAACTCTTTCTTTTTTAAAACAGCTTTACTGCAGTACAATTCACATACCACACAATTCTCCCATCAAAAGTGTACAATTCAATGGTTTTTAGTATATTCAGAATTGTACCACTATCATTACAATCTAATTCTGGAACATTTTAGTCACCCCACAAAAGAAACTCCATACCCATTGCAGTCATTCCCCATTTCCCCTTGTCCCAGGCCCAGGCAGCCGCTAATCTACCTGCTGTCTTTGTAGATCTGTCTGTTCTAGACAGATCTATTCTATAAATGGAATCACATAGTATGTGGCATTTTGCGTCTCTAGCTTCCTTCACTCAGCATAAAGTTTTCAGGGTCTGTGCATGTTGTAGCATGTGTTACAATTCTTTTCCTTTTCATGGCTGAATAACACTCCATGGTACAGGTATGCCACATTTTATCCACGCATCCATCGGTCATTGGACAGTGGTCTCTTTCTAAACTCTCCTTAATTCCCCAGTCTGAATGTGCCTGTGGCATCCAGCCATGACCACAGTGGATACACCTGGCTCCTCTGCAGCAGGGCCGAGCCGAGCCCCACCCTCCTGGCCCCCAGGCCCATGCTCTCTCCGCAGCAGCTGCCTCCGCTTGAGCAAGCTCACCCCTTCCATGCCTCTTGGCCCTGCACATGCTGTTCCTTATCTGGAAGGCCAATCTTTATCACCATGACAGACGATGGCCCAACAATTCCACTACTGAATATGTACCCTGCGGGGAGGCTTGTGCTTGTGCAAGATGTCAAAGAGCCTCACAGGGACCTTATCTGAAATATCCAAAGGCCAAAAGAATCTGAAGATCCACCAGTGGGGACTGGTTATGTAAATTACGGCACATCTATGAGTTGGAATGCCCTATAGCTGCTAAAGAGAATGAAATGGCTCTTACTCACTAACCAAGGACACTGTGCAAGGTCCGTGGTTAAGAGAGCAAAGCAAGGTGTAGAAAGGCTTGCAGCTTGGGAGCTTGTTTGTATGAGAAAGAAGACTCATCCATGTATGCTTGTAAGAGCACAGGGTATTTCTGGAATTACATGAGGGGAATTGGTAAGAGCAGCTGTCTCTGGGGAGGACACCAGTGCCAGGGGACCAGCTGGACAAACAGGAGTCTTACTTTTCATGGGATTGTCTTTTGTAGTGTTTGAATATTCTGCCATGTCAGGAAAAAAGTCAGCTCCTCACAAAGCCTTCCCTGATTGTCAGGATAGACAGTGACTCCCTCATGGTTTCCATGGCTGGCCTGTGCTGTTAGAGTCCTTGTCTCCTTAGCACTGTGATGACCTGCCTATACGTCAGCATTCCCCCAGGCCAATTGCCCTCCAAGGGAGGACTTGCTTCATAGCTACATGTAGTGGTATGTTGCTCAAACTGGCTCTCGAAAGAAAAAACAAAAAGCCCTGTTACGTAGTGTTTCCCAATTTCTGAGGAATAAATTAAATGTTCCCACCATGGCTGACTTTAAGCTACCAGCAGTTTAACAATTGACAAATCCTGAATATTTAGTAGCGGGTCTTCCAGCCCATAGGAGTGGGTTCCAACACACCACTGGCCTGGGAGTGTGATTAGTGCATAGCCTCCAGCTGTCAGATCCTTCAGGGTGTGGGGCCCTGCATCTGGGGACCAAGAGAGGCAAGGGTATAAAGGTCTGGCCATTTTAGCCAGAGGCAGTCCAACATAATGGGCAGGACCGAGTCCAGTGCTCCCCATCAAGGCTTTGCTGGGCCAGCATCCAAGTGTGAGTCCTCTATCTGCCCAAGCCTGCTCCTCCTCTTCCCCTTTATTCCTTTATACAGATCCCCAATAAATAGCTGGGACCGGAAACTCCATCTCAGCCTCTGCTTCCAGAGAACCCCACCGGCCACACTCCTCGGGCCAGGTCATTCACCTTGAAATCCCCCGCCTCTGATGAAGAGCCTTGTGTGCAAGCGGTGCTGCCCGGTGTTTGCAAGGGGAACAGGACCTAGGGCATGTCTGTCCACGTAGGCTTTCACTCATGCACCTGTTTCACAGTGAGGACCTACTGTGTGGTATTTGGCGTCACCCCTGCTGGGGAGTTCCCAGGAAGACTATGACACAAGGAGGTGCTGCTCCGGTTTTCTCTGAGCTTCCGGTCCCCACCTTCCCTGAGTTTGCAGTCCTTGCCACCTCTGAGCTTGTGATTCCAAACCAGAAGTAACTGTGGAATTAATAATTCCCCTGAATCTAATCATACATTGGTAAGTGCTATGAAGGAGTGAAAGCAACAGAGAAGGAAACTTGAACCCGTGAGATGCTCCTGTGTGCATCTCAAGGAAGCCTCCCCCAAGAAGGCCAGGGCTGAGCTGGAGTCAGATAACGGGAGGGATAAATTAGAACTGGCCAAACTCAGGTAGATGGGGAAAAGGCATTTCAGATTGGGAAACAGACACAGAGAACTGAAAGAGGGAGCAGGCTTAAGGAAGAGCACATGTTGAGCACATAATGAGGACATTTCAGGCATGGTGAGTGGCCAGAAAGAGGGGAATCTGGGGAGTAAAAGGGTCTTTTGGTGCTACCGAAATCTGACTCCAGTCAGCTCAGGCATCTACAGAGGATAATGTGAGTGCAGGGCCAGGCAGACTTCAGTCCCTTCCACAGAATAAAACAGTGGCTGAAACCAGCCAGAAGAGGGCTAAACATCTACAATTTTTGATATCTAAAAAATTGATTGCAAAATCACAGTATGGGAGAGACTGAGAAAGATTGAAATTGACCACAAGTTCAATATGAGCTAGGAGGCTACTGAAAAGCCAACACTCTGGGGCCATATTAACTAAGGCCTAATGCCCACAATAAAGAAGGGGATGGTCTTCCTATACAGTTTTCAGAACTGGACTATGCCTCAGCAGATGGAAAGAAACAGAGCATGTCTAGAGGAGAGGGCTGGAGGACCCACAGTGAATGAGCTGGAGCTGTTCAGCCTGGAGAAGGTAGTTTCTGGGATCCCTAGTCACTACTCCACAGGGTCTGCAGGCCTGACCCAGGACAGAGTGAGCAGGAAGGACTGTGTCCCAGAGCACAGAGCTGGGACCCCAGTTGTTGGCAGGAGTCAGAGAGCAGTAGATTCCTGCTCAGTCAGAGGGCAACCTCCCCAACAAAGCTCACCAGGGTTCAAGAGGGTTGCTGGTGAGGTAATGAGCTCCCTGTCCTGGAATGTATGTAAGCAGCAGCTGGGGTCTGTAAAGGGGACTCCTGCACCAGGTTGGGTGGGGCTGCAATCCAGAGCCTCCTCTGCCTGCCAGCCATGCCCCAAACCTGTCTGGAGCAGCAGGAAGGATTTTCTGCACCACTGGAGGGAGAAAAATCAATCTCTTTTTGACAGGTCCCCCAGGAAGTGCCAACAATGTACCAGGTGCTGCCCAGAGCCCGGAATTACTCAGGGTGGGGTTCTCAGGCCTGGGAGGGGACTGGGGAGAAACTTGGCTCCAGAAAATTCCTTGATTCATAATGCCAAATAGATACTATCGAATTTGGTGCTTCTGGGCCTGTCCCAGACCCTCGGGCTGCCCAGGGGACCTAGGGGTGAACTTCCTGGAAGAAGGAAGGATCCTTGGGAGGGGACATCAGACAGCAACCTCTGGCTCCCACAGGGTCCATGCCACATGGTGCTCCTATGACTGGAAGTGTCTGCCACCCTCCATAGCATTCTGAGGGGCATCGAATTTTAAAAACCAAAGGCTTCCCAGCGTTGAACACACTGCTTGCTGTCATCCCTGCCCCCAGCACCCATGGCAGGCACTCTGAAGCACTGGGCGCTCCAGGATCGATCCTGCGCTGCCCTACTCCAGGAATGTGCCCCCATTCATCTCCGCAGGCCCAGCCCAACCCAGCCTTCTACAGCCCTCCACAGTGCCACCTCCTCCACAGAGCCACCTGTCCCAGCCCCACCCAACCCCAGTCCTTATCTTGGTGCCTTGTTTTCTAGCAAGCCCAGTGAGACCTTGGAGCTTTGCAAACAGAGAGTCCTCAATGAGGCCTTTCCTAGCCCCCGAAACTGAAGTAGCCCCACTGGTCATTGCTAAGGATGGGTGACTCAGACCAGTCAGGGCCAAACTGAAGTGAGTCCTGGGGATTCTGCGCACACAGAAGACAAGAGCTGTTGGTTATCTCCCACCAGATACGAACAGGAGGGAATGCAGGGGCCAGAGCTGTGGACAGGCATCGTGCAACCACATGGGGCCAGAGGATGGCATCAACTAGGAAAGCAGAGCTGAGAAATAGAGAGGGGGCAAGGAAGGGGTGCATGCAGCTGGGTCCTGGGAATATCATTTGCACCCTGGATCAAGCCAGACCTGAATTCATCAACCCAAGACCACTGTGTTCCAGGAACTAATGAATACCCTTTGCTCTTAAGCAAGCTTGAGTTGGGTTTCTACCCATTACAACTTAAAGTACCCTAACTGCAACAGAAATCCTTTCATCTGGGTGGTGGAGGTGCCCTTTGTAAAACAGATAGCCAGCCCCAAGTTGATGGGTTTTAAGCCACACATGGCATGGCGCAGGTCTGGGGAGCCAAGGACTGGTTTGCCTAAAAAGGCCTTTGGAAGGCCAGGACCTCGAGGGCTGGAGCTCGAGACTCTGGGCTCGTTGAGTATCTGCTGCTTCCTCCCCTCTGAAACCCCTCTGAGGTTGGCCAGCCTGGCTCCTCTGCAGGGAGTGGTCAGTTCTGGACTACTTGTACCTCAGGTTATAAGCAGTGACCTGGGCAACCAGAATCAGTCTCCACGAAAGTATGATGTGGCCAAAGGCAGCCTGAAGCAGAAGGGCAGGCACTGTGGCAGAGTCAGGTCACCCAAGAAGCTCAGTTCAAATCCCATCCCTGCCACCACATGCTGGTGATGGCAGAAATGGCCCAAGGGAACATGGCACACTCTCTGGCTCTCCATTTCCTCATTGCTGCTGGCCTACCTCTGACCACGGAGGCCGAAAGCATAACACATCGCCTGAAAAAAACAGAGACCCGGAAAAGCAACTTCTCCCTTTCTATCTTTGGATGCTGTGGTGTAAGAATGTGATTCCTGGAGCTTAGGCAGTCATCTTGTGACCATTAGGCAAGACCTATGAGGCTGACAAGGTGACAATGGCAGAATGGAAGGGTGAAAAGAGCTGGGGCCCAAGAAAAGACTGTTGAGCTTCTGAAAGAAACCATATCCAGATTTTTATTTTGCAGGAAAAAAACAAACTCCTATCATCAAAACCACTTTTGGTACTAGTAAGGCATTCTGTTACTTGCAACCAAATGCATCCTAAGAGATTTGTTCCTCGTTGTAAAGTAGGGACAAGTCCTCTCAAAGGGAACAGTGGGGATTAAATAGGAGAAGGCTCTTTGCGGCCTGGCACCAGGTATCTCACAGAACTGGCGCCCAGCCTGTGGGAACTTTTCTCATTTTGAGCAGTGGATGCTGGGATGAGTGCGCACAGGGCTAGAAGGGCAGGGCAGGGAGAGCGGCGCTGTGGGGCGGAAGGAGCCATCGGATGGAGGTCCTGCTTCTGTCTGTACACTGCTATGTGCCTGCAGGCGAGTCCCTTTCCTTCTCTGAGTCTCAGTTTTCCTTACCAATGAAGGCAACACAGGGGGATCTCGGAGAGAAAAGACGGGGACAGAGGGAGACAAGGAGGGCAGGGGGAGGAGAGAAGCAGGTTGGCTGAAGTTGTCCACACTCTCCCAGAAGTCCCTGGAGTGAAAGCCCATTTCTGTGCAGTGCAGCAGGTGCAGAGATGAGAGGAAGTGACCATTTCCCCCAGAGGTCATTAGGAGTTCCTGGGAGCCCTGCTGTTGAAGCCCCAGCCCTTCATCCTTTCTCCTGCCTTCTCCAACACCCAGGTCAACTCACCCCAGAACCCCTGTCCTATTGCAAACACCCTCCCAGCGCTGGAGGCATGTCTGTGCTGCTGCTGCCTGGCATGGCAACCCCAGGGCATCTTTAAGCAGCCCCTGCAATGGCTGCCTTTGTTCTCCCCTCACACAATGTGCTCCTGGTCCCCGCAGCGTCTTCTCCCATCCACATTGCTGGTACTGCTATCTCCCATGCTCAGACCCCAGCCACCCTCCCCCAAGCAGGAGGCTCGTTCCTGAACCTCCTCCAAAAAGATCCAAGCCAGCTGATCACATGGTAAAGGTGGGCCCCGGTCAAAAAGATGGACAGAAAGCAGGTGGGAGCTTTGCTGGATGTGGAGGCCCCTCAACCTCAGGCTGGAGGGCTGATGGCTTAGTTTTCACAGAAAGCCATGCCTGGGTCAGACTCCAGAGACTTGAGGCAGGAGATGGTCACCAAGTTCCGCTGGCTTCCTCTCCTGTGCCCCATGCCCCATCTGTTCATGTTTCTTGTCTCCAAGCACCCACCCTGCACCAACCAAGTGAAACACGGGTCCATCATCCTCTGTGTGTGGCAGAAGGTGTCCCTGGCTGCTGCTCACCCCTGCTCTACCCTGGGAGGCTGAGCTGTGTCCCTCCTTGCCCTCCAGCTTCCCAGTGGGTGATCCCACAGGGACTGGAGGGCAGGAGAAGATACAGGCAGGACTTTTACACCCTGGACTCCCTGTCCATGGACCACATGGTGGCTGTGACTGTCTCCCTCTGCCTAGAACCACAGCGCCTGCCAGGAGGCCCCTTTTCCCCAAGCCACACTTTCTCTACTAACACTGCCCTCCAGGGCAGACAGAGCTCCCCAATGTTGCCAGCCCTAAGGCCTTTTTAGGATTCCTTAAATCCTGCCCACATCCCTGTAGTCATCCTTTACCTAAACTTGCCTCTGTCACCCCTGACTACGCCATCTCCCAGACTCTGGTGGGCACACTGGGTAAGTGAGTCCCTCCTTGAGCTCCAGCTTTGTCTCCTCATGACATGGGCTCAATGGAACACACCTGGTGATGCAGCAGCTGGGTTAAATGACCGAAGGTGGAGTTCCAGGGGAAGGAGGCGCTCATAATCACTACTGTGATTATGTAGGATTGTGCCATTGTTCAAGGCTCTGCAGGAAATGTTGGTGTTGGTGTCAGGATCAGAGTGAGGACAATTTCTCGGCCTAGGGCTCAATGCCGGCCTCAAGCCCAAGCTGCTCAGTGTCACTTCTTCCTACGTGTATGCCCAAACCTCTCAGCAGACTGAGCGGCACAAGGGCAGGATCCATGCCCACCTCTAATAAAAGCCGCTGCCTCCGAGGTAGCTGCGGTGTCCAGTGCCTGACACGAATGCACACAGAAACCTTATGAGGAAGGTTGACCATCATCAGCCCATTTCACAGATGAGCAGACTGGGGAGACAAGGGGTGGCAGTGCGGACCACAGTCACACAGTCAGGAAGCATGGAACTGGTATTGGAGTCCAGCAATCTGGCTGTAGAGCTGTAATGTGGCCGAACAGAAGGAAGGTGGGTGGGCTAGGATGGCCTTGCTCCCTCGGTGATGGTCACTTGGGCTGGCTTGTGTAGTGGACACTGTCGCATGCCACTGGGATCTGTCCTTCAGGACCAGACACTCCCTCTGCAGCTGCTGGGAGTGTTGCTGCTGATGGCTAGCAGCTGAGTTCCTCCCTAGGCACTGCCCTCCCCTGATGGGAGCTGTCTCACCCAAGACCACTCCCCCTCCCTGGGCAGCCCCCCAGCCAAAGACTGGTTGGTGCTGGGTACAAAGGCCCATCTCCCTGCCTCCATGGGGCTAACCCAGCTCCAGGTTTCTCATGGGACCAGCATAAGTCCCTGTGGCTGCTGCATCACTGGCCAACTTCTCTCGATGCCCAGGGCTGCCTTCCTCACTGCCTTATAGGTGTATCTCCCCAGAGTCCCGCCCAGGACCTGTCCTGCTTGCAAATGTCCAAACCAGGGACCCTTTCCAAGGCACTGAATAAAGACAACGTGGAGGTCAGCGGGCAGGCAGCCTTGGACCCCCAACCCCGGGAGACAATAAGTGTGGATACCCACACCAGGATAGGTGCTACAGGCTCCCATCCAGAGCTGCCACCACCTGCTCCCCTCCTGTTCCTGCTCCTGCTTCTCCTGCTCCTGATGATATTCCTCCTCCTCCTCCCCCTCTTCCTCCTCCTCAGGCTCCTCCTGCTCCCCCTCCTCCTCCTCAAGATCCTCCTGCTCTTCCTCCTGCTCCTCCTTCTCCTTCTCTTGCTCTTCATGCTCCTCCTTCTCCCCCTCCTCCTCCTCTTGCTCCCATCCTCCTGCTCCTCCTCTTCCTCTGCAGGCTCCTCCTCCTCTACAGGCTTCTCCTTCTTCCCAAGCTTCTCCTACTCTTCCTCCTTCTGCTCCTCATCCTCCACAGGCTCCTCCCACTCCTCCTCCTCTACAGGCTCCTCCCACTCTTCCTTCTCACAGGCTCCTCCTCTTTCTCAAGCTTCTCCTTCTTCCCAAGCTTCTCCTGCTCTTCCTCCTCCTCCCCCTCCTCAGGCTCCTCCTACTCTTTCTCCTGCTCTTCCTCCTCCTTCTCAGTCTCCTCCTGCTCCTCCTCTCCCTCCCCATGTCGATCCATCTTAGCAGAAAGCTGCATTTCAGCCAGCTGCAGCTGTATACCTCTGGGCGACTCAGATGAAAGAGCAGAAAAAATGGCTTTTTTTTTTTTCTGTAAACATTTGAGGTATTTTCTTTTTGGTGCATTCTTTAAGTCATTCTGGATGCACTGACTTCAAGCAAATATTCCTGCCTGACATGGAGGGGATGGCAGGGAAAAGGTGCACCCCATAGGACAGGGCCCCTGGAATGCAGCCTGGGAGGTACAGGAAGAGAGGTTTCCACTCAAGCCAGAGAGAGGTTTTCTGGTCTATACTGGGGGCCTTCTGAAACTCAGTGTTTGCCAGGTTACAACTGCTTAGATGCTGTCTATGGCTCCTGAGGTTAAAGCCCAGATTCCTCTGCCTGGCTTTCAAGACCCTCCATGAACTGGTCTCTGCCCAACTTTGGGGTATCTTAGGAGCCCGAGAACTGTGGACACACAGCCCCTCACCCCAGATTCATCTCTTTCTAGGCTCCTACCCCCCCAGTAACCTGTGTGGCCTGCACACAGTCACATCCCACCATGTGCTCACACATACACAACCTCCCCAGGCATGGCCCCATGCAACCCCCCACAGGCTCACACCCTCACACTCATCAGCACACTCAAAGCACACACTCTTACGCCTGTGCGCACACTCACACACTCCCTCACAGGTATGCATGACACATATGCTCACACACAGGTGCTTCTCATGCCGTCCATCCCTACACAACATATGCACAGATAGCCCTTCACACACAGTCCTGCCCACATACTTCCCGGCACACAAGCGCACACACACACACCCTCAAACATGAAGGGAGCCCATATGGTGGTGGCTAGCAGATGGACCCACTGCACACTGGCATGGGGGGCCTGGGGCCAGGTCTCAGCTTTGCTCCCCTGTAAACTGGGGCATTTAAAGTAGCAAACCCATTTGGAGGTGGAATAGTCGAGCCCCACACAGTGCAGCACCACACAGTGCAGCCTCTCCTAGATGCATTCTGGGTGCCTCTCTCTCATAAGTGACCTCCCTGCAGGCTGCTAGGTTGACTACGGGGCAGGGGTTGCCTTGGGCAGGCCTGTCCCAGAGTCTAGGTTAGTGGGGACTGTGGCCTGTGACCTGGGGTGAGGCAATTGGGTAACCCCAACCACAGCGTGAGGGGCAGGGAGGCTGACAGCGGGGACATGGAGCCACTGAACCTATGTGCTTCTCCCAACTGCTGGAGCACCCTGAAATGGCCTTGGCAGTCAGTCATACATTCACTTATTCATTCATCCACTCATTCACCTTTCCACCACACGCTAACTTAATCCCTTCCCTGGCCAGGCGCTGAGGTTGGTGGCCAGGTGGGCAGAAAGAGGCAAGCCCCTGACTCCCTTGAAGCTTAAGCTCTGGAGGGGGAGGTGGCTGTGCTGTCAACTGTCACACGGGCATAAGGCTGATACCAGCTTCCACCAATGGTGGCCCTGAAGGAAAGCGCAAACTTGCTCCCGTTCCTGTGGTCACAGCTCCCAGAAGTTTCCCCCACAGCCTGGCTGGAAAATGTTTTTAAAACAATTTGAGAAATCTGAATCAGGCAGGGTATTAGACAGCACTGAGCAATTGTTTATTTTGCTCAGGGTGATAATGGCACCATGGTTTTTTTTTAGAAGTCCCTATTGATTGGAGATACACAGTCATGTGTGGGTGAAATAACAAGCTGTCTAGGGTTTTCCTTAAACCCTTCCAGTTGTGGGGAGCTGAGGAGAGAAAACGAGGTAGAGGACTTGGACCACAAGCTGGGGCTGCTGATGCTGGGGGTCGGGTGCACACTGGAGGTCAGGGGCACGCTGTGGGTCAGGTGCACGCTGTGGGTTGGGTGCGTGCTGGGAGTCGGGTGTACGGGGCTCCTTTTACTGTTCTTTCCCTCTGTCCTCCAGGCATCCCCTGCTGCCTCTTTGACTTCATCTCCTCTTTGACTTCATCTCCTATGCCCTCATTCACTCCATGCTGGTCACAGTGGGTTCCTTGCTGTTCCTCCAGCACCCCAGGCATGCTCCTGCCTCTGGGCCTTTGCACCTGCTGCCCTTCTGCCTTGGGGTACTCTTCCCCACTCTCCACATGGCTCCCTTCCTCAGTGCTTCTAGCCTTTGCTCAAATCTCACCTTCCCTATGAGGCTCTCCCTGACTTTTGCCCTGGTCTTTCCCGCCCCTGCCCCGGCTTGTTTTGCTCCCTAGCTTGCGTCAAATGTGACACAGCACACGTTTTAGTTGTGCTTATCATGTCTCCCTCCAGCATGTCAACTGCCCAGGGGCAAGGACCCGGTCTGTCCATCCCCTGCTGTGTCCCCAGCAGCTAGACCAGGAACATAGCGGGTGCTCAGTAAATACTTGCAAATGAATGACTGAGAGCAGTAAGAAAGAAAGCGACTGGAGTGATCAGGTAAGGAAGTGACCTTGAGCTGAGAACCAGACGTTGAAGAGGAGTCGACGAGACAAAAAGGGAGGAAAGGGCAGGCTAGGCAGAGGGAAGAGCATGGGCAAAGGCCGAGGGCAGAAGGAAGCAGGGAGCAGTCAGGAAACAGGAAGGAGGGCAGTGGGCCAGGCTGGAGGGCCGGCGGGGTCTTTGTCCTGATGGTTCTCGCTGGGGTCAGAGGAGCACATGTGGAATGGCATTGGAGAAGCTCTCTCAGGTGTCCACGCAGAGGACAGACTAGAGACCTGAGCAGAAAGGTCCTGCGATGCAGGAAGAAGCAGGGTGGGGGCTCAGTCAGGTAGAACCAGAGAGAGAACGGGAAAGCACGCAGAAACCAGAGGACCACCCGCCTGGCCAGCTCCGAGGGCAAAACCGCTGTGAACCCCTTTGGTGGTAAATCAGCTACAAACTGTGCATCTGATGAGGGCTGAGCCAGCGTCCTCAGCTCCTGCTGGCCTGCCTGGCTCTGGCCACCCCCATGGGGATGCAGAGCAATGGGACACAGAGCTAGAGGACCCAGAGCACGGGCCCCCTACATCAGTTCAGACCCTTCTCTCTTGGCCAGAGACCTGGGCTCTGTCAGGGACAACCCCAAAGATGGTGGACTTCAAAGAGGGATGGGACCTCCCCACGAGGCTGGGGGAACACTAACACCAGAAACACACTCACACACAAACTTGTCCACAAATGTCAATAACAGCATTATTCATAATAACCAAAAGATGAAACAACTCAAATGTCCATCAATGGATGAATGCGTAAACACAATGTTGTCTTTCCATACAATGAAACGTTATTCAGCCATAAAAAGGAATGAAGTACTGACACAGGCTGCAACATGGATGAACCTTGAAGACTTTATGCTGAGTGAAAGATGCTGGACACAAAAGACCACAGCGTGTATGCTTCCAGGTGTATGCAATGTCCAGAACAGGAAATCCATAGAGACAGAGAGCAGAGGAGTTGCTGCCAGGGGCTGGGAGAGAGGGAATGAGGAGTGACTACTAGTAGGTACAGAGTTTCTTTGAGGGGTGCTGAGAAGTTTCAAAATTGATTGTGGTGACGGTTGCACAACTGTGAATACCCTAAAAACCTTGGACTTGTACACTCTAAGAGGATGGATTGTATGGCATGAGAATTATATCTCAGTAAAGCTGGTTTTTAAAAAAAAAAAAAAAAAAAAGACAAGAGACCCCATTGGGCCAGTGTCCCTAGGAACTTGGGCCATGGAGCACAGCTGCTCGTGCAATGACAGGGGTGTCGGCCCTCGTGTGGGCATGCAGGGCTCAGCCCTGGCCTCCAGATGGGCACAGCAGCATCCGCACGCTCTCCCCAGGCTCTGCTTCAGAGTCATCTGCAGAATCCCAGCCTTTCAGAATCTGCTGATGCCTGGACCCCACCCCCAGAGGTTAGGATTTCACTGGTCTCAGGTGTGGCCAGGTGTCTGCTATTTTAAAAAGCTTCTCAGGATTCTCACATGTGGCCAGGGGTGGAGAGCCCTGGTCATGTCCTCCATCCACTCTGGCAGTCCTGAACCCTCCAGTGGAACCTCCCACTGCAGGGCCTGTGCTGGGTGCCAGTAAAGTGAGGGTGGTTGGACAAAGTCTCTGTCTTCAAGAAAAGCCCAGATAGTCAGGGAGACAACCAGACCGGTAGAAGGAAGACTGGTCCAAAATAAAGGCCTGTATGTACTGCCATGGGGCCCATGAGCAGTTGGAGGAAGTGACCTGTGGGGTTTGAAGGATGAAGAGGAGTTCGCCACTGGAAATTCGAGGGAAGGGTATCACCTGTGCCTGAGCAGGAGTGCAATGCCCTGGGGCTGGAAAAACCAAGGGAGCGGGTGTGGGTGCAGAAGAGAAGCTTGGTGCAGCAGTGGCAGCCCCAGGTAGGAAAGGAAGGCAAGTTGGGACCTGAAGGGAGGCCTAGATGGAACTGCCATGAGACTGAGTGCTGAGAGCCAGGGACCTTGCTCCTCCTGGCTGGAGCCCAGCACACTGCAGGGCATTACTGGGGGTGTCTGGTTTTGGGGGTGTGGGCAGTTACCGGAGGCCAAGTGGTAGCCTCTGATGAGAACACCATCCTCTGCCCTGTCCTCTGAGGCCCCAGGGCACCCACTGCCTCTCAGCCCCGCCAAAACCCTTCTGTGAACACTTAAAATGTCAGGTATTCCAGGACGACACCAAGCCCATTCCTGCCCCAGGACTCCACAGCAGCTGATCCTTCTGCCTGTGACACCCTTCCTCCAGTTCCTCAGCTCCGGCTCAGCAACGTAAAGCCACCCTGGATGGCCCCCTCTCCACAGTGCCCCGCATCAGCCCCTCTCACATCCCCCTGTCTCACATCCCCCCGGCCACCTGAGGTACTTTGGGATGACTTGCTTGCTCTCCCCTCCCCTCCTGAATGTCAGCTCCAGAAACACAGAGCCCCCATCTGCTGTATTCGGGAGCATCTAGAGGAGGTCTGCCTCCCAGGAGACACCCAGCAAGCATTTTCTGGGTGAGTGAATGAATGAATGAATGAATGAATGAATGAATTCACCTTTGCTCAGGAGTCTAGATAGCCATTCTTTCATGGTGGGTTATTGTAGAAGAGGCCCTGACTTAGTCCACAGAAGATCAAGGCTGAAGCATCCCGGAAAGTCTCTGGGGCAGGGACACAGGCGACGATGCTCTGGAACATGGAGGAAGGACCCAGGAGCCGGGTCACACCTGGCTGAACATCCTCTGTGCCCTTGACCACCTCCATCTGAGCTGCCTGGGCCCCAGCAAGGCCCTGCCCAGGTGGCCAGCTACCAAAGAAGCCCTATGAACTTCCCATCCCAGACAGGAGCTCCCTGAGACATGAGGAGCAGCTCTGGCCTCTCCCGACCTGTGTTGGCGTCCAGCGTGCAGGAGCTGGTGTCCAAGAGGCTGGACTGGCCTGAACCAAGGTTCCACGCTGCCCCGCAACAGCCCCCGGATGTGTGTGCAAAGACACCTCTGAGATATTCTGTTCCTGCCTTTGGTGGTGTAGAGGTTTTCCAGTCGGGCAAATGGAAATACACCCCGGTTATCTCTATGCGTCTGCAGTTCCCAGCTGAGGGTGCGGTGGGGCCTCTTCCCCTGGGCAGAGCAGGTGGGGGGCATGGTTGAGAAATAACCAATTTCTCAGTGCTCTGAGCTACAAGGAGCTGCTGCAGGAGTGGAGACCCAGGGCCCAGAGGGACGTGGGTTTCTCTCTCAGCTGTGCGGCTTCGGGTCCTCACCCTCCTGCTGTCTCTGAGGTTCTGTCAGCACCATGTAGGCCTGCTGGCTGGTGCATGTGCAGGAGCAACAGTGGACCTGAAAGGTCCTCTGAAACCACGGTGTGCGGAAGGAACTGAAGACTCCCACAGCAGAGGAAGAGGTTTTAAAGTCCCTTCTTCAAGCCCCAGCTCTGCCACCTGTTGGCTGGGTCACCCTCAGGATACCACTTAACCTCTCTGAGCCTGGTCCTTCAACAAGAAAATCAGAGATTATGAACTACCTAAAAAACCATCTCAGGGCTGCTGTTGGGGCTGGCTCAGGCAGAGAACGGGAGGTACCCGACTCACAGGAGGGAGCTGGGAAAGGGCTTCAAGGGGACCTGGTTGGAGCCCCCAAAGTTTTGCAGGACTGCTCTGGACCAAGAATGCCAACTGGCTTAGGGACCCAGAGAGTAAAGCTGGGTCTCCCCAGCTAGTCTCAAAGGGCAACTCTCAGCTCGGATTCTGTAGGTATGGAGTGGACTTTCCAGAAGGTAGCGAGCTCCCTATCACCAGGGTACTCAAGCTGGATTTAGATCTGCATCCTCCAAAACGGGAGCCATGAGCAATATGGGTGCTTGAACTGTGGCTAGTCTGAATTGAGATGTGCTATGAGTGTGAAACAAATGCCAGACTTTAAAGACTTATTACAGAAAAATTAAAAAGTATCTCAGTATTTGCATATTGATTACATATTGAAATGATATGTAATCAATATCAGATAGATATTTGGGATATCTTAGATGAAATAAAATATCTTATTAAATTTAATGTCACCTCTTACCTTTTTGATGTAGCAACTAGCAAATGTCATATGACCCATGTGTTTGGTATTATGTTTCTACTGGACAGTGCTGGTTGAAATCCTTGCTGCTCAAGGTGTGGTTCCTGGACCAACCAGCACCATCCACATCACCTGGAAACTTGTCGGAAATGCAGAATCTCAGGCCCTGCCCCAGACCCACACATGGAACCGGGAGCTGCATTTCCACACATTCCCCAGGTGAATTTTGAGAAGCTGTGAAGAGCCTGAGGCTGGGGGTCTCAGAGGGGAGCCCAGATAGGGGGTGGGAGCACATGGCCTGAAGCCCAGCCCGTAACAGGTGAAATATTAAGTCATTGATGCCTTTGGCCCTTAGTCATACCCTCAGCCCATGGCGTCCTTTAAACCTAACCCTCACCAGGAAGTGCACACAGCTTTTAAGAAGAAAAGGGCAACTTTGCAAGGGATTCAGCTCTCTGGCTTAGCAATGAACGCTATCAGGGAATACACCAGGAGCTGGTCCATCTGTGACTTTTTAAAGCCTGGGAAATAATCTCAGAAAACAACTGAAAAATACATCTGTGTGTTTTAAAAACAAACAAACAAAACTTAACCGACCCCTTCCCCACTCTACCACCAAATTCCTCCTTCTTTTTCTCTCTGAAAACTTGGCCAACAAGCATTAAATGGCACTAAATATAGAAATGGTGAGCAAGTAAATCACTCAGAGGTGCCACATGTTGCCCAGGGCCTGTTTTACAGTTGAGTTGTAAACCATTGAGAGCGTGGATCTGTAATTAAAATGCTGACAGCCTCCCAACTGCCAAGCAGCCAGGAGGGAGCAGGGCTGGGAACCAGCAAGCAGGGGTGCAGGGAGGGTGGTGCCCTTCCTAACGCTGATCAGCCCGGGTTCAATGTCCTCCGCAGGCTTCCAAGATGCAGACAAACCCTTCTCTCACAGGGAAGCAGGGCCCTGCACTCCCCACTCTCTAACACATCTCTCTGTGACCTCCTCTCCTCCCTGACAGCCACACTGGCCTCTTTGCCTCTGGGCTCTGACCTTGCAATTCCCTCTGACTCAAATGCAATTCCCCAGATGGCTCATTTCCTCACTTCCTGTTCAGAACTTACCTTCTCCAGGAGGCCTCTCCTGATCGCCTAAAATAAAATGCCCCTGCTCCTGACATCTGTGCCCTCTCATCCTGCTTTGTTTGTTCATCATAGCATTTATAACTCTCTGACAACAGATTCCATATATATATTCTATTATTTGTTTGTTGTCTCCCTTCCCCCGGAATGTCAGCTCCATAAAGGCAAGTACCATGTCTAATCCCAGAGCCTAAAACAGTACCAGACGCATAAATAGGTGCTTAATAAATATTTGTTGAATGAATGAATGAACGAATGCATGGATTTCCATCCTTTCTTTCAGCTGATCTGGTGATCTCACTGGGAAAATGTCCAACTTTCCAGCAGTGAGCTCAGCTTTTTGCTCATCCATTCACCCAACCATCCTTCCAAATAGCTATTCATTCATCCATCCATCCATCCATCCATCCATCCATCCACCCATTCAGCCATCCATCTATCCTACTACCCAAACATCCATCCAACCATCTTCTAAGATCTGTCCGTTTAACCATCCATCCATCTATTCATTCATATTCCATTCATTCAACCAGCCTTCCCATTACTATCTATCTAGCAAATATCCATCCATCCATCTATCCATTTGTGCATGCATGCATGCATCCATCCATCCATCTATATATCCATCCATTCATCCTACCACTCAGCCATGCACTCATCCAAACCAATCCCCAAATGGTTAGAGCTCCTATCCTGGGGTCCCATAGTCCCCTACACACTCCTCTACCAAATCCAGTTCATGTTGTCATATTTACATGCAGTAATTCACTCTTCTCCTTCTGTCATTAGAATGTAATCCCCCTCAAATTCAAAAATGGTATATTATTTATCTCAGACCTCAGTGCCTAAAACAGAGCTGGCATATAGGGATTCGGCTCTCTGGCTTAGAAATGAACACAATCAGGGAATACACCAGGGGCTGGCCTCCTCTAACTTTTTAAAGGCTGGGAAATAATCTCAGGCGTCAGTGAATGGTTGCTGAATGAATATGATTTTCCTTTTCCCTTATTTACTTGTTCAGCGTTTCCCACTAGACTAAGCTTCCTGATGGCAGGAACCAGTTTTTAGTGATCTGTTCGTCTCTAAAACGTCGCACCTAAGGCAAAGAAGACACTCTATAAATTCTTAATGAATGAATAAGTGGATGAATACACAAAAGAGAGGAAGTAGAGCAAGAATGCAGCCTCTGGAGCTGGACTGCCTGAGTTCATATCCTGGCTCTTTGCTTATCAACTGTATGACTTTGGGCGAGTCGCTGAACCGCTCTGTGCCTCAGTTTCCTCATTTGTAAAAGGGAGACAATGCCAGGCTGATCTCATGGAGTTCTTATGAGAATTTTAGGAATTCATGCGTATGAAGTAATTAGAACAGTGCCTGGAGTAAGACAAAAGCTGTACAGGTATAAAATATTCATGTGCTGCTGGCCCACTGGAACAAATATCGAAGGCACAGAGGGGAAAAGGTGGGAGGGAAGCTTCTGTCTGGGCCTGTGCCGTTCCCACAGGAGGCCTTCTACAGCAGGCACTCTAACTTTTCCCAGCCACACTGGGATCACTTGGCAAAGTACCAATATTATATCAGGTGGCCATGAGTGCTACACAGAAAAACAAAACGTGGAAGGGAACAGGAAGCAGCGAGACAGACTGGAGGGTGAGTTCAAATATGGTGGTCAGGAAAGGCCTCCTTGAGAGGTGATATTTGAGAAAAGACTTGAGGAGGTGAGAGGGTAAGTGTCTGCAGGGAGAGCATTCCAGGCAGAGGGAACAGTAAGTGCAAGGGACCTGGGGCAGGGACATACCCAGTGTGTGTGAGGAGCCACAGGGAGACCGCTGCAGGGGGACAGAGAGAGCGAAGGGGAAGGAGACAGGGGTGAGGGAGGGGCCTGTGAGCCACCGTGAAGGCTTCTGTGTCTACTCTGGGTGAGATGGGAGCCATGGTGAGATTATAAGTGAGGGAGGCAGAGTTTAACTGACATTTGAAAAGCCTGCAGGGGCCCAAGTTAGTAGGCTGGTGTGTTCCTACAGGGAAGAGACGCTGATGGATAAGACCCTGGGGTAAGGGGACTGTCGTGCCACTGCAGGGGAGAGATGCTGGTGGATAGGACTCTGGGGTAAGGGAATTGTTTTGCTACTGCAGGGAAGAGATACTGGTGGGTAGAAACCTGGGGTAAGGGGACCGTTGTGCCACTGCAAGGAAGAGATGCTGGTGGATAGGACCCTGGGGCAAGGGGACAATTGTGCAATGTCAGGGAAGAGATGCTGGTGAATAGGACTCTGGGGCAGGGGACTGTTGTGTCACTGTAGGGAAGAGAGGCTGGTGGCTTGGATCATGAGCTCGGGGGTATAAGTTATTTGGTGACAGACTCTGGACAGATGTTGTAGGTAGAACTGACATGTTGGATGTGGGGTGTGAAAGAAAGAAAAGTGTCATGGCCAAGGCCAGGGCCAGGGTTTGGCTTACACAACTGGAAGGATGCAGATGCTATTTACTGAACCAGGGGATGGAGACAAAGGCACCAGCAAGTTTGTGGGAGAAAGATCAGGAGTTAGGTTGTGGTAGACGAGTGCTCATGGGCCAGTAGACATCCTGGAGCAGGGAGGCAGGATGGCAGCTGGATGCACAGGACTTGTGTTCGGGAGGCAGGTCTGGGCTGGAGACTGGACTTTATGGACAACTTTAAAGGTCCTGGAATGTGGTGTGTACTTGGGTATGTGTGGCATGGGGCTGAAAGGACAAGGGCAGAGGCCCCCTCTGGAAGTGGCTGCTCACAAGGACTGAAAGACCTAGGTGGACATCACCTATTTTGGATAAAGGAGGACCAGCGTGGCCTTGCCATGGCTTGGTGTCCTGTGGCCCTCCCTGCTCAGTGCAGCAAAAAATCTCAATGGCGACCTGGACCGCTCCTTCTCTTGAGTCTGCTAGCACACTCTACAGCCAGCGAATGGACAAAACAGAGTTTTAGAGCTAGAACAGTCCTTAGGAATAAGATGTAAGAATTAAAACTTGACTGTGGCTTTAAAATCACTACTACTACTGATACTAACAATGATATTCATAACAGCAATGACTGCTTTCCAAGCACTCATCATGCCTGAGAGCGTAGGACGAGGCACTCCAGGGGCATTATCTCATGCAATCTGCACAACAGCTCTGACAAGTACAAATCCTCACTGCCTTTTTTTCAATGAGGAAACTGAGGCTTGAGAAGGGTGACTGCCCAAGGGCACACAGCAAACAAGTGGCACAGTCGGGGCTCTGATCGGAGCTCTTTCCACATCCAGGTCATTCACACCTCCCCGCATGGTCTGGCCAGGAGCTCCTGACCTGCCTCCCATCCAAAACTCTCAGCCCAGCAGAGAACACCTCCGGGGGACTGAGCAGTACCCAACCAGAGCCTCAGCTGCCTCACCTGCAAAACGGGCACAATTACACTGCTCACCTGGAGGAAAGCTGTGAGACTTGGCCAGGAAAAGATGTTGAAAAAAAAAAAGGTCATGCAAATCATAAAGTGTTTTACCAATGTCATGTTGGAATCTTTTTTTTTTTTTCCCCTGAGATGGAGTCTCACTCTGTCTCCCAGGCTGGAGTGCAGTGGTGCAATCTCAGCTCACTGCAACCTCTGCCTCCTGGGTTCAATTGATTCTTCTGCCTCAGCCTCCCAAGTAGATGGGATTACAGGTGCCCGCCACCTTGTCCAGCTAACTTTTATATTTTTAGTAGAGATGGGTTTCTCCATGTTGGCCAGGCTGGTCTCAAACTCCTGAACTCAGGTGATCCACCCACCCTTGGCCTCCCAAAGTGCTGGGATTATAGGCGGGAGCCACCGTGCCTGGCCTTGTTGGAATCTTTATTATTTCAAAATGCTACCAATCCATCTAGGTCCAAAAATACACACACACACAATTGAGAGCTAAGAAGAGGCTGCACCAAGGATGAACAGAGCTTGGGTTGCAGAGTTGGGATGGCTGGAGGGAACCCTGGCTCAGATGCTTTTTACCTGGTCAACCTCAAGCACACCACTGAACTGCTCTGTGCCTTCAGTTTTCTTCATCTGTCAAGCAGGAATGACAATAGGCCCTTCCCTGTGAGATCATTTACAAAGAGCACTTGGGATGGGACCAGCACATGGAAGGGCAGGCCTTGAGAGGGGCACACAGTGCCTTGCAGTGAGCAGCTGAGTGCTGGCCTCACTGCCCATGCCCAGCTGGCTGGGAATCTGTCCCTTCCCCACCATGGCCTGGGGAGGCCCTGAGACCCTGAGTCCAGCTCTCCTGTCCAGGAGCCTGGGATGCTGCTCACGTTCACTGCCCAGACCTCAGCTGCCCATCTGAGAAATGGAGTTACCAAGGGTCCCCAAGGATGTCGGGCCAATCAAACGGAGTAACCCCAGGAAAGCACCTAGAACCCCACCTGGGACAGAGCGAGAGCAAGTGCTTGCCACTGTGAGCAGCCTTGACAGTGTCTCAACGCACACTGAAAGGAGGTAATTTAAAGAAGTGCCTTTGTCAGGCAAGGAGTCCTTCCTAGGGACACAGGTGCACCTGGATTTCTCTTCAAAAGACACAAGTGTTGAGGATTAGGAAAAGTGACAGCTGCCAACTCCTGGTGCCAGACCCTCCAGAACACCTAGTTTCTCCTTCCCTCTAGGACCACTCCTGCCCCTCTCCTCACCCACCTTCCTCCCATCACTTGGCTCCCCTCCCTCCCTCTTCCCGGCAGATTTGATAACACCCAGGAGTCCCAATCCCCCTCCCGAGGACAAAGGCGGCAATTGTCCCCGGTGTGCGTCTTTTGACTTGATCTCACTGTGGTGTAACTGAGCCCCTGACTCTACCTCACTTAGGGGGCTCTCAGGGCCTCGCCATGCTGCCCCCTCCCCATCTCAGGTGAGTTTCAAATGAGTTCCCAGCTGCAAGGCCAGCAGCCACACTGGGAATTCCTTCCAAGATAAATCAGATGGCCAGCATCTGGGACCCCCTTGGGCTGGCAGGAGGCCAGGGAGGTGACAGGATGAGCTTCCACCGCAGCTAAGACATTTTCAGGCCCCTTAGTAGTCAACGTCTCAGCCCTTACTCCGTGCCCGCCACTCTAAGAGAGTGATGTCCAACAGACCTTCCTGCCACCACGGAATGGTCTAGTAGGAAGCCACGAGCCACAGGTGGCTACCAAGCACTTGAAACATGGACTGTGAAATAGAATTTTTAATCTTATTTATTTGTAATTCATTTAAATTTAAGTAGCCCTATGTGGCTTGTGATCATATTGGACAGTGCAGCTATAAGCAGTTTAAATTCTTTTAATCATGTAATCTTCATAATACTCTATAGCGCTATTAAGTGTCCCTGGAGAAACTGAGGCACAGAGAGGCAGAGTAACATGGCCAAGGCCACACAGCTAGCAAGCAGCAAAGCCAGGAGTGGACTCCAGAGCCCACCTCACAGCACAGGGAGCACCTGCCTCTTGCCTGCCCCCTGTACACTCCTGGGAATGAGAAGGCAGGGACAGATGCACCCAGCCCTACTGCCTGTGGTGCTCTGGTGGCTGTTTGTGACATGGCCTAGGATGTGTGCCACTTTATGTCACCAAGAGTATGCCAGGCCCAGGCTGGGCTCTGAGAGACACCGAGGCGAGTCTCACGACTACCTGGAAGGATCGGAGGAGAAGAGAAGTCTCTCCCACTGCTGTTCATCAGGCTGAACAAGTCCAGAACTCTGCTAAAACAGGAGGTGCCCTGGTCCCTGCACCAGGTGTGGGTCTCTGTCTGGCCATCTCCTTGTCCAGTCTCATCCTGAACCCCCATGACAGCCTGGGGCCCCTCACCTGCCAAGGTGGCACACAGAATCCCCTCTTCTCACTCACAACCGGGTTCCTCCCTGGCCCTGATGTGTCCTCTCCCAGGCAGAAGGTGGTGGCTCAAGGACTGCCCCAAGGCCACAGTGACCAGAGTAGGAGAGGATGCACGTGTGCGTGCCTGGATAACCCACAACCCAAATGACCACATAGTGGGGCCTTCTAGGGGCCGAGGACTGTAGTCTCCAAATTCCTCAAATCAGAGCATCTGTGAATCTTAGGTTAACATCTTGGAATCACAGGGTTTCAGGATCAGGAGACTGTGGGGATAAAGGCATCTGAGTCCAAGACTCCTGAGGGTGGTAGGATAGTTTGAGGTTAAGACCTGGATCTGGAGCTAGGCTGCTTGGGTTTATATCCCAGCACAGCACCTGCCAGCTGTGTGGCATTAAGCAACTTTCTTAACCTCTCTGTGCTTCCGTTTTCTTATTTGTAAAACGGAGAGAACAGGGAATGTTGATCTCATAAGACTACTGTGGGGATTAAATTAGTATATATATTTCAAGTGCTGATATTAGAATCATGTCCATATTCTCCCAGCAAATGAAAACCTTCCCTCCACCTGTACCACCTGCTTTGATAGGGACTGCATCCTGCTTCCTGATAGCAAGTTCCTTCTCACTTGAGCTGCCTTTTCCCCATATTCTTCCATCCCGTGGGTCCTGGTCCTGCCTGCCACCCTCCTAACCACACCACCCCCAGTCCTCAGGGACTGCAGGATGGTGACACCTTCCTGAGGCTGCTCCACTCATGGCTGAGCCACCTGACTCCTTCCAGGCCTGGGTGTTCAGCGCCTCCTCAGGGCCTGCCCCGGCTGCCCACGTCCATCCAGGTTGGGGGTGGGGTGGTCTTACCAGCCCAGAGCAAAGTGGGATGCCAGGGACCAGGCTGCATGAAGCTGGGGTCACAGACGTTTCCAGTCTCTGTGGGAAGGGCCGCCCCTGCCCCTACCCATGCGGCCTCTCTTATCTCATCCCCTTCCTCCCCGGGTACTGTCCACTGCTATCACTGTGGCATCACTGACAGGACCTGGCTGGGCTCTGCCCTCGCTGTGTCATCAGAGAAAACTGGCAAAACCTCAGGCCTCGTGGGCACCCTCCGCCCCAGCCTGGGCTGGTCCCCCTCCAACCCATCCTTGGTAGCTTCCTCTCTGGTCTAGTCTGGGCTCCTTTCTCTAGGCCCAGACACCCTGGCCTGGTCATCCCACTAAGCTTTTCTCAAGCCCACCATGGACCTCCTGGTCCCTACCTCAGCCTCTCATCCAGCTCAGCTCCCCGACCCTGGCCAGCTCTAGGGAGCGGAAGGGAGGTCTGAGCCAGGAGCCAGGCCCTAGGTGCAGCTCTTGTTTCTCCACTCCCTTGGTGTGTGGCTTTGGCGGGGCCCCTCCAGTTCAGGGTCTCAGTCTCTCATTGATTAAATGCCCACAGAAGAGAGAATCTCCAGCTCTAAAACAATCCTACAGCTTTCCTTGGCACTGTCCCGAGGCCACCGTCCTTGACAGTGGAGGCTAGGGAGGGTTCCCGGATTTAGCACATAAATAGGCTGAAAAACGAAACCTGACCTAAACTTACACCTCATAGAAAAGTTAATTCAAAGCAATCACAGAACCTTTCAGACATTACGCTAACTGAAATAAGACAGACACAAAAGGACAAAAACTATATGATGCCTCTTATGTGGGGCGCCTAGAGCAGTCAGATTCAAAGAGACAGAAAGTGGAAAGGTGGGTGCCAGGGGCTGGGGTGGGGCGGGGGGACATGGGAGGTGGTTGTTTAACAGGGACAGAGTCTTCGTTTGGGAAGATGGTAAAGTTCTGGAGATGGAAAGTGGGGATGGCAGCACAACAGTGAGAGTGTGCTTGATGCCACTGGGGTGCACACCCAAGAATGCCTAACATGGCAAGTTTCATGCCAAGTATATTTTATCACAATTAAAAATAAATAAAAACGTAACATACAATTTAAAAAAGAAATTTTCATTGATTTTTTTAAATTAATGAATTTTTTAAAAAAAACAGGTCACAGAGTTAAATGCTAAACATAAAACTTTTAGGAAAAAAAATATGGCAAAATCTTTGGGATCTAGGGCTGAGCAAAGAGTTTTTAGATGATACCAAAGGTACAGTCCATTCAAAGAAAAATAGATACATTGGACCTTATCAGTTAAAACTTATCAAGGTTAAACACTTTTACTCTGTGAGAGACCCTATGAAGATGATAAAAAAGACAAGCTACAGTCTGGGAAAACATATTTGCCAACCGCATGTCTGACCAAATACTGGCTGCTAGAGTATATAAAGAAATATCCAAACTCACCAGTTAAAAAAGTAAACTACCTACTTAGAAAATAGGCAAAAAGACATTAACAGATGCTACACTGAAAAGGCTATCCAGATGGCAAATAAGCATATGAAAATATATTCAACATCATTAGCCATTCAGGAAATGCCAATCAATACCACAATGAGGTATAACATACATCTATCAGAATGGCAAAAAAATTTTAAAAACAGTGATGTCACCAAATGCTGGTGAGGATGTGGAGCAACTGTACCACTCACACATTGCTAGTGGGAATATAAAATGACACACCCACTCTCCCACAAAATGGAAAATGGTTTGGCACTTTCTTATAAAGCTAAACATACAGCCATCAGACATTTGTGCTCTTGGACATTTATTCTAGGGAAATAGAACCTTACATTCACACACACAAAAAAAAAACCTGTACACACATGGACACAGCAGCTTTATTTGTAATAGTCATAACCTGCAAACAACCCAGACATCCTTCAAGAGGTGAATGGCAAAACAAACTGTGGAGACTCTGTGCCCTGGAATACTACTCAGCAAGGTAAAGGAACCGGCTACTGATACACAACACTTGAAGGAGGCTTGAGGGAATTGTGCTGAATGAAAAGAAGCTCGTCTGGAAAGGTTATACTGTAAGACCCACCTATGTAACATCGTTAAAATAATGAAAGTATACAAGTGGAGAGCAAATTAGTGCTTGCTGGGGATTCGGAAGGGGAAGGGAAGTAGAAGTGGCTATACAAGGGCAACCTGGGGACCATTGTGTGCTCTGCATCTTGACTGTCCTAGCATCAGCATCCTAGTTGTGACCCTCGTCCTATAGTTTTGCAAGCTGTCACCATTGGGGGAAACTGGGCAAAGGGTACACAAGATCTCTTCATATTCCACAATTCCATGTGAATCTACAATTATCTCAATATCAGCTCAATTCAAAACCACAAACTTGGTTAAATCTGAATTTGAGATACATGGCGAATCATTTTTTAGTATGTCTTGTGCAATAGTTTGGACGTACTTTTGTTTATCTCAAATTCAACTCTAAGTGGGAGTCCTGTATTATACCTTGCAGCCCTGCTCCTGGAAATCCCCCCAAGACAGAGCAAGCACTTGCCATATCATTTGTTCACTCAACAAATATTTCTTGAGCACTTACGATGCGCCAGGCACTGTTCTAGGTTTAGGGGTGAACTTAGGCCATCACTACCCTGTGGTGCTGACCCTGCAGTGGGAGGCAACAAGCAATAAAGACACAAAGAGCTGTGCAAATGAGATCATTCTGTGCGGTGGTTTCACATGCAAGTAAAGTAGGGTGATGGAGAGAGATGAGACAGACAGCAGGGGAGGGAAGTCAGGGAGGACTTCCCCATTAAGGCAACATCTGAGCCAGGAATTGAAGGAATACAAGGAGCTAGTTCTGCAAAGATTCAAGGAAAGAGCTTTGCAGACAGAGAAAGCGGCCTGTGCAATGGCCCTGAGGTGCGAACAAGCTTGGTTGACTGCAGGAGTGTGTGGTTGGAAGGTGGTGTGTGTGGGAGAGAAGCTGCAGACAGGGTTGGGGTACAATGGTCCCAAGAACCCCATGTCATTCCCCAGCCCACATGTCAGACCTGGAGACCCTCCTGGGAGCAAAGGAAAGAAGCCCCTGCCATGGAAGAAACCAAGGCCCTGAAAGGCTGAGATGTGTGCAAGACCATTCCTGCTCCAAGTCCCCTGAGTCCTGGCTGCAAGCCTTTCCATTCGCAAGGGCAAGAACCCACACCTGTGCCCAGGGGCGGGGCAGGAATGGAGGGCACGGCAGACTGAGGATGCCTCCTTCCAGCCTGGCCTGGCCAGTCAGCTTCGGGCTGGGCGGGGCCTGGCTCCTCAGGCCCTCGACATGCCACCACTGGCCACTCTATCTGGTCAAATATGCAAGTGGCCCTCGGGACAGCAGAGAGGAGCATAGCTGAGCAGGCCTTATCTGGGCTCCGCCCCAGCTGCCAGGGGCTGGTCCCTGGTGTCCCCTGACTCACAGGCCTGCCTGCGGCCAGGGCAGGGGTGGGAATCCAGCTCCCAGGAGCACCCGGACCAGACGGGGCAGGGCAGGAAGGGACAAGACCGACACCCCTCCGTGTGCAAGAGGCTGGGCAGGGACTGGGAGGTGACTTTTCACTTCGGCGGAATTCCATCCCCCTGAGCTCACCTCCCTTGGAGCAAGAGGCGCATTCCAGCAGGGGCCAGCCCCGTCCCAGCTGGGCCCCCATCCCCAGGGCTGCCTCTCCTGGGCTCAGTCACCACACTCTCATGAAGGGGTTGCTGAGAGCCTCCACCCTCCCCCAGGCCCCCGGAGCTCCCTGGTGCACTTCTCTCTCTGTACAGTAAGGACTCGAAAGCCTGGCCTGCCAGGTACAATATTATCATGGAGGCTCGGAGACCCCTGGCCCTTGGCTGGGTTTCGCAGCTGCCCAGGCTTCTCTGCACTCCTGCAGGGGGATGTCTACACGCACTCACAAATGCACCCAGAAGGCCCAGGTTCTTCTGGTTCTCCTCCAACCTCCCTGACTGTCCTTCCCTTCCCATAGCCCTCCCGTCCCAGTACCCATTTGCCCAGGCTGTGGCCCAGGCTCTCTCCTGCTTTCCCCCTTTAACCCTCCCATCGGGCAATCCTACAAACACCATGGCTTCCATTACGACCCTGTTCCTCCACACCAAGTACACCTGACACATCTCCTACCTATTAGGCTTCCTAAACAGCCTCCCCAGCCGTGCGCCCCGAGGCTCCTGCTGGGTTTAGGCACCAACCGTGGCCACAGCCCCTTCACTCTGTACTCCACTCTATCCCAGACAGGGCCAGAAACCTGCCCAAGCACTGCCCCACCAAAGCCTCTTCTGGGCACCTCTGGCCTAAGACAAAGTCCCACTCCTTGTTCTGGCATTCAAGGCTGTGTGTTAGGATCTAGCCCCTCTGCAGCCTCGTCACTCGTCCTCCCCACCCTCGGCCACACGGAGCCCCCACAGCATGCTGTTAGGACTTCATGCTTTTGAACATGCCTGTGCTGCCTGAACTGCCCTCTTCCTTCCTGATGCCTCGTCCACCTGGACTCCTTATCCTTCAAAGCCCTGCTAAGAGTTCCCTTCTTCTGCCTAGCACTCTTAGACTTCAAGAGGAAACAAACCACTCTTCCTCTGACCTCTTTTCTTCACTTTCTGTATCACGTTTCTCCTACAGTGTGTAGCCCTGAATCACAATTTTTGCTTCTTGTACCTGATTCTCTCACTAGACTGAACGTCTAGTCTTGAGGGCAAAAACTGTGGGTAGTTAATTTCCTTGCGGCCAAAAGGCTGGAAAGAAATTATTCAAAGCCACAAAGATTCCACCATCCAAAGATTTCAGCACAATGCTTCTGACTCTTCCCTTCCTCCCAACTGAGGAGCCTATGATTCCACACATCATACGCTAGGATGTGAACTTCGTATTCTGGGACCCCCGACCTGAGCGGCCACTGATTTCAATCCAAAGTACAAAGGCCCCGAAATGCCAATAGGGGAAACTATAATTCTAAAATCACCTCGCCAAAAGATATTGGCACCTAACCATTCTGATTCGGCCTGCAGACCACACAATTGACGAGACAATGAGGGAAAGGAGGGGATGCCCTGCAGCTTCCTTGCGGTGTTGCCCCTGCCCCATGGCCCACATCCTGCTGGGCTTAGACTCAAACTGGGGACCTGTGAGGGCAGGACGCCCCTGCAGCATTTATTCTCCTTCGACTGCCAGGGGAGTTGGGGGCTCCCCTTCAGCCCAGGGGCAGCCCCTCATCAGGTCTGCAGAAGCCACATGGTGCACCCCCCCACCCCAGCCTCCCCGCTTCCCCTTCTCTCACACCAGCTGCCAACAAGCCCCAGAGCCTGTGGTCAGGTTGAGTCTTGTTTCCTCATGGCAGGAGTGAGGGAGCGGGTGATAAACACATCTGCGAGCCTTTCCGAGGCTCTCAGCCAGGAGCAGCAGTAGGCTGGCCCCATTGCTCCTGTCGGTTTCCCAGCCCTGCCATGCGTGGAGCCCATGGCAGCCTGTTGGGAGGGGGCTTCTGGGGTGGGGTCCCATGCCTTTGAGTAAATGGCGTGTTGCAAAATCCTGGGGAACTGACTGGCACCGGTCGGAACAAGGAGTGGGTCATAGTCCCAATCGACAGATGTGGAAACTGAGGTCGCAAGAGGGGCTGGAACCCACAGCAGCTGGCGGCTGTCTTTGTTCCTGCCCTCGTCGGGGCCCTTGGGGTGTCCCATGGCAGCAAGTGAGGGACTGGCCACTTGGGGCTAGGCTGGAAGACCACCTCACCGTGCTCTGGCTGAGTGGTGTGTGTGGTCACTGACCTGAGTCCCCACAGGTCAGCTGGTACCCTCTCTGAGCCTCCATTTCCATCCCTGTAGCACAAAGGGGCGGGACGGGTGTGACTCAGCCCTTTCTCTGCATACACCGGGGAGTCCACAGTCCCACCTCTTGGCTCAGGAAATACATAGTGTCTGTAGAAGTGCTTTTCTAGAAAGCCATCCCCAAAGGTCCTCCCTAACCAGAGAGCACTGGGCAGGCAGGAGGATGTATGGCCCTCTACTGAGCTTTCCTGAGATGGGAGGGCTGTTCCTGCTCAAAAACATCAGGTCAGGCCTGGCCTGCACTCCACTCATACCCAGCTCCTGACCCCACTCAAAGTAGCCCTCTGCCTCCCAAGGGTCTATGACTTCTGCCCCACAGTGGCTCCCCAGCAACCACAAGGCACTCATCCATTCACTCCATACATATTTGTAGAGTGCCTACTGTGTGCCACGCTCTGGAGTGCTGCTGTGTCTGAGACAGCCCAGGCCTCTGTCCTCGGTATGCTTAAAGTCTAGAGAGGGGAGAAAGCCACGGAACAAGGCAAACTCGGAGAAAAGGCTAGGAAGGAATGTAAAGGGAAACCTCTCTGGGGAGAGGACATCATGGCTGAAACCTGAAGGACAAGGACATGGCAGCCACAGGCAGATCTGGGGGCAGAACACAAGGCTGCACTCTTCGGCCCCAACCTGCAGGGGTTCCCTTTTCAGGGCCTCACAGACTAGCCAGTGTGGTCCCTAACTGGCCCCCTGCCCCTACCTCTGGGTCTGTGTCCATTCCTCCCCCACTCACCAGATCTTGGCTGCTTCCACCTCCTTTCCCTGCCTAGCCAAACCTCGCTCATCTCTCGAGGCCTGTCTCCTCCAGGAAGCCCACTGAGATTGGTCTTACAGCCTCTGACAGTTCCCAGTGTCTGTGTTGCCCACGGGCTCATGGCAGTATGACAGAGCAACAGCCACAAGCCTCATGCCCAGTGGAGCTGTGTGGCTCACAGAACACACTCCCACGGGATCCATCCTGACCCTGACTTGCTGCGGGCCACGTGCTATTCTCTCCTTTAATTCTCACCATGGCCCAGCCAGGGAGCCGTGGGTGAGGAAATTGAGGCTGGGAGAGGGAAGCCACGTGTCCTCCTCCTGTCTGCCTCAAGGAAGTGAGGGCTTCAAGGCAGGAGGGAGCCTGGGACCTGGGACCTGCAGGGTGATTGGACCACAAAAACAGGGAGGAGGGAGCAGCTGGGACCACTGCAGGGATGCACCACCCTGGGCAGGAGCTCCCAGCCATGAGACTAGACAGGCAGGGCCTGGTAATTTCCCCCAGGACACCATCCTGGGGCAGACCAGGTGAGCAATTCCCCTGTGTGACTCACCAAGGCCACCTGTGAGGCTCTGACACACAGGATGTGGCCAGAAGCCTGAGAAGAGGGAGGAAGGGAAGGAGGGACGGAGGGAAGGAGGGAGGGAGGGAGAGAAAAAAGGAGGGAGAGAGGCAGGAAGGGAGCAAGGGAGAAAGGCTAATTTGGTCCCTCCCAAGGATAAGAGTTCACATCTGTCCCTCTTTCCATCTTGCTGAGTAACATTCAATTCGTCTTAAGGCAGACTCAATTATCCAACCTCTTCAGTAACTGACAAGCTTCGTGCCATACACAAATCCTGACCAGCTACAAGCTGATGCCAGCACCAAGCAGAATGAGGCTGAGGGCAGAGCCCTGTGGCTCCTCAACAGACACCCAGCACCAGATGTTACAAACAAGCCATTTTGCAGCATCTCCGCGAGCGCCGCCCAGCTGCCCTCCCTGGCTTCCTACCTTTCGGCCTGCCTCGTTGTTGTGCAAGTTCATGAGAGTCCGGGCATTCTGCTTGATCTCCCGGGCATCCACAAAGACCTTGGCGAAGCCGATGCCGTAGCGGATGTCGGCAGAGCAGCCACCCCACTTCCAGCCCTCGTCCCGGTGGTACTGGCCTTGCTTCTCTTTGTCGCAGCCACAGTCGCTCAGGTTGCCCTGGGTACAGGCAGCTGTGATGGCGTGGGCCACGCCGGCGGCAATGATGGCGTAGGTGAACGCAGCCTCCCGGCTCCCTGCGAGGAGGAGAGAAGAGGAGACAAGTTGGGGTCAGGTCCCAAGCATCTGAGAGGAGGCTGGGCCTGACTGAAGAGTGAGGCTGAGCTCAATGCAATGGCTCTCCAAAGCTCGACTGAGTACCCGTTCCTAACTTCCAACAAAGCTCCCTTTTAGGGTGATGAGCTGAGCACCTCCCATTACACACACATCCATTCAACCCCAGAACCTGGGGAGTCAACTGGGCAGTAAAGGAGGAAGGTATGTGGGCTGGTTGCCCAGGATCTGGAAGGCCAGATGTGGGGGACCCCTCTAGCCCATCAGTCCCCACTCCCCACTCCTGAGCACACTTGACGTAACCATGTAAACTGCACACGTGCATAAAGCTCACAGCATCGTAAAGCAGCGTTTCCCCAACACCCACAGAGGACACTGGCTCTGGGGCCAGAAGGCCTGAGTTTAAATCCCAGGAACATCAATCCCTGGATCTGTGACTATTGGCCAAGGACTACTCCTCCCTGCATCTCAGTCTCTCTGGCTGTAAAATGGGGACATATCATTGGTAACTTTCTCATGGCAATGAGGGAGAATGAGTTTGTCCATGGAAAGCTCTTGGCCCCATGTTTCATTCATGGAACCTGACTGCACCCTACCTCTTGTTTTCGTGGCCACTACTACTCTTTCTGTGTGTCACCTGCTATTTCAGATGTCCATCCCCTCCCTTCTTCTGTGGCCCCCTCACTGGACTGTGAGTATCTCCAGTGGTAGGGCAGGGTCCTGAGCAGCTGGGGTGCAGGAGACAGCGTGGGACAGGCAGTCACTCAGAGTTGGCCTAAATATGGTGCTGCCACCTCGCCTCTTAGCCTCTTTGGGCCTCAGTCTCCTCACCTGCAAAATGGGTTCAAGGGCTACGTCTGCTTTACAGGGTGAAGACTGACCAAAGCAACCTATGGGAAGCCCTGTGTGTGGTATAAGCCCTGAGGAGCACTGGGCAAGTTCACTCTCATGTAGCCTGGGTGGGTTTCAGGGAAGGCACCTGGAAGAAGAGGCCCTGGAACCCAGAGCAGGCAAAGGGGGGCCAGAGAAGGTGTTTCAGAATGCCAGGATGGAGACGGCTTAAGCAGCAAGTGAGGAGGCAGATGACTTGCTCCAAGTTGCTTCCAGCCTCAGGTCACTCTGTCCCATGCTCAGGGAGGTCCTTCCCCACCCACCTTCTCATTCACCTTGGGACCTCCCTCCCCAGGAGGGGGAGACAGACACAAACAACTTGTCCCCCCACCCCATCGCTGCCCTCCCACCCTGCAGAAGGTAGGCCTGTCCACCTGCTGGACTGGACAGCTTCCCCATGCCAGGGCTGTCTTTGCCGTGGCGTGCCATGCCAGCCCACCCATGGTGTCCCTGCTAACACAGAGGCTCTGGAGTCAGAATGCTTGGGCTCAAGTCCCAGCTCCGCCACTGACTGACTGGGACTTGGGCGAGCTCCTTCTCCTGTCCGCATCTCAGTCTGGAGAGTGCCAGCGCCTGCCTGACAGGAGCTGCTGAGAAGGTACAGGAGAAGGGGGCATGTCAAATGCAGAAATGCATAGCCAGTGCCTGGCTCCACAAACATGAAACTTGGCACCAAGTGGAATGAAGCCCCTGGGGAACTCAGCTCAACTTTGGGGGTCGGGAAAGGGTATTATTTTAGCACCTACCGGGCTCGCAACTCTCTGCATTAGTCATTTCCTTAGTACTAGAAAACATCTCTGAGGGGGCCAGGCATGGTGGCTTACGCCTGTAATCCCAGTACTTTGGGAGGCTGAGGTGGGCAGATCACTTTAGGTCAGGAGTTCAAGACCAGCCTGGCCAACATGGTGAAACTCTGTCTTTGCTAAAAATACAAAAATTAGCTGGGCATGGTGACACATGCTTGTAATCCCAGCTACTTGGGAAACTGAGGCAGGAGAATTGCTTGAACCTGGGAGGTGGAGGTTGCAGTGAACCAAGACTGTGCCACTGCACTCCATCCTGGGTGACAGAGCGAAACTCCATGAAGAAGAAGAAGATGAAGGAGAAGAAGAAGAAGAGGAAGAAGAGGAAGAGGAAGAGGAAGAAGAGGAAGAAGAAGAAAAAGAAGAAGAAGAAGAAGAAGAAGAAGAAGAAGAAGAAGAAGAAGAAGAAGAAGAAGAAGAAGAAGAAGAAGAAGGAGAAGAAGAAGAAGAAGGAGAAGAAGAAGAAGAAGAAGGAAGAAAACATCTCTGAGTAACACACGCCCATCAGAGGGACTAGCACAGGGCAGCAAGGACAGGGGAGCCATGGGGCACAGGAACAGGCTCGATTTCTGGTCCAGCAATAAAACCCAACAATGCCTTTGCTGCATGAAATCAAGAAATGCTGTGTAAGATCTGCATGCTGGACCAGGCCATAGGAGGACAAGGGAAGCTGTCTCAGCCACAGGTTGAAGACAGAACTGCCAGCAAGATAGGTGGGAATAGACGCATGTTGCTGAGCTCTGCCAAGGAGGGAGCTTTGGAATTAAGCCCATGAGGTGTCAGGAGACCAGGCTTTGAGTGCTGCTGAGGCAGGGCCTTGGTAAAGAGATAGAGCCTCATGGATAGATCCTCGGGCAAAGAAACGGCAGACAGACAGGAAAAGTCTGCACCTGTCCCCACCCTCCAGCAAAGCTAGACAGGCACACAGGTCCACACCAGCCAGCGCAGGAGGTGGGCAGGTGGGGTTGGAGGAAGCCAGAATCTCCTGGAAATTGATCGCCACTTCCTGCATTTGCATAGATTTGAGGCTCAAATATATCCCCCTGCATGCTCCAAGGGCTCCAAGGCAAGTGGGAAGACTCACCCCCGGTCCAGTGATTCCCCGAGAGCCTAGAAGAGCAAAGAGAAAGCTCTCCAACCCCAGGCACCAGCTCACACTCGAGAGTATCAAACTCACAAGAAAACCAAACCCTCAGGGAGACAGTCAATATCCAGAATAGACCCTCAAGGACGTGAGAGAAAAGGACAATCAGATGGAGGGCAGGGAAGAAATCTGTTCCACTGCTTTCCAGCTGTGTGACCTTGGGTGAGTCACCTAACCTCTCTGTGCTCCAGTTCCCCCATTGTAAAATGTGATGATAAAAATTAACAATGGTAGAGCACTTAGCACAGAGGTTGGCATGAGGAAGTGGCCCCAAATGCTCCAATTATAACAATTCTTATCTATGATGGAGGTAACAAGTCTCTACAAGTACAAGAGGGCTGAGAGGTAAGGAGTAGGGCTTTTCTTTTACAATCGAAGACACAAAGGCTTTTGGCTTGCCTGGGACACCCAACATGTGGGCAGCAGAGCTGAGCTGCAGACCCGGCCTCTGGGCACCCCATGTAGACCAAGAACTGCCCCCAGGGATGAAATGATTCCCAGGTGCAGTGGGCAGGCACCACCGGCAGGCTCCAGCCATTGATGGGAGACTGTGTCCTCTTTATCAGACCAAGAATGGAGTTTGCGAATCAAGGCGGGGCAGAAAGCCTGGCCTGTCCTCAAAGACTGGCCCCTCTCCCTTGGTTTCTCCCTGGGGAAGGGGCAGGAGGCAGAGGAGGGGGCTGTCAGCCCAAGACTCCTGTGGTAATTTCGTGTGTCCTCTGCTCTACAGCCCAGTGGTGACCGTCCCTGGGTCTCTCAGTCTCTGGAGCAGTGCATGATGGTGCAGATGGTGAGAAATGGACAGCTAACCACAGATGGCTTCCACCCACTCACCATTTCCATCCCACCCCTGAGGTGGGGAAGGGCAGCTGCACCTTGGGGCACATTTCACCCCCCCGAGCTCCAGATGGAGAGCTTTCTTCCCCACAGCCCAGAGTGAGGTCTCATCAAGTGCCATGGCCTTCCCCTCCCCACCAAGCTGGGCTTCCTCAGCACCCACTGCCCCTGACAAGCGAAGGCTGTAGTCAAGACACCGATGAGGGCCAGTCATTCTTGGCTTCAGAGCTCTCAGGGACCCAGGTACTGGCTGGTAAAGTCCAGTCCTTCTGGATGTGGAAGAGTCACTTTTGACTCTTGCCATTAACTTTGACGTTGGCCTTACCTGCCCACATTAGACTGGGATGATCCAATCCCACTCCACCCCCACACTACCATGGAGGAAACTACCCTGGGCATCCAGCTGGCTGTGTGACTAACGTCAGGGCTGTTAACCTCTTTGACCCTTCGTTGCTTCCTCTGTGAAATGGGTACAATTACACAGCACCTATGTGTCTAAGTGAACTGAATTACAAAACAAGGGGTGTTGAGCGGTGCTGAGCACAGTGCCTGGCATGCCGTGAGTGCTCAGTAAACATCAGCCGTTGCGTTGTAGTTTTGTTGTTGTTACTATCACCGAGTCCCATTTCACAATGTCCTGAAGGTCACAGCAGAGAGGCAAGTATGTGAGGCTGATCCAGTGTTTGTCTGCCCAGGCAAATTTAAGGTTTACAAGATGACAGGGACCATATCTGTCACTCCCACCGTCTCCAACCTCCTCCAAAATGTGTGAGGGGTGAGACAGACCTGAGTCCTAATTTCAACCCTGCCAAAAGCTGTGTGACCTTGGGCAAGTCACTTAACCTCTCTGAGCCTCCATTTCCTCATCTGTTATTAGCACCTACCCTGTAGGAAGAGGTAGACATCACCTGGCACCTAGCAGGTACTTAAACAAATAGTAGTGAGCATTATAATTATAATAATTGATGAAATTATAGGTGCCACTGGGTGGTACAGAGAAGAACTTGCCCTGCATCTGTTTTATCCATGGCCCTTATTGCTCCCTGCCATTTTAGACTTAGCTGCTGATTATCTGTTCCCCATACCAGCCCTACCACCATGACCCCTGTCCCTCTCGGATATAATTGCTTTGAAGATAAGCACTTTGTCATGGCCCTTGCTGTGTCCTCAGGGCCTGGCACAGAGTAGGTACCCAGTAAATAGCAGTGGAATGAATAAATGAATGAAAGAAAGCTCTGACTTGGTCTCCACAGACTGTGTGCCTTCAACCACATGGTCTTTCTTGGGTGCTTTTTGTTTGCCAGACTCCATGCTCAGCATGTTAGAAGAGAATGCCCATCTATTCCCTAGGAAAGCAACCCTCAAGGGAGGTAATAACAGCCTCTCTGCTTTACAGATGGGGGAACTGAGGCTCCAAGAGGATCTAACCAGGCAGGTGTGGAACCTGTGATAAACTCCAGCCCCTTATAGCCCATCTCCTAGCCCATTCATCAAATCAAGACTGCCCCAAGGCATGAGCACAGAGTTAGCCAGACACTTGGGTTTTTTTTTTTAAGGAAGATGGGAAAGAGTAGAGAGAAGGTAACATTTGTTGGGCACCTCCTAGGTTCCGGACCCATGCTTGGTCCTCTGTGAAGGTGTTTCACAACATTCCCCAGTGTAGATGTCATTCCCCATGGTTTTACAGTTGAGGAAATGGAGGCTCTGAGTTAGAGTGATTTGCTGAGGTCACCCAGCTAGAAACTGGCCAGAACTGGAATTCAAGGCCCAAGTTGGTCTGTGTCCTTCCTCAGCCCCACCCCAGCTCCCTTCCTGGCCCACCAGTGCATGGAAACCCCATGGTTAGAGATTCTTCTGGCTTAAGACATCAACTCTTGTCAGAATGCACTTACTTCTAAAACGAGATGGCATTCAGTTGTTATCAATTAAAACTTATCAATAAATAATTTATCAAAACCATTCAAATCGGATGGCTTGCTGAGCTGAGAACAGGGTTTGATGGTAGAAAGCAGAAAAGCCTCCTGGAATCTTAAAATAAATCTCAGACTCCATCCATGTCTGCTTCCTTTACTCATCCTAGGTAAGATAGGGAAACTGAGGCTTGGGGAGATGAGGTGACTTGCCCAGGAAGAGTTAGGATGCAAATCTGGAGGTCACCTGCTGTGCCTAACCACTCCAGAGAACTCCCTTGGACCCTGGTCATGCTCACTGCTCCGAGAACAGCCCTTCTCTCAGCTGTACGGGGAAGCCCCTTCATTCAGGTGGGTAATTTCCCGAATGCCTAAGATAAATGCCTCATTTATCTTAGGAGACACCTGCAAGGGTGGTCTGTTCTATTGCTGTGGAAATGGGATGAGATCATATGTCCAATGACATATAGTACATAAAAAGCTGAGCAAAGACATACAAAATGTTTCTTATTCACCAGGCTCTGTTCTAAGCACTGAATATAGATCTACAATATATGGCAACAACGTGGGAGGTGGGGGCTGCTATTATCTCCATTTTACAGATGCAGAAACTGAGGCCCATGTGATACAACCTGTAAGGACTCAAACTCGTACAGCTGGCCCCAGAGTTTGACCCACTCCCTTGCCTCAAGGTTTTGAAAACCATTCCAGTCCTACTGACTCCAGGCCTACATTCTTGCCCAGATCATCCATGTGGAGCCTGTGAGTGAACCCTGGGCTTGGCCACCATGGCCTGTGTGCCCTCCAGGATCAGATCCTCCACCCCTGGCAGTGGGGACAGTCTGCTGTGAAGGACCTGCCCCTCCCTCCTGCCCAGGAGCAGAGGAAGAACCTCCCTCAAATCCTGCCTTCCCCTCCACCTCCCTGACCAAGCCGTCTGTTCCTTCACTCATCAGATATTTCTTGAGCATCTACTATGTGCCAGGCACTGTTCTAGGGCATGAGGAAACTCAGATGAGGAGTTCAGACATGGCTTTGCCTTCGTAGAAGGACAGGCAGTAGGATCATGCCACTCCGTGGCAGCTGAGGACTTTGAAGAAGGTGACACAGGGCAGTGATGGGAGTGGGGATATCTGGGGTGGTGCCTTGAGTGGGGAGGTCATGAGGCTCTCTAGGGGCAAAGAAGGCATCAGGCCAAGGGGTAGCCTGAGTGATGGCCCTGGTGTGGTGTGGTCAGCTAGTGGCGGGAGCAGGTGAGCCAGGGCGGCACCGGAGGAGGTGAGGCTGTGGGCGGGTGTGGATTCTGCCAGCCCTTCCTCTCCCCAGAATCAGAGAAGAGATTCCTAGAGCCACAGAAACAAAGCCAGGGGGCTCCTACTGGAATGATAGCTTCAAGGAGAATGGGAGACTTGCTCAAGGTCACCAGTGACTCAGCAAGACCAGAAGATCCCCTGGCTCCCTCACCTCCCCCATGCCCTCCTTACCTCTCAATCCATCCACATCTCCAGGTAAACTTTTCATCCAGAAGCCAAGAGACCTTCCCTCCTGTGATATCCCAGGTGACTTCAGCTCAGAACTCAGATAAGACAAAACCCGTCAGTCCCTCCTGTCTACTTCTCATTCACTGGGGGAGCCCCAAGCAAGGACTCTGCCTCTCTGAGTCTCAGCTTCCCCATCTGTGAAGTGGGAACCCTTAGGAGGACATTGCCAAGTTGTGAAAATTAAATGAGACCACTGTGGAATGAAGCCTCTATGGAGCTCCCAGAAGGTGCTGGATAAAGAACGATACATATTATCACTGAGACGAAAATGGGGAGCCCAGCTGACGCCCTCTGTGGTTCCAGCTCCATAACGATCCCAGCGGGTACAGAGGAAATAAACTGATGTCCAAGCCTGCCCAAAAGATTCCATTCCACCGCCCTGTGTAGCCACTGTAAATGGTTTGCACCGGAATATTATCTGGGTGTATTTACGGTATCTTACTGGAAACCACAAAGTGCATTGTATTTTTTTTTCTTTTGCTATTTAAAGCCAATGGGTCAGAGAGCAAGCAATCTGCAGTGACACAAGCTGAAATATATGATTTGGAAAATATACAGATGGAAAAAGGTTGCGCTTGCCAGCCCCGTGGCATGGCAGTTCATAGCCCCTCTGGGCTCAGAATGCCACATGGGGCTGTCTCACCAAGAGGAACCAGGGAGCCTCTCAATGAATAACTGGAAGATTTGGGGGTGCAGGGAGCTGTGTCTGGGCGGAGCTTGGTAAGGTAACAGGCCCACAGCTCGGGAAACTGGGGAGGGGTGTGTGCAAGCCCCAGCCTCTGTCTTTCTCCATCCAAGGGTCTCTCTTCCCACTGAGCAAGGCCAGAGCACACTGCTGACCACTTGCCAATGGTCAGCATCTACTCCTTCCTGGCTTCACGCCTTTGCACATGCTGTTCCCTCAGCCTGCAATTGTCTTTCTTATTCCATCTGCCTGCTAAGGGGCAGTGAATGTAGCCCAGGAAGTTTTAAAACAGAGCCCTGGAGGTGGATAAATCTGGGTTCACATCCTGACCCCCTCTTCCTGACAGCGGGACCTTGAATGAGCTAACTCACCTCTCAAGGCCTCAGTTTCCTCATTTGTAAAGTGGGAATACAAAATGTCTACCTCCCAGGGTTGTTGGGAGGATTAAATAAGCCAATGCACATGACAAGCTCAGCCCGCACTTGGTAAGGGATCGATAAACAGTAGCTCTTACTAGATGCGTTATTGGTTAGCACCTTATCCATCAAGCCATGGCTCCCAAGTTCCCTACTCTGAGGGGCCTCCCAGATGTCCCCTCCCTCCACCTGTGGCCCAGCACCCTGTCCATCCTTACTTTGTATTGAATTGAATGATCAGTCTCTCGCCACTAGGTTGTGGGGACCTGGATTATTTATCTGTGAAGCCTCAACAGTTGAATGAATGAATGAATGTGCATGTGAAAGCAAGTGTGTGTGTGTGTATGTGTATATGTGTGTGTGTGTATGTGTATATGTGTGTGTGTGTCTGCATGTTGCATGCGCACGCACGCCTGCCTGCCTGCCTGTCTACCACATGAAAGCTGGGAAGAGAACATTATAACAAAAGAGTCATCTCAGAGAATAGTGTCAGGAGAGCTAAAACCCAGGATGAACTGAGGCTTGCAAAAAAAAAATGCAAACGAGACAAAAAGTCCTTTGTTAGCTGCATTCTAAGCAAGAATAAGGAAAGAATAGGTCTTTTGCTTGGGCAAGATGGCGTATTGTTAAGAAATGGCAGAGAGAAAATGGAGCTGGCCCGCCCCTTGCTTCTGTCTCTCTCACTGGAAAGGTCTTCAAATCCATCCTTCTAAGCATTCACCAGCTCACCAGACATGTGTTGCACTCTCACAGCCCTAGATGGGTAAAATGATGGAGTCCTTTTTGCAGAGTGTGGGGATCCCCAGACATGGGACCCTCAGCCCAGGCAGTCACCTTGGGGAGAGGAGAGAGCTGCTCAAGTGACTGCCCAAGAGAAGTGGTGACAAATTCTACAGAGGCAGAAGCCCAGAAATGCATCAGAGTTTCCCAGATTGTAGACAGAGGAGGGTGGACTCCAGGGGTTGACTCCTAGGTCATTTGTGCCCATCCCTGGAAAAATTCCGGCAGGGGGGTACCAAACAGGAGGTCGTGAGCATGTGGAAAAGAATGCACCCATCCCCAGGAGCACATGGCGGGAAATCACCATTTCTTTGCCGATGATAATGCTGGAGACATAGCAATGTTCTGTGTGTGCAAAGAATTTGATTATCTTCCTACATCCTGTCTCTCCTCTGATTAAATACCTCTGACAACTTCCCTCCCAAGCAAACCCCCTGAGTCTGGTCCCAAAACCCTGCAGGATGCCTGGTCCCACCTCTTTCCCCAGCCTCTTCTACCCTCCCTACGCTACGCCCTGCAGTCCCTCGTGCCAAGCCACTCTGGATCCCAGGGCTCCTGTCTGCGTCGCCCAGCCAAGCCCTTCCTGCTGCCACTCCCCTTCCCCTCCTGGGTTGTGGACGGCCCCTACTTCAGGTGACCCATGTGGGCAGCTTCTGTGCTCATCTCCCAGTGCCTGTTTCTCTTCCACTAGATCCTCAGAGCACTTTTCAGCCTTGACTTCCCAGTTTGTCCCCACCAGATAGCAAGTGCCCCAGACAGAGCCTGCACCCCAGCATTTACTGCAGAGATTCTAGTAAATATCTGTGGGATGAGGACGTGAATAAATGAGTGGACATACAAGTGGGGGAGTCTTATCCCATGAACATTTAACTTCCATAAATTGAACCAAATGTACCAGAAAAAAATTAAAATATTATATACTTATATTGTGGATATATACTCTTCATTCTATACACTGTGTTGTCGCATATACATTTTACATGTATGTGCATGCTTTCCTGTACTTGTATGGAAACTCAGGCATTCTGAATTTTATGCATGATTGAAGGGACTTTCAATGGTAATGTGGATTAGAATGGATTTCGCTGCCCATGGCAATGTCCGAAGCGAGGATGTGCCTCTTCTGTACCCTTGGGGAAAGATATGGAAATTGGTGGTGGGTGGATATACTTTTTGGTAGATTCCAAGTTGACCTATAAACCACATTCTGAGTATGGTCAAGCTGTGAGGGTCTCCAGGGTGATATTCCCCAGTGTGTGTGCCCCTAAGAGCAGCTCCACTGGGCAGTCAGTGAGTCCAAGGATGGAAATGAGTGGACCCTCTAGATTGAGTCAGCTCAAGCTGCTGTCTTATCTACAGGACATTTCAGCACCTTTAATATGCCGGCAGGCACCCTGACTCTCCAGGAGCAGGGAGTATAACATGCTGAGTTCCCCCATTTTATTGTCCAAGGGAATGTCCTTTTCTCCCCGGGGCAGCTGGCAGTAGGCGGCAGGTGGAGCCTGGGAACGGGCACAGCTCCTCTTGAATCATGCCACAGGGGTCTTTCCTAGGCACTAGACCTAGTCAACATTTTTTATCCCATTTTGAGCCAATGCAGAGATGGACAGGATAGCTAACAGGATGGTTGATCAAATTGACATTAAAAAGATCTTGATGAGTGAGGCTGCCCAGCTAGAATGGAGCTCAATGAAAATGTGCAGACATGAACGTGCAGTTTTTTATTTGGGGTGAGAAGTAAACAGCCGTCACTCACGCAACAGAGAAAACGGAGCACCTGCTGTGCATGAGGTGCTCCCCAGACCCGTCATTTGGAAGATAAACAAGGCCAGGCCTGTCCTCAAGGGCTCGGAGCAACTGGGGCCACACAAGGTAGAAAGGAGCTGGCCTGCCTGGGGGCCATACACTTCTTCACGTGTTCCATGAGGACCTACTGTGTGCCAGGCCCCAGGACACATGCTGGCGGTCTGGGGAGAAGAGGATCAGCAGATCTGGGCCCCATGGAGCCTCATGATGGCAGAGAAGACTAATGTCAGATGGGTTCTTGCAAAAGTAAACAAAGTCACTTCCAAAAGTGGTAAGTGCTGCAAAGACAACAGTGCAGGGTGCCCTGTCAGGGAAGGGTGGAGGGTGCTGTCTTGGACAGGATGGTCCAGGAAGACCTCCTGGAGGAGGTGGCCTTTGAGTGGAGACCTGCATATGCAGGATATGACAGGTTGCCCACTATCACTCAGCTGCATCTCCCAAGTACCCTCTGTGCCATCTCCTGCTGCAGAGAGGAGTTGGGGCAGGGGGCTGCTCTGGTACCTGTGATGTCCCTACATCCACTGAGCACCTCCACAGGGACTGTGCCCTCCATGTGCCAGGCACTGGGTCAGAGGCCCCTGCTCCCTCACAGAGCTGCCTTCTGGCCAGAAAGACAGACAATAATAACAACACAGCTACGATGTATGGGGCACTTCCTGTGTGCCAGGCACAGTTCTGAGTGCAGTAATTAACCTCATCCTCTCGCCACCTGTGGGAATGGTGCCATTATCACTCCCGTTTGGTCAAGGCCCACTGTTGGTAAATGACCAAGCAGTAAGCTTCAGGGCTGAACCACTACACAGCGCTGCACAGATGAGCAAGTTACAGAGAATACATCCTGGAGTAACAAAGTGACATAAAGAAAATGCTACACAGTGAGAGCGGACAAGGACAGGCAGTGTACACTAGAGAGGGGGTAATGAAGGCTTCTCCGAGGGGCTGACAGGTGAGTAGAGGATAGAAAGACAGAGGGAGCGAGCCAAGCTGGCAAAGAGCATCCAGGCAGAGGGAACAGTGAGGGAAAGGCCCTGAGGTGGGAGGGACTTTGGCAGAGGTCCATAAAGGAGCAGGGGATGGGTGTGCGTTTTATTCTCAGAACAACAGGAAACCGCGGGAGGGTTTTACACAGCAGGATGCCACACGGAGCAACACGGAGAAGATGTCATGCTGGATGGCTGCGTGGGTTGCAGGATGAAAGGGAGGAGGTGGAGTGCATTTGGAGGTTGATGTCATTGTCCAGGCAACAAGTATCTGAAGATGGCGGTTTGAATCAGGAGGTGGTGGTGAAGGTGGTGAAAACTGGACAGATTGGGGGATATAGTTTGGAGGTAGAGTCAAAATGGTCAGCTTAGGATGGTAATCACTAAGAAAATCTAGAGCATGGGTCCCGGGTTCCTTGAGCTTGTGTTCATATGACACGGGCACACAGGCCTCCTGGAAGCGGGCAGGGGATGTCATCCAATGGATAACAATGAGCCAGGCTCTTACATCCCGTATCATGTAATGCCACTACCACCTAGCAAGGTGGGTGTGTGGCTCCCCCATTCTGCAGACTGTCAGAAAGGTGAAGTACTCACTTAAAGTCATCTGCAAGGTAAGGGTGGGGCTGGGATGCAAACCCGGCCATGTGACTCTGATTTCAGTACTCACTTGGCAGCCCCACACCTGCAGCAAGACAAGGGGTTCTCAAATACATGGCAGACTTGAGAATCTCTGGCAGGATCACACAAACAGAAGAATCCCTCTAGCAAGGGGGGACTCACAACTGATTTCAGCTCTGCCACAAAACAGCCACATGATCTTGGTCAGCCTCTGCCTGACTCTAAGCCTGTCTCCCAGGAATGAGACGGAGGTGGACACACTTTCTTTCAAGGGTGCCAAGGACCCAATGAAGTGACGGATGAGAAAGGGCTATCTTGGCTCCTGGTCCACACTGATCCTCAGTGAAAAGATACAAGATAGAGTGAAGCCTCCCACAGCCCACTCACCCTGAGGAGCCCACTCACCCCAAGGAACCCACTCATCCCTAGGCATTACCTGGTCTAACCCTGGTTTCCCTGCACTGTGACTACAACCACACTGGCCAAACCCAATGGGAGAACCCACAACCCAACAGAAAAATGGGGAAAAAGCATGAAGAGGTAACTCGTGGAAGAGCGAACATGCACAGCCAGTAAATACAGGAAGATATTTCAACCTCATCACTTCTCAGGGAAGTGCAAATCAGGATGCTGTTAGATTGTCTTTCTCACCCACTCACTGGGCAGACATGCAGCTGGCCAGTCCCAGTGTTGGAGCTGTGCTTCCAGCGGGGGAGGAGCTTGGCACAATAGCAATTCAATCCAACCAAAATGAAGTCATTTACTTTTGGGGAAGATCTCCATATGATACATTAAACATAAATAAGCAAGGGAATGGGAAACTCAAGATTCAAGGTAGGGAAAGTGTAGCCAGGGAGGGAGAGGCAGGGAAGACATGAGGGAGGCTCACAAACGTGGATGACAAGTTGTGTTGGGGGTAAATTCGAGGAAGGTCACAATATTATTTAAGAAAAAAATGGCCAGGTGCAGTGGCTCACACCTGTAATCCCATTGCTTTGGGAGGCCAAGGCAGGATTGCTTGAAGCTGGGAATTTGAGACCAACCTGGGCAACACAGTGAGACCCGTCTCTATAAGACAACAGAAAAGAATTAGCCAGGTGAGGTGGTGTGTGCCTGTAATCCCAGTGGAAGGATTGCTTGAGCCCAGGAGGTGGAGGCTGCAGTGAGCTATATTTGCAGTGCTGCACTACAGCCTGGGTGACAGAGAGAGACCCTGTCAGAAAAGGAAAGAACGAAAGAAAGAAAGAAAGAAAGAGAGAGAGAAAGAAAGGTGGGAGGGAGGGAAGGGAAGGGAAGGGAAGAAGGGGGAGAGAGAGAGAGAGAGAGAGAGAGAGAGGGAGAAAGAAAGAAAGAAAGAGAGAGAGAGAGAAAGAAAGAAAGAGAGAGGAGAAAGAAAAAAAGGAGGGAGGGAGTGGGAGAGAGGGGGAGAGAGAGAGAGAAAGAAAGAAAGAAAGAAAGAAAGAAAGAAAGAAAGAAAGAAAGAAGAGAAAGAAAGAAAGGAGGGAAGGGAAGGGAAGGGAAGGGAGGAAGGAAGGAAGGGAGAGAGAGAGAAAGAAAGAGAGAGAGAGAGAAAGAGAGAAAGAGAGAGAGAAAGTGAGAGAGAGAGAGAAAGAGACAGAGGGAGAGAAGGAAGGAGGGAGGGAGGAAGGAAGGAAAGAAGGAAGGAAGGAAAGAAGGAAGGAAGGAAAAGAGAGAGAATGGAAGGAAGGAAGGGAGAAAGAGAAAGAGAAAGAAAAAGAGAAAGAGAGAAAGAAAGAGAGAGAGAAAGAGAGAAAGTGAGAGAGAGAGAAAGGGAGAAAGAGAGAGAGAAAGCAAGTGAGAGAGAGAAAGAGGGAGAGAGAAAGAGAAAGAGGGAGAGAGAGGGAGGGAGGAATGAAAGAAAGAAGGAAGGAAGGAAAGAAGGAAGGACGGAAAAGAGAGAATGGAAGGAAGGAAGCAAGGAAGGAAGGGAGAAAGAGAGAAAGAAAAGAGAGAGAGAGAGAGAGAGGAAGAAAAGAAAGAAAGAGGGAGAAAGAAAAGAAAGGACGAGAGAAAGAAAGAAAGAGAGGAAGAGGGAAAGAGGGAGGGAGGGAGAGAGGGAGGGAGGAAGGAAGGAAGGAAAAGAGAGAAAGGAAGGAAGGGAGAAAGGGAGAGAAAGAAAGAGAGAAAGAGAAAGGAAAGAAAGAAACAAAGAAAAGAAGAAAGAAAAGAAAAAGAAAGAAAGACAGAAAGAAAGAAAGGGAGGAGAGAGGGGAGGGAGGGAAAGAGAGAGGAAGGGAGAGAGAGAAAGAGAAAGAGAGCAAGAAAGAAAAAAGAAAGAAAAGAAGGAAGGAATGAAGAGAGAGAGAGAAAGGAAGGAAGGAGGGGAGGAAGAAAGAGAGAAAGAGAAAGAAAGGAAAGAAAGACACAGAAAAGTAGAAAGAAAGAGGGAAGGAGGGAGGGAGGGAGGAAGGGAAAGATAGAGAAAGAAGGAGAGAAAGAAAGAAAAAAAGGAAGGAAGGAAGGAAAGAAAGAAAAGTCTAGAGGGAAGTGAAGGCCTTCTTAGACACCCCCCGCCCAAGGTAGCAGTTGGTCAAACTGATGTGGGGCCACACACCCCACTCAAACAATCCCTGGCATTCAAGGGTCTTGACAGCTAGCCTGCCATCTCACAGGGGACTCTCTGAGCCACCGTCTCCTGAGGCTGCAGGCCCCTGCTCATTCCCACCATAGCTCTCACATGACCATGCCTTTGCTCTGTTGTTTCCTCTGCCTGGAATCCCACTCACTGATAAATTTCTCCCCACCCTCCAAGTCCCAGATCAAGGGCCATCTCCACTGTCCAGACTCCTCCCTCCATCCTGAGGTCTCACTTCTGAGAGCCCGCCACACTCCCTCTGCCTTCTCCCTAAAGCCTGAACCATGCTGCACTCTGGCCACTCATTGCTGTGAACTGAGTCAGTACCTCAGAGTGTGACTGCATTTAGAGATAGGAACTTTAAAGAAGTATTATAATTAAGTTAAAATGAGACTGTTAGTGTGGGCCCTAATCCTATATGACTCGTGTCCTTATAAAAAAGGAGACCAGGACACAAGAGATTCCTGGGGCACATATACAAGGGGAAAGGCCATGTGAGAACCCAGGGAGAAGGTGGCAAGCCCAAGAGAGAGGCCTCTGAGAAAGCAGCCCTGCTGACACCTGGATGGCAGACGTCCAGCTTCTGAAACTGGACAATTCATTTCTGCTGTTTAAGCTACCTGGTCTGCAGGGCTTTCTTCTGACAGCCCTAGCAGACTAGTACACTCGTGAGCAGTTCCTCTCCCCTGAGAGATGGTCTGGGTGGGGCTACCAGGCTGGGCCAGAAAAAGCACTGTTGCCCTTGGCCACTGTGATTAGTTTGGGATGGGCACACAACCAAAAGTAAAGCCCCATTAGCTGGTCCAATCCGAGTGAATCTTAGAACTTCTCCAAGTGCTGCTAGAGAAAGGCCAATGCTCTTTCTGGGGGTACTTGAATCTGGAAGGTGTGGCACTGCAGGTGCAAAGGCCGTCCCGCTGCCCCAAGAGGTGGCCCTGGGGTTGCCGGATGCCAACGCTACCTCTGGTCCAGTCCATTTCGAAAGTCAGCACCATGCCCTGGCTCTCCAGTTCCTTAGGCATACATAAGTCCCCCTTTCACCAGAGGTGGCTTGAATTGGGGTTCAATTTCTAGCATGCAAGGGGACCTTGCCTGGTACCTGCCCATTGCTGCCTCTCAGCTCTATGCAGGAAAACTGAATACTCAGAAGGGAGCCAGGCATGCGATGAAGAACTCTTCCTCTTCAGTCACAGAGTCCAGCTGGTCTCATGTCCACTCTGAATACAAGATTACGCTTCCCAGCTTCCCTTGCAGCTAGATGTGGCCATGTGACTAAGTTCTGGCCAATGATATGTAAGCAGAAGTATGGGGTGGAGCTTTGGAAAGTTTCTCTTTAAAGGCAGACAATGGGTCCTGGTGCTCAAAGTCAGGACTTAATGGCCACAGCTCCAAAGGCCAGATTTTTACCCCTGCAAGACAGCCCTTGTTAGCTGGTCATTCCCAGAAAGTGGCAACCCCATGGGGGTGAGAGCACTGAGGAGGAGCGCAGTGACCCTAAATGTCATGCTTGCTTCTTGATGTCCTGGAGCAGGACACCTGTCTATATATGAGGAAACCTAAGCTCAGGGGCATTTCAGACTCTCAGGGCTCTCATCTTGACTCATCTTCCTCTTCCCACTGCCACTACCCTAGAAGTCTAGACCAGAGTGACTCCCTCCTTCCTAGCAGGCCTTTAGGTTGTCACCCTCCCTCCCTCCTGGCTGGCCTTTAGGTTGTCACCATCCCTCCTTCCTAGCTGGCCCTTAGTTTGTCACCCTCCCTTCTTCCTAGCTGGCCCTTAGTTTGTCACTCTCCCTCCTTCCTGGCTGGTGGATTTCAAAGCAGGTCTCCATGGCTATCACTGAGGCTGAGCCACCATCACCTCCTTCCTGGAAGACTCGACCAGACTCCAGACCCCCACTGCCACCCTACCCTGCAGTTCATGCTTTTGCCAGCAGCCAGAGTGATGCTGCTAAACCCAAAGTCGGATACTGTCCCTCCCTTATTGTCTCCCCTCCAGAAGGTCTCCATTCCCATGAAGGGAAATCCAGACCCCCTGCCCTGGCCTGAGGGATGCTGCACCACCCAGCTCCTGGCACTTCCCCTTCAGCCTTCCTCACTCTACTCCAGCCACCCCAGCCCCTCGCTGTTCCTTAAGCCACCCCCAAGCACGTTCCACCTCAGGGCCTTTGCATCTACTGTTCCCTTTGCCCGACATGCTCTTTCCCCAGACATGCCCATAGCTCACCTCCCTCACAAATCCAGAGCCATTCCCTGGACACACACACTGGAACAGGAGCCTCCAGCCACAGTGGACACCAAATAACTTGGTGAATGCATGAATAAATCAACAAGTATTATAATCAATGAACTTATACTCACTCTTTCATGAATCTTCTAAAATTCCTATAAGGTTGAATGGATTCCTATTCCTATTAGGGGCTATGGATTCAACCAGAGACCTGACCCTCGTTGGGAGTCCTGAATGCAAGTCAATGCATAATATATGTATATCAACATATATTATGTTGCCACTTCTGTGGGCCAAAAATCATTTCATAGTGGCAATTTCATAAGTTCAACCTATCCTCTGGCAGTCACTCCCACACTCAAAATCCTCCAACGACTCCCACTCAGAAATTCAAACTTGTTAAATTGACCCTGTATACCTCCTGGCTCCAGCTCCTATTTCCTTCCAGGCTCCTCCGACCAACTGCCCTGCATCGCTGTCCCAAGGATTTTCTTGGGCACCTCTCTTTGCTGGAATTCCCCCAGCCACCTCTGCCTGCCAAGCCCACTAGAATGCCTCTTGCCACTGGCCTCTGCTCCTCCCTGGTGTGCGCTGGCAGTATTCCTCCTCAGCCTCTCTTCTACAACCATGGCCAGCTGGGGGCTGCTCAACAGGAGAGGATCCTTGTCCAGGCACTGCCCTGCACTGCAGCCCTCCTGCTCCACCCCAGACCTCTGTGGGGACTATTCCAATGCCAGTTGATATACTGACTGTTCTGAGACTGAAAATTATACGGGAATGAACCCAGTCCTGAGAGGCCCTGCCACTCATTTGACTTGACTTCGAGCAAGTCCCTTATGAGCCTCAGTTTCCTCATCTATAACATCTTATATATCAGAAGCCACAAATTTAAAACAATGCTGGAGCCCATGCCTGGGTCCCAGGAATTTTGTGTGTGTGTGTGTCTGTGTGTGTTATCTGAGTAGAAGAAAGCACAAAAACCACAAGCGACAAGCAAGGGGAGGCTCACAAGACAGATTAAGCAACCTAAACTGGAGTCTCAGTGTTGATGCCACTCACTATGTGACCCGGGACAGTCCCATTCTCTCTCTGGGCCTCTGTTTCCAACTAAAAAGTGAGCCCTGGGCTTGGGAAGAGGGAAAAGCAGGGCAGACGGTGCAAGGCAAAAGTCTACACAACAAAGACCCTGGAAAAGGTTTGCCTCTGGAAAGATCCTCTGCCAACTTCACCAGTGGCCCAAATGTCACCTGGTGACATTTGTCACCAGGTGTCATTTGGGTCACTGGTTGCTGGTTTGCACCTCTGTCGATAAACTATTGGGATGGTATGGATTCAACTAGAGACCTGGCCCTCACTGGGATTCCTGAATGCAAGTCAATGCACCTGCAGGACCCCATACTGAGATCCTGTCTACAGTTCTGTAAGGTGCAAATAAGAAGGCACTCACAGAATATGGTGACAAAACCAGGCCTGCTGCAGGGATGGGTAAGGCTGTGCTTCCTTCCAAAAGGCAAGGGGAAGAAAGCGTTCAGTGGTAAGCATGGGAGTAGAGCCCCTGCCCTCATGAAGCTGACATTGCAAACCAGTTCGGAATGGATTGAGACAGTGTGAAGTGCTTGGCTGATGGGATGGAGCTTTGAGGTGAGAGGGGACTTTCGACAAGGTCGAAAAGGTCTAGAAGACCTGGACAGGGTCAGGGGCATGGGGCTGAGGAAAGGAGCTAAGGCAGAAGAAATAGCTGGTGTCCAGTGTGGTGTGTTTGGGAAAAAGGACAAGGCTGAGTGAGCAAGGTGAAGGGGGAAGATGGCAGCAGAGGTCAGCAGCAGCTAGATGAGCAGTGGGGATTTCATTCTGATGCAAGAAAGCCTCCAGAGGGGTTTAAGCAGCGCAGTGACATGATCTGATTTCCATGTAAAAGGATGATCCTGCCTGCTGGGTGCAGAAGGGACTGCAGGATGGCCAGGAGCAACAGGGCAATGAGATGGGGGAGCGTGGGACAGCCTGGGAGCCCAGATGTGACAGCAGTGTGACCTGAGGAGGAGGCGGCAGGATACCCAAAGATATCCAAGGCTGACCTGGCTTTCAGGGAAGTTCACAGTGCAGAAGCCAGCCTGTGGCAGTTTCTGGTCCCCTAATGCACACGCACACAAGCCAGAAGACACACAGCACGGCCTCCTGCCACTGACCAGGGCCTCCTGGAGACCAGCATTGCTCTCTCTGACCCTTTTCCACCAGACTTTTGTTATAGTTGCTTCAGAAGTCAAATGTGTGGCTCAAAACTCTGTGTGTATGTATGTGTCTGCACACGCCATTCCCATAAAACAGTTGCAAAGTCAAAAGCCCACAGGAGTCAAGCGGATCATGTCACAGGAATGCACAGGACGGGCAGCAGTAGGGAGTGGTGGGGACTGCGGCAGTGAATGGGTTGCCCATTCACTGCTGCAACTAAAGGGAGTTGTGTTCTCAGTTTAAGGTCTTTGCAACCACATGGGCACACATGTAAATTAAGAGTAGATCTGCCAACTTTTCAAAAGAAACCAGAAATTCCTATATTTTAGGTGAAACAACAAATTTTAAAATTTGGGCTTCAATTCAAAACACAACACCAGCACTGTATCAGAGGTTAACATTTGGGTCACTGGTTGCTGGTTTGCACCTCTGTCAATAAACGATTGAGGGGGTATGGATTCAACCAGAGACCTGACCCTCACTGAGAGTCCTGAATGCAAGTCAATGCACCTGCAGGACCCCATACTGAGGGATATTCTAGCAGGGGCAGGTGAGGGAGTTCCAGAGGGCACCTGAGGGTATTCTGGTGTCCCTAGAGCCGGTAAGACTCTGCGGGGGTGTTTGGGTGAGCACATACCCACTTTGAGCTCCTTCCCGAAGACGGTGCGCTCTCCCAGTGCAGAGCAGTTCCAGCGGCCATTGCGGAACTGAAACTGACACTCGTCCAGGCCCATTTGTGAGCCTTCTCCTATGACGATGATGGCGTCGGGCCGGCTCTGGCAGATCGCCCGCTGTCTGGGAGCCAGGCCTGGGATCTTGTTACAGATGATGCTTGCGCCCAGAGCTACCACTGAGGAGAAGCCACTGGAGGGAGAGACACAGAGAGATGGAGCATTAGGCCAGCAAGGGGGCATGGCCTGGGAACCCTTCGTAGGTGTCCAGCACTGGCCACCCCACTGCCCCCAGCAGTGGTCTCCCAACTTTTTTGATCCTGCACCCCTAACTCATGTCCATTCGAATAGAAACCCTATAATTTCTACATAGGCTCTTGAATCAATGCGTATACCCAATATCAGTGAAACATACACACACTTGATTTTTGTTTTAGAAACAAAAAAAGATGATGTATGTCACAAACATTACATGGAGTAAAAAAGGCAAGTTGCCTTTGAGTTTATGGTAGGATGCAATTGAGATGAAGTTCAAAAACATGCAAAAGAAGCTCTATATTGCTAGGGAATCATCTCTTTGGTAAAATTGTAAAGGCAAGCAAGGAAATGATGACTTCAAAGTTTCATGCAGCAGGTGCCTTTGAAGGAGTGATGGGTGCACAGATGTTCATTAAAAAAATCTGTTTTTTAATGTATATGTAACATATACTCTCATGTATGTATATGTTTTATTGTTGGAAAAAAAACTTAAAAAGTAATTGTAAGTAGAAGTCCTGGCATTTTCTTCCTGCTGTCAATGGAGTACATGTATCCCACTCCGGGCATGACTGGCCTAGAGGATGTGTGCGACTATTATGAGGAGAATTCCTATCTTCCTCAACTATTCACTGATATATATCGGATACCCATCATGTGCCACGTACCATGCTAGGAGACAGCTGTGCACCTGACAGGCAATGCCCTGCCCTCAAGGAACTAGGGAGGGTGACAACACAGATGTCACAAATGAATAAAACAGGCCATCTCGACAGTGATATGTACTATGAAGAAAGTAAAGGAAGATGCTGGGATGGCAACTGGGGTGTGGGGGTGGTGAGGAAAGTGAGGGCCACTTTAGCTGAGGTGATCAAGAGGACTTCCTTGAGGAGTTGACATTAGAACAGAACAGAGATCTGAATTGCCAGGAGGCATCTGTGGGAAGATCTGGAGAAGGGTATTCTATGCAGAGGGAACAGAAAATGCAAAGTTCTAGGAGACAAGTTCGGGGTCTTCAAGGAATAGAAAGAACCCATGGAAACTGCTACAAAGCCAGGGCTTGAGATGCAGGGAGATCCTGGGAAGAGGAGATGGCTGAGGGCTGGCATTTTCTCAGGTGCATCAGGCAGCACCAGGAAGCACTGAAGGGTGTAAGCAGGACACTGACATGACCTGGTGGTCCCCACTCCATGTAGGAAAGACCTGTGGGGTGCCAGAGCAGGAGCAGAGGGACTAGGCAGGTTAGGGTTGGTGGTGGCTTGGCTTGGTGGCAGTGGTAGGGCTGCAGGTAGAGCCACTGGACAAGTGCCTCGTCCTGGGGCTCAGCTGTGGGCAGTTTTCTGGAGTTGCAATTTGTTAGAGTGAGGTTCTCCTGTACCAATAACTCAAGGAGGTGACATGGACCCATGCCCTCCAAGCGCACAACTGATCACTCCTGCCGTTTCCCTAGGCTCCTGCCACGTGCCAGCCTTCTCCCTGCAGTAGGCACTCTGTCCTTGCTCCTCCTCTCCCTGGAAGCGCTCTCACCCCTGATCTTCACAAGCTTGGCTTCTTGCCATTATTCACATGACCTCAAGGGTCACCTCCCTGACCAGCCCAGCTAAGGGCTCCTCCCTCCCCTCCCTACCCCTAATAAATTCCCATCACAATCTCTGTTTTGTTTACTGGATATTCTTGATTACTCATGGTCTACTGAAATGTTTTCATGTCTGTGTTTTTAATTTGCATGCTCACTTGATCACTTGTCTTCCTCCTGAGAGGATGAGCTCCCTGAGGGCAGGGAGGCTGTCTGCTGGTTCACTAAATGACTGCTGAATAAATGGATTGTGGCACTTCAAAGATGTGGCTCCGGGTGAGTACCTATTACATGGCAGGTGCCCCCCAAATATGCATCAAATGCATCAGTAAACTTGGGCAGTGTCCCTACTATGTGCCAAGGCAGTATGGTGGGTGCTGCCACAAACAGCAGCTCATGTGACCTTTCCACACAGCCCTGTGGGGCAAGAATCATCACATCCGTTTCACATATTTGAAAATTGAGGCTCACAGAGGTTGGGACCTGGAGGAAGGTTCTCAGCTAGCAGGTGTTGGAGGTGGGACAGCCTGGCTTTGCACTGGCATCTCAGCGCTAAACCCGAGTCTAACACACACTAGAATGCTGGGAATGTCTGAGGAAGAAGCAGCATGAGAAGATTAAGTGGAGACGTTTTGGCATCATTTGTCAGGAGGACCCTCTGAGCACCTAGCTGGCCACCAGGAAATTTCTACACCAGCTGAGAGTGGATAGGTTGGCATACTGGGGCCAAAAATTCATAGGTGCAATAGACTAGCCCCTAAGGGTCTGGCCTAGGTTCTCATCCAAGCTTCCTTCACTTATTAGTTGTGCGATCTTAGGCAAGTTTCCTTCCCTCTGCACTTCAGTTTCTCCATGGCTAAATTAGGGTATTGATAACTAGTCCCCACCTCATTGGCTGCTGTGAAAATCAAATGTGCTAGAACATGGAAAGTGCTTAGAAGGTGCCAGGCACATAGTGAGTGCCCCATAAATGTGGTGGTGGTGTTGTAATTATCATTATCGTTATCGGATCTGATTGTTGCAATAGGCTAGTGCGGAGTCACCTGAACTATCCGAGCAAAATAAGAATACCGCAGATGCCCCACCATCAGCCAGAAGCGGGTAGAGCCGTCACGTCTGGGGAAATGGAAAAACCTTTTAGGGACGTTGAGACTTCACCCCTCATGTCCACTATACAGATGAGTAGCCCGAGGCGCAGGGAGCAGCAGGGCCTGGCCCGAAGTCACCTGCAACTCCCACCTCTCCGACCTGGACCTCTCCCTACCCCAGAGGGCAGCTTGGGGCGGAAAGCCAGCGCCCTGCAGGACTCCCTCCCTCCCTCCCTGCCGGGCAGCTGGGCCCCCGCAGGGCCAATCCGGGGAGGCCGCGGCGCCGGCGGGAGGGCGGCCCGCGGGCGGGCGGGGCGGCCAGGGGAGGTTATTTTCTGCTGTTTTCCCTTTCTGTCTCCCCCGCCACCCGTGTCCCTCCTCCCCGTTTCTAATTAAAAAGGAGATAAAGCCGCACGCGGCCCGAGTCAATCGGCTCGAGCCAATCGGCCCTACTGGCTTCCTGGATGCTGAATGTGCGCGGGGCGGCGGGGCGCGGGCCAAGATGAAGATTAAAGCAGGGGAAAAAAAGGAAAGCCACCCAGACGCGGGCGAATCAATAACACTTAAAACACACCGGCAGGCTGGCGGTACTGGCGCGAGCCCCGCAGCCGCCTCTCCGCCGCTGGTCGGGCTGGCGGCCCCTGGTCGGCTCTGCACGCACCTGCTAGCGGCCGCGGCCGGACAACTTGCGAAATCCCCGCTCCAGAGACGTGGACTGGGGAAGTGACGGGGTAGGGGGGTAGTAGTGACAAAACACAAAGGGTCTGCCACGCACATCCCCTCGCCGCAGCCCCTGCGGTCCACCCCTCCTCAAAAGGGATGGTAATGGGTTCACTGCTGGGGGCTGGAGGGGCAGGGTGTGTGAGACCTACCAAGCGGGCCCTTCAGCGCCAGAACCTCTATCCATGCCCAGATCCCCCCGCCCCCACACCGCTCCGAGCCTCACACGCGTTGTCTTAAGTACAAAGGGTGACCGGCTTTGCACAAGCAGCTCCAGGACGCGTCCCGAGCTGCCCCCTCCCACCTTCCAGCCAGAGCGCCCCCGAGCCCCACCTCCACAGAAACGCTAGGTGAAGCCGGAGGGCTGCTCGCGCGCCCGGCCGCCTCTGCTGCCCAGTTCCAGGGGGCGGGGTGTCCCGCCTCTCTCTAGCGCTTGTCTCCCTCTGTGTCTCAGACCGCCTCTCGTCCCACCTTTGTGTGTGTTTGTTGGGGGTGGGACGTGCTGTCCCCTTGGCCCGGGAAGGGGCTCTGGGAGTCTAAGGGCCCCTGGAAATTGGGTGGTGCCAAGGCTCCGAGCGGCGGTTTATGTTTTTGCCAGCGAATGTCCTTCCTCCTGGGTACCTGTTCCCTGTTTGCACGGACCGGCCCCGCCAGCCACCTGGGGACTGCCCAGTCTCTAGGAACGGCTGTGCCGCGCCTCCTGAGAGAGTTCGTCTCGGGCTCCGGGGACTGAGCTCCCCGAGATTGGCTGTGGTCCTGGCTTGATGTTCCTGCTAGACCTGCTGTCCCTATGCCCGGGTCCGAAGGGTCCCCGGGATGGGCTGAACCTTTGCAGCAGCTAGCCCTCCCCCAGAGTCCCTCAGGCTGGAGCGTCCCTACCGGCTGTCTCTGGTCCTGGGGGATTCCAGACTCAGACGTCCTCAGGATGGCCAGTCCCCCTGCCTATATCTCCTGGGGTGTCCTGCGGGGGGCCTTTGTGCGTCCACCGCTCCCACACCGCACCCACCCGGCCTCTCAGAGAAGCTGTGGAAGTTGGCCGGCAGAGGCTCGCAGGCGGCACACCTCCCTCCCCGGGCCGTGCCAACTTTGTCGAAACACGCGCGGAAAGGGCGCAGGCAGCCCTTACCCGATCCGGAGGTAGACCATGCCCAGGCTGAGAAAGAGGTGGCCCAGGCAGCGCCGCGCTTTCCGGTTCATAGTCCCGATTGGCCGCCGGGGCCGCGGGCCGGGCTGTGCTGATCCCGCGGGCCGGCCCCGGCGGGGCAATCAACATAGCCCGCCCGGGAGGCGCGAGCCGAGGCGTCCCCGGGGCCGTCTGTCGGTGCGCCCGTCCGCGCGCTCCGCGCCTGAGCCTCGCCAGGAGCACGGGAGCCACGGAGCGGGAGGAGGGAGGGAGGAGCGAGCGCGGCGTGGGGCGACGCCGGGCTGCGCGCGAGCGACCGGTGCAAGTGTGCGAGACGCGGGGAGTGCGGGGGCGCTGCTGCCTCCAGCCCCCGCCCCTCCCTCCTTTCCCCCGTCCCTCCCCCGCCCCCTCCCCCGCCCGCCTCCCCGGAGCGCCCGCCCAGCGCCCCTGCGCCCGCGGGACAGGGCCGCCTGCACAAGGCGCGCGCTCGCGCCTTTCCATGCGCGCTCCCGGGGGCCCCCTCCCTGCTCCGGGGTGCAGGTGGCAGGCTGGGGAGCACAGCCCGGTTGGAGGCGGTAGGAGCCCGCTCGCCCCCCACCCGTCACTAACTTGCAGATTGCAGGGCGAGTGGGCGTCCAGAGGCTGCCCTCGGGTGGAGTGGACCAGACTCGGCCGAGAGGCCTAGTGCCTTGGTCTGCTGCCCTGCTCCCTCCAGCCCGGAACAGGGAGCTGGGGCTGACAGGGCACACCCCAGTTCCCCAACCCCAGCTTCAGGGGAGGGCGCCCCCTTTCGCGGAGCGACGGGCTGACTGGCTCAGTGTATTTCTTCCCTACTCCCACCTATTCGAGAGTGGCGGCAGGGGGTGCCCAGGTTGGGCAGCCTCCTCTGGGATCCTGCTGTTAGCCGACAGACTGAGTCGGGCTGAGGCCCAGTTGCCCCGCGCGGAACAGCAGTGGGGCGCCTGAGCCGCGGGAGCGTGAGGGGCGCAGCTGGCCGCTCAGAGCGCGCTCGCGGCGTCACCAGGCGGACGCGGCGGGTGGTGCACCTCGGCCTCGCTCCCGGGAACAGAATGCTTTGAGTGCCCTGGCCGACCCGAGGGGGCTAACACCCTTCTTTGGTGTACACCTCATCCAGTGAGCTAGGGGGAGTCTAACCGTCCCTGGAAATTGGGTGGTGCCAAGACTCCGAGCGGCAGTTTATGTTTTTGCCAGCGAATGTCCATCCTCCGGGTACCTGTTCCCTGTTTGCACGGACCGGTCCCGCCTGCCACCTGGGGGTTGCCCAGTCTCTAGGAGCGGCTGCGCCTGCGCCTCCGGAGAGTGTTCCTCTCGGGCTCCAGGGACTGAGCTCCCTGGGAGTGGCTGTGGTCCTGGCTTGGTGTTCCTGCTGGACCTGCTGTCCCTATGCCCAGGTCTGGCAAATCTGAACTCAGGTTTCAGCTGAAGACACTGAGGCTCAAGGAGGTGAAGGTGTTTGCCCAGAGTCACCAGCTAGCGAGTGGCACAACCATATGGGAAACAAAGTATGCCCAACTGTAGTAACCTCCTGCACCCAGTCCTGACTATCCTTCAAGATTGCCTTTCTAAATTACACACACACACACACACACACACACCCGAAAGCCACCATTCAGGTATTCATTCATATTCCATATTCTGTGCCAACCACGATAGTGGGCACCGTGGACACAAGGAAGAAGAAAGGCAACAGTCTTTCTTCTTGGGGCCAGGAAGGAGACAGATGATAAGTGAACAAGAACAGAGTTGCAGATAGTAGACCATTAAGCAGGGTGATGGGAGAGGGAATACTGGGTGTTGGAGGGTTAATTTTAGATCTGAGGAGGTGGCATTTGAGGTGAGGCCTGAAGGACACAGCATCAGGGGTCCAGCACTGCAGGAAGGGGACCAGCAGGTGCAAAAGCTCAGAGGTGGGCATGAGCCCCAGGGAGGAGATGGTGGGCTGCAATAGAGAGAGAGAGAAGGCCTGAGCTTGAAGGGAGATGGGGATACACAGATCCACAAAGCTGTGTGGGCACGTCAAGGAGCTTGGATTTCAGTGGTGTGTTCAGCTGGGGACATTGGAGGGATGAAGAAGGGGGTGACTGATCTGATTTGTGTGTTCAAAAGCTCCCCGTGGCTGTCCTAAGGGAACACACTGTGGGAATGGGGACAGGTGAGTAAAGTGCGCCATCAAGCAGACCAGAGAGGAGATGACAGTAGGGGTCCAGGTGAGACATTGGTAGTTTGGGTTAGGGTGGTGCTCTTAGAACATGACCACAAAATTATTTGACACTCCTCCCATGAAGAAGTGGGTTCTCTGTGCTCTGCCTGCGTGAATCTGGGTGGGCTTGTGATGGCTTCCACCAATAAGATGTAGCAGAAGTGATGCTCAAAAATTACAAGTCTTCGCGATAAAAGACAATGCAGTCTTTGTTTTGTTGGCTGGCGCACCAGTGCTGGGGCCCTGAGCCACCATGGAAGAGGCCTAGAGGCCACCATGCTGTGAGGAAGCCCAGGCATAGGCAGAGGCCACCTGTGCTTGCTCCAGCCCACAGTCCCAGGTGAGTTCAGCACTGGAGTCACCTTGCCCAGGTGCCAGAAATGTGGGTGAAGGTACCTCCACCATTATGTCATGCTGGCTTTGTGTCTGCCAAGCTAAAGCATGGTGGACAGTGGCCGTGTAGTATCCCCAGTGTACCCTGCCCAACTTCCTGAGCCCTATAACTTGTGAATATAATGATTATTTTGCCACTAAGTTTGGAGGGGATGCTTGTTACACAGCAGTTGTAACTAGGACAATAAGGGTAGAAGTGGGGTGCAGAGAGGAGAAAAGGACCCAGGATACGGGGCCTGTGTCTTGCACAGACAGGACTTGAAAGGATTCGGTGGGGGTGGGTAGAGAAAGAGAAAGAGGAATGATAGGTGACCCCGATGTTGGCTGGAGTATTTGGGTGAATGGAGGTGGCTTGTAATGATCTGGAGATGGTTGGAGGAGCTAAGAGTTTGGTAAAGGAAATCACAAGGTCTGTCCTGACCATGTTCTTCCCTCCTGCATTGTTCCTCCTCCTCTTCCTCCTCTTCCACCCTCAGATGAAGTCAGCACAAGCCCTGAGCAGTCTACCTCCAAAGAATCTCCAAATATGACCTTTATTTTCTGCATTCACCATCATTCCTAGACCAAAGTTTCACTCATGTCATGAATGCTGGGGTGTACTTGTGACCGGATGTCAGGCCAGGTGCTAGGCACATACCAATAGCCCATGCAGGTGCTGGGTACATCGGAAGATGAGAGAGGAGGAGGAGGAAGAAGAGGAGGAACACAGCAGGGAAGAATATGGCCAAGACAGATCAGTATATCAAATAAATCCAGTCTCTGCCCCTCCTGGAGCAACCCATCTGAGGACCGATTTCATGATCAAACACATAGGTAGCACTATTACATGCCAGGCACTGTCATTTACAGCCTCAGCATATCAACTCACTGAATCCCCTGAAAATGCCAAGGGGTAGGTACTCCACTTGTTGATATCATTATCACAGCCATCATTATTTGATAGAATGAGGAAAGTGAATCAGGGAGGGATTAAATAAAGTATCAAATTCCCACAGCCAGTCCATGGCTGAGCTGAGCTTCGAACCTAGAAAATACTGACTTCAGCATCTGCTCTTAACCCACCCCCCAGCCCCATTAGGCTGCCCATCTAATGGAGGAGGGGGAAGGACTTGGGACACTCCAATAGGAAAAAAGGTGTTAGGCACCAAGATGTGTGGTGCACAGTGGGCTGTTGGAACACAGAGGAGCTCCTCAGCCAGTCTCAGAGGATCAGGGAAGGCTTCCTAGAGGAAGTGTTCCTAAAATGGGATCCTAAAAGAGTGAGTTGGTATTAAGCAAGTGAGTTTTTGAAACCAGAGGAAACAGGGCCACGGAGGTTCAAGGTGCCTGGATATTGGGGCGTTAGAGGGAAGGAGATATGCAGGGAAGAGGCTCAATGGGGAGTCTAGGGACACAGGGCATATTAAGGGGGGTAGCAGTGTTACATGATCAGGTTTTTGTTTCAGAAGGTTCATGGTGGCTGTCATGGGAGCCAACAGAGGAGGGAGCAAGAGAGGAGGGCAAGTCAGGAGGTCTCAACAGTTACCTGTGGGAGAGAAGGCTTACCCTGGACAGATGGTGGGGAGAGAAGGGGGTGGATTTGAGACCGAGTTTGAAGGCAGGGTAGACAGGATAAGGAAGGCCTCCAGGACAGTGTCCTGTCCTGTGAGAGTGTGGCTGGTGAGAAAAATACAGACTGGGGACCCTGGGAGCAGGAGGTCTCAGGGAGTGAAACTTGGTTTTGGACATGCTGAGTCTGAAGTGTCTGTAGGTCACTGAAGGGTGACTGGTGCTCGGGGAGAGGCTTGGGGCTGTCACTTCTAGGTTGGATATCCCCAGCTAGAAGTGGGCAGACATTCAAATCAAGGCAAGGAGAGGACACCCTGGGAGACCAAGAAGGATGAGTGGGGAAGGCCCAGTGCAGAGCCCCAGGAATTCAGCATGATTTAAAGAACCAGCTGGGGAAATGGAGGGACTAAAGGTGACAAAGACAAGCCTGAGAGGCAGGGAGTTCATCAGACAGTGAGAGAAGGAAAAGGAATTTGTAGTGTTTGGCTTCACAGGGAAGGAAGGAGAGGCAGAACTAAAAAGGGTTCCATCTTACCAGCCTAACATCCAGAGATCTTTATGGTCTAGCTCAAAATTACCTTTACAGCCTCCACTTTCCCCAAACACTTGTGCACATATCACAACAAATTAGTGGGTTGCCACTAGCATTTACAAAAAGAAATAGATCAGAAAATAACAGAGGGCATTATGCATAAGGTTCCAACTGTGTGTGTGCGTGTGTGTGTGTGTGTGTGTGTGTGTGTGTGTGTGTATTGGATGTGTATGTGTATACATTTTGGGTTAGGATTTTTTAAAAAGTTGAGAGACTACTACTGCAGCCTGTTTTCCTTTGCATATGTCTAGAATGCCTTTAGCTCTTTTCTACCTGGTAAACTTCTAACTTATCCTCCAAATCCCACCCAAATGTCAACTCATCTGAAAAGCCTTCCTTGATCTACATTACTCCTATCCTAGGCACTTGGTGTCTTCCTCATTCATTCAGTCATCAAACATTCGTTGAGGATTAAACTGTGCTGGGCCCTGGGCTGGGTTCACTGCTGGGGTACAGCAGTAAACACAATAGATATGATCTTCAAAGGGACCACCTTTTAATGCATCTCTTCCTCTGTGCTCTCACCCTTCTTGTGCTGATCTTGGCAGAGCCCTTCCCACCCCAAATGTTGTATGGCCTCACTCCCCTCCCTCCTCCATCAGGACATAATCTCCTTGTGGGAAAAACGCTGTATCCTTCATCTCTGTCTCCAGCACCCAGGACAGGGCTTTCATCAACATGAGGACCATGGTTTGGTAAAAAGAGTTCAGACTTTTGGGTCAGATAGGTCTGAGTTTGAATCCCAACTCTGAGACCTACTAGCTTCGTGATCCAGAACGGTTTATTTTTAACTTGTTTGGATTTCTGTGGGCCTAATAATGTTCAGGTAATTTAATCCTTCACCTGACTGGGAGCTCCTCCAAGGATTCATTCCAAAACCTGGAACCTAGTGTGAATAACGGTTTCATGACTGTTTCAATGGGACCCATTGCAGAAAGTTCTTCTTTGGCAGAGTCATGCTAGCCCAGAATTTTTCTCCCCATTTAGCTCCCTCTGCCTGGATTAAGAAGTGAGAAGGATACCTCTTCAGCAGGTACTGTTCCTCTTTAAGCCAAATCAACCATACCTGGGGCAGGTGCACAGTCAGCCAGGTGCTTTGTCGCCCCCTGCTGGATACAGAAGGAGATCAGCTTAGATCTCGGCCACAGCAATAATCTCTAAGGGATATGGAGTCCTGCTGTATACCAGACACTGCTGTCAGTGAGGGCTCTAGAGGTGTCCACATCCTGGCTCCACCGTTTATTATCTTTGTGACCTTGGAAAAGTTACTTAAATCCCTCGTTGCCTCAGTTTATCTGTAAACTGGGCACAGTAATGGTTTCTACCTCCTTGGGTAGTTTTGAGGTTTGAGATACTACAAGTAAAGTGCTTAGCACATTGCCAGGAACATAGCCAGTGCCGTGTACACGCTTGTAAATTAAATTAAGAGAGAGGCCACCGCCACCATTGGTGCTGCCACGGATCAAGAAAGGGTGTTTGTGTTTAAGGTGGTCTCTAACGGCGGGTCCCCCAGGGTGAGATTATAGAGACTTTCCACCTGTGTTTGGTCCCTCCGTTTTCTTCATTGATGCTTAGAAGAAAACTTCAGCAGCATAAACCATAGCCAAAGCTTTCAGTAAGTGTTTGGAGCTGCTGGGAGCCCTGTACTGGGAGCATTTTTTTTTTCTTTTCTTTTGAGACAGAGAGTCTCGCTCTGTCGCCCAGGCTGGAGTGCAGTGGCTCGATCTCGGCTCACTGCAAGCTCCTCCTGGGTTCACGCCATTCTCCTGCCTCAGCCTCCCGAGTAGCTGGGACTACAGGTGCCCGCCACCATGCCCAGCTAATTTTTTGTATTTTTAGTAGAGACGGGCTTTCACCATGTTAGCCAGGATGGTCTCCATCTCCTGACCTTGTGATCCGCCCATCTCGGCCTCCCAAAGTGCTGGGATTACAGGCGTGAGCCACTGCACCCAGCGGGAGCATCATTTTTGTTGAATGAATTGATGAAGGAAAGAAATACTCTCATGTGGGAAAGTTCTCAGAAGAAAATGAAATTCAGAGCTGTGACACAGAACAGCTCCGTGGGGAACCTCAGGTAGTGTGACCAGAGAAGGCTCTGAAGAGCTGAGAACTGAACAAGCTTCATTTTGCCTCCTCCAGAAGCCATCCCTGGCCAACTCCTCCAAAAGGATATTGACCTCCACAGCCTCTGTGCTAGCCCCTGTTCAAGCAGCCACCATAAACACCACAAACACCACAGCCTCATCTGTGTGTTTGTTTGCTCCCCATCCCCTGACATGGGCACCTCCAGAGGGCACCCAGAGCTGCACACCCAGTGATGATCACCAGACCCCGGGTAATCAGCCCGTGGAGAGCAGAGGAGCTGGAAAGAAGGAGAGGTGGGAAGGAGGTGGCAGAAGCCATTAGGGTGTCAATTGTAAAGGCCTGTAGCCTTCATCCTGTAGATGGGAAGGCACCCACATTGTCAGAGCAGGGCTGTTATCCAGTCCCATGTGGGTTTTCACCAGTGAGATCAGCCTCTATTATTTTGTGGCTATCCAGCATTCAACTCCTGTGACTGGCACCATGGTGTCTGCTTGGGGAGCCCCCCTCTGTGCGCCAGGCTGGTAGGAGGTTGTGCTGCCTCCGATGGAATCTCTTCTTCCTCCTTCTGCCTTGGAGCTGTTGGCCCCCAGGTCCTCTCTCCCAGGATTAGAGCAGGCAGGGCAAAAAGCTGGGGTCTGAAGACTACATTCCTACAGCTGGGGAGCAGCAGGAACACAGAGACCATCCATCTGCTCAAATAAGGAAACAGCCTCTCTCTTTGCACTGTGATAGCATGCACAATTTACTGAGGACCTAGTATGTGCCAGGCTGTCTGATGGATGCCTTATATTTCTTTGCTGCTGGCAGCACTTTTCCCAGATGGCTGTATGGTTCACCCATTACTTCATTCAAGCAGAATATCACCTCCCACATCGCTGCCCCATGGGGGTGACCCCTGAGTACCCTGCGCTTTCATGGCACTGTCTAGACCACCTCTTACTCTGGCTTTATTTATATGCCTAGAATGTATCAGCACCCCCCAACTTTACATTGTGTATTTGTTGACTTTTGTTTGTCTATCTTCCTCATTGCACTGTCTGCCCCACAAGTAGGAATATTTGTTACTTAACAGCTGCATTTCATAGAATGATGCCTGGAACATGGGCGGCCCTTGATGAATAATTGTTAGACACATGAATAATTGGATGATTCTCATGCACTCCTCATAAAAACCTCATTTTCCGGAAGAGAAAATTGAGATGTTGAGGGGTTAAGTTGCTTACCCAGCATCTAGCTGAGCGTCTAGCTGAGTGTCTGGCACTTATGTTAACACATGTCTCCATTCCCTTTTTGTCTTCTCCCACATCTCCTCACTCCTGCTAATAATAGGCTCCTTTGCACTGATTTCGCCTACATAGATTTCATCTCCATCCCAGCATTCCTAATACCCACTGCTATGCACGAGGTAGGCCTCACCCAGGCCAGTGATTCAGTGTTATCAAGGGGGCAGGAGTTGGGGGCAGAATGGGTAGGACCAGAGCATCCTGACTGGGAGGAGCTGGAACATGGGCCTTGGGGCTGGAAAATTGATGTCTCCCTCCCCCTGCTGCCAAAGTCCTATTGACTCCCTTGCTGAACCATCAATCTGTTTGTGAATCTGGGGGCCAAGATTGTGGAAGAGGCTGCAAAGAGACAATCCATCCTACAGGTGGGGAGACTGAGCCCCATTGCAGGCCCGAGAGGCTCCAAAGGCACATAGCCAGCTAGGGGCAGAGTTGGATATGAAATACTGCTAGGGCACTGGGGCAACACACCCAGCTTTGAGTCTCGGCTCAGCCTCTTGCTGTGTGACCTTAGGAAAATGGTGAACCTCCCTTAGCCTATTTCCGTATCTGTATGGAGATGATGATAATAATAATGCCATCTCATAGGTTACAGCAATCATATATATAACACATTCACATTTCACAGAGCAACTGGCACATAGCATGCACTCAACACATGATAGTTATTTGATGATGATGATTATGGCGATAAAGATGTGTATTGGAATCCAGCCCTCTAGGATCAGAGGAATCTTAAAGATGATCAGGGCCACTGTTTCTCAAACTACTATGTGCATCCAAATTACTTAGGTATGAAACAGATGCCCAGGTCCCCCTCAAGACCTCCCAAGTTGGACTTCCTGGCAGAGGTGGAGGGAAGTCTATCCCATCTCCACTGAGTAGTGGCCAACTGTGCTCAAACCTCTCTCAGGGAGAGCGGCTCACTCATCCCAGGGGAGCCCCTTGCATTTGGATACAATGGTGACTGGGACACTTCTTCCTCATACCAGTGAGAAATCAGCTGATAGAGGTTAGAGGGATCAGAGAAGGGAACAGTGGGTCCCCACTGTTCTGTGGCCCTTGATTTCTCCAGCTCAGAAATGGAGTAAGGCATGCCAGCTCTAAGTCTCTGTCTCTTCAAAAGGGATCTATGGACTCCCAGGTTTCCAGAGAGGAATGCTCAGGGCTCCAAGAATGAGAATTTCAAATGGTCTTTTTTTTTTTTTCATTTTAACATGAATCTAACATCCTCATATTTCAAACTATTAGGATGACCTCATTATAACTGATAACTGTCCTCTAATTAACTTTGCTGTTTGAGTTTGCATTTTTGCTTATGGTCATAAGGTTCCCAGGAAAACCACTTTTGTGATTTGGAGCCCAGGAGAAGAAAGCAGTAATTCACTGAAGCCCCTGCCCTGTGTGAAGAAAGGGTTAGGAGGAGGTGGGCTAGAGGAAAGGGGTTGGGAGGTTTGATTCATCTCATGACAGAGGGTGATAGATGGTGCCAAATTTAATGGGCCCTACATGGTGACAATTGACACCATGATCAGGCTACAAGCTGCCACTTGGCTTCAGCAAAGTAACATTCTCTGGCATATGTCAATTATCATTCATTTAAAAGTTAGATTTTCTGGTGTTTATGTTAGTTTATATTTCATCTGGAACTTGCAGATTTTAATAGCATAAGAGCCTACGCTTAGTTTTATGATAGTACATATCTAAGCAATGGTGTACTAAAAATTAGTTAAACCACCATTGAGTGTGTTTATTGGCCAGGGGGAGTAGTGTACAAGTTTCCCCTTTCAAGGAGCCCACATATCCCTCCAGCTTGAGAAACAAATCCCTGTTGATTTTGAAGGACCTCTGCATTCTCATGGTTTGTGAGCCCATGGATGGATCATCAGGTGGATGGGATTGTTTTAATTGAATTTGAGGTAAAGACCATTGTGAGGCCATTTTATACCAAATACCACCCGGTGAATATGTGTGTGTGTGTGTGTGTGTGTGTGTGTGTGTGTGTGTGTGTGTGTGTGTGTACTTTATGTTCTGCTGGCACCAGAATCCCCTGCAGGAGGGCTTGTTAATGCTCAGAGGGATGCCCACTGCCCAGGTTCACATTCAGTCCATCTGGGACTGAATGAAATGCACCCCAAAATGTGCATTTCTAACAAGTTCCCAGGTGATGCTGATGGCCACCCTTAGAGATCCAGAAGATCATCATCTGTGGGCTGGGAGGCAGGACTCAGGTCCACTGGCCTCTGTCCAGCCTGCTCTGGAATCCTGGGTAAGCCCCTTGTTCTGGGTGAGCCTCTGGACTCCCTACTTCCCATTCCTGCAATAAGAAGCTGGGACAAGTCTAGTGCCTCATCCAGGAGCAAGCATAAGCTCTGACACCTGGTTTGCCATTCGGAGTCTAAAGCCTGGTGTCTTATCAGTGAAGTTTCATGTCCACCCAGGAAGCCCCTGGAGCAGGAGGGCAGTGGCAGTCTTAGCTCCCTGCTTTGGGGAGACAAGCTGCGGAAACAGAAAGGCACACTCCCACTCCAAATCCCATCTCTGGCCCTGTGACCTTGTGCAAGTGACTGGTCTCCAGGGCTTCCCCTCATGTTGTAGGGTCACTGAGAAGTCCCTTCTGGAAAGCACCTGGATCTGGTGGGCCCTCTCAGACTCATCTGTGCGCTCCCAGCCACACTTTGCCTCACCGGCCGCTGGCCATCTGCCCGTGGGCTCCTGGTCACCTCGGGAGGAGAGCACTTATCACCATTCCACCCCCAAGGTCTTCCTCAGGATAATCTCCGGCCCGGGTGATTCATCTCATGGGCTGGGCCCTTCCTCTCGGGCCTGAAATATCTCCCTCCCCTCACCATTCCTGGGTCATGCCTGTGCCCCCAGCCATGTGACTTCCTCTGGGGACTGGCCCTGGGCCCCTGCCCTCCTGCCACCCCTCCACTCTCTAGCTAGCGACCCATTCTGGGCCTGCCATATCAGGCAGGGCTCAGCTGGGAGGGAGGAAGCCCACAGCTTGTTGTGCTGGGGAAAAAGTGCATCCCCACGTCCGGCCCCCACCCTGGCCCAGCCACACCTCTGCCTTTAGTGGGCTGGGCTTCCGGCACACATCCTGGCATGTCCTGGCCTGTTTATCACTTAGTTGCCACCTGGCGCTCTGCCCCTCATGCACACACATTCCCTGGGAGGCTTCTGGGGCTGGAGCAGAGTGGTTGGCCAGTATATCCCCCAGCTTTAGGGAGGCTGCCTTTCTCTGGAGCTAAGGATGGCTTTTTGGAGAAGACAGATCTGATCATATATCCCAGTTTCACTGTGGAATTACTGTGTGACTTTAGGCAAGTGAGTCTGCATCTCTGGGTCTTAGTTTCTCTGATTTTTAAATAGAAAGATAAATACCTTCATCTCCAGTTGTTGTGTGGATTAAATAAGATAATTACAAACAGACTGATGCTTGAACCCTACCTCCAACCACTTAAATCAGAATCTCTGTGGAGCATATAAAAAGCTTTCAGGGAGGTTCTAAGACACAGCCATGGATGGAACCCACTAGTATGGAATAGTTAATGGCTGAAGCTCTGGACTAGACCAACATGGATTTGAATTCTGGATCTGTTACATAATTATGGAGCCTTGATAGATTATTAGCCTCTCAGAGCTTCTGTTTACTTGTGTGTAGGATGGGGATAATAGTAATTACTTCCTAGTACTGTTATGAACATTAAATGAAGTAATAGATACTAGGTACTTTGCACACAGTGACTATTCCCTAAGTAAGTCAGGTGAGGAGAGGACAAGCCCTTCGTTCACCAGTTTACACAAGGCAGCTGGCTCTGTGCCTGGTCCCTCGATGGTACTTCAAATGAATATCTGTAAATGACTAAGTGTAGCTGTTTTCATTATTGTAGACTAAAAAGTAGTGAAAAATCTCAATTATCCTGAAGATAAACTTTTTCTGTCTTGTGACTGACTTTAGAAACTACATCTCCCAGCATCCTTTGCAGCTAGGGGCAGCCATGACTTTGTTCTGTTGAAAGAGATGTAGGTGGAAGCCCCTGGGCTTTCAGTTCCTTGAGTTTCCCCTTCCTCTGGCAGCCATCTTGAGAAGGACGGCCAAATGGAAAACAAGAAGGGACACGATGGCATGGTTGAGCTGCCATAGCAGCCCCGCAGCCTGCCTCTGGGCTTTTTTTTTTTAAGTGACAGAAAAATCTATTATTGTTTAGGCCTCTGGGTTGGGGGATTTTTGTTTCTAGTGGAAGAAAAACAGATGCATTGGGCCTCCTCATTGTCCTACTTTCTGTTCTTAGTCCTCCGTGTCCAAAAAAATCTAGAACCAGTCACCTGAATCACTAATTCCTTCTTTAGATCTCTAGGGCTGGGTTAGAGGCACTACAGGAAACCTGTCCAACCCTTAATCTGACCCCTTGAGGCAGAGTTAGCCCCGAGTCCTGTCCAGGCTCCTCTGGCAGCCCCAGAAAGTTCAAGAAGAGAGAGTGACTCCCTCCTTCCCTAGATGCCAATACCCAAGTCCAAAATCTCACAGCTGCCATGGGTCTCCTGAGCTCTCCCTCTGGAGAGGCAAATATTTGTCAGAATCTTGGCTCTGCACTGATTTGCCATGGGCAATGTGACTTTGAACAAGCCTTAATGTTCCTATCCATAAGGTGGGTCTATGGCAATCAAGAGATAAATCTAAATAAGAAATTCAGAAAGGGACACAGTGGCTCTTGCCTGTAATCCCAACACTTTGGAAGGCCGAGGAGGGCAGATCACTTGAGGCCAGGAGTTCAAGACCAGCCTGGCCAACATGGTGAAACCCCATCTCTACAAAAAAAAAAAAATTAACCGGGTGTGGTGGTGCATGCCTGTAATCCCAGTTACTCAAGAGGCTGTGGCATGAGAATCGCTTGAACCCAGGAGGCAGAGGTTGCAGTGAGCTGAGATCATGCCACTGGCACTCTGGCCTGGGTGACAGACCCAGACTCTGTCTCAAAAAAAAAAAAAAAAAAAAGAAACTAGGAAAGGGAAAAGTCAATGTATGACTAGAGGTGAGCAATGCTAACAAACCAACCCAGAACTACGATTAAATATTCAAGGGAAGGGAGGTGGCAGAATATTACAAGGTCTGTGAATATTACAGACCTTGGCATTATAAAATCAATAGCACTGCTGGGTGCGGCAGTGGCTTATGCCTGTAATCCCAGCACTTTGGAAGGGTGAGGCAGGCGGATCACTTGAGGTCACGAGTTCAATACCAGCCTGACCAACATGGTGAAACCCTATCTCTACTGAAAACACATACAAAAATTAGCTGGGCATTGTGGTGGGCTCCTATAATCCCAGCTACTCGGGAGGCTAAGGCAGAAGAATCGCTTGAACCTGGGAGGCGGAGGTTGCAGTGAGTCGAGATTGTGCCACTGCACTCCAGCCTGGGAGACAGCAAGACTCTGTCTCCAAAAAATAATAAATAAATAAATAAATAAATAAATAGAATCAATAGCCCAACGGCAGTATGTTAGGTGTGAGCATGATAGAAAGTGTGAAGGACTTAATTTTCTCATTCTTCATAACAGGGAAAAATAAATGCTAGGATTTAAACATGTAATTTAGCGGGGAGATGGCCCCTAATCTCTTAATGTTCTCCACAAACCTGGAGTGATCTTGTAAAAAATACTCATTTTGCTAACAAATCGAATATGTAAAGTTAACAACTGCTTTTATTTCACTCAAATTTCCTTTCCTTTGGTTAAATTCATATGGAAATATGCTTCATGTATTTTATTGTTTAAATTGACATATACAGTATAATCTCATTTTAATAAAATTCCTTTCCTTCCTTCCTTGCACACTGCCTCTCTTCTTTCCTTCCTGTTACCCATCCTCCCTCTCTTACGTCTCCCATCCTTTCTTCCACTCCCACTCCACCTTCCAAATATATACCTAGACAAACATCTGGAATGATGTTGCCTAATATTAATTCTAGGTTTGGGGAACTAGGGTTTGTAATGATTGCCCTCCTCTCTCCATTTTGGCAACATTTTGCTATATAGCTTGAATGGTTTATAAAAGCACTTATCATTTTAATAAAGACAATATAATACTTTTTTCCAAAAAATTATTCGTATCAATTTTATGGGGTTCTCTTGAGCACTGAATGACATGACCAGGAAAGCACCTGGCACACTGTGGCAAGCACAAGTCCAAGATGGCCCCGAGATTTCTTTCCAGTGATGTACATGCCCTGTACATGCTGGTCCTTCTACCTGGAATGTTCTTTCCTTCTCCCTTTAGCAAATTTCTACTCATCCTTCAGGACCTAGTTCAACGTGAAGAAGTTCCTGACACCTACACCCAGCCAATCAGACCCTCTCTCTGGAGACTTAACGGGGACAGCAGAAAGGGTTAGCGTGCATTCACATAGCAGCAGTGTCCAAGGGTAACTGTTTAGAGGTCTTTGGCACCAAGACTACCTGGCACAGCCCAACTCTTGCTTTATTGAACCTTGTCTTCAGGCTTCCTGTATTCCACCACCTTCCCGGTATCCTTCCAACAAATTGTTTTTATTTAAAGTGGCTAAGTCAGTTTCTGCAGCTTGCAAGTTAAGTACCCAACTGTTGCCCTGTCTCCCCAACATTGAGTTCCAGGCCCTCAGAAGTTTGTGGAATGAATTGAAGTCATGCGGAGGGTCATTGTAACAGGCCATCCTTCCTGCGACCCAACCTCCTGAAGGATGGGACAGGAGACAGATACCTGTGCTGCCTCTGTGAGATGTCTGGAGCTGGAGGGCAAGGCACACACGGACAGTTCTTGCTTGCCAAGGAGCTCTGCCCATCTTAGGGAGGGGAAACGGCTCCAGAGGCTAGACCACGTGCTCAACGCCACACAGCCAGCGGAAAAAGCAGAGGGCCAGGCGTTTTTGCAAACATGCTGGTTTAATCCTCTGTGTGCGCCTCCATACACAGGGTCCTGACCTCGCTGTCCGCTCACTCGGGTGTCCCTTGCGTCCACACTCCGCCTTACACACAAAGGGCTCTCAACAAGTGCTCACTGGCCCCTAATCCTCCCGCCGGGCCCGGGAGAGCAGAATTAGCAACAGCTGCATTTTGCAGATGGGGAGACTCAGATGTGCGAGGGCTACCCCAGGGCATCCAGGTGTGATGTGGGGGTCCCGAGACGCGTCGCCAAGTCAAGATACCCCGGAGCTCAGTTCGTTCCTCAGCCTGAGCGGTGCCCACGATGATGGAAGACTTTGCAAGACCCCTCCTGGGTCGTTTCGAACCGAGCTGCCCTAGAGCTGTCGGGTAGGTGAGGGGGAGACAGGTGCACGAGCTGACCTCGTAGGTGACCGAAGAAGGGGAGGGAAGCAGGCCCGATGGAGCCGACCTGTACCCGACGCAACCCGCTGTGGGCCGAAACGGGAGCTAAGCCAGATGGAACAAACGACCCCCAACCCGAGCCCGGCGGGGCGAACAGGACATCCCGCGTTGTTCCACCTGCCAAAGAGGGCGAGCGCGCGGGCCGATCGGAGCAGAGCGAGAGGGCGGGGCCAAGCGGAGCGGATGGGGCCAAGTGGACGAGCCGAGGGAGTGGGGCGCAGCCGAAAGTAGCCGAGTGAAGCCGAACAGAGACGAGGCGCGGGTCGGGTGGTGCCAAGCGGAAATGAGTGGGGCCGAGCGGGGCAGGGTGGAGCCGAGCGGAGCCGGGTGGAGCCGAGCGGAGCCGAGCGAGTGAGAAGCCGGAGGCCGAGAGGGCCGGGCCGACTTGAAGAGGTGGGGATTGCTGAGGGCTGGTCTGTCGGCTCTGGAAATCCTGTCATACTGTCACTTTTGGATTCCGCCGTTTCCGTCCCAACGGAAAACTGGGGCTCCTGGATTCCCCTGACCCGAGTTGTAACCACCGACGAGAATCTTTTTCACTGGCGGCCTCGGCGTCGGCATTTTATAAAATGAGAGCGGGGAGGGCGGCCGAAGACGAGTGTGCGGAGCCTTAGGCCCCCCGCTCGGGTCCGCTTTTCGTATATTCGGGTAGGATCGGATGTGGTGTCTTCCGTTGAAGTCCCTCGGCTCCAGTTCACCTGGGAGCGGGTGGGGGTTCTGGGGAATGTCACTTTAAAGACTTTGCTTTTGGGGAACGGTCCTGGCGCCTCCTGTGTAGATGCTGTCACTTGAGGTCTAGAAAGGGTCAGTGCGTGACGCAACGGACGCCGGGGAAGCCTGGTCTGGATCCCGAAGTCCAGCTCGTTTACCTGCAACAGGCTGGAGGTCCCTGCAGCCTGGCTGTGAAGGAATTTTACCCGGGGGGCTGCGCCTCTGCCCTTACCAGGGCAACCTCACTGAGCCCCACTGTTTATATCTGTAAGATGAGGAAAGCGATGCCTTCCTCTCAGGCTGCTGTGCAGCTGGATGGGGTGGGGGCTCTGTATTTTGACAGTGTTATCATGTAGTCATATATGGAAAAAATGTCCTTTTATTTTAAAATAAAAACATTTAGGTACCAGGCACTGTTCTAGGCAGTGGGGATATAGACGTGAACAAATCAACCAGTAATGCCTGCATACATTCTAGTAGGAGCTGCTGATCCAGTGGTTTGGCACAAGACTTCAGGCAGTGAACATGGGCATGAAGCACTGAGCCCTTAGGTATCTGAGCCGTTGTCACCCACCGTGCCTGTGTGCTTACTGCTGAATTGCTCTAAAACACAGATCTGATCATGTGGCTTAGTTGCCAGCGCCTGTGAGATAAAGACCGTCAGGAGCGGGCCCTAGCCTACTTTTCCAGTTGCATCTCCCCATCCCTTCTGTAAATTTTCAGGAACACCTGGCCACTCACTCTTCCCAGTACATTCCTCTGCTGTGTATTTTCTAAGTGCTGAGCTCAATGTTAGACACGAGATGGCGCCAGAACTGTACTGAAGGCTTTCTCTAATGGCCGCGGAGTACTCCCCTACCTGTTAACTGGCTTGGTTATTGGAACCTTTAGAAAGCCCCTTAGCATTTGTTTTATAGACAGCCCATATATTTTTTAGTATAATTCTCAATGAATTTTATGTATTGAATAAATTTTCTAGATATAAAAAGGAAGGGGAATATTATGAAACTTACTGCCCCAAGGGTTTCGGTACCATCATCTACTCCTCAGAGAGCAAGCCAGGCCGTTTTACTCAGAAGCTCATTAAGGTTCCTAATTCACTCACAATCTCTTCCTACAGTGTTGTTGCCGGGATGCTTTAGGGAACTTGGCCAAGGTAGGGGAAATTCCCTTCTCTTGGTTGGGCTCTGATTTTTTAAACCAAGAATGATTTTTGTAAACCAAAAATTTGGGGAAATTTCCCCCAAAGTCCCATTTTCTCCCCAAGCTAGTATTAGGTAAAAATCAGATATTACCTGCCCTGGTTTCTCAGCAAAATTTATTTGAAATGTGTGAGATTGCAGGCACCTCCCCATCTGAGGAGAGGCCACGAAATGGAATTTCATCCAAAATTAAAACAGATGTGACCTGGTCTCTGCTGGCATCCTTTATAGATGAGTTTCCTACAAAGACAATCTGTTGGGGTGGGGAAAAATCTTAGAACGATAGAAGTAGTTAGTATTTCACCTCACTTTTTAAAATTTGTATTTGTGGCCGTGTAATGTAGTGTACACTATGAGTCAGTTGTATACATCAAGCCTGTGTTTTTCCATGACGAAAAGATTGCTAGAGGACAAATGCCAAGAGCTTTGTTGGTTTTCCCAGGATCTTCTAGCCAAAGGGGAATCACTGGAACCTGAAGGGACCTCTCTAGGAATGTCTTCTGTAGGTTTTGTCTTTTCACATCTCAGCCTCAGTTTCTTCATCTATAAAATGGTACTCACAATGCCTTCTTCATGGAGTTGTGAGAACACAGTGAGATCTTGTGTGTAAAAAGGCTTTGAAAGCTGTGATGCCGGGGCAGGATAAACAGGGCTCCTGTTAGACCACACAGCCATCTTTGGGCATGGTGGAAATGGCACCCCTTTCTCCTGGTGGATCCAAACCCGTGACAGGGTACATGACTTGGTGAGTTGAGCCTTACCGGATTTCAGTCCCACTTGCCCATTTGACCAGGCACCCTAAGGCAAAGTCTGCACAGGGTTGTGACAACACTGTGGATCAAGTCCAAGTTCATACAGAGGAGCCTACCCTGACTGCCTCTCCCCTTCCCACACCCTGTGTTTCTACCAAACTGAAGCCATCAGTGTTTTGAAAGCAAAAGATCATTTCACCCCTCTGTGCCCTTGCATGTACCTTCCCTTACTCTAGGTGCTCTTGGTGAACTCCCACTCAGTCGTTAAGACCCCACTTAAGCAAGTCTTCAAGTCTATCTCATTTGATAACTTCTCCTTTTATGTCCCTCCTCTTCTTCCATCTGAGTACACTCCTCTATCCTAGCCATGACGCAATTATCTTTTCTGTTCTGCTTCTTCTGCTAGTTTTGGACAAAGATGAAGAAACAAATCTAGAGACTGGATGACCTTGGATCTCAGGTAAGTCCATCTTCAGCATGTGAGCTTGTTAACACAGCAGTTTCTTGTGAAGAGCGGTCACTCTGGGAAGAAATTGCCAGACTGTGGAGCTGCTCAAGGCCAGACAGCATGATTTATTCACCTCTTGGTGCCTGGCTTGCACCATGCCCAGGGCCTGACTGTTGGGTGCTGGTAAGTAACTGTGGACTGATTTACTGACTGTGTCTCATAATTGCCTTCCTGCCCTAGCTGTGAACCAAAGCCGTGGAGATGAAGGAACTCTGGGAGTGAGTGAGGGAAGAGCAGTTGGTATACAGACAGGGTGTTCCAGCTGCAAGAGGAGGGGAATGCAGGAATTGTCTTTTAAATTTGTTATCTGCACCTGAACTACACGTATTCTTTATCCTTGTGAAAAATAAAAATAATTGCAGATTAGGCTGAAATCCAGCCTTCACAGAGGTATCTGCTGTTCTAAGTGGATCAATGTCTGCATGTGGTTTATATGTCTATTAGTATACATGCTAGCTGCAGTGCCAGAAAAGCTTCCAAATCTCAGTTGCTTAACACAAAAAAGTTTATCTCTTGCTCAACACACAGTGTGATGTGGTCGGGAGGTGACTCTGGGCAGCTGTTCCAGAAGGTGTCTCAGGGTCTAGGCTCAAAGTAATGCTCATCCCTTGCTTCTAACCTGTGGCAGGAAGATTGAGTGGGACATTTTAGGGGCTCAGCTAGAGGTAGCATATACTGAGTGTTGCATATTCCAACAGCCAGGACTCAGTCACACTGTCTTAAAGTAACTGCAAAGGAGACTGGGAAATGTAGTATTCTTATGTGGGGAAGATTTGTGAGCATCAAGCAGATCTTGCCACAATAGTCATGCCTATCAATAGGTTATATATTGTATTACATGATGGCATGAGTAGGCAGTAGAATAAAAGTGGTTGAATTTTGGATATACATTATTTTGGCTGTAGAGTAGGCAGGGCTTACTGATGGATATACATGGGGGATAAAGGATAAAAGAAACCAAATCTGATTCCTGAGTTTTGGCATGTGCAACATGGGGGTTTGTAACACTGGATTCTTGACAGAGAGGAAAAGAGACTTGGAGCAGGAAAAGTATTATTGGTGTTTTTTTTGTTTTGTTTTGTTTTGTTTTGGTGGGAGGAGTTCTATTTTTCCATTGTTAAGTTTGAATTGCCTATTAGATATTCATGTGGAGAGGTCTGCAAGCCACAGGAGAAGACAGGGAAGTAGATCTACATTTGGGAGGCATAGGCATGTGGACAATATTGAATGCCAGGAAGAGGGTGCAGATAGAGAAGCATGGAGAGCCTTTCTGTGAGTCCTGGGGCACATCAATATCTAGAGATGGAGCAGAGGAGAAGTCTATGACAGAGATAGAAAAGAACATCCAGTTAGGTAGATGGAAAACGAGGTAAATGTAATGACATGGATATCTGAGAAGAGATGATTTCAAGAAGAAAGGTGGGGCCACCTTGCATTGAAGACCACTAAGAAAGTGAGCAGGAGAGTGACTAAGAGGGAACCATTAGTTTTGGCACCATGAATGTTACTTGAGGCTCTCAGTGGAACCAGTGTCCTTTCCTTCAGATGCAGGAAACAGAAGCCAGTTGGATGCATTCTGGGAGAATAGGAGTTGAGGAAATGGAGGCAACAACCATAGATAGATACTTTTTATGACTAAAGAGAATGAGATGAAAGGATACCCACCCAGGGTATTAACACTGGTGGGCTCTGAGATATGGGATCAGGCTCATTCAGGAAAGTCTGTATATTGTTCTCATTTGTGGCCACTGAACTCTCTGTTTTGCTACCATGCAAATCAGCTATGAATTGGAGATATATTTTTTTAAAGTATAGAACTAAGACTCTTGGACTGCTGAGGGGCACTGTGTGTGTGTGTGTGTGTGTGTGTGTGTGTGTGTGTGTCTAGGCATGCTCTCAACACTTGGAGAGGCAGTTCATGACCCTGTCTTAGATTTTACTTCTGGCTCGTGCAGAGCTTCCTGGACAGCCTCAGGTGAGAACCTAGGGCCTTGTCATGTCTTTCCTAGCATACTTATAGTCCTGAGTATGCATGCTATTCCTATGCATGCTTAAAGCCCCCCATGGACACTTTGTTCCCTGGATTTTACTTTTTAAAAGCTTTTTTGGTTAGCTTGTTATTTGATCCACTCTTATCACTACCTCAGGCAGCTGCAGTATTAAACACTTGCCATTGATGATTTTTGATGAATGCCTGTGGAGAAAAGGCCTTTCACACTGCAGGAAATCTGAGTGAGGTAAAATAAAGAGAAGACCTTTGAGTGGCGCTTTCTTAGGAAGCTCCAGATTAAATAAGGACAGTTGTCTAGGATTGGGGTGTTGGATGTTTCAACCTGTTCTTCCTCTCCAGTAGCTGCTAGGTTGCAGATTTTAACTATGATTACTGATTTTTGATTTTCAAAGGTGCTGTGCAGTTGGGATAAAGTGAGTAAGAATAGAGCAATTTATATGCCAAAAGAAATGCTGTCCTTACCAATATTCAGCCATTTTCTTGAATAAATGCTCTCTGGATTATTATAAGATTTTGGTTAATTTCTAGAGTTCTGAAAGACTTGATTTCAATAATTATTGCCTGTGTTCCCATTGCTTTTATGGAGTAGGGGAGTTTTGGAGGTCCTTATTCTGCCATTCCCTTCTGACATCACTCTAGCTGCTATTTCTAGTAACTCCGTTTCCTGTCCAGTCCTCTTTGTGCTTACTCTCTGTTCTATATACTTTCTCTTTCATCTTTTCATCTTCCTTCTGATTATTTTATTGGCTTTCTGCATAATGCAAGATCATGTTTGAAATTACTCAAATGTTATCTTCCCTGAATTGTTTATTTCTGCACCAGTTGTCTTACAATGAGTACTTTTTCAGCTAGGGAAGAGGTCATTTGCAATTGAGCTCTCAATAGTTCTAGAAGGTGAGACATGAAACATACAATAGGACAATTCTGAACAAGGGTATTCCTAAGTTGACTGAAAGAATATTCACAAGGAAAAGCTCTTTGTAAAATTTATTTCAAAAGGAGGGGAGGGAGACTTGAAGCTAGGTACATTCATCTTCAATAAAGCATTGACTGTGGAGAAAGGAAATGAATATAGTAAAATTGGAAGCCAGTTTTTATCTGAGCTCAAAGCTAATTCCTCCAAGGAAAGCAGCATCTCATAGTTATTTGAGGGCATTTGAAGTGTAATTTTGATACAGTTGAGAGAAACTGTGCTAGCAAGAAATATTATAAACATAAAAATGTGGGAAATTATTAGTTCAACCTATGCATGTGTAAAACTTTTTTTAATATAATAATGTGGGACAACTTTCAGTTATAACAAACTTCATAAGACATCAAGAGGTTCATAGTGTAGAGGTTCCTATAAGTGTAATAAATGTAGGAAGGCCTTCACTAGAAAATTCCACTTCATTGTGCATAGAGAAGTCATACTGGAGAGAATTTTTATGATTTTAATTAAAGTAAAAAGCCACAGTACCAGGGGTTAAAATTCTTTAGCCACCCAAAATTTGTAGAAATGATAATCCTAATCAATATAACAAATATGGCAAAGCTTTCTTCAGTGGATAATACTTTATTGTATATCAGAAGAATCACACAGGAGGGGAAATTAGATTCCTATAGCTGCCAAAACAGATAAGCACAAATTGGGTGGCTTAAAACAACAGGAGTTTATTCTCTCACAGCTTAAGAGGCCAGAAGTCAGAAATAAAGGGATTTGGGAAGTTTGTTCCTTCTGGAGGCTCTCAAGAAGAAACTGTTCTATGCCCTTCTCCTAGATTCTGCTGGTTGCCAGTAATTTTTGGCATTGCTTGATGTGTAGCTATATCACTCCAGTCTCCATCCTCACATGGCTTTCTTCTCTGTGTGTGTCTCTGTCTCTTCTACTCTTCTTGTAAGGAAACCAGTCATCATATTTAGGGCATATCCTAATTTCAGTATGACTTTATCTTCAATAATTACATCTGAAAAGACCCCATTCCAAATAAAGTTACATTCCAAGATTCTGGGTGGATGTGAATTTTGAGGGGGAGGTGGACACTATTCAACCCACTACAAACCCCGTGAATGTAGTAAATGTGAGAAACCTTGTACCTGTAGCTCAGTTTCTGTACAACAATAGTAAGAAGTCCTTTGAATGCTAGCAATGTGGGCAGTTCTTTAACTATAAATCATCCTTCATTAGTATTGGAGAATTCATACTGGAGAGAATACAGTATAAACTGTAATTAGTGTGGAAATACTTTTCAAAATAACTTCTCTTTTACTAATGTAAAAACTCCTAATACTCCTAAATCTCATTAATATAGTCAATGTATTAAATTATTTAGATACCTCATTAACCACAGAGAATGCACATTGAAGAGAAACCTCATGATTATGTCACAGAGCCTTTAGCTATAAAGACCTCATTTAGAGAGCAAATAATTTACACTGGAGAAAACATTATCAATTTATTACATTCATCAGAATGTATAAGAGTTCATTAATTACTTGGCATGTAAAGACTCATGCACGTGGATAAACAACATGTGAGAACTCATACAGGTGAAAAGCCAGTTTGGGAAAATCACCTGGAAAAGAAACTTTGTAAATCACTAAATTCATCCTGAGTACATACTGAATTATTCTATTAATTTGGAAAATTTGGAATTCATGTAAACATATTCTAATAAATTGATATTATCAGATACCAAAAAGAAAAACTTATAAGCTTTAAGATTCTTCAGTATAGTGTTTATAATTTTTTGCATAATTTAAATTAATTCAGGTAGCAGAATAAAAATTCAAATACACTGGAAAGGAATAGGAATATGATAGGGTATGATTCAGAGTCCCTACTCTCGTAGTACCTTACTTTTATTTTTTAAACCAACAAGTTAGAAGGGAAACCTATTTATGAGGGTCATGTACCATATTTTATCAAATCAAACTTGTAATGAACTGTGAGATATGCCATTATTTTGTGTACCACTAAGACTTAAAAAACCTCCTAGACTATGGTATTTCATTGATTATAAGATGCATCATGATTCAGAGGTGTTGAAATGTGGGGGTATAAGTGAACCCTACAATGGAGTCTCTAAGCCATATGATAATTCAGTAATATTTCATTAGGTAGAGGGAAAAATGCATTGGATTTGAGCCCAAATTAACAAAATCTAATCTTTTCCTCTCTACCAAAAATCTTGTGCTGAAATAGTAATTGCACTTATTTCTGTAATATTTTGCTTTCTTTTCAGAAATCTTTTTTGGTATTTCAGCATGTGTATGGATGGTATACTAAGAATTGATCACATTTGGTTGTTGAGGGGCCAGGATGGCTGATTGGAAGTAGCTGCAGTCTGTGGCACTCACAGAGAGGAATGAAAGGAGCAAGTGAATTCAGCACCTTCAATTGAGATATTCGGGTTCTCATATTGGGACTGACTAAGCAAATAGCTTGACCCACAGAGAATGAAAAGAAGTGGGGTGGGGTGATGACCCACTTGGGAGCAGCACCAAGCCAAGGGAACCCCCACCCCCAGCCAAGGGAAGTGGTGAGTCAATGCGTGACCCTTCCCCAGAAATTACACTCATCCCATGGATCTCTGCAAGCTGTGGATCAGGAGATCCCCTCATGAGCCACAATACCAGGGTCTTGGGCTCGATACATGGCCTGTGTGGAGTCTTGGCAGAGTGGCCACTCAGGCACACACAGACACCCAGGAGTTTTGCATACTCCAGCCCCAGGATCTGTGGCAAGGCAGAAGATTCATCTGTGCATGTCCCTAGGAAGGGGGCTGAGTCTGGGGAGCCAAGTGGCATCATTCTGCAGGCCCCATTTCCATGGCATCTCACAGGTTGAGACCCAATGGCTTGGAATTCCAGCCAGCCGGCAGCAGTAGGCTGGAGTCTGCCTGAGTCTGGACCAAGTTCCCAGGGGTAGGGGTGGCTGCCATCTCTGTGGTTTGGTAGACTCAGTTGTTTCAGCCTGCCAGCTTTGAAAAATACAGGTGGTCTGAACAAGGGGGGGATCCCCACAGGACAGCACAGCTGCCTTGCCAGATCTTGGCCAGACTGCTTTTTTAAGCAGGACCCTGAACCATTTCTTCTCACTGGGTGAGACCTCCCTGCAGGGGCTTCAGCCACTCCAGCAAGTGTTCTATAGACAGAGCTCTGATCTCTACCCCCAGGGAGAGCTTTGTCCCACAAAGCTCCAGGGGGAGGGGTGGCTACCATCTCTGCAGTTTGGTAGACTCAGCTGTTCCAGCCTGCTGGCTTTGGAGAATACAAATGGTCCAGATGAGGAATGGTCCTCCCCAACTCAGCTTACCTGCTCTACCAAAGGGCAGTCAGACTGCTTCTTTAGGTAGGTCCCTGATCCTGTTCTTTCCCACTGGGTGAGACCTCCTAGCAGGGGTCTTCAACCACCTCCTGCAGCCACATTCAGGCTGGCAACAAGTGAGTGGCCCCGGAGTTGGAGTTTCTGGAGGAAGGAGCAGGCTTCCCTCTTTGCTGTTTTGCAGGCATCACTTGTGATACCTCCAGGTATGGGAAAAACCGAGGCAACTAGGGTCTGGAGTGGAACCCCAGCAAACCACAACAGCTTTACTGAAGAGTGGCCTGTTAAAACAAACAGAAAATAACAACATCCACAAAGATCTCACAAAAGTCAGAAACCTCAAAGATTGAAGGTAGATAACCCCACAAAGATGAGAAAAAATCAACACAAAAACACTGAAAACTCAAAAAGTCAGTGTGTCTTCTCCTCCAAATGACCACAACACCTATCCAGCAAGGGCACAGAACTGGGCTGAGGCTGAGATGGCTGAATTGACAGAAGTAGACTTTAGAAGGTGGGTAATAATGAACTTCACAGAGCTAAAGGAGCATGTTATAACCCAATGCAAAGAAGCTAGGAATCATGATAAGACAATACAGGTGCGACAACCAGAATAGCCAGTTATGTTTCTCTCCTTTAGAGAGATTTAGAAGTCCTGGCCACAGCTATGAGCCTGCAAGATAAAGAAATCAAGAGTATTCTAGTAGGAAGAGAGGAAGTCATATTGTCTTTGTTTACAGATGACATGATCCTATATCTAGAAAACTCCATTGTCTTGGCCCAAAAGCTTCTAAGCTGATAAGCAACTTCAGCAAAGTCTCAGGATATAAAATCAATGTGTAAAAATTGCTAGCATTTCTATACACCAATAACAAGCAAGCAGAGAGCCAAATTATGAATGAACTCCCATTCACAATTGCTACAGAAAGAAAAAAATATCCAGGAATACAGCTAACAAGGGAAGTGAAGGACCTCTTCAAGGAGAACTACAAACGGCTGCTCAAGGAAATCAGAGAGGACACAAACAAATGGAAAAACATTCCATGGTCATGGATAGGAAGAATCAATACAGTGAAAATGGCCATACTGCCCAAAGTAATTTGTGGAATCAATGCTATTCCCATTAAACTACCATTGACACTCTTCACAGAATTACAAAAAACTATTCTAAAATTTGTATGGAACTAAAAGAGAGCTTGAAAAGCCAAATCATCCTAAGCAAAAAGAACAAAGCTGGAGGTATCACGCTACCTGACTTCAGATTATACTACAAGGCTACAGTAACTAAAACAGCATGGTACTGGTACAAGAGCAGACACATAGACCAATGGAACAGAATAGAGAACTCAGAAATAAGACCACACACCTACAGTGATTTGATCCTCAACAAACCTGACAAAAACAAGCAATGGGGGAAGATTTTTTATTTTATAAGTGATGCTGGGAGAACTGGCTTTCCAAATGCGGAAAGTTGAAACTGGAACCCTTCCTTACACCATATGCAGAAATTAACTCAAGGTGGATTAAAGACTTGATGTAAAACACAAAAGTATAAAAACCCTAGAAGAAAATCTAGGCAATACCATTCAGGACATAGGCACAGACAAAGATTTCATGATGAAAATGCCAAAAGCAATAGCAGCAAAAGCAAAAATCGACAAATGGGATCTAATTAAACCAAAGAACTTCTGCACAGCTGAAGAAACAATCATCAGAGTGAATAGACAACCTACAGAATGGGAGAAAATTTTTGCAATCTATCCATCTGACAAAGTTCTAATATCCAGAGTCTACAAGGAACTTAAATTTATAAGAAAGAAAAAACCCCATTAAAAAGTGGGCAAAGACATGAAGAGACACTTATCAAAAGAAGACATACACATGGCCAACAAGCATATGAAAAAGAAGCTGAACATCACTGATCGTTAGGGAAATGCACATAAAAACCACAATGAGATACCATCTCATGCTAGTCAGAATGGCTATTACTAAAAAGCCAAAAAACAACAGATGTTGCGAGGTTGCAGAGAAAAAGGAATGCCTTTACACTGTTAGTAGGAGTGTAAATTAGTTCAACTGTGGGGATTCTTCAAAGATCTAGAGGCGGAAATACCATTTGACTTAGCAACCCTATTATTAGGTTTTTCCCCAAAGGAATATAAATCACTTAATTGTAAAGATACATGCACGTGTATGTTCATTACGGAACTATTCACAATAGCAAAGACATGAAATCAACATAAATGCCCATCAACAATAGACTGGATAAAGAAAATATGATACATATACACCATGGAACACTATGCAGCCATGAAAAGGATCAGGACATAGATGAAATTGGAAGCCATTATCCTCAGCAAACTAACACAGGAATAGAAAACCAAATGTTGCTTGTTCTCACTTACAAGTGGAAGCTGAATTATGAGAATACATGGACACATGGGGTGTGGGGAACAACACACACTGGGGACACGTGGGGACTGTCGTGGGGACAGGGGGAAGGAGAGCATCAGGAAAAATAGCTAACGGATGCTGGGCTTAATACCTAGGTGATGGAATGATCTGTGCAGCAAACCACCATGGCACACATTTACCTATGTAACAAACCTGCACATCTGGAACATGTCCCTTTGAACTTGAAGAAAAAGAATTGATCACATTTTCCTGGTTTCTCATATATTAAGTATTTTGAATTATAGTTAGACTTTGTGATTTGTCCTCAGTCCTGGCACATAAATCTTGAGATACCCTGTGTACTATGATTAATTATTTTGAATACACTGCACTAACTCATCTTGTAACATATTTTTAGTTTTAGTTTTTTTATATATATACTATGTATCCATAATAGTTACAGTTTATATAGGGTACATGAGATATTTTGATACAGGCGTGCAATACATAATAATCACACCAGGGTGAATGTAGTATCACTCACCTCAAGCATTTATCTCTGTGTTACAAACAATCCTATTAAAAATCAGAAATGAGATATTCCAACAGATGCCTCAGAAATAAAAATATTATAATTGACTATTATGAAGAATTATATACTAACTAATTGGATAACCTAGAAGGAATGGATAAATTCCTGGAAACATGCAACCTACCAAAACCAAATCAAGAACAAATAGATATCCTGAACAGACCAGTAACAAACAAGATTAAATTAGCAACGAAAAACTTCCCAACAAAGAAAAGCCCAGGGCCAGATGGCTTCACAGCTGAATTTTTTTTTTTTTTTTTTTTTTTTTTTTTTTTTTTTTTGAGACGGAGTTTCGCTCTGTCGCCCAGGCTGGAGTGCAGTGGCGCGATCTCGACTCACTGCAAGCTCCGCCTCCCGGGTTCACGCCATTCTCCTGCCTCAGCCTCCCGTGTAGCTGGGACTACAGGCACGCGCCACACAGATGAATTTTAACAAACATTCAGAAAGGAATTAATGCCAATGCTTCTGAAACTCTTTCAAAAAATAAAGCAGGAACCTTTCAAACTCATTTTATGAGGCCACCATTGCCCTGATACCACAGCCAAAGACATCACAAGAAAAAACTCACAAGCCAATATCCATGATTTATGTGGATGCAAAAATCCTCAATGAAATACTAGCAAACAGTTTCAACAGAACATGAAAAGTATTATACATCAAAGGCGAAGTGGTGGGTAGGAGACAGGGCTAATGGGCAGCTACCAAATGGATGGACGGAACAGCATGTGGAGACTTACACTGTGATCTTTTGCTCAAGAACCATTGCAGGAACATATCAGGAAAACCATAAGAATTCACAGATCCTTTGAAAGAAGTGACATGCCACTGCAAATTCTGTGCAACAAGTGAAAACCTATAGGTTCCCAAAGTGTGAGAGGGGGAAAACCTCCCTCTGAACATACATCCCCATTGGGGAATCTGAAAATCTAGATCATGAGAGAAGGATTTAACTTCTTGTACACTGTCAGTGGTTATATAAATTAGTACAATCATTATGAAGAACAGTTTGGAGGTTCCTTAAAAAACTAACAATAGAGCTACTATATGATCCAGCAATCCCACTGCTAGGTATATGCTATAAAATAAAGGAAATCAGTATTTTGAAGAGATATCTGCGCTCCCATGTTTGTTGCAGCACCATCACAATAACCAAGATTTGGAAGCAGCCAAGCCCAGGGAAGCCATCCCTGACTATATCTCACAGGGACCCTTGGGGAAGGCAGACAGTGGAATTGGGGAGGGGTTGTGGGGCAAAAGAAGTTCTCAACTTAAATTGGTAGTGATTTCGACTGGGCACAAGTTTTCTTGAACAGAGTCTGGGGGATGAGCAGGAGCTGTTGTGGGTATGAATGCGTGCAGGAACACAGGAGCTGCTGCCAACAGAGCGGGCAGACAGAGAGGGGTGAGGTCCGAAAGTTGTGCGTGCTTTCTCAGCAGGGTAGCTCATGGCCTGGGGCAAGGTCTGAGTGGGGCACTGTGGGCGTGACACCAGCCTCACCAACTGCATGGGAGCTGGGTCAGGCCTCTTGCTACCGGCTATCCCCAACTTCCCTGGTGAACTGTATGACACAGCAGAGGCAGCCAAGAGCCCCTCAGGAACATACCCCATTGGCCTGATAACCACTCTCAACCCCATTATCTACAGTGGTTGTGGCAAGCCCTGCCCAAGGAGAGTCTGAGCCCAGACCTGCCTAACCCTGCCCCTACCTGCCTTGGTAGCCGAACACAAAACACAGAAACTCTTGGGAGTTTCATGGCCCCACCCATCACCTGAGAAACCTGGTATCCATGGCTGGGAGACCTGAATACAGATCACATCACAGGACTCTGCAGACATCTCCCAGCACCAGCCTGGAGCCTAGTAGCCCCCCTGGGTGGCTAGACCCAGAAGAGAAATAACAATCACTGCAGTTCAGCTATCAGGAAGCCCCATTCCTAGGGGAAGGGGGAGAGTACCACATCAAGAGAACACGCAAAGGGACAAGAGAATCTGAACAGAAGGCCTTGAGTTTCAAACCTCTCTGCTGAAATAGCCTACCCAAATGAGAAGGAACCAGAAAAGTAATTCTGGTAATATGACAAAACAGAGTTCTATAACACTCTCCAAAAATCACACCAGCTACCCAGTAATGGATACAAACCAAGAAGAAATCTCTGAATTTCCAGATAAAGAATTCAGAAGGTTGATTATTAAACTACTCAAGGAGATACCAAAAAAAAAGTGAAAATCAACTTAAATAAATTTAAAAAAATATAGGATATGGTTGAAAAAATCACCAGAGAAAGAGATATCATAGAGAAAAAACAATCACAACTTCTGGAAATGAAAGACACACTTAGAGATATAAAAATGCAGTGGGAAGTTTCAATAATAGACTAGAGCAAGTAGAAGAAAAAACTTTAGAGCTCAAAGACAAAGCTTTGAAATTAATCCAATCAGACAAAGACAAAAAGAAAAAAAAATTGAAAAAAATGAACACAGCCTTCCAGAAATTTGGGATTATGTTAAATGGCCAAACCTAAGAATAATTCATGTTCTTGAGGAAGAAGAGAAAAGTTTGGAAAACTTACTTGAGGGAATAATTGAGGATAACTTCTCTGCCCTTGCTAGAGATCTAGACATCCAAATACAAGAAGCTCAAAGAACACCTGGGAAGTTCTTCACAAAAAGATCATTACCTAGGCACATAGTCATCAGGTTATCTAAAGTCAAGATGAAGGAAAGAATCTTAAAAACTATGAGACAAAAACATCGGATAACCTGTAAAGGAAAACTTATCAGGTTAACAGCAGACTTCTCAGCAGAAACATTACAAGCCAGAAGGGATTGGGGTCTCATCTTTAGCCTCCTGAAACAAAATAATTGTCAGCCAAGAATTTTGAATCCAGTGAAACTTAAGCTTCATAGACAAAGGAAAGGCAGTCTTTTTCAAACAAATTCTGAGAGAATTCGTCACTACTAAGCCAGCACTACAAGAAATGCTAAAAGGAGCTCTAAATCTAGAACAAAAACCTCAAAGTACACCAAAATAGAACCTCCTTAAAGCATAAATCTCACAGGGCCTATAAGACAATAATACAATAAAAAAAAAAGGTTTTAAGGCAACAACATGATGAATAGAACAGTACCTCACATCTCAATACTAATGTTGAATGTAAATTGTCTAAATGCTCCACTTAAAAGATATAGAATGGCAGAAGGGATAAACATCCATCAACCAAGTATCTGCTGCCTTAAAGAGTCTCACCTAACACATAAGGATTTACATAAACTTAAGGTAAAGGTGTGAGAAAAGATATTCCATGCAAATGGAAACCAAAAAGCAGGATTATCTATTCTTATATCAGACAAAAGAGACTTTAAAGCAGCAACAGTAAAACAAGACAAAAAGGGACATGATATAATGATAAAAAGAATAGTCCAGCAGGAACATATCACCATCCTAAATATATTAGGCACCTAACACTGGCACTCACAAATTTATAAAGCAATTACTACTAGACCTAAGAAATGAGACAGACATCAACACAGTAATAGTGTGGGACTTCAATACTCCACTGACAGCACTAGACATGAATCAAGACAGAAAGTCAACAAAGAAACAATGGACTTAAACTTTACCTTAGAACAAATGGATTTACTAGATATTTACAGAACATTCTACCCAACAACTGCGGAATGTAGATTCTTTTCTTCAGGTCATGGAACATTCTCAAGATAGACCATATGATGGGTCACAAAGCAAGTTTCAATAAATTTAAGAAAATTGAAATTATATCAAGTATCCTCTCATACCACAGTGGAATAAAACAGGAAATTAATTCCAAAAGGAACCCTCAAAACTATACAAATACATGGAAATTAAATAAAATGCTTTTGAATGATCTTTGAGTAAACAGTAGAATCAAGATGGAAATTAAGAAATTTCTTGAGCTGAACAATAATAGTGACATCAAAACCTCTGGGTTATAGCAAAAGTGGTGTTAAGAGGAAAGTTCATAGCATTAAATGCTTACATTAAAAAGTCTGAAAAGAGTAAAAATAGACAATCTAAGGTCACACCTCAAGGAACTATAGAAACAAGAACAAACCAAACCCAAATCCAGCCGAAGAAAATAGCAAAGAATAGAAAGAAATTGCAAAGAATAAAAAAGAAATAACAAAGGTTAGAGCAGAACTAAATAACAACAAAAAATACAAAAGATAAATAAAACAAGAAGCTGGTGCTTTGAAAAGATAAACAAAATTGATAGATCATTAACGAGATTAACCAAGAAAAGAAGAATAACTAAATAAGCTCAGTTAGAAATGAAATGGGAGACTGGGCACGGTGGCTCACATCTGTAATCCCAGCACTTTGGGAGGCTGAGGCAGGCGGATCATTTGAGGTCAGGAGTTCAAGACCAGCCTGACCAACATGGTGAAACCCTGCCTCTACTAAAAATACAAAAAAATGAGCAAGGCATAGTGGCACATGCCTGTAGTCCCAGCTACTCAGGAGGCTGAGGCAGGAGAATCACTTGAACCCAGGAGGTGGAGGTTACAGTGAGCTGAGATCGTGCCATTGCACTCCAGCCTGTGCGACAGAGTGAGACTCCATCTCAAAAAAAAAAAAAAAAAAGAAGAAGAAGAAAAAAAATGAAATGGGAGATATTACAACCAATACCACAGAAATACTAAAGATCATTCAAGGCTACTATGAACACCTTTATGCACACAAACTAGTAAATGTAGAGGAGATGGGTAAATTTCTGGAAATATACAATCCTTCCAGATTAAATCAAGAAGAAATAGGAACTCTGAACCAAATGATAACAAGTAGCAAAATTGAAACAGTAATAAATTTCCAACAAAAAAAAGTCCAGGACCAAATGGATTCACAGCGGATTTCCATCAGATATTCAAAGAAGAGTTGGTACCAATCTTACTGAAATTATTCCAAAAGATAAAGAGGGAATCCTCCTTAAATCATTCTGTGAAGTCAGTATCACCCTAATTCCAAAACCAGGAAAGGACATAACAAGAAAAAAAAACTAAAGATAATATCCCTGATAAGCATAGATGCCAAAAATCCTTAACAAAATACTAGCTAACCAAATCCAACAGCATATAAAAAAGATAATATACCATGATCAAGTGGGTTCCATACCAGGGATGCAGGGATGGTTTAACATATACAAGTAAATAAATATGATATATCACAAAAAACAGAAGTAAAAACAAAAATTATATGATCATCTCAATAGATGAAGAAAAAGGATTTGACAAAATCCAGCATCACTTTATGATTAACACTCTCAGCAAAATTGGCATAGAAGGGACATACCTCAAGGTAATAGGAGCTATCTATGTCGGACTCACAGCCAACATTATACTGAATGGGGAAAAGTTGAAAGCATTCCCCTTCAGAACTGGAACAAGACAAGGATGCCCACTTTCACCACTTCTATTCAACATAGTACAGGAAGTGCTAGCCAGAGCAATCAGACAAGAGAAAGAAATAAAGGTCATCGAAATTGGTAAAGAGGAACTCAAACTATCTCTGTAGATGAAATGATCCTATACCTAGAAAACCCTAAAGACTCATCCAAAACCCCCCTAGATCTGACAAATGAATTCGGTAAAGCTTCAGGATACAAAATAAATGTACACAAGTCAGTAGCACTGCTATGCACCAACAGTGACCAAGCTGAGAAACAAATCAAGAACTTCAATCCCTTTTACAAAACAAATTTAGGAATATAGCTAACCAATGATGTGAAAGATTTCTACAAGGAAAACTACAAAAAAACTGCTGAAAGAAGTCATTGATGACACAAACAAATGGAAACACATCCCATGCTCATGGATTGGAAGAATCAATATTGTGAAAATGGCCATACTATCCAAAGCAATCTACAAATCCAAGCAATTCCCATCAAAATACCAACATCATTTTTCACAGAATTAGAAAAAAAAATCCAAAAATTCATATGAAACCAAAAAAGAGCCTAAATACTCAAAGCAATCCTAAGCAAAAAGAACAAATCTGGGGGAATCGCATTACCTGATTTCAACCTATACTACAAGGCTATAGTTTCCAAAACAGCATGGTCCTGGTATAAAAATAGGCATGTAAACCAATGGAACAGAATAGAGAACCCAGAAATAAAGTGAAATACTTGCAACCAACTGATCTTCTACAAAGCAAACAAAACATAAAGTGGGGAAAGGACACCCTATACAACAAACGATGCTTGGATAATTGGCAAGCCACATGTAGAATAATGAAACTGGATTCTCATCTCTCACCTTATACAAAAATCTACTCAAGATTAATCAAGGACTTAAATCTAAGACCTGAAATCATAAAAATTCTAGAAGATAACATTGGAAAAACTCTTCTAGACATTGGATTAGGCAGAGTTCATGACCAAGAACCCAAAAGCAAATGTAACGAAGACAAATAGATGGGACCTAATTAAACTAAAAAGCTTCTGCACAGCAAAAGAAATAATCAGCAAACAGACAATCAGAGTGGGAGAAAATATTCACAAACGATGCATCTGACAAAGATTCAGAATCCACAAAATCTGACAAATATTCAGAATCCACAAGGAACTCAAAAAAAATCAGCAAGAAAAAGAAATAATCCCATCAAAAAGTGGGCAAAGGACATGAATAGACAATTCTCAAAAGAAGATATACAAATGGCTAACAGACATATGAAAAAAAAAATACTCTCAGCATCACTAATTATCAGGGAAATGCAAGTGAAAATCACAATGAGATACAACCTTACTCCTGCAAGAATGGCCATAATTTAAAAATAAAAAAAAATAGTTGTTTGTGTGGATGTGGTGAAAAGGAACACTTTTTTTTTTTTTTTTTTTTTTTTGAGACAGAGTCTTACTCTGTCACCAGGCTGGAGTGCAGTGGCACAATTTTGGCTCACTGCAACCTCCACCTCCCAGGTTCAAACGATTCTCCTGCCTCAGCCTCCCCAGTAGCTGGGACTACAGGCGTGCGCCACCACACCCAGCTAATTTTTGTATTTTTAGTAGAGATGCGGTTTCACCATGTTGGCCAGGATGGTCTTGATCTCTTCACCTCGTGATCCACCTGCCTCAGCCTCCCAAAGTACTGGGAATACAGGTGTGAGCCACTGCGCCTTGCCAAGGGAACACTTTTACACTGCTGGTGGGAATGTAAAATAGTACAAACCACTATAGGAAACAGTATAAAGATTCTTTAAAGAACTAAAAGTAGAATTATCATTTGATCCGGCAATCCCACTGCTGGGTATCTACCAGAGGAAAAGCAGTCATTATATGAAAAAGACACTTGTCCACACATATTTATAGCAGCACAATTCACAATTGCAAACAAAATGGAACCAGCCTGAGTGCACATCAACCAATGAGTAGATAAATAAATATGGTATATATACACCATGGAATACTACTCAGCTGTAAAAAGGAATGAAGTAACGGCATTCGCAGAAAACTGGATGGAGTTGGAGAATGTTATTCTAAGTGAAGTAACTCAGGAATGGAAAACCAAATATCATATTCTCACCTGTAAGTGGGAGCTAAGCTATGAGGATGTAAAGGCATAAGAATGATATAATGGACTTGGGAGACTTGGGGGAAGGGTGGAAGGTGGGTGAGGGATAAAAGACTACACATTGGGTACAATATACACTGCTAGCGTGGCAGGTGGACCAAAATCTCAGAAATCACCACTAAAGTAAGCAAAAAACCACCTGTTCCCCAAAAACTATTGAAATAAATAAATTAATACATAAAACTCTAATTAGACTGATTAGGGGAAAAAAAGGAAAAGCACAGATCACCAATCAGTAACAAGAGAGGAGACATCCTATAATCATTAAGAGATGATTAAGGATATCCAATATGTGTAACACATAATTAATTTGGAAAAAAAATCTTTTTAATAAATAGTGCTGAAACAATAGGATATTCACATGCAACAGAATAAAGTTGAACTCTTTCATCATACCATAAGCAAAATGAATTCAAAATGGATCATTAATTGATATGTTAAATCTAAAAGCACAAACCTTCTAGCAGAAACTATTGAAGTAAACCTTCATGGCTTTGGGCTAGAAAAAGCCTTCTAAGATACAATATAAAATGTATAAACAACAAAAGAAAAATAGATAAATTGAACTTCATAAAAATCGAAAGCTTTGTGCTTTAAAGAACATTATTTTAAAAAGTGAAAAGACAACCAAAGATATAACTGAAAATATATGCACACCATATATCTGATAAGGGACTTGTATCCAAGGTATACAAAGAGCTCTTACAAGTCAATAATAAAAAGACAAATAACCTAGTTTTTAAAAATAGGCAAAGGATCTCATATTAATCTGTTTGGGATGCTATAGCAGAATGCAATAAACTAGGTGGCTTATAAACAACAGAAATCTACTTCTCATAGTTGTGGAGGCTGTGAAGTTCAAGATCAAGGCACCAGTAGATTCAGGGACAGGTGAAGGTCTACTTCCTGGTCCCTTTCTTCTCACTGTGTCTTCACATAGTGGAAGGGGTGAGGAAGCTGTCTGGGAATTCTTTACTAAGGACACTAATCCCATTCATGAGGGCTCCACTCTCATGACCTAATCACCTACTAAAGGTGCCACTTCCTAATACGATCACAGGAGGGGTTAGGATATCAACATATAAAATTTGGTGGGACACAAACATTCAATCTATAATGTATCTGAGTAGACATTTCTCCAAAAAATATATACAAATGGCCCAAAAAAAGATGCTTAATATCATTAGCCATTAGAAAATTTCAAATCAAAACCATGAGATACCACTTCATAACCACTAGGTGACTATAATAAAAATAAATGGAAGATAACAAGTGTTGGCAAGGATGTGAACAAATTGGAACTTTCATATATGAGGATGTACAATGCAACTGCTGTGGAAAACATTCTTGAGATTTCCCCAAAAGTGTTAAATAGTTACTATATGTCCCAAAAATTTCACACGTAGCATATACTCATGAAAACTGAAAACAGTTGTTCAAAAAAAGTGTACATGAATGTTCACAGTGGCATTATTTATAGTAGTCAAAAGTGAAACCAACCCAAATAAGTAATAATTGATGAATACAGAAATAAAATGTGGCATATCTATCTGAATCATTATTTTTCAGTAATAAAAATGAATGAAGTACATGCTACAACGTAGATAGACCTGCAAACATAACGTTATGAGAAAGAAGCCAGCCACAAAAGTCCATTTATTGTATAATATCATTTATATGAAACTTCCCATATAAGAAAATCTATAAACATGTAAAATAGATTAGTAGTTGGAGGCCTAGAGGGTTGAGGGGAACTGGGGAATGGTTGCTGAATGATATGTGGTTTCTTTTTAAGGTTATCAAAATGTTCTAAAATTGATTGTGGTGATGGTTGTACAACTCTGTGAATATTTTAGGATACTGAACCCACCAATATATAAAAATACACATCACACCTTCTTAAAATGGCATCAAAGAAACATGTACTACTTAGGGGCAATTTAACAAAACATGTAAGATATTTAGATTGAAAACTGCCAAATTTACTGAGAGATACTTTATTTTCAACTTTTATTTTAGAATCAGAGGGTACATGTGCAAGTTTGCTACAAAGGTATATTGTGTGATGCTGAGGTTTGGGGTATGACTGAACCTGTAACCCAGCTAGAAAGCATAGTACCCAAAAGGTAGTTTTTCAGCCCTTGCCTTCTCCCTCACTACCTCCTCTAGTAGCCCCAGTGTCTATTGTTCCCATCTTTATGTCCATACGTATTCAATATTTATCTCCCACCTATAAGTGAGAGTATGTGGTATTTGGTTCTCTGTTTCTGCATTAGTTTGCTTAGAGTAATGGCCTCTGGCTGCACCCATGTTGATGCAAAGGATATGATTTCATTCTTGTTATGGCTGTGTAATATTCCATGGTGTATTTGTCCCGCATTTTCTTTTTCCAGTCCACCATTGATGGTCACCTGGGTTGATTCTGTGTTTTTGTCAAATGGTAGTTCAGCTCTTATTTCTTTGAGAAATCTCCAAATTGCTCTCCACAGTGGCTGGTCTTAAAATTACACTCCCACCAACAGGGTATAAATGTCCCTTTTTCTCTGCAGCCTTGCCAACATCTGTTATTATTATTTTTTTACTTTTTAATAAAACCATTCTGGTTTGAGATGATATCTCATTGTGGTTTTGATTTGCATTTCTCTGATTAGAGATGATGAGCATTTTTCATATGTTTGGGGGCCATTTCTATGACTTCTTTTGAAAAGTGTCTGTTCATGTCCTTTGCCCAATTTTTAATGGGATTATTTGCTTTTTTGCTTGTTGATTTGTTAAAGTTCCTACTCATCTGACAAAGGGCTAATATCCAGAATCTACAATGAACTCAAACAAATTTACAAGAAAAAAACAAACAACCCCATCAAAAAGTGGGCGAAGGACATGAACAGACACTTCTCAAAAGACGACATTTATGCAGCCAAAAAACACATGAAAAAATGCTCACCATCACTGGCCATCAGAGAAATGCAAATCAAAACCACAATGAGATACCATCTCACAACAGTTAGAATGGCAATCATTAAAGAGTCAGGAAACAACAGGTGCTGGAGAGGATGTGGAGAAATAGGAACACTTTTACACTGTTGGTGGGACTGTAAACTAGTTCAACCATTGTGGAAGTCAGTGTGGTGATTCCTCAGGGATCTAGAACTAGAAATATCATTTGACCCAGCCATCCATTACTGGGTATATACCCAAAGGACTATAAATCATGCTGCTATAAAGACACATGCACACGTATGTTTATTGCGGCACTATTCACAATAGCAAAGACTTGGAACCAACCCAAATGTCCAACAATGATAGACTGGATTAAGAAAATGTGGCACATATACACCATGGAATACTATGCAGCCATAAGAAATGATGAGTTCATGTCCTTTGCAGGGACATGGATGAAACTAGAAACCATCATTCTCAGCAAACTATCACAAGGACAAAAAACCAAACACCGCATACTCTCACTCATAGGTGGGAATTGAACAATGAGAACACATGGACACAGGAAGGGGAACATCACACTCTGGGGACTGTTGTGGGGTGGGGGGAGTGGGGAGGGATAGCATTAGGAGATATACCTAATGCTAAATGACAAGTTAATGGGTGCAGCACACCAGCATGGCACATGTATACATATGTAACTAACCTGCACATTGTGCACATGTACCCTAAAACTTAAAGTATAATAATAAAAAAGTAAAATAAAATAAAATAAATAAAGTTCCTTATAGATTCTGGATATTAGGCTTTTGTCAGATGCACATTTTATGAATATTTTCTCCCATTTGGTATGTTGTCTGTTTACTCTGTTGATGGATCTTTTATTTTTCTGCAGAAGCTCTTTATTTTAATTAGGTTCCATTTGTCAATTTTTGTTTTTGTTGCAATTGCTTTTGGGGATTTAGCTGTACATCCTTTGCTAAAGCTGATATCAACAAGGATATTTAGGGTACTTCCTAGGTTTTCTTCTAGGATTTTTATAGTTTGAGGTCATAAATTTAAGTCTTTAATCCATCTTGAGTTGATTTTTCTATGTAATAGGTAGGGGTCCAGTTTCATTCTTCTACATATGAATAGCCAGTTATCCTAGCACCATTTATTGAATAAGGAGTCCTTTCACCATTGCTTATTTTTGTCGAGTTTGTCAAGGATCAGATGGTTGTAGGTGTGCAGCTTTATTTCTGGGTTCTTTATTCTGTTCCATTAGTCTATGTATCTGTTTTCATACTAGTACGATGCTCTTTTGGTTACTGTAGCCTTACAGTATAGTTTGAAGTTGGGTAATGTGAGGCCTCCAACTTTGCTCTTTTTGCTTAAGATTTCTTTGGCTATTCAGGCTATATTTTTGTTCCATATGAATTTTAAAATAGTTTTTTTCTAGTTCTGTCAAGAATAACATTGGTAGTTTGATAGAAATACTGTTGTCTATAGATTGCTTTGGGCAGTATGGCCATTTTAACAATGTAGATTCTTCCAATCCATGAGCATAGAATATTTTTCCATCTATTTATGTCATCTCTGATTTCTTTCAGCAGTGTTTTGTAGTTCTCCTTGTAGAAACCTTTCACCTCCTTGGTTAGCTGTGCTCCTAGGTATTTTTTTGTGGCTATTGAAAATAGGATTGTGTTCTTGATTTGGCTCACAGCTAGAATGTTACTGGTATATGGAAATGCTACTGATTTTTGTAGATTGATTTTGTATCCCAAAACTTTACTGAAGTAGTTTATTGGTTCTAGGGGGCCTTTTGGTGGAGTCTTTGGGGTTTTCTGGGTATGGAATCACATCATCAGCAAAGAGAGATAGTTTGATGCTGTTCCTGCTTGGATGCCTTTTATTTATTTCTCTTGCCTGATTGCTCTGACATAGTACTTCCAGACCTATGGTTAAATAGAAGTGGTGATAATGGGTATCCTTGTCTTATTGCAGGTCTCAAGGAAAAAAGTTCTAGCTTCTGCCCATTCTGTATATTGGCTGTGGGTTTGTCATAGATGGCTCTTATTATTTTGAGGTATTTTTCCATTGATGCTTAGTTTGTTGATGGTTTTTATCATGAAGGGATGTTTGATTTTACCAAAAGCTTTTCCTGTGTCTATTGAGATGATCATATGATTTTTGTTTATAATTTTGTATATGTGGTAAATCACATTTATTGATTTGCATATGTTGAACCAACCTTGCATCCCACGAATAAAGCCTACTTCATCATAGTGAATCAACTTTGTGATGTGGTCTTGGATTCAGTTTGCTAATATTTTGTTGAAGATTTTTGCATCTATGTTCATCGGGGATATTGGCCTGAAGTTTTCTTTTTTCTTTCTGTCTCTGCTAGATTTTGGTGTCAGGATGATGCTGGCTTTGTAGAATGAGTTAAGAGGTCCCTTCTCTGTGATTTTTTGGAATAGTTTTAGTAAAATTGGTTCCAGTTCTTCTAAGAGATCTTTTTAAAGACCTAAATAAATAGTGAAGTATCCCATGTTCATATATAGAAAGGTGTCACATTTCTGGAATTGCATTTCTCCCATATCAGTTTAAACATTCATTGCAAACCCAATCATAATCTCAGCAGAATTTTCTACAGGATTTGATAACCTTAATATAAAATGTATTGGAAATGCAAATGATTTCATTATACAAACAATCTTGAAGAAGAATCAATCTGGAGGACTTAAACCACCTTACTTCCAGTCTTGTTACACAGTGGCTCTAATTGCAACAGTGTGGTATTGTCAGGACAGACACATATATTAATGGAATCAAATAGATACCAAAGAAATATACCCCTGTGTGTACAGTCAATTGACTTCTGACAAAGGTACTAACGAATCCCATGAAAAGGAAAGTTTTTCAACAAATGATGTTGAAATAACAGGATCGATATGAGAAAAATGAACCTAGACTAGCACCTCACAGTATACACAAAGTTTAACTCAAGACAATTAATACATTTAATGGCAGAAGCTAAGAATATAAAGATTTTAGCAGAAAATATAGGAGGATATCTTTACAATTTGCATAGGCAGAGATTTCTTAAGACAGTGGTACCAACATTTTTGGCACCAGGGACCAGATGCGTGGAAGAGTTTTTCCAAGAACAGTGGTATGGGGGATGCAGGGATGGTTTGGGGATGATTCAAGCGCATTACATTTATTGTGCACTTTATTTCAATTACTATTACTTACTATGATGACTAATATTGAGTGTCAACTTGATTGGATTGAAGGATGCAAACTGTTGTTCCTGGGTATGTCTGTGAGGGTGTTGCCAAAGGAGATTAACATTTAAGTCAGCGGACTGGGAGAGGCAGACCCACCCTCAATCTGGGTGAGCACCATTAATCAGCTGCCAGTGCGGCTAGGATAAAAGCAGGCAGAGGAACATGGAGGGACTAAACTGGTTAAGTCTTCTGGCCTTCATCTTTCTCCTGTGCTGGATGCTTTCTGCCCTCAAACATCAGACTCCAAATTCTTCAGCTTTTGGACTCTTGGACTTACACCAGTGGTTTGCCACAGGCTCTCGGGTCTTCAGCCACAGACCGAAGGCTGCATTATCGGCTTCCCTACTTTTGAGGTTTTGGGACTTGGACTAACTTCCTGGCTCCTCAGCTTGCAGATAGCCTATTGTGGGACTTCATCTTGTGATCATGTCAGTCATTCTAATAAACTCCCCTTCATATATTCACCTATCCTATTAGTTCTGTCCTTTTAGAGAACTCTGACTAATACACATATTCACCATAATGTAGAATCATTGGGAACCCTGAGCTTGTTTTCCTGCAATGGTCCCATCTAGGGGTGATGGGAGACAATGACAGATTATCAGGCATTAGATTCTCATAAGGAGCACACAGCCTACATTCCTTTCCTGTGTAGTTCACAATAGGGTTCGCGTTCCTCTGAGAATCTAATGCCACCGCTGATCTGACAGAAGGCAGAGCTCAGCTTTGCTGGCTCACCTGCCACTCACCTCTGGCTGTGTGGCCTGGTTCCTAACAGGCCACAAACCATGGCCCAGGGGTTGGGAACCCCTGTCTTAAGATACAAAAGCAATAGCCATAACAGAAAAAAAAAAAAAGAGAAATTAGGTTTTATAAAAACCACATTTAATCATCAAAAGTCACAATTAAAAGTATTAATAAGAGGCATATGCTGAGAGAAAATATTCAGAAAGGATTCACCTGCTTTAGACTTGTATCTACATTGTAAAAAGAACCTCTTAAACTCAACTATAAAAAGATATACCTGGGCATGGTGGCTAACGCCTCTAATCCCAGCACTTTGGTAGGCTGAAGCGGGTGGATCATTTGAGGTCAGGAGTTCAAGACCAGCCTGGCCAACATGGTGAAACCCTGTCTCTACTAAAAATACAAAAATTAGCTGGGCATGGTGGCACCCCCTTGTAATCCCACCTACTTGGGAGGCCGAGGCAGGGGAATTGCCTGAACCTGGGAGGCAGAGGTTGCAGTGAGCAGAGATTGCACCACTGCACTCCAGCCTGGGTGACAGGGCAAGACTCTGTCTCAGGAAAAAAAAAAAAAAAAAAGAAAGAAAGAACAACATGCCCTAATTTAGACTGACACTATTGATTTTCTGATGACAAATCTGTGAAAATATGTGACTGAACCAATTATGCAATGTTATGTACCTCACATTTATAAATAAGTAGATAGCTGTATTAATCATGTGAAATATTCCACAACTAGCTCTTAACAAATTTCTTAGTAGAATTTTAACACTTGGACCCCATAACTGGGAAAATATCCTTGCTGACTTAAAGAAGACATGAAAGGTTGAACTCCTATGGAGAACCACCTTTTATGGTAGAAGTGGAGCGACGTCTTCTAATTATATCTGTAGAAAAATTATTCTAATCTATTTAAATTATGAATATATTTACCACTATTTTCATGTGCCTAAGAATGAAGAGAGAAGAAATTTTGGAATGTGGTCCTGCTAATAATTGATGACTCTACTCACTTAGACTAGGTTTTTCTGGCATGAGTTCCAACTATATAAATATCTTCAGGGATTCAGAGAAAAAGTTTTAAATTCCATCAATGTCCTAAGAACAGAGATTGTTGAAAGTCTACTATTTTGGCATTCATTTCTCATTGGTCTTTTAGGCATGAACAAATCTGAAAATTTATTAAAATAACGGCATTCTCTCAATCACATGTATGAGGAATTATATAATAATAAAAATAATGGTTGCAATTTCAGTGGAGATTATTATTTATCAGGAACTATCTATATTTGATACGTTTACTTAATTTTTTTGCACGCATACCATGATATGGTTTGGCTCTGTGTCCCCACCCAAATCTCAGCTTGAATTGTAGTTGCCATAATCCCCACGTGTCATGGGAGTGACCTGGTGGGAGGTAATTTAATCATGGGGGCAGTTACCTAATGCTGTTCTCAAGATAGTGAGTGAGTCATCATGAGATTTGATGGTTTTATAAGGGGCTTTTAGCCCTTTTGCTCAGCACTTCTCTTTGCTGCCACCATGTGAAGAAGGACGTGTTTACTTCCTCTTCTGCCATTATTGTTAAGTTTCCTGAGGTCTCCCCAGCCCTGTGGAACTGTGAGCCAATTAAACCTCTTTCTTTTATAAATTACCCAGTTTTGGGCAGTTCTTTATAGCAGTGTGAGAATGGACTAACACAGTAAATCTGTACCAGGTAGTGGAGTGCTGCTGTAAAGATACCCAAAAATGTAGAAGCAACTTTGGAAATGGATAACAGGCAGAGGCTGGAACAGTTTGGAGGGCTCAGAAGAAGACAGGAAGATGTGGGAAAGTTTGGAACTTCCTAGAGACTTACTGAATGGCCTTTGACCAAAATGTTGATAGTGACATAGACAATGAAGTCCAGGCTGAAGTGGTCTCAGATGGAGATGAGGAACTCGTTGGGAACTGGAGTAAAGGTGACTCTTGCTACATTTTAGCAAAGAGACTGGCAGCATTTTGCCCCTGTTCTAGAGATCTGTGGAAGTTTGAACGTGAAAGAGATGATTTAGGACATCTGGTGGAAGAATTTTCAAAGCAGCAAAGTGTTTGAGAGGTGACTTGGTGCTGTTAAAAGCATTCACTTTTATGTAGTCACAAAGATATGGTTTGGAATTGGAACTTATATTTAAAAGGGAAGCAGAGCATAAAAGTTTGGAAAATTTGTAGCCAGATGATACAATAGAAAAGAAAAACCCATTTTCTGAGGAGAAATTCAAGCCAGCTGCAAAAATTCTCGTAAGTAATGTGGAGTGAAATGTTAATTGCCAAGACAATGGGGAAAATGTCTCCAGTGCATGTCAGAGGTCTTCACAGCAGCCCCTCCCATCACAGACCCAGAAGCCTAGCCAGAAATAATGGCTTCATGGGCCTGGCCCAGGGCTTGCTGCTTTGTGCAGTCTCAGGAGTTGGTGCCCGGCATCCCAGCCATGGCTAAAAGGGGCCAACACACAGCTCAGGCCATTGCTTCAGAGGGTGCAAGCCCCAAGCTTTGGTGGCTTACACATGGTGTTGGGACTGCACATGCACATAAGTCTAGAATTGAGGTTTCAGAACCTCCATGTAGATTTCAGGGGATGTACGGAAATGCCTGGATGTCAAGTCAGAAGTTTGCTGCAGGGGTGGAGCCCACATGGAGAACCTCTGCTAGGGCAATGGGAAAGGAAAATGTGGGGTTGGAGCCCCCAGACAGAGTCCCCACTGGGGCACTGCCTGGTGGAGCTGTGAGAAGAGGGCCACCATCCTCCAGACCCCAGAATGATAGATCCACTAACAGCTTGTGCTATGCACCTGGAAAAGCTGCAGACGCTCAACACCAGCCCATGAAAGCAGCTGGGAGGGGAGCTTTACCCTGCAAAGCTACAGGAGTTGAGCTGCCCAAGGCCATGGGAGCCTATCTCTTACATCAGCATGCCCTGGATATGAGACATGGAGTCAAAAGAGATCATTTCAGAGCTTTAAGATTTGGCTGCCCTGCTGGATTTCAGACTTACTTGGGGCCTTGGCCCTTTGGTTTTGGCCAATTTCTCCCATTTGGAATGGGTGTATTTACCCAATTCCTGTACCTGCATTGTATCTAGAAAGTAACTAACTTGCTTTTGATTTTAAAGGCTCATAGGTGGAAGGGACTTGCCTCATCTCAGATGAGACTTTGGACTTGGACTTTTGGGTTAATGCTGGAATGAGTTAAGACTTGCTGGGACTGTTGGAAGGGCATGATTGTGTTTTGAAATGTGAGGACATGAGATTTTGGAGGGGCCAGGGGCAGAATGATATGAGTTGGCTCTGTGTCCCCACCCAAATCTCACCTTGAATTGTAGTTCCCATAATCCCCATGTGTCATGGGAGGGACCCAGTTGGAGGTAATTTAATCATGGGGGCAGTTACCCACACGCTGTTCTTGAGATAGTGACTGAATTCTTATGAGATCTGATAGTTTTATAAGGGGCTTTTCACCCTTTTGGTCAGCACTTCTCCTTGATGCCGCTGTGTGAAAAAGGAAGTGTTTGCTTCTCTTTCTGACATGACTGTAAGTTTTCTGAGGCATCCCTAGCCCTGCAGAACTGTGAGTCAATTAAACCTCTTTCTTTTATAAATTACCCAGTCTCAGGCAGTTCTTTATAGCAGTATGAGAACAGACTAATACATAACATCTCTAGAAGTAACATGGTCCTTTGTATTTATAGGTGAGATAATCAGGGTTTAGATGTATAGGTGACAATTGTAGATCACACATTTAGTAAATGTCAGTTTGGGGTTTTAGTTCAAGGCATTTGACTTCAGAGTCCACACTTACCAACATCTAATCTCTTATGATTAAGAGTATTTAATCATACTCAGATACTCAGGAGGCTGATGTGGAATGATTACCTGAGCCCAGAAGGAGAAGGTTGCAGGTTGCGATGAGCCTTGATCACATACAACACTGCACTCTAGCCTGGGCAACAGAGTTAGTGAGACCCTGTCTCAAAAAAAAAAAAAAGTATTTGCCTGGCAATAAAGAAACCAAAATAAAGATAGCACTGAGATAATATAACTGTATACATGGCTATACCATTGATACTCATTGTATGAGGGGGTCTCATTTCTATGTCCATGAAATTCTCCTGAATTGAATTCAGCAAAAATAGTAGAGCTCTTCCTGTGTACTGTACCTGGAACTTTACCAGGTTTCTGCAAATACAAATGGAAACAACTCATTGCTCCTGCCTATGAAGAAGTAGAACTATGGTAAAAATAAGAAAATGGCTTCCCAATAATAGGGAGTTATACTATGGAAGTAATGTGGAAGCCCAGCAATGGGAATCATAGTCCAGCCATGATGGCATAGTCATGGGAGAAGAGAGAGGGTGGGGATGGCTTCCAGGAGGGTGTGAAGAGGGGGTCCAGTACTGAAGGGGGAAAAGTTGGATCAGGATTAATTCATGTATTTTGATGATGGCAATAATGTTGGTTGAGATTGAAAGAAGTGGTAATATTTGTAATAAAGAATTTTTCTTGCTTTTCTTCTTAGACATTCACTATGTGCTTATTTTCCCCATAAGATGAATAAAAACAACAAACCTTCCAGTTTCATAGCCATAAGAAATGCTGCTTTCTCTGAAGTCGGCATTGGGATCTCTGCCAATGCCATGCTCCTTCTCTTCCACATCCTCACGTGCCTTCTCAAGCACAGGACCAAGCCCGCTGACCTGATCGTTTGTCATGTGGCTCTAATCCATATCATATTGCTGCTACCCACAGAGTTCATAGCTACAGATATTTTTGGGTCTCAGGATTCAGAGGATGACATCAAACATAAGTCAGTTATCTACAGGTACAGGTTGATGAGAGGCCTCTCCATTTCCACCACCTGCCTGCTGAGTATCCTCCCGGCCATCACCTGCAGCCCCAGAAGCTCCTGTTTGGCAGTGTTCAAAGATTCTCACATCACCAACCACGTTGCTTTCTCTTCCTATGGGTCTTCCACATATCCATTAGTGACAGCTTCTTAGTCTCCACTCTTCCCATCAAAAATCTGGCCTCAAATAGCCTTACATTTGTCACTCAATCCTGCTCTGCTGGGATCCTGAGTTGCTTCCTTGAGCAGACAATTTTCACACTGATGACATTTCAGGATGTCTCCCTTGCAGGGCTCACGGCCCCCCTCCAGTGGATACATGGTGATTCTCTTGTCCAGGCGTAACAGGCAGTCCCAGCATTTTCACAGCACCAACCTTTCTCCAAAAGCACCCCCAGAAAAAATGGCCACGCAGACCATTCTTCTGCTCGTGAGTTGCTTTGTGATTGTGTATGTTTTGGACTGTGTTGTCGCCTCCTGCTCAGGACTGGTGTGGAACAGTGATCCAGTCCGTCATCGAGTCCAGATGCTGGTGGACAATGGCTATGCCACCATCAGTCCTTCAGTGCTAGTCAGTACTGAAAAATGAATGATCAAAGTCTGAACATCCATGTGGGAGAAGGACAATAAATCCCTAATTATTCAGTAATGCATAATGTCTCTTAAGATGAGCATATCCTTTTTAAAATGATTAATCCCATCATAGGGGATATGCTTTCTAGGTTCATTTAATCATATGGGGTTATGCTTTTTCTGTTAAGCCTATTTACTTTGAAACATGTTACTAAGAAGTATACAATAGACAATTTAACCCTATAACTACTGAGATAACACAAGGATCTAATTCAAACCATATACATAAAACTGGAGCTTTGAGTTTCAAACTCCAAATGACAAAACAGAGATGAGCGAGTGTCTGAAGATGGACCTTGGAGCCATGAAGATGCAGGGAGCTGGGATAATAAAAAGGCACAGGGAGGCTTTGGGGTGGCTGTGGTTTCTGCCTCACATGTGGTCCACATGCTGATATTTATCAATGTGTGTGCTTTTAGTATGTATACTTTAATTTTGTCACTTATAAACCAACAAAGCTGTTAATAAAATAGAGAGTCTGAATAGAAATACAACAAATAAAGAGATGCGTTTGGTAATCAAAAAACTCCCCACATAGAAAACCCCAAACCAGAAGGATTCATCACTGATAAACTGTGTCAAATATTTAATGAAGAATTAACACCAATGCTTCACAGAGTCTCCATCCTCCTCCGCCCTCCACAACAACAAATGACTACCTCTCCCCATGACTCAGATCTCTCCAGGGTTCACAGGGCAAAGTCCCCCAGAAAAAAACACCTTTCAGAGTCCCAAGACCCTGTCACTCTGCACTAAATCCCACCAGCGCCCACGGCCAGAAGGAAAACTTTCAAAATATGAGTTAGAATATCATTAAAAAGTCAGAAAACAACAGATGCTGGGGATGATGTGGAGAAATAGGAAAGCTTTTACACTGTTAATGGGAGTGTAAATTAGTTCAACCATTGTGGAAGACAGTGTGGCAATTCCTCGAGGATCTAGAACCAGAAACACCATTTGACCCAGCAATCCCATTACTGGGTATATACCCAAAGGATTATAAATCATTCTACTATAAAGACAACACACACATATGTTTATTTTGGCACTATTCACAATAGCAAAGACTTGGAACCAACCCAGATGCTCATCAATGATAGAATGGATAAAGAAAATGTGGCACATATGGAATACTATGCAGCCATAAAAAAGGATGAGTTCATGTCCTTTGCAGGGACATGGATAAAACTGGAAACCATCATTCTCAGCAAACTAACACAAGAGCAGAAAACCAAACACTGCAGGTTCTCGCTCATAAGTGGGAGTTAAACAATGAGAACACATGTACACAGGAAGAGGAACATCATACACCAGGGCCTGTTGTGGGGTGGGGGGTTAGGGGAGGGAGAGCAGTAGGAGAAATACCTAATGTAGGTGACAGGTTCATGGGTGCAGCAAACCACCATGGCACGTGTGTACCTATGTAACAAACCTGCACATTCTGCACATGTACCACAGAACTTAAAAGTGTAATTTAAAAATAAATTAATTTTTTTTAAAAAAGAATCTGTCCCTCACCTGCTTTACCTCCTCTACGGCTCTGCATTGTTAGGAGAATAAAATCCGAAGTCCTTGTACTGTCCGTCCCTCTGAGTTCACCTCAACGTTGCCCTTCATCCAATGTGTATAACATCTCAGCCTTGCCTTTCTCTTGGAATGGTGGTGAGACTGGGGGATGTCCTTTGGGAGATGTGACTCCCCTTGTCGCCTGTATAGTGCCACACCCAGGAGGGGTTGGTGAAGAGGCTCTCAACCAGGCCTGCCCTCAGAAGGGTTAATGTGGCCTCTTCATCCCTTGGTTGCCATGGGGATAGTTCTTGTCCTTCAGGAAGCAGGGAGAGCAGTTCCCTATTTTGAAGAAGGCTTGAGGGGTTTTCCTCCAATCCACGTGGCCCAGAGAGGGGCAGGAAGCCTAGGGCCAGCTGCCCCTGCTGCTGGGTGTGTGACAGAGCTGTGCCCACACCCCGCCAGCCAGGAGGGGCTGTTTTGAAATGCAGCCTTGGGAAAAAGCCAAACAAGCCAGGGCAAGGAAAAAAAATGGCTGCCTGGAAGAAGAAGGTGGCCACTTCCTCCACAGACCTTGAATCCCACCCAGTGATAAAAATCCCACCCAGTGATAAAAACTCTGAGCTGACCCTGCCCAGCCTCCATATGTCATGAGATGTATGGAAAGGGTGGAGCACAGAACAGGTGCTCCCCAGGCATCCACTGTCAGCATTTATTACTGTCATTGCTATGACTGCCTGTTATTAGTGCCACTACCTGCCTCCTCACCTGGCTGATGCACTGGATGTCCAGGTTCCTTTGATCCCAACTTCTGGGATCAAACCTGGGCATGGGCACAGCTCTGTCACATACCCAGCAGGCTCTGTGGTGGACACCTGGCTGGTCCTTGGATGGTGATGGTCCCCTTGACCCCCAATTCCAACACTCCTGCTGGGTTTTCACCACAAGGTTGCTGGCAGCTGCTGGCCTTCTGATCGTCCAAAGTAGATAGAGGGCAGGATGGAAAGAGCAAAAAGAAAGGGGGAGAGAGGGAAAGCCTGCTCAGATGTTAACACTGCTGGCATCTGCCTTAGAAGTTCCTGTCCTCCACCTTCCAGGCTCCTCCAGAAAAGTGCAGAGAGGCTCTTGCCCCCAAAAGGCAAAGCCATGGACTGCAAGCATTCACAGAGTAGTAAATGGGTGAATGGGATGCGAGTCCTGGCTGGGCTATAAGGGCAAGTCACTTCCCCTCTCTGGGCCTCGGGTTTTTCCATCTGTGAAATGGGTATATAATAACTCCTTTATACAATTCTTGGGATGAATATATATGTTAAAGGCTCAAGAAAGTAGCGATGATGGTCATCACCCCCACACATCATGTCTTTTGTGGGTATTTACAGTTACTCCCCCTGAATTCAGTGAGTGGCTGTGGCTCAGTCCCATAAATACAACCACCAGTATTGGCAGTGGGTGTTTGTAAAGCCAACAGTCTCTCCCATCCATTTTCTCTTATTAGGAACAGCAAACAAAGGAATAAGCATTTCAACTTCACAGCCCATCACTCCACACTATTGTATGGCTTCAGCTACACAAGCTCAGACCTGTCATTTTCCCAGCTGGCCTTGGTGCTATGATCTTTTTAAGCAGACTCTGCTTAGCATCAAAGCCCAAATTCAACAGTAGTGGAAAGGGCTTAGCAAGCCTTGTCCCTGTTGTCCTCCCTTCTCCTTTGCAAGGGCCGACAGCGAAGAGTAACACTGGTGGTGAACTGAATTATCTGAGTCTCCCTCACCTGCTCCCACCCTGGGAGTTCTAGGATATTTTGCTTTTATTGCTAATCTCAGAAACAAGCTCAAGTTTTAAAAACATGCTTTCTTTTTCCATCAAACATTGAAGCAATTTATCTACTCACTCATTTGTACCCACAGTTAAACACAGATATACCTGCTCCATGACCTCCGTCACCTCCCTTGACTCCATTACCTACACTACCTCCATCAACTCAATCCTTTCCACCACCTCCCTTGACTCCATCACCTATACTACCTCCATCAACTTAATCCACTCCATCACTTGTCCCACCTCCATCACTCGACTGCCTCTATCACCTCCACCACCTCGCTCAACTCCACCACCTCCCTCAACTCCACCATCTCTACCACCTCCATCACCTCCCTTGGCTCTGTCATCTATACCACCTCCATCAACTCAATCCACTCCATCACCTGTTCCATGTCCACCATCTCCTTCGCCTCTTTCAGTTCCACCATGTCTACATCATCTATCAATTCTACCACTTCCAGTTCTTCCACCGAATATACTATGTCCTCCAGCTGCACCACAACTTCCACAACTACGTCAATTACCCTTTCGACCTCCACCACCACCACCTCGACCTCTCCACCACCACTAGTTTCTACTACCACCTCTGCCTCCTTCACCTCCAACACCACCTCCACCACCTGTTTCTGCTACTGCCACCTTCGCCACCTCTACCACCTCCACCATCACCTCCATCTCCATCCCTGCCACACCTCCATGCATGGACCCATAAAATATATCAAGAGCCTGTCTAAGTAACACCAAATTCAGCCACAGATTTTCTATTCGAGTCACAAGTATTTCTCCACAAAAGACTGGAGGATTAAGGGATCTGTGGTGGCTTAGAAATGGAAAGGTCTTTGAAAGGATCAAATTCAGTTCCTAATTTTACAGCTGGAGAAATCAGATCTGCCTCCAGCACCACCTCTGCCAAGCCAAAGCCCTGGACACTCCTCCAGCAGGCCAGGCCTTCTCCCACCTCGGTGAAGTCTTTGCCCCAGCAATTCCTCCTACTGGGAAGGCCTCTCCTCTGGTTGAACCCTCCGCACTGGGGTCCTCCTCTGAGCTCCCACAGGCGCCTGTGCGTTCCCATCCCAGCACGAGCCTCAGAGTAGCAGAACTATCTGCCTGTGTCTGTGTGGTCAAGCAGACTGGGAACTCCTGGGAGGTGGAGGCTTGGTCTGAGTCATCTATGTAGCCGAGCACCAGGCAGGTATCTGTGAGGGGCTACGCGGTGTGTACTGAGTGGATCAGGAAAGGCTCCTCATTAACTGGGTCTCCCTTACCAATGTCACCTCCTCAGGGAGGCCTTCCTTGACCACCCATTCTCTATTCCAGTGGTTCTCAAACCTGGAGGGTTTGATAAAACACGGGGTTTCTGATTCAGGGAGGCTAGGGAGGGCCCCAAGAATGCGTGGCGCCCTCTGAGAGCCACCGCTCAGCTCCATTGCCCTGGTTTCCCTCCCTCGCTTTGAAATGGTGTCTCCAGCGACTTCCTCCCGTCTAAGCTCCATGAGGGCAATAATTTGGGGCTGTCTTGTTCTGTGCTCAGCGCAGAGGCTGGCGCGGCACTGAACGAATGTCCAGAGTTAAAAATAAAGGGATAGATGGTCCGCTGGGTGAAGGAGCCAGGAACATCCCAGAAGCCCAACTCGCTTGAGCTCTGGTCCCTCAAACCTCACGAGCCTCCTGCCGTGCCCATGGCCACGGCCCCTTTAAATGTGCGCAGGGACGCCCCGACCCTCGGCTTCCTGGATCCCTGACCCAGCAGGAAAACAAAAACAAAAACAAAATCTTTCCTCTTGTGGCGCGGAGGAAATGTCTAGGAGAGAACGGAGGTGCGGATGCGGCGCAAGCAGAGGCGCAGGCGAAGGCGCGGCGGCCAGAGCGCAGGGTTCCGGCGCGGAGCCCTGAGTCCGGAGCGGAAGCGAAGCCGCGCGCTGCCCCGGCCGCCGCCCACGCGACTTCCGGCGGCGCCGAGGCACGCGCGCCATAAGTTGGAGCTCCCGGGGCGCCCGGGACGAGCTTCCCAGGATTCCCCGACCTTCCCGTGCTGCTCGGCCTTGGCCGAAGCATGCGCGGCTCCGGGGTCCCCTCGCCGAGAATCGGGGTCCCCCCCACCGTCCAAATCGCCCCGCCTCAGGGACCCGCCTCAGCCTTGGCGAGGCCGCGCCCTGGCCGTGTGAGCCCATATCCCACTCTCACGGCGGTCCCCAGAGTGAGGGTCCCTTCCACAACGGAGAAAGACGTCCCTTTCGCAAAAGCGACTTGGTCGGGTCCCCAGACCCTTGCCCTCCACTCCCAGACGTCACAGACAGGCCTCGCTCCCTTCTCAGGGGCCCCACCTGACTGAGGCTTGGCTGGACACAATCCTGAAGCATGCAGATTCCAGACATGACCCCCAGCAGAAACACACATCACTGTTTCAAACCTTTGGCGTGTCATTCGTGAAGGGATGAGATGGCAGCTATTCAGTCATAGTACTCCAAGGGTCCCCGGCTCTACCCTCCAGTTATTCTAACTCAACGGTGAGTTCTCAGCAGAGGCTGTCTTCTCTTGACCCTAGGAGACCCTGCCATCTGCAGTGCTGTGCGTGTAGCTAGTGGGTACCCAATGGAGTAGCTGTAGAAGGGGGGATGTAAGCTCCATGAGGGCAGCAGGGAGGGTGACAGCAAGTTCAGCCTTTTCCCATGGTTGCTGGGTCATAGAAAGTGTTTATCAGTAGCTGCTGGATGAATGAATGCACTGACCTGGACACTTCATTTGAGGAGCACAGGATTTCATTTGGTTGATTTTCATTAGTTGGGCTGCGTGTAGAAGAAAGGTCTGTTCACTTTGTTTACAGAATGAATCTTTAGTGGAAAATCAAGGGGTTTTAAAGATTCTGGTGGAGGGCATAAGCCTAAGACAAAGCACGGGAGGTGGGCTTCACATGGACGGACGGAACTATCTGCAGCGTCCCCTGCAAGTGGTGTGTAGGAGACTCTGAATGGAAATAAAGTTAATCGTACTTTTTCTCCTTTTCTTTATTTTTGTCCTCTAGATTTGCCAAAACCACCTGTCGCTCCCAAGCCAAAGACTACCAGTCCACTGACGCCAGTGACCGCACCCAAATTCCCTTCCTCAGCCAGGCTCGAGAGTCTTCACAGTCCAAACTCCATGTTCACGGGTCTGAAGCCCCCCCATTGCCCCCAAGCCCAGGCTGACTGCCCCAAACGAGTGGAGAGCCAGTGTGTACCTGAATGACAGCTTGAACAAATGCAGCAACGGACGGCTGCTCTGTGTAGACAGGGGGCTTGATGAGGGGCCCCGGTCCGTCCCAAAGTGCTCTGAGTCAGAGACCGACGAGGATTACATCGTCCTCAGGGCTCCGCTGAGGGAGGACGAACCCAAGGACGGGGGCAGTGTGGGGAATGCAGCCCTGGTGTCTCCCGAGGCCTCTGCAGAAGAGGAAGAGGAGCGTGAGGAGGGAGGCGAGGCATGTGGCCTGGAGAGGACAGGAGCTGGTAAGGACTCGGCGGCTATTGCTGCCCCAGCTGCAGTATTGCTGAGCAGGGAGGGTGAAGAAGGCACAGACCTCACTCCTGAGGACCAAGGAGAGGGCTGCGGATGAGCCAGGGACAGAAGAGCAGGTGTCCAGAAGTGAGGAGGAAGAGAAGCTGGTGCAGCCACACAGGGAGTGCAGCCTGGACAATGGCAGGCCTTGGGCTGGAGAGGTGGTCTTCCAGAGCGACCTCCTCCTGCCTCACATCCATGGAGAGGACCACAAGCCCCCCGACAACCCTGGGGAGGCAGAGGAGGATGATGAGGAAGGCTGTGCCAGGACAGACCCAGCGGGGCACATGAGGGTTCGGATCCTGACAGGCCCACTGAGGACATGGGAGAGGATGCTGAGGAAGCCAGCGAGGAGGCCCCTGAGAAGGAGGAACTGGCCGGGGTCCGGAGGCAGAGACGGCCATGAACAGCCCTGAGGTTCTTGAGGAGGGATGTGAAGAGGCCACAGGTGTCATAGGTGGGGAGCAGGTTGACCTTGGTGAACTACCTGACCATGAGGAGAAAAGCAACCAGAAAGTGGCAGCTGCCACCCTGGAGGACCGCACACAGGATGAGCCTGCTGAGGAGAGCTGCCAGATCGTCCTTTTCCAGAACAACTGCATGGACAACTTTGTGACTTCCCTCACAGGAAGCCCCTACGAGTTCTTCCCAACCAAGAGCACCTCTTTTTGCAGGGAGAGCTGTTCTCCTTTTTCTGAGTCAGTGAAAAGCTTAGAATCAGAGCAGGCACCAAAGTTGGGGCTGTGTGCGGAGGAGGACCCCGTGGTTGGGGCTTTGTGTGGCCAGCATGGACCCTTGCAAGATGGAGTGGCGGAGGGTCCCACAGCCCCTGATGTGGTGGTCCTGCCGAAGGAGGAGGAGAAGGAGGAGGTCATTGTGGATGACATGCTGGCCAACCCCTATGTGATGGGAGTGGGCCTGCTGGGAGGATGAGGGGGAGGAGGAGGAGGAGGAGTTCGTGGATGACACACTGGCCAACCCCTATGTGATGGGAGTGGGCCTGCCAGGAAGAGGAGGGGAGGAGGAGGAGGAGGAGGAGGTCGTGGATGACACGCTGGCCAGCCTCTATGTGATGGGAGTGGGCCTGCTGGGAGGAGGAGGGGGAAGAGGAGGAGGAGGCTGTGGATGACACACTGGCCAACCCCTATGTGATGGGAGTGGGACTGCCAGGAGGAGGAGAGGAGGAGGGGAGGAGAAGGAGGAGGAAGCCATGGATGACATGCTGGCCAGCCTCTATGTGATGGGAGTGAGCCTCCCGGGAGGAGGAGGGGGAAGAGGAGGAGGAGGTTGTTGATGACACACTGGCCAACCCCTATGTGATGGGAGTGGGCCTGCCGGTCTGGCAGCCCCTTGAGAAGGAGGGCAGGCTGCATTGGATGCCCTGGGTGGTTATGGCTCAGAAGAAGAAATGAACTGTGAAGGAGAGGGCAGCCTGGTCTCCGTGGACAGGAAGAACATCGACACAAGGGCCTGGCCCCACTCTGGGAAGGTGGCCAGAAACCGTCCCAGAAACTGCCCCCAAAGAAACCAGATCTGAGGCAGGTTCCTCAGCCCCTGGCATCGGAGGTGCCGCAGAGGAGGCAGGAAAGAGCTGTTGTCACTGAAGGGAGGCCCCTGGAAGCCAGCAGGGCCTTGCCAGCAAAGCCCAGGGCCTTCACTTTATACCCTCGGTCGTTCTCCGTGGAAGGCCAAGAGATTCCTGTTTCCATCTCTGTGTACTGGGAGCCAGAAGGGTCGGGGTTAGATGACCACAGGATAAAGAGGAAAGAGGAACATCTCTCTGTCGTGTCTGGGAGTTTCTCCCAGAGAAACCACCTTCCATCCAGCGGCACCTCCACGCCTTCTTCCATGGTCGACATCCCACCTCCTTTCGACCTGGCCTGCATCACCAAGAAGCCCATCACAAAGAGCTCTCCCTCTCTCCTGATCGACAGCGACTCCCCGGACAAGTACAAGAAGAAGAAGTCATCCTTTAAGCGGTTCCTGGCGCTGATGTTTAACAAGATGGAGAGGCCAGGCACGATGGCTCATGCCTGTCATCCCAGCACTTTGGGAAGCTGAGGCGAGCAGATCACCGAAGGTCAGGAGTTCGAGAGCAGCCTGGTCAACATAGTGAAACCCCGTCTCTAATAAAAATACAAAAATTAGCCAGGCATGGTGGTGTGCACCTGTAATCCCAGCTACTTGGGAGGCTGAAACAGGAGAATTGCTTGAACCTGGGAGGCGGAGGTTGCAGTGAGCCGAGATTGTGCCATTGCACTCCAGCCTGGGCAACAAGAGTGAGACTCCATCTCAAAAAAAAAAGAAGACGGAGAGTAAATTGCATGTGAAGCTGTCTTCCTCCAGGTCCCTCTTCAGAATCCAGCTGCCACAGGCCTTCCAGGAAAGTCAACCAGAGAAGCCTCAATAACTCCCCTCAGCTTAAGTCTCAAACTGGGACGCTCCAGGCTTCTGAATACCCCTCATCCCACATCTTTTATAGAGATGGCAAGAGGAAAGGTGTCTCCTTCAGCAGGATGGTGTCCAGAGTGGAGTCTTTCAAAGACCGCCCCTGACCGCCCTTTCTGCCCTTGCCACTGGCCAAGCCACTATCTATCTCCTTCCCCAGCGCTGACCATTCAGACTATGAGAACATTCCAACCATGAACTCAGACTATGAGAATATCCAGATTCTGCCCTGGAGGCCTGCAGGGCTGGTGTGTTCAGGAAGCTGTTTGAAGATCAGAGCAGAGCCCTGTCCACAGCAAACTAAAATGATGGCTATGTGGACATGAGCAGCTTCAACACCTTTAAGAACAATCAGCAGAGCACAGACCAGGACGCAGAAAGGTACCTGACATTCTATTTCCTTTCTCGTTTGGTAGCTGTAACTATTCAAAAGGCAGCGTGGGTGTGGGGGACAGATGGACTTGCTTTCCAGCCTCAGGCTCTGTTTCCCACTAGCTGCACTGACTTGGGGTGAGTGGCTTTACATCTCTGAGCCCTAGTTACTTCATCCATGAAACAGGACTCATGCTACCTCACAGCAGATATTTAAGAATATCAGAGTAGATATTCTATGTGAAAGCAGTGTATAAAATGCAAAATATGGTACACGTAAGAGCATTTTTTTTTTTTTGAGACAGAGTCTCACTCTGTCACCCAGGCTGGAGTGCAGCGGCACCATGTCAGCTCACTGCAAACTCCGTCTCCTGGGTTCAAGCAATTCTTCTGCCTCAGCCTCCCGAGTAGCTTGGATTACAGGCACCCACCATCATGCCCAGCTAATTTTTATATTTTTAGTAGAGACAGGGTTTCACCATGTTGGCCAGGCTGGTCTCGAACTCCTGACCTCAGGTGATCCGCCCACCTCAGCCTCCTAAAGACAGCATTTTTATTTACATTATTTGGGGGACAGTTATATCTCCTAGGTAGATGGCTTTGTGACTCCCCTCTGAGAGTGTCACCAAGAGAGAAAGTTTTGGAATCTTGCCAAACTAAATATCTTTTTTTTTTTTTTTTTTTTTTTGAGACGGAGTCTTGCTCTGTTGCCCAGGCTGGAGTGCAGTGGAGCGATCTTGGCTCCCTGCAACCTCTGCCACCCGGGTTCAAGTGATTCTCCTGCCTCAGCCTCCCAAGTAGTGGGGATTACAGGTGTCTGCCATCGCACCCGGCTAATTTTTGTATTTTTTTTAGTAGAGACAGGGTTTCACCACGTTGGCCAGGCTGGTCTTGAACTCCTGACCTCATGATCTACCTGCCTCGGCCTCCCAAAGTGCTGAGATTACAGGCATAAGCCACCATGCCTGGCCCCAAACTAAATATCTTTCACCATCAGGAAAATAGCCTAAATTGAGATTGATACTTTTTATTGAGTAAATATACACTGTATTCAATAAGGAACTAGAAAAGAAATTTTATTTGAATTGTTTAAGGAGCTAATGGTGTGGCTCACACCTGAAATCCCATCACTTTGGGAGGCTGAGGCAGGTGGATCACTTGAGTTCAGGAGTTCGAGACTAGCCTGGCCAACATGGTGAAACCCTGTCTCTACTAAAAATGTAAAAATTAGCCAGGTGTGGTGGCAGGCACCTGTAATCCCAGCTACTCAGGAGGCTGAGGCACGAGAATCGCTTGAACTCTGGAGGTGGAGTTTGCAGTGAGCCGAGACTGCGCCACTGCCCTCCAGCCTGGGTAACAGAGCAAGACTCAGTTTCAAAAAAAAAAAAAGAGCTAATGGTGCTGTTACAGGAAAGGGGTTCCAATCCAGACCCCAAGAGACGGTTCTTGGATCTTAAGCAAGAAAGAATTTACGGTGAGTCTCTACAGTGCCAAGTAAAAGCAACTTTATTAAGAAACTAAAGTAGTGAAAGCACAGCTACTCCATAGAAAGAGTAGGGCATTCCTGAAAGCGGAGGAATGCGTCCACCGTAGGTACAATGCTTGTGTGTGTGTGTGTGTGTGTGTGTGTGTGTATACACAAGCATTGTATATATTTTATATATACATATAAAATATATATACATACAAAAATATTTTATCCTATATATATGATTAAAAAGATTCTCGGGAGATGTGCTCTGCTACAAGGGTTTGTGATAAAGGATTAATTCTCTTAACTAGTATATTTTGCAAGAATTAATATTATTTTTAAAGCAAAATTAGGAATGCCTTTGTTCTCCAGATAGCAGAATATCTGGACACTCCCAAGTCTGGTCTGTTTAGTAAACGTTATTAATTTGTTCCCTTAGCTGTAAACATCTGGAGGCTAGGAATGTCTAACCTTTTGGGAACGCAGTCCAGCAAGTCTCAGCCTCATTTTCCTAGGCCTCACTCGAAATGGAGTTGCTCTGGTTTGAACGCCTCTGACATATCTCCCCCCTCCCTTTACAAAAGGACCCTTAATCCTGGGGGTTGCAGAGGGATGAAGATCTGTCTTCTGTAACTTTTTCAGGCTGAATAGGGGCAATGATATTCCTGCCTAAATTAGGGTCTCTTGCATTCAGGGTAGGGAGAAGCTCAGTTAAAGAGCGTTGGTATGGTTAAGGTTGTTTTTAACTCCCGAGTTCCGACAAAAGGTGATGTCTGGAAGATTAATAAGTGTTTAAGAAAGCATTGAGTGAGCTTGTCTTGCATTTCTACACAAAGAGTACAACTGCAATATATTCCACAACAGCAAAGCAAAATAGGTAAAATTATTCCAAGTAAACTTTAGGGGCAGGAATATCATCGCCCCTATTCAGCCTGGGTCCTGGCCCAAGAACTGGGCAGTTGTTGGAACCAAGCTGATAAAGGGTTGACTGATAGTGCATTCATGGCAGAGATATGAGTGTCTAAAGCTTTTTTTTTTTTTTTTCTTGAGATGGAGTCTCCCTCTGTCACTGAGGCTGGAGTTCAGTGGCACGATCTCTGCTCACTACAAGCTCCGCCCCCCGGGTTCACGCCATTCTCCTGCCTCAGCCTCCCAAGTAGCTGGGACTACAGGCGCCCGCCACCATACCCAGCTAATTTTTTGTATTTTTAGTAGAGACGGGGTTTCACCGTGTTAGCCAGGATGGTCTCAATCTCCTGACCTCGTGATCCACCCGCCTCGGCCTCCCAAAGTGCTGGGATTATAGGCGTGAGCCACCACATCCGGCCGTCTAAAGCCTTTATAGTCTGGGTAATATTATGCGAATAGTCTGGAACATACACACAACATTCGGTTTTGATTAAAGCACAAGTTCCCTCCTTGGGCTGCTGTTAAAATGTCCAAAGCCATATGGTTTTGTAAGACTACCTGCCTAATCGGAGAAGTTTCCTCAGGAGGGTAAGGGCCTGGGGTGTATTATTGAAAACTGCAGCCGTGTGCTTCAGTAACAAGGCTTCAACTTGTAACTCGATACTGATTGTAGCTACCTGTGGGGAAAATACAGCCATTGAATAGAACCATTTTGTTGCCTATGGTGAGCTTTCACAATTTCCCAGTTAGATGGGAGAGAGTCCAATTTGGTGAGGTTAGATCTCCGGAGGTAAGGATGACCACATGTACGTACACCTTTTATTCCAGTTACAAGGTAAGTATGGCCAGCCATGAGTTCTGCAAGCCCATAACCAACCCAAGGAGAAGGGTAGGCACTTACTTTTGGTAAGTTATCTTGCCATCCCATCCACGTTTGGTCTGTTAAAAGAAGGGTCTGATTACATTGTTGAGGTGACAGCCATCCCACATTATGGTTCCAGTTTGGTGGTGACTGTTGTGCCTTTTAAAACATAGAGGTGCTTTGCCTGATACCTGCACTCAAACAGCTGTCATTTGCCCAAGTTCATTATGTATAGCATAACCTAAAGTTGGGGTGGAGTTTAGCTGTTTTTTAATTAGATTAAAAAGGTGCTGTTTTGTTTCTTCATAGGAGTGGAAGGGGCTAAGTCCCGTGTGGCTATGATACATGGGAAAAGAGGGGCTATGTTTATAATGTTTCGTTTTCCAATCATAATAAAATCCCCATAAACTTAGGTTGGCCAGTTGAATATGCCAGGGCCACCCGGAAGTGGAGGAAAGGAGCAATTTTCCACATACCCGACAGTTTGATTTTGTAGAGAGGCCAAAGTCTGTGCCCACTCAGTAAATAAAATACTCTCTGCGTGATTCCAACTTATACCCAAAAGTAGAATGCCAATCCATATCTTTATGTTACCCATCTCTTGTATTTTTTTTGAACAGGAGTTGGAGGTCACTGATTGGCTTACAGGAATAAACGTGATTAGTCTTTCATGTTCCGTCGGCCTGTGGGACTTTTTATAAGAGACGGGTTTAATTTGAGATAGGTGGACCCCGCTGTTTATTTTCAGAAGTTTAACTGCAGTTGGGGTACTTAGGATAACTTGATAAGGTCCCTTACATTTTGGGAAAACTTGGTCTGCTGGGGATCTTTTCTTTCATGTTTTCAATAGGACCCAATCTCCTGGCTGGTTGTAACAAAATTCTCTTTCTTAGTGAAGGAAGGGAGTCTTTGATTTCCATATTTAAGGAGTGCTTTTTGCACTTATCCTAAGTTGATTACATAATTTTGTAGCTTGAAAGTATTTATGTTTATTAGGAGGTCTGTAGTTAAGAAAGGCCTTTCATTCATTATTTTAAAAGGGCTGAGCTGCAGATTTCCCTTTGGGGTCACTTGAACTCGTAATAAGGCTACAGGTAATAAATACAGCCAGGTTTCTGATGTTTCTTGTCATAGTTTAGCAAGAGTTCTTTATATTTTTACCTTTCCATAAGTTATTGGGGCACAGGTGGTATTTGATTACGTAAGTTCTTTGGTGGTGATTTGTGAGATTTTGGTGCACCCATCACCCGAGCAGTATACACTGCACCATGTTTGTAATCTTTTATCCCCCGCCCCCTCCCACTCTTCCCCTCAAGTCTCCAAAGTCCATTGTATCATTCTTATGCCTTTGCATCCTCATAGCTTAGCTCCCACAAATCAGTGAGAACATATGATGTTTGGTTTTCCATTCCTGAGTTACTTCACTTAGCATAATAGTCTCTAGTCTCATCCAGGTCACTGCAAATGCTGTCAATTCATTTCTTTTTATGGCTGCATAGTATTCCATCATATGTTATAAAAAATAAACTGTGATATATATATAATAAACTGTGATATATATATATCACAGTTTGGTAATATGGTATTATTTGATATATACTATATATATATAAACTGTGATATATATAATAAACTGTGATATGTATATATCACAGTTTGGTAATATGTGTTATTTGGTATATATATTATATATAATAAACTGTGATATATATCACAGTTTGGTAATATGGTATTATTTGGTATATATTTGGTGTGTGTGTATATATATATATATATATATGTATATACCTACATACACACACACACACATATATATACCAAATATATATATATCACAGTTTCTTTATCCACTCATTGATTGATGGGCATTTGGGTTGGTTCCACAATTTTGCAATGGTAAATTATGCTGCTATAAACATGTGTCTGCAAGTATCTTTTTTGAATAATGACTTCTTTTACTCTGGGTAGATACCTAGTAGTGGGATTGTTGGATCAAATGGTAGTTCTACTTAAGGAATCTCCATACTGTTTTCCATAGCAGCTGTACTAATTTACATTCCCACCAGCAGTGTAGAAGTGTTCCCTTTTCACTGCATCCACACCAACTTCTAATTTTTTTTTTGTGGTGGGTTGTGGGGGGGTTGTTATGGCCATTCTTGCAGGAGTAAGGTGGTATCACATTGTGGTTTTGATTTGCATTTCCCTGATCATTAGTGATGTTGAACATTTCTTCATATATTTGTTGGCCATTTGTATATCTTCTTTTGAGAATTGTCTATTCATATCCTTAGCCCACTTTTTGATGGGATTGTTTGGTTTTTCTTACTGATTTGTTTGAGTTCCTTGTAGATTCCAGATATTAGTTCTTTGTTGGATGTATAGATTGTGAAGATTTTCTCCCACACCGTGGGTTGTCTGTTTACTCTGCTGACTGTTCCTTTTGCCATGCAAAAGCTGTTTAGTTTAATTAGGTCCCAGCTATTTATCTTTGTTTTTATTGCATTTGCTTTTGGGTTCTTGGTCATGAAATCCTTACCTAAGCCAATGTCCAGAAAGCTTTTTCCAATGTTATCTTCTAGAATTTTTATAGTTTCAGGTCTTAGGTTTAAGTCCTTAATTTATCTTGAGTTGATTTTTTGTATAAGGTGAGAGATGAGGATCCAGTTTTGGTCTCCTACACGTGGCTAGCCAATTATCCCAGCACCATTTGTGGAAAAGGATGCCCTTTCCCCACTTTATGATTTTGTTTGCTTTGTTGAAGATCAGTTGGCTGTAAGTATTTGGGTTTATTTCTGGGTTCTCTATTCTGTTCCATTGACCTATGTGCCTATTTTTATAACAGTACCATGCTGTTTTGGTGACTATGGCTTTGTAGTATAGTTTGAAATCAGGTAATGTGATGCCCCCAGATTTGTTCTTTTTACTTAGTCTTGCTTTGGCTATGCAGGCTCTTTTTTGGTTCCTTATGAATTTTAGAATTGTTTTTTTCTAACCCTGTGAAGAATGATGATGGTATTTTGATGGGGATTGCGTTGAATTTGTGGATTGCTTTTGGCAGTACGGTCATTTTCTCAATATTGATTCTACCCATCCACCAGCATGGGATATGTTTCCATTTGTTTGTGTCGTCTATGATTTCTTTCAGCAGTGTTTTGCAGTTTTCCTTATAGAGGTCTTTCGACTCCTTTGTTAGGTATATTCTGAAGTATTTTATGTATTTATTTATTTTTGCAGCTACTGTAAAAGGGATTGAGTTCTTGATTTGATTCTCCACTTGGTTGCTGTTGGTGTATAGAAGAGCTACTGATTTGTGTACATTAATCTTGTATCTGGAAACTTTGCTGGATTCTTTTATCAGTTCTAGGAGCTTTCTGGAGGAATCCTTAGGGTTTTTAAGGTAAACAATCATATCATCCACAAACAGTGACAGTTTGACTTCCTTTTTGCCTGTTTGAATGCCCTTTATTTCTTTCTCTGGTCTGATTGGTCTGGCTAGGATTTCCAGTACTGTAAAGAAGAGTGGTGAGAGTGGGCATCCTTGTCTTTTCCCATTCTCAGAGGGAATGCTTTCAACTTTTCTGTGTTCAGTATTATGTTGTCTGTGGGTTTGTCATAGATGGCTTTTATTACATTAAGGTATGTCCCTTGTATGCTGATTTTGCTGAGAGTTTTAATCATAAAGGGATGCTGGATTTTGTTGAATGCTTTTTCTGCATCGATTGAGATGATCATGTGATTTTTGTTTTTAATTCTGTTCATGTGCTGTATTACATTTACTGACTTGCATATGTTAAACCATCACTGCATCCCTGGTATGAAACCCACTTGATCATGGTAAATTATCTTTTTGATATGTTGTTGGATTTAGTTAGCTAGTATTTTAGCATCGATGTTCATCAAGGATATCGGTCTGTAGTTTCCTTTCTTGGTTGTGTCCTTTCCTGGTTTTGGTATTAGGGTGATACTGGCTTCATAGAATGAATTAGGGAGGGTTCCTTCTTTCTCTATGTTGTGGAATAGTGTCAAAAAGATTGGTACCAATTCTTCTTTGAATGTCTGGTAGAATTCTGCTGTGAATCCTTCTGGTCCTGGACCTTTTTTGTTGGTAATTTTTAAATTACGATTTCAATCTCACTGCTTGTTGTTGGTCTGTTCAGGGTATCTAATTCTTCCTGATTTAAGCTAGGAGGGTTGTATTTTTCCAGGAAGTTATCCATCTCTTCTAGGTTTTCTAGTTTATGTGCATAAAGGTGTTCATAGTAGCCTTGAATGATCTTTTGTATTTCAGTGGTGTCAGCTGTAATATCTCCTGTTTCATTTCTTAGGTTATTTGGATTTTATCTCTTCTTTCCTTAGTTAATCTTACTAATGGTCTATCAATTTTATTTATCTTTTCAAAGAACCAGCTTTCTGTTTCATTTATCTTTTGTACTTTTTTTGTTCCAATTTTATTTAGTTCTGCTCTGATCTTGGTTATTTCCTTTCTTCTGTTGGGTTTGGGTTTGGTTTGTTCTAGTTTCTCTATTTACTTGAGGTGTGACTTTAGATTGTCTGTGCTCTTTTAGACTTTTTGATGTAGGCATTTAGGGCTATGAACTTTCCTCTTAGCACCACCTTAGCTGTATCCCAGAGGTTTTGATAGGGTGTGTCATTGTCATTCAGTTTGAAGAATTTTTAAATTTCCATCTTGATTTCGTTTTTGGCCCAGTGCTCATTCAGGAGCAGGTTATTTAATTTCCATATATTTGCATGGTTTTGAAGGTTCCTTTTGGAGTTGATTTCCAGGTTTTTTCCACTGTAGTCTGAGAGAGTGCTTGATACAATTTCAATTTTCTTAAATTTATTAAGGCTCATTTTATGGCCTATCACATGGTCTATCTTGGAGAAAGTTTCGTGTGCTGTTGACTAGAATGTGTATTATGCTGTTGTTGGATGAAATGTTCTGTATATTTGTTAAGTCCATTTGTTCTAAGGTATAGTTTAAATCCATTGTTTCTTTGTTGCCTTTCTCTCTTGATGACCTGTCTAGTGCTGTCAGTGGAGTATTTTAAAGTCCCCTACTATTATTGTGTTGCTGTCTATCTCATTTCTTAGGTCTATTAGTAATTGTTTTATAAATTTGGGAGCTCCAGTGTTAGGTGCATATATGTTTATGATTGTGATATTTTCCTGTTGGACAAGGCCTTTTACCATTATCTAATGCCCCTCTTTGTCTCTTTTAACCATGTTGCTTTACAGTTTGTTTTGTCTGATGTAAGAATAGCTACCCCTGCTCGCTTTTGTTATCCATTTGCATTAAATGCCTTTTTCCACGCTTGTACTTTAAGTTTATGTGAGTCCTTTTGTGTTGGGTGAGTCTCCTGAAGGCAGTAGATAGTTGGTTGGTGAGTTCTTATCCATTCTGTCGTTCTGTATCTTTTAAGTGGAGCATTTTGATATTTACATTCAAATGTATTGAATGAAATATTGAAATGTGAGGTACCATTGCATTCATCTTGCTCTTTGTTGCCTGTGTAATTTGTTTTTGTTGTTGTTGTTTTGTTTTGTTTTTGTTTTTTAACTTGTATTTTTGTTTTATAGGTCCTGTGTGATTTATGCTTTAAAAAGGTTCTCTTTTGATGTGTTTTCAGGATTTGTTTCAAGATTTAGAGTTCCTTTTAGCAGTTCTTGTAGTGGAGGTTTGGTAATGGCAAATTCTCTTAGCATTTGTTTGTCGGAAAGTGACTGTATTTTTCCTTCATATATGATGCTTAGTTTTGCTGGATACAAAATTCTTGGCTGGTAATTGTTTTGTTTGACGAGACTGAAGATAGGGCCCCAATCCCTTCTAGCTTGTAGGCTTTCTGCTGATAAATCTGCTGTTAACCTGATAGGTTTTCCTTTATGGGCTACCTGGTGCTTCTGTCTCACATGTCTTAAGGTTCTCTCCTTCGTCTTAACTTTGGGTAACCTGATGGCAATGTGCCTAGGTGAAGATCTTTTTGCTATGAATTTCCTGGTTTTTTTTTTTGTGCTTCTTGTATTTGCAAGTCTAGGTCCCTAGCAAGGCCAGGGAAGTTTTCCTCGATTATTCCCCCAAATATGTTTTCCAAGCTTTTAGAATTGTCTTCTTCCTCTGGAACACCAATTATTCTTAGGTTTGGTCATTTAACATAATCCCAGACTTCTTGGAGGCTTTGTTCATATTTTCTTATTCTTTTTTTCTTTGTCTTTGTTGGATTGGATTAATTTGAAGACCTTGTCTTCCAGCTCTGAATTTCTTTCTTCTACTTGTTCAATTCTATTGCTGAGACTTTCCAGAGCATTTCACATTCTAAAAGTGTGTCCAAAATTTCCTTACTTTTTGATTGTTTTTTCTTTAAGCTATCTATTTCCTTGAATATTTTTCCCTTCACTTCTTGTATCATTTTTAGGATTTCCTCACATTGGGCTTTGCTTTTCTCTGGTGTCTCCCTGATTAGCTTAATAACTAACCTCCTGAATTCTTTTTCAGGTAAATCAGGGATTTCCTCTCGGTTTGGGTCCATTGCTGGTGAACTAGTGTGATTTCTGGGGGGTGTTGAGCCTTATTTTGTCATATTACCAGGGTTGGTTTTCTGGTTCCTTCTCATTTGAGTAGGCTCTGTCAGAGGGAAGGTCTAGGTCTGAAGACTGTTGTTCAGACTTTTTTGTCCCATGCAGTATTCCCTTGATGTAGTAGTCTCCCCCTTTTTCTGTGGATGTGGCTTCCTGTGAGCTGAACTGCAGTGATTGTTATCTCTCTTCTGGGTCTAGCCACCCAGCAAGTCTACCCAGCTCTGGGCTGGTACTGGGGGTTGTCTACAAAGAGTCCTGTGATGTGAACCATCTATGGGGCTCTCAGCCATGGATACTAGTGCCTGTTCTGGTGGAGGTTGCAGAGGATACAGTGGACTCCATGAGGGTCCTTAGCTTTGGTGGTTTAATGCTCTATTTTTGTGCTGGTTGGCCTCCTACCAGGAGGTGCTGCTTTCCTTAAATGACCTTTATCTTCTGCTACTACGGTGGATAGGGAAGGACCATCAGGTGTGGGTGGGGGTAGGAGTGTCTGAGTTCACACTGTCCTTGGGCAGGTCTTGCTGTGGCTGCTGTGGGGGATGGAAGTGAGATTCCCAGGTCACTGGAGTTGTGTACCTAGGAGGATTATGGCTGCCTCTGCTGAGCCATGCAGGTTGTCAGGGAAGTGGGGGAAAGCCAGCAGTGAAAGGCCTCACACAGCTCCCAAGCAAACAGAAGGGCCAGTCTCACTCCCACTGTGTGTCCCCCAACAGCCCGGAGTCTGTTTCCAAGCAGAGGGCCAAACAGGCTTGAAAACTTACCAGAGGCTTTCCACCTCCCAGCTGAGAGTGAAAGGGGATTTAGTTCTTCCCCGTGCCTGTGAAGTCTGCCAGGTTCGCACCCTCCCCCGAGTTCTTGCCAGGAGGCTTCTTGCCCCGTTCAAATTGTTACAAAGCTCAGCTAGAGAATTCCTTCTCCCTGCGGAGTTTTACCGCCTGCCCCTCTGGCCACCCTTCTGCGGGATCCCTGTGGTGTCAGGCAGGAATGGGCTGTTTGGGGACCCAGTGAGCTCCCAGGACCTTTCTTCTGCTTCCTCTGCCTCTGTATTTTGCTCGGCTCTCTAACTTGACTCAGCTGCAGGTAAAGTCGGAAAGTTCTCCCACAAACAGAACTTCAGCTTCTCCAGTGGGGGCGTGTGTTTGGGAGAGGAGAGTCTCCCTTTCCCACTTCTGTAGTTGGGGCACTCACAGTATTTGGGGGGTCTCCCAGGTCCTGCAGGAGCACTGCTTCCTTCAGAGGGACTGTGGGTCCTCTCAGGATTGCTGGTTTGTTCTTGCAGTGGATCTGGAGCTAAAATTCACAATGCAAGCCTGCATGCTGCTCTGTGCAGAGCTGCTATTTAGTCCTCAAGAGTTCTTTTTAGAGTTTGATTAGCTCTTTCTACTTTCCCTGAAGACTGTGGCCTCCACTCCAAGTGAAGGCAGTATTGAATTTCTAAGGCTGAAAATATGTTTTGGGTAATTGTTGCTGTGAAAGATGGACCATTATCACTCTGTAAGCTCTTAGGCAGCCCAAGTCTAGGAATTATTTCCTTTAGTAGGAGTTTAGAAACCTCAATTGACTTTTCAGACTGCATAGGAAAAGCCTCGATCCCACTGGTAAAAGTGTCAACAAATACTAATAAATATTTAAACCCTTTACATGGGGGCATTTGAGTATAATTTATTTGCCAGTCTTTACCAGCGTATGTTGCCCTATGCTGAACAGGCCTTACTAGAGGAGGAGATAAAGATTAGTTATTTGGGTTATTCTGGGCACAGAGTTCACAGGCCTGAGTTACCTGCTTTACTATTTTAAGTAAGCTTTTTCCTATAAAAAGCTGAGACATGAATTGAAACAGGCTGTCTCTTCCCAAATGAGTAAAGTCATGCAAATGCTTAACTGTTTTCCACTGATTAGCACCTGGTATTAGCAGTTTGTTGTTATTGATAGGCCAACCAAAAGGATCTTAAATTAAACCCTGACCTTTAGCCCACTGTCATTCCTCTTTGGTGTATGAGTTCTGTCATTACCGTGGCTGAGGGCACTAACATGCTGACAAGTTCAGCTGGCTCCTTTAACACTGCTGCCTTAGCAGCTGCATCTGCAAAGGAGTTTCCCTTAGCCGCACTGGCGTCTCCTTTTTGATGTCCTCTGCAATGGATTACAGCTACTTTCTTGGGCAGCAAAACAGCATTCAATAGATTCAGAATTTTTTAATGATATTTTATAGGGGAACCGTTAGCAGTTAGGAGTCCCTGTTCCTTCCAGATAGCAGCATGAACATGAAGTACCAGAAAGGCATACTTAGAATCAGTGTGTTAATTCTTAAGTCCTTTCCCAATTGCAGGGCTCTACTAAGAGCTATTAATTCTGCATTTTGAGCTGAGGTAGAAGCTGGTAAGGCCCGGGATTCAGTTACCTCATGTTGACTGACAACAGCATACCCAGCTTTCCTGTTTCCCTGGTGCACAAAGCTACTTCTATCTGTAAACCATTCTGCCTCAGGATTATCTAGAGGCTCATCTTTTAAATCCAGATGGCTGGAGTATACTTGCTCCATAACTTGTATACAAGAATGATCTAGGGTAGGTGGATTCAAATAGGTAGGTGGATTCAAAGTTTGACATACTTTAAGTGTTATATTAGGAGCACCTAGCAACAAAGCCTGATATTTTAATAAATGTCCCCCTGTCATCCACTGGTGTCCTTTAGCTTTTACACTCCTTGTACTTAGTGTGGGGCTAAAACATCCAGATGTTGTCCTAAAACCAGTTTATTGGCTTTATCTACTAAAAGAGCAGTTGCTACCACTTCCCTGAGGCATCCAGGCCATCCCAAAGGGAGATGGTTTAATTGCCTGGAAAAATATGCCACTGGTCAGGGAATATCTCCTAACTTCTGTACAAGGACACCTAGGGTGGTTCCTTGTTTTTCACCCACATAAAGGAAAAATGGCTTAACAAGATTAGGGATTCCTGGGCTGGAGCTGATCCCAGTTTCTCCTTAAGAGCATTAAAAGCCTGTTTACAGTTATTATCCTGTTCAAAAGGATTTACATCTGCTCCTTTTAGAGCCTCATATAAAGGCTTGGCTATATGCCCAAATCCAGGCACCCATAAACGGCAGAATTCTGTCATCCCTAGGAAAGCCCACAGCTGCTTTTTAGTTTGGGGTTCTGGAATGTCCAAGGTAGCTTCCCTTTGTTCTGGCGCTATTGCCCAGGTGCCAGGGGTTAGGACATATCCTAAGCGTTTAACCTCTTGAGTTGAAATCTGGGCTTTATGCGTCTAAACCTTATATCCATTAGCTCCCAGAAAATTTAGCAACATGGTGATATTTTCATTTGAGTTTCTTTTGGTTGGGCTAGAAATCAGCAGATTATCTACATATTGAATAATACTGCCCTTATTTAATTGTAACATCTTTAATTCTCTAGCCAGTGCATTTCCAAATGGATGAGGACTGTCCCTAAACCCCTAAGGAAGAACTGTTCAAGTTAATTGAAAAACTAAATGACTATCAGAATCAGTCCACTTAATGAATTGTGAATCAGCGTGTACTGGAATGCAAAAAAAAAAAAAAAAAAAAGCATTCTTAAGATCTAAGATCGTAAACCAATTGGCATCCCCAAGGACCTCGGCTAATGGCAAGTAGGGATTGGGCACTATATTATGTATGGGAATGACAGCCTCATTGACAATTTGAAGATCTTGAACAAATTTATAGTCTCTATTTGGCTTTGGCTTTTTAACTGGTAAGACTGGCGTATTACAAGGAGACTCACAGGGCCTTAGCAACCCAAATTGCAAAAACTTAGCTATTAATGGTTGGACCCCTCTTTGTGCCTCTGGCTTTAAGGGGTATTGTCTCTTCCAGGGGTATAGGCTTAAGTTGGATGTAAACTGGGGAAACATTTAACATTTTGCCTGTAATCTTAGTGTCCCATACTATAGGATCTACTTGGGAGATTACTTCAATAGGTAAAGTAGATAAGCCCCCTATTGACTTTCCTCCCTTATCACAGGAAAGGAGGAGGAGTAGTTCCTCACCTGCCTTGTGATTTCCAAAAGATACCACTGTCTGCAGCTGAGTCAACAAATCCCCTCCCAACAAAGGGGTGGGGCACTCAGGCATGATAAGAAAGGCATGTGAGAAAACCAAAGTCTCTGAAGAACAGCTTAAAGGATAGGTCAAATGGCATCTATGGGCTTGTCCATCTACCCTGTGACCATACAGTTTTTGGGTGACAGAGGCCCATTATAATGGGCGAAAACAGAGTAAGCAGTCCAGAAGGAAGTTAATATTCTTACCTGCCACATCAAGGGTTACTGAGGCTTCTCCAGAGATATGGCTAGTTGTCTGATGGAAACTGTGGCAGAAGGCCTTGGGCCCCCATCACTCTTGGGTTTGTCTGGCTAATTGGCCATTATTGGTTCAGGTGCCAATGGCTCCCTCTTCCAATGACCACTTTTCTTACAGGGTGCACACTGATTTATGCACAAGGCACAGTGACTCAGACATCCAGCTTTGGCCTTCCCACCTTTCAGCTTCCCTTGTTCAGGCCAAAGGCCAGGAGGGCAACCCCATCAGCTCCAGCCCAGGAATCCCTAATCTGCAGCTTAAGGCTGCAGCCAAGAGCTGCACCTTGGGGGAGGTCCATCTTGTTCTTTCTGCTTCCTCTGCTTTGTCCCTGTTATTAAAAACTAAAAATTCCAAATCCAGAAGCTGTTCCATAGGAGTTTGGGGACCCGTAGCTGCTTTTTATAGTTTCCTACAGATATCAGGGGCAGACTGAGTTATAAAATGTACTCCCAAAAGGGTTTGTCCTTCCCTTGGGGCAGAATCAGTGTTAGTATATTTCCTGATTGCCTCAACTAAATGCTTTTGAAACAAAGCTGGATTCTCATCTTTACCCTGAGAAACTTCCTTAACCTTTGCATAGTTAACAGGCTTTTTCATATATTTCTTCATCCCTTCCAACAAACAAGTGACCATATGAGCTTTCCTTCCCAAGTCTTCACTGGCCCTTTGATACTTCCACTCTGGATCTTGATCTGGAACTGCTCTACATCCTGCCATATATATTATGGTTTGGGTTGTGAGCCAATACCTTATCTGCATGAGCCCTAGCTGTCCCCAAAACACATTGTTTCTCTTCCACTATACAACACAGAAACAACAAAACATGAAGATCCTGCCAAGTTAAACTATAGGCTGAAGTTAATTTCTCAAACTCATCTATGAATTGTCCTGGATCTTCAGAGAAAAGACCAAACTTCTCTTTGCATAGAGCCAAATCAGATATAGAAAAGGGAACATGTACTCTCACAGTGCCTTCTTCCCCATTTGCCACCTCTTTAAGTGGACAAAGGTTTCCCGTTGGAGGTTGATATGAGGCTCCACTATGAGTGGTACTTGCTGGGCTAAGTTCTTCAGGGAGTGGTGGGTACAGAGTGGGACTAGACGGGAAAGAAGGAGGGGATGAAGGGTTCTCAATAGAGCTTTCAGGTGGACTAGAGGGAGAAATGACTGACGCATCTGAACCTTCATAGCTGACAGAAGGAGGTTCTGGTCCACCCAAAAATGCCCAATGAACCAGGCGAGGTTTGCATCAAAGGATCATCTAGTATGTCTAATTCTTTTTCTTCCTTTCTTCTCATCAAACATGATGCACATTATCCAAATAACAAATAAATTTATAACCGAGCCATGAATCTTAGATAAACCACAACATGGACTCCAACACAAAAAATGTTGAATAAAGCAAGGAAATGAGGAGGATTTAGATGGGAATAACCAGAACAAGCAGATTCTGGGCAATAGCAGAGGAGCAAAGCCAGTTTGCCCAAATCCAATAAAGGAAAGAAGTGTTTTGTTTTGTTTTTTTAGTGTGCAAAATGAAACAAAACAGCAAGGAGAAAAGTCCCCTGATTTTTCTATCCTAGTGCTTCTCGATCACACTTAGTTGGCATAGCAGCAACAAAACATAACCACATTTGCCAGGCATGGTCGCTCACACATGTAATCCCAGCTCTTTGGGAGGCCAAGGTGGGTGGGTCACTTGAGGCCAGGGATTTGAGACCAGCCTGGCCAACATGGCAAAACCCCGTCTCTACTAAAATACAAAACTTAGCCAGGTGTGGCGGTGGGTACCTGTAATCCCAGCTACTTGGGAGGCTGAGGTAGGAGAATTGCTTGAACCCGGGAGTTGGAGGTTGCAGTGAGCCGTGCCACTGCACTCCAGCCTGGGCAACAAAGCAAGGCTTCATCTCAAAAACAAAACAAAACAAAAAGCATCTATCTAATCTTATTGCTCATAGCTATTAAATACCAAATCTCAATCAGCAATTTTAGAGACAGTGTTTAATGCTTTTTGTGCCCTTCTGTGGTCAAGAGAAATATGTTACAGGAAAGAGGTCTCAATCCAGACCCCAAGAGAGGGTTCTTGGATCTCAAGCAAGAAAGAATTCAAGGCAAGTCTGCAGTGTAAAGTAAAAGTAAGTTTATTAAGAAAGTAAAGTAATGAAAGTACAGCTACTTCATGGATAGAGTGTTCCTGAATATAAGAGGAGAAATGCGTCCACCCTAGGTACAATGCTTGTATATATATATAGGATTAAAAAAAGATTTTCAGGAGATGTGCTCTGCTGCAAGGGTTTGTGATAAAGGATTAATTTTCTTAATTACTATATTTTGCAAGAATTATTGTTATTATTATTATTTTCTTTTTTGAGACAGAGTCTTGCACTGTCACCCAGGCTGGAGTGCAGTGGCGCCATCTCGGCTCACTGCAAGCTCTGCCTCCCGGGTTCACGCCCTTCTCCTGCCTCAGCCTCCCAAGTAGCTGGGACTACAGGCGCCCACCACCGCACCCGGCTAATTTTTTGTATTTTTAGTAGAGATGGGGTTTCACCGTGTTAGCCAGGATGGTCTTGATCACCTGACCTTGTGATCTGTCCGCCTCGGCCTCCCAAAGTGCTGGGATTACAGGCGTGAAGAATTAATATTATTTTTAAAGCAAAATAATTTTTAAAGCAAAATTAGGAATGCTTTTGTTCTCCAGATATCAGAATATCTGGAAACTCCCAAGTCTGGGTCTGTTTAGTAAACATTATTAATTTGTTCCCTTAACTATAAACATCTAGAGGCTAGGAATGTCTAACTTTTTGGGAATGCAGCGCAGCAAGTATCAGCCTCATTTTCCTAACCCTCACTCGAAATGGAGTCGCTCCAGTTTGAATGCCTCTGACAGTGCCCTGAGCTAAATTTCTGAATGGAAGTCTTTAAGAGCTACATCCAAGCTGGTTTTTAAAAAATTGATTCACGTTGGAAGTGAGAGCAAAACACTGAAGTGTTTTGAACAACAGTGGGGGTGTTCTGACCCCACCTTCCCAAGACTGACTGAACGCCCCTCATTGATCATCCCAAGTGGATAATTGCCAAATCTTACCATTCCTCATGGAATTGTGGACACAACTTAAAGGTGATGCAGTTCGCCCTGAACCATCTACACTGTTTGGGGGCACCTGATCTGAATTAATGAAAAAACAAATGGTTGTGATTTTAAAAGAACCCTTATGATTCTCTTCCTTCATGTGCAGAAACTTAAACCAGTCCTACACAGCTGTTGCTGCTAGGAATTCCTAGGGGACGCGCAGTCTTGCCTAGATAAGGATGATTTGCAATTAGCATTAGCTGTTGTTGGAGTAGAGCTGCTAGAAGTGTTTGCATGGATAATTCTCTTGAGTATTTTGCATGGTTCCCCATCCTAGCTCCATCTTCTCCTTACCGCGAGTCTGGGTGAGGCGATTAATTTATTAGTTCTTTCTAGGATGAAAAGACCGAGTTTAATTTGGAGAATGTGGACTTGTGTGAGCTGCAAGAGGGGTAGAGAGGCAGAGCCGACAAGTTTATTGCATTAATAACTATCCGCAGGAGTGGACAACACCTGGCCCCAGCTGAGTGCCTCCTAGCACTGAGGAAAGCAGAACCAAGCTTTGCAACAATGAACTCTCCTTGCTGGAAGAGACCGCCCACCTCTAACAGGTGCTTACCCAGTGTACTTGAAATCCTCCAGCTACAGGGAACCCATCACTCCCAGAGCTGCCTCATCGGGTGCTGGGTACTCTGATCATGAGAAAGAGTTTCTTTCTGACTGAGGCATATACTGTTCCCCTCTAATACCCCTCCCCAACTCATGGTTCTTCTCTCTCAAGCCAGGTGAGGGAGCTTATTTCATCTTTTGTATGGCAGCCCTTCACAAATTGAAATCTGCTTCTGTTGAATCACAGAATTTTGTAGCTGGAGGAAACTTCAGACACAAGTCCTGTTACAGAAGAGGAAACTGGCACAGAGAGGAAATGGTGCTTGCATAAGGTCTCTGGGTAAGTTACTGGAGAAATCAGTGTGCAAACCCAGACTTCTTGACTTCTGGATCAGGAATTTGTAGTGAATTATGTGAGGGGATACCAGGTCTGGTTGTGCAGGCTGCGCATTGTACAATCACAAGAGCAAGTCCTTCACTTTTTGGTCTATGTATGGTGCCACCTGGGGTGTGCAGTGCACAGGCTGCTTGGCTATATGTGAAGGACCTGTTGCCTTGATCTGTACTTTTTTTTTTAAATTTTTATTTCAATAGCTTTTGAGGTACAAGTGGTTTTTGTTTTTTGGGGGTTTTTTTGTTACATTGGTGAATTATATAGTGGTGAATTCTGAGATTTCAGTGCACTGGACACTGGGCTAGTGTACATTGTACCTAATGTGTAATTTTTTATTCCCAGCCTCTCCCTCCCTTCCTCCCTCCCTCCCTCCCTTCCTGCCCGCCCTGCCGAGTCTCTGAAGTCCATTATATCACTCTGTGTGCCTTTATGTACTCATAGCTTATAAGTGAGAACACATGGTTTTTGGTTTTCCAATCCTGAGTTACATCACTTTGCATAATTGCCTCCACCTCCATCCAGGTTGCTGCAAAAGACATTACTTCATTCCTTTTTATAGCTAAGTAGTACTCCATGGTGTATAGTTATCACATTTTCTTTATTCACTCATTAGTTGATGGTCACTTAGGTTGGCTTCACATCTTTGCAATTGTGAATTGTGCTGCTGTAAACATGTATGTGTGCAAGTGTCTTTTTCATATAATGATCTTTTTTCCTTTAAGTTAGATACCCAGTAGTGGGATTGCAGGATTGAATGATAGAGTTACTTTTTAGTTATTTAAGGAATCTTCATATTGTTTTCCATAGAGATTGTACTAATTTACATTCCCACCAGCAGCGTATAAGCATTCTCTTTTTACCACACCCATGCCAGCATCTATTGTTTTATAACTTTTTAATAATGGCCATTCTAACAGGAGTAAGGTGGTATCTCATTGTGGTTTTAATTTGCATTTCCCTGATGATTAGTACTGTTGAGCATTTTTTTCATATGTTTGTTGGCTATTGTATATCTTCTTTTTAGAAATGTGTATTCATGTCCTTTGCCCACTTTTTGATGAGATTTTTTTCTTGTTTGAGTTCCTTGTAGATTCTGGATACTAGTTCTTTGTCAGATGCCTAGTTTGCAAATATTTTTTCACATTCTGTGGGTTGTCTTTTTACTCTATTTCTTTTGTTGAGCAGAAGATTTTTAGTTTAATTAGGTCCCTTTTTTGTTTTTGTTGCATTTGCTTTTGGGGTCTTAGTCATGAATTCTTTCTTTGCCTAGGTCGATGCCTAGAAGAGTTTCTGCAATGCTGTCTTGTAGAATTTTTATCGTTTCAGGTCTTATACTTACATCTTTCATCCATCTGGAGTTGATTTTTGTATAAGGTAAGAGATAGGGATCCATTTTCATTCTTCTATATGTGGCTATCCAGTTTTCCCAGCCCCATTTATTAAACAGGGTGTCCATTTCCCAATTTATGTTTTTATATGCTTTGTCAAAGATCAGTTGGCTGTACATGTTTGGGTTTTTTTTTTTAATTTAAGTTCTAGGGTACATGTGCACAATGTGCAGGTTTGTTACATATGTATACATGTGCCATGTTGGTGTGCTACACCCATTAACTCATCATTTACATTAGGTATATCTCCTAATGCTATCCCTCCCCACTCCCCCCGCCCCATGACAGGCCCCGGTGTGTGATGTTCCCCACCCTGTGTCCAAGTGTTCTCATTGTTCAATTCCCACCTATGAGTGAGAACATGCGGTGTTTGGTTTTTTGTCCTTGCGATAGTTTGCTGAGAATGATGGTTTCCAGCTTCATCCATGTCCCTACAAAGGACATGAACTCATCATTTTTTATGGCTGCATAGTATTCCATGGTGTATATATGCCACATTTTCTTAATCCAGTCTATCATTGATGGACATTTGGGTTGGTTCCAAGTCTTTGCTATTGTGAATAGTGCCACAATAAACATACGTGTGCATGTGTCTTTAGAGCAGCATGATTTATAATCCTTTGGGTACATACCCAGTAATGGGATGGCTGGGTCAAATGGTATTTCTAGTTCTAGATCCTTGAGGAATCACCACACTGTCTTCCACAATGGTTGAACCAGTTTATGGTCCCACCAACAGTGTAAAAGTGTTCCTATTTCTCCACATCCTCTCCAGCATCTGTTGTTTCCTGACTTTTTAATGATCGCCATTCTAACTGGTGTGAGATGGTATCTCATTGTGATTTTGATTTGCATTTCTCTGATGGCCAGTGATGATGAGCATTTTTTCATGTGTCTGTTGGCTGCATAAATGTCTTCTTTTGAGAAGTGTCTGTTCATATCCTTCGCCCACTTTTTGATGGGGTTGTTTGTTTTTTTATTATAAATTTGTTTAAGTTCTTTGTAGATTCTGGATATTAGCCCTTTGTCAGATGAGTAGAATGCAAAAATTTTCTCCCATTCTGTAGGTTGCCTGTTCACTCTGATGGTAGTTTCTTTTGCTGTGCAGAAGCTCTTTAGTTTAATTATATCCCATTTGTCAATTTTGGCTTTTGTTGCCATTGCTTTTGGTGTTTTAGACATGAAGTCCTTGCCCATGCCTATGTCCTGAATGGTATTGCCTAGGTTTTCTTGTAGGGTTTTTATGGTTTTAGGTCTAACATGTAAGTCTTTAATACATCTTGAATTAATTTTTGTATAAGGTGTAAGGAAGGGATCCAGTTTCAGCTTTCTACCTATGGGTAGCCAGTTTTCCCAGCACCATTTATTAAATAGGGAATCCTTTCCCCATTGCTTGTTTTTGTCAGGTTTGTCAAAGATCAGGTGGTTGTAGATACGCAGCATTATTTTTGAGGGCTCTGTTCTGTTCCATTGGTCTATATCTCTGTTTTGGTACCAATACCATGCTGTTTTGGTTACTGTAGCCTTGTAGTATAGTTTGAAGTCAGGTAGCGTGATACCTCCAGCTTTGTTCTTTTGCCTTAGGATTGACTTGGCAATGTGGGCTCTTTTTTGGTTCCATATGAACTTTAAAGTAGTTTTTTCCAATTCTGTGAAGAAAGTCATTGGTAGCTTAATGGGGATGGCACTGAATCTATAAATTACCTTGGGCAGTATGGCCATTTTCACGATATTGATTCTTCCTACCCAAGAGCATGGAATGTTCTTCCATTTGTTTGTATCCTCTTTTATTTCATTGAACAGTGGTTTGTATTTCTCCTTGAAGAGGTCCTTCATATCCCTTGTAAGTTGGATTCCTAGGTATTTTATTCCCTTTATAGTAATTGTGAATGGGAGTTCACTCATGATTTGGCTCTCTGTTTGTCTGTTATTGGTGTGTAAGAATGCTTGTGGTTTTTGTACATTGATTTTGTATCCTGAGACTTTGCTGAAGTTGCTTATCAGCTTAAGGAGATTTTGGGCTGAGGCAATGGGGTTTTCTAGATATACAATCATGTGATCTGCAAACAGGGACAATTTGACTTCCTCTTTTCCTAATTGAATACCCTTTATTTCCTTCTCCTGCCTGATTGCCCTGGCCAGAACTTCCAACACTATGTTGAATAGGAGTGGTGAGAGAGGGCATCCCTGTCTTGTGCCAGTTTTCAAAGGGAATGCTTCCAGTTTTTGCCCATTCAGTATGATATTGGCTGTGGGTTTGTCATAAATAGCTCTTATTATTTTGAGATACATCCCATCAATACCTAATTTATTGAGAGTTTTTAGCATGAAGGGTTGTTGAATTTTGTCAAAGGCCTTTTCTGCATCTATTGAGATAATCATGTGGTTTTCATCTTTGGTTCTGTTTATATGCTGGATTACGTTTATTGATTTGCATATGTTGAACCAGCTTTGCATCCCAGGGATGAAGCCCACTTGATCATGGTGGATAGGCTTTTTGATGTGCTGCTGGATTCGGTTTGCCAGTATTTTATTGAGGATTTTTGCATCAATGTTCATCAGGGATATTGGTCTAAAATTCTCTTTTTTGGTTGTGTCTCTGCTAAGCTTTCGTATCAGGATGATGCTGGCCTCATAAAATGAGTTAGGGAGGATTCCCTCTTTTTCTATTGATTGGAATAGTTTCAGAAGGAATGGTACCAGCTCCTCCTTGTAACTCTGACAGAATTTGACTGTGAATCCGTCTGGTCCTGGACTTTTTTTGGTTGGTAGGCTATTAGTTATTGCTTCAATTTCAGAGCCTGTTATTGGTCTATTCAGGGATTCAGCTTCTTCCTGGTTTAGTCTTGGGAGGGTGTATGTGTCCAGGAATTTATCCGTTTCTTCTAGATTTTCTAGTTTATTTGCATAGAGGTGTTTATAGTATTCTCTGATGGTAGTTTGTATTTCTGTGGGATCGGTGGTGATATCCCCTTTATCATTTTTTATTGCGTCTATTTGATTCTTCTCTCTTTTCTTCTTTATTAGTCTTGCTAGCGGTCTATCAATTTTGTTGATCTTGTCAAAAAACCAGCTCCTGGATTCATTGATATTTTTGAAGGGTTTTTTGTGTGTCTATCTCCTTCAGTTCTGCTCTGATCTTAGTTATTTCTTGCCTTCTGCTAGCTTTTGAATGTGTTTACTCTGGCTTCTCTAGTTCTTTTAATTGTGATGTTAGGGTGTCAATTTTAGATCTGTTCTGCTTTCTCTTGTGGGCATTTAGTGCTATAAATTTCCCTCTACACACTACTTTAAATGTGTCCCAGAGATTCTGGTGTGTTGTGTCTTTGTTCTCATTGGTTTCAAAGAACCATCTTTATTTCTGCCTTCATTTCGTTATATACCCAGTAGTCATGCAGGAGCAGGTTGTTCAGTTTCTATGTAGTTGAGCGGTTTTGAGTGAGTTTCTTAATCCTTATTTTTGGGTTCTCTATTCTGTTCCATTGGTCTATGTGCCTACTTTCTTTTGTTTTGTTTTTTGTTTTTTGAGGTGGAGTTCCGCTTTTGTTGCCCAGGCTGGAATGCAATGGCACAATCTTGGCTCACCGCGATCTCCAGCTCCCAGGTTCAAGCGATTCTCCTGCCTCAGCCTCCAGAGTAGCTGGGATTACAGTCATGTGCCACTGGGCCTGGCTAACTTTGTATTTTTAGTACAGACAGGGTTTCTCCATATTGGTCAGGCTGGTTGCGAATGCCTGACCTCAGGTGATCCACCCACCTCAGCCTCCCAAAGTGCTGGAATTACAGGCATGAGCCACTGCACCCAGCCTATGTGCCTACATTCATACGAGTACCATGCTGTTTTGGTGACTACAGCCTTGTTGTATAATTTGAAGTTCAGTAATGTGATGCCTCCAGATTTGTTCTTTTTGCTTAGGATTGCTTTGGGTATTTGGGATTTTTTTTGGTTCCTTAAATTTTAGGATTGTTTTTTCTAATTCTGTGAAAAATAATGTTGGTATTTTGCTGAGAATTGTGTTGAATCTGTAGATTGCTTTGGGGAGGTATCATTTTCACAATATTGATTCTTCCAATCCATGAACCATGGGATGTGTTTCCATTTGTTTGTGTCATCTATGATGTCTTTCAGCAGTGTTTTGTAGTTTGTAGAGATCTTTCACTTCCTTTTTAAGTATATTCCTAAATACTATAATTTTTTTTTGCTGCTGTTGTAAAAGGGATTGAGTTCTTGATTTGATTCTCAGCTTGGTCATTGTTGGTGTATAGCAGTGTTACTAATTTGTGTACATTGATTTTGTAACCCGAGACTTTACTGAATTCCTTCATCAAATCTAATAGTCTTTTGGAGGAGTCTTTAGGATTTTCTAGGTATACAGTTATGTCATCTGCAAACACAGATATTTTGACTTTCTCTTTTCCAATTTGGATGCCCTTTATTTCTTTCTCTTGTCTGATTGTTCTGGCTAGGACTTCCAGAACTATGTTGGATAGGAGTGGTGAAAGTGGGCATTCTTGTCTTGTTCCTGTTCTCAGTGATGCTTTCAACTTTTCCCCATTCAGTATGATGTTGTCTATGATAGGTCTGTCATATATGGCTTTTATTATTTGGAGGTAAGTCTCTTCTATGCTTAGTTTGTTGAGAGTTTTTTTAATCATAAAGGGATGCTGGATTTTGTTGAATGCTTTTTCTGCATCTCTTGAGATGATCATATGGCTTTTGTTTTTAATTATGTTTATGTGATATCACATTTATTGACATGTATATGTTGAACCATCCCTGCATCCCTGGGATGAAACTCACTTGACTATGATGTATTATCTTTTTGATGTGCTGTTGGATTTAGTTAGCTGGTATTTTGTTAAGGATTATTGCATCTATGTTCATCAGGGACATTGGTCTGTAGTTTTCTTTTTTTGTCATGTCCTTTCCTGGTTTTGCTGTCAAAGTGATACTGGCTTCTTAGAATGGTTTAGGGCGGATTCCTTCTTTCTCAATTTTTTGGAATAGTTTCAGTAGGATTGGTACCAGTCCTTCTTTGAGTGTCTGGTAGAATTCAGCTTTGAATCCATCAGGTCCTGGTCTTTATTTGTTGGCAATTTTTAAATTACTATTTCAGTTTCACTTTTTGTTATTGGTCTGTTCAGAGTTTCTGTTTCTTCCTGATTTAATCTAGGAGGGTTTTATGTTTCCAGGAATTTCCTCTAGGTTTTCTAGTTTGTGTGCATAAAGGTGTTCATAGCAGTCTCGAATGATCTTTTGTATTTCTGTGGTATATCAGTTGAGTATCTCAAGTTTCATTTCTAATTGAGCTTATTTGTATTTTCTTGGTTAATTTAGTTAATGGTCTATCAATTTTGTCTATCTTTTCAGAGAACCAGCCTTTTGTTTCATTGATATTTTGTATTTTGTGTTTAAATTTGTTCAAACTAAATTCAACCGAAACCAGCCTTGTGTTTCATTGATATTTTGTTTTTGTTTGAATTTCATTTCATTATTCTCTAATCTTTATTTCTTTGCCATTGCTAGCTTTAGGGTTAGTGTGTTCTTGTTTCTCTAGTTCCTTAAGATGTGACATTAGATTGTCAATTTGTGCTCTTTTGGACTTTTTGATGTAAGAATTTAGCACTATAAACTTTCCTCTTAGCACTGCTTTTACTGTTTCTGAGAGGTTTTGATAACATGTCATTATCATTCAATTCAAAGGATTTTAAAATTTTCGTCTTGATTTCAGTGTTAACCCAGAAATCATTCAGGAGCAGATTATTTAATTTCCATGTATTTGTATAGTTTTGAGGGCTCTTTTTTGGAATTGATTTCTAGATTTATTCCACTGTGGTCTAAGGAGATACTTGACATTACTTTGATCTTAAAAAATTTATTGAGACATGTTTGATAGTCTATTGTTAGAAATTAATTTTCGGTGCCACAAAAGAAATAGCACTTGAACATGAATTTTCTCAGCCAGGCAATTTTACTTCTATAGAAGTGTGTGTCTCTCAGATGGAGCAATGGCGAGAGCACACCTGAACAAGGGAGGGGAAGGGGTTCTTATCCCTGACACAGGTAGCCCCTACTGTATCATTCCCCCATTGGCTAGAGTTGGACCGCATTGTTTAAGCTAATTCCAACTGGCTATTTTAAAGAGAGCAGGGGTATAAACCAGAGTGGTGGGGTGAGCAGTTTCAGCAGGAAGGACAGTTATGGAACAGGTGACTAAAAGTGACTCAGGTCAGAGCAGGTGACCAGGGGTGACTCAGGATGGAGCAGGTGACCAGGGGAACAGATGTGAACTACTGATAGAACTGGTGGAAAAGGTTGTTTACTGAAACTAGGAGCAAGGAGATGAGGAGAACAAGGAAGTTCAACTTTAAAATGGAGAACAAAGAACTGAACATACTGATTCTTTGAAGAGAAAGTTAGAACTCACTGTATTTAACAATTTCCCCCCTCTTGAATTTTACAGTTCTTTCTCTTCAAACTTCCTTAACATGTCTTGGCTTAGTTGTTCTGCTTGATTCTCTAAATGAAGAAGCTTCTCTGAATAAGGTAGAGGAGAGTTAAGGGAGGTTTTAGTAAGTGCTGTCTCTATGAGTCTTTGCACCAGCCCACGGGTGCATGGTATGACACAACACCTGACAAGAATGAGTACACCTACTATGGCTGCGAGAGAAGTTAAGAATTGCGGCTGTGATTCCTTTCCATTTACCAAACCATTTTCCTAGCCATCCTGTGAAGGGGTCATTTACTCCTGAGCTTTTGGCTAACTCATTGGACAGAGCAGTTGGACCTTGCAATGCCTTTGTTATACTTCCATCAGGGGCGGTATTGTTTGGGATGAAGGTACAACATTGAGTTTTAATCATGATGCAAACTCCTCCTCTTTCTGCTAATATCATGTCTAAGGCTGTTCTATTTTCCCAAGCCATCTGGCTAGTAGCCCCTAATTGCTCAGCTATTCCTTTAGCAGTACCTCTAGTGTAGTTAATAAACTGCTGTTGGTTATAATAAATGTAATTTATCCAATCTACTTTTTTATTTTCACCCACCAAAATACTGACTCAAATCCTGTAGCTGTTTGATCTCGAGCTTTAACTTTATCTGGTTAAAGCTCATGGGACTCCAATTGCATCTAAATAAATGTGAGAGTCGAAAGACCCATAAGGGGCTTCCCTTGTTTTACGATGTTGTATTTTCCCTCTCTCTAGTTGATGAAATGCCAGGGTGAAAGGAACAGCCAACTGGACTAGAGCACAAGTGTCACTCCAGTTACCAGGCAGAGTGTCCAGTAAAGGTTGACCACTACCACCATACATCTGCTCGGGGATGAAAAAGGGCTGATTGATCAGTAAGCTCTTGAAAATTCTTAAGCTCACTGCATCCCTTCAGGTCTCCAAAACACTAAGTTTCCTCCTTGTCGTGAGAGACATGAAGCGAACTTAGTGTCGGAAGACAGAGACTGGATGGCCCTCGGGCTGACCTGCAGGGTGTTGAACTTCGGGATATAGCAGAGAGAGAGCTTGGCACGACTTGTTACCCCAGGCTGTGGAATCCTGGAAAAGAGCTACCATACGGCCCATGCCTGGTCGACTGGAGGACCATCCTAGCGGAAATGGGACAACCTGGGCCTCTGGCCTGCTGTGCGCACAAGCATAATGTTTGCTTTTGTTTAAAGTGCGGACGGAATATTTGATCCATTCCAACCAGGCATTCGTATCTTGTTATCCTGTCTCAATTGCCAAAGTTTGTTTTACATCTTTAACTTCTACAATAGCTACCTTGGTCTTGTCATTAGATGGGGGAGGAACAACCGTTGCGTTGTGAGAGGTTTTGGAAGAAGGCTTAGGGGAAGGTGTAGGTGGTGGCGGATCAATGAAACGTGTTTCAAAGGATCCGATAGAGTCTGTTCCTGAAACCTCAGCCCCCATAAAACCGGCTTCAAGAAGGGAACTGGCTTAGAGAAGGGGAAGAACTTTGAGGGTTTGGGATAATAACCTGTATTGGATTGCACTGGTTTAGCTGACAGTTAGGGGAAGCTGTTCCTTTAGTAAAATGACTTTATGATTTTAGGAAATTACAACTACTGGTTGGGGCAGTCCATCCTTGCTCTTTAGTGGTCCACAGAACGTTGGACCAACTATGGCATAAAAGCTCTGGATTGGGGATGGGGGGAAAGACTCCCAGTTGACACTGGGGTCTTCATTGAAATCTTCCTAGACTAAATGATCCCAATTCACCATGTCCAGTCTGAGGGGCACCTGGAAGGACAGAGGTACTTTTCTGAAGTGGAGAGCTATCTTTGACTTGGCCAGTCTCCACAGAGTATAACAAGGCAAGCATCAAATGTAATAGTTTGAGGCAAAATTGACTTGGTTACATTAATAGCTAGGTGGTCAGTAATAGAGTGAGGAAATAAGGAGTAATGGAATAGATGAAAGAGAGTTAAATTTTTCTTAGCTTTAGTTTGGTAGGGGTTTCCCCTGGGACTATGGCCCATGACTCCAGGGTGGGGCAGCATTTTCTTGACTCAGATGTGATGGGTCCATCCCCTCTCTGCTGTCCAGTCTGCAGTTTTTGTAGTTAGGAGCACTAGGCTAGGTCCTTCCCAGGCCAGCTCCAGCTTCTCCTCTTTCCAGCTTTTGATGAGGACGTGATCCCCAGGTTGATGTTTGATGCACTGGGAACTCCAGGGGTGGCGCCTGTGCTAAGAGAACTTTAGTTTTAAGAGAAGAGAAAGAAGAAGACAGGCCAAGTGTATAATTTTTAAGAAATTGATCTTTTGTTTCAGAGGTAGGATTGTCAGCAGTGGAGTGTAAATAAGGCAATCCGTAGAGCATCTCATAAGGAGAAAGACCAATATCTTTCCACAGGGCAGTTCAGATTCTCAGCAGGGCAATAGGAAGGCTCTTGGTCCATGGTAACCAAGTCACCAGTACCAATTTTGTTAAGTGGTTCTTTAAAGTCTGATTTATTCTTTCTACTCTCCCTGATGAAGGTGGGTGCCAGGGAGTATGGTATTCCCATCTAATGTCTAATGTTTGGGACAGCTTTTTAATGATGTATGCAGTGAAATGAGTTCCATTGCCTGAGTCAATATTTTCTATTAGTTCAAACCTGGGCACTATATTTTCAATCAGGGCTTTGGCTACATTGTTGGCTGTTGCATTTGAAAAGGGGATAGCTTTGACCCAGTGAGTGAGGTGATCTACTATCACTAGTAAGTATTTTAGACGACCTATTGGAGGCATTTCTGTGTAATCAACTTGGATACTTTGGAATGGCCTTAAGCCTGGACTCTTTCCCCCAAGGGGTAATCTTTTATAGTTTATTAGGTTCTTTTTTTTCATACTGAGTAACTGTCTGTACCTGTTTGGCCAGGATATAAATTCCTATGTACCCATAAACTCTGAGAACTGCATCACACATGCCCTGGGGCCCCCAATAGGTCCCTCGATGTAGTTGGGACAAGATTTTCCTCATAAGGCGTTTGGATAACATTTCTGTCTGGTCTGGCAATATCTGTTTTCCTTCTGAATTCTTTAGCACCTATTTTTATTAGTTTTTAGACCAAAGAAAGCCAAACATCATTTTATATTTGGCAATGCTTCCTGTATGATTTTATACCAGATAAGCTAAATTTCACCTTTATATCAGTGTGCTATTAATGTTAAACTCAATTTTAATAAAACCTGTAGACATATTTATCCAATTTTAATGTCTAACCATAAGGTAAGATTTTTATACACTCTTTTTAACCCTTTATAATTTTTGTTAAAGAACAGGTTAGTGCTTTAAGAAAAACCCATTGTGCTTTTATTTTAATGTCCAATTTACAGCAAAACTGGATGATACCCCTTTAACTTTAGCCAATATGTTCATACACAGAATTTCCTTTACAATTAATGTTTCAAAACTTGCATAAACCTTCAAAGCATTTTTTAACTTTTTAATGTCGGTAAAAATCCACATTCTTATGCCTCCTAGTAATACTCTTACCAAAAGTATATTTTACTTTCCTTATACATCTTGCACATAAACTGTTTCTTCAATAGTTTTACATTCAGGAGGCCTACTTACTTTTAAATTATACAACATTTCTTGCGTAGATTCCCTTTTATAACATTTTTTATGACTTTTACAGACAATCTTTGACATGCCTCAACTTTCTGACTTGTAAACATCCCTTTCAACAACCAGTTAATTTACTTTAGGACAAGAATTTACCATATAAGACTCTTTTTACATAAATTCTCCTTTTTTTAATGTCAAAGATGATAATCGTTCTTTCCCAAAGCAAACTTCCTTCATGTATGTGGACTAGACTGCCTAAGGCCACAAGATTAGAAGTTGCGATAATACATGCTGTACCATTAACTTTTAGCCAACTTTACTTTTGTTGAAAATCTTTTTTTTTTTTTTATTATTATAATACTTTAAGTTTTAGGGTACATGTGCACAATGTGCAGGTTAGTTACATATGTATACATGTCCCATGCTGGTGTGCTGCACCCATTAACTCGTCATTTAGCATTAGGTACATCTCCTAATGCTATCCCTCCCCCCTCCCCCCACCCCACAACAGTCCCCAGAGTGTGATGTTCCCCTTCCTGTGTCCATGTGTTCTCACTGTTCAGTTCCCACCTATGAGTGAGAACATGTGGTGTTTGGTTTTTTGTCCTTGTGATAGTTTACTGAGAATGATGATTTCCAATTTCATCCATGTCCCTATAAAGGACATGAACTCATCATTTCTTATGGCTGCATAGTATTCCATGGTGTATATGTGCCACATTTTCTTAATCCAGTCTGTCATTGTTGGACATTTGGGTTGGTTCCAAGTCTGTGCTATTGTGAATAGTGCCGCAGTAAACATACGTGTGCATGTGTCTTTATAGCAGCATGATTTATAGTCCTTTGGGTATATACCCAGTAATGGGATGGCTGGGTCAAATGGTATTTCTAGTTCTAGATCCCTGAGGAATCGCCACACTGACTTCCACAATGTTTGAACTAGTTTACAGTCCCACCAACAGTGTAAAAGTGTTCCTATTTCTCCACATCCTCTCCAGCACCTGTTGTTTCCTGACTTTTTAATGATTGCCATTCTAACTGTTGTGAGATGGTATCTCATTGTGGTTTTGATTTGCATTTCTCTGATAGCCAGTGATGATGAGCATTTTTTCATGTGTGTTTTGGCTGCATAAATGTCTTCTTTTGAGAAGTGTCTGTTCATATCCTTTGCCCACTTTCTGATGGGGTTGTATGTTTTTTTCTTGTAAATTTGTTTGAGTTCATTGTAGATTCTGGATATTAGCCCTTTGTCAGATGAGTAGGTTGCGAAAATTTTCTCCCATTTTGTAGGTTGCCTGTTTACTCTGATGGTAGTTTCTTTTGTTGTGCAAAAGCTCTTTAGTTTAATTAGATCCCCTTAAGCTGATAAGCAACTTCAGCAAAGTCTCAGGATACAAAATCAATGTACAAAAATCACAAGCATTCTTATACACCAATAACAGACAAACAGAGAGCCAAATCATGAGTGAACTCCCATTCACAATTGCTTCAAAGAGAATAAAATACTTAGGAATCCAACTTACAAGGGATGTGAAGGACCTCTTCAAGGAGAAATACAAACCACTGTTCAATGAAATAAAAGAGGATACAAACAAATGGAAGAACATTCCATGCTCTTGGGTAGGAAGAATCAATATCGTGAAAATGGCCATACTGCCCAAGGTAATTTATAGATTCAATGCCATCCCCATCAAGCTACCAATGACTTTCTTCACAGAATTGGAAAAAACTACTTTAAAGTTCATATGGAACCAAAAAAGAGCCCACATTGCCAAGTCAATCCTAAGCCAAAAGAACAAAGCTGGAGGCATCACGCTACCTGACTTCAAACTATACTACAAGGCTACAGTAACCAAAACAGCATGGTACTGGTACCAAAACAGAGATGTAGATCAATGGAACAGAACAGAGCCCTCAGAAATAACGTCGCATATCTACAACTATCTGATCTTTGACAAAGCTGACAAAAACAAGCAATGGGGAAAGGATTCCCTATTTAATAAATGGTGCTGGGAAAACTGACTAGCCATTTGTAGAAAGCTGAAACTGGATCCCTTCCTTACACCTTATACAAAAATTAATTCAAGATGGATTAAAGATTTACATGTTAGACCTAAAACCATAAAAACCCTAAAAGAAAACCTAGGCATTACCATTCAGGACATAGGCATGGGCAAGGACTTCATGTCTAAAACACCAAAAGCAATGGCAACAAAAGCCAAAATTGACAAATGGGATCTAATTAAACTAAAGAAAATCTTGTAAGTTTGGGATTTTAATATGTGCTAGGTGTAGAGCCTAGGACCTACAAAGAAGTGCAGATAAAGTCTGGCTTATTCTAGCATTTAACTCCATGTGTCCTAGGTTTTACCTGGCTGCAAAGCAGGCCAGTTGTACAGCTAAGAAATGGTAGACTGTTTGGCTATCTGGTCTGCTAGGTTATTTCCTCAATTTCAAAAGAAAGGCTTTTCTGGTATCCAGGGATATGGACAATAACTATTTCTTCTGGCAACTGAAGGTTGTTTAATACTTGGGTGATTAATTCCTTGTGGACCAGGTCTTGGCCTTTGCTATTAATAAGACCTCGTTCAGTCCAAATTTTTCCAAATGTATGAGCCACTCCACAGGTGTACTTAGAATCAGTATAGATGGTTCCTTCCTGGTTCTGTAAGTACTTTAAGGCTTGGTTGAATACAAACAGCTCACACGTTTGAGCAGACCAATTATTAGGCAATTTTCCTGACTATTTCTACAAGAGTTTCTCTATCAATTACTGAATATCCATTGTGTCATTTTCCCTCAATCACCTGGGAGGAGCCATCTATAAATAAGTGTCCTTCTGTCCTGAAGGGAGTTTCTCCTAGGACTGGTCAGACCTTTGTATGGTAATCAATTAAATGTAAACATGTGTGATCGCTCTCTAGATTTGGATCCCCTGTTAGGAAACCTGCTGGGTTAAGCAAATTATCAGTGGTTAATGTTAAATCATCTTTTTCTAACAGAATAGCCTCATACTTTGAGATTCTTGAGTCAGTAAGCTACCTTTTTGCTTTCTGACTTAGGATAGTTCTGACCTGGTGAGGTGTGCTCACAATGAAGTTTCCTCCAAAAGTTATTTTTCTACTTTCTTCTGTTAGCAAAGCAGTTGCCACTACAGATTGAACGCATTTGGGCTATCCGCGGGTTACTGGCTTAAGGATATTTGATAGGAAGGCTTAGGGTTGCCAGTGGCCACCATGCTCTTGGGTAAGTACTTCTAAGGCTATGCCCTTGTTTACACTGATGGAATGGCTGCTTAAGGAGGGTAAAGCTAGGACAGGGGCAGTTACTAATAGATGTTTTAACCTTTCCAGGTGGAAATTTGGATTTCTGGTAATTGCCAAATGAGGGGGTTTGGCCCGTCTTGCATGAGCTTTTTGTATAAAGGTTTTGTTTTTAGGGCATAAGAGTCTATCCATAGATGACAGTATCTGACTAACCCTAAAATTTTCTAAGTTTTTGTTTAGTCTCCGGCAGAGGCAAGGATATGATGCCTTTAATCCATTCAAGCTCAATTTTCCATTTACCTTTGCTAATTAAATGACTTGTTCTAATATTTGACTAAATAAATTTGGAGACTTCATAAATCCTTGGGATAAGACTGTCCATTGGTATTGCTGTTTTCAACTGGAGTGAGGGTCTTCTCACTCAAAGACAAATAGGTCCTGGCTGTCCTCTACTAACGGACAAGCCCAGAGGCATCTTTTAAATCTATTACTGTAAACCACTGGTGACTGTATGAGATCCTACTGATAATAGCATAAGGATTGGGAACAATAGGGTGTGTAGTTTGGACTATCTGATTAATAGCTCTAAGGTCTTGCACTAACTGATATGACCCATCTGGCTTCTTTACAGGCAGTATTGGAGTGTTATAGGGAGACATACAGGGTTTAAGAAGCCCATCACAAAGAAGATCTTCAATTATAGGTTTTAAATTTACCCTGGCTTCTAAAGGAATAGAGTATTGCGTTCGCTTTACTACTTCCCCAGGGGTTTTTAATTTAACATGAATCAGAGGAATCTGTAACTTTCCTCTATTCCTGTCTCTTGACCATATATCGGGATGAATGTGTTCTTCATCTGCGGTGGTGAGCAAGTTTAGGGAGGGGAGAAATTTCCTATGATTGATTTGGAGGCCTAAGCCTAATTCTAGTGTTGAATCTCTTCCTAATAGATTTGTCCCTGTGTCCGGAATTGACAGAAATTTATACTAGCTGATTGGTTTTTATATTTTACTCCTGTCTCCTCTAAGACTTTTGTTTTAAACCCTTCTCCTTTTACTCCTGAGATAAAAAGGTCTTCTTGTGAACAAGTTGCACTGGATGGAAGAGAACAAACTGAGGAGCGAGCTGCTTCTGTGTTGATTAAAAAGGTGATAAGCTTAAGTTTAGGTCCCACTTCTAAATTTATTAAGGGCTTTTGGTGGGACTTAAGATAAAAAATAAAAGAGCCCCTGACTTCCTTAGTCTTCTTCAAAAGCTTTAAATGGGATACTTTTTCTTTCTTTTCTCATTCAGGACATTGTCTTTTAAAGTGGCCTAATTTTCCACATTTGAAACATTCGTTCTGTCCCTTTTTTTTTTTTCTACCTTTGAGTCTCCTGGCTTTACTCTTTCATACCCATTATATTACCTGGAGAGTGGGGGTTTAGGTTCTTTATAGGTTCTGGCCCCCTGGGTACTTTGTTATATGGTGGAGAGCAGAATTTTTGCTTTCTGCTTTTGTGTTTCCTTCATCTCTTTTTACATATACTTTTTGGGCTTCTCTTAGAAGCTCTTCCATAGGTCTATCTTTCCAGTTCTCTTGTAATTTCTTGTTAATATCTGGCCAACTATTAGTTACAAAATGAAGCTTTAACATCCCTCATTTGAGGGGGGTCTTCTAATTCTAGACCTACATATTTCCTCATTTGCTCTTTGAGTCTTTCTAGGAATTTTGTAGGTCTTTCATCTTTTCCTTGTTGTATATTGAAAGGTTTTATAATGCTTTGGATGCGGGGCGCAGACTCTCAAATTCTTTCAATTATCATTTCTCTAAGGTTTTTTTTTCTTCTAATATTTTAACATTAGGCCTAGAGGACTATTAGGCGGAGTATTATTGTTGTTAACTTTATCCTTTATACCCCTTATCTTACTTGGGGTGTTTCCCATATTGGGTCCTGGTTAGGCTCAATCTCTCGTATTACAGATGGCTTACCTATCCTTCTCTGGGGGCTTGCTAGGGCTATTAGACTCAATCTCTCATATTAGAGATGTCTCACCTATCCTTAAGCCCCAACTGCTGGAGGCTCCATGCATTCACACACACTTTCAACCCCCAGAATATCCTGACGACCAAGGAAATACTTTGTCGCCCCTGCGGTGTTTCTTACCTTGGTCTGTGCAGAGAATTACTGGTCACTGTGGTATGTGAGGATCTTTCCCCCAGGTTGCCAGCCGGTTTCTTTCTTCATTGCTGAGAGCATGAGTTTATTCATCACACCGGGTGGGTCTCAATTCCTTACCCCCGAGGCCACTGCAGTGAGGCAGCAGGGCATGTCTCCTCATGGGAGAGGTCTAGACCCTCCCCAGAGGAGAATGAGAATCCCAGATGGGCCCCCAAATTTGCTAGAAATAAATTTTTGGTGCTGCAAAAGAAATAGCACTCAAACACGAATTTTCTCAGCAAGGCAATTTTACTTCTATAGAAGAGTGCATCTCTCAGATGGAACAATGGCGAGAGCACACCTGAACAAGGGAGGGGGAGGGGTTTTTATCTCTGATACAAGTAACCCCTACTGCTGTGTCATTCCCCTATTGGCTAGGGTTGGACCACACAGTCTAAGCTAATTCTGATTGGCTATTTTAAAGAGAGCAGGGGTATGAAACAGAATGGCGGGGTGAGCAGTTTTGGTGGGAAGGACAGTTATGGAACAGGTGACTAAAGGTGACTCAGGTCAGAGCAGGTGACAGGGGTGACTCAGGTTAGAGTAGGTAACCAGTGGTGACTCAGCATGGAGCAGGTGACCAGGGAAACAGGTGTGAACTGATTAGAACTGGTGAAAAAGTTGTTTACTGAAACTAGGGTCAAGGAGATGAGGAGAATGAGGAAGTTAAACTTTAAAATGGAGAACAAAGAACTGAACATACTGACATACTGATTCTTTGAAGAGAAATTTAGAACTCACTGTATTTAACACTATCTTGGAGAATGTTCCACATGCTGATGAGAAGAATGTATATTCCGCAGTTCTTTGGTAGAATGTTCTGTAAATATCTAAGTCCATTTATTCTAGTGTATCATTTAAGTCCATTGTTTCCTTGTTGACTTTGTCTCTGATTTGTCTAGTGCTATCAGTAGTACATTGAAGTCTCCCACTATTATTGTGTTGCTGTCTATCTCATTTTGTAGGTCTAGTAGTAATTGTCTTATGAATCTGGGAGCTCCAGTGTTAGGTGCATATAAATTTAGGATTGTAATATCTTCTTCTTGGAGTGATCCTTTTATCATATGACTTTCTTTGTCTTTTTTTACTGTTGTTGCTTTGAAGTCTGTTTTATCTGTTATAAGAATAGCTATGCCTGCTTGCTTTTGGTTTTTATTTGTGTGGAATATCTTTTTGCACCCTTTACCTTGAGTTTATATGAATCCTTCTGTGTGAGGTGAGTCTCTGGAAGACAGCAGATATTTGGTTTGTAATTTTTAAAAATCCATTCTGTATCTTTTTAAGTGGAACATTTAGGCCATTTACATTCAACATTAATGTTGAGATGTGAGATACTGTTCTCTTCATCATGTTAATTATTACCTATATTTTTTTTCATTGTGTTATTGTTTTTAGGCCCTGTGAATTTTATGCTTTCAGAAAGTTCTATTCTGGTGCATACTGAGCTTTTGCTTCAAGGTTTGTAACTCTTTTTAGAATTTTTTATAGTGCTAGTTTGGTAGTGTCAAATTCCCTCAGCATTTGTTTGTCTGAAAATGACCTGTTTTATCTTTCATTTATAAAACTTAGTTTTGCTGGATTCAAAATTCTTGGCTGACAGTTATCCTGTTTAAGGAGGCTGAAGATCAGACCCCAATCCCTTCTGGCTTATAAGGTTTCTGCTGACAAGTCTGTTCTTAGTCTGACAGGGTTTCCTTTATAGGTTACCTGATGCTTTTATCTTACTGCTCTTATAATTCTTTCCTTCATTTTGACTTTAAATAGCTTGATTACTATATTCCTTGGTGAAGATCTTTTTGCAGTGAATTTCTCAGGTGTTCTTTGAGCTTCCTGGATGTGGGTGTCTAAATCTCTAGCCAGGCCAGGAAAGTTTTCCTCGATTGTTCCCTCAAGTAACTTTTCCAAACTTTCTGTTTTCTCCTCTCCCTCGGTAACACTGATTATTCTTAGGTTTGGCTTTTTTTTACATAATCCCATATTTCTTGGAGACTTTATTTATTTCTTTTGATTCTTTTTTCTTTATTTTTATCTGATTGGGTTAATTCAAAAGTCTTGTCTTCAAACACTGAAATTCTTTCTTCTGCTTGTTCTAGTCTATCGTTAAAACTTCCCATGACGTTTTGTAATTCCCTAAATGTGTCTTTCATTTCCAGAAGTTGTGACTGGTTTTTCTTTATAATATCTATTTCTCTAGAACATTCTTCATATCTTGAACTGCTTTTAAAATTTCTTTGATAGTTTCCACCTTTCTCTGGTACCTCCTTCAATAGCTTAATAATCAACCTTCTGGCCAGGCACAGTGGCTCACACCTGTAATCCCAGCACTTTGGGAGGCCAAGGCGGGCAGATCACGAGGTCAGGAGATCGAGACCATTGTGGCTAACATGGTGAAACCCCATCTCTACTAAAAATACAAAAAATTAGCTGGGCGTGGTGGCGGGCGCCTGTAGTCCCAGCTACTCAGGAGGCTGAGGCAGGAGAATGGCATGAACCTGGGAGGCGGAGCTTGCAGTGAGCCGAAATTGCACCACTGCACTCCAGCCTGGGTGACAGCGAGACTCTGTCTCAAAAAGAAAAAAAAAAAATCAACCTTCTGAATTCTTTATCTGGTATTTCAAAGATTTCATCCTGGTTTGGATCCATTGCTGGAAAGCTAGTGTGATCTTTTGGGGGTGTTATAGAACCCTGTTTTGTCTTATTACCAGAGTCACTTTTCTGGTTCCTTCTCATTGGGGTAGACTATTTCTTCCAATTATTCTTGAATTTATGTTTGATTTGACTGTTTCTTTTTTTAACTTTTCCCCTTAAGGATGTGACTTTAATGCTTATAGTTAATTATAGCCTAATTCAGTTATTGGTGCTTTCAGGGGTGAAGACTTTGTAAGATTTCCTTGGTTATAGAGATTCTTTGCATGATGACTTTCTCATGCTGGTTGTAGTAGCAGTGTGCTTCATGTGTGAGCAAGTTCATTGTCTTCTATGGAGTTGGAATGGTAGAGGTCTCTTGAAGTTTATCTCATTTCCCTGTGGCATGTACTTTTTAATTTATTTTCCTCTATTATTGTATCTACTTGTTTGATGGTCAGGCTTCAGGCCAGTAGGGGAAGTATTCCTGGGTAAGAACCCACTGTGGCTAAAGCAGGTGGGTAAGTGCAATACCCAATGGTGGGCAGATGTCCCAGTCTTGACAGAGGTGGCTGGAGGAGCTTTCAGCGAGTTGCATTGAGGTCTCATCAGGGGGAAGGGTTGGAGCCACCTCAGTTATTCTGCCAGGTCAGCATGAAAGTGATCCACCTCTCAGATACACTCCTGTCCCAGAGCTCCACATGATCGGGCTACAGAGTTTAGCTAAACTACTCTCTATGCAGGATTCAAAAAATATTTGTTTAAAATTAATGTTTCTGGGTTAGTTCCTTGGAAATTACACTTAGAAAGTTTCAGATTACATTACTCACCCATAGAACAGAGACATTAGAAAAATGCCAAAGTGGGCACATCCACAGTTGACAGGATTTCAAACCTCAGAATAAAATGTGTAGAAGGTGATTATGCTTCCCAGCACAGGGCAGGTTCTGGGAGTGCTCCCAGGTTGCACACTCAAATACAGAATGTTAAGCAGTAGTGTCCAGGCAGATTCTTGTGTACCACAGGACTCACATGTTTTAAAATGTTCATCATTCTTAGTGGTCAAAGGTCATACCAGGAAGAGTTAAGATAACTTTACTCAGAATTCTAGCCTGACTGAATCGGGGTGGTAGTGTTGACTGCTACCTTAAAGGAAATTCAAGGATTTATATAATAGGAAATGTTGCCATCTTCCCTACCTCCCCCAGATCAGATCCACCTGCACAGATAACTTAAGCAGAGACATATTCCAAATATTTAATATACCACACTTACAACTTAGAAGTACAGAAACTTGCACTATGCATAGAAGTGTAAGTAAAACTATATTCTCCACTATGGGGGTCTATTCTTTCTGAGAGTTTGTGGGTAAGTATATGGAGCAATACAAATGTGCTGTGATAACAGAAAAAGAACATTTTCTGTTCCTGTTTTCTTAGACTGAAATGACACATTAAAACCATAATAAATGGCAGAAAGAGTGGCTCAGATTCTACCAGAAAAAACCTAATCAAAGACTTTTCACAAGTTAACAATTCTCATAGATTTCCATCAACATTGTTAGGCATTATTCTGCATTCTGGATTATGTTGTGCATCACTTTTTTGCAAACTTCTAGATTCCTTTCTAAAGAATATGGAATTAAACATATCTGCTTAATGCCATGTGATAAAGCTGCTCATTTACCATTCCAGTATATTTTCTGAGGATGCTCCAGATACCGGAGTATCTGGAAAACAAGGGAGAGGGCAAACTTGTTCTGAAACAAAGAAAAACAAAAAGTTCATTTTAATGCCATTGACATTGGGAAGGACAAACCATTGTTTGTCTATTAACATGAGAGCTACAGGCACACAGGTATTGACACACTTTTAAAATGTGCATCATCATAGACAGGGCTAGACAGAGCCAATCTGGGGTTGCACCTGTTCACTGCTACTTTGGCCCCTGAAAAGTTTTGTAGCAAATCATCTGGCCCTGTGTTTTCAGCACTGTTCTGATCTGAACTCTTAGTCCTCTCAGTCCTTTGGGTCCAGCTGTTGGACCACCTCAGAGGCCTACTCTGCATTCATGTCCTGGCACATCTGACCCTGTTGTTTGATTCAAGGCACACCTACCATGTTCTAATACTTAAATTATTGTATAGCTACTAAGTAATGTACACTAAATGCCATCACAGAGCCTAGTTACAGATTTTTAAGAAATGAAATGGGAAAATGGAAATAAACTATAAAAGCCAAAGTAAAACCCAGGCCCTGCATGGTACATTAGTACTTCCCCAAGGACACTGAATTGAACAAAATTTAGTAACTCTGGGTATACTGGAAAACCCTTTACAAATTAACCCAGACAGAAAAAAACATCAAGGCCTCTGCAGGTGTTTGGATATAGCCAGAGGGATGGTGTCTGCCGGGGGTGGAAGGTCTGTGGCTTGGATAAGCAGCATATCAAAGCCAGGTCTGGTAGGCAGGGAGCTGGCCCCATATCTACAGATCAGAATGGCAGCATCGTTGGACATGGGGTATTGTAAGAGGTGCCCAGACCAACCTTCTAGAAAAGTTATTAAAGTTTTCCAGTTGCCTTCTGACATATATCTGTGTAGCTAAAATATTAAAGAAAATATTTTTAATGGTCTTCTAAAGAACCTCTAAATTTAATTAATTTGGACTGTAGAAGTTAGTAAAATTTTACATTTTAAAATCAATAATATCATTTTTTAAATCCTCCATGGTAGAATTCTTCTGGTTACTTTTTCTCTTTTAGGAACTCACTCTGCCCATTTGGCAGATCTGCCATCTAGCCAATCTGCTGGATAAGCAGCTACAGCTTTAAATCAGATTCCCCACTATCTAAGACTATCAACCTTGGATAGTCTTAGATACCAAACAATGGATACCAGGGATAAGAATCCCTGCCATTACCTACCATTTACTTATATAATATAGTTTTTGAGATGTATATGAACTAAATTTGTCATCTACTACCTCAGAAATGTCTATGAGAAATGTAGCATATCTAGAGAGTTGTAAGCCTGAAAGCTTTGTGAAGAGTGAATGAGGGCTGTCATTCCCGCAACAAATGCTTGCATTAAATGTGTGTCTGTGTATACATACATTCATATGCTACCATTCCAGTTAAAGGCAAAAGTAACAAATATCTTGGAGGTGTCTATTGGAGGCAGAAGATGAGAGACACCAGAGCTTTGTAATTATTCTCAGCTTAGACATTGTCAGAGGATTGCCAGCTAAGAGTCCCACTCATTTTTAGGTACAAAACTTTTTGTGGTTTTATTAGAAATTAATCATTTGATGGCGTTGCTACAGCCAGAAATAAGAACAGATGAGAGCAGCAATCAGAATTTTCAGGCTGAAAGCACAGATCAGTGATTCTCTTTCAGTGGAGTTTTTCTGGGGGTTATTAGCCTAAGCTCTGTGCTTCCTTTTTCTCTTCATACCGAGAGAAAACTTTTTCTTGTTCCAGGGACTGGCAGTGTTATGTCCTGGTTACATTTTTAACCATACAGATGACATTATGACTATCTAGAAAACAACACAATAACTGGTTTTTTAAAATGGAAAGTCTCTTCACAGTTGTTTTATCTATGGGATGCAATGGCTCTGCTTATCAGCTCACCATTATTTTTCCCTGCTGCTACACAGCATTGTAGACAGACCCCAAAGAACCAAATTAATTTATGAATTGTGACTAACAGATGCTGTGCTTGAATCCCCCTCATTCTGAGAGGTCAAGCAAGGTCAGGAGATCACTATCCCCCAAACCATTAAATGTTATTTGGATGGAATAAATGATATGCTCTATGGGAGCTGAGCCTTCCAAATTCTCATAACTGCACAATTGACATAACTGTACAGGTCCCCTTTATCCACCTGCTGGACACTGAGCCTGCTTCCTGCTTCTGCTCCATGGATTGCTAGGTTAAACTCACAACACTGCTCAAGAGACCCTCTGTGAAAAAGAAAAAAGATAATAAAACAAAGGTAGGCAAAATTAAGCTTCATCTGGAATTGGCTGCCAGATGTTTCATGCCTTCTAGGTTTGCTTCAATTTTTATGAGACACACATGAGCTCTTCTGGGTCTCGTGTATGGGCATGTATATTTTTATTAAAATATCCTTATGCTTTGTAGGAGGTTGGGGGGTCATTTTTTTCATGGAAGATATAAAAGAACCATGGGATGGGAACCAGAGGTACAGCACACACTCTTGCTACTACCCAGCTGCATAACCTGGGGCAAATCTTCCAAGTTGAATCTACACAGCTACACAGTTCACCTGATTTTGGCAGCTAGCTCCTCAGTAAGAAAAATAATGCCCAGGACAATTAAAGCCTCTTGGAAATGAAGCTTCAGTTTCTTACCTATATGTCAATTTTAAAGAATTTTTAAAATTTATTTTATTTTTTATTTTTTTGAGACAGAGTTTCACTCTTTGGCCCAGGCTGGAGTGAAGTGGTGTGATATCAGCTCACTGCAATCTCTACCCTCCTGGTTCAAGCGATTCTCCTGCCTCAGCCTCCCAAGTAGCTGGGATTACAGCCACCCACCACCACACCCAGCTAATTTTTTGTGTTTTTCGTAGAGACGGGGTTTCACCATGTTGGCCAGGCTGGTCTTGAACTCCTGACCTCAGTTGATCCACCTGACTTGGCTTCCCAAAGTGCTAGGATTACAAGTGTGAGCCACCATGCCCGGCCTATTGTTATTTTTATAAAGTACAAACATACTAAGATAAAAACATTTATTGTCAGTGGTGATATCATCTGCCCACTAAATTATCATCTCACTTTGTAGGGGCTCTTTGTATATTTTAGATATTTTATTCACTACCTACATTACACATAACTTTCTGCGACTCTAGCATTGGTCTTATGATTTTGTTTATACTACATCTCTGTTTCAGTTTATAGTGTGATTTACAGTATGGTTTGTCAAACCAAATTTATTACCTGGGAAGACATATATTTTATTATCATAATCTATATATGCCTACATATAGATTTTTTGGTATTTACCCTGCATGTTGTTGTTTAAAATTTTGGGGTCTGTGGTTTGGTTTCAGACATCGATTTTGGGAAATTCTCAGTCATTATTGCTTCAAATGTTTCTTTGATCCTTTCTGTTATTCTTCTCTTTCTGGTTTTCTCATTAAGTGTATGTTACACCTTTTGTAGTTGTCTCACCATTCTTGGATATTCTGGGGGTTTTTTCATTTTTCTTTTTCTTTTTTTTTTTTTTTTTTGAGATAGAGTTATGCTCTGTCTCCCAGGCTGGAGTGAGGTGGCGCAAACTTGGCTCACTGCAACCTCCCTGTCCCAGGTTCAAGCAATTCTTCTGCCTCAGCCTCCAAAGTAGCTGGGATTACAGGCATGCACCAGCATGCCTGGCTAATTTTTTGCATTTTCAGTAGAGATGAGGTTTCGCCACGTTGCCCAGTCTGGACTCAAACTCCTGACCTCAAGTAACCCGCCCACCTTGGCTTCCCAAAGTGCTGGGATTACAGGTGTGAGCCACCACGCCCAGCCAAATTTTTTTTTTGGTAGAGATGGGGTCTCACTCTGTTGCCCAGGCTGGTATTGAACTCTTGGCCTCAAGTGATCCTCACACTTTGGCCTCCCAAAGTGCAGGAATTACAAGTGTGAGCCACCATGCCTGGCCCATCATTGGTTTTTACTTTAGAAGTTTCTATTGACATAAACTGAGGCTCACTAATTCTTTCCTTTGTCATGTCCATTCTACTGAGTATCAAAGATATTCTTCAGCTCTTTTAAAAATTTTGTATTTTTAAATATTGTGGGTACATAGTATATATTTATGGGTACATAAGATGTTTTGATGCAGGTATGCATGCATAATAATCACATCATGGAAAATGGGGTACCCGTCCCTCAAGCATTTATCGTTTGTGTTATAAATAATCATACTCATTTAGTTATTTTTATTTTATTTTACATTGATTGATTGATTGATTGATTGAGACGGAGTTTTGCTCTTGTTGCCCAGGCTGGAGTGCAGTGGCACGATCTTGGCTCACCGCAACCTCCACCTCCTAGGTTCAAGTGATTTCTCCTGCCTCAGCCTCTCAAGTAGCTGGGGTTACAGGCATGTGCCCACCACACCCAGATAATTTTGTATTTTTAGTAGAGACGGGGTTTCTCCATGTTGGTCAGGCTGGTCTTGAACTCCCAACCTCAGATGATCTGCCTGCAAAGTGTTGGGATTACAGGCATGAGCCATTGTGCCTAGCTTTATTTTATTTTATTTTTGAGATAGAGTCTCACTTTGTTGCCCAGGCTAGACTGCAGTGGTGCAATCCTGGCTTACTGCAACCTTCACCTCCCAGGTTCAAGCAATTCTCCTGCCTCAGCCTCCCGAGTAGCTGGGATTACAGGTGCCCGCCACCACGCTTGGCTAATTTTTGTATTTTTGTAGAGACAGGGTTTCACTGTGTTGGCCAGGCTGGTCTTGAACTACTGACCTCAAGTGATCTGCCTGCCTCGGCCTCCCAAAGTGCTGAGATTACAAGCATGAGCCACCATGCCTGGCCTCTTTTAGTTATTTTTAAATGTACAATTAAATTATTACTGACAGTAGTCACCCTGTTGTGCTATCAAATATTGGGCCTTATTCACTCTTTCTGTTAATAACTTTTTTGTACCAATTAACCATCCACATCTTCTCATGCACCCATTACCCTTCTCAGTCTCTGGTAACCGTGCTTCTACTCTCTGTCTCCATGAGTTCAATTGTTTTGATTTCTAGATCCCACAAATAAGTGAGAACATGTGATGTTTGTCTTTCTGTGCCTAGCTTATTTCACTTAACATAGTGACCTGACAGGATATCATTCTTATTTATGGCTGAATAGTACTCCATTGTGTATAAGTACTACAGTTTCCTTTATCCATCATCTGTTGATGGACACTTAGGTTGCTTCCACATTTTGGCTACTGTAAACAGTTCTGCAACAAACATGGAAGTGCAGATATCCCTTTAGTATACTGAGTTCCTTTCTTTTGGGTGTATACTCAGCAGTGGGATTGCTGGATCATTGGTAGCTCTATTTTTAGTTTTTTGAGGAACTTCCAAACTGTTCTCCATAGTGGTTCCACTAATTTACATTCTCACCAACAGTGTGCAAGGGTTCCCTTTACTTCACATCCTTGCCAGAATTTGTTATTGCCTGTCTTTTGCATATAAGCCATATAAGATGATATATTAGTGTAGTTTTGATTTGCATTTCTCTGATGATGACTGATGTCAAGCACCTTTTTGTGGGCCAGTTTGCCATCTGTATTTCTTCTTTTGAGAAATGCCTATTCAAATCTCTTCCCCATTTTTAAATCAGATGATTTGATTTTTTTCTATAGAGTTGTTTGAACTTCTTATGTATTCTGGTTATTAACTACTTGTCAAATGGATAGTTTACAAGTATTTTATCCCATTCCATGAGTTGTCTCTTCACTTTGTTGATTGTTTCCTTTGCTGTGCAGAAGCTTTTTTTACCTGATGTGATCTCATTTGTCCATTTTTACTTTGGTTTCCTGTGCTTGTAGGGTATTACTCAAGAAATTTTTGCCCAGACCATTGTCCTGGAGAGTCTCTGCAATATTTTTTGCAGCAGTTTTCTAGTTTGACGTCTTAGATTTAAGTCTTTAATCCATTTTGATTAGATTTTTGTGAGCAATAGTGGTGTAGTTTCATTCATCTGCATATGGATATCCAGTTTTTCCAGCACCATTTATAGAAGGGACTCTCTTTTCCCCAATGTGTGTTCTTGGCACCTTTATTAAAAATGAATTTACTTTAGGCATATGAATTTGTTTATCAGTTCTCTAATCTATTCTAATGGTCTATGTGTCTGTTTCTACGTCAGTACCTTGCTGTTTTGTTTACCGTAGCTCTGTAGTATAACTTGAAGTCAGATAATGTGATTCCTGCAGTTTTGTTCTTTTTGTTCAGGATAGCTTTGGCTATTCTGGGTCTTTTGTGGTTCCAAATAAATTTTAGGATTGTTTATTCTATTACTGTGAAGAATGTAATTGACATCGCAATGGGAATTGCATTGAAACCTGTGGATTGCTTTGGATAGTATGGACATTTTAACCATATTAATTCTTCCATCTGTGAATATGGAATATTATTCCATATTTTGGTGGGTCCTCTTCAATTTCTATCATTAGCATTTTATAGTTTTTCATTATAGAGAACTTTTACTTTCTTTAATTCCTAGGTATTTAGTTGTATCTGTGGCCATTGTAAATGGGATTACTTTTTAATTTCTTTTTCAGATTGTTCACTGTTGGCATATAGAAATGCTACTGACTTTTGTATGTTGATTTTATATCATGCAAGTTTACTGTATTTGTTTATGAGTTCTAATAGGTTTTTTAATGGAGTTGTTTAGGTTTTTCCAAATATAAGATCATATCATCTGCAAACATCGATAATTTGACTTCTTCCTTTCTGGATGCCTTTTATTTCTTTCTCTTGTCTGATTGTTCTAGCTAGGATTTCCAGTACTGTATGCTGAATAACAGTGGTGACAGTGGGCATCCTTCTTGTGTTCCAGACCTTAGAGAAAAGGCTTTTGGTTTTTCCCCATTCATTATGATACATCAGTCTGTCATATATGGCTTTTATTAAGTTGAGGTATGTTCCCTCTATATCCAGTTGTTTTTAGGGTTTTTATCAGGAAGGGATGTTGAATTTTATCAAGTGATTTTTCAGCATCAATTGAAATGATCATATGGTTTTTGTCCTTCATTCTGTTGATATGATAGGTCACACTGATTGATTTGCATATGTTGAACCATCCTTGCATCCCAGGGATAAATCCCACTTGGCTATGATGAATAACATTTTTTTTTTTTTTTTTGAGACAGTCTCACCCTGTTGCCCAGGCTGCTGTGCAGTGTTACAACCTTGGGTCACTGCAACCTCTGCCTCTTGAATTTGAGTGATTCTCATGCCTCAGTCTCCCAAGTAGCTGGGGTTACAGGCCCATGCCACCATGCCCAGTTAGTTTTTGTAGTTTTAGGAGAGAAGGGGTTTCAACATGTTGGCCAGGCTGGTCTCAAACTCCCAGCCTCAAGTGATCCGCCCGCCTCAGCCTCCCAAAGTGCTGGGATTACAGGCATGAGCCACCACGCCCAGCCTATGAAGAATATTTTAAATGTGTTGTTGAATTTGGTTTACAAGTATTTTGTTGAGAATTTTTGCATCAATATCCATCAGAAATAGTGACTTGTAGTTTTCTTTTTTGATGTGTCTTTGTCTGGTTTTGGTATCAGAATAATACTGGCCTCATAGAATGAGTTTGGAAGTATTCCTTCCTCCTCTGTTTTTCTGAATAGTTTGAGTAGAAATGGTGTTAGTAGTCTTCTTTAAATGCTTGGTAGAATTCATCAATGAAGCCATCAGGTCCTGAGCTTCTCATTGCTGGGAGACTTTTTATTATAGCTTTGGTCTTTTTACTTGTTACTGATGTGTTCAGGTTTTGGATTTCCTTATAGTTGAATCTTGGTAGATTATATGTGTCTAGGAATTTGTCCATTTCTTCTAAATTTTCCAGTTTATTGGCATATAGTTGCTCGTGGTGGCCACTAATGATTCTTTGACTTTCTGCAGTATTGGTTGTCATGTCTCCTTTTTCATCTCTGATTTCTGATTTTATTTATCTGGGTCGTCTTTTTTTTTCTTAGTCTAACTAAAGGTTTTTCAATTTTGTTTAACTTTAAAAAAACAACGTTTTGTTTCATTGATCTTTTGTATTTTCTTCATTTCAAAACCATTTATTTCTGCTCTGATCTTTATTTGTTTTATTCTACTAATTTTGGGTTTATTTTGCTCTTGCCTTTCTAGTTCTTTTCTTTATTTATATACTTTAAGTTCTTGGGTACATGTGCAGAACGTGCAGGTTTATCACATAGGTATACACATGCCATGGTGGTTTACTGCACCCATAAACCTGTCATCTACATTAGATATTAATCCTAATGCTATCCCTTCCCCTGCCCCCCACCCCACCAACATGCCCTGGTGTGTGATGTTCCCCTCCCTGTGTCCATGTGTTCTCATTGTTCAACTCCCACTTATGAGTGAAAACGTGCAGTGTTTGGTTTTCTGTTCTTCTGTTAGTTTGCTGGGAATGATGGTTTCCAGCTTCATCCATGTCCCCACAAAGGACATGAACTCATCCTTTTTTATGGCTGCATAGTATTCCATGGTGTATATGTGCCACATTTCTTTATCCAGTCTATCTTTGAGGGCATTTGGGTTGGTTCCAAGTCTTTGCTATTGTAAACAGTGCTGCAATAAACATACGTGTGCATGTGTCTTTATAGTAGAAGGATTTAAAATCCTTTGGGTATACACTCAGTAATGGAATTGCTGGGTCAAATGGTATTTCTGGTTCTAGATCCTTGAGGAATCGCCACACTGTCTTCCACAATGGTTGAACTAATTTACACTTCCACCAACAGTGTAAAAACGTGCCTATTTCTCCACATCCTCTCCAGCATCTGTTGTTTCCTGACTTTTTAATGATTGCCATTCTAACTGGCATGAGATGGTATCTCATTGTGGTTTTGATTTGCATTTCTCTAATGACCAGTGATGATGGGCTTTTTTTCATATGTTTGCTGGCTGTATAAATGTCATCTTTTGCGAAGTGTCTGTTCATATCCATCACCCACTTTTTGATGGGGTTGCTTGTTTTTTTCCTTGTAAATTGGTTTAAGTTTTTTGTAGATTCTGGATATTAGCCCTTTGTCAGATAGATAGATTGCAAAAATTTTCTTCCATTCTGTAGGTTTCCCGTTCACTCTGATGATAATTTCTTTTGCTGTGCAGAAGCTCTTTAGTTTAATTAGATCCTATTTGTCAATTTTTGGCTTTTGTTGCCATTGCCTTTGGTGTTTTAGTCATGAAGTCTTTGCCCATGCCTGTGTCCTGAATGGTACTGCCTAGGGTTTCTTCTAGAATTTTTATGGTTTTAGGTCTTATGTTTAAGTCTTTAATCCATCTTGAGTTAATTTTTATGTAAGATGTAAGGAAGGGGTCCAGTTTGTTTTCTACTTATGCCTAGCCAGTTTTTCCAACACCATTCATTAAATAGGGAATCCTTCCCCAGTTGCTTGTTTTTGTCAGGTTTGTCAAAGATCAGATGGTTGTAGATGTGTGGTGTTATTTCTGAGGCCTCTGTTCTGCTCCATTGATCTATATTTCTATTTTGGTACCAGTACCATTGCTGTTTTGGTTACTGTAGCCTTGTAATATACTTTGAAGTCAGGTAGTGTGATGCCTCCAGCTTTGTTCTTTTTGCTTAGGATTGTCTTTGCTGTGGGGGCTCTTTTTTTGGTTCTGTATGAAATTTAAAGTGATTTTTTTCTAATTCTGTGAAGAAAGTCAGTCGTAGCTTGATGGGGATAGCAATGTATCTATAAATTACTTTGGGAAGTATGGCCATTTTCACAATATTCTTTCTATCCATGTGCATGGAATGTTTTTCCATTTGTTTGTGTCCTGTCTGATTTCCTTGAGCAGTGGTTTGTAGTTCTCCTTGAAGAAGTCCTTCACATCCCTTGTAAGTTATATTCCTAGGTATTTAATTCTCTTTTTAGCAATTGTGAATGGGAGTTCACTCATGATTTGGCTCTCTGTTGGTGTGTTATTGGTGTATAGGAATGCTTATGATTTTTACACATAGATTTTGTATCCTGAGACTTTGCTGAAGTTGCTTATCAGCTTAAGGAGATTTGGGGCTGAGACATGGGGTTTTCTAAACATACAATGAGGTCATCTGCAAACAGACAATTTAACTTCCTCTCTTCCTATTTGAATACCCTTTATTTCCTTCTCTTGGCTGATTGCCCTGGCCAAAACTTCCAATACTATGTTGAGTAGGAGTGGTGAGATAGGGCATCCCTGTCTTGTGCCAGTTTTCAAAGGGAATGTTTTCAGTTTTTGCCCATTCAGTATGATATTGGCTGTGAGTTTGTCATAAATAGCTCTTATTATTTTGAGATACATGCCATCAATATCTAGTTTATTGAGAGTTTTTAGCATGAAGGGATGTATAATTTTATTGAAGGCCTTTCTGCATCTATTGAGATAATCATGTGGTTTTTGTCATTAGTTCTGTTTATGTGATGGATTACGTTTATTGATTTGCGTATGTTGAACCAGCCTTGCATCCCAGGGATGAAGCCAATTTGATCATGGTGGATAAGCTTTTTGATATGCTGCTGGATTCGGTTTGCCAGTATTTTATTGAGAATTTTTTCATCGATGTTCATCAGGGATATTGGCCTGAAATTTTCTTTTTTTGTTGTGTCTCTGCCAGGTTTTGGTATCAGGATGATGCTGGCCTCATAAAATGAGTTAGGGAGGATTCCCTCTTTTTCTATTGCTTGGAATAGTTTCAGAAGGAATGGTACTAGCTCCTCTTTGTACCTCTGGTAGAATTCGTCTGTGAATCTGTCTGGTCCTGGACTTTTTTTGGTTGGTAGGCTATTAATTACTGCCTCAATTTCAGAACTTGTTATTGGTCTATTCAGGGATTTGGCTTCTTCCTGGTTTAGACTTGGTAGGTATGTGTCCAGGAATTTATCCATTTCTTCTACACTTTCTAGTTTATTTGTGTAGAGGTGTTTATAGTATTCTCTGACAGTAGTTTGTATTTCTGTGGGATCAGTGGTGATACCCCTTTATCATTTTTTATTGCGTCTATTTGATTCTTCTGTCTTCTTTATTCATCTGGCTAGCAGTCTATTTTGTTGATCTTTTCAAAAAACCAGCTCCTGGATTCATTGATTTTTTTTAAGGGTTTTTTTTTGTGTCTCTATTTCCTTCAGTTCTGCTCTGATCTTAGTTATTTCATGTCTTCTGCTAGCTTTTGATTTATTTGCTCTTGCTTCTCTAGTTCTTTTAATTGTGATGTTAGGGTGTCGATTTTAGATCTTTCCTGCTTTCTCTTGTGGGCATTTAGTGCTATGAATTTCCCTCTACACAGCTTTAGCTGTGTCCCAGAGATTCTGGTATGTTGTGTCTTTGTTCTCATTGGCTTCAAAGGACTTATTTATTTCTGCCTTAAATTTCGTTATTTACCCAGTAGTCATTCAGGAGCAGGTTGTTCAGTTTCCATGTAGTTGTGCAGTTTTGAGTGAGTTTCTTAATCCTGAGTTCTAATTTGATTGCACTGTGGTCTGAGAGACTGTTTGTTATGATTTCCATTCTTTTGCATTTGCTGGGGAGTGTTTTACTTCTAATTACATGGTCAATTTTAGAATAAGTGCAATGTGGTGCTGAGAAGAATATATATTCTGTTGATTTGTAGGGGAGAATTCTGTAGCTGTCTATTAGGTCTGCTTGGTGCAGAGCTGAGTTCAAGTCCTGAATATCCTTGTTAATTTTCTGTCTCATTGATCTGTCTAATATTGACAGTGGGGTGTTAAAGTCTCCCACTATTATTGTGTGGGAATCTAAGTTTCTTTGTAGATCTCTAAGAACTTTATAAATCTGGATGTTCCTGTATTGGGTGCATATATGTTTAAGATAGTTAGCTCTTCTTGTTGCATTGATCACTTTACCATTATGTAATGCTGTTCTGTGTTTCTTTTGACCTTTGTTGGTTTAAAGTCTGTTTTATCAGAGACTAGGATTGCAACCCCTGCTTTTTTTTTGCTTTCCATTTGCTTGGTAAATATTCTTCCATTCCTTTATTTTGAGCCTGTGTGTGTCTTTGCACGTGAGCTGGGTCTCCTGAATACAGCACACTGATGGGGCTTGACTCTATCCAATTTGCCAGTCTGTGTCTTTTAATTGGGGCATTTAACCCATTTACATTTAAGGTTAATATTGTTTTGGGTGAATTTGATCCTGTCATTATGATGCTAACTGCTTATTTTGCTTGTTGCTTGATGCAATTTCTTCATAGTGTCAATGGTCTTTACAGTTTGTCATGTTTTTGCAGTGGCTGGTATGGGTTTTTCCTTTCCATGTTTAGTGCTTCCTTTAGGAGCTCTTGTAAGGCAGGCCTGGTAGTGACAAAATCTCCTAGCATTTGGTTGTCTGTAATGGATTTTATTTCTCCTTCGCTTATGAAGCTTAGTTTGGCTGGATATGAAATTCCGGGTTGAAAATTCTTTAAGAATATTGAATATAGGCCCTCACTCTCTTCTGGCTTGTAGAGTTTCTGCAAGAGATCCACTGTTAGTCTGATGGGATTCCCTTTATGGGTAACCCGACCCTTCTCTCTGGCTGCCCTTAAAAGTTTTTCCTTCATTTCAATCTTGGTGAATCTGACGATTATGTGTCTTGGGGTTGCTCTTCTGGAGGAGTATCTTTGTGGTGTTCTCTGTATTTACTGAATTTGAATGTTGACCTGTCTTGCTAGGTTGGGGAAGTTCTCCTGGATAATATCCTGAAGATCGTTTTCGTTTTTTTTATATATATACTTTTAAGTTTTAGGGTACATGTGCACAACGTGCAGGTTTGTTACATATGTATACATGTGCCATGTTGGTGTGCTGCACCCATTAACTCGTCATTTATATTAGGTATATCTCTTAATGCTATCCTTCCCCGCTCCCCCCACCCCACAACAGACCCTGTTGTGTGATGTTCCCCTTCCTGTGTCCATGTGTTCTCATTGTTCAATTCCCACCTATGAGAACAGGCAGTGTTTGGTTTTTTGTCCTTGTGATAGTTTGCTGAGAATGATGGTTTCCAGCTTCATCCACATCCCTACAAAGGACATGAACTCATCATTTTTATGGCTGCATAGTATTCCATGGTGTATATGTGCCACATTTTCTTAATCCAGTCTATCATTGATGGACATTTGGGTTGGTTCCAAGTCTTTGCTATTGTGAATAGTGCTGCAATAAACATACGTGTGCATGTGTCTTTAGAGCAGCATGATTTATAGTCCTTTGGGTATATACCCAGTAATGGGATGGCTGGGTCAAATGGTATTTCTAGTTCTAGATCCCTGAGGAATCGCCATACTGACTTCCACAGTGGTTGAACTAGTTTACAGTCCCACCAACAGTGTAAAAGTGTTCCTATTTCTCCACATCCTCTCCAGCACCTGTTGTTTCCTGACTTTTTAATGATCACCATTCTAACTGGTGTGACATAGTATCTCATTGTGGTTTTCATTTGCATTTCTCTGATGGCCAGTGATGATGAGCATTTTTTCATGTGTGTTTTGGCTGCATAAATGTCTTCTTTTGAGAAGTGTCTGTTCATATCCTTCACCCACTTTTTAATGGGGTTGTTTGTTTTTTTCTTGTAAATTTGTTTGAGTTCATTGTAGATTCTGGATATTAGCCCTTTGTCAGATGAGTAGAATGCAAAAATTTTCTCCCATTCTGTAGGTTGCCTGTTCACTCTGATGGTAGTTTCTTTTGTTGTTCAGAAGCTCCTTAGTTTAATTAGATCCCATTTGTCAATTTTGGCTTTTGTTGCCATTGCTTTTGGTGTTTTAGACATGAAGTCCTTGCCCAAGCCTATGTCCTGAATGGTATTGCCTAGGTTTTCTTCTAGGGTTTTTATGGTATTAGGTCTAACATGTAAGTCTTTAATCCACCTTGAATTAATGTTTCTATAAGGTGTAAGGAAGGGATCCAGTTTCAGCTTTCTACATATGGCTAGTCAGTTTTCCCAGCACCATTTATTAAATAGGGAATCCTTTCCCCATTGCTTGTTTTTGTCAGCTTTGTCAAAGATCAGATAGTTGTAGATATGTGGCATTATTTCTGAGGGCTCTGTTCTGTTGCATTGGTCTATATCTCTGTTTTGGTACCAGTACCATGCTGTTTTGGTTACTGTAGCCTTGTAGTATAGTTTGAAGTCAGGTAGCATGATGCCTCCAGCTTTGTTCTTTTGGCCTAGGATGGACTTGGCAATGCAGGCTCTTTTTTGGTTCCATATGAACTTTAAAGTAGTTTTTTCCAACTCTGTGAAGAAAGTCATTGGTAGCTTGATGGGGATGGCATTGAATCTATAAATTACCTTGGGCAGTATGGCCATTTTCACGATACTGATTCTTCCTACCCATGAGCATGGAATGTTCTTCCATTTGTTTGTGTCCTCTTTTATTTCATTGAGCAGTGGTTTGTAGTTGTTGAAGAGGTCCTTCACATCCCTTGTAAGTCGGATTCCTAGGTATTTTATACTCTTTGAAGCAATTATGAATGGGAGTTCACTCATGATTTGGCTCTCTGTTTGTTATTGGTGTTTAAGAATGCTTGTGATTTTTGTACATTGATTTTGTATCCTGAGACTTTGCTGAAGTTGCCTATCAGCTTAAGGAGATTTTGGGCTGAGGCAATGGGGTTTTCTAGATATACAATCATGTGATCTGCAAACAGGGACAATTTGACTTCCTCTTTTCCTAATTGAATACCCTTTATTTCCTTCTCCTGCCTGATTGCCCTGGCCAGAACTTCCAACACTATGTTGAATAGGAGTGGTGAGAGAGGGCATCCCTGTCTTGTGCCAGTTTTCAAAGGGAATGCTTCCAGTTTTTGCCCATTCAGTATGATATTAGCTGTGGATTTGTCATAGATAGCTCTTATTATTTTGAGATACATCCCATCAATACCTAATTTATTGAGAGTTTTTAGCATGAAGGGTTGTTGAATTTTGTCAAAGGCCTTTTCTGCATCTATTGAGATAATCATGTGGTTTTTGTCATTGGTTCTGTTTATATGCTGGATTATGTTTATTGATTTGCATATGTTGAACCAGCCTTGCATCCCAGGGATGAAGCCCACTTGATCATGGTGGATAGGCTTTTTGATGTGCTGCTGGATTCGGTTTGCCAGTATTTTATTGAGGATTTTTGCATCGATGTTCATCAGGGATATTGGTCTAAAATTCTCTTTTTTGGTTGTGTCTCTGCCAGGTTTTGGTATCAGGATGATGCTGGCCTCATAAAATGAGTTAGGGAGGATTCCCTCTTTTTCTATTGATTGGAATAGTTTCAGAAGGAATGGTACCAGCTCCTCCTTGTACCTCTGGTAGAATTCAGCTGTGAATCATCTGGTCCTAGACTTTTTTTGGTTGGTAAGCTATTAATTATTGCCTCAATTTCAGATCCTGTTATTGGTCTATTCAGAGATTCAACTTCTTCCTGGTTTAGTCTTGGGAGGGTGTATGTGTCAAGGAATTTATCCATTTCTTCTAGATTTTCTAGTTTATTTGCATAGAGGTGTTTATAGTATTCTCTGATGGTAGTTTGTATTTCTGTGGGATCGGTGGTGATATCCCCTTTATCATTTTTTATTGCATCTATTTGATTCTTCTCTCTTTTCTTCTTTATTAGTCTTGCTAGCGGTCTATCAATTTTGTTGATCTTTTCAAACAACCAGCTCCTGGATTCATTGATTTTTTGAAGGGTTTTTTTGTGTCTATTTCCTTCAGTTCTGCTCTGATCTTAGTTATTTCTTGCCATCTGCTAGCTTTTGAATGTGTTTGCTCTTGCTTCTCTAGTTCTTTTAATTGTGATGTTGGGTGTCAATTTTAGATCTGTTCTGCTTTCTTTTGTGGGCATTTAGTGCTATGAATTTCCCTCTACACACTGCTTTGAATGTGTCCCAGAGATTTTGGTATGTTGTGTCTTTGTTCTTGTTGGTTTAAAGGAACATCTTTATTTCTACCTTCATTTCCTTATGTACCCAGTAGTCATTCATGAGCAGGTTGTTCAGTTTCCATGTAGTTGAGCGGTTTTGAGTGAGTTTCTTAATCCTGAATTCTAGTTTGATTGCACTGTGGTCTGAGAGACAGTTTGTTATAATTTCTCTTCTTTTACATTTGCTGAGGAGTGCTTTACTTCCAACTATGTGGTCAATTTTGGAATAGGTGTGGTGTGGTGCTGAAAAGAATGTATATTCTGTTGATTTGGGGTGGAGAATTCTGTAGATGTCTATTAGGTCCGCTTGGTGCAGAGCTGAGTTCAATTCCTGGATATCCTTGTTAACTTTCAGTCTGTTTGATCTGTCTAATGTTGACAGTGGGGTGTTAAAGTCTCCCATTATTATTGTGTGGGAGTCTAAGTGTCTTTGTAGGTCTCTAAGGACTTGCTTTATGAATCTGGGTGCTCCTGTATTGGGTGCATATATATTTAGGATAGTTAGCTCTTCTTGTTGAATTGATCCCTTTACCATTATGTAATGGCCTTTTTTGTCTCTTTTGATCTTTGCTGGTTTAAAGTCTGTTTTATCAGAGACTAGGATTGCAACCCCTGCTTTTTTTTGTTTTCCATTTGCTTGGTAGATCTTCCTCCATCCCTTTATTTTGAGCCTATGTGTGTCTCTGCACGTGAGATGGGTTTCCTGAATACAGCAAACAGATGGGTCTTGAGTCTTTATCCAATTTGCCAGTCTGTGTCTTTTAATTGGAGCATTTAGCCCATTTACATTTAAGGTTAATATTGTTATGTGTGAATTTGATCCTGTCATTATGATGTTAGCTGGTTATTTTGCTCGTTAGTTGATGCAGTTTCTTCCTAGCCTCGATGGTCTTTACACTTTGGCATGTTTTTGCAGTGGCTGGTACCGGTTGTTCCTTTCCATGTTTAGTGCTTCCTTCAGGAGCTCTTCTAGGGCAGGCCTGGTGGTGACAAAATCTCTCAGCATTTGCTTGTCTGTAAAGGATTTTATTTCTCCTTCACTTATGAAGCTTAGTTTGGCTGGATATGAAACTCTGGGTTGAAAATTATTTTCTTTAAGAATGTTGAATATTGGCCCCCACTCTCTTCTGGCTTGTAGAGTTTCTGCCGAGAGATCAGCTGTTAGTCTGATGGGCTTCTCTTTATGGGTAACCTGACCTTTCTCTCTGGCTACCCTTAACATTTTTTCCTTCATTTCAACTTTGGTGAATCTGACAATTATGTGTCTTGGAGTTGCTCTTCTCGAGGAGTATCTTTGTGGCGTTCTCTGTATTTCCTGAATTTGAATGTTGGCTTGCCTTGCTAGATTGGGGAAGTTCTCCTGGATAATATCCTGCAGAGTGTTTTCCAACTTGGTTCCTTTCTCCCTGTCACTTTCAGGTACACCAATCAGATGTAGGTTTGGTCTTTTCACATAGTCCCATATTTCTCGGAGGCTTTGTTCATTTCTTTTTATTCTTTTTTCTCGAAACTTCTCTTCTCACTTCATTTCATTCATTTCATCTTCCATCACTGATACCCTTTCTTCCAGTTGATCGAATCAGCTACTGAGGCTTGTGCATTCGTCACATAGTTCTCATGCCGTGGTTTTCAGCTCCATCAGGTCCTTTAAGGACTTCTCTGCATTGGTTATTCTAGTTAGCCATTTGTCTCATTTTTTTTCAAGGTTTTTAACTTCTTTGCCATGGGTTCGAACTTCCTCCTTTAGCTCAGAGTAGTTTGATCGTCTGAAGCCTTCTTCTCTCAACCCGTCAAAGTCATTCTCCATCCAGCTTTGTTCCGTTGCTGGTGAGGAGCTGCATTCCTTTGGAGGAGGAGAGGCGCTCTGATTTTTAGAGTTTCCAGTCTTTCTGCTCCATTTTTTCCCCTCCATTTTTTCCCCATCCTTGTGGTTTTATCTACCTTTGGTCTTTGATGATGGTGATGTACAGATGGGGGTTTGGTGTGGATGTCCTTTCTGTTTGTTAGTTTTCCTTCTAACAGTCAAGGCCCTCAGCTGCAGGTCTGTTGGAGTTTGCTGGAGGTCCACTCCAGACCCTGTTTGCCTGGGTATCAGCAGCGGAGGCTGCAGAACAGCAGATATTGGTGAACAGCAAATGTTGCTGCCTGATCATTCCCCTGGAAGTTTTGTCTCAGAGGAGTACCCGGCCATGTGAGGTGTCAGTCTGCCCTTACTGGGGGGTGCCTCCCAGTTAGGCTACTCGGGGGTCAGAGGCCCACTTGAGGAGGCAGTCTGTCCATTCTCAGATCTGCAGCTGTATGCTGGGAGAACCACTACTCTCTTCAAAGCTGTCAGGGACATTTAAGTCTGCAGAGGTTTCTGCTGCCTTTTGTTTGGCTATGCCCTGCCCCCAGAGGTGGAGTCTACAGAGGCAGGCAGGCCTCCTTGAGCTGCGGTGGGCTCCACACAGTTCGAGCATCCCGGCTGCTTTGTTTACCTACTCAAGCCTCGGCAATGGCAGGCGCCCCTCCCCCAGCCTCGCTGCTGCCTTGCAGTTTGATCTCAGACTGCTGTGCTAGCAATGAATGAGGCTCCGTGGGTGTAGGACCCTCCGAGCCATGCGCGGCATATAATCTCCTGGTGTGCCGTTTGCTAAGACTGTTGGAAAAGCGCAGTATTAGGGTGGGAGTGACCTGATTTTCCAGATGCCATCTGTCACCCCTTTCTTTGACTAGGAAAGGGAATTCCCTGACCCCTTGTGCTTCCTGGGTGAGGCTATGCCTCACCCTGCTTCGGCTAATGCTCGGTGTGCTGCACCCACTGTCCTGCACCCACTGTCCGACAGTCCCCAGTGAGATGAACCTGGTACCTCAGTTGGAAATGCAGAAATCACCCATATTCTGTGTTGCTCATGCTGGGAGCTGTAGACTGGACCTGTTCCTATTCGGCCATCTTGGCTCCTCCCCTCCTGAAGATTGTTTTCTAACTTGGTTCCATTCTCCTCATCACTTTCAGGTACAGCAATCAAATGTAGATTTGGTCTTTTCACATAGTCCCATATTTCTTGGAGGGTTTGTTCATTCATTTTCATTCTTTTTTCTTTAATCTTGTCTTCTCACTTTCTTTCATTAAGTTGATCTTCAGTCTCTGATATCCTTTCTTCTGCTTGATCGATTCAGCTATTGATACTTGTGTATGCTTCACGAAGTTCTCGTGCTGTGTTTTTCAGCTCCATCAGGTCACTTATGTTCTTCTCTAAACTGATTATTCTAGTTAGCAATTTGACTAACCTTTTTTCAAGGTTCTTATCTTCCTTGCATTGGGTTAGAACATGCTCCTTTAGCTTGGAGGAGTTTGTCATTGCCCACCTTTTGAAGCCTAGTTTTGTCAGTCAAACTCATTCTCCACCCAGTTTTGTTCCCTTGCTGGTGAGGAGTTGTGATTCTTTGGATGAGAAGAGGCATTCTGGTTTTTGGAATTTTCAGCCTTTTTCACTGGTTTCTCCCCATTTTCGTGTATTTATCTACCTTTGGTTTTTGATGTTGGTGGACTTTGGATGGGTTTTCTGTGTCTGGACGTCCTTTTTGTTGATGTTGACGCTATTTCTTTCTGTTTGTTAGTTTTCCTTCTAACAATCAGGCCCCTCTGCTCCAGGTCTGGTGGAGTTTTCTGGAGGTCCACTGCAGACCCTGTTTGCCTGGGCATCACCAGCGGAGGCTGCAGAACGGGAAAGATTGCTGCCTGTTCCTTCCTCTGGAAGCTTCATCCCAGAGAAGCACCTGCCAGATGCCAGCTGGAGCTTTCTTTTATGAGGTGTCTGTCAGCCCCTGTTGGGAGGTGTCTCCCATTCAGGTGACACGGGGGTCAGGGAGCCACTTGAGGAGGCAGTCTGACCCTTAGCAGAGCTCCAACACTGTGCTGGGAGAGCTGCCACTCTTCAGAGCCATCAGGCAGAGATGTTTAAGTCTGCTGAAGCTGCACCCACAGCCACCCCTTCCCCCAGGTGCTCTGTCCCAGGGAGATGGGCGTTTTATCTATAAGCCCCTGACTGGGGCTACTGCCTTTCTTTCAGTGATGACCTGCCCAGAGAGGAGGAATCTAGAGAGGCAGTGTGGCTACAGCGGCATTGCTGACCTGCAATGGGCTCCACCCATTTCAAACTTCCCAGCGCTTTGTTTACACTGTGAGGGGAAAACCACCTACTCAAGTATCAGTAATGGTGGACGCCCCTCCCCCAACCAAGCTTGAGCATCCCAGGTCGACTTCAGACTGCTGTGCTGGCAGTGAGACTTTCAAGCCAGTGGATCTTAGCTTGCTGGGCTCCCTGGGGGTGGGATCCGCTGAGCTAGACCACTTGGCTCCCTGGCTTCAGCCCCCTTTCCAGGGGGGTGAATGGTTCTGTCTTGCTGGCATTCCAGGTGCCACTGGGGTATGAAAAAAAACAAAACAAAACTCCTGCACCTAGCTCAGTGTCTACCCAAAGTGCCACCCAGTTTTGTGCTTGAAACCCAGGGCCCTGGTGGCATAGGCAGTGGAGGGAATCTCCTGGTGTGTGGGTTGCGAAGACCATGGGAAAAGCATAGTATCTGGGCTGGAGTGCACCGTTCCTCACGGCACAGTCCCTCCCAGCTTCCCTTGGGTAGGGGGAGGGGTTCCCCAACCCCTTGTGCTTCCCGAGTGCGGCAACGCCCCACCCTGCTTCAGCTCGCCCTTCATGGGCTGCACCTACTGTCTAACCAGTCCCAATTGGATGAACCAGGTACCTCAGTTGGAAATGCAGAAATCACCTGCCTTCTGCGTTGATCTCCCTGGGAGCTGCAGACTGGAGTTGTTCCTATTCCGCCATCTTGCCAGCTCTCTCTTTTTTTTTTTTTTTCTTGAGACGGAGTTTTGGAGTTTCGCTCTTGTTGCCCAGGCTGGAGTGCAATGGTGCAGTCTCGACTCACTGCAACCTCCGCCTCCTGGATTCAGGAGATTCTCCTGCCTCAGCTTCCCAGGTAGCTGAGATTACAGGCATGCACAACCATGCTTGGCTAATATGTATTTCTAGTAGAGATGGGCTTTCTCCAGGCTGGTCTTGAACTCCTGACCTCAGGTGATCCGCCTGCCTCAGCCTCCCAAAGTGCTGAGATTATAGGCATGAGCCACCACACCCAGCCGCCTTTGTAATTCTTTAAGATGCATTCTTTAAGATGTAATTCTTTAAGATGCATTTCATAAGGTGTTTCATTTGAACTTTTTCTTGTTTTTTGATGTAGGCACTTATAGCTATAAACTTCCCTCTTAGTACTGCTTTTGCTATTTCCAGTAGGTTTTGGTATGTTTTGTTTCCATTATCATTTGTTTTAATTTTGCAATTTCCTTCTTAACTTCTTCATTGACCCACTGGTCATTCAGAAGGATATTGTTTAATTTCCATGTATTTGTATAGTTTCCAAAATTCCTCTTGTTAATGATTTTAAGTTTTATTCCATTGTGGTCAGAGAAGATGCTTGATATGATTTCAGTTTTTTGGAATGTTTTAAGACTTGTTTGTGAGCTAACATATTGTCTGTCTCTCAGAATGATCCATGTACTGAGGAAAAGAAACTGTATTCTGTAGTCATTGGATGAAATGTTCTGTAAATATTGTCCATTTGGTCTATATGCAGATTAAGTCCAATGTTTCTTTATTGATTTTCTGTCTAGATGATCTGTCCAATACTGAAAGTGTGGTGTTAATGTCTTCAACTGCTATCATACTGGGGTTTGTCTGTTTCTTTAGCTGCGATAATATTTGCTTTTATATCTGGGTACTTCGTGGTATTCTCCAATTCTGATACAATGTTTCTTATCTTTAGCATTTCCTTCTTAGAATTTCCATTTATCTTCTTATATTACCCATATATTCTTGCATGTTGTCTGCTTTTTCTATTAGAGCCCTTAGAATATTATAATGATTTTAAATAAACTGTCTGGTAATTCCACTATTCCTACTGTATCTGAGCCTGATTCTTGCTTGCTCTGTCCCTTCAAACTGTGTTTTATGCCCTGTGTTGTTGTTGTGTTTTGTTTTTGAAAGCAAGGCATGATGCATATAACAAGCTTCAGTGAATAGGCCTTTGATAACATGGTGGTAAGCCTGAGCCCATGGGCTGTGACCTTCACATGTGCTTCTGAGTCCGCCCCCGCCCCCCACTTTAGATGGGACAGAAAGGCTACAAGGGACTGGAGTTGAGTATTTCCCTTCCCGAGGTTGGTTATGCTCTCACAACTCGGTATGTTAAAATAGTTTCTCTGATAAAATAGTTACTCTGATAAAATAGTTTCTCTTGAGGGCAGCCTTTGTTAAGATAGTAAAATGTGCTAGTCATGTTTTATAATGGCTGCTTTTTCCCTCCCCTGCCAGAATCACAATGGGATTTTTCTGTATATTCACCCTGAGAACCTGGTGAGCTCCTGGAGGTAAAAGTCTCAGAATTGTAGGGGTCCCCCTGAGATTGAGCCCTGCTGGAATTTTTAGCTCTTGGACTTGTTTACACTGAGCTGGTAGCAATTTATCAATTATCATTTAGGTATTCCTACTCCAGTGCTGGTTCTCACATGTGTTTCTTCTCATGGGTTTTTGCACCCCTCAGTTGTGATTCTCTATATTCTCCTTTCTGTCTTTTCAGTTTTTGAGGCAGTGGTTTACCCTTTGACCACAGTTCTCTGATGGGTCTAAGAAGAGTTGTTTATTTTCAGTTCATTCACCTTTTTACTTGTGAGAACAGAGTGACAACTTCCAAGTTCTTTACATGCCAGAAGTCAGAAGTCTTAAATTTAAATATCTCAAAGTATACTAAGAAAAAAAATACTTTAAATAAAATATCAGTAGATCAACTTTATACCTTATGAATAAATATAGCAAGAACATAAATCATTTCATTCATAGAAACTATATATATATATATATATATATATATATATATATATATATATTTTTTTTTTTTTTTTTTTTTTTTTTTTGAGACACAGTCTCGTTCTGTCACCCAAGCTGGAGTGCATTGACATGATCTCAGCTTACTACAACCTCTGCCTCCTGGGTTCAAGAGATTCTCCTGCCTCACCTCCCAAGTAGCTAAGATTATAGGCACACACCACCTCGCCTGGCTAATTTTTGTATTTTTAGTAGAGATGGGGTTTCACCATGTTCGCCAGGCTGGTCTTGAACTCCTGACCTCAGGTGATCCACCCGCCCCAGCCTTCCAAAGTGCTGGGATTACAGGCGTGAGCCACCGAGCCTGGCCAGAAACATCATGTTCTTAAAAGTTATCTGTTATTTCACCGGGCATGGTGGCTCACGCCTGTAATCCAGCACTTTGAGAGGCTGGAGTGGGTGGATCACCTGAGGTCAGGAGTTCGAGACCAGCCTGGCCAACATGGTGAAACCCTGTTTCTACTAAAAATACAAAAAAAATTAGCTGGGTGTGGTGGTGCGCGCCTGTAATTCCAGGTACACAAGAGGCTGAGGCAGGAGAATCACTTGAACTCGGGAGGCGGAGGTTGCAGTCAGCTGAGATCACGCCATTGCACTCCATCCCTGGTGAAAAGAGTGAAAATATGTCTCAAAAAAAAAAGATATTTGTTATTTCATATGATTTTCATTTGATTCACTAAATTTAGTGTAAATATTTTAGGAATATTGTCTTGTGTTAGAGACGTTTGTATGGTTACAGCTTGGATGGCTAATCTGGACCTACCAGCATAATTTCAAGAACACACACACTGTACCTCCTTTCATTGCCTGCCTGAGGGGCTCATTCATTCGCTGGTTCTAAATTGGCAAAATAATGAGCACTTACCCAAATGGACATGAGGGTGTGACTCACTGAACATAAGAAAAAGCTGCTGAGATGTAGTTTAAAGGAAAAGGTTTTATTAGCTTATCTCTCTTAGGGCTGTAATTTTATAGTGTCATCTATAGAAAGATGACAAGTTCAGGCTTGTAAGATCAGAACTAGGAAGCTTAAAAACAAAAACAAAACTTTTTGTGTGTGTGTCTGAATTTTACTTTATTCTTCCCTGTAAAATAGTCTAGGAACTACATTCAACACTTTTTAATGTGCAATCCATATTTTTCTTTGATATATCTGCTTGAGGAGTTCAATGTGCTGTCATAATCATAGTAGAAAACACCATATTTTCTCACATGTCATAATGATACTGCAATCAAATTAACAAATACATTTCATATCAAACTTCCTAATATGTCTTCTCTTGGCATAAGGGGTCCCCAACTGCCTCACATATATTCAAAAAATACCCCTAGGACAAATCTCAATTCCTAGTGCAGCTCCTGTGTTGTATTATATTTCATGAGTCATTGTCTCTGTTTCCTGTGTTAACTTTAGTAGCAAGACTCCTTCATTTGACTTACTAAGGATAATAGTCATGTCTCCCTAGCAACTTTTAAACATTTGAGATATAATTCACATTCCATAAGATTCACCCCCTTAAAGTGTACATTTCAGTGGTATTTAGTATATTCACAAGGTTAACATCACTCACTATGTGTTTCTAGAACATTTCATCATCCCAAAAAGAAATCCTAAAGGAAAGCAATCACTCTGTTTGCTTTCTGCCCCCAGTGATTGGAACCAGTAACCCTCATTCTGCCTCTGAGGATTTGCCTATTTTGTACACTTTATTATTATATAAATGGCTTTATATATTATATACTGTATTATATATAGTATATACTATATATTTAGAATATTTATAATGTAATATATAACATCTATAATATATATGAGTATATATTTATAATGTAATATATAATATCTATAATATATATAAATATATGTGTCTGGTCCTTTCAGTCAACATAATGATTCCATTGTTCAAATACATTTTATCATGTATTAGTATTTAATTTTTATTATATCTGCATTATATTCCGTTGTGTAGATATACCACATATTGTTGATCCATTCATCAGTTCATAGACATTTGGGCTTTTTCCACTTTTTAAACTGTTATATATAATGTTCTATGAACATTCAAACATAAGTTTTTTACACGGACATATGTTTCAGATTCTCTTGAGGGCAATTGCTGGTTTATAATATTACTCTATGATTATATTTTCAGGCTTTTATCCACAGTAACCAAAACACTTTTCTTTCCCAGCAGCAATGTATGAAAGTCTCAATCTCTCTCCATGTCTTTGTGGATTGTTATCTGTCTTTTATATTTCAGCCATACTAGTGGGCATGCAGTTTTTATTGCATTGTGCTTTTGATTTGCACTTTCATAATGGCTAGTAGTGCAGAGCAACTATTTGTATGCTTCTTGGCCATTTGTCTTCATAGAAAAGTGTCTTTAAATGCTTGTACTTTTTTTCAACTTTTATTTTAGATTCAGGGGTACATGCATAGGTTTGTTATGTAGGTAAATTGTGTATCACAGGGGCTTGGTGTACAGATTATTTCATCACCTAGGTAATAAACATAGTACCTGATAGGTAGGTGTTAGGCGTTTTTTGTTTTGTTTTGTTTTGTTTTGAGACAGAGTCTCGCTCTGTCGCCCAGGCTGGCAGCCTCCCTAGTAGCTGGGACTACAGGCACCTGCCACCACGCCTAGCTAATTTTTTGTATTTTTTTAGTAGAGACGGGGTTTCACTGTGTTAGCCAGGTCTCCATCTCCTGACCTCGTGATCTGCCTGCCTCGGCATCCCAAAGTGCTGGGATTACAGGTATGAGCCACGGCGCCTGGCCCTGATAGGTAGTTTTTTATTCTTACCATCCTCCCATCCTCCACCATCAAGTAGAGCTTGATGTCTCTTCCCCTCTTTGTGTCCATGGGTACTCAATGTTTAGCTCCCACTTATAAGTCAAAAAATGCAGTATTTGGTTTTCTGTTCCTGTGTTAGTTCGCTTAGAATAAATAGCCTCCACCTCCATCTATATTGCTGAAAGGACATACTTTTTAAAAATTGGGTTATCTGTCTACTGTTGTTGAGTTGTAAGATAATTTATTTATTTATTTATTTATTTCTGAGACGGAGTCTCGCTCTGTCGCCCAGGCTGGAGTGCAGTGGCGCTATCTCGGCTTACTTCAAGCTCCACCTCCCAGGTTCACGCCATTCTCCTGCCTCAGCCTCCTGAGTAGCTGGGACTACAGGCGCCCGCCACCACACCCGGCTAATTTTTTGTATTTTTAGTAGAGACGGGGCTTCACCGTGTTAGCCAGGATGGTCTAGATCTCCTGACCTCGTGATCCGCCCGCCTCGTTCTCCCAAAGTGCTGGCATTACAGGCATGAGCCATTGTGCCCAGCCAAGAATTCATTATAAATTCTGAATACTAAGCCCTTATCAGATACATGATTTACAAATATTTTCTCCCATTCTGTGGGTTGTCTGTTTATATTCCTGATAGTGTCCTTTGGTAAACAAGTTTTTGATTTTTTTATGTAAAAATATTTTAAATTCATAATGTGACACAAAATGACTTTTACTATTTCCTTATGAGTTTTATATTATATTATGATAAACCTTCAAAGGAATCCTTGAGAATTTACATGCGTGGAGAATTTGTTTTCCCCTACTCATTAAAGTGGAGCCAATCCTCCATATGGTACAGAGAGGCAGCACATCACTCCTAAAATTTACTTGTACCACTTAAACAGTTTTTAATTTTGATGAAGTCCACTTTATCTGTTCTTCCTTTGGTTTCCCTTTCCTCCTGCCCCCGGCTTAAGATGTCATTTTGAAGAAGCCATTGCCTGGTACAGGAAGATTTATACTTACATGTTCTTCTAAAATGTTTAGGGTTTTATTTATTACATTTAAATCACTAAGCCATATTAATATAATTTTGTATATGGTCTGAGGTAGGTATCTAACTTCACTTATTTGCTTAGGAATATTCAGTTCTAACAACACCATTTGCTGAAAAGATGTTTTCTTACCCATGGAATTGTCTTGACACTTTTATCAAAAATCAGTTGAGCATAGAAGTATGGGTATATTTCCATTTCAGTGATCTGTATGTTTTTCCTTAAAACAGTGCCATACTCTCTCAATGACTGTAGCCTTATAGTAAGTTCTGAAATTGTAATTGTGAATCTTCCAACATCTTACTTTTCACGATTGTTTGGACTATGTTGGGTCCTTTGAATTTCCATATGAATTTTAGATTCAGTTTGTCAAATCTATAAAAAAAAACTGGAATTTTTATAAGGATTGCATTTGAATCTATAGATCAAATTGCAGAATATTGACATTTTAATATTAAGTTATTTAACCAATGAAGGAATGTCTTTCCATTTACTTAGATCTACTTTAATTTATTTCATAATAAAAACACAATGTTTTATTACATTGTACATGTGTTACAAAAAAAAAAAGTAATGTTTTGTAGTTTCTGGGTATGGTTGGATTCTTTAAATTTACTCCTATGCATTTTATTCTATTTTATGGTGTTGTAATTGGATTTTTTTTATCAATTTCTTTTTCAGAATAGTTAATGCTAATGTACAGAAATATAAATGATTTTTGTATGTCTTGTATTCTGCCACCTGGCTGAACTCATATCAGCTTTAATAATTTTTTGGGTTTCTTAGGATTTTCTCTTTTTTTCCCGTTTTTTTTTTTTGAGTTGGGTTTCACTGTGCTGCCCAGGCTGGAATGCAATGGCTATTCACAGGCATGATCATAGCACACTACAGCCTTGAACTCCTGGGCTCAAGCGACCCTCCTGTCTCAGCCTCCTGAGTAGCTGGAACTACAAGTATGTGCCACCATCCCCAGCTATGATTTTCTATATACAAAATCATGTCATCTAAAAATACAGATAATTTTATTTCTTTCTGTCCAATCTGATGACTTATATTTCTTTTCCTTCCCTAATTGCTATGGCTAGAGCTTTCAGTATGATGCTGCTATGTTGAGAGCTGACATCCTTGTCTTGTTCTTGATTTTAGGGGGAATGCTTTCCATCTTTCACCATTAAATATGATGTTAGCTCTACATTTTTTGTAGATGACTTTTATCAGTTTAAGGCAGTTTTCTTTGATTCCTAATTTGTTTTGTGTGGGTTTTTTTTTTATAGTCTCACACTGTCGCCAGGCTGGAGTGCAAATGGCACGATATCGGCTCACTGCAACCTTGGCCCTCAGGTTCACGTGATTCTCCTGCCTCAGCCTCCCAAGTAGCTGGGATTACAGGCACACACCACCATGCCTGGCTAATTTTTTGCATTTTTAGTAGAGATGGCTTTTCACTATGTTGACCAGGCTGGTCTCGAACTCCTGACCTTGTGATCTGCCTGCCTTGGCCTCCCAAAGTGCTGGGATTACAGGTGTGAGCCACCACACCCGGACTTTTTTTGAAATTGAGTCTCCCTCTTGTTGCCCGGTCTGGAGTGCAGTGGTGCAATCTCAGCTCACTGCAACCTCCACCTCCAGAGTTCAAGCAATTCTCTTGCCTTAGCCTCCTGAGTAGCTGGAATTACAGATGCCTACCACCACACTTGGCTACTTTTTGTATTTTTAGTAGAGATGGGGTTTCACCATGTTGGCCAGGCTAATCTCGAACTCCTGACCTCAGGTGATCTGCCCACCTCAGGCACCCAAAGTGCTGGAATTACAGGCGTGAGCCACCGCGCCTGGCTGTTTTGTGTTTTTATTATGAAAATATGTTGGATTTTTGTCAAATATTTTTCTGTGTCTATTGAAATGATCATGAGGTTTTTTTTCTTTATGCTTTTAATGTGGTATATTATATTGATTTTTCATATATTTGAACATACCTTACATTCCTGGAATAGATTTCCATTGGTCATGGTGTATAATCCTTGTTATACATTGCTGGTTTCAGTTTGCTATTTTAATTTTTATGATTTTTGCATCTATATAGATTAGAGACATTGATCTGTAGTCTTCTTCTCTTATAATGTCTTTGCCTAGTTTTAGTATCAGGGTAATACTGGCCTCTTAGAATGAGTTTGGAAGTGTTCACCCCTTCTTTCTTCAGAAGAGTTTATGAATATTAGTTTTAAATCTTTTTAAAATGTTGGTTAGAATTCACCTTTGAAACAATCCATTCCTGGGTTGTTTTGTGTGTGTGTGTGTGTGTGTGTGTGTGTGTGTGTGTGTGTGTGTGTGTGTGTGTTATATGTTTTAATTTAAATTCATTTCTTGTTATAGCTCTCTTTAGGCTTTTTATTTTTTCTTGAGTTCACTCTTTCAGTACTTTGTGTTTTTATAGAAATTCCATTCATCTAAGTTATCTAATTTTTGGCATGTGCTTGTCCATAGTATCCCCTTCATAATCCTTTCTATTTCTGTAGACCTTGTAGTGTCAACCCCTCTTTCATCCCTAATCCTAGTAATTTGATTCCTCTCTGTTTTCTCTTGGCCAGTCTAATAAAATTTATCATCTTAAAAATTTCTTCAGAGAAAAATTTTGTGGATTTTTTCTGTTCTCCTCTTTTCTATATTATGTATTTTTGCTCCAATATTATTTCCTTCCTTGTGAATATTTTGTGTTTACTTTGCACTTCTTTTTTCTGCTTTTTTAAGGTGGAAAGGAACACTACTGGTTTGAGATTTATCATTATCTCTTCTTTTTTAATTAGACATTTACAGCTATAAATTTCATCTAAGCTCTGCTTTAACTGCATCTCATATGTTTTGGTATTTTGTGTGTTTTTACATTTCAACCTATATTTTAGATTTTAGATACAGGGGATATATGTGCAAGTTTTAGGTATATTGCACCCAGGTAGTGAGCATAGTACCTAATGTGTAGTTTACCAAGTCATGCCTCTCTCCCTACTTCCCTCCCTCTAGCAGTCCTTAGTGTCTACTCTTCCCATGTTTATGTCCATGTGTGCTCCATGTTTAGCTCCCACTTGTAAGTGAGAATGTGCGGTATTTGGTTTTCTGTTCCTGTGTTAATTTGCTTAGGATTAGGCCCTCCAGCTCCATCTGTGTTGCTGCAAATGACGTAATTTCACTCTCTTTTAAAGCTGTGTAACATTTCATGGTGTATATGCATCACATTTTCTTTATCCAGTCCACCACTGATGGGCACCTAGGTTGATTCCAAGTCTTTGTTGTTGTGAATAGCATGGCAGTTAACGTATGAGTGCATGTGTCTTTTTGGCATAATGATCTGTATTCCTTTGGCTATATACTCAGTAATGGGATTGCTGGGTTGAATGGTAGGTCTGTTTTACGTTCTTTGAGAAATCTCCAAACTGCTTTCCACAGTAACTGAGCTAATTTACATTCCCACCAACAGTTTATAAGCATTCCCTTTTCTCCACATCCACTGGTTTTTGACTTGTTAACAATAGCCATTCTGACTTGTGCGAGATGGTATCTCATTGTGGTTTTGAATTGGATTTCTCTCATGATTAGAGATAATGAGTATTTTTTCATATGTTTGTAGGCCACTTACGTATGGCTTCTTTTGAAACATGTCCGTTCATGTCCTTTGCCCAGTTTTTAATGAGGTTATTTGCATTTTGCTTGATTTGTTAAAATTTCTTATAGATTTTGGATATTAGACCTTTATTGGATACACAGTTTGGAATATTTTCTCCCATTCTGTAGGTTGTCTGTTTACTCTGTTGATAGTTTCTTTTGCTTTGCAGAAGGTCTTTGGTTTAACTAGGTCCCACTTGTCAATTTTTGGTTTTGTTGCAATTGCTTTTGGAGACTTAGACAAAAACTCTTTGCCAAAGCCAATGTCCAGAGTGACATTTCCTAGGTTTTCTTCTAGGATTTTTATAGTTTGAGGTCTTAGATTTAAATCTTTAATCCATCATGAGTTAATTTTTTTATATGGTGAAAGATAAGGATCTTGTTTCATTCTTCTGCATATGGCTAGCCAGATACCCCAGCACCATTTATTGAATGGGGAGTTCTTTCCCTATTGCTTGTTTTTGTCAGCCTTGTAGATCAGATTCTTACAGTTGTGTGGCTTTATTTCTGAGTTTTCTATTCTGTTCCTTTGGTCTGTGTGTCTGATTTTGTACCAGTACCATGCTGTTTGCTTACTGTAGCCTTATAGTGTAGTCTGAAGTTGTATAGTGTAATGCCTCAGGCTTTATTCTTGCTTAGGATTGCATTGGCTATTAAGGCTTTTTTGTTGTTTTTCCATATTGATATGGTTTGGATCTGTGTTCCCACCAAATTTCATGTCCAATTATCATTTCCAGTGATTGTGAGTTCTCACAAGATCTGGTTGTTTAAAAGTGTGTAGCACCTCCCCCATCTCTCTCTTGGTCCTGCTCCTGCCATGTAAGATGGCTAATCCTGCTTTGCCTTCTGACATAAGTAGATACTCCCTATTACTTCCCCAGAAGCAGATGCTGTCATACTCCCTGTACAGCCTGTAGAACTGTGAGCCAATTAAACCTGTTTTTTTAATGAATTACCCAGTCTCAAGTATTTCTTTTAGCAATGTGATAACAGCCTAATATGCATATGAATTTTAGAAAAGTTTTTTGGTAGTTTCATAGGAATAGTGTTGAATATGTAAATTTCTTTGGGCAGTATGGCCATTTTAATGATATTGATTCTTCCAATCCAGGAATATGACAAGGAATATGACGGGTATTTCCATTTATTTGTGTCATCTCCGATTAGTTTCAGCAGTGTTTTGTAGTTCCCCTTGTAGAGATCGTTGACCTCCTTGGTTAGCTGTATTCCTAGGGATTTAAATTTCTTTGTAGCTGTTGTAAATGGGATTGTTTTTGATTTGACTCTCGGCCTGGATATATTGGTGTATGGAAATGCTACTGATTCTTATACATTGATTTTATATCCTGAAACCTTGCTAAAATCATTTATCAGTTCTAGTAGCCTTGTGGCAGTCTTTAGCATTTTCTAAGTACAGAATCATATTATCAGCAAAGAGAGATGGTTTCACTTCTTTTACTACTTGGATGCCTTTTCTTTCTTTCTCTTGCCTGATTGCTCTGGGTAGGACTTCCAGTACTCTGTTGAATAGGAGTGGTGACAGTGGGCTTCCTTGCCTTATTCCAGTTCTCAAAGGGAATGGTTCTAGCTTTTGCCCATTCAGAATGATGTTGGCTGTGGGTTTTTCATAGATGGTTCTTATTATCTTTAGATATATTCTTTGGATGCCTAGTCTGTTGAGGATTTTTCATCACGAAGGCATTTTTCTGCTAAACTTTTGGCTTTCTTAAAACAATTTCATAAGTAAGCAGATGTTGTCATTCTTTGTCCCTCCAGAAAATCAATAAGCAAAATGCCTTGAGCATTCCAAAAACCTGTGGCCATGACCTTTGCTCTTGACTGGTTTGCTTTTGCTTTAACTGGACCCCTTCTGCCTCTTGGTAACTGCTGCTTAGATTGTGTTTTGTCTTCAGGGTTATACTGGTAAAGCCGTGTTCCATCTCCTATTACAGTTCCTCAAAGACGTGCTCAGGATCTTGATCCCACTCGTTTAACATTTCCATTGAAAGCTCTGCTCTTGTCTGCAGTGGATCTGGATGCAGTGGTTTTGGTGCCCGTTGAGTGGAAAGTTGCTCAGCTTTAATTTTCCAGTAAGAATGGTGTAAGCTGGATCAATTGATATGTCCATCATGTTGTTTCTGCTGTTAATCATTCGTCCTCATCAATTAGGGCACAAACAAGATTAATTTTTTCCTTGCATATCTGTGTGGATGGGCTGATGCTGCAGACTTCATCTTCAACATCATCTTGGCCCTTCTTAAAATTAGTTATCCATTTGCAACCTACTGATTTATTTGGGGCATTGCCCCCATAAACTTTTTGTAAAGCATCACTGATTTCACCATTCTTTTGCCCAAGCTACCCCATAAATTCGATGTTTGTTCTTGTTTCCATTTTGGCAGAATTCATGTTGCTCTGATAGGGGCTCTTTTCAAACTGACGTCTTATCCTTCTTAGTACCTCAGACTAGACCCTGTTCAGACATGTTATAACAAGTGTGAGTTTACTTTGGTGTAAAACATTTTTGAAATCCCTGCATAGTTTTATTATAATATACATTTTCTATGGCCATTTTAAAGACCCCACGTATGTCTTAAGTAGAACAAATACATCATTATTGCCTCCACTTGTTCTCTCACATATATACAACTATCCATTGCTCAGGCACTGTATATTATGGGGAAATTTAAATTGATACTATGTTTATAATATTTCTTATTTAGTTATTGAGGACATCTCTTCACTGAGTCATGTCACTTTTTATTTCTCCCATTTAGGCTTTGTAAATTTTTTTGCATAAATCTGTCCTTGTATATAGCAAACAGGGGTCTGTATAAGGTAAGTACTTTGTATAAGTGTACATAGTTAAGGATTAAGGAAGACCTAGAATTCAGACTTGCTTTCTTAATCCAGTGTTTTTTCTAGTACATCACGTGGCTAATATATATAACATATATATGTTATATGTGTGTATATATATATAACATATATATGTTATGTGTGTGTGTGTGTATGTGTGTGTGTGTGTATATATATATGTCTTAGCTTGGGCTATTATAACAAAGTACCATAGATTGGGTGGCTGAAACAACAAACATTTATATCTCACAGTTATGGAGGCTGGCAAGTGTAAGATCAAGGTGCCAAAAGATTGGGTGTCTAGTGAGGATCACTTCCTGGTTCACAGATGATGGCTTCTCACTGTGTCTTCACATGGTGGAAAGAAGACTAGAGAGCTCTCGGAGATCTCTTATAAGAGCACAAACTCCATTCATGAGGGCTCCACTCTCATGCCTTAATTACCTCTCAGAACTCCTACCACCTAATATAAAAATCACAGTGAGGGTTATAATTTCACATATCAATTTTGTGAAACACAAACATTCAATCCGTAACACTGTTGCAATATATAACATATATGTAACTTATTAGCAAATAACAGACATATGTAAATATGTAACTTATTAGCAAATAACAGGTATACATATTTAAATATGAATATAAATATAAATATTTCTGAGGGCTTATTCTTATTAGTTTTAGAAATAAACTTGATTTATTTTTAATGATTTGGTTAAAAGCATATCTGTTTTACATTTTGGAGAAGAAAATCACATAAAGTAATGAAACTGCCATTAAACATTTGAAATAATTCTGCTGTGACTTATTGCTGTTAAATACCCTTTTGAAATAAATTCTTTAGTAACTTCCCTTATTTCTTTTATAATGTTAATATATATTTATATCCATTTTAGTTTTATATTGTAGTTTTCTACTTCTACTTTTTATTGCTCTTCTAAAATTTTTATTTCTATAGATTTTGGGGGAACAGGTGGTATTTGGTTACATGAGTAAGTTCTTTCATGGTGATTTGTGAGATTTTGGTGCACCCATCACCCAAGCAGTATACACTGAATCCAATTTGTAGTCTTTTATCCCTCACCCCTTTCCCCCTCTTTTCCCCCAAATCCCCAAAGTTCATTGTATAATTCTTGTGCCTTTGCATCCTCATAGCTTAGATCACACATACGAGTGTGAGCATACAGTGTTTAGTTTTCCATTCTTGAGTAACTTAGAATAATAGTCTCCAATCCCATCCAGGTTGCTGTGAATGCCATTAATTCATTCCTTTTTATGGTTGAGTAGTATTCCATCATATATACGTGCCACAGTTTCTTTACCCACTCATTGATTGATGGACATTTAGGCTGGTTCCACATTTTTACAATTGCGAATTGTGCTGCTATAAACGTGTGTAACTATCTTTTTCATATAATTTCTTCTTTTCCTCAGGGTAGATACCCAGTAGTGGGATTGCTGGATCAAATGGTAGTTCTACTTTTAGTTCTTTAAGGAATCTCCACACTGTTTTCTATAGCGGTTGTACTAGTTTTCACTTCCACCAGCAGTGTAGAAGTGTTCCCTTTTCACTGCATCTATACCAACATCTATTATTTTTTGATTTTTTTGATTATGGCCATTCTTGTGGAAGTAAGGTGGTATCACATTGTGGTTTTGATTTGCATTTCCCTGATCATTAGTGATGTGAGTATTTTTTTCGTATGTTTTTTGGCCATTCGTATATCCTCTTTTGAGAATTGTCTGTTCGTATCCTTAGCCTACTTTTTGATGGGATTGTTTTATCTTTTTTTCTTGCTAATTTGAGTCCCTTGTAGATTCTGGGTATTAGTCCTTTGTCAGATGTATAGATTGTGAAGATTTTCTCCCACTGTGTGGATTGTCTGTTTACCGACTGTTCTTATGCTGTGCAAAATGTCTTTAGTTTAATTAAGATCCACCTATTTATCTTTGCTTTTATTGCATTTGCTTTTGGGTTCTTGGTTATGAAATCTTTGCCTAAGTTAATGTCTATAGTTTCAGATCCTAGATTTAAGTAGCTAATGCCTTTTTTTTTTTTCTGAGACAGGGTCTCACTCTGTCACCCAGGCTGGAGTGCAGTGGTGCGATCTTGGCTCACTGCAACCTCCGCCTCCCAGGTTCAAGTGACTCTCCTGCCTCAGCCTACCGAGTAGCTGGGATTACAGATGTGTGCCACCCCACCAAGCTAATTTTTGTATTTTTAGTAGAGACAGGATTTCACCATGTTGGCCAGGCTGGTCTCAAACTCCTGACCTCAAATGATCTGCCTGCCTTGGCCTCCCAAAATGCTAGGATTACTGGCATGAGCCACCACACCCAGTCTGTTAATCCATCTTGAGTTGATTTTTGTATAAGGTGAGAGATGAGGATCCAGTTTCATTCTCCTATATGTGGCTAGCCAATTATCCCAGCACCAATAGTCAAATAGAGTCCCCTTTCCCCACTTTATATTTTTGTTTGCTTTGTCAAAGATCAGTTGGCTGTAATTATTTGGGTTTATTTCTGGGTTCTCTACTCTGTTCCATTGGTCTATGTGCCTGTTTTTATACCAGTACCATGCTGTTTTGGTGATTATAGCCTTATAGTATAGTTTGAAATAAGGTAATGTGATGCCTCCAGATTTCTTCTTTTTGTTTAGTCTTGGTTTGGCTATGTGGGCTCTTTTTTGATTCCATATAAATTTTAGGATTGTTTTTTCTAGTTCTGTGAAGAATGATGGTGATATTTTGATGGGTATTGCACTGAATTTGGAGATTAGGCAGTATGGTCGTTTTCACAATATTGATTCTACCCATCTGAGAGTATGGGATGTGATCCCATTTGTTTTTCATTTATAATTTCTTTCAGCGATGTTTTGTAGTTTTCCTTGTAGAGGTCTTTTACCTCTTTGGTTAGGTATATTCCTAAGTTTTTTTGTTTGTTTGTTTGCTCGTTTTGTTTTTTGTTTTTTTGAAGTTCTTGTAAAAGGGGTGGAGTTCTTGATTTGATTCTCGGCTTGGTTGCTGTTGGTGTATAGCAGAGCTACTGATTTGTGTACATTAATTTTGTATCCTGAAACTTTACTGAGTTCATTTATCAGTTCTAGACGTTTTTTGGATGAGTCTTTTGGGTTTTCTAGGTATACAATCATATTATCAGCAAACAGCAACAGTTTAACTTCCTCTTTATCAATTTGGATGCCCTTTATTTCTTTCTCTTGTCTGATTGCTCTGGCTAGGACTTCCAATACTATGTTGAATAGAAGTGGTGAGCGTGAGCATCCTTGTCTTGTTCCAGTTCTCAGAGAGAATGCTTTCAACTTTTCCCTGTTCAGTATTATGTTGGCTGTGGGTTTGTCATAGATGGCTTTTATTACATTGAGGCATGTCCCTTCTATGCTGATTTTGATGAGGGTTTTCATCATAAAGCGATGCTGGATTTTGTCAAGTGCTTTTTCTGTGTCTGTTGACACGATCATGTGATTTTTGTTTTCAATTCTGTTAATGTGGGTTATCACACTTACTGACTTGCATATGTTAAACCCATCTCTGCATCTTGGTATGAAACCTACTTGATCATGGTGGATTATCTTTTTGATATGCTGTTGGCTTCAGTTAACTAGTATTTTTTTTAACGATTTTTGCATCCATGTTCATCAGGGCTATTAGTCTGTAGTTTTCTTTTTTTGTTACATCCTTTTCTTTGGTATTAGGGTGATGCTGGCTTCATAGAATGATTTAGGGAAGATAGCCTCTTTCTCTGTCTTGTGAAATAGCATCAATAGGATTGGTACCAATTATTCTTTGAATGTCTGATATAATTCAGCTGTGAATCCATCTAGTCCTGGACTTTTTTGTGTGTTGGTAATTTTTTTGTTACCATTTCAATCTCACTGCTTGTTAGTGGTCTGTTCAGAGTTTCTAATTCTTCCTGATTTAAGCTAGGAGGGTTGTATCTTTCCAGGAATTTATCCATCTCCTCTACTTTTCTAGTTTAGGTGTTCATAGAACAAAGGTGTTCATAGTAGCCTTGAATGAGCTTTTGTATTTCTGTAATACAAAATTACAAAATTACGGTTGTAATATCTCCTGTTTCATTTCTAATTGAACTTACTTGGATCTTCTCTCTTCTTTACTTGGTTAATCTTGCTAATGGTCTATCAGTTTTATTTATCTTTTCAAAGAACCAGTTTTTCATTTCATTTATCTTTTGTATTTGTTTTGTTTCAATTTCATTTAGTTCTGCTCTGATCTTGGTTATTTCTTTTTTTCTGCTGGGTTTGGTATTGGTTTGTTCTTGTTTCTCTAGTTCCTTGAGGTGTGACCTTAGATTATCTATTTGTGCTCTTTCAGACTTTTTAATGTAGGCATTTAAGGCTATGAGCTTTCCTCTTAGCACTGCCTTTGCTGTGTCCCAGAGGTTTGGCTAGGTTGTGTCACTATTATTCAGTTCAAAGAATTTTTAAATTTCCATCTTGATTTCATTGTTGACTCAGTGATCATTCAAGAGCAGGTTATTGAATTTCCATGTATTTGTATGGTTTTGAAGGTTGCTTTTGGAATTGATTTCCAATTATATTCTGTGGTCTGACAGAGTACTTGATATAATTCCAATTTTCTTAAATCTATTAAGACTTCTTTTGTTTCGTGGACTATCATATGGTCTGTCTTGGAGAAAGTTACGTACACTGATGAATAGAGTGTATATTCTGCAGTTTTGGGGTAGAATGTTCTGTAAATATCTGTTAAGTCCGTTTGTTCTGAAGTATAGTTTAAATCTATCGTTTCTTTGTTGACTTTCTGTCTTGATGACTTGTCTAGTGCTGTCAGTGGAGTATTGAAGTCCCTAGTATTATTGTGTTGCTTTCTATCTCATTTCTTAAGTCTGTTAGTAATTGCTTTATAAATTTGGGAGCTCAGTGTTAGGTGCATATATATTTAGAATCGTGATATTTTCCTGTTGGACAAGGCCTCTTATCATTATATAATGTCCCTCTTTGTCTTCAATTGCTTTTGCTTTAAAGCTTGTTTTCTGATAGCTGCTCCTGCTCACTGTTCATTAGCATGGAATGTCTTTTCCCACCCCTTTACCTTAAGTTTATGTGAGTCCTTATGTGTTATGTGAGTCTCTTGAAGGCAACAGGTAGTTGGTGAATTTTTATCCATTCTGCAATTCTGTGTCTTTTAAGTGGAGCATTTAGGCCATTTACATTCAATGTTAGTATTGAGATGTGAGCTACTATTCCATTCATCATGCTATTCATTGCCTGTATAACTTGGTTTTTTAAATTGTATTTTTGTTTTATAGGTCCTGTGAGATTTATGCTTTAAGGAGGTTCTGTTTTGATGTGTTTCCAGGACTTGTTTCAAGATTGAGAACCTTTTTTTTTATTTTTTATTTTTTATTTTTTTTAGCAGTTCTTATAGTGCTGGCTTTGTAGTGGTGAATTCTCTCAGCATTTGTCTGAAGAAGGCTGTAACTTTCTTTTATGAAGTTTAGTTTCACTGGATACAAAATTCCTGGCTGATAATTGTTTTGTTTGAGGAGGCTGAAGATAGAGCCTGAATTCCATCTATGGATTCTAGGGTTTCTGCTGAGAAATCTGCTGTTAACCTGATAGGTTTTCCTTTAGAGGTTACCTGGTGTTTTTGTCTCACAGCTCTTAAGATTCTTTTCTTCGTCTTGAGTTTAGATAACCTGACAACAACATGCTTAGGTGATGATCTTTTTGTGCTGAATTGCCCAGGTGTTCTTTGAGTTTCTTGTATTTGGATGTCTAGGTCTCTAGCAAGGCCAGGGAAGTTTTCCTTGATTATTCCCCCAAATATGTTTTCCAAACTTTTAGATTTTTCTTCTTAGGAATGCCAATTATTCTTAGGTTTGGTCATTTAACATAATTCCAAACTTCTTGGAGGCTTTGTTCATTTTTTTGTATTATTTTTTCCTTTGTCTTTGTTGGATTGGGTTAATTTGAAAACCTTGTCTTTGAGCTCTGAAGTTCTTTCTTCTGCTTGCTTGATTCTATTGCTGAGACTTTCCAGAACATTTTGCATTTCTCTACGTGCATCCTGTATTTCCTGAAATTGTGATTCTTTTTTATTTATGCTATCTATTTCACTGAAGATTTCTTCTCTCATATCTTGTATCACTTTTTTTTACTTCCTTAAATTGGACTCCACCTTTCTCTGGTGCCTCCTTGATTAGCTTAATAATCCACCTTCTGAATTATTTTTCAGGTAAATCAGGGATTTCTTCTTGGTTTGGATCCATTGCTGGTGAGCTAGTGTGATTTTGGGTGGATGTTAAAGAACCTTGTTTTGTCATATTACCAGAAGTTTTTTTCTCATTCCTTCTCATTTGGGTAGGCTATGTCAGAGGGAAGATCTGGGGCACAGGGCTGCTGTTCAGATTCTTTTGTGCCACAGGGAGTTTCCTTGATGTAGCACTTCCCCCTTTTCCTAGGGATGTGGCTTTCTGAGAGAGTCTGACTGTAGTGAGTGTTATTTCTTTTCTGGACCTAGCTACCCAGCAGGGCTGCCAGGCTCCAGGCTGGTACTGTGGGTTGTCTACAGTGTCCTGTGATGTGAAACATCTTCAGGTCTCTCAGTCGTGGATACCAGCACCTGCTGTGGTGGAGGTTTCAGGGGAGTGGAATGGACTCTGTGAGGGTCCTTGGTTTTGGTTGTTTAATGCACTAGTTTTGTGCTGATTGGCTGCCTGCCAGGAGGTGGCACTTTCAGGAGAACATCAGCTGTGATAGTACCTGGAAGGTTAGGTGGTAGGTGGGGCCCTAGAGTTCCTAACATAATATGCCCTTTGTCTTCAGCTACCAGGCTGGGTAGGGAAGGACCATGAGGTGGTGGCAGGGTAGGCGTGTCTGAGCTCAAACTCTCCTTGGGCGTGGCTTGCTGTGGTTGCTGTAGGGGATGGAGGTGTGGTTCTCAGATCAATGGAGTCATATTCCCAGGAGGAATATGGCTGCCTCTGCTGTGTCATACAAGTTGTCAGGGAAGTTGGGGAAAGCCAGCAGTTAAGGCCTCACCCAGTTCCCGCCCAACCCAAAAGACTAGTCTCAGTCCCACTGTGCCCTCTCCAATAGCACTGAGTTTGTTTCCATGCTATGTGTGAACAGGACTGAGAACTTGCCCCAGGCTACCAGCCTCCCAGCTGAGAAAGCAAGCAGGGCTTTCATGCCTCCCTGCCTGTCGAGTCTGCACACGGGTTTCACGCCCTCCCCTGTGTTCTGGCCAGGAGACTTTGCGTTCGGTTGGAATTGTTACAGAGTTCAGCTGGAGGTTTCCTTCTCCCTGTGGCCTTTTCCCAGTTCCTCTGGCAGCCCTCCTCAAGGACCCCTGTGAGATAAGTCAGAGGTGACTTTCCTGGGGACCCAGAGAACCCACAAGGCTTTTCCCACTGCTTACTGTATTTTGCTCGGCTCTCTAAATTGAATCAATTGCAGGTAAGGTCAAATCCTTCTCCTGTGATCTCTATCTTCGGGTTTCCCAGTTAAGGTGTGTGTTTGGGGTGGATGATCCCCCTTTCCTACTTTCACAGTTTGGGCACTCACGGTATTTGGCTGTCTCCTGGCCCTGCAGGAGCAATCTGCTTCCTTCAGAGGGTCTGTGGATTCTCTCAGCTTTCCCGGTATATTCCTGCAGAAGCTCTGGAGCAAAAGTTCATGATGCGAGTCTCCACATGCTGCTCTGTCCGAGTGGAAGCTGCAATTTAGTCCTGCCTCCTATCTGCCATTTTTACTTCTACTTAATACTTTCTAAACATATAACTGAATACTAGTTTCAGGTATGTTAAAGTGTGTGATTGTGTTTTCTTAATTTTATGATTAAACTTTTGATTATATTTTGTAAGAGAGATTTGATTTTTTAAAATCAACTTGTTTTTTAATTTCTGTTTTATTTTTAGTTTTCTTTATAGTTTGTCTTAATGCTTTATCATAACACTTTTGTTATGATAGCGAATAGTTTGATATTAGTGTTCCAGAATTAGGGGTTTGATTGTATTCCTTGAAATTTGGCTTGGATTTCTTTATTTGTTTCACTTGAGAGTGTTTGGGAGCCTAAAGGTTTTATTAAATGTTCATTATGATGTGTCTTGATGATCTGATTATGATTAATCTTATGTCATTCAATAAACTGTATGTGAGGCCTACTCTGTCTGAGGCCTTGTCCTCTGCCTGGCAGAAGCCCGTGGGTCAGGGCTCACCTCTGGAGGCCACTTCTGAGGTGAGTCCCAGCCCCTCCACTCTGGTCGAATGACCTTGGACAAGACCCTGCACTTCTTTAAAATCTTGCTTCCATCCTCAATGATATGGAGATCCCAGTGGTACTCTGACAGCGTTTGGCTGTTAGGATTCAGGGAGGTAATCCAGGAGGTGCGTACAGTACAAAGCTCAGAGTGGGTGCCCAGTTGTTGGCAGTAATGGTGTTGGCACAGCTGGGACTGCTCTTAGGGCTGTGGATCTAAAAAGTGAAGCAGCAGCTCACTGTGCATTGGGGACAGTCCAGATGCATGGGCAGCAGACACGTAGCAGATGCAGAGGTCACTGGCCCTTGAGAATCATAAAAAGAGGGCTACCAGAACACAGAGAATCACGAAACTTAACCATGATGCAACCCCCTGCATCTGGGAAAGATGACGCAGAAGTGGGGCTGTTTGGGCTGCTTCTTGAAGAGTCAGTAGGAGTTTTCAGTTAGAGGTAATTTTCATACAGTATTCAGCTCTTAAATGTTCAGGGCATGAGGGATGAGCCTGCATACAAACTCAGAATGGAGAAAAGCCACATATACTGAAAAGATCTGATCTCCATGGGGCTTGCAGGTGGAATAGGGTGACGTGGGAAGGAGATTGTTCTATTTTGTTTCTCAATCCAACCAGTGAATTTCTTTCTCATAGAGGAGTTTAGCTTCTTCACTCATCTGTAATTGAGTGCATGACGTATATGTATTTTTTTCCGTTGCCTTTCAAGGTTGTGTTGTTTATTCTTGTTTGTATCTGTCTCTGCTTACATATTTTGGGGAAGGCTTTTTCTTATATCAGGTTAAAATATGATCTTAGTTTTACTTGTTTTACAAGTTTTTCTGGTAAATATTAGTTTCACATATCTATGCAGTGCGTGTTCCAAGTATTTTTTCTTTCTCACTTTTCTAGTGCTAATAGGTATATGGTGAACTCCCGTCGAGGGATGATATAGAGGCTAATTTCAGAAAATAGCGTTTCTAACTTTTACTTACTCCTTGTTGAACTTTTCTATGAAATTTTGTTATCATTTTATCATTCAGGATTCCTATTAGATTTTCTTTACAATGTTCAGGCACACTGGCTCCTTAAATCTGTGCATATCTTTCTTTCTTTAGTTAGTAGTCCTCATTTCCCTGTGGTTTCTTGTAGAGGACGAAGCCATGGGAATTTTTGACATAGTGTGTCAGAGCTTCAGTTTTTGCTGTGTCATGTTTTAGAGCGAACATTGGACTAGAAGTCTGGAGATCTGTTTTCTGGTTTTGGCTGTGCCATAAACGGTAAAAATATACTTCCCAATGGTTGCTTTCATATCAGACAGTTTGAAAGAGCTGTGAGATATCAGTCAAGCCAGTGGGACTTCTCTCGTGCTCTTTTTATTGACCTGGAATGCCAGGGGATTGGAACCCGCCAGGGTTTTCTGAAGCACCTTCTCTGGAGCCCTGATTTCATGGGCTGTTAGTACATGTTCCGTGAAAAGAGATGCTGTGTCGGGTTAATTGGGATATCCTGGAACTTCTTAGGGACTTTAGTTTTTCCCTATAGTTCTTCAAGGGGAATATAGAGTATGCAGGTGTGCTGTGTTTAACCAATTTATTTGACCGGGAAAATTTCTATTTATACAGCAGCCTGTGGGGCTAGAAGGGTTCCTGAGAGCATACTTTGGGAAACAGTAAGATAATTTTTAAGGTTTCTTCCAACTTTCAAGTGTATGGTTCTGTGAATATACTAAAAACCACTTAACATTATACTTTAAAAGAATGAATTTTCTGGTTTGTGAATTATATCTCAGTAAATCTCATTATAAGAATTTTTAATGGTTCTTTAATCTTCAAAACTGCCTGGGATTATTTCTGCTTTTTACAATGTGGGCTTCAATTCCTCATTAAAAACAAACAAAAAACTGTATAGCACCTTGACCATTTCACATTGTTTACAGAGAGTATCATTCAATTCTAGGAAAATTTCAAGGCCACTTTGCTGATTATGGCCTCTGTGTTTGTTTCATACCAGTCTCTCCATATTAGAACTTTTCTATCAGACTTTCTAGGTTTATCTGTTTGTCTTGAACTGCTGTCTTTTGAGTTGTGTGGCTGTGTTTGCAGGCTAGTGTATTCTGTACATCTATAATCTTTGGTTTTCTGGGTTAATTCTTGCATTATCCTTTTTGCTGTTATTTTTAATTCTTTGATAACATCTTTTGTTTAGATTTCTTTAGGTTCAGTGGTACATGTGCAGGTTTGTTATATAGTAAACTCGTATTACAAGGGTTTGTTGTACATATTATTTTGTCACCCAGGTACTAAGCCTAGTACCCAATAGTTATTTTTTTTTTCTGCTTTTCTCCCTCCTCATACCTTCCACCCACAAATAGGCCCAAATGTCTGTTATTCCTTTCTTTCTGTATATGAATTCTCCTTGTTTAGCTCCCGCTTACAAGTGAGAACATGCAGTATTTGGTTTTCTGATTCTGTTAGTTTGCTAAGGATAATGACCTCCAGCGCCAACCATGTTCCCATAAAAGATATGATCTCATTCTTTTTTATTGCTGCATAGTATTCCATGGTGTATATGTACCACATTTTCTTTATCTGTCATTGATGAGCATTTAGGTTGATTCCATGTATTTGCTATTGTGCATAGTGCTGCAATGAACATTCTTGTGCAGGTGTCATTATGGTAGAATGATTTATATTCCTTTGGGCATATACACAGCAATGAGATTGCTGGGTCAAATGATAGTGCTGCTTTTAGCTCTTTGAGGAATTACCACACTGCTTTAAGCAATGGTTGGACTAATTTACACTCCCACCAACAGTGTATAAGTGTTCCCTTTTCTCTGCAACCTTGCCAGCATCTGCTATTTTTTGGACTTTTTAGTAATAGCTATTCTGACTGGTGTGAGGTGGTATCTCATTGTGGTTTTGATTTGCATTTCTCTGATGATCAGTGATATTGAGCTTTTCAGTATCACTGACAAGCTTTATGCTTGTTGGCCACATGTATGTCTTTTGAAAAGTGTCTGTTCATCTCCTTTGCCCACTTCTTTATGGGGTTGTTTTTTCCTTGTAAATTTCAGTTCCTTATATATGCTGGTATTAGACCTTTGCCAGATGCATAGTCTGCAGATATTTTCTCCCATTCTGCAGGTTATCTGTTTACACTTTTGATGGTTTCTTTTGTTGTGCAGAAGTTCTCAAGTTTAATTAGATTCCATTTGTCAATTTTTGCTTTTGTTGCAATTGTTTTTGGCATCTTTGTCATGAAATCTTTGCTCGTTCCTATGTCTAGAATGGTATTGCATAGCTTGTCTTCCAGAGTTTTTATAATTTTGGGTTTTACATTTAAGTCTTTAATCCATCTTGAGTTGTTTTTTGTAGATGGTGTAAAAAGGGGGTCCGGTTTCAGTCTTCTGCATATTGCTAACCAGTTATCCTAGCACCATTTGTTGAACTGGGGCGGTTCTTTCCCTCATTGCTTGTTTTTATCAGCTTTGTCAAAGATCAGATGGTTATAGGTGTGTGGCCTTAAATCTGGCCTCTCTATTCTGTTCCATTGGTCTATGTGTCTGCTTTTGTACCAGTACCATGCTGTTTTGGTTACTGTAGCCATGTAGCATAGTTTGAAGTCAGGTAAGGTGACACCTCCAGCTTTGTTCTTTTTGCTTAGGATTGCCTTGGCTATTTGGGCTCTTTTGTGGTTTCATATGAATTTTAAAATCATTTTTTCTAGCACTGTGAAGAATGTCAATGGTAGTTGGATAGGAAAAGCATTGAATCTGTAAATTGCTTTGGGCAGTATGGCTATTTTAACAATATTGTTTCTTTCTACCCATGAGCATGGAATGTTTTTCCATTTGTTTGTGTCATCTTTGATTTCTTTGAGCACCGTTTTATAATTCTCCTTGCAGAGATCTTTCATCTCCCTGGTTAGCTGTATTCCTACATATTTTTTTTTGTGGCAGTTGTGAATGGGCTTGCATTCCTGAGTTGGCTCTTGGCTTGGCTCTTGTTGGTGTGTAAGAATGCTGATGATTTTTGTACATTGATTTTTGTATCCTGAAACTTTGCCAAAGTTGTTTATCAGCTGAAGGAGCTTATGGGCTGAGACTATGGGGTTTTACAGATATAGAATCATGTTGTCTGCAAACAGGGATAATTTGACTTTCTCTCTTCCTATTTGTGTGCCTTTAATTTTTTTATCTTGCCTTATTGCTCTGGCCAGGACTACCAATACTATGTTGAATAGGAGTAGTGAGAGAGAGACCCTTGTCTTGTGACAGTTTTCAAGGGAAATGCTTCCAGTTTTTCCCCATTCAGTATGATATTGGCTGTGGGTTTGTCATAGATAGCTCTTACTATTTTGAGGTATGTTCTTTAAATACCTCATTTATTGAGTTTTTAACATGAAGGTATATTGAACTATGTCAAAAGCCGTATCTGCATCTATTGAAATAATCATGTGGTTTTTGTCTCTAGTTGTATTTATGTGATGAATCACATTTATTGATTTGCATATGTTGAACCAACCTTGTATTCCAGGATGAAGCCTACTTGATAATGGTGGATTTGCTTTTTGTGCTGCTGGATTCGGTTTGCCAGTATTTTGTTGAGGATTTTTACATTAGTGTTCATCAAGGATGTTGGCCTGAAGCTTTTTCCTTTTTTGTTGTCTTTGACAGGTTTCAGTATTAGGATGATGTGAACCTCATAGAATGAGTTAGGGAGGGGGCCCTCCTCAATTTTTTGGAATAGTTTCAGTAGGAATGGTACTATTTCTTCTTTCTACATCTGATGGAATTGGACTGTGAATCCATCTCGTCCTGTTTTGTGGTTGGTAGGCTATTACTGGTTCAATTTTGGAGCTCATTATTGGTCTGTCCAGGCAATCAGTTTGTTCCTGATTCAGTCTTGGGAGGGTGTATATGTCTAGGAATGTATCCATCTCTTCTAGGTTTTCTGTTTTTTGTGTGTGTGCATAGAGATGTTCATAGTAGTTCCTGATAGTTATTTTTATTTCTATGGAGTCAGTGTTAACATCCTATTTGTCATTTCTAATTGTGTTTATTTGGATCTTATACCTTTATTAGTCTAGCTCTAGTGGCCTGTCTTATTCATTTAAAAAAAAAACTCCTGGATTAATTAATCTCTTGGGTGGTTTTTTATGTCCTGATTTCCTTCAGTTCAACTCTTATTTTGGTTATTTCTTGTCTTCTGCTAACTTTGGGGCTGGTTTTCTCTTGCTTCTCTAATTCTTTCAGTTGTGATATTAGATTGTTAGTTTGAGATCTTCCTAAATTTTTGATGTGGCCACTTAGTGCTATAAATTTCCCTTTTAAAATTTCCTTAGCTGTGTCCCACAGATTCTGGTATGTTGTATCTTTGTTCTCATTAGTTTCAAACATGTTCTTGATTTCTGCCATATTTTCATTATTTACCCAAATATCATTCAGGAGCAAGTTGTTTGATTTCCATGTAACATGGTTTTGAGTGATTTCTTTTAATCTTCTATTTTTATTGTCCTGTGGTCCAAGAGTATATTTGATATGATTTTGGTTCTTTTGCGTATGCTGGGGATTGTTTTATGTTTGATTTCATGGTTGATTTTAGAGTATGTGCCATGTGGCAATGAGAAGAATGTATATTCTGTTTTGGGGTGGAAAGTTGTGTAGAGATCTATCAGATCTATTTGGTTGAATGTTGAGTTCAGGTCCTGAATGTCTTTAGTTTTCTGCCTCACTGATCTAATACTGTCAGTGGAGTGTTGAAGTCTCCCACTATTAATGTGTGGGAGTTTAAGTCTTTTTGTTTGTCTCTAAGAACTTGCTTTAAAACCTGCCTGCTTCTGTGTTGAGTGAGACAGGTCTCAGTTAATTTAGAAAGTTTATTTTGCCAAGGTTGAGGACACATTCCTGTGACACAACCTCAGGAGGTCCTGATGACATGTGCCCAAGCTAGTAGGAGAAGAGCTTGGTTTTGTATATTTTAGGGAGACATGAGACATCAATCAATATGTGTAAGATGAACATTGCTTCAGTCCTGAAAGGTGGGACAACTTGAGGTGAATGTGGGGGTGACTTAAAGTGGGGAGGGGGCTTCCAGGTCATAGGTAGATAAGAGACAAATGATTGCATTATTTTGAGTTTCTGATTAGCCTCTTCAAATAAGGCAATCAGATATGCATTTATCTCAGTGAGCAGAGGGGTGACTTTGAATAGAATGAGAGGCAGTTTTGCCCTAAGCAGTTCCCAGTTTGATTTTTCCCTTTAGCTTAGTAATTTTGGAGCCCCAAGATTTATTTTCCTTTCACATTTCCTCCATTTTCTTTTTTAGAATCTTTTGGAGAAAGCATTTTAGAAGAAAACGAGTCTCTGGTCTCAGGTTTCATCTGATCTCTCATGGCTAGCATGGTTTATTCCCAGATGGGTAGGTCCTGAGTTATTAGGAAAGTTCATTTTTGCAGGTTCTGAAGTCTCATGTCCTATGAAGAGAAAATAGGGGGAGGAAGGGAGAAAAACAGCAACAAACAGAACAACCCTGGAAAATTGATACAGGCCACATTATTCTGAAGTCTGTATATCAGTAGGCAGGTAAGAAAGTGGCTTATGTATGTAAATAGATTGCTGTTATTTTCTTCTGAACTTTAAGTTGTCTAGCTTCAGTTTGTAGGGCTTTACAAAAGCAGAGCTTAGTTTTCAGTGATTCCAAATTAGGAAAAATGGGGGAAAATGAAGGGAAAATAATAAAAACATTATTTTGAAGACTTATAGCTGAGAAAAATTAGAATTTGCTTCAAACCATAGAAAATAATAAAAATTGAGAAACATTAGGCAAGACTAGAATCTAGTCTTGGTATGCTATATTTTTTAAACAATTTTTCTCTCTCTAGTTTCCCATTTTTACTAAAGACAAATCATGATAGGACTTAGTTTTGCTTTATTATACTTGCCCTGATTATTTGTATACAGTGCAGCAAGAAAAATTTTTCTACATAGGCTTTTAAATTGGCCTTGATGGAACTTTGTTCCATAGAAGGAATCCCAGATAAGGCTTTTTTATAGCTCATCCCAGCCATAATTTGTACCATCAAATACTTGTGAGTTGGGTGATCCTCTTCTCTTAAGGTCCCAAGATAAACATAGGGCTACTGGGCCTGTTAGAACATGACATTCTTTACTTACCACAGGTCAGGAACCCTGTACAGGGACTGTATAGACAAGATATGAGGCCAGTTTCCTAAGGGGCTTTTATTGGCTGCATGAGTCAAGTTTGATTCCTTAAAGGAAAGCACGCCATTCCAGTCAAAGCCTTGGTAAAATAACCAGTTTCTCCAATTGTGTCCTGTTAAAAAGGAAAACAGATTCTTATTGCACTTATGCAAATAACTGGATTGCCATAAGCTAAGAATACCCACAAATAGCTTCCAAATTCTGAAGAAATCAGGTAGAGAGAAGAAAATTTGCTCCAAATTTTGTTCATAGGATTATACTAAATTGCTAAAAACTATCAATAGCTTAGAAGAAAAATTTCCTTTACCCTGAAAAAAGGACCACCAACGTTTTAAGCAAAAAGTCAAAAAGGTTACTTCAGATTTCTATTAGTTCAGTCCATGTAGTTAATTCCTATTCTGGTTGATATTTATAAACATTTCAGTTCTCCATGAGTCCTAAAAGTTTTTCTTGTATTCCAGTGTCACAATCTCCAGAGTTATTAGAAACTTGTATTCAAGAGCACCTGTTAGAGTTTTATAGCTAATTATAAAATCACCTTTTAAAGAGGGCCAAAACAAGTCAACAATTGTGTCAAAGACAAAAAGTTTTAGGGCAGCCAGAGTCAAGAACACAATTGACAAGGAAATTTGTTACCTCTTGCACACAATAATTTAACATAATGATTATAATTATTACTGATAATATACATTAAGTCATATCAGAATTATAGGAGTTTTCCATAACTTTGGAACACATACCAATAACATATTTATACAAACACAGCCCAAAGAAGACCAAACACCATTTCATATTTGACAGTGCTTTCTGTATAATTTTTATGCCAAATAAGTCAAATTGTGTCTTTTTTTGGGCTTTAGGGAATCTAGTATCCTAAAGGATTAATTAGATCAGAAAAAGACATAATTTATAATTTGACTTTGGAAAGTTTGTCAAATATCAAAGATTTAAAACACTTGATACCACAGGTTATTGTAAAATAAGTCATTCATTTGACCAATGTGATAATGCAAGGATTTCAAAAAAAGATGAAAACCTTTATTCTTTGAGAGAGGAGACTTAGTTTTTCAAACAATAAGCCCTGATAAAAACAGCATGAAGCCAATTAAATTTGTTTTTAAAAATGTTTAGACAGTCTATAACATTTTAATCTTGGCCTTAAGATAACCTCCATGAGTCTTTTATAAACTTCATAACCTTTACTAAGGAGTCAGTTAATGCTTCAAGAAAACCTTGGTAATCTGACATAGAGACCCATATGCTGGTCTTGCATCAGTGTGCCTTTGGCATTAATGATTAATTTATAGAGAAACTGAACTTATTTTATCTGTCAAAATCAGCCCTTACAATCTCACATGCCCACCTCTTCTGTGATAGTCCCTGGGCCTTGAGGAGTGGAATAGCTTTAATTTCTGACCCTGTGTCTCAGGAATGCAGTTTATTTGATTAGCATCTTTTACCAGAAGATGAGGCTTTAATTGCTGTTAATGTTTGAGATTTAGCAGGACTTGGCGTTCTTTTTAGACCCAGGAGCCAAAGCCCTGTAACTCAATGTCACAGGTACTTTAAAAGCACATACAGAAAGATACACAGATGTAATAATCTTAATTTAAAAATTTTTTTTAGTCTCAGTTTTTTTCCTAAGCAAATCAAAACTCAATAATAATGGCATAGGAATTGTTTCAATAAACTGTAAAATTTGTTAGACCAGTTACCAAAAGGCAAAAGAAAAGACCTTCTGCAGTGAACAGAATATTACATTGGAAGAAAACAGTTCCTTTAGACCTTTAAGAAAGCATTGTTAGCATCAGGCCATAACAAACAGAACTCAAGGAAAAAAAAAACTTATATGAGCTGAAGGAGAGCATTACTATTTTGCACCCTTTAAAAGGGGAGAGAGAACTGAAAATGTTGAGATGCAATAAAAGTTACATTTTGGGTTAAAAAAATTCAAATATCTTATAATTAAGAGCAAATTAATTCCTCAAGAAAATTTTATTGTTCCAACCAATTATTTAGTGTATAAATGTTGTTGTTGTTGTTACATCAAACCCACTTTTTAGAAAGACCATGATAATTTCCCTTTAATTAGTAGACAACTTGATCATATAAAAGTTTTTGTTTTTTAAATCTTCTTATTTGACTTACATGGACTGTTCGTGACATGTTTGGGCTTTCTGGTTTGTCCTGAACATCAGTCTTTCTTAAACAAGCAGTTATTTTATTCTAGGACTAAATCTACCATACAAGATTCTTTCTCATATAAAATATTTCTCTTTAAGCTTTCTTACAAAAAAAAAACCTCTATTTTTATAACTTTCTTTACATCTCTTATTTTCTGGTTCCTTTTACCTTGTTTTATACATAACCTTTAAATAGGCCTTGAATTAGAAAAAAATTATTCATCTTTTAAAAATGACACACTTTTTTTCAGGAAGAATGTGTTCCTAAACATATATTTTTATTGAAAAATACCCAAATAATGAAATATCTATTATTTAATTTAATATAGATTCTAAATTATGATGAGTTTGACTACATGTATTTATCCCATTACATTTGCCTAATTATTTTAATTGTTTACCTAGATTATTTATGAAAACTGCAATAGTCATCATTTAAAGTTATGGAACTGTGTCCGGAATTGGTGGGTTCTTGGTCTCACTGACTTCAAGAATGAAGCCGCGGACCCTTGCGGTGAGTGTTACAGCTCTTAAGGTGGCGTGTCTGGAGTTTGTTCCTTCTGATGTTCGAATGTGTTTGGAGTTTCTTCCTTCTGGTGGGTTCGTGGTCTCGCTGGCTTAGGAGTGAAGCTGCAGACCTTCACGGTGAGTGTTACAGCTCTTAAGGCGGCGCATCTGGAGTTGTTCGTTCCTCCCGGTGGGCTCATGGTCTCGCTGGCTTCAGGAGTGAAGCTGCAGACCTTCGCAGTGAGTGTTACAGCTCATAAAAGCAGTGTGGACCCAGAGTGAGCAGTAGCAAGATTTATTGCAAAGAGCGAAAGAACAAAGCTTCCACAGTGGGGAAGGGGACCTGAGCGGGTTGCCACTGCTGGCTCAGGCAGCCTGATTTTATTCTCTTATCTGGCCCCACCCACATCCTGCTGATTGGTAGAGCTGAGTGGTCTGTTTTGACAGGGTGCTGATTGGTGCGTTTACAATCCCTGAGCTAGACACAAAGGTTCTCCACATCCCCACCAGATTAGCTAGATACAGAGTGTCGACACAAAGGTTCTCCAAGGCCCCACCAGAGTATCTAGATATAGAGTGTCGACTGGTGTATTTACAATCCCTGGGCTAGACATAAAGGTTCTCCAAGGCCCCACCAGAGTAGCTAGATACAGAGTGTCGATTGGTGCATTCACAAACCCTGAGCTAGACATAAAGGTTCTCCAAGGCCCCACCAGAGTAGCTAGATACAGAGTGTCGATTGGTGCATTCACAAACCCTGAGCTAGACATAAATGTTCTCCAAGGCCCCTCCAGAGTAGCTAGATACAGAGTGTCGATTGGTGCATTTACAGTCCCTGAGCTAGACATAAAGGTTCTCCAAGGCCCCACCACAGTAGCTAGATACAGAGTGTCGATTGATGCCCTCACAAACCGTGAGCTAGACACAGGGTGCTGATTGGTGTGTTTACAAACCTTGAGCTAGATACAGAGTGCCAATTGGTGTATTTACAATCCCTGAGCTAGACATAAAGGTTCTCCAAGGCCCCACCAGACTCAGGAGCCCAGCTGGCTTCACCTAGTGGATCCTGCACCGGGGCTGCAGGTGGAGCTGCCTGCCAGTCCCGCACCATGCGCCTGCACTTCTCAGCCCTTGGGTGTTTGATGGGACTGGGCACCGTGGAGCAGGCAATGGCGCTTGTCAAGGAGGCTCGGGCCGCACAGGAGCCCACGGAGGGGTGGGAGACTCAGGCATGGCGGGCTGCAGGTCCTGAGCCCTGCCCCACGGGAAGGCAGCTAAGGCCCAGCAAGAAATCGAGTGCAGCGCCGGTGGGCTGGCACTGCTGGGGGACCCAGTACACCCTCCACAGCCGCTGGCCCGGGTGCTAAGCCCCTCATTGCCCAGGGCTGTCAGGGCCGGCCAGCTGCTCCAAGTGCAGGAGCCGCCAAGCCCATGCCTACCCAGAACTCCAGCTGGCCTGCAAGCGCCACACGCAGCCCTGGTTCCCACTCACACCTCTCCCTCCACACCTCCCTGCAAGCTGAGGGAGCAGGCTCCGGCCTTGGCCAGCCCAGAAAGGGGCTCCCACAGTGCAGCTGTGGGCTGAAGGGCTCAAGTGCCACCAAAGTGGGAGCCTAGGCAGAGGAGGCGCCGAGAGCGAGCGAGGGCTGTGAGGACTGCCAGCACGCTGTCACCTCTCAGAACTACTGTTGCAAAATTATGACTAAGACAGTGAAAAAATCTGACCTAACTGACTCCATCTTCTAACCTCCAATCTGTCTTTGTTCATTCCAGGGCATAGGTCAGACTTGCTTTTGGAGGAACTCAGTTTATAGTTCAGCCTTGAAACAAAGATGGTAACAGTCCTTTCCCAAAACAAACCTTACAGCCAGTAGACTAGACCACCTAAAGCCACAAGATTAGAAGTTATGGTAATCTTACTAAATTTAAGATGTAGCTATTTTTATTAAACCAATATTAATGTCTTATGCATTAAAAATTACATAAGCAAAGATTATTCTGTCTTGGGCTGGGTTTATGGTTTTGTAACACCTATGCCAAATATTGGCACCTTATAGTATTTGACAGGGATAAGTATGAAATTGCTTGATAAATAAATGCAAACAAAAATGTATACTGGCAATTCTTAAGACATTTCTAATTTTACTTTACAAATAACTTTAAAGCTGGCTTATTTATTACAGATTTCACTCAAGTTACATAAACTGGAAAAAGCATTTGACTAGTCTTCTCTTTTCCTGATAAAATATTTGATTCAAGCATTTTTATTTTCTTATGCCAATTAATTAGAGCTCTTTTATGTATTTTCAATAGTGAAACATTGTATACACAACCGTAAGTACATAGACATAGGCATGCCAACAGAACTACATCTTATAAAGACCCTTTTTTTCCCATCTTAGACTTTCAAATTCTTGATGACTTATTTCACAACCCTAGGCAGTTGTCAGCTAAATAGCCTTAAATTTGCATATTAAAGGAAACAACTCAGGTGAAAATCAAATAGCAAAATTTACATTATAAGGTAAGAGAGAAAAAGTCTGGTATGCTAGAGGGAAATTAAAATGGATTTAATTGCCAATTAAACATAAAATGATAGAAATTATAAAGGCTATTTAAATACACACACACACACACCCAAGATCCTATAGCTTTTATTTCAGAACTTTAGCCATGAGATAAATACAAATTCACCACCTTGCAAAAAGAACCTGTTGGATTCAAACAGTGGTTTTTATCTTAATAGAAAAATAACAGCAGATTTAAAGCAGGCAGAGAAGAAAGAAAAAGAGAACTTAAGAACTTTATAGTTTGCAGTTCGACCTTAAGGCTCTTTTTCCTTAATATAAATGTGTGCAAAGACCATTTTACTTCCATTTTACATAAACTCTAGCAAGTAGATGTGCCATAAAACCTGCAGAGTCCTTGAAAGGGTGTCATTCTCCTTATTCTTAGATTATTTGTTTTCCACATTTTTTTCTTAAAAGGAGGTACTGAGCTTTGGCCTAGTGTTTTTGTGTGGTGGATCAATGTGTTCTGCTTGTGGGCAGGACTCCATAGTGTGTCCACAGTGAGTCATTTCCACCATCTTATGTGTCTCATGTTCTCTCTTCAGAGGCCTATGACCTCTGAGACGGCTCAAACACTGGGTGATCAGACCTTATATGCATTTCCTGGACGAGACCTTTTTAAAAAACTAATTTTTGTTGGGGATTTCCCTGTGGGACCACTGCACATTGTGGTTGGTCAACCCCCAGAGACACTCCCACGAGACCCCAGTCACCTAGGGGTGCTTTTTGGGTGGAAGGAGCAAAATGACCTTTCTCTTCAGAGCTAAGAAAACTCAGTCTCTCATTTACCTATGAAAACAACAGTTCAGTTTCTCAAACAAATCTGCACAGATGAGCCAAATCAAGATTAATTTTGGGAGAAAAAGCAATAGAGAAGACACCTTAGAATGCATCTCAGAACTACAATTAGGATCCTTAAATAACTTTGTAGGAGAGAAAAAAAGAACAACAGCCAAGACCACTTGCTGTAAACTGTGTTCAGCCACCCCTACTTTGTAGCTCTCATCTGCCATTACACACGCCATGGTCAAATCCTCTCACAGTACAAGGTAATCTCTGCTACCAACAAAGCCAAAGAGGTCAGGTTATGCAATACAGAAAAACAGAGCTTTAGACCTAAGAAGAATCTGCCCATGACTCTTGAAACTCCACAAAGAAAAAAGAACACCCCAAAAGGGATGAATGGTGCCTTCGTTCTGGATTCTTTAAAGGGGTTCAAGTCATTAGAAGCCTTCTCTAGATTTTGGGGTACTACAGATGGCAAAGGTGGAAGGAGGTATAGGATGGAAGAAAAGTAAACATTTTTTTAAAGACAGAAAACACAAATGAAGCACATTTTTTTTTGTTCTGTTTTCCCCCTCTTTTGCTGCTTTTGAGGAATTTTAGCCAAATTAGAGAGGCTTTGTCACCCATAATTATAGATATATAGTTGGTCAAATCTGATGGGAGAAAGACTGGAACAAACAACAACAACAACAACAAAAATCCCCAACAATATGATTCCTGAGTGCTCTAATGGTAAAGAGAAATTAACACCAGCTGGTTGTATACTTTAGCCAAGACAAAACCCCCATTCAGCTACTTACCTAAGCGTGGGTCTCAGGCTGAAGATGGCTTTCTACTACCCTAGAAGCAGGAAAAGAAAAACCTAGAACACATTTTCCCTGCTTGGAGCGAGCTCAAACTCCATAAAGGAGTTACCTACCTACCATCATCATGAAAACAGGAAATCTTGCTTTCCCTGTTGGAAGCAAGTAAAACGCCAAAAAAAAAAAAAAAAAAGAAAAGAAAAGAAAAAGGAGTCATACAGCAAAATAAACTTTAGGTCTCGACCAAATTTTGGGAGATCAGGGATTCTCTGGAGGGGGTGCTTCCAGTCCTCAGCAAATTCTCCTATAGGTTTGAGCCATAAAGTTGGTTTATGCTAGTACCAAGCACCAATAGGAGATTTGTCAAAGGCAGAGGTACCTCCACTGAGAATTTCTTTGTGATTGCCAAAATGTGAACCTCAAAAATCTGAGACAGGTCTCAGTTAATTTAGACAGTTTATTTTGCCAAGGTTGGGGATGCATGCCCATGACACAGCCTCAGGAGGTTCTGATGACATGTGCCCAAGGTGGTAGGGGCACAGCTTGGTTTTATACATTTTAGGTAGACATGAGACATCAATCAAGATGTGTAAGATATACATTGGTTTAGTCCTGAAAGGTGGGACAACTCGAGGCAAAGTCAGGACAACTTGAGGCAGGAAGGGGCCTTCCAGGTCATAGGTAGATAAGAGGCAAATGGTTGCATTCTTCTGAGTTTCTGAATAGCCTCCCCAAATGCAGCAATCAGATATGCATTTATCTCAGTGAGCAGAGGGGTGACTTTGAATAAAATGGGAGGCAGTTTTGCCCTAAGCAGTTCCCAGTTTGATTTTTCACTTTAGCTTAGTGATTTTGGGGCCCCAAGATTCATTTTCCTTTCACAGGTGCATATATATTTAGGACAGTTAGGTCTTGCTGAATTATTATGTAATGACCTTGTCCTTTTTTTTAATCCTTGTTTAAAGTCTGTTTTGTCTGAAATTAGGGTTGCAAACCCTGCTTTTTTTCTGTTTCCATTTGCTTGGTAGACTTTCCCCTAATTCTTTATTTTGAGCCTATGGGTGTCACTGTGTGTGAGATGGGTCTTGAAGAAAGCATACCATTGGGTCTTGCTTCTTTATCCAGCTTGTCAGTCTGTGCCTGTTAAATGGGGCATTTAGCTCATTTACATTTAAGGTTAGTATTGATATGTGTGGATTTGATCCTGTCATTGTGTTACTAGCTGGTTATTATGCTGGCTTGTTTGTGTGGTTGCTTTATTGTGTCACTGGTTTGTGTGTTTAAGTGTGTTTTTGTATTAGCTGGTAACAGTCCTTCCTTTATATATTTAGTGCTCCTTTCAAGATCTCTTGTAAGGCTGGCTGGGTAGTAATGAACTCCCTCAGCATTTGCTTATATGAAAAGGATCTTTCTTCTTTGCTGAGGAAGCTTAGTTTGTCTGGATATGAAATTCTTGGTTGAAGATTTTTTTTTAAATAATGTTGAATATAGGCCCCCATTCTCCTCTGGCTTTTAGGGTTTCAGCTGAGAGGTCCACTGTTAGCCTGATGGAGTTCCCTTTGCAGATGACCTACCCTTTCTCTCTAGCTGCCTTTAACATTCTTTCTTTTTCACCTTGGAAAATATGATGACTATGTGTCTTGGGGGTGATCTTCTTGTGTAAAAATCTTGCAGGGGTTTTCTTTATTTCCTGAATTTGACTGTTGGCCTCTCTAGCAAGGTTGGGAAGTTTTCATGGACGATATTCTGAAATACGTTTTCCAAGTTGTTGTTTTCTTTTTGTCCCTTTCAGGGATGCCAGTGATTTACAGATCTGTTCTCTTTAAATAATTCCATATTTCTCAGAGGTTTAGTTAATTCCGTTTTTTTATTTTTGTCTGACTATCTTATTTCAGAGAGAGCCAGTCTTTGAGTTTTGAGATTCTTTCCTCAGCTTGGTCTATTCTGCCGTTAATACTTGTGATTGCATTGTGGAATTCTTGTAGTGTGTTTTTCAGCTCTATCAGATCAGTTAGGTTCTTTTTTCTACTGGTTATTTTATCTGTCAGCTCCTGTATCCTTTTGTTGTGATTCTTAGTTTCTTTGGATTTGGTTTGCCATTCTTCTGCATCTCAATCTTCATTCCTATCCATATTCTGAATTCTTTTTCTGTCATTTCCGTGAGCTTAGCCTAATTAAGAACCCTTGTTGAAGAACTTGGGTGGTTCTTTGGAGGACATAAGACACTCTGGCCATTGGAGTTGCTGGGGTTCTTGAATTGGTTCTTTCCCATCCCTGTATGTGGGTGTTCCTTTGAATGAAGTGTTGATTGAGTACACTCAATAAACTTCTATTCTGGATGTTTTCACAGAGCTGAGGCATTGTATAGGATCTTTATTTGTAGCTGACTTTTTGTCTTTCGTTTCATAGTGTGGTATGTCAGTGAGGTATTTTGGTGTTGAAGCTTTGGGGTGTGATCCAGTAGGTTTAGGCTTCTGCTCAATCATATCCCTCCCCTATATTTCCTTATGGTTGCAGCCATGCTCCCTCTCAATGCTCTGAAAGTGTGGGCTCCTCTCCCACTTGAGTGCTGGGTATAGATTGTGGCTTTGCACTCCCAGGCTGCCCACCACAGCTCTGGGGTGATCTCAGGTTTTATGTTTCTTCCCCAACCTGGAGGCGGCAGAGCAAGGGACCTTAGTAGTGGCCAAGGGTCTTTTGCTTGTCTCCTGGGTCCCCACACCAGAGAGATCCAGGTTAGCAATCAGCCTAGGATCAGGGATCTGTGCTGTGGGCCCAGGCTGGGGGTTCCCTGTCTGGTGATGAGCTGTAGGGGGATCCCATGGGAAATGGACTGGCCTCCTCTCCTTGGGTGGACTGCAGCTTGTTGGAGATGTGAATAAGGCACTTTGGGTCTTTGTTCCTTCTTTAGTCCAGGGGTAGCAGGGGTAATACTGCAGAAGCAGTGGCAGAAAGGCTGTTGGTTGCCTCTGGCGGCTCCACCTCCAAGAAATGTGGAGTCACTGTTACTGAGAGTATTCAGCCAGTGGGGTGGTGCAGCTGCACTGCTGGCATGTGCTTAGGATTCTGCTTGTTGGAGAGCATGGGGTCAAAGACTCAATAGGAGGAGAGACTGGTCTCCTCTCTCTATGGTGACTGTGGTGTGCTGTAAGGTCAGGTGTAGCCCTGAGGCTCTTTGTTGCTTCCCCATACCAAGTGGCAGTGGCAGAGAGGCTGTTGGATGCCTCTGGGAACATTTCCCAGGGAAATTCTGGACCATTACCTCGTAATGCAGGCTTTTACAGCTGTAAATTGTTGAATTGATCCTTTTGTCATAATATAATGATTTTTTTCTCTAGAGGCAGTTTTTGGCTTACAGTCTATTTTGTCTGACATAAGACTAGCCACTCCTGCTTTCTTTTTGTTACCATTTGCTTCACTGTCAGTTTACGTGTCTTTGAATCTAAAGTGAGTTTCTTGGCTGGGCATGGTGGCTCATGCCTATAATCCCAGAACTTTGGGAGGCCAAGGCAGGAGGATCACTTGAGCCCAGGAATTCAAGGCTACAGTGAGCCATGATCATGTAACTGCACTTTCGCCTGGGCAACAAAGTGAGACCGTCTCTAAATAAATAAATAAATAAATAAATAAATAAATAGAGTCTCTTGTAGACAAATGTATAGTTGGATCATGCTTTTTAAAAAATCCATTAAGCCATTCTGTATCTTTTTATTAGGGAGCTTAGTCCATTAACATTTAATGTAATTACTGGTGAAGAATGATTTACTGTTACCTTTGGTAACCATGAAGAAAATACTTATAAAAGTTACACAGGAAGAAAAGAGAAGGAATAAAAACTTATCAATATGTTGCAGGAATTAGAGGACCTGAGAGACTAAATAGGTGTTACAGGAGGACTTTTATTAAGGTGTACACCAGCTCAGTGGATCCAGGTTTTTTCACATCCAAAAAACTGAGCCTGGAACAAAGACAGGGCTTGATTTTTATAAGCAAGCTTACAGAAGCAGAACAAAGACAGTTAATTAAACAGTGACAGGTCTCATAATCTCTAGCATAGCTTGTGACTTTGCAGCTGCATCAAAGGAGAAACAGGAACTTAGAAAACTTGCAAAATATTTATGGAGAAGGGGTAAAGGGCTAAAAGAGGAATTTGTTTTTCTTATCCTTATGTTGGGGAGTGCTGGGAGAGTCTCCAGAGCACATTCCTTTTGGGTCTTGACTTCTTAGATTGTGTTATCAGGACCTTGCCTGGGCCTGGGCTGTGTCTGTTACTGCTTTTTGGGATGAGACAGCCTAAAACAGGAAAACTTGCTTTTCTCTTTTAATTTTATTTTCCTTTCTTTAATTTTCTGCATCAAATATAAAAAGACCAAAACACTGGGGAAGACAGCAAGAGAGAAACAGAGAGTCAAAGGAACTACAAGACAAACAAAAAATAGTTAACAAAACGGCAATAGTAAATACTAGATTCAAGGACACACATAGGCTTGAGAGGTGACAACGTGCTAGCAGCCCTCACTCACTCTCAGCACCTCCTCGGCCTCGGCGTCCACTCTAGCCATGCTTGAGGAGCCATTCAGCCCGCAGCTTCACTGTGGGAGCCCCTCTCTGGGCTGGCTGAGGCCAGAGCCGGCTCCCTCTGCTTGTGGGGAGGTGTGGAGGGAGAGGCGCGGGCGGGAAGTGGGGCTGCACACGGCGCTCGTGGGCCAGCGCGAGTTCCAGGTGGGCACGAGCTCGGCAGGCCCTGCACTCAGAGTGGCCGGCTAGCGCCACCAGCCCCAGGCAATGAGGGGCTTAGCACCTGGGCCAGCAGCCGCAGAGGGTGTGCCGGGTCCCCCAGCAGTGCCGGCCCGCCTGCACCACACTTGAATTCTCACCGGGCCCCAGCTGCCTCCCCGCAGAGCGCAGCTTGGGACCTGCAGCCTGCCATATTTGAGCCTCCCCCAGCCCACTGCCCCCATGGGCTCCCACACGGCCCGAGCCTCCCCAACGGGCACCGCCCCCTGCTCTGCAGTGCCCAGTCCCATCAACTGCCCAAGGGCTGAGGAGTGCAGGCGCATGGCATGGGACTGGCAGGCAGCTCCACCCGCGGCCCCGGCACGGGATCCACTAGGCAAAGCCAGCTGGGCTCCTGAGTTGGGTGGGGACTTGGAGAACTTTTAATGCCTAGCTAAAGGATTGTAAATGCACCAATCAGCACTTTGTGTCTAGCTCAAGGTTTGTAAATGCACCAATCAGTGCTCTGTGTCTAGCTAATCTAGTGGGGACTTGGAGAACTTTGTGTCTAGCTAAAGGATTGTAAATGTACCAATCAGCACTCTGTGTCTAGCTCAGGGATTGTAAATGCACCAATCAGCTCTCTGTCAAAACAGACCAATCAGCTCTCTGTAAAATGGCCCGATCAGCTCTCTGTAAAATGGGCCAATCAGCTCTCTGTAAAATGGACCAATCAGCAGGATGTGGGTGGGGTCAGATAAGGGAATAAAAGCAGGCTGCCCCAGCGAGCAGTGGCAACGTGTTCGGGTCCCCTTCAACGCTGTGGAAGCCTTGATCTTTTGCTCTTCACAATAAATCTTGCAGCTGCTCACTCTTTGGGTCCACGCCACCTTTATGAGCTGTAACACCGCAAAGGTCTGCAGCTTCACTCCTGAAGCCAGTGAGACCACGAACCCACTGGGAGGAATGAACAACTCCAGACGTGCCGCCTTAAGAGCTGTAACACTCGTGAAGGTCTGCAGCTTCACTCCTGAAGCCAGTGAGACCACGAACCCACCAGAAGGAAGAAACTCTGAACACGACCGAACATCAGCAGGAACAAACTCCGGACACACCATCTTTAAGAACTGTAACACTCACCGTGAGGGTCCGCAGCTTCATTCTTGAAGTCAGTGAGACCAAGAACCCACCAATTCTGGACGCAGGCTGACAGTGAAGGGTTGAAAACAGATATCCCATGTAAATAGCCCTCAAAAGAAAGCAGTAGTGGCCATTCTTATATAGCACAAATTAGAATTTAAGTCAAAAACTGTCCCAGGAGACAAAGTCATTACATAATGATAAAAGGGTGAATTCAACAGGAAGATAACAGCAATTGTAAATACATATGTACCTACTATTAGACTACCTAAGTATATAGAACAAATATCAAAATATCTGAAAGGAGAAATGGACAGCAATAGTGTAATGGTAGAATAATTCAGTACCCCACTTTCAATAAAAAATAGAAAATCCAGATAGAAAATCAATAACAAAATAGTGGACTTTAAATTGATGTAATAGCCATATACAGAATTTTTCAATTAACAAAAGAAAAATATGTAATCTTCTCAAGTGCACACAGAACATTCTCCAGGATAGATCACATCACATATTTCCAGGATAGGTCACAAAACAGGACTGAATACATTTAAGAAGATTGAAATCATATTTAGGAAGAATGGAATCAAATAATATGTCAAACACTTCCAGTGAATTTTTAATTTTCATTATTGTATCTTTATCTTCATTTCTGTTTGGTTCTTTGTTATATTTTCTATTTGTTGATATTCTCATTGTTGGGAACAGGTGTTGGGTGCCACAAAGAAGAACTAGCACTTAGACTGAAAATTCCTCAGCAAGACAACTTTACTTCTGCAGAAGGGTGCTACTTGCATCTGAAGCAATTGCAAGAGCACACCAAGGGGGCTAGGGCAGGGGTTTTTACCCCTAATGCAGCTCATGTTTCTGTGTCCTTTCCCCAGTAACTAGAGTTGGACCACACAATCTAAACCCGATTGGCTATTGTTTGAAATTGAATAGGGCCTATTAGGCAGGAAGGGAGAGGCTGTTCCTGTTACCAATTAGGTGGGAAGGGTTGTTTACAGAACCAGAAAGAACAACGAAGTTTGAAGAGGAACTTATTGTTTCTGGCAATATCCCCCCTCTTTATAGTTTTTCCTCTTCAAATTTTTCAAACATAATTTGGCTCTGTTGTTCCTCTTGGTGATCTAGAAGTGGGAGTTTATCTGAATAGGGTGGGGAAGAATTGAGGGAGGTTTTAGTAAGAGCTGTTTCTGTAAGCCTTTGCACCAACCCATGAACAGAAGGTGTAATACAGCAACCTACAAGAATGAGTACACCTGTAACAACTGCAAGAGAAGTAAATATTGAGGTCATGAGTCATTTCCATTTTCCAAACCATTTTTCCATAAGACCTGAAAAGGGGCCATTTATTCCGGGATTTTCAGCTAATTCACTTGTAAGGCCCTGTAATGCTTTTGTAATTGTTCCATTAGGGGCTGTGTTAATAGGGATAAAAGTGCAACATTGGACTCCAATCATGACACAGACTCTGCCTTTTTCAGCCAATAACATGTCAAGGGCTATCCTGTTTCCCCAAGCCATTTGGCTGGTGGGGCCTAATTTCTCAGCTATTCCTTTAATGGCATCGCTTGTGTAATTGACAAACCGCTGTCGATTATAGTAAATGTAATTTATCCAGTCTACATGTTTGTTTGTAGTTGACCACCAGAATAATACAGATTCAAATCCTGTGGTAATTTGATTTCAGGCTTTAAATTCACTGGGCACCCCTCGGGGAACTCCGATAGCATCTATATAAACATGAGGGTCAAAAGACCCATGGGGGACACTTCTTTTTCTGTAGTTGTCCTTTTTGTTTGGTTGATGAAATTCCAGGGTGAAAGGGATGGCCAATTTGATTAGAGCACAAGTGCTGCTCCAGTTACTTGGCAGAGTACCCAATAGTGGTCCACCGCAATACCACCATACATCTGCTTAGGGATGAACAAGGGCAGACTGATTGGTTAGCTCTTGAAAAGGCTTAGGTGTGCTGCACCCTGTTAAGCTCCTAAGGAATGCCAAGTTTTCCCCATGCCATGAGAGACACGAGGTGAAATTGACATTTGTAGCCGGAGTCCGAATGGCCCTCAGGGGCAGACCTGCAGGGCTTTTAACTTCTGGGAATAGTAGGGAGAGGGTTAGACATGCCTTATTGCCCCAGGCTGTGGGGTTTTGGAAGAGGGCTACCATACATACAGTCCATGCCCGGTTGGTCAGAGGAAAGGGGACAATTTGGGTTTCTGGCCTGCCTGTCGCACAAGCATAAAAATCGCTTTTGTGTAGTGTGTGGACAGAATATTTAATCCATTCCAGCCAGGCATTTGCATCTTGGTACCCTATTTCAATGGCTAAAGTTTGCTTTAAATTTTTGATTTCTATTACGATACTTTGGTTTTGTCGTTGGGTATGAGGTGGGAAATGGTTTGAATTTGTGGGATCGAGGAGGGGGTGGGAGACGAAGGGGAAGGAACAAAGCATAATTTAAAGAAGCCTATAGGGTCCCTTCCAGCAACATCTGCCCCTTAGCCATAAAATCGCTCTACAGTGGGTGTGGGAATGGTGAAGGTAAGGGTATTAATAGAGATAAGTACTGGGTTGCAATGGTTAGATTGGCAATTAGAGGGGGTAGTCCCTTTGGTGAAGTGTAGGTGTGGCTTTAGGGCAGTGCAACCCTGTCAGGAGGTCCAACCCTGATTTTTAGTAGTCCATAGAACGTCTGCCCACTGTGAACATAACTCCCAATTACCTGACTCTTCCTCTGAAGATTCCCACCACACACAAGACACAGTAGTAGTAGTGTTTTCCTTGGAGGGACAGGGGTATTTTTCTGCAGAGGCTAGCTGCCTTTGACTTTGAAGATCTCCACAAGGTAAGACTAGACAAGCATCAAATGTAACTGTTTGGGGAAAGGGTGATTGAGTTACACTGATAATAAGATATCCTTGAGTAGCTAAGGAGAGAAGAAAAAGATAGATTAAACCCACTTGAATGTTGATTTTGAGGCTGTTGTTCCTGGAGTGACAGTCCATGATTCTGGAGAGGGCAATGCTTTTTTGACTCTGGTATAATGGGTCCACCACTTTTCAGCGGTCTGGACTGCCGTCTCAGTCATTAGGAGCACCAAATAAGGTCCTTCCCAGGTGGGTTCGAGCTTTCCCTATTTCCAGCTTTTGATAAGGACGTGATCTCTGGGTTGGTGTTGGTGAACTGGGAATTCAAGGGGTGGAGTTTGTGCTAGGAGGCCTTGAGTCCTGAGGGAGGAAAGGGTGGAAGACAGACAAAATATATAGTTTTTAAGAAATTGATCTTTTGTTTCAAATGTAGGAAGGTCAGTTGTGGAATTTAGGTAAGGCAGCCCGTAGAGCATTTCATAAGAGGACAGGCCAAGGTCTTTTTGAGGGATAGTTCGGATTCTTAGTAAGGCAGTGGGAAGGCATTTTGTCCATAGTAACCAGGTTTCCAAGATTAATTTGGTGAGGTGGTTTTTTTTTTTTTTTTCAGGGTCTGGTTCATTATTTCTACCCTTCCTGATGAAGGTGGATGCCAAGGGAGTATGATATTCCCACTTTATTTCTAGTGCTTGGGTTAGCCTTTTAATTATGAGTGTAGTAATGTGGGTCCTGTTGTCTGAATCAATATTCTCTATTATTCCAAACCTGGGTATGATATTTTCCAACAGAGCTTTAACTACATTACTGGCTATTGCACTTGGGAAGGGGATGGCTTCTACCCAGTGGGTAAGATAGTCTACTATTACTAATAAATATTTGAGGTGACCTATTAGGAGCATTTCAGTATAGTCCACTTGGATACTTTGGAATGGCCTTAGCCCTGGATTTCTTCCTCCAAAATGTTGCTTCTTTAAGGTTTGCTTATTAGTTTCTCTGCACACTATGCAACTATCTGTAACTTGCTTAGCAGGGGTCTAGATCCCCATATACCCATAAACCCTAAGGACTGTGTCACACAGAGCGTGGGGACCCCAGTGGGTTCCTTGGTGAAGTTGTGACAGCATTTCCCTCATGAGAGGTTTATACAACATTTCCCTTCCATCTGGTAATACCCACTTTCCCTCTGGGCTTTCCTCAGCTCCTAATTTTTTTGGTTTTTCTTGGTCTGCAGGGGAAAAGATGGGGATTGCAGCTGGAGGGGGAAGACGGGAGGTTAGATGGAAAATGGGTGCCTTCTGGGAAGAAGCAGCTTGCTTAGCTATTTAATCTGCAAGGTTATTCCCCCGGCTTTCAAAAGATAGATTCCTTTGATGTCCTGGGACATGAACAACAGCTATCTCTTCTGGCAGCTGTAGATTATCCAATACTTGTATTATTAACTCTTTGTGGACCAGGTTTTGGCCCTTACTGTTAATAACACCCCGTTCAGTCCAGATTTTTCTAAAGGTATTGACTACTCCAAAGGCATATTTGGAGTCAGTGTAGATAGTTCCTTCTTGGTTTTGTAGACATTTTAAAGCCTGATTTAGTACAAATAGCTCACATGTTTGAGCAGACCAGTCATTTGGCAATCTTCCTGATTCTGTTTCTGCCAGAGTTTTCCCATCAACTACTGAGTACCCGTTATGCCTCTTTCCTTCAACTACCCAAGAAGGACCATTTATGAAAAGATGCCTCCCTGTTTGGAAAGGAGTTTCACCTAATTTTTGTTTGATAACTGATTGGTTCTAAACATTTGTGCTCCGGGTTCTCTGGGTTTGGATTCCCTGTTAGGAAGGCAGTGGGGTTAAGTGAATTGTCACTAAAGTTAAATCATCCTTTTCTAATAAGATAGCCTCATACTATAAAATTCTTGAGTCAGTAAGCCATCTTCCTACCTTTTGGTTAAGAATAGTTCTGACTTGGTTAGGAGTACTCACGATGAAGTTTCCTCCGAAGGTTATTTTTTCTGCTTTCCTCTGTTAGCAAGGCAGTTGGTGCTATGGATTGAACACATTCAGGCCATCCATTACTGGGTCAATAACTTTTGACAGAAAGGCTATGGGCTGCTGGTGACCCCTGTGTTTTTGGGTGAGTACCCCTAAGGCTACTCATTTGTTTACATTGACAAAAATATGAAATGGCAGTTCTAGGGCGGCTAAAGCTAGAACCAGGACAGTTACTAATAAATGTGTTAATTTTTCTACTTGTATTTCTGATAAGGTCCATAGAAGGGAGTCTGGCTCTTCTTGGGTGAGTTTTTGGTATAAAGGTTTTGTCTCTAAGGCATATGAGTCAATCCATAGGTGACAGTATCCAACCAATCTCCCACATTTTCTAAGTTCTTGTTTCATTTCTGGTAGAGGTAGGGATATGATACCCTCAATCCATTCAAACCCTATTTTCTGTTTGCCTTTGCTTAAGTGCCCTAGGTACTTTACTTCAGGTTCTACAAATTGGAGTTTACTCTTTGAGACTGGTAACCCTTGTTCTCTTAGATGATTTAGGAAGCTGATTGAAAATGTTACTCAATCTTTGTTCTCTCCTGAAATAAGCAGGTCATCCATGTATTGGAGTAGGCATATGGATGAGGGCAGGGAAAAGTTTTTTATCACTTGCTGTAGAATTTGACCAAATAAGTTTGGTGATCCTGTAAACCCTGGGGGTAAAACTGTCCGTCGGTATTGTTGTTTTTGACTGGAGTAGGGGTCTTCCCATTCAAAGGCAAACATGTCCCAGTTGTCCTCTGCTAACGGACAAGCTCAAAGGCATCTTTTAAATCTATTACTGTGAACCATTGGTGGTTATGTGGACTTCTACCAATAATAGTGTACGGATTAGGAACAATAGGGTGGGTGGTTTGAACTATTTGATTAATAGCCCAGAGGTCTTGCACTAACTGGTATGACCCATCTGGCTGCTATACAGGCAGTATTGGAGTGTTATAAGGGGACATACAGGGTTCAAGGAATTCGTCATGGAGAAGGCTTTCAATTATGGGTTTTAAACCTATCCTGGCTTTTAAGGGAATAGGGTATTGTTTTCTTTTTACTACTTCTTTGGGAGTTTTTAATTTGACATGGATTGGAGGAACCCATAGCTTTCCTTAATTTCCTTCTTTTGACCATATGTCAGGATGAATATGTTTTTCATCTATAGTGGTGAGTAAATTTAGGGAGGTGAGAAATTTTCCTTGATTAATATAGAGGCCTAAGCCTAATTTTAGCATTAAATGTCTCCCTAATAAGTTTGTTCCTGCCTCTGGAATTAACAGAAATTTAGTATTAGCTGAGTGGTTCTTATATTTGACCTCTGTTTCTTTTAAGATTTTTGCTTTAGATTTTTCTCCTTTTACTCCTGAGATAAGTTCTTGTGAACAAATTACACCAGAATGGGGGATGACAAACAGAGGAGTCAGCTGCCCCTGAGTCAATTAAAAAAGTTATAAGCTCAGGTTTGGGCCCCACCTCTATATTTATCAAGGGCTCTGGGTAGGACTCGAAATAAGAGACAGTGCCCCTGATCCCCCAGTCTTCCTCAAAGGCCTTAAGTAGGATGACTTTATTTTCCTTTTCCCATTTGGGCCATTCTCTTTTGAAGTGTCCTATTCTCCCACATTTGGAACATTTATTTGGCCCTCTTTCAGTAATTTTGAGTTCCCTGGCTTTGCTCTTTTGTACCCTTTATGTGGCCTGGTGAGTGGAAGCTTAAGTTCTTTACAGGTTTTGGCCCCTTGGGTGCTTTGTTGTAGGATGGACAGCATGATTTTTGCCTTTTGTTTCTGCTTTTTTTTCATCCCTTCATACATATGCTTTTTGAGCCTCCCTTAAAAGTTCCTCTGTAGGTCAATCTTTCCAGTTCTCTAATTTTGTAGTTTTTTTAAATAATGTCCGTCCAACTATTGGCGACCAAATGGAGCTTTAACATCCCTTATCCAAGGGGTTCTTCTAATTCTAGGCCAGCATATTTCTTCATTTGCTCCTTAAGCCTCTCTAAGAATTCCATAGGTCCTTCATCTTTTCCCTGTTGTATATTAAAGGCTTTGGTAATATTTTTAGTTTGAGGAACTGATTCCCGAATCCCTCTAATTACCATATCTCTGAGATCTCTCATATTTCCTTGATGGGCTATATTGTTGTTATCCCATTGAGGATCTTGGGCAGAGAACTTTTGTTCAGCTGCTGGGATGTTTTGACTGGGGGCGGGGTCAGGGGAGGTGCTCACATTCCCAAACCATCATAGTGGCCCTGCAGATCATGCTTCTTTCCTCTCCCAAAAAGAGGGTGCCTAGAATGGACATTAATTCAGCCTAAGTATACAACTGGGGTCCTAGGAATTGATCAATTTGATCTGCTACTCCATAGGGATCATCTAAGAGTGGTTTGAGCTCTCTTTTTAGGTTTCAGACTTCTGAGCTGGTTAAGGGGGCATTTACAAAGCCAATGCCCCTTCCTTCTAGAGGCACTTCCCTGAAGGGAAAGAGTGTTGGAGCAGATTCTCTCAAGGTAGTGGGGAAAAGGAAGTTTTGGATATCTTTTTTACATTGTTCTATCTCACGTTGAAGTCTTCCTGGGGGCGGGCATTTAGGCTGGGGATGGCCCCAAGAGTCAGGATTATAAGGAGGGGAGGAAACAACATGAGAAGGGGAAGGGCTTGGGGTAGCTGCATTTGCTTGAGGGGGAGGGAAGTTAGAGGTGCTTAGTGGGAAAGGTGGTCTAAAGGGTCCCACTTGTTAGTGGACTTTTTTGGGGTTAGGGATCTTAATTTCCTGAGGGGAAGTAGTTTCTGGCTTGTCTCCTGTAGCTTTTAGGGGATAGAGGAGGACAAGCCCTTGCCGCCAACACAGGGCATAGTCTGTTTCCTCCTGGGAGACAGGACTTTTGTTATTGACATATTCTATTAAAAGTTGACAAATCCAATCCTCATTGGACCCAACTTTGGCCAAAAAACTGAGGGTTTGAGGATAGGTTCTTGGGTCCAAATAAAACAATATTTTATTATTTGTTGCTTTTTCTTGTGTTTGGTCCTTTCATTATTCCTCCAGTAGTTTAACATGAGACCTCAGGGGCTATTAGAGGGAACTTTATTGTCTGTCTTGTCCTTTTTATTTTCTATCTTGCTGGTGGTATTTCCCATCCTGGAAGTTTTAGGTGTTTCTTGAGGTTCCCTGAGTCAGCGGAGCTCAACCTCTCCTAATACAGATTTCTTGTACCCTTTCTCTAGAGCTCAACCCCCGCTACTGGAGGTTTCTTGCACTCCTTTGCTTTCACTTCATCCTTCTCCAGCTGCTTCCCTCATGGAATTTAGATCCCTCTTAGTATTGATGGGTCAGTATAAACCCCATGACAGGAAGGCCACCTTAAGCCGTATGAGGTGACCACGGAACCATGGATCTGGACTCTACACTCACTTCACACTTAATTGTTCATCTCATTTACACACTTTCACCTCCAGGATGTCCCGACCACCAAGGAAATATTTCACCGCCCCCACAGATTCTCTTACCTTGGTCTGTGCTCAGAGTTACCTGGTTGCCACTGTATTTATTTGTAGACTTTTTCTTTCTCTGCATTGCTGAGAGTCCGGGTTTATTCGTCATGCCAGATGGGTCTCGATCCCTTACTCCTGAGGCAACTGTGACAAGGCAGCAGGATGTGTCTCCTCATGAGAGATGATCGGAGACCCTTCCCTGGAGGATAATGGAATCCCAGACAAGCCCCCAGATTGTTGGAGACAGGTGTTTGGTCCACAAAGAAGAGCCAGCACTTAGACCAAAAATTCTTCAGCAAGGCAACTTTACTTCTGCGGAAGGGTGCTGCTTGCATCTGATGCAATCGCAAGAGCACACCGAGTAGGCTAGGACAGGGGTTTTTATCCCTAATGCAGCTCCTGTTTCTGTGTCCTTTCCCAGTAACTGGAGTCAGACCGTACAATCTAAACTAACCTGATTGGCTATTGTTTGAAATTGAATAGAGCCAAGTAGGTGGGAAGGGAGAGGCTGTTCCTGTTACCAATTAGGTGGGAAGGGTTATTTACAGAACCAGAAAGAACAACGAAGTTTGATGAGAAACTTATTGTTTCTGGCATCATTTTGTTCATATATCCTTCTTCTGATTTCTCTTAGTTTTGTTTATCTTCTCCCTTAGCTATTAGTACACCGTTAAGACAGTTGTTTTAAAGTCCTTTTCTAGTAAGCCTGATTCTGAGCTTTCTCAAGGATGGGTTCTTTAGCTTTTTTTGTTTCTTCTTTGAAGGGGCTGTGTTATGCTATGGTTTTTGTGTGGCTTTTTTAATTAAAAATTAAGCTTTTGATTATTATATGTGGTATCTCTGGGAAGTCTGATTCTTCTACTTCCCAGGGTTTTTTTTCTCCCTTTGTAATTGTTAAATGCTGTAGTAGTCCTTTACTTTTGAGACTTTTCCTGACTACGTTTACAAAGATGATTCCTTACCACATATTATCTATAATGTCTGTTCCTATAGTTTATATGCATCTAGTGGTTTGACAGAGATTTTCCTGAATGCTTGGAACTCTTCCAGTCTTTGCAGATTGTCTCTGTGCTGGGGCAATCCTTCAGCATTTAGCTAGCCTTGCCCTGAGCCTGGGGTGAAAGCTTACAGTCTTCACAAGTCTTTTTTGAGCATGCATCTTGCCTGGGCATGACTATGGCTTTCTAAATTCCCTTATATACTTGACTGCTTTTGAACATCCTAATTTCCCAGTGAATCACATAATAGCTTCTGCTACATGCTTTTGTATGGTATATTGTGTGTCTCCATTTGTAACCTTTTGCCTCAGGCTTCTGTAAGTCTGTAGTTAACTAGCCACTTTTAATGAGCATTCACTGTATTTCCTGCCTAAGTTTCAAGTTGGGCAAACCAGATAGGAACATCTTGCATAAATGTTTCAAGTATCTAACAGACAGCTTACAGTAGATGTACACAATGGTTTGCAATAAGATCTACTCTCCTTCCTCTGGTTCAAGGAAAAAAATTATCTGGATTTTTGCCACTTCAAGACCAAGACTGCTGCCATGCTAGAAAAGGGCTGGGGTAAGGTGAGAAAAAATGCCACAAAACTTTCTTACAATTTTGAAAATGGTTTTGTTTTTTATTGGGTATTTACCTGGTTGCTGTAAATCTTTGACTGTTTTCTAGAGCTCAGACAGAGTTGTTTCAGGTAGTTTCTGCTTAATTTTTTCACTGTTTCCCTGTGGAATAATAGCTTTGAAATACCTAATCCTACATTTTGCTGACATCCATTTTGGTGGCATTTAATTACGTGGTACCAAATCATTGGCTGATGAAAAGCTGAACTTAGCTGGCTGCTGTGTCTGCTAGATGGGGCCTCTCTACCCCTGTGGGAAGGCAAAACTTGGCTGCTTGGCAACCACAGATCAAGTGCACTCTATTCCTGATCAGGGACAGTGAGAGCAGACCTGGGCAGTGGATCCCACATGCCATGGCCTGGGTCAGCTCACGCTACTAACAGACAAGTGATGGCAGATGGCACTTTTTATTGAGCCAAGAGTCTCCATGGTCTGTATGTAGCCAAGCTAGCTCCTTAATAATGCATTTTTCGGGGCATTTTCCTTTTCTCTACTTAAACTTGTTTGAATAGACAGAAATTTTCATCTCTTTTCTGATTCCCTTCCTAATGAATTTGGCAAAATTGGGCTGTGTGCAGTGGCTCATGCCTGTAATCCCAGCACTTTGGGAGGCTGAGCCAGGAGGATGGCTTGAGCTCAGTGAGACCAGCCTGGGTAATATAGTGAGACCCCATCTCTACAAAAACTCAGAAAAAATTAGGTTGGCATAGTGGTGTGTTCCTGTGGTCTCAGCTACTCAGGAGGCTGAGGCAAGAGGATCACTTGAGCCTGGGAGGCAGAGTTTGGAGTAAGCCAAGATCGTGCCACTGCACTCCAGCCTGCACAACAGAGTGAGACCCTGTCTCAAAAAAAAAAAAATGAATTTAGTAAAATATAGAAGGTTGAGAGTTGTTCAAGATCAAATTGTCTAACATTTTTGCTTTCATGGAATGATCACATTTGAAGCCTGGGGGTCCCTGTACTACCAGGGAACCCTTTGGTTACACTGCAGTGATCCATTGTGATGTATTTCTCCTTTAGTTGCCCTGGAGGGCTCAAGGATTGGATGTCTCAGTACCTCAGTCATAGAATCCGAAAAGTTTTCAGCTCCTTGAGATGTGTGCTCCATCTTCTGCAGGGTCTAGGCCGTTGACCTGCAGGTCTGCACATTTATATCACATTTAGGGACACTGTAGGAATTCTTAGAAAATGGAAAGAAATCAGCTCCAACTGGATTTGCTCTCTTCACTCATGGCCATAAGAAATATTTTAATATCTTGTTTAAACTGAGAGAGAGCTGGAAACGTGAAAATGGGAGAATGGAAATCACAACATGCACGACCTGGAAAGCAAATGCTCCAAGTGAGGACAGACCTAAGGATGCAGGTGCCTGTCACACATTGCAGGGAGAGGACATGCAGAGCCACTGTGAACTCAGGGGAGGCGCTAGGAAACTTCTCACCCCAGAGTAGAGACATTATAAAGTATGCAGTGGGCTTGGACTAATTTGATCTTGGTATCAGAAGGAAAGAACTTGGTCTTGTGTACATGATGTGACCCTTCTGATTCCTCACACAGATGTGACAAGGGAAGTTGGAGAAAATTTTGAGCACAGCTCTCTCCAGATTGCTATTATCCAGGAGGGAATACAGTAAAATTAAGAGGCAGGTAAAATATTCCACTGGTGACTCCATGGTTCCATGCTCCCCAGTTGAATTTTGCCACCTTTCTACAGACACTACAATTGCAGGCCTACAGAGGGATGAGCTAAGGATATCTTTCCTTAAAACCATGCAGGTTCTTCACAGGTGAACTGAATCCCCTACTCATCCATCTGCGTAAATGCCTCTTTATTCTGCAGGTGTAGAATCAGTGGGTGAGCTGGGCCCTAGGCAGGCTGTGGACTGAGACCAGTTGGTTCTAATAGCGAGGTTTTGGTGACCTCAGATTAGCCACCCAGCTCTAACCATCACCCACAGCTCAGAGGATTGTTTCCTCGGTAGTGCAAGGGGGTCTTTTCTGTTTTGTTTGGTATGTTTAATCCTTTAGTGACTCATAAAATTGGTGGATTTTTTTCCTTGAGAGATACTCAATTTTAGGTTTCCATTCACTTCTCAAACTAAATGACTTTTATTTACTTTCTTTTTCAGTTCTCAAGGTCCATACTCTTATGTTATCTAGTTATTTTAGATCCAGATATTACTAATTTCATATTCCTATTTATCAAGGAAGGGATAGGTTTTAACTCCAGAATTTTACTAAACGTACTTGCTTCTACTTCTCTCATCTTTATAAATCAATTCAAAGTATTATCTAAGAAGTGTCTTCTGTAGTTTGAGTAATTTAAAAATATATATATATAGGAATAAATAATTTTAAATCATTTAGAAGGAAATTAGATTATTTATTCAAAACACTGGCTTATCAAGAGAGTATAACCTTACATTCCCACAAACTATCTAACAATAATTTCTCATGAAGACACATCTTACCCCAGTTTTAATTTCACAAATTAATTAATTAATTTATTTATTTGAGACAGGGTCTCATTTGTTGCCCAGGCTGGAGTGCAGTGGTCCATCACAGTTTACTGCAGCCTCAACCTCCTGGGCTCAAGCGATCCTCCCACCTCAGCCTCCTGAGTAGCTGGTACCACAGGCATGCTCCACCACACCTGGCTAGTTTTTTGTATTGTTAGTAGACATGGGATTTTGCCATGTTGCTTGGGCTGGTCTGGAACTTCTGAGCTCAAGCAATCCCAGAGTGCTGGGATTACAGGCATAAGCCACTGTGCTGGGCCTAACTTCTCAAATTTAAATTAATGGTGTCAGCACATAAGCATGTACTCTAGTGGCTAGAATATTTCAAATTAGAGACAGTGACTATGAGGTTGCAGTTGCTTTAAAAAATAAAACAAAGTGATGATAATGGTGATAATCCCTTTGTGGCTCCCAAAGGTGTAATCTCTCAAATTTATTGAGAAGATGATAGTGATGACAGTGATGAAGTTGACAATTATGATAATGCAAAGCCAAAGTATGCTCTTTCATGTATCTAAGGTACCTCGCTAAGTGCTGGATGTAAATCATAGTATTTGCACATCATCTCTACCCTGAGAGATATGCACAATTACACTGGTGCTGCAGATGTGAAGATAGACATGCCCCCCCTCCCTTCCATCACCCTGTAACCTGTCCACCCCCGTGGGCATAAGTGCCAAACTTGTGAGTTTGCTCCTTTCCTTATTTTCTCCACTGCTCTGCTGACCACTGGATCAGGTGCATTGACCTGAGCATTCTTCACTAGTTGGTGGCCCATTTGATTATTCCATATATCACAGATTGTCCATGATTTGGTAACTACAGGTTGCAAAATATCTATAGTGATTGCTTCCTTAATCAAGGTAGTAAAGGGAATCTTACCTATGTTACCTTTCTTCTGAAGGAAATTCAGCTTCACTGTCTGCTTTGAGAGATTTTGATGGTGACTTTTCAAAGAAATGCTCAGATTGTTCTTTGACATTTCTTGCTCTGTGTATATTTTGTTTCTTAACCTGCGCACTTAGCTTTTCTCTTGTCTTCTTCAGTGTGGCCTCTCCAAATGTGACCTATCTCAGAATTTTCTTCCATGTTATTTTTCCTGTGATTTATGTCATTATCTTCTGAATCTCAAGTCTCTCAGAATAGCTTGCCTTCTCCCATGTGTCAAATGCAATTTTGGGGGTTTGGCTCATCGGGCAAGCCAGGTTTCAGCATCTGACACTCCTAAGAGCCATATTTGAAGAAAGTCTCTTAGCTCATCCTGCTGATGGAAGGAGTTCCTTTTCTGTCCCCGTATCTCCTAAACCATGCTGTGCAAGTCAGGTGGTGAGCATGATGTGGCACAGTGGGAGGATTCACACTGGGAGGATTTCTTTTAGCTCGTGTTTATGCAATATTCACATGCTTAAGGATGTTTTCTAATAAAAATGATCTATTAGCACAGAAGTAGCTATGTACCTTTTCTTATAATACATACAAGTATAAAGCATATAGAGGTGGGATGTGTGCTTCACAGATTCAGTTGTGTATGATCCGCACAACGTGGAGACAGCTGGACGATTAGAGCTGAGTTTTCTGTTTTCCTGGTATTCCATGGGCACCACTCCATAAGTGGATGATCATGAATGTATCCCATGTGTCACTTTCCAATACTCTAGAAAAAGTTTTCCGGCTCTAACTGGGGAAATTCTCTTATAGAGAAATATAATTTCCCATTGGTTTTAAAGCAATGATCCACATAAAACATGATTTCTTAAATGTTACTGCAATTCAAGGCACCTGAACACTTCTGCCTTTTCTGTATACATTTATATTGACAGGATTGTACACATTTGTATTGGCAGGACACAAACTGAGTTCTGTGTCCTCAGTTTACAAATGATTAAAACCTACTACTTAGCCAGTTTTACAATGGTATGTATTTTATTTTTAAAACTGAAATAAACTGGATTGAAATAAAGCTTGTGTTTTCCAGAAATGATATGATAGAAGGGAAATTCATAATTATTTTGTTTTATATTTTTGAAACATCTTTTAGATGTCATATATTTAATATTGTTCCTTTTAAAGCATTTCCAGTATCAAGATATCTGTATATATCTTATAACTTACATGAAATAGAGCTACAGAAATGGGTATATGCCATTTATAAGCACACAGAAGACAAGAAACCATTTAGTGCTGTGTGCTTAATTGGTGGGACCCATGAAGCTTGGGGACTACTGGGACATTAGATTAATATTTTCTGTTGTTTCTCCTGGGCACATCAAGGGAGCAAATCCAAATTTTCTAAATGTGTGAATGGAGAGAACTTTTTTACTAAATTGATTAAAAATTCAGAAAAGATTAACCTTTGCTAATGCTACTCTATGGAATTTATATTTTAGATAATGAAACTTTTCCATAGGTTTCAGACCAAATATCTAGGCTCAGAATACATAAATTTTCATGGCTTCTTAGCATTTCTGCCCTTCCTTAATAAGTTATAAAACCCACTGCTCTAAGTAGTTATGAAAATAATTTAGCCTTACACACTAGGTTTTCAGATGATAAAATTGTAGCAATATGTTACTGGTCCCATTTTGCATGTTATGTACTCCGTATCTATACACCTTGAATTAAAACTCATTGAAAGTAAGTACCAGCATACCATAGGGAAATACTCCATGAATAGGTCTCTACTAAATTCTCTAGTGTAATTTTTACAGTTAGGACCCCTACTTTGGAAAAATATCATTGCTTACTCAAAGAAGACATGAAAGCCTGGATTTCTGTGGAGAATCTCTCTCAGGTTAAGGGTGGATACCTGTTTTCTAATTAAAATACTAAAAAAGAGTGACCCCAAATCTATTTGAATTGTGCTTATATTTTCCACCTTGATTTTTACATGCCTAACATTGGAAAGAAAAGAAATTTTGGAATGTGGTCCAGCTAATACTTGATAACTCTACTCACTTAGGCTAGATTTTTGTGGCATGATAATAAAACATATGTAAAATGAATTTTAGAGGATTCAGAGAACTAAAATTTCATCAGAGACCTACAACCAGAGTTTGTTAAACAGAGTCTGCTATTTCAATGGTAGTTTTTCCTCTCTCATTTAGACAGGGATACTTGAGGAAATCTTTCAGAGACTTGCGTTAGCTTCCCAAGCCATGTATATGAGGAACCATACAATAAAAACAATAGCTAACATTTCTATTAAGATCATTATGTATCAGAAAAGTTTCCATGTTGGAGAAAGTTCCATGCGCTGATGAATAGAATGTATATTCTGTGGTTGTTGGATAAAATGTCCTGTATATATCTGTTAAGTCTACGTGTTCTAAGGTATGGTTTAAATCCATTGTTTCTTTGTTGACTTTCTGTGTTGATGACCTGTCTAGTGCTATCAGTGGAGTATTGAAGTCCCCCATTATTACTGTGTTGCTGTTTATCTCGTTTCTTAGGTCTATTAGTAATTATTTTATAAATTTGGGAGCTCCAGTGTTAGGTGCATATATGTTTAGGATTGTGATATTTTCCTGTTGAACAAGGCCTCTTATTATATAATGTTCCTCTTTGTCTCTTTTAACTGTTGTTGCTTTAAAGTTTGTTTTGTCTGATATAAGAATAGCTATTCCTGCTCACTTTTGGTGTCCGTTTGCATGAAATGCCTTTTTCCATCCCTTTACTTTATGTGAATCCTAATGTGTTAGGTGATTCTCCTGAAGGCAGCAGATAGTTGATTGGTGAGTTCTTATCCATTCTGCAGTTCTATATCTTTTAAGTGGAGCATTTTGGCAATTTACATTCAATGTTAGTATTGAGATGTGAGGTGCCATTTCATTCATTGTGCTATTTGTTGCCTGTGTACCTTAATTTTTTTGTTTGATGTTTTTGCTTTTTAAATTGTATTTTCCTTTTATAGGTGCTATGTTATTTATGGTTTAAAGAGATTCTATTTCGATGTGTTTCCAGGATTTGTTTCGAGATTTAGAGCTCCTTTCAGCAGTTCTTGTAGTGGTGGCTTGGTAGTGGCAAATTCAGCATTTGTCTGAAAAAGACTGTATCTTTCCTTCATATATGATGCTTAGTTTTGCTGGATACAAAATTCTTGGCTGGTAATTGTTTTGTTTGAGGAAGCTGAAGATAGGGCCCCAATCCCTTCTAGCTTGTAGAAGGGTTTCTGCTGATAAATCTGCTGTTAATCTGATAGGTTTTCCTTTATAGGTTACCTGGTGCTTTTGTCTCACAATTCTTAAGATTCTTTCCTTCATCTTTTTTTTTCTTTTTTTTGATTTTTTTTTTTTAATTTTATTATTATACTCTAAGTTTTAGGGTACCTGTGCACAATGTGCAGGTTTGTTACATATGTATGCATGTGCCATGTTGGTATGCTGCACCCATTAACTCGTCATTTAGCATAAGGTATATCTCCTAATGCTATCCCTCCCCGCTCCCGCCACCCCACAACAGTCCCCGGAGTGTGATGTTTCCCTTCCTGTGTCCATGTGTTCTCATTGTTCAATTCCTACCAATGAGTGAGAACATGCAGTGTTTTGTTTTTTGTCCTTGCGATAGTTTGCTGAGAATGATGGTTTCCAGTTTCATCCATGTCCCTACAAAGGACATGAACTCATCATTTTTTATGGATGCATAGTATTCCATGGTGTATATGTGCCACATTTTCTTAATCCAGTCTATCGTTGTTGGACATTTGGGTTGGTTCCAAGTCTTTGCTATTGTGAATAGTGCCACAATAAACATACATGTGCATGTGTCTTTATAGCAGCATGATTTATAATCCTTTGGGTATATACCCAGTAATGGGATGGCTGGGTCAAATGGTATTTCTAGTTCTAGATCCCTGAGGAATCGCCACACTGACTTCCACAATGGTTGAATTAGTTTACAGTCCCACCAACAGTGTAAAAGTGTTCCTATTTCTCCACATCCTCTCCAGCACCTGTTGTTTCCTGACTTTTTAATGATCACCATTCTAACTGTTGTGAGATAGTATCTCATTGTGGTTTTGATTTGCATTTCTCTGATGGCCAGTGATGATGAGCATTTTTTCATGTGTTTTTTGGCTGCATAAATGTCTTCTTTGGAGAAGTGTCTGTGATGACATGATTGTATATCTAGAAAACCCCATTGTCTCAGCCCAAAATCTCCTTAAGCTGATAAGCAACTTCAGCAGTCTCAGGATACAAAATCAATGTACGAAAATCACAAGCATTCTTATACACCAATAACAGACAAAGAGCCAAATCATGAGTGAACTCCCATTCACAATCACTTCAAAGAGAATAAAATACCTAGGAATCCAACTTACAAGGCATGTGAAGGACCTCTTCAAGGAGAACTACAAACCACTGCTCAATGAAATAAAAGAGGATACAAACAAATGGAAGAATATTCCATGCTCATGGGTAGGAAGAATCAATATCGTGAAAATGGCCATACTGTCCAAGGTAATTTATAGGTTCAGTGCCATCCCCATCAAGCTACCAATGACTTTCTTCACAGAATTGGAAAAAACTACTTTAAAGTTCATATGGAACCAAAAAAGAGCCCGCATCGCCAAGTCAATCCTAAGCCAAAAGAACAAAGCCGGAGGCATCATGCTACCTGACTCCTTCATCTTAACTTTAGATAACCTGATGACAGTATGCCTAGGCAATCATCTTTTTGCGATGAATTTCCCAGGTGTTCTTTGTGCTTCTTGTATTTGGATGTCTAGGTCTCTAGCAAGGCCAGGGAAGTTTTCCTCCATTATTGCCCCAACTATTTTAACAAACTTTCAGATTCCTCCTCTTCCTCCGGAACACTGATTATTCTTAGGTTTGGTCACTTAACATAATCCCAAACTTCTTGGAGACTTTGTTCGTATTTTCTTATTCTTTTTTATTTGTCTTTGTTGGATTGGGTTAATTCAAAGACCTTGTCTTTAAGCTCTGAATTTCTTTCTTCTACTTGTTCAATTGTATTGCTGAAACTTTCCAGAGAATTTTGTATTTCTGTAAGTGTTTCAATGTTTCCTGGTCCAATGTTTCCTGAAGTTTTGATTGTTTTTTCTTTATGCTATCTATTTCCTTGAATATTTGTCCCCCCCCCCACTTCTTGTATCTTTTTTTTTTTAATTTCCTTGCATTGGGCTTCACCTTTCTCTGGTGCCTCCCTAATTAGCTTAATAACTAACCTCCCAATTCTTTTTCAGGTAAGTCAGGGATTTCTTCTTGGTTTGGATCCACTGCTGGTGAGCAGGTATGATTTTTTGGGAGGTGTTAAAGAGCTTTGTTTTGTCATATTGCCAGAGTTAGTTTTCTTGTTCCTTCTCATTTGGGTAGGCTCTGTCAGAGGAAAGGTCTAGGGCTGAAGGCTGTTGTTCAGATTCTTTTGTCCCATGGGGTGTTCTCTTGATGTAGTACTCTTCCCCCTTTTCCTAGGGATGTGGCTTCCTGAGAGCCAAGCTCTTCTGGGTCTAGCCACCCAGCAAGTCTACTAGGCTCTGGTCTCATACTAGGGGTTGTCTGCACAGAGTCCTGTGATGTGAACCGTCTGTGGGTCTGTCAGCCATGGATACCAGCACCTGTTCTGGTGGAGGTGGCAGGGGATGAAATGGACTCTGTGAGAGTTCTTAGCTTTGGTGGTTAATGTCCTATTTTTGTGCTGGTTGGCCTCCTGCCGGGAGGTGGTGCTTTCCAGAGACCATCAGCTGTGGTAGTATGGAGAAAACCAGCAGTGGGTGCGGCCCTAGACCTCCCATGAGAATATGCCCTTTGTCTTCAGCTACCAGGGTGGGTAGGGAAGGCCTGTCAGGTGGGGGCAGGGCTAGGTGTGTCTGAGCTCAGACTCTCTTTGGGTGGGTCTTGCTGTGGCTGCTGTGCGGGATGGGAGTGAGGTTCTCAGGTCACTGGAGTTGTGTACCTAGGAGAATTATGGCAGCCTCTGCTGAGTCATGTAGGTTGTCAGGGAAGTTGGGGGAAAGCCAGCAGTCACAGGCCTCACACAGCTCCCACGTAATCTGAAGGGCTGGTCTCATTCCCACCGTGTCCCCTCCTAACAGCACCAAGTCTGTTTCCAGGCAGTGGCTGAGTAGGGCTTGAGCACGTGCCTCAGGCTACCCACCTCCCAGCTGGGAAAGAAAAGAGCTTTGGTTTTTCTCCCCACCTATGGAGTCTGCATGCTGAGTTCACACTCTCCCCCAAGTTCTGGCCAGGAGGCTTCTCGCCCAGTTCAAATTGTTACAAAGTTCAGTTGGAGATTTTTCTTCTCCCTGTGGCATTTTCCCCACACCTCTGGCCGCCCTCCTGAAGGATCCCTGTGGTGCCAGGCAGGAATGCCCTGCTTGGGGACCCTACAAGCTCCCAGAGCCTTTCCCGCTGCTTCCTCTACCCCTGTATTTCACTCACCTCTCTAAATTGACTCAGCTCTAGGTAATGTCGGAAACTTCTCCCACAAACTAGACCTTCAGTTTCCCCAGTGGGGGTGTGTGTTTGGGAGCAGAGGATCTCCCTTTCCCACTTCTTCAGTTTGGGCACTCATAGTGTTTGGAGTGTCTCCTGGGTCCTGCAAGAGCAATCCACTTCCTCCAGAGGGTCTGTGGGTCCTCTCAGGATTCCTGGTTTGTTTTTGCAGTTGTTCGGGATCTAAAATTCACAGTGCGAGCCTCCGCACACTGCTTTGTCTGAGTCAGAGCTGCAATCTAGTCCTGCCTGCCGTCCACCATGATGATCCACTCAGATTTTATGATTCTGTTAAAAAAAAAAAAAAAAATGTCACTGGGGCTGGGCTCATTCACTCACGCCTGTAATCCCAGCACTTTGGGAGGCTGAGGTGGTCGGATCACGAGGTCAGGAGTTCCAGACCAGCCTGGCCAACATGGTGAAACCCCCTCTCTACTAAAGATACAAAAAATTAGCTGGGCGTGGTGGTGCATGCCTGTAATCCTAGCTACTTGGGAGGCTGGGGCAGGAGAATCACTTGAACCCGGGAGCCGGAGGTTGCAGTGAGCCAAGATCATGCCATTGCACTCCAGCCTGGGTGACAGAGTGAGACACCATCTCAAAAAAATGAATGAATGAATGAATGAAATGAATCCATCACCTATTTTTTTAAAAAAAGAAAAAAATAGAAATACATTAAAAAAGTCATTGGGATTTGATAGGGATTGCATCAAATCTGTAAATTGCTTTAAGTAGTGTTCTGTTCATAACAATATTAAGTCTATTTACGATCACAGGATGTTTTCTCATTTATTTATGTTTTCTGTCAGCAGTGTTTTGTGTAGAAAGTCTTTTGTGCACAAGTCTTTTGCCTTTGTGGTTAAGTTTATTCCTAAGCATTTCATTCTTTTTGATGCAGTTGTAAAGATAATTGTTTTTGTTTCCTTTTGGGATTGTTTATTGTTGTCTTTGCTCATTTTTAATTTTTTAAATTTAATTTAATTTTTTGAGACAGAGTCTCACTCTGTCACCCAGGCGGGAGTGCAGTGGCACTATATCAGCTCAGTGCAACCTCTGCCTCCTGGGTTCAAATGATCCTCATGCCTCAGCCTCCCAAGTAGCTGGGATTACAGGCATATACCACTACACCCAGCTAATTTTGTACTTTTAGTAGAGATGGAGTTTCACCATGTTGGTCAGTCTGATCTTGAACTCCCAACCTCAAGTGATCTACCCTCCTCGGCCTCCCAAAGTGCTGGGATTACAGGCATGAGCCATCGTGCCCAGCCATCTTTGCATATTTCTGATTGGGTTGTCTTTTTATTGTTGAGTTGTAAAAGTTCTTTATATATTCTGGATACAAGTCAAGAGATGTGATATAAAGATTCTTACATGGTATTTTTTCCTGTTGTGGAGATGGTAGTAATAATTTGAGGGATAGCATTAGGAGGTATACCTAATGCTAAATGATGAGTTAATGGGTGCAGCACACCAACATGGCACATGTATACATATGTAACAAACCTGCACGTTGTGCATGTGTACCCTAAAACTTAAAGTATAATAATAAAATAAAATAAAAAATTAATAATTTGCAAAAAGGCTTAAATGCAATAAGTCTTAGCTTAACAATAGCTAAAAATAGTTTCTCTGTGTTTTAGAAGTTGGGAATGCTTCTCTTAGAATATAATGCTCATACTACTGTTAATGGGAGTAGACAGCAAAATAAATTACTCACACTGAAGAAATCAAAGCATGCTTTAAGATAAATATGGATCTTAATATAAATAGCATTTACTTTCATTATAACCAACATTCAAAATATGACTAAAAATGCCATCTGAGATACCAAAATAGAGGACAGCCAGCCAATGCACTAATGATAATGTCATTTGGGATCACTGATTAGTGAGACAGCTCTCTATATGACAGTTTTTTTACTTAAAGCTTTTGAGCTCTTAATTTATACAAGATTATGGCAAGTTTTAAAAATCTGTTTTTCAGGCCGGGCACAGTGGCTCACACCTGTAATCACAGCACTTTGGGAGGCCGAGGTGGGAGATCACTTGAGGTCAGGAGTTCAAGACCAACCTGGTCAACGTGGTGAAACCCTGTCTCTACCAAAAATACAAAAATTAGCCGGGCATGGTGGCAGGTGTCTGTAATTCCAGCTACTCAGGAGGCTGAGGCAGGAGAATTGCTTAAACCCGGGAGGTGGAGGTTGCAGTGAGCTGAGATCGCGCCACTGCACTCCAGCCTAGGTGACAGAGTGAGACTCTGTCTCAGAAAAATAAAAAAATATTTTTCAGGCTAGGCATGGTGGCTCCCACCTGTAACCCCAGCATTTTAGGAGGCCAAGGAGTGAAGCTTGCTTGAGGCCAGGAGTTTGAGACTAGCCTAGGCAACATGGCAAAACACTTACTTCTACAAAAAAATTTTTAAATATTTTTAAATTAGCTGGGTGTGGTGATGTGTCTGTAGTCCCAGCTACTCAGGAGACTGAGGCAGGAGGATCATTTGAGCCTAGAAGTTTGAGGCTGCAGTGAGCCATGGTCATGCTACTGTACTCCAGCCCAGGCAACAGAGCAAGACCCTGTCTCCAAAAAAAAAAAGTTTTCCAAATACTCAACAAAATTAAAAGTAGAAAATTAGAGACATGAAGGAAAATGGCTGATAGGCTGATGAAGCATGATAAGGAATATGGAAGGGCAGGACAGAGAAACTATAAGAGGGGCAGTTATGGGAGTTATTTGGTGTTGGGTAGGACAGCCCTGGCTGGCTCCATTTTCTCGAGGACTTCATTGTAGTATAACAGGAAGCAGTAATTTCTTGATGGATCAGCTTCATTGTTACAGATGTCAAAGACTAAATTGGATTTAAGAAGCCATGAGTCTGCAATAACTCAGGAATTTCTCTAAAGTTGTTTAAAAGAAAAATGTTTGGATGCTTACATTTAGAAACTCTCATGCAATAGAATCTTTTACGGCCAGGGCTTTGCTATAATTATTTTTCAGTAGTATTCCTAATGTTGAAAAAAGATTTTTAATTTCTATACTATGAGTAAAGATATTGAATTAGAGTTGCAATTTCATACATACCCTTTGTTTCTTTCCTTTGAAATTCAGAGAAAGGCAATATAATTTTGTATTTAAAGGATTTTGATTTCTTAATTTTAATTTATCTAAATGAAAACCAAGATGCTGCTCTTTATTACTTTCCAATTGGCCTTGAGAACTAAAATATTCTCACTTATTCTGTAGTTACAAAACAATGTCTACTTGTCAGGCATCTTTTAGGTCAGTGTCTCAACTTGCTTCTGCATTTAAAGTGAACCCTCCTTATCAGTGAACAAGCAAATCAACATATAACGTCTTCCATTAGGCACTGTTTTATGGAATGTGGGGACATGTAGAACATATTAGCTGTGGTTTCTGCCCTTTAATAATTTGTGATTTAATTGGGAGGATGAGGTACTGTCTTTGACCATGTCCCATCATTTTAATTGTAACACGATGAGAACTCAGAACTGAAGTTTTCTTGACAGACTGGAATGAAAGGTTAACCTGACAAGTTGACATTTAATAAGGACAATCATCAAGACATGCTCTAAGGCACTTCCAAAATCCAAACTGCACAAGGACGAAGGTCTAATTGACTTTAGAAGTAATATGATTTGTCAGTTGATGTGGTCCTAGCCTGGGAAATAGAAGTAGAGACTTAATTGTGTGATTCTGCTCTAATGAGATCACCTTATCCACATATAATATCATTTGTGGATAGTGTTAAATGGGTTATTGGCAGACTACAGGAAGTGCATTGAGCAACTCACCAAGACCATAGGTAGACCAGAAACCATGTCACAGGGTAATGTACAAAGAGACAGGAAATGTTTGACCCCAAAAACAAAGAAATAGCCAGGCACAATGAAATCATACTCAAGTACCTAAGGAGCTGTTATTTGGGAGGAGGGATGATTTTATTTGTGGCAGAACCAGGGCCACTTGATGGCCCAGGTGACGGAGTAGCAGGGCGTTTGTCTTTGGGTCCAGTGTATTGTAATAATGGCTTGGGTTGCCTTGAAAGATACAGTAAGTTTCTTAAGACTGGAGGTATTTGGGGAAAGTATAGACTGTTACTTGTAAGATATTGTCTTCTTCTATATCTCATTTATCTTTTTATTTTGAAAAATTTCTAACCTATAGGGAAGTTTCAAGAATAATACATACTTGTATGTCCTTCACTTACATTTGCCAAGTATTGACATTTTGCCACATCTGGTTTAGACTTCTACATATTATTTGATGTTATTTATTTACTTTTAATTTTTTGTTGAGCTATTTGAGAATAATTTGCAGATACAGTGATGCTTTACCCCTAAATACTTCAGATCTGGCTGGGTGCGGTGGCTCACGCATGTAATCTCAGCACTTTGGGAGGCCGAAGCAGGTGGATCACTTGAGGTCAGGAGTTCGAGACCAGCCTGGCCAACATGGAAAACCCCATCTCTACTAAAAATACAAATTTAGCCAGGCCAGGCATGGTGGCATGCACCTGTAGTCCCAACTACTCAGGAGGCTAAGGCATGAGAATCGCTTGAACCCAGGAGGTGGAGGTTGCAGTGAGCTGAGATCATACCACTGCACTCCAGCCTGGGTGATGGAGTGAAACTGACTCAAGAAAAAGAAAAAAAAGCTTTCGATCCTTTAAGAACAAAACAAGGATTATTTTCTTACATAATCGCAATATAATTATCAATTTCAGGATATTAACATTAATATTACATGATATACATTTTATATACAGATTTAGCCAGTTGTCCAAATAATGTTGCTTGTAAATTTTTTCCTTCAATCTGGGATCTAATTCAGAACCCCACATTGTATTTAATCATCTCTTTAGTCTCTTTTTATCTGAAACAATTCCTCAGCCTTTGTTTTTGTTTTTCTTGATACTGCCATTTATTTTAATTTTTATTTATTTATTTATTTATTTATTTATTTATTTATTTTGCAGACAGAGTCTTGCCCTGTTGCCCAGGCTGGAGTATAGTAGTGCAGTGGTGTGATCATAGCTCACTGTAACTTCGACCACCTGGGCTCAAACAATCCTTCTTCCTCTGCCTCCCAAGTAGCTGGGACTACAGGTATGTGGCACCACACCTCGCTAATGTTATTTTATTTTTCTGGAGAGACAGAGTTTCACTATGTTCCCCAGACTAGTCTCAAACTCCTGGCCTCAACTGATTTGCACACCTTGGCCTCCCAAAGTGTGGAGATTACAGGCATGAACCACCACACCCAGCCAATACTGACATTTTTTAAGAGGAAAGCAGTTGTGGAATTGTTTGTAGAATGTCCCTTGATTTTGGTTTTTCTCTTTTCATATGATTAGGTTCAGGATATGTATGTCTGGCGGGAATATTATGTAGATGAAGTCGTATCCCATACTAGTGTATCACATTAGGGAGCACATAATGTCTGTTTTATTGGTGATGTTAACTCTGATCACTTTGTGGTATACTGTAAGGCATCTTTTCCCTTTGTAATGAATAAATGTGTGGGAAGAAAAGTTGAGACAATGTCAATATCCTGTTTACCAATAAACTTCTAGTCAGTAGTTTCAGCTTGGTAATATTTGCCCTAATTATGTTCAAGAACAGAGCAGGACCCAGGATGCAAGACCCTAGGCATCCCCAAGGCCTTCCACTGTCCCCAGGCCTTCCAAAGAGACAGCGGCAGGACCGCACAATCTACAACTGGAAACAGCAGGAAGTGCTAGAAAATCACTTTAAGGAGGAACAGTACCCAGACTATGACACACGACAAGAGCTGGCGGAGATGCTCAATCTCAGGGAGTACCAAGTGCAGGTGTGGTTCAAGAATCGCCGGGCCAAACGCTCTCGGGAGCGGTGGTTCCAGAAGCAGCTCCAGCAGCTCCAGAAGCATCCTCAGCAGCAGCATCCTCAGCAGCAGCATCCCCAGCAGCAGCTCCAGCAGCAGCAGCCCCAGCAGCAGCCCCAGCAGCAGCAGCCCCAGCAGCAGCCACAGCAGCAGCAGCCCCAGCAGCAGCAGCTCCACCAGCAGCCCCAGTAGCAGCTCTAGCAGCAGCAGCAGCAGCCCCAGCAGCAGCAACTCCAGTAGCAGCTCCAGCAGCAGCAGCCCCAGCAGTAGCTCCAGCAGCAGCAGCAGCAGCCCCAGTAGCAGCTCCAGCAGCCCCAGTAGCAGCTCCAGCAGCAGCAGCAGCAGCCCCAGTAGCAGCTCCAGCAGCCCCAGTAGCAGCTCTAGCAGCAGCAGCTCCAGCAGCAGCAGTCCCAGCAGCAGCAGCCCCAGTAGCAGCGGCAGCAGCCCCAGTAGCAGCAACAGCAGCCCCAGTAGTAGCAGCAGCAGCCCCAGTAGCAGCAGCAGCAGCCCCAGCCCCCGTAGCAGCAGCCCCAGCAGCAGCAGCTCCAGCACCAGCAGTCCCAGCAGCAGCAGTCCCAGCAGCAGCAGCCCCAGCAGCAGCTGCCCCAGTGCAGCCCTGGGCAGGAGGCCACAGAGCCCACAGAGCTCGCACTGTGCCCCCTTTCCCTGAAGCTGCGGCCTCTGCCCCCCATCAGCCTGGCCTCTTGGGAATTCTCCCACAGGGAGAGGCCCCGTGGGTATTCTCCCACAATCTGCAGCCTCCACCAGGCCTTGAGTAGCTTTGGGTGCAGAGCCAGGAGGGCGTTTGGCTGTCCTAGGTCTAGCCCCTGGCCCAATCCCAGCCCCATTCCAGGCCCACTCAAAAGCCAAGGCCCAATCCCAGGTCCAGGCTCAATCCTAGGCCCTGGCCTGATTCCAAGCCAGGCTTACTCCCAGGCCCAGGCTTAGTCCTAGCCCCAATCCCAGGTCCTGGCCCAATCCCAAACTTAGGATCCCTCCCAGCCCCAGCCCTAGTCCCCTTGTGACCTCAGAGCACTTATGCCTCCAATTTCTTGCCAGACAGTCATTCCCTGACTTCACAGAGCTCCTCCCACCCCTAGACCAGTTCGAGGAATCCTTGGTCTCCACCACGACATCTCAGTACCAAGAGGGGGATGGCTCTATGGACAAAAAGACTCGGGCCCCAAGTGATTAATGGATTTATAGGGGGCCTGTGTCTGCAAAGTCCTGCGGATACCAGTGGACCTGGAGTGGCTGGTTGGTCTACACTGCTGGTGAATGCACCACCACCATTTAACCACCCTGCCGCTGGTGGGCATTTGCTGTCTTCACTGTGTGGCCATCACGACTAGCTCTGCTATGAATGCACCTGCCCTCATTTGAGTTGAGCCTGAGCATTTCGCAGCTGGGATTGGAGTCGCTGCTCATGGGGATGTTTGGCATTAGTGGATGCTACTTGAGAGCTTTGTAAAGAGCTTTACTCAGCACTTCTGATAGTCAGCATTCTCCCTGACACTTAGGATTGTGAGACTTTTTAATGTTTGTGGATCCAATGGCTTATGGCTTCCCTGATGACTGAGAGGTTGAGAAGTTCTCACATGTTAATTGAACCTTAGAAATCCTCATATGTGTCCATTTGTTTGCCCATTTTTCTTCATTTATTTGAATGTATTTTTATATTCTCTTGATAATTAAAGTGCTGCAAACACCCCCCAAAAATACTTGCCCTAATCATTTATTACTATGGTGATTGCAAAGTATGATTTTCTATCACTAATGAACTGTGCCTTCCAGCTTCTCTCTTGCATTGCAAGGGTACTACTATTCAACCTACCCTGTGCATGTATGTAAGCGTCTGTCAGGACAGAGGTAGACCTTATGACTTCTGAGATCCTTACTAACTTGATTCTCATTGAAGAGAAAGACAGTTTAAAGTAATATCAAATTTAAATTTTATAGGAAAAATAAATTTTGGATTTGTAATATTTGCTTTAAGAACATTGAGATATATATGCAGAAAAGTCTACCTCATTCATGTATAGTTCACTGTTTTTACAGTCTCTGTAAACACAGGACACATCTCTGTAAACAGCATTCACATCAACAAGCAGAACATCACCAGCTCTCCAGCAGCCTCACCACCCCAAATGGACTATTTGCTTTTCATTTGGCATAATCAACAGTCTTCTTTCAGTGTTCTGAATAAACACAGGACAGGAAATGTCCAGGAACATAATCTAAGAACAATTTAGTATTTTCAACTTCAAATTCCTGTCTATTTTCCTTCATCAATGAGCCTAGAAAACTTAGAAACATTTGGATATCTTTTAGTTTGCTTCCCTAAAATCTGAACAAACCTTATTAAGTATTTGATTATTCAATATTTTGACCAACTACACATTGTGCCAGACACTGTCATAAATGCCTAGATTACACAGACAGGAACAGGTACCTGACTTCAAGAATGACTGAGGGGATAAATCACAGCTCAGGGGGATACATGCAGTAGTGGAGGGATGTACGAGCAGGATAGGCAGTGTCACCATTCTCAAAGAGCTCACAGTTCAGTGGCTATAGAACCAGTGAGAGGAAAGATTGAAGATAGTGAATCCTAGCAACAGAAGATGCCACTGACAGCCTCCATAGAGGCTTGGCTGCCTTCTGAGGTAGAGTGGCTGGGTGTGGAAAAAGAATGGGAGAAAAGATGATGATGGTCTATAGTAATAGTAATGTTAGTCATTTCTTAAGACAAAGCTGAACTAGTTTCAGCAATTTCTGTATTCAATAAATGTGTTCCCTCTAGGTTAAATGCAATGGTGTACATAGTCTCAACATTAAATGCATAGTAATTACTATTAATAAATGCTCCTCTGTTTCCCCAGTCACCTGGCTCCTCAATCTGCTTCTCTGTCCACAACTTTACTTTGGCCAGGACCACCTGAAAAACCTTCATAGTTCCTCCTTTGCAACCTTGCACAGCACATTGTACATGCATGTTAAGTGGGATCACTAAGCCTTTCGATAAGCCAAAGCAGAATTCAAATCTAGCAGAAATGAGACCTTACTTACATATTCCAGTCTCTTACACAAATCCGATTACCAGTTGCTCTTTTCTTGCTAGTCTGATTTCAGAGGCAGCATAGTGATAAGAGCATGGGCTCTGGAACTAGCCTGCTCAAGTTCAAATCCTAGCTGCTCCACTTCTGGCTGTGTGACATTGGTTAAGTTCCATAACCTGGTGGTGTCTCACTTCCTTAGTTTCTTGAAGAAAATCTTCAGCCGAATTAAATTTAAAGGGGTTTAATTGAGCAATGAACAATTCACCAGTTGAGCAGCCCTCAGAATCACAGCAGATTCAGAGAGACTCCAGGGATGCCTCATGGTCAGAACAAATTTATAGACAAAAAAGGACAGGAATTGGAAGTGAGATACAGACACAGTGGGATTGGTTACATACAGCTCAGCATTTACCTTATTTGAACACAGTTTGAACATTCAGTAGTCTATGAGTGGTTGAAGTATGGCCCCTGGGATTGGCCAACACTCTGCTATTGTTACAGGTGCATACTATTAGGTTTTCAATTTTGTCTGACTATTAAGCTAGGTTACAGTTCATCCACAAGGACTCAAATATACAAGTACAGAGTCCTTCTGGGGCTGTATTTAATTTGCTTTAACAATTCCCCCCTTTTGGTCATTTTCTCAATTTTGAGAGGTTGACTAAAACCTTAGTTATTGATGTTACTGTTACTGTTGTAAATGTACTTATATGATTTTGAAACCTACTGGGAAACAGAATAGTGTGTTTTGCAAGGAGAGAATAAGGACTGAGTAGAGAGTACCTTATGCTGGACCATCCTGTTTACAGGAGAAAAACAAAACCTGGTCTGTTCTAGGATCTGTGTTTTCTTAAAGCCTTAGCTTGATTATGTCATATTTAGCATGAGTCACTCCATATTAGTTTGGTTTGGTTTGTTGGGGCCTAGCACATGAACTCAGTCGAAAATAATGGTTTCCCATAATTTTGTTTTAAAAAATTCCCCCTTTTTGGCCAGGTTCTCACTTAGGTGAGAGTGTGAACAAAACTTAGGGTCCCTCAGTTACCATTATTTTGGGTTTCCGGTCTCAGCACGTCATTCATAAGTTGCAGCGTCCTCATGGTCACCCATTTCTTTCAGCTTTTGTCATTCCAGTTGAAGAGAGACCATTTGATGTCCCAGAGATGTCTGGCAAGCATTTACAACCTTTGAGAGAATACAGCACACCGGGGAGACTATTATGACTATTAGGATGATAATACCAAGAGTTTGGAGTATGGTCCTTACCCAGAGTCCCCATAAACCAAAAACCTAAAATTAAATAGATTAAAGAATGTGCTAGATAGTCTAGTCGCTTGACTAAGTGGTCTTTTCATTAATCTCCTACAACTGAATTTTTATAATTTACCTTGACGTATTTCTCCATAGGCCACAAGTGTCAGCAGCTGCACAGGTACTTCTCTGTTTAGCCAATTCTATTATTTAACATAACTTTCACAAGAGAATTTAGAGTCTGTTGTGTAACGATAGCCTTTAAAGTAGAATTTGCTGTAGAGCCTATTATGAGGGAGACATTTCTAATTATTGCCTCTTTTATTCTAAACCATGGAAAAAGGACCTAACAAATGATGTCCTTCCTATAGAGTGAAGGCCTCCTAGCAATGTTCTTTTTAATCCATGTTGTGGGTTAAGGGGAGTTTTGACTGATTATAAGGCAACATATATACCACTAAAGTTTCTCACCTACATTGGGCCTTCATTTTTTATCTATTAAAGTATAAGGTTATTCATGTATAAGGCTGGGTGGAAAATCCTTCACAGATAAAAGTATACCCTATAAGTGCACATAATAGACCCCATTTTCATTCATATTGTTAATAGAGGCATAAACAAGGAAAAAATATTTAAAGATAGAGTCTCATGATAGAAGAAGTTTTGATCTGTAATCTTGGGAAAAGCCGTTCACATCAAGGATGCCATCTTCTGGGGAGACACTTTCCTGGTTAGCTCAACCCTAAAGGTTCCAATGGGTGTACAGTTCCAGGAGTGTGGAGGGACCCTTCTCAGTCGTAAGATTATTAACCCAAGATTCAAGGCTCCAAAGTTTTGCTGTGGTGTGGATGGCAAGGACAGTCCCTCTCTGATGTTGCCAGAAGATCCAACCCTTGGGTTCTAGATTGTGAAGGGATTGTCCTCAGCGAACCATAAGAAGCTTTCTCCACCAGGTGAAAACACACTGTAGCATAACAATCCACTGTTACATCAGCCCTCTTGCATGGGAAAGCCCCTACACAACCAGATAGCATGCATTGAAAAATGGCAATTGAATGAAATACCTTTATAAACATTTAAATGGCCCATCAGGTAACCAGATGTACCTGAACCTTTGATTGTCTTTTCAGGAATATGGAACCAAACATTGCTTTTAAACTGTTTCCATCGTTTATAAGTCACTACATCAATATATTCAACTTGGACCATTTTATCTTTTCCATGACGAGTCATGGAATGAAGAACCCCCAACAACAAAATATTAAGGTTCTTAAGTCCTGCTTCTTTATGAATCCATGCTTAATATTGGACTTAAGTCCTCTTGAATACCAGTTGTTTCTCCAATTTCAGTGCATAGCATTGATAACTAATGGATTATCATAGGTAATTTGACTTAGACCATGGAGTTCATTCAAATTTTATATTTAAACAACCTTAGTATTGGCTGATTTAGCATGATAATCTAGAGCTTGATTTTGAAAGGCTTGTTAAATACCAAAGGTTTAAAACATTCGATATTACAGAGAGTGGAGCCAAGATGGCTGAATAGGAACAGCTCCAGTCTACAGCTCCCAGCGTGAGCGACACAGAAGACGGGTGATTTCTGCATTTCCAACTGAGGTACTGGGTTCATCTCACTGGGGAGTGTTGGACAGTGGGTGCAGGACAGTGGGTGCAGTGCACCGAGCATGAGCCAAAGCACGGCGAGGCATCGCCTCACCCAGGAAGCACAAGGGGTCAGGGAATTCCCTTTCCTAGTCAAAGAAAGGTGTGACAGATGGCACCTGGAAAATCGGGTCACTCTCACCCTAATACTGTGCTTTTCCAACAGTCTTAGCAAATACCACACCAGGAGATTATATCCCATGCCTGGCTCGGAGGGTCCTACGCCCACGGAGCCTCACTCATTGCTAGCACAGCAGTCTGAGATCAAACTGCAAGGCGGCAGCAAGGCTGGGGGAGGGGTGCCCGCCATTGCTGAGGCTTGAGTAGGTAAACAAAGCAGCCGGAAAGCTCAAACTGGGTGGAGCCCACCACAGCTCAAGGAGGCCTGCCTGCCTCTGTAGACTCCACCTCTGGGATCAGGGCATAGCCAAACAAAATGCAGCAGAATCCTCTGCAGACTTAAATGTCCCTGTCTGACAGCTTTGAAGAGAGTAGTGGTTCTCCCAGCATGCAGCTGCAGATCTGAGAACAGACAGACTGCCTCCTCAAGTGGGTCCCTGACCCCCAAGTAGCCTAACTGGGAGGCACCCCCCAGTAGGGGCAGATGGACATCTCACATGGCTGGATACTCCTCTGAGACAAAACTTCCAGAGGAACGATCAGGCAGCAACATTTGCTGTTCACCAATATTCGCTATTCTGCAGCCTCTGCTGCTGATACCCAGGCAAACAGGGTCTGGAGTGGACCTCCAGCAAACTCCAACAGACCTGCAGCTGAGGGTCCTGACTGTTAGAAGGAAAACTAACAAACAGAAAGGACATCCACACCAAAACCCCATCTGTACGTCACCATTGTCAAAGACCAAAGGTAGATAAAACCACAAGGATGGGGAAAAAACGGAGCAGAAAAACTGGAAACTCTAAAAATCAGAGCGCCTCTCCTCCTCCAAAGGAATGCAGCTCCTCACCACCAATGGGACAAAGCTGGATGGAGAATGACTTTGACGAGTTGAGAGAAGAAGGCTTCAGACAAACTACTCCGAGCTAAAGGAGGAAGTTCAAACCCATGGCAAAGAAGTTAAAAACCTTGAAAAAAATTAGACGAATGGCTAATTAGAATAACCAATGCAGAGAAGTTCTTAAAGGACCTGATGGAGCTGAAAACCAAGGCACGAGAACTACGTGACGAATGCACAAGCCTCAGTAGCCAATTTGATCAACTGGAAGAAAGGATATCAGTGATTGAAGATCAAATGAATGAAATGAAGTGAGAAGAGAAGTTTAGAGAAAAAAGAATAAAAAGAAATGAACAAAGCCTCCAAGAAATATGGGACTATGTGAAAAGACCAAATCTACGTCTGATTGGTGTACCTGAAAGTGACGGGGAAAATGGAACCAAGTTGGAAAACACTCTGCAGGATGTTATCTAGGAGAACTTCCCCAATCTAGTAAGGCAGGCCAACATTCAAATTCAGGAAATACAGAGAATGCCACAAAGATACTCCTCGAGAAGAGCAACTCTAAGATACATAATTGTCAGATTCACCAAAGTTGAAATGAAGGAAAAAATGTTAAGGGCAGCCAGAGAGAAAGGTCGGGTTACCCACAAAGGGAAGCCCATCAGACTAACAGCTGATCTCTCAGCAGAAACTCTACAAGCCAGAAGAGAGTGGGGGCCAATATTCAACATTCTTAAAGAAAATAATTTTCAACCCAGAGTTTCATATCCAGCCAAACTAAGCTTCATAAGTGAAGGAGAAATAAAATCCTTTACAGACAAGCAAATGCTGAGAGATTTTGTCACCACCAGGCCTGCCCTAAAAGAACTCCTGAAGGAAGCACTAAACATGGAAAGGAACAACCAGTACCAGCCACTGCAAAAACATGCCAAATTGTAAAGACCATCGAGGCTAGGAAGAAACTGCATCAACTAACGAGCAAAATAACCAGCTGTCATCATAATGACAGGATCAAATTCACACATAACAATATTAACCTTAAATGTAAATGGGCTAAATGCTCCAATTAAAAGACACAGACTGGCAAATTGGAGAAAAAGTCAAGACCCAGCAGTGTGCTGTATTCAGGAAACCCATCTCATGAGCAGAGACACACATAGGCTCAAAATAAAGGGAAGGAGGAAGATCTACCAAGCAAATGGAAAACAAAAAAAGGCAGGGGTTGCAATCCTAGTCTCTGATAAAACAGACTTTAAACCAACAAAGATCAAAAGAGACAAAGAAGGCCATTACATAATGGTAAAGGGATCAATTCAACAAGAAGAGCTAACTATCCTAAATATATATGCACCCAATACAGGAGCACCCAGATTCATAAAGCAAGTCCTTAGAGACCTACAAAGACACTTAGACTCCCACACAATAATAATGGGAGACTTTAACACCCCACTATCAACATTAGACAGATCAAACAGACTGAAAGTTAACAAGGATATCCAGGAATTGAACTCAGCTCTGCACCAAGCGGACCTAATAGACATCTACAGAACTCTCCACCCCAAATCAACAGAATATACATTCTTTTCAGCACCACACCACACCTATTCCAAAACTGACCACATAGTTGGAAGTAAAGCACTCCTCAGCAAATGTAAAAGAAAGAAATTATAACAAACTGTCTCTCAGACCACAGTGCAATCAAACTAGAACTCAGGATTAAGAAACTCACTCAAAACCACTCAACTACATGGAAACTGAACAACCTGCTCCTGAATGACTACTGGGTACATAAGGAAATGAAGGCAAAAATAAAGATGTTCTTTGAAACCAATGAGAACAAAGACACAACATACCAGAATCTCTGGGACACATTCAAAGCAGTGTGTAGAGGGAAATTTATAGCACTAAATGCCCACAAGAGAAAGCAGGAAAGATCTAAAATTGACACACTGACTTCACAATTAAAAGAACTAGAGAAGCAAGAGCAAACACATTCAAAAGCTAGCAGATGGCAAGAAATAACTAAGATCAGAGCAGAATTGAAGGAAATAGAGACAAAGAAACCCTTCAAAAAATCAATGAATCCAGGAGCTGGTTTTTTGAAAGGATCAACAAAATTGGTAGACCACTAGCAAGACTAATAAAGAAGAAAAGAGAGAAGAATCAAATAGATGCAATAAAAAATGATAAAGGGGATATCACCGCCGATCCCACAGAAATACAAACTACCATCAGAGAATACTATAAACACCTCTACGCAAATAAACTAGAAAATCTAGAAGAAATGGATAAATTCCTCAACACATACACCCTCCCAAGACTAAACCAGGAAGAAGTTGAATCTCTGAATAGACCAATAACAGGCTCTGAAATTGAGGCAATAATTAATAGCTTACCAACCAAAAAAAGTCCAGGACCAGATGGATTCACAGCCAAATTCTACCAGATGTACAAGGAGGAGCTGGTACCATTCCTTCTGAAACTATTCCAATCAATAGAAAAAGAGGGAATCCTCCCTAACTCATTTTATGAGGCTAGCATCATCCTGATACCAAAGCCTGGCAGAGACAACAAAAAAAGAGAATTTCAGACCAATATCCCTGATGAACATCGATGCAAAAATCCTCAATATCATACTGGCAAACCGAATCCAGCAGCACATCAAAAAGCCTATCCACCATGATCAAGTGGGCTTCATCCCTGGGATGCAAGGCTGGTTCAACATATGCAAATCAATACACGTAATCCATCATATAAACAGAACCAACGACAAAAACCACATGATTATCTCAACAGATGCAGAAAAGGCCTTTGACAAAATTCAACAACGCTTCATGCTAAAAACTCAATAAATTAGGTATTGATGGGACGTATCTCAAAATAATAAGAGCTATCTATGACAAACCCACAGCCAATATCATACTGAATGGGCAAAAACTGGAAGCATTCCCTTTGAAAACTGGCACAAGACAGGGATGCCCTCTCTCACCACTCCTATTCAACATAGTGTTGGAAGTTCTGGCCAGGGCAATCAGGCAGGAGAAGGAAATAAAGGGTATTCAATTAGGAAAAGAGGAAGTCAAATTGTTCCTGTTTGCAGATGACATGACTGTATATCTAGAAAACCCCATGGCCTCAGCCCAAAATCTCCTTAAGCTGATAGGCAACTTCAGCAAAGTCTCAGGATACAAAATCAATGTGCAAAAATCACAAGCATTCTTATACACCAATAACAGACAAACGGAGAGCCAAATCATGAGTGAACTCCCATTCACAATTGCTTCAAAGAGAATAAAATACCTAGGAATCCAACTTACAAGGGACATGAAGGACCTCTTCAAGGAGAACTACAAACCACTGCTCAATGAAATAAAAGAGGACACAAACAAATGGAAGAACATTCCATGCTCATGGGTAGGAAGAATCAATATCGTGAAAATGGCCATACTGCCCAAGGTAATTTATAGATTCAATGCCATCCCCATCAAGCTACCAATGACTTTCTTCACAGAATTGGAAAAAACTACTTTAAAGTTCATATGGAACGAAAAAAGAGCCCACATTGCCAAGTCAATCCTAAGGCAAAAGAACAAAGTGGGAGGCGTCACGCTACCTGACTTCAAACTATACTACAAGCCTACAGTAACCAAAACAGCATGGTACTGGTACCAAAACAGAGATATAGACCAATGGAACAGAACAGAGCCCTCAGAAATAATGCCGCATATCTACGACCATCTGATCTTTGACAAACCTGACAAAAACAAGAAATTGGGAAACGATTCCCTATTTAGTAAATGGTGCTGGGAAAACTGGCTAGCCATATGTAGAAAGCTGAAACTGGATCCCTTCCTTACACCTTATACAAAAATTAATTCAAGATGGATTAAAGACTTAAATGTTAGACCTAAAACCATAAAAACCCTAGAGGAAAACCTAGGCAATACCATTCAGGACATAGGCATGGGCAAGGACTTCATGTCTAAAACACCAAAAGCAATGGCAACAAAAGCCAAAGTTGACAAATGGGATCTAATTAAACTAAACAGCTTCTGCACAGCAAAAGAAACTACCATGAGAGTGAATAGGCAACCTACAGAATGGGAGAAAATTTTTGCATTCTACTCATCTAACAAAGGGCTAATATCCAGAATCTACAATGAACTCAAACAAATTTACAAGAAAAAAACAAACAACCCTATCAAAAAGTGGGCGAAGGATATGAACAGACACTTCTCGAAAGAAGACATTTATGCAGCCAACAGACACACGAAAAAATGCTCATCATCACTGACCATCAGAGAAATGCAAATCAAAACCACAATGAGATGCCATTTCACACCAGTTAGAATGGTGATCATTAAAAAGTCAGGAAACAACAGGTGCTGGAGAGGATGTGGAGAAATAGGAACATTTTACACTGTTGGTGGGACTGTAAACTAGTTCAGCCATGGTGGAAGTTAGTGTGGCGATTCCTCAGGGATCTAGAACTAGAAATACCATTTGACCCAGCCATCCCATTACTGGGTATATACCCAAAGGATTATAAATCACGATGCTATAAAGACACATGCACACATATGTTTATTGCAGCACTATTCACAATAGCAAAGACTTGGAACCAAGCCAAATGTCCAACAATGATAGACTGGATTAAGAAAATGTGGCACATATACACCATGGAATACTATGCAGCCATAAAAAATGATGAGTTCATGTCCTTTGTAGGGACATGGATGAAACTGGAAACCATCATTCTCAGCAAACTATCGCAAGGACAAAAAACCAAACACCACATGTTCTCACTCATAGGTGGGAATTGAACAATGAGAACACATGGACACAGGAAGGGGAACATCACACACCGGGTCCTGTTGTGAGATGGGGGGAGCGGGGAAGGATGGCATTAGGAGATATACCTAATGTTAAATGACGAGTTAATGGGTGCAGCACACCAACATGGCACATATATACATATGTAACAAACCTGCATGTTGTGCACATGTACCCTAAAACTTAAAGTATAATAAAAAATGGTAAAAAAAAAAATGGATATTACAAAATAGAATCTTAGGTTATCATAGTTCATTCATTTAGCCAAAATAACTCAAAAATTTTTTAAAGGAAAAAACATTAGTCTGATAGAGAGGAGACTCAGCTTTCCAAACAAGACCCAATGAAGATAGCATGAGGCCAGCTGACTCTGTCTCCTTCCTTTCCTTTCCCCCGCTATTTCTTTTGTAGTTTATTTAAAAGGTAAACAAAAACCTTTCATTATCTTTTAATATTACATAAAAATCCTTTTTAAAAGAGAAAACCAAATTTTATGTTTCCATTTGCATATTTTTAATGTTAAAGCTAGCTTTTAATATTTTATAAATCTATTGTTTTAATTAGTTTGACCATAAGGTAAGATTTTTATAAACATTTTGTAACCCTTTACAGAGTTTTTCTCAGAGCAGAACAATGTTCTAAGAAAACTCTGTTGTGATTTTATTCCAATGTCCAATTTATGGAAAAAACTCAGTAATGCCATTTTAACTTTAGCCAATATGTTTACGCATAGAATCTCTTACAATTAATTTTTTCTTTTCTTTTTTTTTTTTTTTTTTTGAGATGGAGTCTTGCTCTGTCACCAGGCTGGAGTGCAGTGGCGTGATCTCGGCTCACTGCAACCTCTGCCTCCCGGGTTCAAGCAATTCTCCTGCCTCAGCCTCCCGAGTAGCTGGGACTACAGGCACACGCCACCACATCCGGCTAATTTTTTTGTATTTTTAGTAGAGACAGGATTTTACCATGTTGGCCAGGATGGTCTCAATCTCCTGACCTCCTGATCCACCTGCCTTGGCCTCCCAAAGTGCTGGGATTACAGGTGTGAGCCACCGTGCCTGGCCTCTTACAATTAATTTTTATAAACCTTCCACAACTTATTCAAACCTTCCATAACTTATTCAAACTTATTTAATTTAAAACAATCCTTTAACCCTCTAACCTAGGCAAAAATTTACATTACCATACTTTCTTATAATCTCTTACAAAAAAACATTTCATTCTCCTTACACACCTTGCATGTAAACCTATTTTTTCAGTAGTCTCAATTACATATTACAATGTTAACTCTTACGACTTTTACTTTTGGTGAGAAAACCTTGGTAAGTAAGGGATTTTAATTATGTACTAGGTGTGGAGCCTAGGACCCAGACAGAAATGCAGATAAGGTCTGACTCTTTCCAGCCTCTAACTCCCCTTGTCCCTGGCCTTACCTAGCTATAAAGCAGGCAGGCTGTACATTTGAGTCATAGTGGCCTTTTATGAATCATTTAGGAGGCTTAATCACCTTTGAATTGTACAGCATTTCTGGCATAAATTCCTGTTCACAAATTCTTTCATGACTTACACAGACCATGTATGTCATGTTTAGACTTTCTGACTTGACCTAAACATCCCTCTTTTTAAATAACCTGTCATTTTACCTTAGGACAAGAATTTACCATACAACATCCTTTCTTAGGTAAAATCTCTTTTCTTTATAACCTTCTTTGCATAGTTAGGGGGCATGGCTAATTCCATATATCCCCAGGCCTTATTTAAAATGTAATGTCTCAAAAATAAATTGAACAATTTTTAAAAGTCAAAGCAGTTTATGACCTTAAAGCATTTAGCAAACCTAATATCTGACCTGCATAATTTAGGTAAAATGTCTTTATTTTATCAATAATCTTTAGAGCTGTTTTTATTTCCCAAAGATTACTAAAGTTACATGAACTAAAAGGCATTATAGTTTTTATTTTGCTTTCAAAATATTTGATTTAAGCACTTATTTTTGTTTAAGCCAATTAATTAGAACTCTTTTATATAAACATTACACACAACACATATAATTAGACAGACAGAAGAAGAGTACTACAGAAGTTGTAAGATTTTTCATTTACCAGTTTTTAAGTTTCTTAACTGGTTAATGGCTTTATGGTGGAGTCCTTGGAAGAACAGGGCCAGGAAATGGGTCTCTGGTGCCTCCTGTTTTTCCCAAGGAGTCCAGGCTGTTAGAGCTTGAATGTCTACTTTTAGTTAAGCTTTCTTTTAACTGTAGCATTCTTTAATAAAGTCCTTTTAAAATTTCTTATTACCCAATTTCAGCCAGGCCAAATGGCTGATATTTCTGGCTTTTGAACTTTACCAAAGGTAACCTCCCAGGTGGTGCTCAGAGAAAGAAAAATGTAAGTTAGTCCATGGAGAAGAGGCTTACAAGGTCATGCGGATATTAAACCAGAAAGGACCTGCTTCTAAGTAGGAAATTGAACGTGGACTGCCAGCATGAAAGGGCAAAGCCTAAGTTACTGAGCTACAGCACAGGGCGGTCTTCACTGTACTTCTTAGAAGGAGTCTAGAGTAGTTAATTTTGAGCTTGCAAAGGCTTTTAACTACTCAAGATAATTTTTAGAGCTAACTATGACATAAACCCTAAAATCCCCATTCCCTGGAAGGCGGAGACCAAGAGAAAGTTCCTCAACCTGGTTACAAGGTCAAGCTCCCAAGGACATAAAACAAGATGAGACCCCATCCAGTTTTTTTGTTTGTTTCAGGGACCTGCAGGAAAGTTTGTTATTGACCAGCTTGTTGAGCTGTCTTGAGCAGCAAGCTTATGGAGTCCTAAGCCCATATTTTATCCTAAGGTACCCCTTGACACAGAAAAACAAATTCATAGCACAAATACATCAGTTTAAGACTAGCCTCAGAATTATTTTTCGCATTAATCAAAACTATACAGAAGAGAAATATAGTGATTTTTACCATTTCTGTAAGATTTTGCCATTTCTGTAAGACTTCACAACCGTTTGCCAGAGAGAGAGAGAGAAGCCAGAAGTCTGACTGGTAAGAAATTCTTACCCTTTTGCCAGCATGCCAGGCTTCTGGGTTCCTTTTCCCTGAGCAGCCCCAGTGATCCAGCTTGCACCATCATGCTGGGGGCCAAGTAGCATCATAAAGGAAATTTACCTTTTTTCATCTGGCTAGAACAAAATATGTGTGACAAAACATAGACATTAGCCCCTCTGCTGAGCACCCAATATCAAACTGGCAAGGCTCAAACTTGCCCTTGGTTGGGCCCCATCATGGTTAATGCAACCTCTGACCAGGAATTTCAACACGTGGTCTCTGGGCAAGATGGTCACCCTGAATAATAGAAAAGATAAGAAAGGCAAAGGAGAGAGAGAACAGCATTGCCTGTGGCAGGGTGGGGAAGGCAAAATGATCAGAGAGACCAGAGAAAGACCCACCTATTGCAGCAACACTGAAAAGTTCAGGTGGCTGCTTCTTGGTAGCAAAGGGATCTTTTCCAGCAGTCCCATCAGCTCTCGTTTCCCCTTTTGAAGGAGGAAAAAACTCCCCATGTCGAACCCCTCTGTATGTGCCTAATTTTGTCACCCATAGTCATCAGCAAAGAGTGCAAGGCAGATTATTCCAAAGAGAAGAGCAGTTGGCATCCCGTAGTGCCAAATCCATACTTAGCCAAAAGGTACTTTACCAAGAGCCCTCATTTTTAAATGTACTTCAATGTATTGTTCATTCCGAACGTTCCACTGTAAGTTATCTTAAGATTTTGCCATTTCTGTAAAACTTCATTGCTTCCCAGGCCTAATGTATAAGCCAGAAGGAACACAGTTTACCAGAAATTAAGGATACAATTTTTACCAAAAATATTGGCTTTACTGTCAGGTTCTCCTGATTAACTTAGCCAATGATTTTTTTCCTACCTAAGCCCACCAGAAAAATGAAACAAACGGGTAGAACACAAAAATCCCAGTGAATTTTCAAAAGCCAAATTTTATAACCCCTGCAATGTATCTGGTTACTACCAGTTCCTTTTTGACTCAGTAAGAGGCCTCTAACTGGATCCAAGCCAGTTAATTCCCAGGTCAAATCTGTTTCTGAACCCAGTCCAGTTTCTGTCACAACTCCAAACCCAGTTTGGATCAGAAATTTGCTCAAAGAAACTCGGCTCAAAACACAAATCCAGGGAGCTCTGAAATCTGAGAGGGAGCTTACCCACGATCCCCAGCTGCTCTGAGAGATCAATGGACACAAGTGGGTCTTGCAGCTACCTTGTGTGTTCATTCAGTGCTCCTGGGAGTTGCTGGAACCTCCGCTTCAGATCCCACTTCTGACACCACCTGATAAAAGAAAATCTTCAGCCGAATTAAATTTAAAGGAGTTTAGTTGAGCAATGAACAGTTCATGAATCGGGCAGCCCCCAGAATCACAGCAGATTCAGAGAGACTCCAGGGATGCCTCGTGGTCAGAACAAATTTATAGACAAAAAAGGACAGGAATGCGAAGTGAGGTACAGAAACAGCTAGATTGGTTACAGCTCAGAGTTTGCCTTATTTGAACACAGTTTGAACATTTAGCAGTTTATGTTGAAGTACGGCCGTTGGGATTGGCCAGCACTCTGCTATTGTTACAAGTGCATACTATTAAGTTAGGTTTTCAATTTTGTCTGACTATTAAGCTAGGTTACTGTTCATCCATAAGGACTCAAATGTAGAAGTACGGAGTCCTTCTCAGGCCATATTTAGTTTGCTTTAACAATCTGTAAAAGTCACTATAATAACAAACCCTACTTCAGGTAGTTACAATGATTTAAGGAGTTAATATTTTTAAAGAGCTTTGAATAGCACTTGGCACATAGTACATGCTAAAGTATTTGTTAAAGAAATAAACATAGGCTGGGCAAGGTGGCTCACGCCTGTAATCCCAACAATTTGGAAGGTCAAGGTGGGAGGATCACATGAGCCTAGGAATTCGAGAGCAGCCTGGGCAACATAGACCTCAGCAATACAAGAAATAAAAATATTAACCAGGCATGGTGGTGCATGCCTGAAGTCTCAGCTACTTGGGAGGCTGAGGTGGGAGGATTGCTTGAACCCAGGTGATCCAGGCTGCAGTGAGGTATGATCACACCATGGCACTCCAGCCTGGGCAACAGAGCAAAACCGTATCAATCAATTGATTCTTATGTGGCAATTTATAAGTAAATTGACATAAATCTGCATGTATTTATATGGCATGTACATCTTCTTATCAATGCTATTTTTTATTGTTACTTTTACATTCTAAGGTTCTGGAAGGTATGAACCCCACTTACTTTTCCAAGGCAGATATGTAATAGTATTTCAGTATATAAAAGTAATCCATAATTGGTTGTGATGAGTGTTGTGGTGAATAAAATACTTAAAGACCCCTGAATTAAAAACTTAAATTCATCCAAATCTGAAATAAATTGAACTCTATAATCTGAAATGTAAGGAAATGAAAATAATAATAAAATATAACTGTATTTGAATTATAATCCAAAACATTTTTATTTTTCTCATCATGATCACTGTATTTTTTATACATGTTTTTAATGAATTTGTAATCAGAACCTAACTAGCAGTGGAGTAACATGTCCTTTTCTTTTGCAGCTATAGAAAGAACTCAACAAAGAAATCTTGAAGAATGACTTTTAGCAGCAACAATAGAAGACAAAACAACAGAACTCACAGCTCTGGTAAAACAAACAAAAAAAACCCCAAAAACAAAAAGCATTATTTCTTTATATTTCAGGGAAATTTTACTTCATGTTAAATTTATAGTTTAGTTGAATTGTGGGACCAAAAAACTCCGGAAATCATATAATAGAACAAAAGTTCTTAAATATCTTAACACACATACACATACCCACACACACACACACACAGACTTAGTATGGTAATAGTTGAAGCAGGACATGTTTTAAATGGTGATTTTTTTCTGAATTTCTGATTTACACCTGCCCCAGTCCCCTAAAAACCTGATGGATAAGAATCCGAATTTTCATGTTAAATAGTTAACATAAGGATAACTTAATTTTTTTTTAGATTAAGCCAATTGAAAATTGAGACATAATATATAGGACCCTATAAAGGAATTAAGTTTTTCTAGCTTTGATCAGCGGGAATTTCTGAGAGGAATGCTATACTTTCAGAAGATAACATGCAAAGAAGGGACAGAATTTTGGAACATTTATACCACATTAGACTCAAAGCTTTACCCACTGTTTTTCCCTTTAGAAGACCTACCTTTCAGTTTCTATTCCTGCACGGTCTCATTAAACATGAAACTCTAAATTTGTTCTGAATTCATGACTAAAGCACTACCATTTGCTTTGAAGTTATTTCAGCTCATTCGAAAAGGCCTCTTTGGGTAAATTGTTGTGAAATCGTAATGTCTGGGGTGAGTAGGATGGCAGTGGCACAGTGCATGGTGCATGCTGTCAAGGGAGTGTGGCACCTGGACACAGGCCTGAGATGTATCTCAGATCATCTGAGAACAAGCAATGAGAGTGGCAGGATTGGCTGGTTTAGTGAGCAAGAAAGCACTAACAGCCACGATGCCTAGGAGCCTGGCTGTTCTTCAGGCTCTACTGATAGATGCACCTTCCCATGGATTACGGGAGAAAGTCTATCTTTGATATATAATTCTGCATTGCATTTCTTTCTTTCTTTTTTTTTTTTTCTTTTTTGAGACAAAGTCTCTCTCTGCTACCTAGGCTGGAATGCAGTGGTGTGATCTCTGCCACTGCAACATTCGCCTCCCGGGTTCAAGTGATTCTCATGCCTTAGCCTCTCAAGTAACTGGGACTACAGGTACGTGCCACCACGCCCAGCTAATTTTTGTATTTTTAGTATAGATGGGGTTTCTCCATGTTGGCCAGGCTGGTCTCAAACTCCTCAAGCAACACTTCCACCTCCGCCTTCCAAAGTGCTGGGATTACAGGCATGGGCCACCACGCCTGTCCACATTTCTTTAACTGTTAGCTCAACAGGCTCAATCCTCCTGATGTTAACGGTTTGGATCAGTTGGGAAACACATCCTTGCTTTGTGCAGCTTACCAGCCCATAAACAATGTGCCTTAGAATTTCTAAAAAGTGGAGCAGACCCTAATCTGAAGAACATGCTGGTGAAAGCCATTGTTGGTCATTTTGAAGCTATAAAGTGAAGTTAATGCCGTATAAAATTATTTTGTTTTAGGATCCAGCCTTTGTTAAACTGTATGGTTATTTAATTTTGTAGCAAAGGCATTCACACAAAAGATAAACTGATGAGCAAATTAGATCCTACCCTCAGAGGAACTGTAAGTGCAGTTAATTCTTATTTGAAGTAGCTATGTTCTATAAAGTTGCCACCAACCCTGAGTTAGGGAACACAGAGCCACTGCTCCTAGGGTAAAGACAGGGTTAGGTTCCTGTGAGCCTCGGGTCACAACATTTTCATTAATCGATCATTATGCAACCTTGTTTTGTTGATGTTTCTATTTAGAAATACCTTATTTAATATATATTGTTGATTCATTAACATTGAATTCATAGCCAACAGCATCATAGCTCATGCCTGAGTGAAGTTTCTCTCACATGTATTTTCTCCATAAGGTACATCACAGCCTTCTTGCACTTAGGTACACTAGACAGCACTTCTGTACTACGATTGGGGCCATTTTAAACAGCAGAATCACCAACAAAAAGCACAAAATATGGAAAATGTGACTCTAGCTAGACTGTGACACTTGTTGACAGTATGATTGCTTCTAGAGTGGAACAAGAAGGCCAGGCATCACCTCATTCTACCTCAGCTGGGAAAGTGAGCACTGGGAAACTCACATTTTTCACCACTTGGCACGTTCATGAATGACTGAGAAATGGCAATGAATATTAATTTTGGGGTTACAAATAAATTTTAGCAATAGGCATATTTGCAAATATGGAATAAGTAAATAATGAAGATCATTATTTACATGCATTTCATGATAATATGAAAGACAACCAGAAACCAGAAAAGCTGTAAATGGTGTCTTGGGCATTATAAGAGGAGGATTAGGGCCTTCTACATCACTTTTTAGGATGCTTCCTGCTGCCTACCACAAGCCTGGATTAGGACTTGTCAGGGGTCCCACCTTCGTCAGAGCCTGAATCACACTTCGTGGTATTTGTTGGTTTAAGGTGCTGTCTCTAGTGAGACTAAATTCCTAACAGCAGGGTTCAGACTTAACTGTGTAGTTTACCCAGCACCTACGGTAATGCATAGCACATAGCACCAGGGATTTTGTCGAAGGTTTGGAGTCATTAGTATTCATTTCATAAAGGAATAGGTATTTGATATAGAGCCTAAAGTCCTAGTACAATTTTTAAAATGTTTTTATCTCTAAATTTTTCACTTTATATCTCTAAATTTTTAGTTTATACCTCCATATGCTTTTTTTCTTTTTTATATAAACACAATACCATTATTATGTAGTAAGATTTTGGTGAGTAGGAGTTTGGGAAAGGGCATTCTAAGCAGAGGGAAGATGATCAAAGAAGGGATTCAGGTGAGAGATGCGGGTCCCATGGAGGTGAAACCCCCAGTTTGGCACATCCAAGGGTACATAAAGGGGGGCAATCCTAAGTCGTACCCAAATGCAGGTTAGACTCATGCAGCGGAAAGCCACGGAATGCCAGGCAGCTTTACTCCTCAATTTGAAAGTTTGCAGGAACCCTTAAGGAAACCTAAGTGAACAGCAGAGGGATGAGGTGCTTTAGAAAGGTTAATATGGTTAATAGGGTAGGTTATGAAAAGCCCACCATGTAGGGAGGGACCAGTAGAACCACTGAAATGGTCTTAGGTGAGGCCAGGCGTGGTAGCTCTGGGATTATGCCTGTGATCCCAGAACTTTGGGAGGCCAAGGCAGGTAGATCACTTGAGCCCAGGAGTTTGAGGCCAGCCTGGGTAATGCGGCGAAAGCCCATTTCCATAGAAAATACAAAAATTAGCCAGGCATGGTGGTGCGCCTCTGTGGTCCTACCTTCTTGGGAGGCTGGGGCAAGAGGATCACTTGAGCCCAGCAGGTGGAGGTTGTAGTGAGCTGAGATGGTGCCACTGCACTGCAGCCTGGGTGACAGAGTGAGGCCTTGTCTCCCCAAAAAGAAGAAAGAAAGAAAGAAAAAAGGAAGTGACCTTAGGTGAGAAGCGATTAGGACCTGAACTGTTTTTTTCAAGGAGCAAGATGCAGTTATTTCTTAATAATATAATAAAGCAAAAATTCTTCTTGCAGAGATCATGTTCAATACCAAAAAGGCTCAAAATAAAAAGATTACTCTTTGTCAGAAAGCTTGGCATAGCAAGGTTATATTTAAGCACTATTATAGACCTGCATAACCAATCATCTTTGAGGAAAATGGTTTTGCCATCACCAGAGTTTAAGGTAAAAACCACATCCAATTTAAAATGTATAATGTGTTGTTATAGGAACTGTCAAATCAGGTGTCTTATACGTAGTAACAGTTTAGGAAAATGAGCTGACTGCAGTAAGATTTAGAAGATTGTTTCCTTGGTGAGTTTGAGTTTTGAAGTATAAACACATTGGGAACAGAGGTGAATATCAACTATATGCCATAGTCATAAATCATTAGCTTTCATCACAAGGCAGGCCAATATACATATGTTTAATTTATATATTTAATTAATACATATTTTGTCTAAAATTAAAGTTAACTGGAATGTTTTATCCATGGACAACTTAGTGACTTCATTTGTATTACGTAAGGCTAGCAGGACATAGTGGTTTTTTTTTTTTTTTTTTTTTTTTTGAGATGATGTCTCACTTTGTCACCCAGGCTGGAGTGCAGTGGTGCAATCTTGGCTCACTGCAACTTCCACCTCCTAGGTTCAAACAATTCTACTGCCTCAGCCTCCTGAGTAGCTGGGATTACAGGCACCTGCCACCATGTCTGGCTAATTTTTGTATTTTTAGTAGAGACGGGGTTTCATCATGTTTGCCATGCTGGTCTTAAACTCCTGACCTAAGGTGATCCTCCCACCTAGGCCTCCTAAAGTGCTGGGATTACAGGCGTGAATCGCCATGCCTGGCTCTTTTTCCTTCTTTTAATTTTTTCAGACAGGGTCTCTCCCTGCTGCCCAGGCTGGAGTGCAGTGACACAATCATAGCTCACTGCAGCCTTGAACTCCTGAGCTCAAGCCTTCCTCCCACTTCAGCCTCCTGAGCAGCTGGGACCACAGGTGCACACCACCGTGCCCGGCTAGGACCTGAGCTTTATTGTCATCAGGAGGAGTAGAAAGAAGAAAGTCAATCGATAAAGAATCCCCTGCTTCTCCTTTTTGACTGGCTCTTATACTCTAGACACTCACCATCTAACAGAAATATAATGGGAGTCATGTACATAATTTTAAGTTTCTAACAGCCACATTAAAAAAGGAAAAGGCAATAGGTGAAATTAATTTTTAAAATGTATTTTATTTAAAGCCATATATCCAAAATACCATTTAAACATATAATCAGGAAAAAAAATCAATGAGATCTTACATTCCTTTTTTGGTACCAAGTCTTTGAAATCTGGTGTGTATTGTGCACTTACAGCACATCTCGACGTGACCTAGCCACATTTCAAGTACTGAATGGCCATGTGTGATTAGTGTCCACCACATTGGACAGTGAAGCTCTACACATAACAAGCTGTCCAGGAGGCTCCTGGTTAACTGTGCTGTCCTCACCTTGCATATGCTATTCTCTCTGCCAGAAGTGCCATTCTCCTGCTTGTGCATCTGGTAAACCTTAGTCTTGCCACAAGAGCTAGCTCAAACTCTGCCTCCCTGGAGAGGCTTTGCCTCTATCCCTGAGACAGGTATAGGTTCTTCCTGAAATGAAAGTTAGAAGAGAAACTGAGGGGTGGAGAAGGGGAAGCACTTGGGAGATGTGAGAGAAATACCAGTCTATGGAAGCCAGAAGAAGAGAGAACATGAGGAGTAAAGGGGTAGGATGTCATTCATGTCATGTGTAACTCAGATAGGAGAAACACTGAAAAAAGGCTGTGGAATTCCATAACCGAATGCCCATGGTCATCTCTGACAGAGCACTTTCCGCCTGAGTAGCTAAGCGAAAGCAAGGTGAGGGTAGGGATTAAGTAGGAAACGAAGAAGCTGAGGTTACACTATTTAAGAACAGAAGACACAGCTCCATGGCCAACTGGAGGGTTTTTTTAGGCAAAGGGAAATCTAAGCATGTTTAAACATGACCAGGAAGAAGGTAATAAAAAAAGAGCTGTATGGTTTAATTGTGACAGTTAGAAAATATAATTTTTTAAAAAAGGTAATATTTATGGTAATAGCAAAACCAATAAGTAGGAACATACTTGAAAAAAGATGCTTAATTTTTTATGGGGGAATTACAAACACAACTGAAAGACATAAAAGGGGACCTAAAGAAATGGAGATCTACCATGCCTTTTGTATTAGTCCATTTTCATACTGTTATGAAGAAATACCCAAGACTGGGTAATTTATACAGAAAAAGAGGTTTAATGGACTCACAGTTCCACATGGCTGGGGAGGCCTCACAATCATGGCAGAAGGTGAAGGAGGAGCAAAGGCATGTCTTACATGGCAGCAGGCAACAGAGCATGTGCAGGGAAGTGCCCCTTACAAAACCATCAGATCTCGTGAGACTTACTCACTATCACGAGAACAGCACGGGAAAAAACCCACCGCCATGATTCAATTACCTCCATGACACCTGGGGATAATGGAAGCTACGATTCAAGATGAGATTTGGGTGGGGACACAGCCAAACCACATCACCTTTGTTGGGGAAAACTCAACATTGAAAAGCTAACCATTCTCTCCGGATTAATTTATAAATTCACAGCAGTCCCAACCAGAATCCTCAAGGTTTCCAGGAAACTTGGCTAGTTGATTCTAAATTTATGTAGAACCACTGGGCACAGTGGCTCTGGCATGTAATCTTAGCACTTTGGGAAGCTGAGGCAGCAAGATCGCTTGAGGTCAGGAATTCAAGACCAGCCTGGGCAACATAGCAAGACTCCATCTCTACAAAAAAATTAAGTTAGCTAGGCATGGTGGCATGCACCTGTAGTCCTAGCTACTCAGGCGCTATTAGCTATTCAGAATTGAGTAAATACTGCTGGGGCAATTAGCTATTCATATAGAAATAGGTCATTTTGGATGCCTATTTCATATTGGTTACTGAATTTCCAGGTAGTTTAAAGACCTAAATGTGCAGTACAAACTTAAAAACATGAAGAGAGGCTTCTGCTGTGGGCCATGATGGAGTTACACGGATGAGATTTACCTCCCCTACCCCTACTCCTATTAAAACTGTATTGGAAGTTCTAGCCAGTGCAATAAAGCAAGAAAAAGAAATAAAAGATATTCAGACTGAAAAAGAAAAAGTAAACTGTCTTTACTCACAAATGACATGATCATTCCATGTAAAAGAAATTCTAAGAAATCCACAACAAGCTATTAGAACTAATAAGTGTGCTAGTTCAGTATACAAAAATCAGTTGTATTTCTGTATACTTGTCAGAAGTTGAAATTGAAAAAGCAAACCATTTAGAATAACATTAAAATGTTATGAAATACTTAGGAATAAACTAGGTAAAATATGTGCAAGACTTACACACAGAAAACCACAGAACACTGATGAGAGAAATATAAGAATATCAAAATAGAGGGAGAGGTGTACAATTTTCAGGAATCAGAAGACTTGACATTGCTAAGGTGTCAGTTTTTCCTAACTTGATCTAGTGGTTCACGGTAATCTCGATCAAAATCCCAGCAGGCTTTTTTGGTAGAAATGGACAAATTGACTATAAATTTTATATGGAAATGGAAAGGACTTAGTAAACCCAAAACAACTTTGAAAAAGAACAAAGCTGGAGAATTTGCACTACCTTAGTATAGGACAGTGTTTTATTGGTGAAATAATAGATATATAGTTTGATGGAGCAGGAGGGAGTCTAGAAGTCAGCCCACATATTTATGGTCAACTAATTTTTGACAGAAGTGTTAAGGCAGCAAATGGGAAAAGGCACATGAACACAAAGAAACTCACGAGCAAAAGAATGCTCTGGATGGCCCTTTTATCTGGGGGTGCTTTTGGAGAAAGGTTGATACTATGAAGATGCTGAGACTGCCTGTTATGCCTGCACAAGAGAATCACCATGTATCCACTGAAGGGGGCCATGAGCCCTGCAAGGGAGACATCCTGAAATGTCATCAGTGTGAAAATTGTCTGCCCAAGGAAGCAACTCAGGGGCCCAGCAGAGCAGGATTGAGTGACAAATGTAACACTATTTGAGGCAACATTTTTGGAGGGAAGAGTGGAGACTAAGAAGCTTCCACTAATGGATATGTGGAAGACCCACAGCAAGAGAAAGCAACGCGGTTTGTGATGTGAGGATCTCTGAACATTGCCAAACGGGAGCTCCTTGGGGTGAGGTTGATGGCCTGGAGGACACTCAACAGGCAGGTGGTGGAAATGGAGAGGCCTCTCATCAACCTGTACCTGTAGATAACTGACTTATGTTTGATATCATCCCCCGAATCCTGAGACGCAGAAATATCTGTAGCTATGAACCCCTTGGGCAACAACATATCACGCAGCAACACGATATGGATTAGGGCCACGTGACCAATGATCAGGTCAGTGGGTTTGGTCCTGTACTTGAGAAGGCACGTGAGGACGTGGAAGAGAAGGAGGATGGCATTGGCCGAGATCCCAATGCCGACTTCAGAGAAAGCAGCATTTCTTATGGCTATGAAACTGGAAAGTTTGTTGTTTTTATTCATCTTATGGGGAAAATAAGCACATAGTTAATGTCTAGGGAGAAAAGCAACAAAAATATCACAAATATTACTACCTTCACCAATCTCAACCAACACTATTGCCATCATCAAAATACATTAATTAATTCTGATGCATCTTTTCCCCCTTCAGTACTGGACCCCCTCTTCACACCCTCCTGGAAGCCATCCCCACCCTCTCTCTTCTCCCATGACTATGCCATCATGGCTGGACTATGATTCCCATTGCTGGGCCTCCATATTACTTCCATAGTACAACTCCCTATTATTGGGAAGGCATTTTCTTATTTTTACCATAGTTCTACTTCTTCATAGGCAGGAGCAATGAGTTGTTTCCATTTGTATTTGCAGAAACCTGGTAAAGTTCCAGGTACAGAACATAGGATGAGCTCTACTATTTGATTAAGGAGAATTTCACAGATGTGGAAATGAGACCCCCCTCATACAATGAGTATCAATGGTATAGCCATGTATACATTTATATTATCTCAGCACTATCTTTATTTTGGTTGTTTATTGCCAGGCAAATACTCTTTTTTTTTTTTTTTTTTGAGACAGCGTCTCACTCTGTCACCCAGGCTAGAGTGCAGTGGTGTGATCACAGCTTACTGCAACCTCCTCCTTCTGGGCTTAAGCAATCTTCCCACCTCAGCCTCCTGAGCATCTGGGACCACAGGGAAATACTCTTAATCATAAGAGACCAAATGTTGGTAAGTGTGGACTCTGAAGCCAAATGACTTGAATTTAAACCTCGATCTGGCATTTACTAAATGTGTGGTCTACAGTGGTCATCTATACACCTGAACCCTGATTATCTCAGCTGTAAATACAGAGAATCATATTACTTACTTCTAGAGATGTTATTTGTGCGAAAAAAAATAACTAAATGTATCAAATGTGGATAGTATTTGGCAAATAATGATCTCCACTGAAATTTCAACTATTATGCTTATATAATTCCTTGTACATGTGATTGAGAGAATGCAGTTATTTTAATAAATTTCCAGCTTCATTCATGCTTAAAAGGGCATGGAGAAATGTGCACCAAAATAGCAGACTTTCAACAATCTCTGTTCTTAGGACATTGATGGGATTTAAAGTCTTTTCTCTGAATCCCTGAAGATAGTTATGTAGTTAAAACTCATGCCAGAAAACCCTAGTCTAAATGAGTAGAGTCAACTTATCAATTATTAGCAGGACCACATTCCAAAATTTCTTTTCTCTCCATTCTTAAGCACATGGAAACAGTGGTAACTAGCGTCATAATTTAATTAGATTGGAATAATTTTTTCCACAGACATAATTAGAAGATGTAGGGGTGGGTTGCCCCTACACACCTGTGGGTGTTTCTCGTAAGGTGGGACGAGAGATTTGGAAAAGAAAAAGACACAGAGACAAAGTATAGAGAAAGAAATAAGGGGAACCGGGGAACCAGCGTTCAGCATATGGAGGATCCCGCCAGCCTCTGAGTTCCCTTAGTATTTATTGATCATCCGTGGGTGTTTCTCAAAGAGGGGGATGTGTCAGGGTCACAAGACAATTGTGGGGAGAGGGTCAGCAGACAAACACGTGAACAAAGGTCTTGGCATCATAGACAATGTAAAGGATTAAGTGCTGTGCTTTTAGATATGCATACACATAAACATCTCAGTGCTTTACAAAGCAGTATTGCTGCCCGCAGGTCCCACCTCCAGCTCTAAGGCGGTTTTTCCCTATCTCAGTAGATGGAGCATACAATCGGGTTTTATACCGAGACATTCCATTGCCCAGGGACAGGCAGGAGACAGATGCCTTCCTCTTGTCTCAACTGCAAGAGGCATTCCTTCCTCTTTTACTAATCCTCCTCAGCACAGACCCTTTACGGGTGTCGGGCTGGGGGACGGTCAGGTCTTTCCCTTCCCACGAGGCCATATTTCAGACTATCACATGGGGAGAAACCTTGGACAATACCTGGCTTTCCTAGGCAGAGGTCCCTGCGGCCTTCCGCAGTGTTTGTGTCCCTGGGTACTTGAGATTAGGGAGGGGTGATGACTCTTAAGGAGCATGCTGCCTTCAAGCATCTGTTTAACAAAGCACATCCTGCACCGCCCTTAATCCATTCAACTCTGAGTTGACACAGCACACGTTTCAGAGAGCACGGGGTTGGGGGTAAGGTTATAGATTAACAGAATCTCAAGGCAGAAGAATTTTTCTTAGTACATAACAAAATGGAGTCTCCTATGTCTACTTCTTTCTACACAGACACAGTAACAATCTGATCTCTCTTGCTTTTCCCCACAAGAAGACATCGCTCCACTTCTACCATAAGAGATGGTTCTCCCTAGGAGTTCAAGCTTTCATGTCTTCCTGAAGTCAGAAAGGATATTTTCTCAGTCATGGCGCCCAAGTGTTAAAATTCTACTAGGAAATTTGGTAAGAGCTAGTTGTGGAATATTTCACTTGAGTAATACAGGTATCTACTTTATCTCAAACCTTATACATACATGACATTGCATAATTGGTCAAGTCACATATTTTCAGATTTGTCATCTGAAAATCAATAGTTTTCTCACCTACTTTAGGGCGTATAGTTCTTTAGTGTATGTTACTGAGGAGAGGCTGAACTATTTAGGAGCTATGAACATAGGATAGCATTTATGAAGTCAGAGCCTAGGTGGGTACTTGATCTAAAACACTTGGACATTTTCTGTTTTCTAAAATAGAAAATTTATAGTAGGATTTTAAAAAATCTTGTATTAATCAATTAAAGTATTAATTAAAGTATTAAGTAATTAGTAATTATTAGTATTAAAGTATTAAGTATTAATCAATTAAAATGACACCACTTTCTTTATTCAAACATTTAGCAAAGTAAGGTTACTCCTGTGATATGCTCAGGAGAAACAACAAAAAACATTAATTATCCAGCTGTCTCTGAGATTTACGTGTCCCACGCTCTTTAAGCACACAGTGCTTAATGGTCTTCTGTGTCTTTCATGCACTTATAACATATATTAAATTGAAAGAAGTCCTATTTTCTACAATTCTATCTCATGTAAGTTACAAAATCTATCCTGAGGATGTTTTAAAAATATAGGATTGAGGCCTGGCACTGTAGCTCACGCCTGTAATCCCAGTACTTCGGGGGGTCAAGGCAGGTGGATCACGAGATCAGGAGATCGAGACCATCCTGGCTAACACGGTGAAACCCCGTCTCTACTAAAAATACAAAAAATTAGCCTGGCGTGGTGGCAGGTGCCTGTAGTCCCAGCTACTCGGCAGGCTGAGGCAGGAGAATGGCGTGAACCTGGGAGGCGGAGCTTGTAGCACACACAGTGAGACTCTGTCTCAAAAAAAAAAAACATATATATATATGATTGAAAAGACACATAATAGCATTTACAGATAACACTTTAAAATAATGAGATAAGAAAATTAAAAATTCTAAACTTGTCTCTTTTTATTTTGGTGAAATACAAGTTTTTTGCTAATTCTTATTTTTTTTTTAATTGAGCCTTACAAATAACGTTGTAAACCAATAAGTAGCATGTTTTCATATTTGTAAGTTTTGAGTATAGGACTAATATTTTCAGTATTTCTTAAGGGACTGCAGTCCTGCCAACATAAATGTTTAAGGAAAGGCAGGAAAATGCAGATGCCATGAATTTTCAATAATATTCAGGAAACCATGTTTTAGGTAGATTATTGCTTCAAAAATACTGGAAAGTCTTATTTTTTTTCTGTAGCAGAAATTCCCCAGGTAGAGCTAGAAAACTTGATCTCCCTTTCCCAGAATATCAACTAAAGAAAGTGACATAATTTGATGCATTTCCAAGCATTTACTTTTATTTGCTCCCATGGAGTGCCAGGAAAGACAACAGAAAATAAAACTCTAATCACTCAACTGTCTCCAGCTTGTGAGATCACATGCAACTGTATCAGTGAAACATACACATCGAATATAAAGAGCCTAAATTTATATCAATATTATACAATATGTGAATAATATAAAGGTATGTAGCTATTTCTGTGCTACTAGATTGTTTTTATGAGAAAGCATTCTGGTGACTATGATGAACCCTTCATTAAACAAGCTGAAAGAAATCCTCTTAGTGTGTCCTCTCTCAGCTGGGCCTCATGACACTCACACCTGACTCACACCTGACAGCATGGTTTAGGATAACAGGAAACAGAATGAAGCCCTGTCCATCAGGAAGCTGAGCTAGAAGGCCCACCTCAAATTCAGCCCTTAGGAGTCATAGATGCTGAGACAGCACCTGGCTTGGGTGATGTGCCAAGCACAGAAATCACATTTTACACACTGAAGGAAACAAGCCACTCCTGAAGCTCTGGATGTAATGACATAGATCTCAGGAAATATAACATGGAAGAAATTCTGAAAGAGGTCATATTTGAGAAGGCTTACTAGAAGAAGGAAAAGCTAAGTGGACAGAATAGGAAAAAAAAAACAAACATAAATGGAGTAAGAAGTGTCAGTAGAAATCTGAGCATTGCTTTGAAAAGTCACCACCAGAATCTCCCAAAGTGGATAGTGAAGTGTGAGGTTCCTTCAGGAGAAAGGTAACACAGGTAGGACCCCCTTTACTACCCCAATCAAAGAAGCACCACTCTAGACACTGTATCATCCTGTCATTTATTGAACTCATGGGCAGTCCTGTGATACATGATGTCATCAAACACGCCACACACTCATGAAGAAGCCTCAGATCACTGCTCTTGAGCCAGTGGTCAGGAGAGCAGCGGAGACAGTAAGGGAAGGAGGAAACCCCCCAGTAGACCTCAGTCCAAGCTCGGTACTAATGCCCTTGTGGTATACAGGTCACAGGGGAAAGCAAGGAAGGGAGGGCACATCTGTGTTCTCTATCTGCAGCATCAGTGTAATCATGCACATCTCTCAGGGTTGAGATGATGTGCAAATACTACGATTCACATCCAGCACTTAGGAAGGTACCTTAGATACATGAAAGAGCATACTTTGGTTTGTCATTATCATACATGCCAAATTCGCCTTTACTGTCAACACAAAAGGGCTCTGAGAGGTGGTATTTACAATGCACCATGCAAGTACATTTGGAACCATGTGTATACAGAGCAAAATGCTCTACCTTGTGGCACAATTTGAGCTGAGAATTGTAGAGAACTGTAGAGAAATGGCTGACACAGTCAGGGAAGGCAAAATCACCAACTAGATGCCAGTACAGAGATGCTGTGAAAACATGAATTCCAGGATAGAAGAAGAAAAACTTGAAAAATATTTGGTTGTATGAATGGGAGCTGTTTCCCCGAATAACTGTGGGTGAGAATTACATATTGCTTTTGCAAATTGAAAAGATTGTATACTTCACTTACACTTGGCTATTTGTAGGATCAATATTTTATGTGTATTTTGAGAAAAAAGAAGGGCAGGGAAATTATTATTCCGAGGTAAGGAAACAGGGAAATGCAGAGGTGCTTCATCACAAATACTGAACCAAAGACACAACAAATACTAACCCAAACAGTCCTGTGTGAGAATCAGTTTCCCTGATCAACCCAATTATGAAATAAAAGTGTGATTTTCTTGTTAAACAGCTTCCACTTCGATTTATCATCACATCACATTCTTTGTATTTTAGTAACAATAAAATGTCCCTGCCTCTTAATTTTACTGGATTCTCTCCAGGTTAATAACAATCTGGGTGGCCAGATGCAGTGGCTTAATCCTGTAATCCCAGCACTTTGGGAGGCCAAGGTGGGCAGATCACCTGAGGTCAGGAATTTGAGACCAGCCTGGCCAGCATGGTGAAACCCCGTCTCTACTAAAAATAGAAAAATTAGCTGGGTGTGGTGGTGTGTGCCTATAGTCCCAGCTGCTTGGGAGGCCAAGGCAGAAGAATCGCTTGAACCCAGGAGGCGGAGCTTGCAGTGAGCTGAGATTGGGACACTGCACTCCAGGCTGGGCGACAGAGCGAGACTCTGTCTCAAAAAAAATAAAATCTGGGAAGAGCTGTGCTCAAAACGTGCTCTAAGCTCCCTTGTCACATCGCATGGAGGGACTGGAAGTGTTGAAGTCATGTAGACAATACAAATTCTCTAATTTCAATCCCCAAATCAAATTAGTCCAACGCCACCTCGCACTTTGTAATGCCTCTACTCTGGAATGAGAGGTTCCTGCCACCTCCCGCGAGTTCAGAAGGGGCTCTGCGTGTCCTCTCCCCGAAGTGTGTGAGGCACACTCATCCCTGGGGCTGCTCTCACAGGGAGCACGTGGCTTCCAGGTGGTACTGGTCATGTATCCCATGACTTCCATTCTCTCAGTTCAGGTTCCCAGATTTCTCTCAGATTAAATAAAATGTAGAATACCTCTTATGGCCATGGGGGAAGGGAGGAAATCCCTTTGGAGTCTATTTTTTCCCACTTTCCAGGAATCCCTAAAGTGGCCCTAAAAGTGACATAAATGTGCAGCCCGGCCCTGCTTATTGGTGGCCCAGACCCTTCAGGAGATGGAGAACACACACCGAGGGGTGGGAAGCTTTGCACTGAGAGGTTGAGGTACTGAGAAACCCAATCCCTGCGACTTCCAGGGCAGCAAAGGAGAAGTACATTATGACGGACCAGTGTGGTGTGAACAAAAGGTTCTCTGGCAGTAGAGGAACCCCCAGGCTTCCAATGTGATCATTCTGTGGAAGGGAAAATGTTATACAACTTGATCTTGAATAACTCTCAATTTTTAAAAAATTAGTTAGGAAGAAAGCAAGAAAGGGGCCCAAAATTCTCCCCATTCAAGGAGGTTTAAAGAGGAGAAAGTAAAATGCTGAGGCAAATACTTTAATATGTACCTTGCTAGGCAAAATACAGACCACCGAGGTTATTGGCTTAATAAAAAGTGCCATAAGCCATCACTTGTCTGTAAGTAATATGAGCTGACCCAGTCCATGGCATGTGGGGTCTACTGCCCAGGTCAGCCCTTGCTGCCCCTCATCAGAAATCTGGAGCACTTGATCTGTGGCTGCCAACCAGACAGCCTGAGCAGCAGGTGGATGGGCATAAAGGGTGGTAACCACACATGCCAAGCAACAAAGTTTGTCTCCTACAGCGGGCAGCAGAGAGGCCCCATCTAGCAGACACAGCAGCCAGCTAAGTTCAGCTCTTCTTCAAGCAGCAATCTGTAAGCAAGTAAGAAAGTCATCAGAGCTGCTAGTTACGCCTACGTTCCCAGGTTTGAAAAGAAATTTTCTTTATCACTTTCTACAATTAAGCAACACCATTCTAAAGGTGTGCATTGGACATGAAAAAAAATCATTATTGGTTTTTCTTTTTTCTTCTTGCAATGTAGAATTTTTTTTAAACATAGAAAATATACACAATAACTTAGTGAATATGTATTCATTTGCAAGCTTCAGCAATTATAAACTTTCTGCCACTTTTTTAGCTTTATTGAGGTATAATTGACAAAAATTATATATATTTAAGGTATACAACATGATTTGATATACATATACTTTGTGAAATGATGACCACAATCGAGCCACTTAAAACATCCCTCACCTCAGGTAGTTATCTTTTCCTTGTTGTAGACAGAACCCTTAAGATCTACTCTTATAGCAAATTTCAAGCACGCAATACACTATTAACTATTGTCACCATGCTGTACACAAGGGCCCCAGAACCTGCTCATCTTATAGCTGAACATTTGTACCCTTTGACTAACATCTCCCCAATTTCTCCATCCCTCAGTTCCTGGGAACCACCATTCTACTCTCTGCTTCTACGAGTCTAACTTTTGTAGATTCCACATGTAAGTGAGATCATACAATATTTGTCTTTCTGTGTCTGGCTTATTTCACTTAGCATAATGCCCTCCAGGTTCATCCATGTTGCTGCAAATGGCAGAATTTCCTTCATTTTTTATGGCTAAATAGCATTCTGTTGTATATATACAGTATACCACAGTTTTTTTATCCATTCATCTGCTGATGGACACCTAGGATGATTCCATATATTGGCTATTGTGAATAATGCTGCAGTAAATATGGGGGTGCAGATATATCCTGAAGATACTATTTTCTTTAGATATGTATCCAAAACTGGGATCGCTGGATCATATGGTAGTTCTAGGTTTAACTTTTTGAGGAAGCTCCATACTGTTTTCCAGAACGGCTGTACTAATTTACATTCTCACCAACAGGGTACAAGGTTTTCCTTTTCTCCATGTCTTCGCCAGCACTTGTTAGCTTTTGTCTTTTTGATGTCTCATGTGGTTTTGATTCGCATTTCCCCAATATTAGTGATGTTGAGCACCTTTTCATATTCCTGTTGGCCATTTATGTGCCTTCTCTGGAAAAATGTCTGTTCAGGTCCTTTGCCCATTTTTAAGTCAGGTTATTTGTTTTTTTTTTTTTTCAATTGGGCTATATGAGTTCCTTATGTATTAATTCTCCATTCTTTTATCATCTATATCTCCACCCACTGGCTATAATCCCTTTGTTAATCATCTTCATTCTCCTCCTCATCATTATCATTTTATAATTCAGTGTAGAATCAAAATCTACTTTATTTAAATATACAAACCTTAGCCATACAATTTTGATAATTGAAGCACTTGTGCAATTCACATGCCTATTACAATATAAAACATTTCCATTGACTCAGAAAGTTCACTCATATCCCTTGCCAGTCAAGTCCTCCCACTCTAGAGGTACCACCATTCTGATCATTTTCTCCTTAGATTATTTTTTAGTTTTCTAGGACATAGAACTGAAATATGGCACTATTTACTCTTTTGTGTCTAATAATGTCTGAGAAATTAATCCATGTTACCATGTGTTTGAGTGTTATTTTTGCTTTTATTTTAGAGTAGTGTTCGATTGAATTAAAATACCACAATTTGCTCATTCACTTGCTTCTTAACATGAAGAACATTTGGGTTCTTTCCAATTTTTGGCTATCATGAATGCTACTTTGAAAATTCATGTACAAGTCTTTTTTATGGTGATGTTTTCAGTTCACTTGGGTAAATATATTAGTGTGCAATTGTTGAATGAAAAGGTAAGTGTAAGTCTGGGTGTGGTGGCTCACACCTGTAATCCTAGCACTTTGGGAGACCAAAGAGGGTGGATCACTTGAGGCCAGGAGTTCGAGACCAGCCTGTCCAACATGGCGAAACCCTGTCTCTACTAAAAATACAAAAATTAGCTGGGCATGGTGGTGGGCGGCCGTAATCCCAGCTACTCACGAGGCGGAGGTTGCAGTGAGCCAAGATCGTGCCATTGCACTCCAGCCTGGACAAGAGCAAAACTCTGTTTCAAAAATAAATAAATAAAATAAAAATAAAATTAGAAAATGTTTTTTAAAAATACAAAAAGTAGCTGGGTGTGGTGGCACGCACCTGGAGTCTCAGCTACTTGGGAGGCTGGGGCATGAGAATTGCTTGAACCCAAGAGGCAGAGGTTGCAATGAGCCGAGATTGGGCCACTGCACTCCAGCCTGGGTGACAGAGGGAGACCCTGTCTAAATTAAAACAAAAACAAAAACAAAAACAAAAACAAGAAGGCAAGTGTATATTTGACTCAATTAAACTGCTAAAACTTTTCCCAGAGTCATTGTATCATTTTACATTCCCACCAGCAATATGTGAGATGATGGTTGACTCACATTCTTGCCAATATTTTTGTTGTTTCAGCCTTTTTCATCTTAGATATTCTAGTGAATGTCTAATGAAATCTCATTGGCATATTTATTGCATTTCTCTAAGGACTTTTGGTAGTGAGCAATTTTTCATTTATTGGCTACCTATTTGTCTTGTTTTGTAAAGTCTCTGTTTATGTCTTTTTATACTAGAGTTTAAGGGGTTCTTTGTATAATGTAGATACAAATCTAAATAAAGCAGGTAAGTGCTTTCTGAATATTTTCTCAGCATATGGCTCTTATTAATATTTTAAAGTGTGACGTGATGAATGTGATTTTTATGAAACCTAATTTATTGTTTTTTGTTATGGCTATTGCTTTTTGTGTCTTTAGAAATCTCTGCCTATTTTTTAAAATTTTTTTATAGTAGCAAACTGAATTTAATATCAAATTAAAAGAATCATACACCATGACCACATGGGGTTTATTCCTGAGACGCAAGAGTAGTTCAACATATGAAAATCAATTAATTTGATACATCACAATAAAAATAAAGAATTTAAATTGTAAAGATAGTATCGTATTTTTTTCTGCTAAAATCTTTATATTCTTAGCTTCTGTAGGTAAATGTATTATCTGTCTTGAGTTAAACTTTGTGTATACTGTGAGGTGCTAATCAAGGTTCATTTTTCTCATGTGGATATCCAGTTATTTCAACATCATTTGTTGAAAAACTTTCCTTTTCGTGGGATTGGTTTGTACCTTTGTCAGAAATCAGTTGGCCATATACACAGAAGGTATATCTCTTTGGTATCTATTTGATTCCATTAATATATGTATCTGTCCTTCTGACAATACCACACTGTTCTAATTAGAGTCTCTGTGTAATAAGACTGGAAGTGAAATGGTATAAGTCCTCCAGCTTCATTCTTTTTCAGGATTGTTTTGGATAATGAAATATTTGCCTTTCCAATACAGTTTACATTAAGTTTATCAAGTTCTATAGAAAATGCGGCTGAGATTATGATTGAGTTTGCAATGAATGTTTAAACTGATATGTTTCTGAGAATTGAAATCTCAGAAACTTTGTGACTTCCTGTACTGAACAGAGGACATCTATTTACTTAGGGCTTTTAAAGTATCTCCCAGAAGAACTGGCACAGATCCTACTGAAACTATTCCAAAAAATCAAGGAGAAGGGACTCCTTCACTCATTCTACAAAGCCAGCATCATCCTGATATCAAAATCTGGCAGAGACAGAAAGAAAAAAGAAAACTTCAGGCCAATTTCCCTGATGAACATAGAAGCAGAAATCTTCAAGAAAATATGAGCAAACCACATCTAACAGCACATTAAGAAGTTGATTCGCTATGATGAAGTAGGCTTTATTCCTGGGATGCAAGGTTGGTTCAACACATACAAATCAATAAATGTGATTCACCACAGAAATGAAATTAAAACCAAAAACCATATGATCATCTCAATAGGCACAGAAAAAGGTTTGGATAAAATCCAACATCCCTTCATAGTAAAAAACCATCCACAAACTAAGCATCAAAGGAACATACCTCAAAATAAGAGCTGTCTGTGACAAACCCACAGCCAACATGATACCAAATGGCATTCCTCTTAAGACTTGGAACAAGGCCAGGCGCGGTGGCTCACGCCTGTAATCTCAGCACTTTGGGAGGCCAAGGTGGGCGGATCATGAGGTCAGGAGATCAAGACCATCCTGGCTAACACGGTAAAACCCCGTCTCTACTAAAAATACAAAAAATTAGCCGGGCGTGGTGGCAGGCGCCTGTAGTCCCAGCTACTTGGGAGGCTGAGGCAGGAGAATGGCGTGAACCCGGGAGGTGGAGCTTGCAGTGAGCCGAGATTGCGCCACTGCACTCCAGCCTGGGCGACAGAGTGAGACTCCGTCTCAAAAAAAAAAAAAAAAAAAAGACTTGGAACAAGACAATGATGCCCACTCTAACCATTCCTATTCAACATAGTACTAGAAGTCCTAGCCATAGCAACCAGGCAAGAGAAAGAAATAAAATGCATCGAAATAGGAAAGGAAAAAAATCAGTAGCATTTCTATACATTAGTAATATTCAAGCTGTTACAAATATGTAATAAGTCATTCAGTTAATAGGGTTCCTCCTAAAAAAAAAAGAATGTGTTATAAGCCATGTATAAAGTAACCTTTTAAATGTGTAACTGAGTTTATAAAATAGTATGGGAAATTCTCAGGGGATTAAAATGAAGAAGAATCTGGAACTGGGAAACCAGTTGGGTTTCCAAATTGGGAAGGCAATCCCATTTACAGTAGCCACAAAACAAATAAAATACCTAAGAATTCATCTAACCAAGGATGTGAAAGATCTCTGTAAGGAGAACTACAAAACCCTGCTGAAAGAATTCACAGATGACACAAATTTAAAAACATTCCATGCTCCTGGATTGGAAGAATTAATATCATTTAAATTGCCCAAAGCAATCTACAGATTTAACATTATTCCTATGAAACTACTAACTTCATTTTGCACAGAAGTAGAAAAAACTATTCTAAAATTCATATGAAAACAAAAAAGAGCCCAAATAGCCAAAGCAATCCTAAGCAAGAAGAACAAAGCCAGAGGCATCCCATTATCCAACTTCAAACCATACTATAAGGCTATAGTAACCAAAACAGGATGGTACTGGTGCAAAAACAGACACATAGATCATTGGAACAGAATAGAGAACCCAGAAATAAAGCTGCACACCTACAACCATCTGATCTTTGACAGAGTCAACAAAAATAAGCAATGGGGAAAGGACATCATATTCAATAAATGGTACTGGGATAACTGGCTAGCCAGATGCAGAAGAATGAAACTGGACCCCTACCTATCACCATATACAAAAATTAAGATGAATTAAGATTTAAAGGTAAGACCTCTAACTGTAAAATTCCTAGAAGAAAACCTAGGAAATACCATTCTGGATATCAGCCTTGGCAAATAATTTATGGCTAAGTTCCCAAAAGCAACTACAACAAAAACAAAAATTGACAAGTAGGACCTAATTAAACTAAAGCACTCTTGCACAGCAAAAGAAACTATCAACAGAGTAAATGGACACCCAGAGAATGGAAGAAAAATTTGCAAACTATGCAATTGACAAAGTCTAATGTCCAGCATCTCTAAGGAATTTCAACAAATTTATAAGAAAAAAAAGCAACCCCATTAAAAAGTGGGCAAAGGACATAGACAGTTCTCAAAGGATGGCATACAAGTGGCCAAATATGAAAAAATGGTCAATATCACTAATCATTAGAGAAATGCAAGTCAGAACCACAATTAGGTATCATCTCCCACCAGTCAGAATGGCTGTTATTAAAAAGACAAAAAATAACAATGCCAGTGAGGCTGCAGAGAAAATGGAAAACTTATATACTATTGGTGGCAATGTAAATTAGTTCAGCCACTGTGGAAAGCTGTTTGGAGATTCCTCAGAGAACTAAAAACAAAACTACCATGTGACTCAGCAATCCCATTACTGGGGGTATGCCCAAAGGAAAAGAAATTATTCTACAAAAAGGACACAACCACTTCTATGTTCATTGCAGCACTGTTCACAATAGCAAAGACATGGAATCAACCTAGGTGTCCATCAATGGTGGATGGGATAAAGAAAATTTGGTACGTATAGCCTGTGGAATACTATTCAGTCACAAAAGAGAATGAAATCGTGTCCTTTGCAGCAATATGGTTGCAGCTGGAGGACATTCTCCCAAGTGAATTAACACAGGAACAGAAAACCAAATACTGCATGTTCTCATAATAAGTGGAAACTTAAACATTGGGCACTTAGGGACATAAAGATGGGAACAATAGGCACTGGGGACTACTAGAGGAGGGAGGGAGATGGGGGCAAGGATTTAATGGAAAACCACCTATTGGGTACTATGCTCACTACCTGGGTGACAGGATCGTTCATATCCCCGAACCTCAGCATCACACAATATACTTATGTAACAAAGACCTGCATATCTATCCCCTGAATCTAAAAGTTAAAATTACTTAAAAAAAAAAACAAAACAAAAACAAAAGAAAAAAAAAAAAAAAAAAAAAAAACCTAAGGGGAACCTGGTTTCCCAGTTCCAGATTCTTCTTCATTTTAATCCCCTGAGAATTTCCCATAGTATTTTATAAAGTCAGTTACACATTTAAAAAGTTACTTTATACATGGCTTATAACATATTCTTTTTTTTTTAGGAGCAACCCTATTAACTGAATGACTTATTACATATTTGTTACAGAAGGTCCTTCTGTGTCTCTAGTCTGTTATGTCAGCAGAAAAACCACTACTGTACATTTAAGAGAAGAGTGTCTAAGACGTTTATGTTAGGCCACAGAGTCTCATGAGAAATACTGATTTTGTGATGTCCAATGCTCCTTCTGTTATTATAATAAGCATTTTATGCTTTTTTTAATGTTTCTTATGTTTTATGCTGTGTTTCTAATTCAAAAATTGAATACTTTACTTTCTGTGCTTCATAATATTAGGACTTGCTGTCCCCATTTTAACAAAAAAGATATTTGTATAAATTGAATTATTTATATCCAGGGTGTATAAAGCTAGTAGTTCCTACAGTTCAGGAACTGAACTCAAGATATGTATCCTTAATACTTCCTTCACAGAAAATTTGTTCCTGTCCCAAACTTCAGTTTTGATATCTTTCACAGTCCCAGAGTCGTTTAGGTTGGAGTTTAACATGCTCAAAGTAGATAGGCAATTTTTATCAACTATCCTTTTGTTGTTAATACCTTATATTTTATATCTTATATTATAATTTGCTTAATTATAATGAGGATAGAGATCATGGCCTATTATATATCGATTTGACATAATTTACTAATTGGTTAGTCTAATTTATGGTCATTATTGAAATATTCTTTGGGTGCCAGAAAAAATGTGCAATCTCTTTTTATGAGATACAGTGTTATATATGTTCATTCGTTCAAACTTTTAAATTATATAATTCATTTCTGAAGTAACTAAAGAAAAATGTCTGAATAAATCAAGTCATTAAAGCAACTGAATCATTAGTAAAAATCCCTCTGAACCAAAAAATAGGATTGTAGGAATTTTTTTAATGTTGTAAATATATAATCCTTAAATAATAAAATATAAAAATATAAATAAAATTAAAATAATTTTAAAATATGGAAAGATACTCAACTCATTTTATCAGACTGGAATAACCTTAAGAGCAAAACAGAGTAAACAGAGCTAAATAAGAGAAAATTATATACCAATTGTATTGTGCACACTGATGGACTTTTCATAAATAAATGTCAGAAAATAAAATTCAGCAATGATTTAACCATAAGACTACATAATAAAATATTATCTCAATAATGCAAGGTGAGTTCAGTATCACAAAATCTGTCCAAGTAAGTGACCACATTATTATATTAAAGGAAAAATATGATCATATCTATATATGCAGAAGAATATAATCTAGAAAGTTTGGTATTCATTCACAATAAAATATTTTAGCAATCCAAATGAGAAGACAACTTCTTTAAATGGTCTACGAGCATATCTTTGGAAAACTTTTTTTTTTTTTTGAGATGGATTCTTGCTGTGTTGCCCAGGCTGGAGTGCAGTGGTGTGATCTTGGCTCACTGCAAGCTCCACCTCCCGGGTTCACACCATTCTCCTGCCTCAGCCTCCCGAATAGCTGGGACTATAGGCGCACACTGCCACGCCCAGCTAATTTTTTGTATTTTTAGTAGAGACGGGGTTTCACCGTGTTAGCCAGGATGGTCTCGATCTCCTGACCTTGTGATTCGCTGGCCTCGGCCTCCCAAAGTGCTGGGATTACAGGGGTGAGCCACCGTGCCCGGCTGGAAAACATTTTTAAAGATAAGGAAGTAGAAACATTCCTTTTAGAGTCATTAGTATGTCCATGGTGCTGATGTGAAATTCTGCTATTCAGTATTGTAAGGGATGCTCTAAAGGAAAAAAATTAAGTCTATTGGAAAGGAAAATCACCTTTTTCACATCATACGATTTTCAAAATGTAATATTCAACAGTAAGAATGAGAAACCTGTAGAAATAAGGAGTTACTTCAGCAAGATGGCTATATATAGAATCCATATTCAATCAACAGTATTCTCATTCCCTAGCAAATACATAATAGTAAATGCAATTTTTAAAAAGAATACCATTCATAGTTCATGGTACCTAGGACAAATATATAAAAACTTAAATGGAAAACTTAATAAAAACACAAATGAAGGCCCAAATAAGAGTTATGCTATAGTCATGCATAGGAAGACACAGAATCCCCTGTATAACAATTAGCCCCCAAATTAATAAACAATCAAAATTCAAAAGGATTACATTAGAAATTTACAATCCGATCTTAAAATTAATATCAGAGAACAAGCAGCCAGAATAACAATAAACATTGGAGACAGAAGAAGAAAAGAGAAGAGAAAGGAAGTAGGGAAGGGAGAGGATAAAAATAAGAGGAGAAATAAAGGACAGAAAGCTTGGCTTGTTAGATATCAAGTATAATTTCAAGTTACAGTAAATAAAACCATGTGGTGTTCATGTAGGTTTATACAATTAGACCAATGAATCAGAATGTCGAGAAACTAATCCACCCATATGTGTAAACTTAGTGTTGACAGAGGTGGCACTTTAAGTCAATTATCAAATATGGTGGGACAATTGGCTATCCACATGGAAAAACAAAAAAGACTCCTACTTTGCAAATGCCCCCAAAATATTCCAAGGGATCTCTGAAGTTATATTTCTCCTTATTATCTTTTGAGAAATTGATGTTAAAGAATAATAATTATTATATTAAAAAGAATTAACCTTACGAAAGCCACCACTTAGCTTATACAAAATGGGAGTTTATTGATGTATTTGAAGCCACTATGTATCTTTTTCTGAATGCATGGAACCAAAAAATCTCCTAAATAAATCACGTGTTGTTATTTATCTTTTCATTTTAAAGTTTTTGCTATATATTATACAAATATATCTTAAGATTTTTGTTAATTTCACAGCTTATATATATATATGGAATCATTCTGGATTCATTCCTGGAAAGTTGTTTTCTATACTAAGCCTTCTGTTTTGAGAATAATCCTTGTTGACATGTGAAGCTGTAGTTCATCAGCACTTCTTATAGAATGACATTGCATGAATCAAACAAAATATCTTTACCCAATCTTTTAGGAACATGTAAACAAGGCTCCTTTGAATATTGTTTTAGATGTTTCTTGGTCATCAATAGATGCCAAAGAGCTTATGGTCACACTAAAGGTGGGGTCACTTAGTCTGTGGAGCTGCAGGGTTCTTTTTGGGAGGTGGGAGGAAGGGAGATGAGTTTTGTTATTTTGGGGTTTTCAAGTATTGAAACCAAAGGCCAAATAATAAACAGCCTTTACATTTTAAAGTAAAATTCATTTTATTTGCAGCATACACTTGTATGGTAGACTGTGAACGACAATTTTATGACATTTATACACAGTATAATGGCTACATCTGCTATTTGTCTTTAAAATAAAAAAAGAAAGAAAAGCCCAACTTTGAATACATGGCCAAGATAAAGACCATGAATTGGTCATTCCTAAAAATGCAACAGATAGGCTGCTAGATTACGTTGTTTGCACTTTTTTTATGGGCATTTTAAAATCAGTATTTAAACTGAAGACGTTGTCATGTTTTATCAATTTAATGAATTTGAAAGTGACTGCTCTGTACATCATGACCTTAACAATGTTGATGCTATAAGTGAAAGTTCACTGTCGTCTATATACTAAATTTATGGGTGCTTCTAACTTAAAATTATGACTGCAGATTATCCCCCACAGCCTTAGTCCAGGGATGTGGCTCTATGCAGGTGCAGTACGCAGTTATGTGGAACCTTGCTTTCTAGTGCTGGGGAAAAAAAGATGTCTCTAATTACTGGTTTCAATAAACACGAATCCAGACTGCTTACAATTTTTGGTGGCTTTCTTTATGGTAAATCATCTGACTGGAGATAGATTAAATTGTCTGCGAATCGTATGGGGTATCTGATCATATAACTAAAAATGTTTACCTCTCTCACTTGAAATTATCAGAAATTCTGGAAAGAATAACATTGTAAAGCCATATTTATTTTTTATTTTACTTTTTGGAGACAGGAGTTGCCGAGGCTGGTCTTAAACTCCTGGCCTCAAATAGTTCTCCCGCCTTGGCCTCCCGAAGTGCTGGACTTATAGGTGTGAGGACCACACACAGCCTGGCTTTTTGTTTTTTTGAGTTTCTTCACATTACAGCTGACATCGTGAGTGTGAAGGTGGTAGGTATCCCAGTGACTAATGATGTTAAGGAGCATCTTATGATGTGCTTACTGGCCATTTATGTATCTTTGGAGAAATGTCTATTCAAATTCTGTGCTCATTTTTAAATTAGGTTATTTGCCTTTTGTGTTTTTTGTGTTTGTTTTTGAAACAGGGTCTCACTTTGTTGTCCAGGCTGGAGTGCAGTGGCATGGTCATGGCTTATTGCAGCCCCGGCCTCTCAGGCTCCCAAGTGTCTTCCTGCCTCAGCCTCCCAAAGTGTTGGGATTACAGATGTGAGCCACCACGCCCAGCCTATTTGACTTTTTATAATTGGGTTGTAAGAGTTCTTTATGTATTCTGGGTAATATACTATTAACAGTTATAGCTGTGTCCTTCTTACATGCCCCCATTCATCTTTGAGCATTTTCTTACTTTCTGGCACAAAAAGATGTTCCAGGCTCATCTTGCATTTCCCCTGCCTTTGACCTGGAATCAGCCATTTTTCCAAGGAGCCCTTTTAATGAGAGATTGGTTTTTGGAAACCAAGATCTGGACTATAGGCATACTTAATTTTACTGAGTGCTGTAACTTGTAGGCCTGTTGAGTGGACATACCATATCTACTTTTTCACTTAACATTGCCTGCAAGTTGGTTTATATTAGTTCATGGAGATGTTTATTCTTGTTTATGGCTACATAGTACTCAATTGTGTAATGTACCGTGGTTATTCAACCAGTCTCCTGTAGATAGGCATTTAGGATGTTTGCAGTCTTGTATTATTACATCTAATGCTGCAATGAATAACCTTGTGCATATCTTGTTTTTTATTTGTGGAGATGTGGATTCAGGGTAAATTCCGAGCAGTGGGCTTACCTACTCAAAAGGTAAATGCGCATCTGTAGTTGTTGTTAGATAGTCTCAAAATCCCTTCCATAGAGGTCACACCAGTCTGCATGCCTGTCAGCACTTGCACAGATTATTAATTCATTGTTACATTTTGCTTAAAATTGAGTTAGGAAGTTTGGTGAATAAATGTTTTGGGGACTTTTTTTTTTTAAAAAAAAGATATTTCCTGGTCATATGTGCCATATTTTCTCTATGGTCCATACCACAGAATTTGCTTGTTTCTAAATTATGCCTGTGTTTATTTACATTCATTTATGCTAAATTGTTTTCCAAATAGTTTTATAAATTTACCTCCCATACCAGCAATGTGTAAGAGTTTTCCTCTTAGCCAACACTGTGATCAACGTTTTTCATTTTCCTCAATTTGGTAAGTTTGAAATTGTAACTTGTTTTATTTTCTATTTTGTATTTCCTTGATGAATAATGAGGATAAATATATTTCCAAATGAACGTTAGACATTCTTGTTTCATTTTCTGTGAATAGTCTGTTCATGTCTTTTGCCCATTTTCCTATTGGCTTATGTGTAGTTTTATTATTAGGAGTCCATTAGATATTCTATATATTAATCTTTTGCCAATCATATGTGCTACAAATACCTTCTCTGGGTTTGCAACTGTTTTTTACCCTGTTTATGGTATCTTTTTCCAAGGTTTAAACTTTTTATTATAGAAAAACTTGAAATACACACAAAAACAGAAAGGATAGTATAATATTAGCTTTGCATTCATTACCCTGCTTCAAAAGTCATGAACTTATGGCCAATCTTCTTTTTTCTACACCTACGACTTCTCCATCTTATGTTGAAACAAATCCCATTAGTAATATAACTTCATCAACAAAAGTCAATATATTTCTATCAAATGTAGGGATTTTCCTTTTTAAACATAATCACAGTGGCATTACCATAACTGAAAATTTAATAGTATTCGATATATTAAGTGTTCAATGCTCGCATTTTCCTGAGATATATCCATTAACAATATAACCTTGGGCTAGTTATTTCATGAAAAAGGCAAGGAATGAAATTTCTGCTTTTCTGGCTCCACTATGAAAATCTAAGAGCTGCTTTTAGCTGTAGCCAGCCTGTTCATGTGCAATTACTATGCCATTTTATATCAGACTTCAGATTTTAACTTCATAATATTTTAGTAACCCATAATGTCTCAAAACTACAAGAAAGCAGCCGTTATGTGAAAATGAGTCTCTGCTGGGCATGATGGCTTACACCTGTAATCCCAGTGTTTTGGGAGGCTGAGGCAGGAGAATTGCTTGAGGCCGGAAGTTTGAGACTAGCCTGGGCAACATAGTGAGACCCCATCTCTACAAAAATAAAAACTTAGCCAGTCATGGTGGAGCACGCCTATAGTCTCAGCTACTTGGGAGGCTGAGGTGGGAGAATCGTTTGAGCCCAGGAGTCCAGGGCTGCAGTGAGCTATGATTGTGCCACTGCACTCCAGCCTAGGCAACAGAGCGAGACCCTGTTTCTAAAATAAATACATGTTAAAATCTGTACAGTCCTAGAACTAAGGACTAGAATGTAGTGTTCTATTAAGAAGCTTGGCTGATATGCTGCACTTGCCTATAACACAAAAATACAAAACAGGCTGAGCATTCCAGCGCTTTGGTAGGCTAAGGCAGGAGGATCGCTTGAGCCCAGGAGGTTGAGCCTGCAGTGAGCCATGATTATGCCACTGCACTCCAGCCTGGACAACACAGCGAAACTCTCTTAAAACACAACACAACAAAACAAAACAGACATAAAACATTGTGTTGGTAATTGCATTTCCAAATCAGTGTTATTTTGAGCAGCCCTTTGTTTCAATTATTGCTGTTCTTTAAAAATCATCAACTTGCATTTATCTGAATCATTAACTCTTTGATCTATTGGTGTTCTTACATTTAAAGATACACAGCAACTTAAATATGAATTATCCAAACCCCTTGTAGTAAAGCATAATCTCCACCCACTTCCAATTGCTTATACGGTGCCAATTCCTTATCACCAATTTGTTTTTCCAGTGATAAGTGGAAAAGGATGGAACCTTTTGCCTAACCCAAGTCGAGTTGGGCAGACAGTTCGAGAATCTCTGCTGTAAGTTACCATGGCTGGAAGAACCCAGCCCTGAAAATCCAGCACCATTATGTAACACTCATCCATTCCTTTCTGCTTTCTAGTAAATGTTGACTTCCTGGCTAGATTGTAGCTTCATGGGCAGTACCATGAATGAATCACTCTATGTCCCTAGGGCTTGGAACTGTAGATTCCATGAATGCATCAAATAAATGGGGTACATGACATGGTCACAAAACAGTAACACCTTGATTGTGACCAAAATTTTAACAAAAGAAATATCGTTTTTAAATGTGCAAAACTCTGTTAAAAGAAGTCGTTAGGGTCTGTCATGCCTTCCATGCTTGGCCAGCTCCAGGTTCTTAGCTCCTAATCAAGCAAGGTTTAAAAAAGCTCTGGATATAGAAAGCAGTTCTCTACCTCCATACACCTCCCAACCACAAATCCTTGCATTTTAACCATGCCTTCAAGCTTTAACATGGTGGCGCCTCATTCTCCAGTGTGGCAGGCAGCTTCCTGTTACTCGTATTCTTGTGTCCCTCTCCTTGAGTGTGGGCTGTGTCTCACTTCTAACAAACAAATAGACTATGGTAAAGTTATGGAATGTCCGTTTTGAGATTAGGTGATGAAAAGGCTCTGGCATCCATCTTGCTCTCTCGCTTGCTCTGATGGAAGCCACCTCCCATGTTGTGAGCTGACCCTTTAAGGCAAAGGCCATGTGGCAAGGAACTGAAGGAGGTGTCTGGCCAACAGCCAGTAAGGCACTGAGGCCCTCAATCCACAGCCCACAAGATTCAACCCACTGAACCCTCCCAGAAACCACTTCGAGCGATCTTGAAAGGCCTGTCCCACCTTGAGATGACTACAAGTATCATAGCCTCATGAGACACTGAGCCAGAGAACCCAGGTAAGCCATGCCCAGATTCCTCGTTTCAAGCTATTAAGTTTTAAGGCAATTTTTTACATAAATAACTTAACACATTTGAGACAAATGAGGCATTACTATGCCACAGCCTGAAAACTGTCTAGCAGTTACCTTAGGCAAGTTAATCTATTTTCAAACAGGAAGAGCCTTCCCCACCTCATAGACTAACTGTAATGTCTGTGTGAAGGCATCTGCTCACATATAAAATAAGTAAGCTTCCTTTGAACTCAACACAGAAAATTTTAACGGACTCAAATTGGTTTACCAATATCTTTCAAGAGGAATTTCAATTGAATTGTTCATAATTTATACTTTTTTATATAGAAAACATTTTTAACTAGTGAAAACAAAGGACACATTCAAAATCAGGTAGAAATCATGTTTCCTTTTAATTGAATACTTAATTCACAACGTTTCCTCTCTTGCTGCTACTCTGGTAATAATTAGGTCCCCACCTCTCAAGAACATTGCACCTGACTAGACTGAGAGCCAGTGTGAACATGGGCCCCAAACCAGGGCTTTCGGAATAACAAGGAACAGCCAAGCCAGCCTCTCCCTTCACTTAGAAAGGGATTATGAATGGAAGGGTCCAAATCTTCATCATCCAAACACAGAAAACCAGGAGCTCAACACCTACATGGAAACCAAAATGTATCAGGAATAAAGTACAGTACCCCTTCACATACTCAAGGTCAAGATGGGTTTGCAGAAATCATATCTGACCATCTGGCCTCTGCTAGTAGATATGGCCCCATCCCAGCATTTTTAAGAGATGTTTTTGTTGTATTATTTCCCCAAGGGGTATAAAATCTACCAAAAGGAATATAATGAATCAGAATAAATCAGCTCACTCACAAGAAACGTTCTTGGGTAATGGTTTTTAGTTGCTGAGCTTATTCAGCACATTATTTAAAAGTGGCAAAATTCAGGGCAATCTGAGAATTCAAAAGTGGCGGCCACAGGTTTGGGTAGGACACACATACATACAACCCCCATTTTTTTCAGTGTATATGTCAAGATGTCAAGACCTCAAGACCTCTGATCATCAAAATAAGTTATTTTGTATATTATAATGCACAGGACAACAGAAGGAAACTTTCTTGGAAGGTGATGACAAGGCCTTTTGCAAAAGGTCCACTCCAAAAGGACTGGTGCCCAGTGCCTTGTGGCCTTCATTAACTTGATCCCTCCTCTTCTTTGGTTGCAGTGGCCTCAATGGGAGCTGTTTCTTCTGCTTGTTCTGCTGGCTTCTTCTCTCTTTCCTCTTCCTCATCCTCATCCTCTTGGGGATAGAGGTCTGGGTATTTCTGCATGCATTCCTGCATGGCCCGGAACTGGTCTACACAGTCTGACCCCTTGATCTCCTCCGTGCTATAGTGGAAGCAGGAAAAGGCTGACTTAAACTGTTCTCCACAGGGACCGCTGGCCATTCCCCCAAGGCATGGGCAGTTCCAGTTAATGTTTCCATTTGGCAGTATCAATCCTAGAACAGGAAGATAGAGAGATGTTCTCTAAAGTTTCAGAAAATACAAAACTAGTCCAGTCCTCACAGGCTACTGAGGGGGTGCAGAACAGGAACTATTGTTGCCTATGGACCCACACCTCGATTTGGATTAGGTTTAAAGCCTAGCACATATCCAGCATTCCTTGGCCCACCTGGGAGAGAAGCCACCAATGACATATTTCTCCACGTGTGACACTAATTTATTCTAAGCCACCTCTCAGTGCTCTGAGGCTGTGCTCCAAGAATTAAATACCGGGACCCATTTAGCCCAAAGAAGAGGAGATCACTTGGATGGTTAGTGAGGAGCTTTTTGAAAGCCCAAACACTTTAAGGAACTGAGGTATTGATCTCCTCTTTCCAATCCCCCTCCCCATATGGATGATCAGGACCACCCCACCCCCATGCTCCCTGCCCCCCTGAGCCCCTCTTGCCCTGCAGCTGCTCTCAGAAGCTCAGCATAGCCTGGGGACTGGTGAAAAGGAGGAGGTTGCTCCTTATGTACTGACGAAGAAAGATGTCCAAGACATGCTGCACAATGAGAAGCTGGTGGCATACCATTAGTGCGAGTGCATTCTTGTAAAAATCAACCAAACCTGTTAAACTGCACATATGTGTTGGGCAGGAAGCAAGGTTATAGATGGGTTTTCATTTTCACTATATTAATAGGCTTCTTACTTTTGACTTTTATACCTTTTCTTATCATTGAACTTTATTCACATCTAAATAGTATTTCTTGGTTTTCCAAAATGCTCTCAAAACGATGGCTTCATTTTCAGCTTTGTGAAGACATGATTCATACAGAAGTTTCTTACATGATTCTTATTAAGAGACTGAAAGTACTTTCTAAGAGAGCCTCTAAAAGGTCCTGTGAAATTACACATGATTCTTCACTCCAGGGCAGTACCCAAGCCTGGCACTCTGCACTAACGTCCAAAGTCCTAGGCGAAACCCCGCCTGCCTTCAATTCCAGCTTGGGAAGCTCCACTGATCAATGGATCTGCTGTAGCTATTCCTGTTCCTTACTTGTAAAATGGGGACAGCAAGGACGATGCCAACTAGTGCTGCCCCCTTAGCAGGCGCAGACCCCCAGGACCATCAGCAGTTGCAGATCAAGTTCTCCTGCATTAAGCTACGTTTGGTAACTCACATAAGCCTTCTGACAACCTTCTGCAGTGGGTGCTACTAACCCCAGTTTACTCATGCAGTCTCTGGGGTTCATGGTCCAAGTGAGGACTGCAGACTGGGCTGACAGGATTCCCAGAGTCCATGCCCCTTCCCCTACATCTCACCACTTCTTGAAATGGACCTCAGTGCTGGAGAAACATTTGCAAATGCTGCCCCCTGGAGCTTCAAATCTGCTCACAAACCTGCACAACCAGTTTCCAAAAGAGGTAATACTGACATTTAAAAATTACAACCCAGTACAAATTGACCAGGTGGTTGATTAAAAAAAATCATAACAAAAAATGTATAACCTAGGTCTCCAGGAGTCCTTGTTTCATTGTTTCTTAGGGGCAGGTAAGCTGGAATGAGATACCTCCTCACAAAGCACATGGTGCCAATTTGCATTTCAGGGACACAATATAAATCCACACAGAGGGTACCTTTGGCATGTTACATAAAGCTCAGATGCAGTGTGTTGTCAAACATGCAGTCTAAGGCCTGAAGTTCCAGTCTCTGGCTGAGTCAGTCTCCGCCCCCGCCCAGGCCCCCAGTTTTCTCATTGGATCAGATGATCTTTAAGGCCCTCTTGATGTTTTGATTCTAGGAAAATTAATTCTGCCACCTTTTTTCTTGGTACTCTTAGCTATTCCAAGCACCATCTCAGCTGCAGAGCTGGATGCTGGAAGGCAGGTAGATGGCATAAAATGGTGGCTTACTTGGTCCACTTACTAATTTTGCAGTTTAAGAGCTTGAAACTTGGGTCCCAGAGTTCTTTGCGTTTTATAGGCTTCTTTTTACAAAGTATTCACTATAAGGGGCTGTAAAGCCAAATGCATCATATGGTATACCTACTATCCAAGCAGATACATTGCAAGTGACAGAAGCAGGTAAAAAAAAACAACAGGGACAGGAAAGAATGGTGGGATCTGGAGGGGGCAGACCAGTCTAAAGGCAGATACGTACTGCTTTTAATAACACTGTGAGGCAAACAAAACAAGGCCCGATTTGTCCTGCAGGCCTCCACAGTCTTGATCAATTAATGAAATGTGCTTAATATGGATCTAAAGATAAGCAAGGTACTAGAATTGACATGTAAGCCCTGATCAAGATTACCCTTGCAGCTGTCTTTCTCAGAATGCTAACACTTTGTATAACGTCTGCATTTCCCACTGCTCCCACTGGGTGCTGGATATGTATTTTATGCTTTAACCCCTAGGAGCAGTCAGGGCAACAAGTGAAGGGTCCTACAAGGAATATACACACATCAGTTAGCATTTGAGAAATTCCAATCAGGAGCCCATATTCTCGAGGCGGCTGCTTCAAGCTCTTCAATTACCAGTTAGCACTAGAAGATTAGTTGTCATCATGGACATCAGAAGTGGTTTTTGATTGGTGAAGTGACTACTGTACAATACGTAGATTGTTCATGGACACTGCACACACACATCCACCTCACACGGTCTGCAGTAGTAAGTATCTAGTGAGTTTAGCAGCCCAAATCCTTTGGAACAATGTCCTAGGCCTAAGCGACCACTGTTATATTCAGCCATTAACCAAGGAGTGAGCAACAGCTCTGACTAGGTTAGCTGACTCCTGCTGCTAGAAAGCTGTCTGTGGCAAGTGACCTTTTCATGTAAGGTGCTTGCTGGAGCAGTTAGAGACAGCAGGGACTTCACCAACCTTACAGAACAAGGTGAATGACTGTCTACTTGCTAATAAAGTTGGTAGATGTGGCAGAATTCAGTCTGGCAACTTGTCTGAGCAAAAGCCCTGTCACCTTAACCTACCTATAACTGCTGGAATCTACTAATACCCTCTCCCAAAACTTAGCTGTTGTGCCAGGGAAGTACATCAGAACAAGGCTGGAAAGCACAGTCCCTCAAACCTCTGAGGAAGATAAACCACTGCCCTCAGAGATGGTCTATGGCTGAGAATAGATACCTGAAAACTTGGCCTTGGCTAGGAAAACATGGGAAAGGAATTAAGAACACTGAGCTTCTCCCCAGTGCCCTGGTGTGGGTCCCTGGGAGGCCACATGTCACTCACCATGCTCCTCGTATGGATCGTTGGGGTCATCAGCCACCAATTCTGCACTGCTTGGAGTTTCATGATCTTCTTTGGTTACAAATATGATTCGATCCTTCCCTAGTGTTTGGAGAACAGAGGAAGAAATATTTCATTCAAGAGCAGTGAATCAGCTTTAAACCCAAAGCAGCCGCCACACAAACCAAGTTTGAAGACTCTCCCATATGCCATCCCTATGTGAGGTGACTATCAAACTGCTCTCATATGCTAGGGGTAGCAAACAAAAGCGGATGGATAAGGGGCAGGGCAGGAAAAGAAGCACTGAAGAAAAAGAGTGTCCTGGGGTTGACCCACAGGGTTCAGAATGCATAAAAGTTGAAGGAAGACTGAGCACATTGGCAAAGTGAGTGTGCAGTGATGTGGGTCCTCAGCCTACAGATCACTGCAGCCCACATAGCTGATGCGGCCACAGGCCCCTGCCTCTGAAAGGCTGAGGACACAGGTGGTCTGAGAGGGACCACAGCCAGCACCCCCACTAGGCCTCTGGGCTCCTAATCGTGGCCGGAAGAAGGAAGGGTCATAAGGTGAGGAACACTGCAGCCGTTCCACTCCCCACAGTCCAAGAGGCCGGGGGACCATTTCCCAACAAGTATAATAACTGGAGGGGGGCAGTGGGAGGAGCACTTCTCAGATCTTTTTAACTGTGACCATCTGCAGTTTATTTTTTTAGGACAAACCCAACAGTGGTTAGGGTCAGGACTGTGGTCCTGTGAGGACCAGCATGGGAAAGCCAGCAGGCCTAAAGTGCAGAGCACCTTGTTCACAACCAGAGCCCTCACCCTGGGGCCTGGCTGCCGGAAGGTCTGAGGGCTCCAGGAAAACAGACCAGTGAGAGTCAAATGCATTTTATATTAGGAGCTTCTCCTCACTGGAGGCTGGGTGAGCACAGAAAAGCACATCAGTCCTGGCCAAACCAGGGTGGGTGCATTCACTGCCTTAGAGTGACCCCCTATGAAGTATTATCACCCTCAGCCCCCATGGAGTACAACAGAAAACCAAGGCTGAGTTAAGCAGAAGGGAGGTCCTTACAGCCCTCTCTGCTACACCTTGTAGCTGTCAACACTTTACCTCACCTCCCTAAAAACTTTGGCCATCAGCTAACCACACCACAGGTATGTGTCAGATATTCCCATTGTGGGCAAGGAGCACCTTGTCCTCAGTACCCCACACTGCACGGTGGGTCATCAGTTTCTCCAGCTGTCCCCAGAGAACAGACAGAGCCAGTCCATCTTTTGGTCCTCCGTGTGAGCTCATTCCTCCATCCTATCGCCACCCTGAGAGGGAGGTAGCAGCATCCCCTTTTAATGGTGGTGAGCCTGAGGCTGTGAGTAGTAACTTGCTGGGCCACACAGGACAGGATGCTCTGAAGTCTACACTGTTGGAGATCCTTTCTACACACCCATACTGCCCCGCACCAACATTTGCACAAGAATAATCGACAGCTGACACTGAGCACTTAGCATGACTGGGCACTGCCTGAGAGCTTGTGCACCTTGGGCAATGAATAAATACAATAAATTCTGACCCAACCTCGGCCCCAAAAAGCTTAGAACCAAGTGAAATGTTTGCCAAGTAAACAAACAAGATCTTTCTTGTACTTTCCTGGTGAAGGTGAATGACAAATTCTACAGACCAACTGACCATGCATTCTGATCCTAGAAGATCTGGGGTACTGGGACCCTCATCTGGAAGGGGATAGGAGGTGCCAAGCATTTAAGAAGACTTCTTCAGGTATGGCCAAAAGTGCCTGGCAGAGAGCCACAGTGCATGGCTCTGAGTGAGTGGCCACTGTGGGCGCAGAGGCCGGACCTGCAGAAACGTGGCCCTGTGAAAGCTGCGGGCATCTCTGATCACTTTATACTTTTTGTTTATATTTAGAAAAGTTCAGTCACAGCTATGCTGAGGGGAAAGCAAGGAAAAAGGTTTGGGCCCATGCTTGGGCTGAAGTAATTAAGGAAGAGGCTTCTGGAAGGAAGGGGGCAGTGACAACAAAAACCGAGCGACATCTCCAGTGAGAAGGACAGTTCAGGGGACAGAGGGAGGGCACTTTGGTGCCTTACGCCATGCCCACACTGCACAGGGTCTCTTACACTAGAACAGAGTAACAACAAAAAACCCTCAGCACACGGGGCCAGGACCCCCAACCCACTGGAGGCTTTTGCTCCCAGAGCTGGCCTCTGCCTCAATACCTTGCATGTCATCCAACAGAAGGCTGCTTTTCCCCTGTGGCTGACTGGGGAAAGCTTTTGGACCAGGCAGCCAGGACTTGTTAAAGTACCTAGTAACCTTGATTCTACTATTCTGGCCAGTTTCCAAAATACTCAAAAGCAATCTGTAAAAATGTTGAACGCTAAGCAGAATGAGCTGATGCAAATTTCGCAACTCAGCTCTGGCAGTTTTGTTTACCGAGATGGCAGCTCAGCGCAGCCCAACGGGGAGGCCCAGTCACAGGCACAGAAAGCAAAGGGTCCAAACGTGGTAAAGTATGAGGCCCTCCTGGGGTTTGCCATACATAGAGAGACCAGGCCTCACCCAAGAAAAGCTGAATCGAGCTCTCTGCCATGTCCATGTAGCTCACGGGCTTCACAGGTGACTGTGATACACAGCCAGGTTAGGAAACACCAGCCTAGCACAATCCCACTGAGAATTCCAGGTCCCTCCCACTGGGCCAGGTCCTCACATGTGCCTTCCTGGACATTTTCCCTTGCAGCACAGTTCACACTGGATCGAAAGTAGAACAGTAACAGCTGTATCTTTTACACATTTTTGTCCCATGCAATGTGTTTTATTACATCTGTGAGTTCACTGGTGGGTATTACTTTATCTCCATTTTACAGAGACCACAGGATCTGAGAAACAGACCAAAAGACATGCAGTAAATGAAGGCAGAACAGGAACAGGAACTCTGGTCTGAAAGATCTGGAGTATGTCCCCTACAAACTGTCCATTGTATGCCTGTCCTAGAGGGCCTTTGCTTTCTGGAACTTTTAAAAGTCGATTCAAGGACTGATGCAAGGACAAGGCTTACCTATTCCTAACAGACCTAACTGTGAAAGAAAGGACTGGTCAGACTAGTCGTAAGATGCCAACTAGTGGGACAATCAGCTAGACTAGTAGTTCTCATGACATTTGTCAGCAATTTCTCTAGAGAAATAAAATTTAAAAGTGCTTGTGTTTTTATTTCTAAGATAAGCTTTAAAAGCAGTTGAATATGCATGTTCTGAAGGAGGTGGAAAACTACCTTAAACCCTCTGGTGCACAGTGGCTTCAATATTTCAATATCACAGAGAGTCTGAGAACTGGAGTTCAAATCTGGGCTTAAGCACTTCCCACTGTATGAGCTCAGGTACCATCTGGGCCTCAGAAACCAGGCCTTACCACCAGCTCCACCTACCTACCTCACGTGGTTGGGGAGGTGAAATGAGTTTCTGCTGTCAGCTGGAATCCCACTTGACAGCAATTTTTAAAGGGCATCAAGGATAGCATGGCCAGGAAAAGAGACAATCACAGGCTCAGAGATGTCAATAATGTTTTGGAAATGGGAGAGCTGATGGTCGAGTGCTCTCTGACTTAACCAGTGAAGAAAGCTGAACTCAAAGTGCACAAGGAGGAGGTCATCCAGAATCAACTCAGTCCCCACCCCAGAACCTTGGTCAGAGTGGGGAACTGGAGGCCCGAGGGGTTACTCTGAGTGCAGGACTTCAGGGTGGGGCTGAGAACAGAACTGAGTGAGCAGTCAGATACAAAGACACCTTCCACCCCCAGCTGTTTAGTTTTACTCTCGGTAGAGCCACCCCAACCCGTCTTTCTCTCACATCTCCAACAGCAAATTGGAATGGCTCGATCTTCAAATACATCCAGAAAGAGCTGCATCCCTCACCTCTTCGACCCCATCTCCCACCATCACTCCCTGCACTCCAGCCACGCTGGCCTCTGCTTTTACTTGAATGTGCTGAGCACATGCCTACCTCTGGCCTTTGCACAGGGTGTTCTGTCCTCCAGGAGCACCTTCCCTTCCCTCAGGTACCCTCACAGCGATTTCTCCCTGCTTTCACCTCCTGCTCAGATGCCACCGTCCCTGACCACTGCCCATCTCCCTTATCCCGCTTTATCTTTCTCCAAAGTGCTTTTCGTCACCCAACATACTATGTATGTTTACCACTTGATGCCCCCACTGGAATGTCAGCTCCTCAGAGGCAGTGATTTTTGTCTATTCTGTTCATTGCAGTATCCTGAGAGCCCAGAATAGTACCAAGGACAAAGTGGGTGTTCAATATTTGTTGAAAAAAATGAATGGAGAAACAACTCTGGATTAGGGCTTGAAGACCCAAGTGTAAGAATTAAAGAGGAGAGAAACACGAAGGGTGGCTTTTCAGTCAACAGGGACAGGTTTATTTTAAACAAACCTGAGAGGGGCTGCTGGCTGAGTTAGGTCAGAGCCACACTCTCTTACAGACTAAGAGTTTTTAAGGATTCAGGGTGGGAGAGCTTATCAGTGGCTTGGACTGCTTCTGTGTCTCTTTGTTGTGCTTATCTGGGAGGCAGACTGGTGTGTCTGTTTCCATACATCTTTCTGCAGCTGCAGGCATATCCCCCCAAGACTGCTTTTAGCTTCCCTATCTTAGTACACCTGAAGGGAAAGGAATGTGCTTATTAAGGCCCACAGTTTTACTGGGGCCCATTGTATGAGGGTGAAGTTTGGCAGTCACCCAAGAGACTTTCCCCCCACCTCCCTCTGTGTCCCAGCTGTCTTGTCTGTGTTTTACTGTCTGCTCTTTCTGGCTGCTTGTAGTTAGAAGAGAAGTGACTTCCTTGAAATGCATGAGGCTAGAAAGGGAGCTGGAACTTAATGTGCCAGTGTTTGTCCGAGATGACGCTACTCCTGCTCTGTCACCCAGTCCCAGCAGAAAGCAGGAAGACAGAATGGTTATCACCATTAAGTGAGTGAGACCAAAAAATCCCTTGGATGAGTAGTTTGATTTCCCCCATGAAAGGGGAGGATCTTTATACACCAGAATCTCTCAGCTCATCCACCCCAGAAGGAATGCCCCTGTGTCCTGCAGAGGAAGCAGTTTATTGTCTCCCATGGATGCTGACTCCCCAGGGTCATGTTTGAGAATGGCAACCTGCACTAAGGACTTATTTTCTTTCGTTTTTGGCTAAGTTGATTCAATACACCTGTGATACAATTCCAACCACTACTTTCTGAAGCTCAACCCAAGAAAGAGATCTAAAGCCAGAGGGAGTGGTGCCTGTGGTGTATTTTGAGTGAGGTAAGGGGTTTCTAAGAGTTTGATAAATCTGACTGCTAAGGACTTTCATGTTTAGAATCTAACCCCTTTGAAAGATACAACTCCCCCATACAGAATCAAGTGTCTGTGAAGAATACACAAATGGCTTTCAGACAGAGTGTTAAGAAGAATGCAAGTGTTAGAAGTTTAGCTCAACAAACCTTCCTCAGCTCCAGCTCTGTGGTAGTACCTGGTGGTCACAGATGAATACGACACAGGCATCCAGTGGAGAAGACGGAAGGGGAGGGATCCTACCTTTGTCCCTGACAAAGAGCTTCAGGGAGGGAAGGAGGGGAATAGACATTCCAGAAGGAACCATCCTGGGCAAAGCCTGGAGGGCAAAAGGAGGGTTTTAAGTAGTGTTCGCTCACACGTGTTTAGGATTGCAAAAGGTTTTCTTAAGAAAGTGGCATTTAAAAGGATGTCTGAAGCCTCAGGAAGCCTTCTCAGACCCCATAGAGCCTTTCACTAAACGATCATAGCATGCTGGGCTTTTCCTTCATGTCACCTATGACAGTCTGTAATCATGCATTTGTCTGGTGATGTTTTAATGGCAATCTGTTCCACCATGCCAGGAGGGCAGAGAATGTGTCACCTTGCTCACCACTATATGCCCAATGGCTGGCACATCACGTGTGCTCTATAATTGTTGACTGAACAGGAGTTGGCAGGCTCTGCATTAGAAAGAGGAAACTAAGAAAGAAACACTATGGTGCTGACACAGGAGAAGTGTGGCTAGCCCAAGGCCCAGGTGCGAGGCTGAGAGCCCTTGAATGCCAAACCAACGAGTTTAACCTGAAGGCTGGGTAGCAGGTGGACCCCTGAAATAAACTTGTACAGGCAAGTGATTCACTCAGAACAGAGGGCAGGTAAATGCATGATTCAATAAAGATGTGGGCACCCATTGTACACCAAGCCCTGTGCTAGATGCTGGGGATTCCACAGCCCATCTGATGCTCTCAGCTTAGTGCGAGAAGACAGGCAGGAAGTAAGATGGCAAAAAATAAAAAAGGTCATTTCAGACAGTTCAGGATGTGAAAGACACAAAGGGTCAGGAGGTGATATTGGAGCTAAATGTTAAAGGATGAGGAGTCAGCCACGGAAGAGCTGAAGGCAGGATATACCAAACCAAGGGAATAGCCAAGAGGCTAGAGGCTGGGCAGCAAAAGGGTGGGAAGAGACCAGGCTGGAAAGGCAGACAGGGCCAGATCACATAAGCTCTGATACAGTAAGCAGTTTGGGATCATTTTTTAAAAATCCTATGGGAAGCATAAAGGATCAGTGGGGGGCGGAGGGGGGGAAGTTAGGGACTTCTTACGGGGACAGTGGTATGCACAAGATAAATACTAAGGAAGGCCTATAAGTGAGTGCTTTCAATTCTCACTCCTCTCCGAACTAAGAGAGATCTTTGAAGCAGGAAAAGATAGGGCTCCATGTTTTGGAGGCAGATGGACCTAGCCTCCCCTTTCCAGAGAAAACTGCCTCCTGTAAATCCTCAAAGAGGAGGGTCTTGTTTATCAGCACAGCCTCATTATACCCAAAGGCTCAAAAATTATTTGCTAAATGAAGTAAATTAGAGAAAGACTCGAAATTAAAAACAAGAGTGGTGAGGGCAGAGGACTTTTGCTTATGGCACACATTAAGTAGTAATCAGCGGAAATATAATAGTACTCATTAAAGAGTGAGTCTTATGGCTTTACGACCCAGAGGAGGAGAGGTTCTAGAAGCAGACAGCGCCACCAGGGAAAAGGCTCAGAATTTTAGGCTGAGCTAGTCTCCTAACTGGATGTGTAACTACAGGTAGGCCACCTCCTTCTCTGGGCTTCAGATTGCTTGAATTAACTGACGGAGCTGGAGTATTCACCAAAGAATTTCTGGGGGACTTCCAACTCTCTCTGTAGTTTTATAACCATCCATCCCCCTTCTCTGGCGCAGAGAAGGTGCTTCATGAGTATTTGCCGTATCAATGAAGCCCAACATCTCATTTTACAACACTGGATACCAGGGCCTGGAGGGGTTAGGTGGGAGCTCAGGGCCAAGGAGCCAGTTTGTGGCAGTGTGTGGGGAGGCCCTCCGACCTGTGGCTCGGGTACTTCTGAGCTCTTGGGTAGAGTAACATCAAGGAAGCAGTAGGTGGTCGGAGCTCAACTTTGGGGTGGGAGGTAGGCAGGGTTCTCCCTGCAATCCACTGGGCACTAGATTGGATAAGGCTCTTCTGGGGTCACAATGCCCAGGCTCAAACCCCAGCTCCACGATTTGCTGGCTGAGTGGCTTTAGCCATGTCTCCTGTGTCTAACTTTACTCTTCAGTAAAATGTGACCAACAACAGAGCCTGACTTACAAAGGTCGCAGCGAGATCTGTGAGACAAGCCAGGCAAGTTTCCTTGAACAGTGCCTGACAGGTAGCAGGGGGCTCAAAAACATTCCCGTTAGTGGAACTCCTAGCACTCCAGCACAGCACACGCTACCCCGAGTGGCAACTTTTCGGGACGCGCCTTTTAAAGGCGCGTGCAAAATGTAAACACGTGGGGTATGGCAGGAGCGGTAGTGATAATTAACCACCATACATTCCCAGTTTCGAGCCACACGCAACGTGCTCGGCACTTCCCGTGCCCCAACCGGACCTAGTTTACGACTTCCTACGCACAGGCCCCTCTGAGGTCAGGGTTCGGGCTTCACTGTGACCTTGGACCAGCCCCGTTCCCCCCAGAGCTTCGGTTTTCTCATCCGCAAAACAGGAGTAGCGACCCCCCAGCCGGCCCGCCTCCGAGTGTCCCAGGGTGGGCACCTGGGCCGCGCCTCAGGTGGCCCGCGCCCGGCGTGGTCGCGGGGCGCCGGGGCCCGCGTGTCTCCCGCAGGCCCTCGTAGGCCGGTCTCCGTGGCAGCCCGCCCTCCCTACCTTCCTGCCGGCAATAGGACATGGCTGCAGCCCGTCCCTGAGACCTTGCAGAAGCGGCGGTGGCGGCAGCTGCACCTTTACGCCGTGACCTCCCTCTCCTCTGGCAGGGCGGGCTCCTCCGAAGCCCGCGCGGACCCGCCCCCTCCCAGGCCTGCCCGCCGCGCGCCTGCCTCGGCGCCCTCGCAACCGCGGCCAGGCCAACCTCAGCCGGAAACTACATTTCCCAGCAGGTCGCGCGCTCCTCGACAGCTCTCCAGGCAGTAGAAACTACATTTCCCCGAAAGCTTTGCAGTGCGCAGGCGCATCAATGAGGTACTGCAATGTCCCGGACCGTATAGTTTCCAGGACGTCTCGCCGCGCGCATGCGCAGAAACACTGGGCACAGGGGGAGGTAACTGCAGTAAGTCCCGCTTGGCCCTGGAGTCCACGCGGATTTTCGAAGCTGGGGCTGGCAAGAGGCCGCTGGACACCACGCTCCAGTCGTCAGCCCACTTCCTAGCTGAACAGCGCGAGGCGGCGGCAGCGAGCCGGGTCCCACCATGGCCGCGAATGTGAGTATCCCCGGGCCAGCCGGGCCACACCCAGGCTTCCCCGTCGCCCTGGGGCTTTTCCCCGGGGTCCTCTAGGTCCATTTCGCCGCCTGGAGCTCCTCCGTGCGGCTAGGCCCGCATCTCCCTCTGCTCGCCGTGTCTGTGCCTTCGCCAGCTCATCCCTCTGCTCATCTCGCGGCCTGTCCAGGCTTCTTTTGTCCGTGTTCCTTGGCTCGCCTCGTCCTCGGCGTTCGTGCGGAGGCGGACTCGGAGGTGTTGCTCCCGTACTGGGATCTGCTTGTACGCCTCTCCGCGGCCCCTCCTTGCATTCCCAGTTCCCTCCTGTACCTTGGGGCCCTGAAACTTGCGCATTATGAGAGCTGGACGCGACCTCAGAGAGGGCGCCAGTCCCTTGGGAGGGAGGAAGGCGATCCAGCCCAAGTGGAGCTGTCCAGCAATGGACAGACAGGGCTGTCCAGGCGGGCAGAGAGCTCTCCGCCCTAGGGAGTCTCTGTAAACCGAGTCTGTGATGCTCCAAAAAGCTTAGGCTGGGCTGGGAGCGAAGGAGTTGGGGGAGAGGGAGCATTTCTCTACTGTCGGGGCCCCTCCTCCCCCTAGCAAGGATTTGGTTGGAGGAGGCCTGGCTGAGGGCTGTTCCCTCAAGGCCTCTTCTCCCTGCAACTAGCCTTTCTCGGGAAACTATTTAAGCCCAACATTCATTCAACAAGCAGCGCCTCCTACCAGGGCGCTGGGTGTGGGAGAAGCTGGTGACTCACCTCTCCCCTCCTCTGTGAAAGTGCTTCTAGGGCCCGCTTAGGAGCCCAGCCAGCCCCAGACACACCCTCCCTCCTGCTTTGGTAGAGTGTCCTAGCAGCTCTCCCCTTGCCTGTCACACCCTATTTCCAGACACCGCCTCTGTCCCCAAGCGTCCTCTCTGCCTCCCACACCCCTTGAGAGGCCAGGGTGTGCATCACCCACAGCCCTAGTACACTTTGTCTCGGGTTAGTATCATCCACACTCCCAGGACATTTCGGGCCCACAGGAGGGTTAGAAGCCTTGAATGTTGTACCTAGAAAAGCCTCAGAGGTATTCGGAGAGACTCAGGCTCGGCCAGGCGAGAGGGCAGTCAGGAGACCAGCCTGTCTGTAGTATGTGGACTCTTTGTCTGCTCCCATCACTACCACCACCATATTTTACAGATGGGGAACTTCCCTAGCAGGGGAAGGCACTTGCCCAAGCTCTCGTGGCCGGCTTGGCATGCTGTGACACGGAAATATGCTGAAAAGGGCAGGCTTTGGAGTTAGGGAGACCTGGGGGCAATCCAGATTCTTCCACCCAGTAGCTGTGTGGCTTTCATCTCTCCAGGTTTATGTAGCCTCATGGATCAGTTACTGTGATATTTAAGGGAGACTGCTTAGCACAGTGCCTGATGTGTGGTAGGTACTTAATACTTGAAAACAAGCCTGTCCTTGCAGGGTAGCACAAATGGTCCCAGTGGATAGAGATCATCTTGGGTACATTGAGACCTGACCCCTCACCAAGGAATATACATGCATTTGAGTATTCTCTGCTGCCAAGCATTTTTTGATTCATCCAGTAGCTGAGTACACATTTACAGCAGCCACTAGGCTGGGTGAGGAAGAAGATAGCGGGATGGAGCAGGGAGGCAACAAAATTCTCAATCAGTACAGCAGCAGCAGTACCTGTGGTGAAGGTACTATTCCCCTCTCCACTTTATAAGTGAGTAAACAGAATCAGAGAGGTAGAGCAATTTACCCAGGCTTACACAGCAAGCGATTGGTGAACCTAGGCATCAAATCCAGTTCTGTCCATTTCCAGGGCCTATGTGTCAGCCTCTGTTCCCACCACTCATTGCTCATTTCTTCTAAGTCCTGAGTGCTAGGACTGGGAGGGGATGTGTCACTGGGGATGTCCGTCTGTGTGTGCGTGTGTGTGTGTGTTTATATAATGTGTGTATACATGTAATACATACTATATGTATATATAAATATGTGTGGATATATAGATCCTTTATGATCCTCCATGTTTACTGGGAATTTTGGTTCAGAATGTGGGCTGGGTTTGTCATGTCACTGCCCACCTCACCCCTCCCCTAGCCTGAGGGGCACCCTCCTGTACCTCTCTTCCTTCCCTCCAAGGCCGTCTTTGAGCCCCTTATCTTGATGCTGGCTGAGGGGAGGCCCAAGAGGAAGACACGCCTTATTTTCCTATTGCTGCCTGCAGCTGGCTCCCAACATTCAGCTCACATTGTAGCCCAAGAGATGGGGAGCACAGACTGGAATGAGTAATGGGAGAGTAGCCTCCAGTCTGCCCGGATTTGAATCCTAACTCTTCCTCTTAGAAGCTGTGTGATCTGGGAAGATGACGTAACCCTGAGCCCGATTTTCTTATCGGTGAAATGGGGTCGTTATGACATCCCGCTCTTTGGGCTTGCCTGTGGGCTGGCCTGTGATAGACCCGGTGTGTTTGCCATTGTCATCATTGTGATGGTCACCTGCCCCTATGTGGTGATTCACTCACCTAATGTTTCCAAATGGCATGGAAAGTCAAGACGACTTCTGGATTCATGGACATCTGGTCACTGGAGGCCTTGGCTGGTGGTACTCAAAGACAATCAGAATGCGACATCAGCTTTGTTCAAGCAGAGATTCTGAGTCAAATCACTCCTCTGGCCCCCAATACCAGGATGGGGCCTGTCTTAGCTGGGCCCCACTTTACATCTTTGTGACTTTTGTCAGCTCACCCCCAGCCTGGTGCCAGCCCAGTATCAGTTGTAGGGAAATCTGGTAACATTTCTACTAGCTAACACGTGTCCAGTGCTTACCACGCCCTAGGCCCTGAGCTACCCAATAACTGTGTTCTTTGGTTCTCACCACAACCCTATGCACAGAGGAAATGGAAGGCACAAAGTGGTGAAGTTGCTTGCCCAAGACCCCGTAGCTGGTATGTGGCAGAGCATAAATGCAAACCCAGTTCTTCTGGCTCCAGAATCCTGCCCTAGACGATGACACTTTTGATCAGCAGTGGATGCACCCCAAATCATGCCTCTGTTATTGACCAAAGCCTGATCCACTCACCCTTGAGTTTGAGGCCCACTGTGAACCTGCCCAGAAATGCCTACCTCCAAGCCCTTTCTTCCTCCACTGCTCCCACCCAGCCAAAGCAGACAGGCAGCTGCTCCCCCAGAACCACTTCCTACTTCCTCATCACTGCTGATACGGTTCTCCCTTTAGGGATGCTCTTCCCCTAAGATCTGCCTCTAAGATTCCACTCAAGGGAGCCTCCTTGATACCCCAGGTGGAAGGGGTCACTCCTTGAGCACCAAGTCCACCCCCATCACAGGACCCTCTGTGTGACCTTCTAGTATTGTTTATGGTTGTGACCTCACTGCCCTAAGACTGTCTACTTCTGACCCCACAAGGGCTAGCACTGCCCTCAGAAAGCTCAGCCACTGTTTGCTGAATTTAATTAAAAATACATCTCTAATAACCTCTTTGTAAAATAGCTTGGCAGTTTCATAAAAAGTTAAACGTACATCTTCTTCACGAGCCAGCAGTTGTACTCCTAGGTATATTCCTACGGGAAATGAAAGCACATGTCTGCATAAAGGTTCATGTATGAATATTCACAGCAGCATTATTCATAACAGCCAAAACCTGGAAGCTGTCAAGATACCCATCCACTGACGAATGATTCAGCACACTGTGGTATAGTCATAAATGGAATACTACTCAGCCATGAAAAGGAACAAATTCCTGATAAACACCACAACATGAATGAATTGCAAAAGCAGTGCTCTGAGTCCAAGAAGCTGGGCAGAAAGGAGTTGGTGCCCTGATTCCATTTTTCTCAAGTTGTAGAAGAAACAAACTAATCTACGGTAGGAGAAATTCAAATTCAGATTCTCCCCATCCCCACCAGTTACCTCTGGTTGGTGGAGAGGGGGAGAATTGGCAGGAAAGGGGCACAAAGAAACTTTTTGGGGTGATGGAAATATTTTGTACCTTGCTTTAGATGTTGGTCAGATGGAATATACGTTTGTGGAAACCTGCCAAACTGTACATTGAATATCTGTGTGTTTTTACCACATACAGTTAAAACTAAAAAAAAAAAAAAAAAAAAAAAAAAATTGAGTATAAATAAATAGCAAATTTAATTTATTTTTAAAAACTAGTTTTCATTCTGTTACTGTTTCTTTTTCTTCAGTATTCCAGTACCAGTACCCGGAGAGAACATGTCAAAGTTAAAACCAGCTCCCAGCCAGGCTTCCTGGAACGGCTGAGCGAGACCTCGGGTGGGATGTTTGTGGGGCTCATGGCCTTCCTGCTCTCCTTCTACCTAATTTTCACCAATGAGGTAAAATGTCTGGGGTCTTCCTGTGCAGAGTGAGAGTCCCCACCATGTCAGAGAGCAAAGGCGATGAACCCGGAGGCTGGATTTGGTAATCAAGGGCCTAGATTTTAAAAAGAGAAAGGAGGATACTGAGTTAATCACAGTTCTTTCCATTGTGATCCATCCCACAGCTGATGTGAGCAGGAAGGGGAGTAGATCAGTTCACACACCTGAATATCCAGGGGTTAGCACCTGCCTCAGGCGTAGTTGGATCCAGGTGTTCATGCTGGGTCACCAGGAATCTCCATTTCTTCATCTTTTGCCTGTTTTTCTCTATTATGGTGTTTTTCTTGGGCAGGCACTTCATCTGTGATGGCAAATGTGGCCCCAGCAACTGGCCTACATCCAACCACTTAGCCCAGGGAAGAGAAAAACCATCTGTTTCTCTTCCTTTCTTTCTTTTCCTTTCTTTCCCCTCCCTCCCTCCCTCCCTTCCTTTGTTCCTTTCTTCCTTCCTTCCTTTGTCTCTCTCTTTCTCTCTTTCTTGTTTGTTTGTTTCTTTCTTTCTCTCCCTCTCTCTTTCTTTTTCTCCTTTTTTTTAATAGGGCCTCATGATGCAACAGTATATTTCTAAATCAATTTAGCAGCAGTTACAGGGCCATCTCTCAGTGTCCTGGCTTGGCTCTCCGTCCTCTGAATCAGTCTCCGTGTCCAGGGCGCACTCACATGTTCTGACTGGCAAGGTCTGGGTCCCATAATCTGACCAGGGTTCAGATAGACTCAGGTAAACCACATGGGCTGAGTAGGAGAGAGGAGAGCCAGGCATGGAGGCTCAAGCCTGTAACCCCAGCACTTTGGGAGGCCAAGGAGGCAGGATCGCTTGAGGTCAGAAGTTCGAAAGCAGCCTGGGCAACATAGCAAGACCCCATTTCTACAAAAAACTTAAACATAAAAATAAAATTAAAAAAAAGAAGGCAGAGAAAAATGGGGAGAAAGGGACAGGCAGGCAGAAACATCAGCTGTTCCCACCACTGGGGCAGTGCTAAGATTGGTGGGGGCTAGTGGGAACCAATGGGGCAGTAGGAAGAAGTCTCCCTGGGAAAGCAGGAATCTGGGTTCCAGTCCTTACTCTCCACTTGCTAGACCTCAGTTTTCCAACTGTACGGTGGGGAGATGGGTCTCAGCGCTCCCGGAGGCCCCATCCTACCCTAATACTTTGCAACAAGCACAGTCATGCTGAGCCACCCCTGAGCTGTTGAAATCCCCACTCCCCTTTGCTCCCAGGGCCGCGCATTGAAGACGGCAACCTCATTGGCTGAGGGGCTCTCGCTTGTGGTGTCTCCCGACAGCATCCACAGTGTGGCTCCGGAGAATGAAGGAAGGCTGGTGCACATCATTGGCGCCTTACGGACATCCAAGGTAGGTTTGGCAGGGGATGCTGACCTGCCAGTGGCTCGGGGCTCATCCTGGATGTTGTCTGGCTGAGGATTTGAAAGCATGGGCCTTGGAGATGGTCACACATGGGAGTGATTCCCGACTTTACCACTCAGCAGCTGTGTGGACTTGTCTATCCTGAGTCTCAGTGTCTTCGTGTATAAAATGGGGACGGTAATGGTTACAAGCTTGTGGCCAGCCTTGAGGATTTGGTGAGATTAGGTAACTAACGCCTTGGTACAGTGGCTGGCACTCAGGGAGGTGCTCTCATGACTCTGATGACCATGTGTGTCCAGTGCAAGGCCACAAAACTACCCTGGGCACCAGAGCTTTCCTGTTATTTGAACACCCTGTACGCTGTTGGCACCATGCCATTGGGCCATGCAGCCCAGGCCTGTACTGTGAGGGTCACAGTCACAGGCACTGTGTGTAAAGAACCTGGGACAGGGAGTGTCCTCGATTCTCCCCTGCAAAGCAGTGTAGGGCTCTCCACCCTTGTCCCCTTCTCTATTTCTTCCTCTTCCAGTCCAGCTTCCCCTGAGCCAGGCTTTCTGGGCTGACGTGAATGTTATCCTTTATTTTTTTGGTTTCTTTGATTCTGTTTGAAGCTTTTGTCTGATCCAAACTATGGGGTCCATCTTCCGGCTGTGAAACTGCGGAGGCACGTGGAGATGTACCAATGGGTAGAAACTGAGGAGTCCAGGTGAGCTGTTGGGGTGAAAACTCTGTTGGGGTAAAGGAGGAGTGAAGTGTAGGTGTCAGGATAACATGCAGATGTCTTTCATTTTGATACCTTTGAAACTCAAGTATAACATCTTCCTATCAGAAAAGTGTGAAATGATCCCCAAATTAATAGCCAGTGATTTGGAAGTGGCAAAAATCCAGTGAAGAGTGGCTCCAGGAGGAAAGGGGGATTGAGTTGCTCCCACATCTGGGAAGTTCCAGAGATGCACAAGCTTGAAGCATGACTTGGAGCAGGCCTGAAACACTGTCATTAGGATCAGCATGTCAACCCCGAGACCCCACTGCATCTCTCTGTGTTCAGCCTTCCCATCAGCTGTGTTGGTCCCATCTTTGCTCTACTTACAGCTTATCGTTTCTGACAGGAGTCCCAGGGCAGGTTCTCATTGATCAGGGCTGGGGTCACCTGGAGCTGGGGGTGGGTTCAGCCCCACCTGAATCATATGGACTGTGACCGACAGGTGGGGAGGTGGTGGGAGGAGCAGGAGAAGGGCAGCTTCAAGAGGCCCCCCGCAGGGCTGTCCTGGAGCAGAGGATGCAGCCAGATCTCTGAGCCCAAAGGGCAGGGCTGGGCCCCTTGGTGTAAGGCCAGTGCGGGCAGATTTCAGCTCAGGATGGGAGAGCGCTTTCCTCCAGGTAGCGCCTTGGAGGGCAGGAGCTGGCTGTCTGTCAGGAGTGAGTGCCCTGTCTTGGGGCTGGTGTAGAGAAGGCATCTGCCGTATCTGGGGAGTCTGATCTGGTAGCCCTGAGGTTGCTTCCTGCTCAGATGCTTAGAGATTAGACTGCCTGGGGCGACGAGGCTAACCCCCGTGGCTGCTTTGCTTTCCCTGCAGGGAGTACACCGAGGATGGGCAGGTGAAGAAGGAGACGAGGTATTCCTACAGTGAGTGCTGGGCCCCTTACGTGGTCTCTGCCCATGGTGGGGGCCCACAGTGGTGGCTGGACAGCAGGGCTGTTGGTGGGGCCATGGGAAGGATTCAGCACCAGGCATCAGGATCCCTGGGTGCAAGTCTTCAGAGCCCTGCTTTCCCACCCATCCATTGAGGCTCCCTGACCCACCCCTTTGGCTGTGAGATAGGAGGAGCTGGGCTGGTGGGTCTCAGCCGCGTGCCACTCCTACCCGGGCTCTGAGTTGATTCCTCTCCCTGAGCAGACACTGAATGGAGGTCAGAAATCATCAACAGCAAAAACTTCGACCGAGAGATTGGCCACAAAAACCCCAGGTGAGAGCCAGGCCCAAGGCCTGAGTGCAGCTTTGTCTACACTGGCAGGTCTCCAGCCTCAGTTTCTTCATCTGAATAACAGGATTGAGTTAATCCTGCCTCGTGGGTTGAAAATGTGGGACATGGGTTTGAGACCAAGCCCTGTGCTGGGCACCAGGAACACAGAGACTTGTCTCCCCTGACCCCAGACAAGCTCCCCGCAAACAAGTCACAAATATAAGGCCTGCACTAAGCGTCTAAGGGGATTTGCACACACGGGGCCGGGGAAGCATTTTGTTAATGGTTTGCCATGGGTGGGAGGACAATCAGGACAGGCTTTCCAGAGGCAGCGGCATTTGTTCAGGCTTCTCAGGATTTCAGCAGAGGGAGGTTAGCTCCACGGCATGCCAGTGGTGAGGCGGGCATAACACTTGGGTGTGGCTAGAGAGCAGGCCTTGTTCAGCAATGGTCTGGGCTGTGCCAGTAAGATGGTTGGGATGGAATGCTCTGGGAGGGGCTAGTGAGGGGTGTAAAGTCCATGCAAGATACATCTGACAGCAGTGGGTGGGGCAGGACAGGCTGGCAGGGGTCTAGGCAAGAGGGTAGGAAGCTCCGGGGAACAGGAGACAGAGTGAGGGTGCTCAGCCCAGGGGAGGGGGCACAGGGCCCCTGGGGGTGGACAGGACAAGATGTCTGCTGCGCCTGGGCTAATCTGGACTTGCAGGAACCCCCGGGTGGGGACCCTGCCCAGCACAAACAACCCAAAGGGACCCGGGCAGCTCCCACACCGGTGCCCATCTCTGACAGCTTCCTCTCTCCCACAGTGCCATGGCAGTGGAGTCATTCATGGCAACAGCCCCCTTTGTCCAAATTGGCAGGTTTTTCCTCTCGTCAGGTAAGTCTCAGGCCTCTCCAGAGGAGCTCGTGCCAGAAGCACAAGGCCCCCCTAGGGCCGGAGCTCCCAGTACTCAGCCTTCAGAGGGCTAAAGGCACAGGATCAGTCTGCACCTTTCCCAGCACCATGCTTTGGGGGCCAGGGGAAGGCGAATCCCCAGGAAGCAAGGGCTGACGTAGAAACCCCCACCCCACTCCATCCTACCAGGTTCCTCTGAAATCTGGGTTGTTCCAGAGAATGACTCAGGCATGCATCCTCACCCTGCTGCGTGCCGGTGTCTGCTGAGTAGACTCTGCTGAGACAGTCCTTCCTCAAGCAGACTCCGGCTAGTAGTAGACATGTGGTGGCTCAGTGCTCTCAGCCTAGGGCTCCCCCTCTCTGAGTTCCACCTGTCCCAGGAAGGCACTAGCTTATCACAGGCATCCCCCATTGACTCCAAAGAGAAGCTTGCAAGGGATAAGGTGGCACCATGGGCCAGAGTAACCCTGGGGCTCTGTTCCTGGGCCTGACCCATGAAGGTGGGAGAGGATACCAAGGGCCCAGATAGTCCTGGGGAGGCTGGATGATCCTGGGCCTGGCCTGGCCGCTTTCTGTGTGCTTTGTTGCTGGATGGTGCCTGTGTGCCAGCTGGGCCTGCCCTCAAGTAGCTCTCAACCCAGGAGGTGAGTCAGGCTTGGACGTGGATGGCCGTAACCTTGATGGAAGGGAAAAGGGCTAAGGCCACTCCCAGTGCTGTGGTCACTCTGACTTGGTGGGAGAGGGCACAGGGAAAGCTTCCTGGAGGAGATGGTCTAACCCAGGGGAAGCCGTGGACGAGACAGAGTCAGAAAGAGGCACTGCAGGTGGGAGTGCCACGTGTGCAGGCTCCAGGGGTGCAGTGGAAGGGGGTCAGGCCAGGGACTTTGCAGATTGAGGTTTTCACCTGGTCCCCTGGGTTTCTAACCACTCTGGTCCCCTCAGGCCTCATCGACAAAGTCGACAACTTCAAGTCCCTGAGCCTATCCAAGCTGGAGGACCCTCATGTGGACATCATTCGCCGTGGAGACTTTTTCTACCACAGCGAAAATCCCAAGTATCCAGAGGTGTGCGGAGAGGCCTGGGCTCTCCAAATAGGAGGGTCAGGGCGCTAGGATCAGGTTCCTGCGCCAGGCAGATTCAGTTCAGTCGCATGCACAGCTGCACTTGGCCAAGTGCAGCTGAGTGGGAGAGGCCCTCTGGGTGACGGCACAGCCTGGGCACGGGTGTGGAGGTGGGAGAAGAGCCTGAGGGGCGTAGCCGAGGCATCCTGGACCTGGGCCTGGGCCAGCTACTCCGTTCCTCACTCTCCCTGCTTCTCTTCCACCCCCAGGTGGGAGACTTGCGTGTCTCCTTTTCCTATGCTGGACTGAGCGGCGATGACCCTGACCTGGGCCCAGCTCACGTGGTAACCTGGCTTCCCAGGGGCAGACACTAAGTCAGAGCCTCACGACTTTCCTGGACACAGACACCTTGGTCAATGTCAGGAGCGCTTGGACCCCCTTTTCCCTGGGGAAAGGCACACTCTCGCACACACTCTCAGCCAGGCACGCTTCTGAGCAGTTTCAGAGCTCCCATGTCCCCACAGCCATCCATGGACCCCACGTTAAGAAGGGCAGCTCAAAAGGGGTCTCATAGTCGCACCTTATGACAGGTGTTCCAGTCACACACAGACCCTCTCCCCAAGCCCGTTTTGATCTGTCAATAATTGGTCTTGCGTTCCTGGCCTATGTGCAGTCCTGCCCCATCCCCTGCTCTGCGCACTGCCCAAGAGCTTTGAATGCCTGGAGCTTTGAATGGAGCAGCTCAGCCAGAGCTGCAGAGGTGGATGCATCCCAGATGGATGTATAGAGAGAGAAGCCCCAGGGTTTCTGTGCTCACTTCCCCAGCCGGCACCCAGTCCCGGGAGGGTGGGCCATGGCTCTCGTGGGCGTGTCTCCCGCTGGTCACCCCTCAGCTCTAACACCAGGTCCTCTGACCAGGTCACTGTGATTGCCCGGCAGCGGGGTGACCAGCTAGTCCCATTCTCCACCAAGTCTGGGGATACCTTACTGCTCCTGCACCACGGGGACTTCTCAGCAGAGGTGAGTGCTGTGCCCTACTCGTACGGTGGAGGAACAAGCATGTCCTTCCTTCCTTCCAGTGGTTATTTAATAAGATCACACTACCAGGGGTCATAGCCAGTGAATGAGGCAAGAAGAAGAAATAGCGGAATGTTGAGTATGCCTCATCAAAGTGTTTGACCAGGAGTGTTTCAGATTCCAGATTTTTTTGGATTTGCAGGTATTTGTATATACATAATGAGATCTCTTGGGGATGAGAACCAAGTCTAAACACAGAATCTATTTATGTTTCATGTATACTTTGTACACATCGCCTGAAGGTGATTTTATACAATGCAACCCGTCACATGGGGTCAAGTGTGGGATTTCCACTAGTGGCGTCATGTTGGCATTCAGAAAGTTTTGGATTTTGGAGCACTTCAGCATTTGGGTTTTTGGATTGTGGATGCTGAGTCTGTCATGAACCCTCAGTGTGCAGGACTGTGCTAGGCACTAAACTCACTGTGCCTCACAGACTGTCCGGTAGAGGAGTGAGAGTGACAGAAACTCGTAAGTACTGATGCATCGTGCCGAGTGTTGGAAAGAGGAGAACAGGTGCTCTGATACCAGTGGACGTCAGAGTAGAACATCCGTTTCTGCAGTGATCAAGCAGGGCCTCTGACAAGTGAGTTTTGCTGACGAGAAGGGGTTAACCCTAGAAGAATCAGTGATCAGTCAGTTCCAGCAAGAACAGCCCAGTCTGGGCACGAAAGGGTTCACCTTCTAAGGGGGCACCCGGAGTGCTGTGGCCACAGCCCAGAGCGGGGAGAGGGAGTGGGTGGGGGGGCTCCACCAAAGTCTGTGTCCTTCCAGAACATTAGGAGGGCGGGGAAGGGTTTTGGGCCTCAGCTACCTGAGTATCCCTCTCCCATTGTAAATAGGGAGGGCTATGCCTACCCCGGGTCCCAAGGAGAAGGGGTGCCAAGATGTGCTGATTAGTTCAGTTCTGTGCCTTAAAAGTTAGCCTGTCTTCTCTAGGCAGGCAATCCTTCTCTGCAGCAGAAGAATTGAGTCTTTAGTTTTTCTGTTGTTGATGAACACAGGTATCCCTGGTGGGGCACTCTATACCTGCCCTAACCAGGACTGCTGGGGTTTTCATTCCAGAGTGGCCAGAAAGGGTCAAGGCAGCAGACAGGCATCAGGGGTTAGCTGTGACCTTTTGTTCCTATTATTAGATCCTCAGCAGCCATCTGTCCCATTAGCCTCCAGCTTGTGGTGGTGCTTGGGCCTCACCAACTCCTGGTACCTGGCCAGGGCTAGGGTGTGGTCAGGCTGTTGCCCAGGAGCCCAGTTACCAACCTCAGGGTAGGGCTGCCACCTCCCAGCCTAGAAGGCCATGAGTCACCCTTCCACCAGCAGCTGAGGGTCCCCAGCGAGTTTCTAAAATTAGGAGGCCCAGTCCAGGCCTTGCTCTCTCTCCCAGGGCTGAGGCCCAGCTCACGCAGCCGCCCCTCCAGAGAGGAGTGGATGGGGCCCATGGCTTAGGTAATGCCCCAGAAAGGAAGGCCCTGCAGTGCAGATGCTCAGGCGGCCTCCTTACCCCCTGGGTCTCCTGCTGCTTAGCAGCCCCAAAGCCCTGTCTTCCCCCAGCCCAGCCCCCACCCCCACACAAGGTCTGGGGTCTCTGCCAAGTAGAAAAAAGGCCCAGAGCCAGGCAGGCAGCTCAGGGCAAAAGTCAGGATGCCCCGATTCCAGTCCCAGGGGCAGGAGAGTACAGCTGCCCAAGCAGGCACACTGCAGACGGCCCTGGCACTGCCTCCCACCTGCTACAGGACCTTGAGCTGGTGCTGATCTCTCAGCCTGTTTCCTCATTTGTGAAGGGGAAGATGTTTAAGTACTATTAGTAATAGTCACATCATCCCTAACTGGTTTGGTCATTGAGGATTATTCATTCATTCAGCAAGTTTTCATTGAACACCAGGTACTTCACAGACATGCTCCCTGCTCTTGGAAATGTAGCGTTTAGTTAACTGCTTGAGGTGAGACCTTGGGCACATGACTTATTCTCTCAGAGCCTCAGTTTCATCATCTGTAAAGTGGAGGTAAGTATTCCTACCTCACTGAGTGAATTTGAGAATTAAATAATACTTGTAAAACACTTAGGACAGTATCAAATAAATGGTGAGTGATAAATGTGACCTGTTTTTGTTGTTACGGACTCTGAGAGAGGGCCCGATTCAGATCAGAGGGTCAGGGAAAGCCCTCTGAAGAAATGGGGTTCAAGCAAAGCTCAAAAGAATATGTAGGAAGCTGGCCAGGCATGACTGCAGGCAATCGTTGTAGGCAGAGCAAACCCACGCGCAGATACACAGGCGAGAGGACACTTGACCTGGACTGGGGACAGCAGCCAGCAGGGTCAGGGCACTGGCAGCAGGGTCGGTGTCCGGGGGGTGTGGCAGGGCTCTGGCAGGTGACTGTGTGGAGAACACAGAGTGGGTGATAGAAGCAGGGCCAGTGAGGCTCCTGCGGGCAGACAGTGGTAAGAGACTCGGGAATATGTGGCCTGGACTGGATGGGGTGGTAGGGGAGGAGCGAGCCATGTCTTTCCCATAGATGTGAGTGGGTGGGTGGGTGTGCCATGTGCTGAGATGGAGAAGGCGCCAGTGTCAGCACTAGACAGGCTGAGATGTCAAGTGGAAATGTCAAGGAGGTGGTGGAGGTGGTGGGAGCTGCAGGGCTGTGAGGCCCGGGAGAGGGCCAGAGCTGCAGCTTTAAATTGGAGGGTCACGGCATGTGGAGGCCAAGGAAGCAGATGGGATGTCCGGGGAGAGAGTATGGACTGAAGCAGCTAAAGAATTGCAGCATCTAATGGACAGGAAGAGGGGCAGCGACAGCGATGGAGCCTGAGAAGGAGGGTGCAGTGTCCCCAAGCCATGTGGAGAGGTTCTGAGATTAAACAGATCACACACATAGCGCAGAGCATGCTGCCCAGCAGACATCCTCCAACCTGCTCAGGGGTGGTGGGCAGGGTCCTGCTCATTCCAGGTGAGACCGTGGGCTGAGGGCTCCAGGTGCTGGCAGGCTCTGAGCTGAGGAAGGCCCGTACGTTCCACAGAGATCTCATGCCTTGCCCTGTGCTCTGCCAGATGGGCAGAAGGACTTAGCCCTATAGGAGGCTTGCCCCCACTCCGTCTGGCCTGTTCAGAAATGGCCAACAGCTCCCGAGTTGGTACAGCCCCCTCAGGACCTGCCCTGCCGACTGGGTACGCCACTGGCCCTCAGCATCCTGACCTGCCCCCACCTTGTCCTGCAGGAGGTGTTTCATAGAGAACTAAGGAGCAACTCCATGAAGACCTGGGGCCTGCGGGCAGCTGGCTGGATGGCCATGTTCATGGGCCTCAACCTTATGACACGGATCCTCTACACCTTGGGTAGGTGTTGGGGTGGGTCACTGCCCTCCCTCCTGCACCCTGAAAGGGCCTCCTCTGCCTGTCGCATCATCTCAGCCCTTCCAGCCTGATGGGATGGCCCTTGTGCAGATACCAGGCATTTGGCTCATCTCTGTGTCCCCGCTCCATAGCCTTGGGATGAGGGAGCAGAGGAAGGCAGGCTTGAGGGCAGGAGCTGCCAGGGGCCAGGCTGGGTGGGGCCAACTCTGGGGCACTGGTCTCACTCCACAGCCTGAAGGTTCGTCCATCTGCTGGCTCGATCATTTGCTCATTCCTTTGATCCACAATTGAATACCACATGGGAGCCTGCCAGACCTGCATTTGAAATCTGTCACGTCCAAGCTCTGGATGCTTGGCCGTTCCCTTCCCATCTCAGCTTCAGTCACCTCACCCCTTACATGCAGAGTTTTATGAAATGTGGCAAATAGGAAACACCCAAAACTCTCATGCTTCCTTCCTCACTCCAAAACCTGGGCTAGATTTGGGCAGCCAGCAAGTCTGGAGCATGAAGGAGAGTTCTGGGCCACTCCTTGACCTGAGGTTGGCACCAGTGAGCCCAGTAGGAGACCTGTGGCCCAGCGTGGTTCGGGATCTGAGTGCCCAGGGTGACTAAGTGCGTTCTGGGCCCAGGAGGATGGGGTTCCTCGGAGGACTCTCCATCCAAGCCTTTCCCTGGTGTGTGTCCCTTCCAGTCACATGATTGCATCAGTCTTCTCTGGGTGCCAACAGAAACCTCTTCCCCACTCAGCATGCACAAGTCAGAAGAGGTCTGGCTGCACATCTTGGGCTGTCTGAGCTGGGGGGACCACCTCCTTTGTTTACAGTTGGGAAAACAGGCCCGGGAAGGGAAGGACTCTCCCTGAGCCTTTCTTTGGACAGCTGAATTGTGCTCAGAAAGACCAGTGACGTGGTGGGCACATTAGCGAGAGATGAGCATTTAAACGGAATCCTCTTTCTTGCCTGTGTGACCCTGGGGAGACCAGTTCCCTTCTGGAGCCTTGGTTTCCTCGTGTCTGTCTCAGTGGGCCCTTCTTTGGATCTCTGATGTCTGTGATCCCAATTCACTCTACGTCTGGAATGCGCCAGACTCAGGACAGACTTAGAGTGTGGAGGGACCCCCAGGGTGGGTGGGGAGAGTTGGGAGCGCAGCAGGGAAGCACACAGTTCCCCATGCGTTTGATAAATACCAACGTGTGTAAGACTCCACAGCTAGAGACAGACAAGACTTAGAGCAACAGCTCAGAGCCCAGGCTCTGGGCCCATACGGTCTTGAGTTCAAATCCTGGTTCTGGCACTTTCTAACAGGAGGACTGGTGGTGAGTTTCTTAATTCCCTGAGTCTCAGTGACCCTGTGGGTAAAATGGAGTTAAGAAGAGTACCTACCTTACAGGGTGGGCATGAGTGCTTCATGAGATGGTGCACATGGTGCCTAACACAGGCAACGTTCAGAAACATGAACTTTGCTTATTATAAGGGCTGAGTAGCAGTGCTGTATGGGAACAGATCAGGATGAGGCCAGGTAGTGGCTTGCAGGGTGTGCTGCAGGCATGGTGGGGCACCAGGGCTTGCTCTGCAAACCCAGTGATTCCAGACCATTGGTGGCCTCCTGGGAACTGAGCGAAGATTCCCTGAGTGGACATCAGCTATGGAATGCCAACCTGGAGAGGTCACACAAGGCAAGAATAGGGTAATTCCTCATGAATTTAGCTGGATTCTGGGCTTTATCCTATTGGACCAATAGTCTGTGAGATTCTTGAGGAGAGGCCAATGCTTAGGCTAATTTATTTCCTCTAGCACCTGCTGGTTCAGTGCTGGGCACATAAATCATTAGTAACAGCCTGCTGCATGAATGAACCAACACCTCTAGGAATGGCTGAGAGGCCCAAATAGGCACCTTCAGGAGGCTCCACCCACAGCCTCTTGTATGAGTGTGCAGGACCCAGGTTATTTCTAGCATTACAGGCAAATGTCTTTATACTGGCCTCAGACTACTCTCCACATAAAGTATTAAAGTTTACAAAGCACTGCTACATCCTCTCCCCTGGATCAGGGTAGAGTGGGTGGCTTAGGCAATGTGCCCAACCACGCAGCTCATAGCAGAGGCTCCTGTGCTCCCTTAGCTTTCAGAACGAAGCTCCTTGCCTTCCACCCACTGATCCTCTCCCCTCCTCATGCATGTAGCAACATGGGCCCATCCTCATCTAGGGACAGGAGAGATCTGCTGAGCTGGTGAGGTGTAGAGCAGGTGGCACCTCATCACCTTTCTCCTTTCCACAGTGGACTGGTTTCCTGTTTTCCGAGACCTGGTCAACATTGGCCTGAAAGCCTTTGCCTTCTGTGTGGCCACCTCGCTGACCCTGCTGACCGTGGCGGCTGGCTGGCTCTTCTACCGACCCCTGTGGGCCCTCCTCATTGCCGGCCTGGCCCTTGTGCCCATCCTTGTTGCTCGGACACGGGTGCCAGCCAAAAAGTTGGAGTGAAAAGACCCTGGCACCCGCCCGACACCTGCGTGAGCCCTAGGATCCAGGTCCTCTCTCACCTCTGACCCAGCTCCATGCCAGAGCAGGAGCCCCGGTCAATTTTGGACTCTGCACTCCCTCTCCTCTTCAGGGGCCAGACTTGGCAGCATGTGCACCAGGTTGGTGTTCACCAGCTCATGTCTTCCCCACATCTCTTCTTGCCAGTAAGCAGCTTTGGTGGGCAGCAGCAGCTCATGAATGGCAAGCTGACAGCTTCTCCTGCTGTTTCCTTCCTCTCTTGGACTGAGTGGGTACGGCCAGCCACTCAGCCCATTGGCAGCTGACAACGCAGACACGCTCTACGGAGGCCTGCTGATAAAGGGCTCAGCCTTGCCGTGTGCTGCTTCTCATCACTGCACACAAGTGCCATGCTTTGCCACCACCACCAAGCACATCTGTGATCCTGAAGGGCGGCCGTTAGTCATTACTGCTGAGTCCTGGGTCACCAGCAGACACACTGGGCATGGACCCCTCAAAGCAGGCACACCCAAAACACAAGTCTGTGGCTAGAACCTGATGTGGTGTTTAAAAGAGAAGAAACACTGAAGATGTCCTGAGGAGAAAAGCTGGACATATACTGGGCTTCACACTTATCTTATGGCTTGGCAGAATCTTTGTAGTGTGTGGGATCTCTGAAGGCCCTATTTAAGTTTTTCTTCGTTACTTTGCTGCTTCATGTGTACTTTCCTACCCCAAGAGGAAGTTTTCTGAAATAAGATTTAAAAACAAAACAAAAAAAACACTTAATATTTCAGACTGTTACAGGAAACACCCTTTAGTCTGTCAGTTGAATTCAGAGCACTGAAAGGTGTTAAATTGGGGTATGTGGTTTGATTGATAAAAAGTTACCTCTCAGTATTTTGTGTCACTGAGAAGCTTTACAATGGATGCTTTTGAAACAAGTATCAGCAAAAGGATTTGTTTTCACTCTGGGAGGAGAGGGTGGAGAAAGCACTTGCTTTCATCCTCTGGCATCGGAAACTCCCCTATGCACTTGAAGATGGTTTAAAAGATTAAAGAAACGATTAAGAGAAAAGGTTGGAAGCTTTATACTAAATGGGCTCCTTCATGGTGACGCCCCGTCAACCACAATCAAGAACTGAGGCCTGAGGCTGGTTGTACAATGCCCACGCCTGCCTGGCTGCTTTCACCTGGGAGTGCTTTCGATGTGGGCACCTGGGCTTCCTAGGGCTGCTTCTGAGTGGTTCTTTCACGTGTTGTGTCCATAGCTTTAGTCTTCCTAAATAAGATCCACCCACACCTAAGTCACAGAATTTCTAAGTTCCCCAACTACTCTCACACCCTTTTAAAGATAAAGTATGTTGTAACCAGGATGTCTTAAATGATTCTTTGTGTACCTTTTCTGTCATATTCAGAAACCGTTTTGTGCCTGCTGGGAGTAATTCCTTTAGCAATTAAGTATTTGGTAGCTGAATAAGGGGTCAGAACTTCTGAAACCAGAGATCTGTAATCATCTCTATTGGCCTGGGGTGCCTGTGCTATAAATGAGTTTCTTCACATGAAAAACACAGCCAGCCCAAGATGACTTATCTGGGTTTAGGATTCAATAGTATTCACTAACTGCTTATTACATGAGCAATTTCATCAAATCTCCAAACTCTTAAAGGATGCTTTCGGAAAACACGCTGTATACCTAGATGATGACTAAATGCAAAATCCTTGGGCTTTGGTTTTTTTCTAGTAAGGATTTTAAATAACTGCCGACTTCAAAAGTGTTCTTAAAACGAAAGATAATGTTAAGAAAAATTTGAAAGCTTTGGAAAACCAAATTTGTAATATCATTGTATTTTTTATTAAAAGTTTTGTAATAAATTTCTAAATTATCTTCTGGTGTGGGACTTTAACAAACATCCTATTTTTAGTTTCAGATTTTTTTTTTTTGGCATTCTTTCCAAAATGTCTGTAAAGAATTCAGCCATAGGATTTATTGAGAACTGAATTTTGTGGAAATCTGAGCTTTCAGTGCTTAAAATAAGTTAATTTTTTTTTAAGGGCAACTCAGTATCTAGCACTCAGAAGTCCACACTGAAGCCCACTTTGTTTTGGCTTGATTTAAAGTGAATGACTCAGGCTTCATGCATCTTCAGAATGTGCTAGAAAAAGTGGAAGGGGCAGCAGTGTGCTCCACTGCCAGAGGCATCCTGAGTTGACACGGGAGACCTGAGTTCTGAGCCAAAGATTGCTACATACTGGCTGTGATGTTGGGTAAATCAACGATTTGAGTCTGTTCCCTCATCAGTACAATGGGAATAACACTTGTCCACCTCACAAAGTTGTTGTGAGGGCCAAATGAGACAAAGCCCATAGAATGCCTGACACATGAGGCATTAATTTTTCATTCATTTTGCTTCCTGTTCTGAAAGGCGGCTGCTAACTGCCCACTCTGATGCTAGCAGTTTGCTTTATTTTTTACAAGCACGTGAGTGAGAACTTTCCCAAACCTACTCTTCTGTTTCTCAGAACCTACTGTTTCATTTAAATAATGCCTCCTTGTAGCTGACATATGCCTGAAGAAGTTATTTCTGCAGAGACATGGCAATGCCATCATCTCAAAACCCCAGAAAGACAAGCGTGGTGGTGCATACCCATGGTCCCAGCTACTCAGGAGGCTGAGAGGATTGCTTGAGGCTGCAGTCAGCTGGGATCACACCACTAGCTGGGATCACACCACTGCACCCCAGCCTGGGCAAGAGTGGAACCCTCCCTGTCTCAAAAAATAATTTAAAAAAAAAAATAACAGAAAACAAGTTGCCTCTATAGGAGGGCCGAGCTCTGGTGAGGAAGTGTGAGACCAGTTTCCATAGCAACCCCAGTCTGTTTCTCAACAAGAGGTTCCAGCCAGCCTCTTGCCACATATGAGTCATAACTCAAGTGTTTTGTTTGTTTCCCTTGGATAAAAGTGACTCCGATTTTTAATGGCTCCTCTCAAAGATTAACATCTCTTCACTAAATACAGAAGAATTCCATATGTAATGAATTTCCAGCCTCCATGAAAACAAAATGGACTCTTTCATGCTGTCTCAACATATGAATACATTGCTCTGTCACCTGGGTGTTATTACCGACTTAAATCTGAAAGAAGCTGGGCACGGCAGTGGTGTGTGGGTGCCTGCAGTCCTGAGGAGCTGGGACTGTTTCCCGAACAATGCCTTTCCACCACACACGGTGGTTGTGAGGGCCAGCTGAGGCAAAGCCCTCAGGAAGACCACTCAAGCCCAGGAGTCCAGCCTGCGCAAGACAGTAAGACCCCTTAAAAAAAAAAAAATCTGAAAGAAAATATAGAGCCAAATCTTTAGATAAATGCTTTATTATTTTCTCAAAATGTTATAAAAGTCATTTCTCCTTAGTACAGAGAGCTTTATACATTTTATCTAGTAATGAATACAATCTAGTTTAACACTCATCTATTTTACTAACATTTCCTTAATTTTCAATTCGTATTTTTCCTTTTCTTTCCTGATTTTAGCTTTTTTTAGGCTTCTGTCACCACAAAATGTTACTTGGAAAACTAGATCCCAGCAGATGACCTGTACTTCTCTGCTCTCTCCCCTACTGCAAAGAGGCAGTGAGGGCAGCATTAGTAAGCCTGACTCAGGGGAAGGTAAGTGGCCTGCAGAGAAATGGTCCTAGGTCCGCAACCGAGGCGAGTGAACTTGTCGGACAGATGAAGACTCTAACTGGAAGAAACGATCAGCGCATTCACGGATGCACCACCATCCAGAAATCTCCCGGTGGCTTCCATACAAAAACTGATGTTTCTAAAGATGGAAAGAACAGGTCTAGGAGGCAGAAGAGTATCTCCTAGCAAAGTGTTCTGTAGCTCAAAGGGTGAGTGGGCTTTGGTAGCAAAAAGCTTTGAAGGCTTCACCCTGGGTGAATCTGACAAGGGCTGGAGCCAGACGGGACCTGCAGCACCTCCTCAGCTTGGCCTCGTCTCCCCTGACCCCGCCTCCGTGCATGCTGCCTCAGTTTGCCTTCTCAGCAGAGAAGCCCCCACCACCAGGGGCTGGGCATGCCCAGGGCAGGTGTGGGGCCTGTAGTGGGGCAGCAGCAACTGGTGGGTGCCCCTCTAGTGGGCGCTCAGCTCACAGCTGCTCAAATGGGAACAGGTGGGAAGCTGCTGCTTTCTTTTCCCTTTTGGTCTTCTTGGGCCCACCCTTCAGCTTCTGCTTTTCTTCATCTTCTCGGTTTTGAGGCCAGGAGGCAGCCAGTATCCTGGCCGCTTCTGCTTGAGAGCTGGTCCCCTCCTCTTCATCAGAAGAGAGTCCACCTCCTGCATCTGTGTGGGGAGCTGCTGCCTCACTCTGGACAGGTGGCAGTGGTGGGAGGACACAGGCGAGGGTTAGTAATCAGATACCAGGAAGCCCCATGAAGAGGCAGCAAGTTCCCAGCCTGCCCTAAGCTGTGTAACTCTGGGAGGACAAGGGCATGGGACAGGGCAGGGAGAGAGCCCAGACCCTTCTTACTGAGCCGTCCCAGCCTGGGGTGCATCCAAGCAGACACTGGAGCACCTGCTACGAGCTGAGTGCAGGGGAACACAAGGATGATGGCTGGGCAGGAAGCTGCCCTCTAGGAGCACACTGCCTCATCTGGGGATGCCTGTGATTCGTGCCTTGCATTTGCTACCTCATTTCTGGACCAAAGCACATGATGTCTTGAACGGGCAAGATGCACAGTTCAGCCCTCGGAGCCCTAAGATCTGAGGCGGCACTCCCTGCCAGCTGGGATGGCTAGGGAGGGTTTGGATGGAGAAGGCGGCAAGGAGCTGGTCAGAACATAAAGTCAGATGAAGGGCTTTTCTCCACCAGAGGGACTGGAATGAGGAGCGTGACAAAAAAATGTTGAAAGGCAAACAGGCAGCACAGAGGGTTGGAGAGAGGGAACAAAACATGCCAGAGCAGTTTCTGCTGTGTCTGACACAGCACTGACTATACCATGTAACTGGGCCTAGGGTCCATCTGCCCCAGGGAGGGGCCCCCTTGAGGGCTGCATGTCAAATTCACACCTGTGTCCAAGCCTGGCCTGGCACATGGCAGGTGCTGTGAGAGAGGTACTGAGCGGGCCACTGCAGGCCTGCAGCATGGTCACAGGCACTGGGAACACTGGAAGGCGGAAGGGTGCACCAAATGCAGGACACTTGGCCCTCCCTATGTGTTCAGCGCCAAATCAGACCCATGGCATTGCTCATGTGGACAGTAGAAACGGGGACACTGGGACAGGGCTTGGGGCAGAAGAGCCAGCTGAGGCCTCACTCCAGGGACACCTTTCCCAACAAGGTAAAAACAAGCGGCCTTAGAGACAGAAGACTGAGGTGTCCTAACACAAAGCTATCCCTGACTTGAGGCTGGGGCAGAATCTGGGCCAGGCCTTTCTGAGCTGCATCTCCAAGAAACTGACCCTGAGCTTGTCTTCTCTGCAAAGAACCTGCACTGACCTTGGGCCCGTAGCGACGCTTCAGCCTCTCCCTGATGAGCAGACCTTTGGCCAGCAACTTCCAGTTCCCTAGAGCCCGCTTCTCCTTTTTCTGCAGGCAAAAATGAAGTGGGAGAAAAGTGTTAAGCACTGACATTTTCAGGAAAAATATTAAGATGGAAACTGTGAATGTAAAGACAGATATATACACCACTTTAGAATATAGCCTCTCCTTCACACCAAGTCTCACTTCCAAAAAATTGATCTGATTTACAAAGTGATATACTATACCTGAAAGCCACAAAAACAGATAACTTTTTAATCGTTACTGACTCCAAAATCTTTAGTGGGTGAGGTCTTCCAGAACCTGGACACAGGCAATTCAAGACAGAGGCAGGTGTGGGCAGCAGGGGCAGTAGACCCCAGAGCCCGGACCCAGGCTCCTCAGGGACAGTGATAGTCTGCGGGGTGGGCAGGAGCCTGCTGTATTCAGTGCTCGCTCCCTCGGGTGCCTGCCATGATGTCAGAGAGGGCTGGGAAGAGCCTGGGAGCACACGGAGGCGGCCTGGGGAAGGAAGAGGCCACCCGCTGAGTGTTGCTTCCCGCTTCTGCTGTCCCTCAGTCCTGCATATGCGCTTACCTCCTTCTCCTTCCTTTCAATGACTGCCTGCTCATTTTCCCAGGCAGTCAGGAGCACGTCTTTGAATTCCTCGCAGACGATGTATCCATCAGTCCTGTGGGGACACAACGCGATGTCAACCCTCGAACCTGCTGCCTGCTCTGCCTCTCCTCCCTCCCCAGTTTGTGGAAGACAGTGGGCCACATCTGAGCACTAGGGGTCCTGAAGGATGTCGCGGGTCAGCCAGTGTCCCACATCCTCCGTGCAGAAGGCAGGCCTGTGGAAGCTGGCACTGCCTCTTCCTCCCCAGATTCTGCCGAAGAAAGCTGGGGTGAAAGCCCCTATCCAGCCTCACCCATCATGGAACAGAGCTCACTAACCAGGCAGCTGCCGGGGAAAGATGCTGACTGTTTTTTGCTCACTAGCCTGTGAGTCCCTAAACCTGGGAAGAACGTTTTAATCCAGCATTACGATGCCAGTTTCATTGGCTCCGTTCCCTCTGGAGGGAAGCCAGAATTGGTAAAGCACTGACTTTGCAAATCCAGTGTAACATCCTGAAAATTGGAGCCACCAGGCCTCAACTCCCAGCAGCCCCATGCCAGCTTTCCATCCCCATCTCTGGAGCCACCCCTCCCCATCCCTGTGTTTAGCCTCCATCGAAGGCCCCTCACGCACACGGGATGGGAGTAGCCGCCATGGAAATCAAAGCCAGTGATGGCCTGGACACAGTCGATGTCCAGCTTGCGGGCCACGCGGTGTAGATTGGGCAGGTTCAGCTGGACACAGCCAATAGGCATCATGCTGGGCAGGAAGAGGTACACATTCCCAAACTCGTTCCGGGGCACCTGTGTCGGGTGAGCAAGTCAGCATTTGGCCAGCAGGGGAACAAGGCGGCCTGGTCCTGAGCCCTTCTGATGCTGCCCTTACCTTCCCGTCCACGGCCACTGGGGGCTGATACTCCTCTGTCTGCCAGTAGCCAAACAGGCCCAGGTCATTTTCTTCCCGCAGCTGGGGCTCAGCAAGTCGGGCTTTCCGAGCACGGTTAGAAAAGCCTTTCACCATCTGCACCAGAGGACACGGCCACCGTTTACAACAAAGGCATCCAGTTCCTCAGCACCGGGCCAGGCACCATGCTCAGTGCCGCATGCCTGGTACCTGGTGAACCCTCAGAACACACCTACCAGCTGGGGTGCTTTTTCTCCCTTTTTTTTTTTTGAGACAGAGTCTCGCTCTGTCGCCCAGGCTGGAGTACAGTGGTGCAATCTTGGCTCGCTGCAACCTCTGCCTCCTGGGTTTAAGCAATTCTCCTGCCTCAGCCTCCTGAGTAGCTGGGATTACAGGTGCCTGCCACCACGCCCGGCTAATTTTTGTATTTTTAGTAGAGACGGGGGTTTCACCATGTTGGCCAGGCTGGTCTCGAACTCCTGACCTCAGGTGATGCACTCGCCTCAACCTCCCAAAGGGCTGGGATTACAGGCGTGAGCCACCGTGCCCGGCTGCTCCCCTTTTCTTACTACAAGCACTAGCTAACATTTATGGAACATTCTCTGTCCCAGACACTATTCTCGGTGTTTTTTGTTTTTTTATCCCCCTGAGACGGAGTCTCACTCTGTTGCCCAGGCTGGAGTGCCCTGGTGTGATCTCAGCTCACTACAACCTCCACCTCCCGGATTCAAGTGATTCTCGTGCCTGTCTCCTGAGTAGCTGGGACTACAGGTACCCGCCACCATGCCCAGCTAATTTTTATATTTTTGGTAGAGATGGGGTGTCACCATATTGGCCTGGCTGGTCTCAAACTTCTGACCTCAAATGATCCACCTGCCTTGGCCTCCGAAAGTGCTGGAATTACAGGCATGAGCCACTGCGCCCAGCCTATCTTCAGTGCTTTATATGTTATTATTTAATTTTTTCAACAAACCCACAAGGTAGGTCTTATTATTGTTTCCATTTTACAGATGAACACCACAGACGGGGTAAATGATTTGCCTAAAGTCACACAGCTCGTAAGGGCCAGAGCCCACACTTTCATCCACTAGCCTATATTCTGTGCTGTCATCACTGATAGCAGTGACTGAGACTGAGAGACAAAGTCACTTAAGAGCTGATGGCTGGTAAGTGACAAGAACCAGGATTTACAATTCAGGTAACTGTCCATCAGTAGAGCCTGTGTCTCAACATATAACCTATGTCTGCTCACACGCCCTAGAAAGCACTGACAGTTCAGGACTCCCAGTGTGCTCCCCAACAGCGTGCAGTGGCCAAGGCCAAGATCTTCCCTGGGGAGTGAAGTGGTGAGAGGGGCGCAGGACAGGCAAGGACAGAGTCACGTAACTCTTAGAGGAGTCAGGCATGGGCGTGCGGCTGAGGGCTGGCCCCTGGGCCTCAGCATACAGACTTCCTCTAGTGCAGGGGCCCACAAGCTTGTTCTGTAAAGGGTCATGCGTGGCCTCCATCACATATTCTTTATTCTTCTCATTCTTATAACCCTTTAAAAATGTGAAAAGCCATTCCCCAGGTTGGGGGTGGCCTGCGAGCTCTCATGTCCATTCCTGCCATGATCTCTGGGCGCACCCTCTCTGTCACCACTTCAGGGACAGAGGGACTCTGAGTTCTGACAACCGTCCCTTTCTGAGAAGCCATTCACCCAGCACACTGTTCAGTAAACTTCCACTGGGATCTCCTGGAGACCAGGCCATGACCCAGTCATGAAGGAGGGATGGAGCGAGGACAGTCTTTGCTCTTAGGAGCTCAGGCTCCTGCAGGGGAAGAGACAGAGCTACGACTCAGCGTGATGAGTACAGGGTGGAACAGGAGCTCAGAGGCAAGCCATTGCCCAGCCCTGAGGACAGTGGAGGCAAGAAAGGCTGCTCAAAACAGGTCCCGCCTGAGCAGAGGCTTAAAGGGGCAAGGGGTTGCCCAAGAGAACAGGGCTGGACCCCACAGGGCACAGAGGTGGGAGAACACTGGGACCTGGGGCCTAAGTCCTCTGGAATGCAGAGGCAGTGAGCACCAGAACATCACTGTGCACCATGGGGAGGGTGCGGGACTCAGACTAAAGGCGCTGGCCAAGGTGGGACAAGGATGGCCAAGATGCACAGAAAGAGCCTAGTGACTGACAGGGGAATGGATTCAGGCTGGGAAGGAGGCTGTGGCTGTTGCCCAAGCAAAAGATACTGAGGCAGGAGCTGGGGTGGTGGGGATCAGAACAAGGGGTGAATTTGAGAGATTTGGGATTCCAGAACTGTGCTACCATGACAGCCACCAGTCACGTGTGGCCACTGCACACCTGAAACGTGGCTGGTCTGAACTAAGGTACAGAAAGTCAAATACACAGAAGATTAGAGAGACTTAGGAACAAAATGGATTTAAATATCTCATCAACACTTTAAAATATTTCTTACTGCTGAAATAGTATTTTAGATATATCTGGATATATTTTAATGTTAAAATTCCACCTGTTTTTGGTTTTTAATGTAGCTACTAAAAAATTTAAATGTGTGGCTCACGTTACATTTCAACTGAACACTGCTATGCTGGTTCCAGCACAAAAGACAGGTGAGATGGTGCAGAGAAAATCCTCAGCAACCCTGCAGGCCCAGGCAGGGGGCATCGCCCACTCCAGCCTGCTGCTGGCAGTGACTGTGACCAGCGCCTGCAGCCTTTCCCACTAAGCGGAGGCCCCTCCACTCCCCACTCAGCTTCCCGGAGTCTTGCAACCCCCAAGGACTCCTGGGGTCTGATGAGAAGTAAATGGTCTCTGTGATCAGCCACTGTACACTTCCGGTCGTACGGAGCTGTGTGTCCTGTGAATAGTCTCTGTGGGACCTCGCTCGGTTCGTGTTCCTCAAGAGCAACCAGCCTAACAGTGCCGCAGCACAGTGTGAAAGGAGCACTGGCTTTAAGGCAGAGCCTGGGATTCTCACCTGGGCTCTGCTCTGCCATTTTACTAACTGTGGGGACTTGGACAAGTCACTTGCCCTGAGCTTCAGTTTTCTCATCTGTAAAATGGGCATCATAATGCCAATTCCTATGGCTTTTGAGGCAACAGAGATCACATACATGCAAAATGCTCAGTGAACTGCCAAACAGAAGGGCAATCTGACTGGAGAACGTGCTGCTATAAAGCAGGGCTCTGACCTCCCAGGACCCAGTAACTCAATTCCAACCTGTAGAACCTTTGAATTCACAACAGGAGTCTGAGGCCTACTTTTTGGCCTAGATTTCTTTTGTGTTTTGGAAGATCCATTTCTTACAAATGTCTTATTAATAAGACAATTTAAATGTTTCTCTCCTCCTTGAATCCTGCTCAAGCCGGGAAAGTGAGACATTTCTGATCAGGATCCTGGGCAGGACTGGGAGGCTCATCATCACTTCTCTGCCCCCAGCTCTCCCGCTCAGCTACAGGCCTGTGTCACCACTCCCCACAGGGACCCCCCAGCTCCAGTTACCTTGTAGGGTACTTCTCCAAGCCTCACCACTCTTGCTTTCTTCAGCCACGTGTCCCTGGAATGCAGAGTGTGCACACAATCCCTGTGGAACCAACACAGGACACAAAGGTAACTCAGTCCACAGCCCCACTGCGGGAATGCGGGACAGTGGAGAGCGCAGCCCTGCAGGCTCCCTCCTCAGGTTCAGCCACCCTGGAGCAGGCCGAGCTCCTAGGGGGCCCAGAGAAGCTGTGCTAGGCAAACAGCCTTGAACGTGGACTGCCTGTCTTTTGGGGGATGTGTCCACTTACAAACCCTAATCTGCAGCCTTTGTGCCTTGCCTCCACCACTCCTCCCCTTCATAGGTTTTCTTCTCCTCTGCTGTCCAGAGCCTGTGAGAGCTCCAGCTGCAGACTATCAGGATGGGGTAAAGGCCGCTGTGCGCAGGCACACTCACGTTTACTACCACCACCAAGCGAACACCTGCTGAGGCTCTGATCTGCTGTTAACACCATGTGGGGGAGGGAAGTGTCCAGGAGGGGGCAGTGAACCCAAAGGAAGGCTGCAGAGAAGCCAACTATAATAAGCTAATAAGCTATCACAGAATCAAGACACCTGCACATGGAACAGTCAAATGATTCCTGCAGGCAAAGTTCCTCTGGCTTCACTCTTCCTCCCGAGCTAAGAGCTCACCAAAGCCGTGCAAATCTACTTTCCAATGAGGCTCAACCCCTCCCTTGCCAAGCCATTTTTAATAAGGCACGCCCATCTCATTAGTTTGCACCCCCTTCACTCTGTCCAGGGAGCGGCTCCAATGAGCAAGGGCACCCCATTTCCTCCTAGTGCAGGTTCAGACCCTTACCCACAGAGGAATCTGAGGCTGAATTTCAGCACAGCACAATGGATGGAGGTTGAACCTTGCCTGTGCCACTTCCTGGCTGGGCCACCTGGACAAGTCACTTTACCTTCCTGAGCCTCAGTACAGACAGTCCCCAAAGTCCAGTGGTTTGATTCAAGATTTTTCAACTTTATGATGATGCAAAAGCAATATGCACTTGGGAGAAACTGTGCCTCAAGTACCCATACAACCATTCTCTTTTTCATTTTCGGTATTCAATAAACTACATGAGATATTCAATACTTCATTATAGGCTTTGTGTTAGACAGCTTTACCCAACTGTAGGCTAATGTGTTCTCAGCACGTTTAAGGGAGGCTCAGCTAAGCTATGACCCATGCTACATACAACAGGAGTGAACCTTGAGGACTTTATGCTAAGTGAAATAAGCCAGTCACAAAATGACCATAAATACCGTATGATTCCACCTACATGAGGTCCGGTTAGGTTCGGCAGGTTAGGTATATTAAATGCATTCTCAACTTAGGATATCCTATTTTCAGCTTCCAATGGGTTTATGGGGATCCAACCTCATCCTAAGTCAAGGAGCATCTGTGTCCTCACCTACCAACTAGGGACAGTGAGCTTGCCCTTTCTACCGCACATGGTTGCTGGGAGGACCAGACGTTTCCTGTGTGCCAGAGCAGCGCTTCTGCCAGTAGCACCAACCTGCCAGAGCTCAAAGCTCCACTCATGCTCCCACTGGGGGCGGAACATCTTTGACTGCCCAGAGGAGTGATTATGTCATGGTCGTGGTCTTCAGACAGGAGCGGGTAAAAAAGGGGTCTTAGGGGTTGACAGGTAGGCAGCATCTGGACATCTTCCTAAGGAAAACAGCAGGGAAATGGACACAGTCCTCTCAGAATAAATGTGAACTTCTAACCATTTCACACCCGTTAAAATGGCTATTAACAAAACACAGAAAGTAACAAGTGTCAGTGAGGATGTGGAGAAAGTGGAGACCTTGTGGACTGTCGGTGAAAATGTAAAATGGGTGCAGCTGCGGTGGAAATGGTAAGGTGGTTCCTAAAAAAATGATGGGAATTACCATCTGGCCTAGTAATTGTACTGGGTATATGCAAACAAACAAACAAACAAACAAAAACTGAAAGCAGAATCTTGAAGAGCTATCTGCACACCCATGTTCACAGCAGCATAATTCACAACAGCCAAAAGGTGGAGACGAGCCAAGTGCCCATTGATGGATGAAGGCACAAACAAAATGTGGTCCACCCACACAATGGAGTATCAGCCTAAAAAGGAAGGAAATTCTGACCCATGCTACAATATGGATGAACCCTGAGGCATTATGCTAAGTGAAATAAGCCAGTCACGATGTGACTATAAATACCGCATGATTCCACCTACATGGGTCCCTATAGTAGGCACACTCAGAGACAGAAAGGAGAATGGTGGGTGCAGGGCTGGAGAAGGGGAATTCGGAGTTTTTGATGGGGACGGAGTTTTGGTTTGGGAAGAGGAAAAGAAATCTGGAGATGGATGGTGGTGATGGCTGGATGACAGTGTGAATGTGCTTAATGCTGTAGGCTGTACACTTAAAAAATGGTTGAGATGGTAAATTTTATAATATTTATAAATATTATAAATTTATTTATATATATAAATATATATAATTTATAAATATTATAAATTATTATAAAAAATTTATAAATATTTTACCACAATAAAAAATAAATCAATAAATATGCACCTCTAATGCTTCCTTCTGTCACTGACATGGTGCCTCTGGACGACGCCTGCATTCTCTTCCCAACAGGCTTTCTCCCGACTACCCGTACATACCCATAAGAGGAAGCCTCTATCAGGGCAGCCCAGGCCCCCTGCTGCCTTTGACTGCTGGGTGCTAAAGTCCCAGAACAGCAAAGCCCTGCCCCTGCCCAGGGCATCATGCCCCCCACCGACATCAAACAGAAAGCTCCAAGACAGGGCAGAGCCCTGAAGAGAGGGTCCAGCATGACTCCCATGGGGGGCTGACAAGCAGGAAGTCATCCCCAGTGGGAGGACTCAAATCGCCCACTCTCATGTGGGTTTCCCTACGCTTCCTTTTTCTCTTTTCTGTACCTTCCTGTTTTCTCATTTATTAAGAACATCTCCTATTTCTTGGTCTTGTACATCCCATGTCTTTTAAAATCACTTATTTTACTTGCTTTTTATTCCCATTTCTCAAAATTCCTGTTTCTATTTTTTTCTTACCTCAAAATTGTATTAACATTTTTCAATTTTAATTTTATATATATTTTATTCATTTTTTGCTCTTATTCCACTCTTTTTTTAGCTATTTCTTTTTACTGTGGTATAAAACACAGTCACATAAAATACACCATTTTAACCATTTTTTTGTTTTTGATACGGAGTCTCGTTCTGTCACCCAGGCTGGAGTGCAGTGGCGCGATCTTGGCTCACTGCAAGCTCCGCCTCCCGGGTTCACGCCATTCTCCTGCCTCAGCCTCTCCGAGTCGCTGGGACTACAGGCACCCGCCACCACACCCGGCTAATTTTTTGTATTTTTAGTAGAGACAGGGTTTCATCGTGTTAGCCAGGATGGTCTCGATCTCCTGACCTCGGGATCCGCCCGCCTCGGCCTCCCAAAGTGCTGGGATTACAAGCGTGAGCCACCGCGCCCGGCCCATTTTAACCATTTTTAAGTGTGCAGTTCAGTGGCATTAGGTCCATTCACAACATTGTACAACCATTACCACCATCCATTCCCAGAACTTTTTCATCCCAAACAGGGCTCTGTACCCATGAAAAATCCACTCACTTTTAACTTTCATAATCAAATCCTTTATTCCTTCCTTTTGTATGTTTTTGACTTATATTTGTGGGGTGTGTTTTATACTGCCCTATCTTAAATTTTATTTTTCCTACTTTGTATTTTATTTTCCCTGTAACTGTTTTTCCCCTGCCATTCTTTTAATCCCTGTTTTAATTTTCAAATTTTCTTCTCTCCTACACATCACACACACACAGCACACGCACACTGGCTCAGCCCGAGAATGCTGTCCAGTCAGATGAGCTCCCATCAGCAACCCTTGCCTAGGAAGAAGGCTGCTAATCCCATGCCATCAGGAAGCCCCTGAGGCCAACCAGGCTGCCTCACGCACCTGGAGTAGACCGCTTCTCCACGACAATACCCAAGGATGGCAGCTGTCTCGGGATAGATGGCCTCATATTTCAGGAGATGCCGCTTCAGGGCATACAGAGGGTGGTTCTTATATAAGCCAATGGCAGTGGGCAAAGGCTGGTCCATGTGTTTAGCCTGAAACTGCAAAGGCCAGACAGACAAGGTTGAGCATGTTATTTAGAAGAGGAAATGAAGTTTGAGGGAGATGATCCTTAGACTAACTTGTTCTGACAACAGATGGTGGAGCCAAGGTTTCATGAACACTAATGGTTTTGTAACATCGCATCTGTACCTCCGGCCAGTAAGTCAGTTACAGATCAATCAAAAGCTTTAAAGAATCAAATAAATCTGTGGCTTGTGGCAACTTCAAAAAGTTGTCTAACCTATTTGAATGCTTAGACACCTAACCCAGCCCCAGCAGATGTGTTAAAGGTCTGCAAGGAAGAAAAACACACAGTGCTCTTCAGTAAGAAGGTCTTATTTCAAAGGGACAATCCTCTTCTAGAGCGTGAGCTTACCTGTCTGCTCTCACAGGAAACTGAGAGCAGCGGTTCTCACCCTGCGACTTTTCTCTTCGTCCACTATGACAGTGTTCTCTCTGCCCTTCTCTGAGATTGCTCATTTCTCAGTAGGCAATTCACTGCTGTAAGTCACCCTGTTCACTAGGCTCTCTAAGGCTTGCCCTTGGCATCTCTTCAAAAACCCCAACAGACTAGAAAGGACTGGCAATGTGGAGTTGCTGAGAGTGGGAGAGGACGCTGCACGTTCAGCTTCCACTGCGCTTTAGGTAGGTTAGTTACGATACCATCTGCATACTTTCCACTTAACCTGTCATTACTAAGTAAAATGAACTTAGTAATGCACCCATTTTACTTAGCATTACTAAGTAAAATGCACCCCTGGAGCAAACACTCAATATGGGATGCATTGCACTCCTATAGGAAATGATTAATAAATCTGCAATTTACCTATCCTGAGGGATTGGAAATAAACCTGCGACAAATCTGGGCATGTTCCTGTGTAGAAATGGCAAGCTCCACCCACCACCACCACTGCCATACACACAGGCGGCTCGGGCACTATTCCTGGTGTCAGTGCTGGTTCTAGGATCAAGTGACATAGCTGTCATGTTCTAGAAGTCTCTGCCTCCCGGTCTGCCTTCTCAATAGACTGAAGATACTGTCTCATTCCGAGACAGTATCATGTCTGTCTCATTCCGAGACCCCTCTTTCCCAGGAGGTGAGTGTTCTATGTATGAGGGGTGTTTGCACGTACATCTTTACATTCACGCATGATGGGGGAGGGGGGAGAATATATCCATGGGTTATTCCTTCTTTCACTCAGTCTGAGTTATATTACTTGCATAAATTATTTTAAAGCTCCAAATTTATAACTGGGCAATAACTAAAAGTATACAGGCTCCAAAGCCACACAGACCTGGGCTCAAGCACCGCGGCAGTTCATCTTTCAACTCCACAACTTTTTACACTAAAATTAAGGCAGCAACTGCCCCAGCTTTATATGGCTGTGACAATTAAATGAGACAACCCATTAAAAACACCCAACATAGTGCTGGGCATATATAAGGTGCTCAAAAACAGGAATAATTTTAATAACCTGACTGTGTCTTGGAGCCCCTGGCAGCCAAGGCCTTACCTCCAAGTCTTCTTTCTTCTCCCTGTCCATAAATGGGCTCTGGTATGGTCTCAAGGTCTCGGCCCACCACTCAGCATCAACCCGGCACTTGCGGGTCACTGTCATCCAGACTGGGTCGTACCTCTGTGTGACATCTCGGACCCAGCCGTCACTGTCAATGCCCACCACATAGGTCATGGGCTTGGTGGCGTACTTGTAACAGGTCAGAGGCTGGCCCACCACACCGTGCACACAGTCTACACATACCCACTTTTCCTCCTGCTCACAGAACACCTCTAGCCACTGGTCTATACCAGCTATGCTTCTTTTTTCTGCCTTCTCACCATCGCTGCACATTTTCTTGCCTCTTTTACTGCTTGAAGAGCTTGAGGATGCCGCTGGCAAGCTTGGGTCCTTACGATGGCTCCCACGATGGGTCCTGGAGGCACTCTTGGACCCAGCCTTTGTCCTCTGAGGAGCGGGGGCTTTCCTCTGCTTTGGAGGGCCAGGTTCGGAATCCTCATCAGAGGGATCAGAGGCTTCTCCACTGGAGAGCTCAAAATCAGAGCCGCTGCCAGCCTCATCACTCCCACTCTCCTCTTTATAAGACACCCTGGAGGCCACCCGCCGCTCCCGGCCATGCGGACGTCGCTGGGTTGCCTTCTCCTGCTTGTCTCCTGGGCCCTCATCTTCCTCGCTGGAGGAGGGCTTGCTCCGTTTCTTTCTGCCTCCCTTGTTCCTCTTCCCTTTGGCACTTGGCCTGCAGGTGCCCTTAGCAAAGGTTTCCTCTTGTTTGGTTCCTTTGCTGGTCTTTGGTTTGGTGTGGTTTTCTAGAACTTGGCTGGAAGTTTCTGAGGAGCCTCCTGGATCCGCAGTCAATCTTTCCTTGGAAGGTTTCTTTCCCTTAAACAGAATAAGAAATTTTGCTTTTTTTTCTCCCCCCTCTTTTGCTAATGATATGATAGAAATCCTGTAATCTAATAGGGTTAAGTCACCAGCTAGAGAACCAATACATCAAGATGTCCCCAGCTCAGACAGTGATCAACCAGCTATCCTTCAGGGTTGTATGTATGTATTGGCTAAAATCTGTAGCATCTTAGATAAGGCCACAGTATAATTCTTTTCACCCTAACTGTAAAGAGAAAAGAACATGGGATTTGGACAGCCAAACATGGGTCTGAATTCCAGTTCTAACTCTTATTGGTTACGTAAATTAGGTAAATTACTTAACCTCCGAGTTTCAGTTTCCTCAGCAGTACTACTACCCACCTTGGACATACGCATTTTGCAAACAAATACTTATGGACTTAATACAGCTGTAGTTTTAAGAATACAGATATTATGAAAATCAGCTTCTAGACCATCAGGCTTCAGACAATGCCAATACCCCAATGAGTACAGCATTTAGCTTCTTGAAGCTAACCCAGACCACCTCAAAATCCACAGTGCTTCACTCATCAGCACTCCACGGAGCAAGCAAGGACAGGCACCATTCCACACAATTTACAGAACAGAACAAAAGCAGCACTGGGCCGAGGCCTCTCACAGGCCACTCTGCACACGTGAAGTTCAGGCTGCTAGATACCCACTCACATGCCCAAGTCTTCCCTAACACAGGGTATGTGCAAGGCTCGAAAGAACCCACACTCCGTGAATACCAGCTCTTAAAAAATATAATAATGATCAATTTTTTTAAGTGTGACAATTTCCTGTCAATTGCTCCTCTTCTCTGGCAGCCCTGCGCACCTCACCTTTGCTGTTGCTGACTTCAGAGGAATTGGCTGTAGAGACAATACCAGCCGGGTCAAGAGCTGCAGAGCCCGGAGAATCAGTAAGAATATCTATGATGAAAAGGAAGAACATAGTTATCCTAAGAAAGTAATTAAAGATGTAATGAGTTCAATGTTGTTTGTTATGGTGCTTGTTCAAGACAGGGAAAAGCTGGAAACAGCCAGACTGTCTAACAGTAGGCGACGGAAACTCCAGACACTGTTAAAAACGATGATGCAGAAGTTTATCTTCGTAGAAGAACAGGAACATGCTCATCATATATTAAAGGAAAATAGAAGTTTTCCTTTAAAAAGTATGATGTGATTACATTTTTATAAGAAAAATATGTATATATAAATTTAGACATACACGTATATTTGAAAAAGCATCCATATACTGGGTTATGGGTGTTTACATGCTTTTTTTCTCTGCTTACCTACCTTCTGATTGTTCTGTAGTCAATATGTGTTGCGTTTGTGACTAAAATAATAAAATGAAATACCACTTTGGGAAGAAGAAGTAGAAAGTATCATTATCGTCAGATCACCAGGTCTGTTCCCTGTTTTCCAATTTTCCCCACATTGAATCTTTAACTGAGTCTGCAGCTCTGAAAGCTGTTAACTTGGAAGTCTGGGAGCCCCTCAGGGGACTTAACTCCAATGGCAACAGTGATAATGTACTCGGCCAAGGCCTTCCTACACGGGTCTCCAGGTCCCAGCATCTCTCCTTGATTACTGCCACAGCCTCGGGAGAAAGTCCGGTGTGAGAAGCCATTGTTATGGTGAGAAAAATGATTGCTTTTGCCTTGTTTCTTCTGCGGCTAAAAATTTCCAAAGTGTCAAGGTCATGAAAGACAGGGAAAGCCCAAAACACTGTCACACACTGGAGGAGACTAAGGAGACATGATGACTAAATACAAACTGGTATCATGGAACAGAAAAAGGATATCAGTGAGAAAACGTGGAAAATCCAAATAATGTCTGTAGTTTAGCTGATGGCATTGTACCAGTATTAATTTCTCAGTTTCTTCTTGTACAGCATGGCACAGGAGCACAGGTCCAGAAGTCTGGATAACTAAGTGTTCACCACTAGCTGAGTGACTTCCCTAAGCCTGGATTTCTGCATCTAGAATAATCCCTGCCTCGGCTTCCTCACAGGACTCTAAAGAGGATTAGACAAGATAATGCAGGTGACAGGACTCTGGAAACAGTCTAGTGCTACCCAAGCATACACAGTCACCACCTTTAGTAAGAAATCTATCAATGTACATTGCTGAGGAAAAAAATCAGGTTACAGAACTGTACGATCCCTACAAATTAGATAACATAGAGAAAATGGACAAAATCCCAGAAACATACATATATGACCAAACCTGACTCAAGAAGTAATGGAAAATCTGAACAGATCTGTAATAACAGATCGAGTCAGAACTCAAAAACCTCCCAACAAAGAAAATGTCTAGGACTAGATGACCTCACTGGTGAATTCTAGCAAATATTTAAAGTGGAATTTACCTCAATCTTTCTCCAACTCTTTCAAACGTTAGAAGAGGAAATATTTTTTAACTTGTTCTATGAGGCAAGCATTACCCTGACACCAAAGCCAGACAAATACATCACAAGAAAATAAACCAATTTATGAATATAGATGCAAAAATCCTGAATAAAATACTAAAAAACAAATTGAACATATGAAAAGGCTTATACAACATGACCAAGTGGTACTTATCCTAGGAATGCAAGGATGGTTCAACATAAGAAAATCAATCAATTAAATATACATTAATAGAATGAAGGAAAGAAAATCCAGAGGATCATTTCAACTGACAAAGAAAAACGCACCTGAGACAATCCAACAGGCTTTCATGATTAAAAAAAAAAAAAAAAAATTCAGAACACTAGGAATAGAAGGGAACTGAGTCAACGTGATAACCCAGATCTAGTATGATACTTAATGGTGAAAGATTGAGAGCTTTCCCTCTAATTATCAGGAACAAAACAAGGATGCCTGCTGTCACCACCATTATTCAACATTGTACTTGAAGTCCTAGCCAGAGCAATTAGGCAAGAAAAAGGCATGCAAACTGGACAGGAAGAAGTAAAATGATCTACTCATAGATGGCATGATCCTATACATAGAAAATTTCAAAGAATGCACAAGAAAGCTAGTAGAGCTAATAAATGAATTCAGCAAAGCTGCAGGGTACAAGACAACACAAAAAAATCAGTTGTGTTTCTATACATTTGCAATGAACAACCTAAAAGAGAAATTAAGAAAACAATGCTATTTCCAAGAGCATCAAGAAGAATAAAGTACCTAGGAAAAAATTTAACCAAGGTAAAAGGCTGTACACTGAAAATTACAAAATACAGCTGAGAAATTAAAGACAAAAATAAAAGGAGAGACATCCATGCTTATGGACTGGAAGACCTAATAACCAGATGGCAATGGCACCCAAATTAATCTACAGATCAGTGCAGTCCCTATCAAAATTCCACAGCTTTTTCACAGAAATGGAAAAACAGATCATCAAATTCATATGGAATTGCAAGAGGCCCCAGATAACCAAAGCACACTGTAAATGAACAGAGTTACACTGAGGCTTCCTGATTTCGCAACTTACTACAAAGCTATAGTAATCAAAACAGTGTTGTACTGGCGTAAGAACAGACATGTAGACCAACAGCATAGAATTGAGAGGCTGGAAATTAACCCATACATTTATGGCCAGTTGATTTTTGAAAAGGATGCCATGACCATCCAAGCCCCATTGAAAAAATTGTCTCTTCAACAAATAATGCTGGGACAAATGGATATCCACATGCATAAGAATGATATTGAACACCTACCTGATATATGCAAATATTAACTCACAACGTATGTAAGAGCAGTAACTATAAATCTCTTACAAGAAAACACAGGGGTCGATCTTTATGACCTTGGATTTGACAATGGAATCTTAGATACGACACCAAAAGCAAAAAGAACAAAAGAAAAATAGGTAACTTGGACTTTGTCAAAATTCAAAACTTTTGGGTATCAAAGGACTTCATCAAGAAAGTAAAAAGGCAACCTACAAAATGGGAGAAACCATGTGGAAAGCATGTATCTGATAGGTAACTAATATCCAGAATATACAAGGAGCTCTTACAAATCATCAACAAAAAGGCAACATAATTAAAAAATAGGCAAATACTTGAACAGACATGTCCTCAAAAAAGATACACAAATGACCAAGAAGCCCATGAAAAGACACTCATCATCATGTCATTGGAGAAATGCTATCAAAACCACAATGAGGTATCACTTGACACCCATCATAATGACTATAATCAAAACATCAGAAAATAACCAAGTGTTGGTAAAGATTTGGAATCCTCGTTCATTGCTGGTGGCAATGTAAAATGGTACAGTAACTGCAGAAAACAGTTTGGTGGTTTCTCCAAAAATTACATATAGAATATACATATGACCTAGCAATTTCAATCCTAGGTATATACCCAAAAGAACAGAAAACAGGGTATGTAAATAAATATATGTATAGACATTATTAACAACACTCTTCACAACAGCCACAAGGTGGAAACTAACTAAATGTCTGCCAATGGATAAATGGATAGAGAAAATGTATAAACATGTAATGGAATATTATTCAGCTATAAATATTAATGAAATACTGATACATGCTAAAATGCAGATGAATCTTGAAAACATTATACTAAGCAAAAGACAGGCAGAAAAGGCCACATAGTGTATAATTTCTTTTATACTAAATATCCTAAATAGGTAAATCCACAGAGACACAAGACAGATTGGTGGTTGCCACGAGCAGGGACAGGGGGGTAACAATGAGGAGTTTAATGCGTATATACAGGGTTTCCCTTGGGGGTGACAAAAACATTTTGGAAATAGAGGTGGTAGTTGCACAACATTGTAAATGTACTAAATGGTCACTGAATTGTACCCCCTCTTTAAAAGCTGTGTGATCCTATTTTGCTTAAACAAATAAACAAAACAAATACATACGTACACACATACACAGGAACAAAGTCTGGGAGGACAATACTAAAATATTAATGAGTTACCAGCCTGGCCAACAGGGTGAAGGGTGAAACCCCATCTCTACTAAAAATACAAAAATCAGCCAGGCATGGTGGTGGGCACCTGTAATCCCAGCTACTCGCGAGGCTGAGGCATGAGAATCACTTGAACCCAGGAGGTGGAGGTTGCAGTGAGCTGAGATTGCACCACTGCACTCCAGCCTAGGCGGCAGAGAGAGACTCTGTCTCAAAAAACAAAAACAAACAAACAAAAAAATTGGCAGCACATTATAACATAATTATCAGCCTTGCCAAATATCTTAGACTTGTTAAAGCCAACACGGAAGAAGAGAACTAAAGATGTCAACCATCTTTTTCTCCAGAGAATCTGGGACTCCCAGATTGAACTGTATGGATTAATAGGAATCTTCTAGGGATAAAACCACATTTCCATCTCTGTTTTTGTTTTATTCAGACAGAGCCTTACCTACAGGTGCCTGTAGGCATTTGATAAAGCCTGCCTGTCCCTGGAGCACTCTGCCATCACGATTCCTTTTTATGGACAGAACCCTCCTCACTGCACTGCTGCCTGCCAGTGTCAACACCCAAATGTGAGATACAAAAACACATTCTCAAGGACTTCAGCATCCAATTTGAAAAAACATTTCCTTGGGACTTCTGAAGACAAAATTGGAAAAATTAATGAAAATATTTCTAGCACATCTGACCAAAAACTACGGGCTTTTTGGTACACCACAACTAGAGGCGATAGGGAGGAAAGCATACAGGCCCTCCACTCAGACTCTGATCCCAATCTCGATTCTCAGGCTCACCAAGGAAAAGACCTTAGAGGCATCATGTAGCTATTCTGGGCTTCAGCAGCTATCAACGTCATTATGAGGACTGAATAAGGTAGTGTCGGTAACACACCTGGAATGGCATCTGGCACATGGCTGCCATTATCATTAGTTAACAGTACTGATAAAAAACAGTGATCCGGGAGGATCACTTACATGGACCAATTCCTCATCATCTCGAGCAGAGTAAATAGCAAATCTCCTTTCCAATGTAGTCTGCAGGTTATCTTGTTCACTGGCTGAAAGTTCTGCATTAACTGTAAATGTTCCAATGAACCTGGGGAGAAAGCAGGCATTCCTTGTGTCAGAGGTCAGGGCAAAGGGGAATTTTCATTTCCAGCCAAGAAAATAAAAAGAGGGAGTGAATCGTGAGACCCGCCTGCCTCTGTCCTACTTTCCCCAGCCCGTCTAGCTAACTCCTATCATCACTGCAGACCCAGCTCAGACTTTACCTCCTTGGGGAGCCTTCCCAGACCTCCCAGCTGAGAAAAGCGCCCCTGCTATGTGAGCCTGCAGTCCCCAGAACACCCCTTCCAGGGCACTCCTCATGCCATCCTGTAATTACCTGGTATGTATTTGTCTCCCCACCAGTCTGGCAGCTCTACCAGGGCAAGATCATACCTGGCATTTCTCTATCTTCAATGCCATGCCCACCACCTGATACATAGTTACCGCCTCAGGGAAGGTCTGTGGAAGTGACCTGAACCCAGCCTCTGAGAGAAACACAAATCCTACACTCCCCAGCTCTGCAGGACAAGCGGAGGGCCTTACCACTTCACCAGGTTTGAGAGGTAGTAGGTGTCCACATCTCGAGGCAGCACTCTGGTAAAGCGGGCTGGGATGATGGACAGGCCAATAGCATGCAGATCTGGCTGGCTGCAGATGTTATTTCGATAGAAGCCATTTGCTAGCAGGCAGAGAAGGTGAACCTGTGAAGAGGAAAGGAGGAAGGGGCAGCATGGAAGGAAGGCCGGACACCAGGAGGAATTTTTGCTGCCAAAGTCAAGACATGCTGTGGACAAGAAATATGTGTTGCCATTTCTACATATAAGAAAGTAAAAACACTAGCATTGGCCACTTCCCAAGCTTGTCTTTGACCCTCTCTTTTTCTCTCTGTATACTCATTCCTTCAAAGGAATCATCAAACCTCAAAGCTTCAAAATACAAATTGCTTTGTTTTCAAAATACAAACTGTTTTTGTTTTGGTCTTGTCTTTCAGAGATACATACTGAAAGATTTCTGGATGAAATGCTGCCATGTCTGGGGTTTGCTCCACGAGATCAGAAGAAAAGGCAAGTGGAGTGGAGCTGGAGAGACTGCTGGAAGCCTGTGGAAGCCGGCGGGATGCACCCCACTGGGCTCACTGGGCTGCTCTCGCCACCTCTCTGGGTGTTTGAGCCCAACCTTCTCTGTCACAGGCTCCACATCTTTGCCCTTCCTCTGACCCCAAAACCCACCCTTCATCCACCTACTGAAATGATTATATGACCTCTTCACCTCTTTTCACATACTGCTTTGTGTCATTTTCCCTTCAACATTGGCTTCCTCCCCCCCGACTAACAGCCTCCCTATTTTAATCAATAGTGCTGCCTCTCTCTCCTCACTCAGGCCTCAAACCTGAGAGTCATCTTCCCTTTCTTTCACCTCCAGCACCCAACAAGAGGTGAAAGGCACACAGCTGTCTCGTTTCGTGCCCCAGGCCTGGGTGAGGGAGGCGACCCCTCTCTAACCTCGTCACCATCCTTGCACCTCTAGATTTCTGCAGTAGCTGCACACAAAGCAACTCACCCATCCCATCACTATCCTCTCAGGCAGCCCACCATCCATCAAAGGGAAACCAAAGCCCACCCTCCCTTCACCCCCACCCCCCAACACCTACATACTCCACACACGCAGGTGAGCTGGGCACCTCGCCGTCCCCTCCACAACTTGGCTAGAGTCTTCAACTTTTTCTCCTAGACCTGGCTCTAATCCTTTCCCCTACATAAAGCCTTCCCCAGCTCCACAGAGCCACGCTGATCTCTTTCACTGTTCCAGGCATAGCCTTGAGTTTCTCTGTTTGGAAGTCCTTGTTCCATCTAGAGATCAGATACTCCTCAATTGTAGGAAATAAGCTTTATCCAAGTCTCTATCCCCACCATGCCAAGCACCTTGCTAGGTGTGTGCAAGTGTTCAATAACTGTCAGCTAAAGTCAAAAGCCAGTGCCTGCAGCTGGGATTAGAATTAATGACATTAAATGGCTGAAAGGAGAGATGGAAGGCAAGTGCTCTTTATTTAGCCTCTGCTGCATGCCAGGCATTGTGCTGCAAGTTACCTTACCTATAATACACAACCACCCTCCAAGACAGACACTATTACTACCCCCACCTCCCAGATGAGGATGCAAAGGCTCAGAGAGAGTAAGAAACTTGCCATGGCCACAGAGCAGCAAAGCCAGAAATAAAGCCTCGGTGAGCACAAGCTCTTTGCACCGACAAGGAAAAGTCCTTCCCCATCATTCCTTGCCCTTACCTTGTGTGTGTCCTCATGGACCCCTTTATTGAAACGTTTCATCGCCCTCCGAAGATATGTCTCAAACTCCAGTTTTATCTTTTCACTGCAACAAATAGTGAAAAATCTGGGAATGAAGGGGGGAACTGAAACCAGACTCCACTCCCCCAGGCAATTCCTTCTCCTCGGATGACAGTGAATCACTCTCCCTGTTTCCCTACACAAGGCTGTGCTACTCAAGTCCGTCTGCAAGCCAGCTATTTCCTGCAGGCTCTTTGGCTCCTTCTCACCAGCAAACCTCGGCCTGGGACATTCTGTACCCAGACAACCCTCCTCTCAACCAGCAGCAGATCACACCTCACCTACATGCCTCAAAGCTCACTTCTTCCAGGAAGTCTTCTCTGGCTGTCCAACTCTTCCGACTACTGACTCTCTCCTTAGCAACCATTACCTTTATTAATGTTAAATTAACACACCATCATTTATGTGACACTGTTCTAGTGTAAAATCTCTTTTTCAGTCTGTATCCCATTAATCTTCAAGACAACTTGACACTTCTTGAATGATTTGTATTATCTCCCTCTTCTGTGCCTAGTAATGTGCCCATCGCACATTGGAATTCCCAAGCCATCAGAGGCTGCAGAGGTACTCCGGGATGCTGGGAAGGATAGGGGCTCCCTACCACGGCGGGCACTGCCTCAAGTCCTGCAGCATGACATGGTGAGGAAAATGTGAATGCCAAGTCAATGAGAAGGATTAGGTCTCAGCTCTTCCATTACTGGCTGAGTGACTCTTGAAACGTTACTTAGCGTCTGAACGTTACTTAGCTCCTCATTCACAACACTGTTCTAAGGATTAGGTAAGATAACGGATGACCTGCTCAATCCTTGGCACACAGGAGTTCCCTCTCCTCATCCCTCACCAGCCCCAGCCAGGACACGAAGGTGTCTCATTCAAGTCTCTAAAGGTAAATCAGGTTCCTGACCCAAGGTTCTCGACCACTTTGATACTCAGTCCTGGTCCCCTACAAGTTTCTCCAAAGTCCTCCTAAGCAGCAGCTGTTGCCTACTGCATGTGACAGGAGCCTAGAAGCAAGGGCCTAAGCTTACCTTCTTTCTCTTGTCTTCGCCTGCTCTGGCGTTTCAATCTCTATCTCCACTGGCTTCACAGGCAGAAGAGATCGAGAGAAGGCTGTACTTTCTCTCACGTCACCCAGCACAGGCTCACTAAGTTCTATCAACAAGCATTTTTAAAAATCAGTAATAGTAATAACAATAATAATAGCTACTGTACTGAACAGAATCAAGGTTCTGCTGGGAAGGAGGAAGTGAGGCATGAATGTGAGGGAGACAGCCCACAGAGACCCCTAGACATGCCTTGCCCTGAGTCCTACCATGTGCCGGGCAGTGTGCTGAGTGTTATATATTCGTGTGTCTCATTTAACCCACACAACCCAGACAGTCTTTAGATAAAGAACCTAAAGCATAGAGATACTGGGTTGAATCAGATACAGACCCCTCTATCAAAAAGCTGACACTCATGCATGTATGTATATACTTAAAACTCTTTAAAAAAAAAAAACCCAAGTGAGAATAATCTCCTTTTCTCTGTATTCTGTATTACCACAATAACAATTAGCACAATTTGCTTTGTATAGAGTCATGACTCAGGTGTCCATCTTTCATTCTCAATTATAAACTTGTAAGTGACAAAAAATATATCCTTTTCATCTCTTCACCCCCTACGTTGCTTGTATACAGTAGCTGAGAAGGACTGAACTTGCTGAACTGGATCTAATTGAAAACTTCATTAGCAAAAGTTCCTTAAAAGAGGCTCTGGGCCTAGAAGCCATGACATCTTACTGGCAAAGAATGCATCTAATGCCAGATCTTGGTCTCTATACATGAATCTCTATTAAAATGAACCACAGCTTCTTGAAGAAAAAAAGGCTGGTTTCAAGTCTACAGCAAGAAAAGTATAAGCTGAACAAAAATGTTCTCAAAGACTAATGAGGCCATGTCAAAAGGACATGGTAGTACAGCTAGCTTAAAGGTAGCATGACTAGAAGAGGAACAACCTGACATTAGAGGTGGCTTAATCAATGCAAGATGAGGTTTAAAGCATCATCTAGGAAGGATTCTTGGAAAAAAAATAAAAGTTTAATCAAAATTACATGTCTTTGGACTTAGTTTACAAGAAATACAGGGGATATTGAAACAAGTTTAACACCACCATGAGATGTGTGACTGTTTATCAGACAAAACTAGAACATGAGACAGTCTACAAAACAAAAGACTAGGATCCTTCAAAAAAGGCAGTGCTATGAAAAGCAAAACAAGGCGGTAGGTGGGAAATACTGCTCTATATTAAGAGAGTAAAGTGACATAAAGACCAAATACAAGGCTTGGTTGGATCTTGGTATGGAAAAAGAAACAGGCATAAAGGATGCTTTCATAACAATTGGGGACTTATTTTTCATTTTCGTAGGTGTGATGAGGTCATTTTGTCATGCAGGAGAATGTCTAATTATTAGGAAATGCAGGCTGAAGTATTCAGCAGTGGAGTATCAGAATATCTACAACTTATTTTCAAATGGTTCCACAATGAATATTTACAGAGAGAAACATACATTCAATGTGGCAAAATGTTAATGAACCTAGGTGAAGGACATATATTACATTTTTCACTCTTTTTATAAATTTGAACACTTTCAAAATAAAAAGGTGAGGAAAAGTCAGGCCAGACAGAAGGAATCAGGGATGATAACATTAGCTGGTATTTACTGTGAGTGTATGATACATTAGGCCCATTACATTTGCAAACTTTCTTTTCCCCACAATAATCCTACAGCCTATACTGTGAATGGCTCACACTAAACATTCAGTGTTTACAGAGTGTTACCAATGAGAAAACTCAGTTCAGAGAGGTGAAGTTACTTGCTCAAGATTAAATTACTCACTCACACTGCCACCTAAGTGGCAAAGTTGAGCACTGAACCCAATTCTAACTACTTTCAAAGCCTGTGCTCCTTCTCCTAAATAGTGCTGCCTCTCTATTTATATCTACCCCATTGACAGTCACCAGAGGAAGAGAGTAAACAGCCTTCTTTGGTAACTTGGCCATGAGTTTTTCCATATATATCAAAGCAAGTCCCTAGTACAACCTTATCTGTGGTCTAATTAGCTCAAAAGAAAACAAAAGGATTGCAATTAGTGATCTGACTCCAAACAGAATCAAACAAAAAAACAAACAGAACCAAACAGTTCTGAAAACAAAGAAAGATGTTTCACCTTCAACCTCTTCCCAATCATTTTCACTTTCTTCCTCTTCTTCATTGCTGTCTTCATTCATGGTAGCCCCTCTCTTCAGATGGTGTGCCTTCTTGAGGTCACTTGGAAAGTCCCTGTGTAAAGACCACAGGAAGGAAGATGAAGAAGACTCAGACATCCTAGTGTTCCATTCAAGCTAAATGGAATTTTTAAAACCCCTCCTATTTATTGAGAATCTGTTGCAACTATTTAAAGATGATTAGTAAGCTCTGAGCCTCACTTCCTCCATCAACATGTGTTCCAAATCTCATCAAGATGTGCTCTGATCATCTGTCTAATTACTACCAGATGTGCTGTTAAAAAACCTACAATCTAGATCGTGTGAAAGAAAACATAGCTGTGCCTGGACATGACAAGGAAAAATTAGAAGACACCAAAATAATAATGAGTTCCAGAACTGTGATATCTGTGTGATATATGTGCAGTTGGAGGCCAGAAAGAACAGAATAAAATCTCCATTTATATATCCTACTATAAGCCTACTCAGACTTCTTTTCCATCTTTAAGAAATATGATGTAAGGAGACTGAAATTCATAGCATTCTAACTTCAAGCAGGGATGTAACTACACATAGGTGAGTCATAAATAACAAGAGACATAGACAGCTAGCTAGCTAAGTAGATAATAACATAGATAAGTAGCTGGCTAAACAATGGCTCAAGGCTAAGTACTTGCTGATACGTAATATATTTCTGCAAATTCATATATAAAATGTGTCTAGAGTATCCAGTTACTTTTAACTTGTGTAAACTTTGGCACTTGGTACCAAGTGAGAATATTATCTAGGATTTTGGTATAAACATTTAAAATAACCAATCATCAATCTTGAGCTCTAATAATACACTCTTTTTTTAGAGTACCACTTTCTCTCAAAACACCAGCAATAAAAATTTCCCCTTAGAATGAACATAGCAGAAATGACCACAGTCAATGCTCAGGGGAGAGGGAAAGGGGGACCCAGAGCTTTCCTTGGCAGTATCGTGGCCTATCTCTATGTATATGTCTCTGGAGATAGAATTCAACTAGTGAGGGGAGGCAACTGGAAAGCAGTAAGTTCAGAGGTATTCTTCAGAAAAGTCTAGGGAAGGCCAGGCGCAATGGCTCACGCCTGTAAGCCCAGCACTTTGGGAGGCTGAGCAGGGCAGATCACCTGAGGTCAGGAGTTCGACACCAACATGGTGGAACCCTGTTTCTACTAAAAATACAAAAATTAGCTGGGCGTGGTGGTGGGCACCTACAGTCCCAGCTACTCAGGAGGCTCACTTGAACCTGGGAGGCGGAGGTTGCAGTGAGCCAAGATTGCATCACTAGACTCCAGCCTGGGCAACAGAGCGAGACTCCATTAAGGACGGGACCGGGATGGGGACGGGACGGGGCGGGACGGGAAGGGAAGTCTAGAGAAAAGGAGAAGAGATGGATCATGGCGGAAAATCATCATGCTGTCCCGTGTCCCTTCCTGTGCCCTCTACTGGACTACTCTCCCATCCCAGGACTAGAGGCTGCTGGAAAAGCTGATACTGGCAGTGAGGATTTGTTTATGAAGCAAATGAAAAACTATCCCTCTGTTCTTCCTCTTCTCCCCACCCCTCAACTTTCTTAGGAGGCAGAAAATCAAGTGTTCCCTGGGCTCATAATCACTGTTCACAACATATTAATATAAATGCTCATTCATTGCAAAAATACTTGTTCAGTTTCTGCCAAATAAAAGGGCCTGCAATGGATGCTACAGGGCATATGAAAAGGAACCCCACATGGTTCCAGCCCTCTGAGAGGTCACAGGGTAGTAAGCCTGGGTATGTGGCATGGTAACAATAACTGGCAGACATATCACACTCCCTAGAAGCGCTACAGGAAGTCAGAGGAGAGAAGGGGGAAGAATCAGTGAAGCCTCTGGAGTAGGTGGTTTCAGATCTGCATCTTCAAGATGGAAGCCAGCAAGCACTCCAGGTAGAGGGAATACCATGAGCACAATGCAGGTGTAGAAAGTAGGAGAATGTGTTCAGTGAATGATGAGAAGCTCAGGTGGGCCGGAGAAGAGCGTGCTTGAGGACAGTAGTATGAGATAAAGCTGGAATGGCAGGTAAATATTTTGTATACATCTAATATTTTTGTGTAGTAGAAAGAGCACTGGACCAGGAGTCAGAAGACCTGGGTTCTCCTGCTTTTGCCACTGTCCAGCTGTGGAAGCATGAATAAATCACTTACTGCATGCTGTCACTGTTCTTATCTGAAAAGTTTCCAGCTCTTACCGGTCTGAGTTGTACCTAGAAGAATTTAAAGATCCAATCTTCCATGGACCCCAGTGACAAGTAAGAATAGAGGTTTTCATTATTCACAATTCTCTGATGAGAAAAATCAAGACCCGAGACAAAGCTTTGCAGACATCTCACCTGAGGTCATCCCCATCGCTGAGGGCTTCATCCTTTATAACCTTGAGGTTTTCAGATTTAACAGTCACCTTGGCCACTTTCTTTTTTGCTGGACCATCTGCTGAACCCCCAGGATGACTGCAGCCTCTTTTCCTCTTTCCTTGTGAAACTTTGGAGAGAAGGCTCTTCTTTGGGGGTTTCTCATCTTCAAAGGCATCTAGGTGACAACACAGAACATAAGGTGAGGGGTGGAAGGAAAGGTGGAGGCAGTGCAGCTTATGGGCAGGGGCATAAAACGGCTCTATGACCTGTCTCCAAACCCCATCTCCATCACTGGTTCACCATCCCCTGTCTGGTCAGCAACCAGCTCTCAGCTTCTTCCCACCTGCGGCTAGTCTATATTCACAGTAAAAACCATCTTCCTTTATCAGCACTTTACTTCTCCTATGACTACAGAAAATACCATAGGACTCAAATAAAACCTAACTTCCAGATCTTAAATGTCAGCTAACCTCCTGCCAGGAAAATACAACATCCATTAATTAGCACCTTATTTATTATCTGCCAAAATTAATTGTCTTAGGGATAATGTACTCCTAAGTAAAATGTTAAGTACATAAACATGTCCAAGTTTTACCACAACATCATTACTATTAATCTACATTTCTGCCAACCTTCAAGACCAAACTGCTCAAAACACATACTGCTCTGAAACCTTTCCAATGTAACCCAAATGGCACTCATATACCAACCACCTCAGCAAACTTACAGTTGGAAAAAGACAGCAATAATTCAAAAGTATTTTCTTAAAGTAATTATTTTTTTGTTAAAGGGAAATAAAAAATGCATAAGCTGCTGGTTTTAGTCAAATTGGGGTATCTAAAATTATGGTTTATTTACATATAATAATTATATTAATAGATTAGTTTTAACAAATAATATGGCAGGGAAGGATAGTTTTCTATTTTGCAAATATATTCACACAAATTATCTTGAATCTGAAATAAATCTTTTGTCTTTGCATGACTCTGCTTCAATTAATTTTAGAAAATAAAAATACTCTACCTTTTATTGAGGTTCCAAAAGGGATTGCAATATTAACCTAAAATATAAAATTATTTAATAATTCAGTCTTTTCATTGTTTGTCTTGCTGACTCTCTGGATGGGTATTTATATTCCACAAGAATATACTTTTGCATGAGGGAAAAAAGACTCTCCCTTCTGATCTAAATGAAATCATGATTAAATGTTAATAAAATTCATAACAAAGGAGCATTTATTTTAATGTTAGATCATTGATTCCGTTGTTTCTTTAAATGTTTTATAAAAAAGGAATTTATGCATTCCCATTTTTAAACATTGTATGGAAACCAAAAAATAAGGAAAAATTTTGAAGTACAAATTATTTCAAAATTAATTTTTTCAAATCTGAGAACAGATTGCCTACTCCAAGGCCAGAGGTTGCATAAAGCTTAAGATTTGACAGTTTGAGGAGGGTGCCCCTAAAATCAAGATTTCTGGATCTTACAATGGTAGTTAGCCCTCTAATAATAGGCAAAGATGCTAAACACTTCAATTTCTACTAATCTAAAAAAATGCACGTAGGAGGATACTTCAGAGGCATCACAAACTTTTCTAGTTGGTTAAAAAGCACAGCTTTTATTTCCGTTTGAAGAGAAAGGTAGAGGAGTTAAAAGGGAAAGGGGGATAAAGGAAACACAAAAACTCTGAATCAAAAGGATGTTCATAGTATTCAAAAGCATCTAACAATAATCTGAATGTCCAACCATGAGATAATTGTTAAGTAACTTATGGCAGAGCCACACAACAAAATATAATTGAGTCATCCTTTAAGATAAAGAAAAACGATATATGATGTAATGTTACTCATGCAAAGTTGATTTTACAGTATGCTTTCTGCTATATAAAAAACAGACTAGAAGGAAACAGACCACTATTTCATGGTGGCTATTTCTGGATGGCAGAAATATGGGTGACTTTCTGTTCTCTGCTATTTTTTGGTCCCTAAGCATCTAGAGACTCTTTTCCAGGACTCTCCAAAATCTTGAGTTATCTAATATGCCTAACCAGACTCCTTGAGTTCAGTGTTCTTTCAGTAGGGCAGGAATTACCACTGTGGTCTGCTTGCCCATCTACTGGGATTTAATAAGAACACCGGAGTAAACCTTCCAGCAGCAACTCATAGCACTCAGAATAAAATTCCAACTCCTTAGCTTGGTATCCAAGCTCAGGCCCTTGCTCACTTCTCCTACCCAGCCCCTCGCTCGCTGTGTCCAGCCAACTGGCCAAGTTCATTCCCTCCTAAGAGTGTTTAAACACACTGTTCTCTCTGCCTAGAACTCTTTTCCCCAGAACTTCCTATGAATGGCTCAAAATTACACTAAATGCCTCAAAATGCCACCTCCTTACAAAGGCCTTCCCTGACACTGATTCCCATTTAGCTGCCTCTCCCCCAGCCCCATATAAGTTTGAGGGTTTTTCTTTTCATCTATAGAAGCATTTTCTGCTATGTACCCAAATAAGTTTTATCACAGCAGTCTTAGCACAGGGTGATAGCTCTTATCATCATGTGAATCCGTTTTTTTTTAACTTGTTATCTGCTCTAAGTACCCCTCCCCCCAGATTATAATCATGAGAGCAGGTGCCTCATCTGTCTTGTTCAATATTATCCTAGTACCTGGAACAGTGTGTGAAAATAGTAGGCGCTCAATAAACAGCTGTTGAAGGAATTAATGGATATCACTGAAGGTGTTAACACAGAGAAGAAATGAAAAGAAACCAGAGGTGCTTTAGTAACACAAAGGAAATCATGTGGAAGCCTGTTTTCTTTTCTCCTATTTGTCAAAAGCAGCCAAGTATCACCTTCATTTGCATGTACAGGGGTGCTATTAAAACCTACACTATTACAGTGTTAGCAACTACACTGACAGTCACCAAATTATTGTCATCTGCAGCCCAAACCATACTTGCTAAGTCTATGCTTCCCCACAAAACCACCAAACCACAACAAAGGTTGTAACTCTGCAGATCCTGGAAGCTGCCTTGGGAACTGACTGCTAGCTCCTCTGGCTAGCAGAATAAACTTGGGTGCATCTTTACCTCCGTTTAGGCTGAATGACACCAGCTAGCCCAACTAATTTACCTAACATGGGTAAAGCTAAAGCTCTTGGCTTTATATGCTATCCCACTGAAAACTCACAGCCACCCCGCAAGGCAGTTATTACATTTCACAGAGGAAATTCAGAAGGGCTAAAACATTTGTCCAAAATAATTCACCCAAGTGCATAAAACTAAGAATTGAAGCTCTACCAAGCTGGAACCGAGGTGAAGTGTTGAGCTGGGAAGAATACAGGTAGCATTTCCATCAGATTAAAACCGTAAATTTTTAATTGCCATATATCCAAATTACATTCTGACTAGAATACCGGCCCCTTTTTGTGACCCCTTGCTAAAATACCAACCATCCTTTAAATCACAGATCAAACTACTTCAGAGAGCGTTCCCCGATCACGCCAGTCAAACTTGATTAATCCTTTGGAAGCTACAAAGCCTTGTACCTTCTTCCACAATATTTAGCACACTTTGCCTTGAATGTTTTACATGTAAATGTCATGTCAACACTACTCTATGATCCTCCAAGATATGTTTATCTCTCATGTCACCTCATTCATGTACAGCACATAGTAGATACTCAAAAGATGTTATTTGAATGAGTAAATGAGTGAATAAAATGGAACTCGTAATATTACATATGAGGTAAATCACCTCCTAAGTTTACGAATTATTACCATTTCACTATTTCCTAATGGATGATGAATTTATAACCGGTATAGAAACAGAATCTAGTGTGATAGCCTTTGCCGGTTACCTAGTCTAATCTACCCAGTTTTTTCAGGAGACCCAGAAATTCCTTCTACAGCCTGCATTTTGCAATTATTTAAAATATTTACTAGCCGGGCGCAGTGGCTCATGCCTGTAATCCCAACACTTCGGGAGGCCGAGGCAAACGGATCACCTGAGGTCAGGAGTTTGAGACCAGCCTGGCCAACATGGCGAAACCCCATCTATACAAAAATACAAAAATTAGCCGGACATGGTGTCAGGCACCTGTAACACCAGCTACTCGGGAGGCTGAGGCAGGAGAATCACTTGAACCTAGGAGGCGGAGGTCACGCCACTGCACTCCAGCCTCAGCGACAGAGTGAGACACTGTCTCGAAAAAAATAAAAAATAAATAAAATATTTATTTAGCATTTAGCCCTACCAATCCACGGGCCCTGCATCCACAGATTCAACCAACCACAGATGAATATATTTCGGGAAAAAAAATACAAATTTAAAAAATACAGCATGACAACTATTTCCATAGTATCCACATTGTATTAGGTATTATTAGTGATCTAGAGATGATTTAAAGTATGTCGGAGGATGTGCATAGGTTACATGGAAACACTAGGCCATTTGATATAAGGTACTTGAGCATCACAGGTTTTAGTATCCGCGGGGTATCTGGGAAGGACCACCTTAGTTTGCTCAAGGAATGTCTAACTTGAGTTTTGAAGAAATAGAAAAAATCAGCCCTGGTAAAAGCCATGGGGGGTTCACTCTAGGCAGAAGGAACATCAAAGGAAAAGACTCAAGGAATAACTTGGCATATTTGAGGAAGAGAAAGGAGGCCAATAAGGAGGGTATCTGGCAAGGAAACAAGTGGTAAGAGAAACAGGAGAGGTAGCAAGAGCCAAAACATGTAGTATCTTGTAGGCCAGGATAAAACAACTGGATTTTAAGCTAAGAGCAATGGAAAACCAAGGGGAGTTTAAAGCAGGAGCAGGGCATGATTTTTTTTTTTTTTAAGATTATTTGGGTTGCTGGATGCAGAGCTGGGAGGCCAGTAAAGAGGAAACTGCAGTCACTCAACTGAAAGGTGATGATGACTTGGACAGGGGCTGTGGTCATGGAAATGAAGAGAAGTGGACAAATTTGAAATACACTCTTGAGGCTGAACTGACTGGACTTGCTGACGGACTGGATGTGTGGACATAAGAAAAAGGTGGGCTTTGCTTTATAACAAGTATTGAGACTGGAAAAACGGAGGAAAGCATAGATTTAAAGAGGAAAACCATGAGTTCTGCATTGCCCATGACAAATGTAAGAAGCCTATCAAATATCCATGAGGGGAAGTCAGGTGGGATCCCACTGTGGAACTCTGGGTGAGACTCAGCTGAAGTTATCATTCGGGAGTCAGCACACTGCATCACTCTACGTCCTGGTCCGTCCGTCTGTCTTCCTGGGACACAAATAACTGCCTTCTCCGAGTTCAACCCTGAACATCTGTATCCTCTGGACAACGGGGAGCGGGAAAAAAGCTACGCAGGAGCTTGGATCGGGCGAAGCTCGCGGGAAACCGCTCTGGGTGCGCAGGACAAAGACGCGGGGACAGCGGGGAGGGCCGGCCGCAGCCTGCCGGGCTGCCCCCACGGCGCGGAACGCGCGCAGCAACCTCCACCAGGCCTCCGCGTCTGGACTCCCGCCCTGCCTCTGGGCCTCCTCCGCCCACCGGCGGCGTCTCCCGCGAAGCCCGCTGGGCCTCGCTCTCACCCTCCTCCTCCTCCTCACGCCGGGCCTTGCTCTTGGCCTTGGATTTCTGGCTGCGCAGTTCGCGTCCCCGCGGCTCCCCGCCGGCCGCGCGTTTCCGAGCCATGTTGCTTGTCTGGGCAAATTCCACTTCGCGAGTGACGCACCCGGCCGCGATGCGCTAGAACGCCGGCCCCGCCCCGAGGCGGTGCGCTTGGCCACGCCCCTTCGTTGGAGGCCTAGTCACGCCCCTAAAGGAAGCTCCACCCCATACCCGTGGCCACTAAAAAACTGCGGGAAGCAGGAAAGAGCACAACAGGTTTCTCTCTATTTCCGGTGTATTGTATCCTCACGTTTCCGGAGATTGACGTTGCTCTTGTGTTCTCGCGAGAGGCGGGAAAGGGCGCAGGGTTTGAAACATGGCGGACGACGTAGACCAGGTAAGTGTATTTTAAGGAGGTCGCTCGAAGGAGCTTCTTGTACTAGGCTGCTTTTTCCAGACTCAGGAAAAATGGCCAGTCGTGCCTCCTCTCTCCAAGTCACCATGGCCTAATCCACCCTGTCCTTTCCGTAACCCCCCCTCCGAATTTTGCCGTAGGCCCTGAGACCTTTTCCTGTTAGAAGCCCACCTGATGACTATTCTCACACTCTTCGCTTCATTTTTTTAAATCTGTAGATTATTATCCTTAGCTACCTCATGGAGCTGTCAGGATTCCAATAGAAAGCCAGGTAATAAAGTTAGGAGTTGTTATCATTAGTGAGCGCAACAATTATTTATTCATTCAGCAGATAGAGTGAACATCAGCTTTGTATGGTTAGGCACTGTTCTAAGGGCCAGGGACACTGACATCGACATATAAGAGATCCTTGCCATTACTTGGAGCTTATATTTGCGAGGAGAACAGATAAAAGTAAATATAAATATGTAAGACTTCCAGGAACTGTGATGTGCTGTGAAGGAAACAAGGAACTGGTATGCAGAATAACAGATGGTCCTAGAAGCTTTTTCACCTGGTCTTTTTCTTCCTCAAATATCTTTGGAGATCATGCCACAACTTAAACTTTCTACTGAAATCTGACCTCCTCAGAGAGGACTTCTGCCCAAATAGCACTCCCGCTACTCTGGTTACCCTGCCTCATTTTTCTTCATAGAGAGTTATTTTTTCATATTAAATGTATGCATCTTTGTTTAATGTGAATCTCTCCCCACTAGAATGTAAATGCCATAAGAGCAGGGATTTTGTTTTGTTCATTCTTTTGTCTTTGGGGTTTAGAACAGTGCTGGAAACACTCAAAAAATATTTGAGTGAATGAGTTAGATGATCAGAGGAAGCCTCTTTGAGAAGCCAATATTTAAAGCTACAGGATGAAAAGAGCAGACAGTGGGCATCCCAGACAGAGGCTTAGGTAGCAGTAGGGCTTTTTCATGTGCATATTCTTACAGTATTATAATTATTTGTATGCCTCTCCACAGTAGAATGAGCTCCTTGAGGGTGGGGATTGTGACTTCTCTATCATTGTAATCTAACAGTTGGTTATCTGATCCTTTAACAAACACTTGTTGAACTGAGGGACATAGGGACCAGTTGAGTTAGGTTATTTTTTTCTCTCATCAGGCCTTTTGAATCTTCAGAGCCTGTTACCAATTCAGTTACCTTCCTCCACTGGCCTTGTGTACTTACTGAAGAAGCTCTCCTTGAATAATCTTTCTAACTCTTAGCGGCTGCAACCATCCCTTCCATGTGGGTGACCCCAAGTCATCCTAGCCCTGACCTCTAAAACCAATGTTTCCAGCAGTTCTGTAATAATATAATATTAATAGGAATCTTTTCTTTTCCTTTTTTTTTCTATTCTTTTCTTTTTTTTGGATGGAGTCTCACTCTATCGCCCAGGCTGGAGTGCAGTGGCGTGATCTCAGCTCACTGCAACCTCTGCCTCCTGGGTTCAAGTGATTCTCCTGTCTCAGCCTCCCAAGTAGCTGGGACTACAGGTGCGTGCCGCCACACCTGGCTAATTTTTGTATTTTTCGTAGAGATGGGGTTTCACCATGTTGGCCAGGCTGGTCTCAAACTCCTAACCTCAGGTGATCTGCCTTTCTCAGCCGCCCAAAGTGCTGGGATTCAAGCGTGAGCCACCACGCCCGGCCAATAGGAACCATTTCTAAATATTAATATTTTCTGTTTTCCTGGCACTGTTTTTAAATGCATTAACTAGTTTAATCCTCATAAGAACCCAGAAAGAAGGTTGTGGCTTTCTCAATTACAAATGAAGAATCTGAGAATTACAGATGGCATGATTTTTAATCTCAGTTCATAAATGTCAGGTCACAGCCAGGAGTTGAACCCGGACTGCCTGACTCCAAAGCCAGTGCTTGCTTGCCTTTTTTTTTTTTTTTTTTTTTTTTTTTTTTTTTTTTAAAAAAAAAAAAGACAAGAGTCTCACTCTGTTGCCCAAGCTGGAGTGCAGTGGCACGATCTTGGCTCACTGCAACCTCCACCTCGCCAGGCTCAAGCAATCCTCCCACCTCAGCCCTTGGAGTAGCTGGGACTACAGGCATGTGCCACCATGCCCGGCTAAGCCAGTGCTTTCAACCAGTGTTCTATACTGGCTACTAAATATATTTATCTTATTCACCAGTTGGCAGCCTAAACTCAACCTGTGCTGAATTCATAATCTTCCCATAAACCTACACCTCTATTTGGCATTCTGACTAGTGTATGGTAGGCATTAAGTGAGTGTTTTTCCAATGATTACATAATATTTGAGATAAAGCTAAAGTCCCTGAGACCCTATGCCCTGAAATTGGGTCAGGCAGTTTGGATTTTGAGGGAACAAAGTATAGTCATGATTATTTTGCTGTGTAACTTCTCATGTATGTGTGTTTTAACCTACATTTATATAGCACGTATTATGTGAAAAGCTCTGTTCTAAGCCTTCATGTATATCACTTAAGCCTCACAAAAACAGTATTAGGTAGACACTATTATCTCCATTTTACAGATTAGGAGACTGAGGCAGAAAAAGGTTAAATAACTTGCCCATGGTCACACAGCATAGCAGTGATTTAAGCACTACTCTGACTCTAGTACTACATTACTAATCCTGTTTCTTTTATCAGCAACAAACTACCAACACTGTAGAGGAGCCCCTGGATCTTATCAGGCTCAGCCTAGATGAGCGAATTTATGTGAAAATGAGAAATGACCGAGAGCTTCGAGGCAGATTACATGTAAGTAAATTTATCAAGTTACCTTGAAATCAGATTCCTTCCTACCCCCACTCCCTTGAAATGTAAAACCTGTCCAGAGTGAAAGGGTATTTTGAAGGAAGAGAGGGTGGTGGAAAGTCACCCATATCACATAAGCCAAATAAAGCGGCATGTATTCACATTTTTAACATTTTTTCTTTTAATAGAAATACGTTTATTATAGAACATTTTTATTCCCTTCATTTTTCCCTTCTGTTTATTTGTAAATAATATTTACTTGTCCTCCATTCGTAAATGTTTTTTAAATTTAAAACACAAATATGTGTTTTATTAGGAAAAGTTAAACAGCACAAAAATATATAGAGTAAAAAGTGAAATCCCATTTCTTCTACTGGTAATCACTACTAAAAATGGGATTATCTTGGCCAGGTGCAGTGGCTCATTCCTGTAATCTCAGCACTTTGGGAGACTGGGGCAGGAGGATCACTTGAGGCCAGGAGTTCTCTGTGTTGCCAGCCTGGGCAACATAGAGAGACCCTGTCTCTACAAAAAATAAAATTTAAAAATTGGGTTACCTTTTCTGTATGTTTACACATATACACTCATATATGTACATGTGCACATACTTGCATTATGTACACCCTACCTCTACAAAACATGGATCTTGCCATACATGTTTTTCAGTACCTTTTTTTTTTTTCACTTAATCTTTCTTGGAAATTGATCATGAGTGCATTTAATTTTCGTTTATTCTTTTTAATGACTACCTAGGATTCTGTATATGATAGTGATCGATTTTTTTTCATTTCTTGCTACAAATACGTAAATACTTGCAGTAAGCATTTTTTTACATATTTCTTTGTGCATATCTGCAAAATATCTGTAGAATTGGTCCCTTGAAATAATCCCATTTGTTCATAGAGAACCCTGAAGGTTTTGCCTCTCCTTAATGACTTGTTACTTTCCTAAGTGTGTTGTTTTTAGTATTGCTACTCTACCCTAAAGTGATTAAAAATAGCTAACATTTATTGAGCATTAATTATAGACCAGGTACTATTATTCTAAGCATTTTGTGTGTGATATCTCATTTAATCTTTATAACAACCCTATGATGATACATACTAATTATTCCTGCTTTGCAGTGTAGGAAGCTCAGGCTCAGAAAGGTACAGTCACTTGACGGTAAAGGGAGAGCCAGAATTTGAATCTAGGTTGTCTGACCTGAGCCCCACTCTTAAGTACTGTGGTTCCGCCTTCCACAAAACCTAAAGATAAAGAACCTCTGGGCTTGGAAAGGAAATAGGGACCCAGGGAGACAATCTACAGCTGGCCTTAAAGGAAGAGAGACTCCAGGAAAGGAATGGTGGTAACTTTGGGAATACAAATGGAATTGAGTTTAATTACTTAAGTTTGTGGCTCTTGGAGGCTTCTTCAGTTCCCTGTGTAAACTTGATGGTCTCTATCCTAAATGGCCCCAACTTTCTGTTTGTTTTGTGCCTCTCAGCTATACATGTTTGATCTTGTTAGTGTGCCCTGCTTAGCAGTTCCCCACATGGCTGACAAGTGACTTTTATTTTGATGTGAGCAGGTGAACCATGTAACACGTTGTTAGAAGTAAACTTGAGTTCTGAACAAGGTCCCAGAAAGTGCACCTTTTAGTAAAATGAATGAACTTTGGAGCTTGGATTGAATATCTTAGCTGTAACATTTATTGATTGAGCCCACAGGTACTAAACACATTTAAGTTCTGGATAGGTTAGAAATGGGCAGGGTGTTGCTCTACTTACTTTCTCTCTGCGACATGTGGTCTACTGTGTGCCTTTAGAAGACTGCAATGGCATTATCTTACCAGTAAACAAAGGATTTTATCTTCTTTACTGTATTTTTCTTGTCAGATTGTTATAGGTGAAATTGAAGGATGTCTACTGATAAATGATGAAGATGAATCTGCTGTTTTTCATAATTAAATATTATAAATGATGTGACTGCCTTAGATAACAAGTGGGGTGGAGACTTTAAAAATAATTTCAAGTGATTTGAAGTAAATTTATTTTTGGCAATATAAGCAGTTTTATATTTTTATCAGGTCAATTAAGTAATCATTGGAAGTGACTTGTGAAGAAACAGTATATTAGTACTGTAGGATTACTTTTTATTTGCATGTAAAAGTTTGTGATGTAAGTATCAAATGCCCTAGTTGTAATTGAGCAATTTGCATATTGTTAAGCCTTTATCATTTTTGTAATTTGATTATTAAATTTCTTGGTTCTGTACCCTCCCACTTTAGGCTTATGATCAACATTTAAATATGATCTTGGGAGATGTGGAAGAAACTGTGACTACTATAGAAATTGATGAAGAAACATATGAAGAGATATATAAAGTAAGTCATGCAATTCTATTCATTGCTTTGCAAATATCAGCTGTTCTCTCTCGAACAGCTTAACCCATATTTATGGGAAGCCTGTCATGTTTTGACACCTACTTATGGACTCAGTAGAGCATAGCAATTAAAAGCAAGGGTTCTGGCATCTGACAGACCCTGTTGCCAGTACTGGCTTGACCACTTCCTACTTGGGCTACCTTGGGCAAGGGAATTAAGTTAGCTGAGTTCTCATTGGTGAGCAGGAATACTACCACTTACCTCATAGGGTTCCCAGATTCAGTGAGATACAACAATGCAAGGTGGCTATGTATAATAGTGTGTAACAGTAATAGTGGACAGTGTTCTTTCGTTTTCTGTGGATTTGATCTATTAATACTTAATTTATTAGAAACTGAAACTGAAAAATTTTTTAAATATTTATTCATTAAAAAAACCTGGGCCGGGCGCGGTGGCTCACGCCTGTAATCCCAGCACTTTGGGAGGCCGAGGCGGGCGGATCACGAGGTCAGGAGATCGAGACCATCCCGGCTAAAAAAACGGTGAAACCCCGTCTCTACTAAAAATACAAAAAATTAGCCGGGCGTAGTGGCGGGCGCCTGTAGTCCCAGCTACTTGGGAGGCTGAGGCAGGAGAATGGCGTGAACCCGGGAGGCGGAGCTTGCAGTGAGCCGAGATCCCGCCACTGCACTCCAGCCTGGGCGACAGAGCGAGACTCCGTCTCAAAAAAAAAAAAAACCTGGCCAGGCATGGTGGCTCACACCTGTAATCCTAGCACTTTGGGAGGCTGAGGCAGGTGGATCACCTGAGGTCAGGAGTTCGAGACCAGCCTGACCAATATGGTGAAGCCCTGTCTCTGCTAAAAATACAAAAAATTAGCTGGGTGTGGTGGCATATATCTATAATCCCAGCTACTTGGGAGGCTGAGGCAGGAGAACTGCTTGAATCTTGGAGGCGGAGGTTGCAGTGAGCTGAGATTGTGCCATTGCCCTCCAGCCTTGTCAACAAGAGTGAAACGCTGTCTCAAAAAAAAAAAGGCTGGGTGCAGTGGCTCATGCCTGCAATCCCACCACTTTGGGAGGCCAAAGCGGGTGGATCACCTGAGGTCAGGAGTTCGAGACCACCCTGGCCAACATGGCAAAACCCTGTCTCTACTAAAAATACAAAATATTAGCCGGCCGTGGCGGCAGGCACTGGCAATCCCAGCTACTCGGGAGGCTGAGGCAGGAGAATCACTTGAACCTGGGAGGTAGAGGTTGCGGTAAGCTGAGATCGTGCTACTGTACTCCAGCCTGGGGGACAGAGTAAGACTCTGTCTCAAAACAAAACAAAACAAAACAAAAAAAAACCTATCACGTGTTACTGTAAGTAACATTTTTATGAACAATAACTATTTTCTAAAACAAAATTTTAATGAGGAATGTCTTTGTTTTACATTTTTGCAAATCTCTTTAATGCCCCGCTTAATCGATAACAGCTAGAAGATTCTCATATCTTTTTTCTGCGTTAAATCTATCATGAGTTGTTGTTGTAATTGAAGCAAATCTGACCACACAGATAGGTAGTTGGAAAGGAAGGAGTTTGTTTTGTGAATGTTCTACCTTTGATACTACACCCAAACTGAACAAGTGGTAGTCAGTCAAAGATTATTTGCCATCTGGAATCTGAAACGGTAACAGTAAACTTTTCGTACTCTTGTTAGGTGAAAATTCATTAATCTGCCTTGCACCTCAAATGGATCTCTTACTCATGCATGATTTGGTTACATCAGGCACTGGTTCTTTAGAAAATAGTAGTTCACTGGGCTATGCAGATTCATTTTATTTCTTCAGTGTTTAAAAAAAATCACATTTATTAGTTATCACCAGTGATCTTGTCAGAAAGGTCTTTTTTTTTTTTTAAAGACAGTCTGACTGTGTCACCCAGGCTGGAGTGCAATGTCAGTCTCAGCTCACTGCAGCCTCCGCCTCCCAGGTTCAAGCAATTCTCGTGCCTCAGCCTCCAAAGTAGCTGGGATTACAGGCATGTGCCACCACGCCCAGCTAATTTTTGTGTTTTTAGTAAAGACAGGTTTCACCATGTTGGCCAGGCTGGTCTCGAACTCCTGGCCTCCCAAAGTGCTGGAATTACAGGTGGGAGCCACTATGCCAGGCCGTAGCAGAAAGAAAGGTCTTTAAGATTTGGAAAGACAGTTTCTGACCCTGCCAGGGCATAGTGGTTAAAATGTGGGCTCAGAGTACAAGACTACATGGATTCAAATTTTGACTCCCTTGCTTACCACCTTTTTAATTGAGCCAGCTCACCTAACCTGTCTGTGGATATGTTTCCTTGTCTGTAAAATGGGAGTAATGATAGGACCCACTTCATACAACTGTGGAGGATTCATTGAGGGCTACATGAAAAGCCTTCAGATAGTGACAGGCACGTTGTCACTGTTAAACTGTTAGCCTTCACTGGATTTTGTAGTTCTGCTTTATCCTGGCTTTCCTCCTCTCTCTGACCACACCTGACTCCTTTGCTAGTGTTCTTTCTCCTTCTGAGTGTAAACATTTAGCATTTTTTTCTTTTTTTAAAATTTTTACTTATTTATTTATGTATTTTTGCTGGCTTATTTCTCCAAGAAAGAATAGCATTTTTTAAAATCTGCATTTTTTCCCCTTTAGGAATTTCATTTATTAACTATTGTTTAGTGGTTATTGTTTTCTTAACATGGACACAATCATAAGTACTAAGATGCACTTTTTCTTAAATTTTAGCATCTTAAAAATCTGATTGCATCTTACAGGTGATGTGATAAAAAAAGAATTGTGTCATAGTTTAATTGGCAAAATTTATCCTTTTTCAGCTCAACTAAGCTTACAAATGATACCTTAAATGTGATAAAATATGGAATATGTGGCTTTAATATTCTGCTTTATTCATGTAACATCATTAACATAAGAATTTTACCATGAGAGTAGACTCTTCATAAGCATTTTAATGCTCTTGTCTTGAATTCTGCTTGTGACAGAAATGACTCTTCAACTGTGGTGTCTATTACAGAGAAGGGAACACTGCCACTTACTCCATGTTTGCAGTGAACTAACAGCAGGGTCCACCTGTGTCATCCCTAGTAGTCTGCTCCAAGTGCGGTTCCTCCTGACACTGTTTGAAGGTGCTATGTGTCTGTGCACATGTGCATTTCTCTGGGTGGGGTGTCTGTAACAGAGTCTCAGTAGTTACTGACCTCCATTAAGATTAATTGCTGCCTTGAAAGGCTACTGGGGCTGGTTAGCTCCTGAACGCTGCGTGCTGCGTGCATGTGGCCTCTCTTGCGCCTAGAGTTGCAGCTGAGAACAGTAAGCAAAGTCTATTTAGTTAATGAGTTCTTTTTCACATTGCCATGATGTATTGGGTAAAACATTTAAAATTGAATCTTTGGATGACTGAGAATACTTTAGTGTGTAAATGTGTATTAACTATAGACATAGAAAGCAAAGACAGTGATATTATAGAGAGTGTCTGCATCTGGTTCAGTGCCATGGAGAACAACTACTTCACTCTCCTGTGCGCTCTTGTTACTCCTCTCCAAGATGGGAAACCAGACTAAATGGTTTCTTACCTTGGCCCATTTTACATTTCGCTCTCTCTCTCGTCTATTGAAATAACTAATGAACATCAACGTTTTACCACCAAAACAGTATGGGGGACCCATAAACCATCAGGTTGTTGGGTTTTTTTCCCCCTATAACTTACATAATTGACTTCTAAATAATTAATTTGGCTGCTGACTTATAAATGGGAAGGTGGAAAGCAGTCAGTCTTACTCTTCTGATTCTTGGTCCTCCATAATTGGAGTTTCCATTTTACAGATTGTGAACAGTCTGTGTTATTTGACCCAGACTACTTTTTCGGCTGTCCATCATGTGTACTACCTTCCTTCACCAAACACCTCGTAGTTTGGCTCACCAGACAGTTTCTCTTGGGGACGTTGTGCCCTTTTGTAACTAAGCCCTCTGCTCCCTCTGCTTGCCCGAAGGCCTTCTACAGCATCAGATGGCTCTTCTAGACCTTTCTGTAGATTAGCACTGTAATAATAGAACTGTCTGCAGCAGTGAAAATTTCTATCTATGCTGTCATTACAGGAGCTATGAGCCACATGTGGCTATTTGGCACTTCAAATGGATGCTGGTGTGATTAAGGAACTGCACATTTAATTTTATTTAATTTTAATTTAATGAGCCACCTGTGACTAGTGGCACTCATATTAGAGCAGCTCTAGACCTGCTCCCTCATACATAACTAACTCTTTATGGTCCATGCTGAGACCATATGGTCCATATCACCGTATAGTACTTAACACATATTTCTTTTCTTACTCATTTTAAATTGCTTCCATTTTAATTTAACTTTTTGAATAGATACTAGACTCACACAGTCTTAAAATTACAAAATGCAGAAAGGAACACAGTGCAGTAAAATGTCTTCCACTCCAGCCTCTGTTCATCATCTTTACACCCCACCCCCAGACATAAGCACTATTACTGGTTTCTTGAGAATCTTCTCGTGTCTTTATGCATATGCTAATGAGTGTTAGTTATTCTCCCTTCCCCTGTTTTTTTATCACAGTGCTCTTTCCCTTTCATACATAGCTTCCTTGTGCTTTCGTTTTTAGCTTTATGGTACTTCACTGTGTAGATGTACCATAATTTAACTGTTTTCCTGTTGATGGACAGATAGCCATTTCCAATATTTTGCTAGTAAAACCTATTCTGCTGTAAATAATTTTATCTTTATCTTTTTTTTTAATTATACTTTAAGTTCTGGATTACATGTGCATAACGTGCAGTTTTGTTACAAAGGTATACACGTGCCCTGGTGGTTTGCTGCACCCATCAACCCGTCACCTACATTATTTCTCCTAATGTTATCCCTCCCCTAGCCTCCCAGCCCCCGACAGGCCCTGGTGTGTGATGTTCCCCTCCCTGTGCCCATGTGTTCTCATTGTTCAACTCTCACTTATGAGTGAGAACATGGGGTGTTTGGTTTTCTGATCTTGTGATATTTTGCTGAGAATGATGGTTTCCAGCTTCATCCATGTCCCTGCAAAGGACATGAACTCCTCCTTTTTTATAGCTGCACAGTATTCCATGGTGTATATGTGCCACATTGTCTTAATCCAGTCTATCATTGATGCACATTTGGGTTGGTTCCAAGTCTTTGCTATTGTGAATAGTGCCGCAATAAACATACATATGTATGTGTCTTTATAGTAGCATGATTTATAATCCTTTGGGTATATGCCCAGTAATGGGATTCCTGGGTCAAATAGTATTTCCAGTTCTAGATCCTTGAGGAATCACCACACTGTCTTCCACAATGGTTGAAATAATTTTCACTCCCACCAACAGTGTAAAAGCATTTCAGTTTTTCCACAACCTCTCCAGCATCTGTTGTTTCCTGGCTTTTTAATGATCGCCATTCTAACTGGCATGAGATGGTATCTCATTGTGGCTTTGATTTGCATTTCTCTAATGACAGTGATGATGAGCTTTTTTTCATATGTCTTTTGGCTGCATAAATGTCTTCTTTTGAGAAGTGTCTCTTCATATCCTTTGCCCATTTTTTGATGGGGTTGTTTTTTTTCTTGTAGATGTGTTTAAGTCCTTTGTAGATTCTGGATATTAGCCTTTTGTCAGATGGATGGATTGTAAAAATTTTCTCCCATTCTGTAGGTTGCCTGTTCACTCATGATAGTTTCTTTTGCTGTGCAGAAGATCTTTAGTTTAATTAGATCCCATTTGTCAATTTTGGCTTTTGTTGCCATTGCTTTTGGTGTTTTAGACATGAAGTCTTTGCCCATGCCTATGTCCTGAATGGTATTGCCCGGGTTTTCTTCTAGGATGTTTATGGTCCTAGGTCTTACATTTAAGTCTTTGATCCATCTTGAGTTGATTTTTGTAAAAGGTGTAAGGAAGGGATCCAGTTTCAGTTTTCTGCATATAGCTAGCCAGTTTTCCCAACACCATTTATTAAATAGGGAATCTTTTCCCCATTGCTTGTGTGCATCAGGTTTGTCAAAGATCAGGTGGTTGTGGCTGTGTGGTGTTATTTCTGAGGCCTCCATTTTGTTCCATTGGTCTATATATCTGTTTTGGTACCAGTACCATGCTGTTTTGGTTACTGTAGCCTTGTAGTATAGTTTGAAGTCAAGTAGTATGATGCCTCCAGCTTTGTTCTTGCCCAGGATTGCCTTGGCTATGCAGGCTCTTTTTGGTTTCATATGAAGTTTAAAGTAGTTTTTTTCAATTCTGTGAAGAAAGTCAGTGGTAGGTTGATGGGGATAGCATTAAATCTATAAATTACTTTGGGCAGTATGGCCATTTTCATGATATTGATTCTTCCTATCCATGAGCATGGAATCTTTTTCCATTTGTTTGTGTCCTGTCTTAGTTCCTTGAGCAGTGGTTTGTAGTTCTCCTTGAAGAGGTTCTTCACATCCCTTATAAGTTGTATTCCTAGGTATTTTATTCTCTTAGTAGCAATTGTGAATGGGAGTTCACTCATAATTTGGCTATTTGTCTGTTATTTATGTATAGGAATGCTTGTGATTTTTGCACATTGATTTTGTATCCTGAGACTTCGCTGAAGTTGCCTATCAGCTTAAGGAGGTTTTGGGCTGAGACGATGGGGTTTTCTAAATATACAATCATGTCATCTGCAAACAGAAAATTTGACTTCCTCTCTTCCTATTTGAATACCCTTTATTGCTTTCTCTTGCCTGATTGCCCTGGCCAGAATTTCCAATACTATGTTGAATAGGAGTGGTGAGAGGGCATCCCTGTCTTGTGCCGGTTTTCAGAGGGAATGTTTCCAGGTTTTGCCCATTCAGTATGATATTGGCTGCGGGTTTGTCATAAATAGTTCTTATTATTTTGAGATATGTTTCATTGATACCTAGTTTATTGAGAGTTTTTAGCATGAAGGGGTGTTGAATTTTATCGAAGGCCTTTTCTGCATCTACTGGCATAATCATGTGGTTTTTGTGATTGGTCCTGTTTATGTGATGGGTTACATTGATTTGCATATGTTGAACCAGCCTTGCATCCCAGGGATGAAGCTGACTTGATCGTGGTGGATCAGCTTTTTGAGGTGCTGCTGGGTTCAGCTTGCCAGTATTTTATTGAGGATTTTTGCATCGGTGTTCATCAGGGATATTGGCCTGAAATTTTCTTTTTTTGTTGTGTCTCTGCCAGATTTTGGTATCAGGATGATGCTGGCCTCATAAAATGAGTTAGGGAGGATTCCCTCTTTTTCTATTGTTTGGAATAGTTTTAGAAGGAATGGTGCCAGCTTCTCTTTGTACCTCTGGTAGAATTCAGCTGTGAATCTGTCTGGTCCTGGACTTTTTTTGGTTGGTAGGCTATTAATTACTGCCTCAATTTCAGAATTTGTATTGGTCTGTTCAGGGATTCGACTTCTTCCTGGCTTAGACTTGGGAGGGTGTATGTGTCCAGGAATTTATCCATTTCTTCTAGAGGTCCTAGTTTATTTGCGTAGAGATGTTTATATTATTCTCTGATGGTAGTTTGTATTTCTGTGGGATCAGTGGTGACATCCCCTATATCATTTTTTATTGCGTCTATTTGATTCTTCTCTCCTTTCTTCTTTATTAGTCTGGCTAGCAGTCTATTTTGTTGATTTTTTTCAAAGAACCACCTCCTGGATTCATTGATTATTTTTTTAGGGTTTTTCGTGTCTCTATCTCCTTCAGTTCTGGTCTGATCTTGGTTATTTCATGTCTTCTTCTAGCTTTTGATTTGTTTGCTGTTGCTTCTCTAGTTATTTTAATTTTGATGTTAGGGTGTCAATTTTAGATCTTTCCTGCTTTCTCTTGTGGGCATTTAGTGCTATAAATTTTCCTCTAAACACTGCTTTAAATGTGTCCCAGAGATTCTGGTACGTTGTGTCTTCATTCTCATTGGTTTCAAAGAACATCTTTATTTCTGCCTTCATTTCATTATTTACCCAGTAGTCATTCAGGAGCAGGTTGTTCAGTTTCCATGTATTTGTGCGGTTTTGAGTGAGTTTCTTAATCCTGAGTTCTAATTTGATTGCAATGTGGTCTGAGAGACAGTTTGTTATGATTTCTGTTCTTTTACATTTGCTGAGGAGTGTTTTACTTCCAATTATGTGGTCAATTTTAGAATAAGTGTGATGTGGTGCTGAGAAGAATGTGTATTCTGTTGATTTGGGGTGGAGAGTTCTGTAGAGGTCTGTTAGGTCTGCTTGGTCCAGAGCTGAGCTCAAATCCTGAATATCCTTGTTAATTTTCTGTCTCGTTGATCTGTCTGATATTGACAGTGGGGTGTTAAAGTCTCCCGCAATTATTGTGTGGGAGTCTAAGTCTCTTTATAGGTCTCTAAGAACTTGTTTTATGAATCTGGATGCTCCTGTATTGGGTGCATATATATTTAGGATAGTTAGCTCTTCTTGCTGCATTGTTCCCTTTACCATGTAATGCCCTTGTTTGTCTCTTTTGACCTTTGTTGGTTTAAAGTCTGTTTTATTACAGATTAGAATTGCAACTCCTGCTTTTTTTGCTTTCCATTCACTTGGTAAATATTCCTCCATCCCTTTATTTTGTGCCTATGTGTGTGTTTGCATGTGAGATGGGTCTCCTGAATACAGCACACTGATGGGTCTTGACTCTATCCAGTTTGCCAGTCTGTTTCTTTTAATTGGGGGCATTTAGCCCGTTTACATTTAAGGTTAATAGTGTTATGTGTGAATTTGATCCTGCCATTATGATGCTAGCTGGTTGTTTTGCCCATTAGTTAATGCAGTTTCTTCATAGTGTCAATGTTATTTACAATGTGGTATGTTTTTGCAGTGGCTGGTATTGGTTGTTCCTTTCCATGTTTAGTGCTTCTTTCAGGAGCTCTTGTGAGGCAGGCCTGGTGGTGACAAAATCCCTCAGCATTTGCTTGTCTGTAAAGGATTTTATTTATCCTTCGCTTATGAAGCTTAGTTTGGCTGGTTATGAAACTCTGGGTTGATAATTCTTTTTTTCAAGAACGTTGAATATTGGTTCCCACTCTCTTCTGGCTTGTAGGGTTTCTGCAGAGAGATCTGCTGTTACTCTGATGGGCTTCCCTTTGTGGGTAACCCGACCTTTCTGTCTGGCTGCCCTTAACGTTTTTTCCTTCATTTCAACCTCGGTGAATCTGATGATTATGTGTCTTGGGGTTGTTCTTCTTGAGGAGTATCTTTGTGGTGTTCTCTGTATTTCCTGAATTTGAATGTTGGCCTGTCTTACTAGGTTGGGGAAGTTCTCCTGGATAATATCCTGAAGAGTGTTTTCCAACTTGGTTCCATTCTCTCCGTCACTTTGAGGTACACCAATCAAATGTAGATTTGTTCTTTTCACATAGTCCCATATTTCTTGGAGGCTTTGTTTGTTCCTTTTATTCTTTTTTCTCTAATCTTGTCTTCTGTCTTTATTTCATTAAGTTGATCTTCAATCACTGATGTCCTTTCTTCCACTTGATTGATTCAGCTATTGATACTTGTTTATTCTTTGCGAAGTTCTTGTGCTATGTTTTTCAGCTCCATCAGGCCATTTATGTTTTTCTCTACATTGGTTATTCTAGTTAACAATTTGACTAACCTTTTTTCAAGGTTCTTAGCTTCCTTGCATTGAGTTAGAACATGCTCATTTAGCTCGGAGTTGTTTGTTATTACCCACCTTCTGAAGCCTACTTTTTTCAGTTCATCAGACTCATTCTCCGTCTAGCTTTGTTCCCTTGCTGGCGAGGAGTTGTGATCCTTTGGAGGAGGAGAGGCGTTCGTGTTTTTGGAATTTTCAGCCTTTTTGTGCTGGTTTTTCCCCCATCTTTGTGGATTTATCTACCTCTAGTCTTTGATGTTGGTGACTTTCAGATGGAGTCTTTGAGTAGATGTGCTAATCCTTTTTAGCACATCTGTGTTTGTTTCTTTCCTTCCAACAGTCAGGCCCCTCTGCTGCCAGTCTGCTGGAGTTTCCTGACCCAGTTTGTGTGGATATCACCAGCGGAGGCTGCAGAGCAGCAAAGATTGCTGCCTGTTTTTTCCTCTGGAATCTTCAACCCAGAGGGGCACCTGCCAGATGCCAGCCAGAGCTCTTCTGTATGAGGTGTCTGTCGGCCCCAACTGGGAGCTGACAGTCATTATACACGGGGGTCAGGGACCCACTTGAGGAGGCAGACTGACCCTTAGCAGAGCTCGAACGCTGTGCTGGGAGGTCCGCTGCTGTCTTCAGAGCCGTCAGGCAGAGACGTTTAAGTCTGCTATAAGCCCCTGACTGGGGCTGCTGCCTTTTTTACAGAGATGCCCTGTCCAGAGAGGAGAAATCTCAGTTTTATCTTTTTCTTATGTGGGAGTATACCTGCAGAATAAATTCATACTTTCTCTCTTTTTATTTCTAGAATGGGGATTCTAGGAGGACAGTCCATGTTTTATTCATCTCTCTGCGTCTACTGCCCATCATAATACCTGACACATAATGGGCACTCTAAATGTTTGTATGAGTGAACTTCAGATTTCATTGCAGGTTGACTCAATAATTTTTAAACAGAAGATTCTATTTCATTACAAGGACTGCAGATCCAAGCCTTGTCACCTATCAGACACACATGCACACTTAAAAAAAAAAATTCTGGGTGAAATTCATCACCATTACTAGAAAATTTAATACTTTTCTCTGATATTGAGTTTATAGCATCCTTTTTTTTTTTTTTTTTTTTTTTTTTTAAACCTAGAGCACTTAAGTTTACACACTGAACTCCTTGTACTAGAGTCGCCTTCTTTCTCAGGAATTATTTATCTGTAGCCAGATCTCCTGCCTGGGTGTTATGACCAGACAGCCCAGGGGAGATTCCTCACACATGGGTTGTTGAAAGTATACTCTGGTGGGCATATTAGTTCGTGTTGGCTAGACTGTGGTAACAGGTACCCCCTAAACATGTACTGGCTCAGCAGTCACAGATGTGCAGTGGTTCTGCACTGCTGGAGTTTGTTTCTCAATGACGTAATTATTCTACGTAGGTTTCCTCCATGCAGTCATTCAGGAACCCAGACTCCTTGTGTCTTCTGGCTCCACCAACCCCTAAGTCTTTTGTCGTCATTTCACATCCAGCCAGTGGGAACAAAAAGGAGTAGAGGAGTGTACATGAGAAGTTTATGAATCAGCCTGGAGGTACTACACCTCTTCTTAAATTTTTTAGGCTAGAACTCAGTGATATGACCCTAGCCAACTGTAAGGGAGCCTGGGAAATATAGTAGAATTGTGTGCCCAGGAAGGAAGAAGGAATTTTTATGAACAGCTAGCAGTTTCTGCCATAGTCTGCTCCCCCCCACCCACACTGGCAACCAGTGTCTGTATATACCTGTGAGCAAAGGGCTTTAAAAAAAAAATTATTTATGGAAAAATGACCATGGGTTAACTTACCAGTTCATTTTCCCTAGAAACAGATAAAATTGGAATGTCAGCTGTGTTAATAAAAAATATTGCTGTATTTTAAAAAGAGGCCCCTGGTTTGTAAACTGCATCTGAACTGAGAGAACTGTGAATGAGCTCTGAATACTGTTAGGAGCCCATAGCAATGGTCTTCCCTGAGAGCATGCAACCCTTGTAGTGGAGTGTGCCCCCTCCTTGGTGACTGTAAAGCCACATTCATGGAACTGTTGTAAACGATACTGGTTCTGGTGTGGAGCTTGGCGCAGTTAAGCCAGGGTGGCTCCTGCACCCACCTGCTAACTAAGCAGTCATTTGGGTAGCTAGGGAAGAATCCTTGGAATGCTGTAAAGACTTCTGAGACACTTGCCACTGCCCAGCTGGCATGTGCTGTGTTTCCTTTGTATAAAGCTGTGTGCCCTTGGCTATCTTGAGCTTTGTGAGTTTTTTTTTTTTTTTTTCTTTGAGACGGAGTCTCACTCTGTCACCCAGGCTGGAGTGCAGTGGCGCAATCTTGGCTCACTGCAAGCTCCGCCTCCCAGGTTCACGCCATTCTCCTGCCTCAGCCTCCCAAGTAGCTGGGACTACAGGTGCCCGCCACCACACCTGGCTAATTTTTTTTTTTATATTTTTAGTAGAGACGGGGTTTCACCGTGTTAGCCAGGATGGTCTTGATCTCCTGACCTCATGATCCACCTGCCTCATCCTCCTAAAGTGCCGGATTACAGGTGTGAACCACCGTGCCTGGCCGAGTTTTGTGAGTTTGATGGCCAAGTTGCTGCAGAGATCAACGATAGTGGGTGTTGCAGAATCCTACTTCCCAGACAGAACCATCTGTACCCCCAAAGGATGCAAGCAGGATATCCAGCTCAGGGTGCAGGACTGCCACGTGACTTTCGGTTTTCTCCGTCAGACCACATGTGGTCACTTGTACAGAAACCTATCCCCAAAGAAGATGAATAATTTACCCCTCCCACATTTATGATAAACACAGCAGGGACAGGATATCCACCACAAAAACTCTCTTCCCAGAGAAGGAAGGAATGAGAAACATAAGACAGTTACTGGTCCCTAACAGTGGTGAATCCCACTGGGAAGGCATGAATGCTCCCTGTCCTGGTAGCAGCAGAAATCCCTCAATTAGATCAAATATGTCCCATCCAATGTTTGGAACTTATACTAAATTTAATTGTGCGTCCTACATCTTTATTTGCAAAATCTGGCAACCCTAAATGGGGTCCGCAGAGCTTTCAGGGCCAACTTCTATTATGCTGGAAGACGCAAATAGTCAAAGGTTTTTTTTGGCCAGGCTTATGGTTTCTTTGGCAATGCAATTTCTTTAAAAACTTAGAACATAGGTTTCTGAGCTGTTTACATCCAAACAATTCAAAGGGCCAGTAACCTGTCTAAGCTCTTCCCTAGGCATAGTTTCTAGGACTGCTTTATTTCTTCAGTTTCTCACCCCTGTTCTGCTTTCTGAAATTAATGTTGACTACTTTGAGGCCATTTGCTACAAAAGTTTGGGTGGAAAGACAACACCCTTAATCTGATCTTTGCCTCAGGGCTGAGTTTGTTTACCTGGGAAATTTTGCTGGGCCTTGTTTCTCAAAGCCTTTTTTCATACTTATTTCTGTAACTTGGGGTCTAAAAGCCAGTGGCTTTTCTAACCCTGTGAATCCTGTTTCTTTTCATCTCTGCTTGAAAACCAACTAGTTCTTGCCTGAGCTTTTCTGTTTCTTCTACTGCCCTGCTAAATACATTAGGCTAACAGCAACATCTACTAACATTTGGCTTTTCCAGCCTCTTCTCCCAGAGCTCGTGAGTTTAGGAGCCCCTTGGGCTACATTCCAAGTTTTATCTAATATTTTGCCAAGGCATAATATTAGGATTTCGAACATTCATGTGTTTCTTTACTGCCCAAGGCCTGACCACTAAGCTCATGCTTCAAGGTATCCATTCCATATGTGTGACCACAGTAGCACCCAGAAGTAACACATAATGGCTCAGCAAAGTAGAAGTTGATCTCTTGCCCATATGACAGCCCTGGTGGGGTTTAGATCTGCACAATAGCTTTCTTCCAGGTGGCAAGTCAAGGACCCAGGCTTCACCTATCAGTGGCTCTGCCATCCCCTGAGCTCTCGCCATTATCTTAGTTCATTTAGTGTTAGAGGAACGACTGCAGAGGGGCATTCTGGGTCAGTCTGGATATAGTCCTGTCATTTCTGTTTACTTGCCATTGGTTAAAGCAATCCGATGGCTACATCTGGTTGCAAGGAAGAATAAGAAACATAGTCCAGCTGTGTGCCCAGGAGGAGAAGAGTGAGTTTTAATGGGTAGCTCCAGTCTCTGCCACAATTGTCGAAAGGAAGCAGTTGATGGATTGGTTCTTGGTGCTACCAAGGGAAGTGATCAGGTTTTTTAATCCAATTTTTTTGTGTCATGATGAATCCATTTTTTAACATTTCTGTCACAAACAATAAGCAGTAATACACAGTTGTACAAATATGTTCTGTTTTTTTTTCTCTTCTAGTCAACGAAACGGAATATTCCAATGCTCTTTGTCCGGGGAGATGGCGTTGTCCTGGTTGCCCCTCCACTGAGAGTTGGCTGAAACAAAGAATTTGTCCTGTATGGAAAACGGGAGACTTTGTACAGTGGCCTCTCTAAAAGTACAAAACATTCATAAGAGAAACCTGCATACATTTTGATATTAAGAAATAATTCCGGGGATTCTTCCACTCCTGAAATGAGTTGATTTGCAGATAACTCACAACTTCTTAAGCTAAATGGTATTTTCATTTTTCTCAAGCTCTCCAATAAATATGACCACCAAGATGCAGAACTCTTTCAGGACTTCTTTTGCTCCATTATTCTCACAGATACTTACTGATTTTTCTTTTCTTTAAATTGGTGTTTCCTTGTAGATTTTTTTAAGTGCGGTCTTCTGTCTTGTGAATTATTTAAAGTAAGCATGTCTTACCTTCACTTAGCACACATTTGCAGTGCACCTACTGTGTTTGAGGCACCAGGTTTGAGTGCTGGGAACCAGAGTTTTATCAAAATGCTTTCTGGGCCAGACATGGTGGCTCATGCCTGTAATCCCAGCACTTTGGGAGGCCAAGGTGGGTGGATCACCTGAGGTCAGGCGTTTGAGACCAGCCTGGCCAACATGGTGAAACCCTTTCTCTACTGAAAATATAAAAATTAGCCAGGCGTGGTGGCGCATACTTGTAATCCCAGCTACTCAGGAGGCTGAGGCAGTAGACGCTTGAACCCAGGAGGCAGAGGTTGCAGTGAGCCAAGATCACACCATTGCACTTCAACCTGGTCAACAGAGCGAGACTCCGTGTCAAAAAAAAAAAAAAAAAAGTTTTCTGCCCTCAAGTCTTCTGGGGAGGCAGATGTTTAAACCAACAATTGCAGGCAGTAAGATTAGTGCTGATAGAATCATGCACATGCAGGATGCCATAGGAGCATGGGGAAGAGCACCCAAATATGGGAGAAAGGGGCAGAGGGACATTGTAAACATCAACCCTGCAGTAGAAGACAGAGCAAAGCATGATTTCTCTTTTCTCTGGCCTGATTTAATTCTAAGGTCAGACGTTCAGCTTGATCATAACCTGTTTATAATTATGACTCAGACCATTTTTCCACTCTTGGATCATTGGCCATTAATGATGAGGGGTCTCAAACAACATGTCTCAGTGACACAGTAAAGCAGAAATTGGCTGAAAGCAAAGCTGTTTTTATTTCTAGCTTCAGTCAGCACATAATGCTTAAAACCTAAAGAGGAAAGTAAAAGCGTGTTACAATCTCTCAAACTTTATCAAGACAGGGCTTAGAACCTGACATCCTCCGCTATGGTCATTCCATTTTGAAATGTAGAAAATCCAACTTGTGGATGGTTTGTCTGTAAATGAGCTGAATGTGTGTGCGTGTTCATTATCAAGCACGATATGCTCACAAATGCACAGTACTTTAAGCCTTGTGCAAGAAAGATGCTTTCAGTAAACATATTTAAAAGGTTTTATTTTCCTTACTAATGGTACATGCCCCTGCAAGTTCATGGAGAAGAGAAAAACAAGTGTGGGTGAGCTGATGGAGGCTTCATCTTAGGTGAGGAGGCAGGAGAGACACCCTCCCTTCACTTGTGCCATCCCCACGCTTTGTCCTTAAGCTGTAGTGGTCCCAGGAGATAACCTGTTTACAGCAGCCCATTCAGTATTGAAAAATGAACTCCCTCCTGCAGAATGTTAGAAGAAACAACCTCAAAGACCTCAGGCCGCCTGTGGTCATTAGTATGTGGCAGCAAGATTGAACCTGCCTGCCTCCTACCTGTGTGAGCCTGTGGTGTGGGTGTGGTACCAAGGCCCTGGCTCTGGGCAGTCTGTTGGCTCCTGGTGTTCACTAAGGCGTGGGGTGACAGGCCATCTGGCCTCGCTCTGCCAGTCTGCAGTTCTCCCCAGCACTGCATTCATTTTTAGTGGTTTCTGATAGTCACACTGAATTCCTGGACACTTTCTTCTCTTCATTCTTAGTTATCTTTCTCCTTTTTCTCCTGGAACTGATAGTTTACACTAAAACTTTTGGCTGTGAGGACTTGATTATACACATTTCTAAAACCCATGAACCTTAATATCTGACACTGTTACTCTCATATGCACACACAACTAAAACATACCAACCTACTTCATTTCCTAGCTGCTAAGATACAAGGGGAGGGACAATAAAAGGTTAACTGCAGAATAGCCACCTATGTGTCAGGAAATGGAGGGAGGGGAGGCAATGTGTGAGTCCTTTTGGAGCTGGGACTCAATCCACAACAGAGACAGCTCAAGCAGGGCCCTGCCATGGTCCACACTGAGGTTTCCTCTGCAGTGGTGCTGTCCACTGAGGGGTTATGGTGTGAGGGCCCCTGGGAGCCACGCCTTGGACTTCTGAGTCTGCAGAGCACTCGGCTCCAGCCAGCTGGATGGCAGGTGGTCAGTGGAGCTGGTGACTGGTGGTTTCTGCAATGAGGTGTCAGATTAGCCTAAGGGAAGCCTCTTCAGCAAGTATCATGCCTGGATCCCGGTCTTGGTTGTTTTATGAGAGGCCGATATGAATTGCCATTGCCTCCCACAAAGAAAAATGGACAAAATATGGGACCACATCTTTGAGATGAAATGTGCCCAAAATGAAAAGTAACTTGAGTATCCCAAGTTAAACTTAATCATTAGCTGCAAATGGACGATTTTCAAATTTCAAATAGTGATTTTTGAAGATTTGCCCAAACTAGAGTACTATCCCTCTTCACACTAAGAGGCAGAAAGTGGTTTCACACACCCTTTTATTTAATCAGCTAAAGTGGGTGCGGTGACACACACCTGTAAACTCAACCACTAAGGAGACTGAGGCGGGAGGATTACTTGAGCCCAGGAGTTCGAGATCAGCCTGAGCAACATAACAAGACCCTGTCTCAAATAATACTTAGCTATTACCCATATTGCTTTTAGCCTGCTGCCAGGAGGGGAGAAATGTTATTGTTTGAACAGATGTCAGATGTGAGTAATGCTCAGCTGTGTTCAATGTAGAAAATTAATAAAAGTTCCAGGAGTCATCCTGGCTAGATCAAGAAGCACAGTTGATGTTTCTCTGTCACTCAGCTCTGCTGAACTACATGGATTTCATTCGTGGGCAAGCTCTTCCCTGTAGCAGATGCAGACTTCCAGCCTACCTGCCCTCCAGCTAAAGTGGTCTCATCCTCCTTGCTTGGTCCCTGTGCCCATCTGTGGGCTGGTTTTTACGGCCATGAGAATGTGGGGCTCTGATTGGCCAGGCCTCAGTCACACGCCCATTTCTGGAACTAAGAGCAAGGTTATCCCCACCTGAGCTGTATGGTCTAAGTGCAGAAGGAGGGGTCGTTCTCTGAAGGAAACCAGAGGAAAGGGGAAATGGAGCTGGACACAATGCCTATTACACAGGAAAACTTTTAGTCTGCCCCAACTTATAGAAAAATCCCTTTGGTACTTTCCTATTAGTAACAAATTTCTTGGAACACACCTCAGACTGACACTATGACTTTAAGCTATTGCTCTGGAATCCAGGAGGTTCTGGAGCAACCTGTGTGGGGATCAGTATGGGTGGAGCTCAGATTTGTTGGCTGACTGGGCCTGATGGTAGCCCGAGTCCTCTTGAGGGGTCTAGGTAGGAGATCTGCAACACAAGAGGGCTGTTAAGCTGGGGGTAGGTATCAGGGGGTCCTCAGAGCTTCTGGGGAGGGCAGGGTAGTTGAACAGAGTGGACTGAAGAACACTAAGCCCCATGAGACAAATTGCTGCTTACAGGCAGAGACCATATTCACAACCCCTGGCAGAGGGCCTGGCCAAGAATTTGTCTTCAATAAATGTTAAATGAATATTTAAATGACAAGAAGACTAGTGCAACAGGACTTTGTGATCAGCACTGTGGATGGAAGGTTCAAATGGGAGTTTGAAAGAAGGTGAACTTTGCACATTGTTTTCCAGACACTTGTGGTTTCCTTCCCACAATTGGACAGTGTTCCCCGGTTTTTTACCCTCGTGGCCATCCTCCCCATTACCATTTACCTGAAAGTGTCAGTATTTGCCAACTCTAGATACCTAACTAGTTATTAATTTACATAGAAAACTAATACCAAGAAATGAGGAAGATAAGGCCAAATGCTTTAAATTCCTTTTAGATTCATTGCCCAATTTTAATAAACCAGAGCATGTAGGTTCTTATTTTCTTGGCTGCTTCTAGAAATGTCCTGGATGTGGAGGCAGCATGCCCCATTGCAGTTTCTGATATTGATTACTCCAGAGGAATGTTTTCTTGGTGCTCATCCCATCCACTTGCAATGCTGCAGGGATCTGGGCTCTGAGTGTTGACACGAGCCCCAGAGTGACCCTTAGTGAGGTGGAAAACTGAACATACAGGGTCTAGCAGTGCAGCGGGGTCAGAGAAACCTGGCTGCGAGTCCCTGCTGTGTCACGTACCGGCTAGACAAACAGCTTCTGTCCTAAGGTCAGTTGTAAGGGCTGGGAAGTGGCCCTAGAAGCAGGCTAGGGTGGTGCTGGGATGTTACTGCCAAATCACTGACACCAGGGTCAGAGGCACAGAGGTGGAAGGGGCACTGGGAGGCCACTCCTTCAGCTTATTCCAACTGTCCCTGCTCTTTTCCTCCCCAGATAGTTTTCAGGAGAATGGTGAATTTGAAATAACTTGATTTGTTCCATTGAAAGTTATTTTCAGATGTCCGCTATGTGCCAGGATCTGTCCACAGAGGCCTGAGCAAGACCAACTATGTGCACGATGCTAAGAGCTGGGAAGGACCTGAAATGGGTGAGGAGATGGGAGGTGACATGGTGTTGTGGGGGGTGAGGGGGAACAGTGCTCAGACGAGGTCTGTCTCAGCAGAGAACATTTGAGCGGACATCTGAATAGCAGGAGGGAACAGGCCCCAAGGGGATTTGGCAAAACAGCATTCTTCCAGAAACTGGAGGCCGCGCAGAGGCTCTGAGATGAGGCTTTTCCTGGTGGAGGGTCGGCAGGGAGGCCAGTCGGCATGGGAAGAGTGAGCCAAAAGTCTGAGACCTCGGAAGTCCAGGCGTCATTCAGCACCTTCGTTTCACAGAAGGGGATGAAGAGCCCAAGACAGTGAAATAGACTTGCCTGAGGCCACCGCGAGTCCAGGCTAATCTAGTTCTAAAGCCTAAATAAGGGCCACTGTGTGCCCCAGCTCCAGTGGTGCCGCTCATGCTGTAGCCTCTGGACCCGTGCAATGTGCTGCTCCTGCAGCTACACGGTCTCCTCCTTCCGATCACAGGCCAGCATTTCACCGTCCTTTCCCTTTTCGAAGGAAAGGGTCTTCTGAGTTCGCGGGTGCTATGGGGACCCTGCTCAAGCTGGTATTCAGGAAGGGGAAGACTGTGCTTTCCTTCCCTTGGCCAGGCCTCGTGGGAGGAGCACAGAGTTGGAAATCACACCCGTCAGACTCAGCTCGATCACCGTGTGCTCTGTGACTTTTGGCGAGCTCCTCGCCCATTCTGGGCTTCCATTCCTCACACGAAGGGAAATGCAGGGAGTTGTTTTTACTCCTGAACCTGCATGTCTTAGTTGCCAACACCAGGTGGTGCTGTGCTCTTTTGCTTTTCCACTTCAGTCCTTGCTTTGCAATCAACATGAGCTAATACTGGCCAGCGAGCTCTGAAATCCAGTTTGTGGAACTCCAACCCTACAATAGCTACATAATATGTAGGCCCCAGGGAGAAAGTTGTAAGGGAAAATACCATTCCCGTGGTGCCCATATCCTGCTGAACCGAGATCACCAACAAAGCCGCACTCTAGGTGAGATGGGTTTTGCTGCGCTGGCTCTGTGCACGTGGCTGAATAATGGGTGGACAGAGCTTTCTTTGCGGCCTGAGGCCAGATTCTGCCATCCTGTTGAGCAGATCCCTTTTCCTGCTCTTAGCCTTGGAGTCCTCATCTATACAGTGTCCTTTGAGCTTGAACAATGTGAGTTTCAGGAAAAGGACTCAATCACTCTGCTATTGATTAAAAGAGCCTAGGTTTGGAGTTCTTGGTAGCAGTATCTGAAAGCCGACATTGGTGTGTGCTAGGAAAAGCCTACAGATTTGGAGTGAAAAAGCCATGCATGTGAACCCTAGCACTGCTGCTTCCCAGCTGAATAACAGACTCCAACTCTCTGACCCTTAGTTTCCTCCTCTGTAAATGGGGATAGTGACAGTGCCCACCTCAGGAAGAAGGGCTGAGGATGAAAAGATGTCCATCAAGGATGGAGCTCAGGTCCTGCCATGGAGTCGGAGCTCAGGACATCTTTGATTCCCTTAATTGGGCCAGCAGCTCTAAATAAGATGCTTCTTGTCTCCTCCTGAATGCCTTTCTGAAAAGACCACCTGTAAATATTTATCTGTCTTTATAACAAGGATCCAAGCTGTTCTTCATGAATCCATAGTTTCTGCCTTGCTGAGTCTACTACAACATTTTTTAAAAATTTTTTCATCGATCTCTCCTTGCATTGTTTTTCCTGTATGACTTTTCCAGGCTGAGTTCTGCTAGAAACTGGGATGGCTAACAGCTGGTCATGATAAGGGTTTGGGAATCAGATGAGGGAACAGGGGAGCCTCCCCTTTGCAGCGTCCTCTGCCCTCCCTCTCTGTGGTTCTCAGCAATGTTTTTCTCAGTTCAGCTTCAAGGTAGAAGAGAAATGGATGAAACCAGCTCCATGAACAAGGTCACCCCGCCAATATCACGAGAAAATGACATCACTGTCAGCTTCCGCTCAGGAAAAACCTGGGACTTGAATAACCAAGGGAAAGGGCAGGTCATCCTCATGGCAGGTTGACAGAGCTGGTTACAGACCTCCCTGCCAGATATCAGGGCCTGGGAGTGTGGCTAAAAATGACCCAGGGACCACACCTGCCTCTGGTCAGTTGCCCCCGGCAGCCTTACCACCCTCGTATGCTCAGAACAACGGAATATCACCAATGGGGTGTTTTATTTCCTCTTTCCTAGAAGAAAGGTTACCAACTGCCAGAATCAAAATAGAACATGAACCGTGTCACTGGAATCCTGTCCAATCCAAGCACACTGATATTGTGCAATGCCCTTTGGGAGATAAAGCAGATAAGCAAAATCTCCAAGCTATTATCACACCATTGGACCTGGCATTGCAGAAGGCCTCTAGCCGGCCTCTTCTAGGCTTGTCATGTTTCTGCAACACTGTGTCGAGTGCTTTTTGTGCTCTAGAAGAACACTATTTCATAGATGAAACCAGGCGCAAAGCCTCACAGAAAGAATTATTTTGTTAAAGTGAATAGTTGTCCCCAACTTTTTCCATTTCCCAAGCTCATAGTTTTATACATTCTTTCTTTTTTTAAGGCTTGGCTTAAATTCTTTATTATTATTATTATTATTATTATTATTATTATTATTATTTTGAGATGAAGTCTCCCTCATATCCCCAGGCTGGAGTGCAATGGCGCAATCTCGGCTCACTGCTGCAACCTCCGCCTCCTGGGTTCAAGCCGTTCTCCTGTCTCAGCCTCCCAAGTAGCTGAGATTACAGGCACCTGCCATCACACCCGGCTAATTTTTGTTTTTTGGGGGTTTTTTTGGGGTTTTTTTTTGTTTGTTTTTTTGAGACAGAGTCTCACTCTCTCGCCCAGGCTGGAGTGCAGTGGCCTAATCTTGGCTCACTGCAACCTCCGCCTGCCAGGTTCAAACAATTCTCCTGCCTCAGCCTCCCAAGTAGCTGGGACTACAGGTGAGTGCCACCAGGCCCAGCTAATTTTTTTTTTTTTTGTATTTTTAGTAGAGATGGGGTTTCACCATGCTGGCCAGGCTGGTCTCAAACTCCTGACCTCGTGATCCGCCCGCCTCAGCCTCCCAAAGTGCTGGGATTACAGGCGTGAGCCACCGCGCCTGGCAATTTTTGTATTTTTAGTAGAGATGGGGTTTCTCCATGTTGGCCAGGCTGGTCTCGAACTCCTGACCTCAGGTGATCCGCCCACCTCAGCCTCCCAAAGTGCTGGGATTACAGGCGTGAGCCACCGCGCCTGGCAATTTTTGTATTTTTAGTAGAGATGGGGTTTCTCCATGTTGGCCAGGCTGGTCTCGAACTCCTGACCTCAGGTGATCCGCCCACCTCAGCCTCCCAAAGTGCTGGGATTACAGGCGTGAGCCACCGCGCCCTGCCAAATTCTTTATTATTCTTAATGGCACAACATAGTTTTCCATATGGTAATGAAATACCCACGCTGACTTTCCTGAGGAACAAGGAAAAATGAACAAATTGGAGAATTCAGTGCTTGGCAGGCTTGTCTTCATATACATGATGAATATCAGCCTTTCCTGAAGCTTTAAAATTCTCTTGGTCTAAGTTACTTTTCCTTGAAGGATCATTCCTGCCCCTTGACATCTTTGAGAATTGTTCAACATGTAAATGATGTGCATCAATTGATCAACTTACATTTTAGCTTCTTTATACTATCAGCGTATTTTTTTTCTGTCACTTTCGTGTTAGTGAAGTATAGTAGATATTTGTAAAAGTATTGTGACTATATATTTTTTAATTTTTATTTTTGATTATAGTAAAAAATGCATAACAGAATTTACCATCTTAACCATTTCATAAATGTGCAGTTCAGTACTGTTAAGTATATTCACAGTTGTGCAACATATGTGAAGTTTTCTTAAAGCAAAGCACTCCTGAATGTCCCTCATCCACAAGTCCTTCTCCCATGATGTAATACTTTATTATTGTGCCTAAACTTACCCTTCAGGGGTTTCAAAGCCTTGGACAGTAACTCTGAACAAAATCCATGGGCAAGATTTAAAGTATGGGGAGCACTTAGAGAAGGCTGTGAAGCTATTTCATCCTTTACTCATCACAAGCCAAACTGCTTTGGGTAGAAAGCGCTTGACTGACAGGAGGAGAGCTGGCCTTGAAACTGCTGGATGAAGGCCCTGGTGAAGGCCTTCAGATCGCATCACCCTATGTAAAGCCCTCTGGTGGCTGCCTGTCTCACCAGAGTAACAACCGCAATCCTGACCCATCTCACCGCCTCCTGATTCAATCCGCCCTGGTTTCTCTGGCCTCAACTCCTGTCCAGCCACACTGGCCTCCTTGCCATTCCTTGAAAATATCGAGCTCATTTCTTCTTAAAGGCCTTTGCATTTGCTCCTACCTCTTCCTAGAACAATCTTTTCAAATCATGTTGGGCAACAGAACCACTCATGGAGGTCATCAAACTCTCAATGCCCAGGCCACATCTTACACCAGTTTAATTATCTCTGGGGCCTTAAAGATCCATTTTTAAAACAAAAACGGAAATAAAACCTCCTCAAGAATTCCAATGTGTAGTCACTTTTAGGAACCAGTGTCCTAGATCTTGTGGTTCCCAAGGTGCGGTCTCAGATCAGCAAGAACAGCATCACCTGGGAACTTGTTAGAAATGCAGATTCTCAGGTCCTAGCCCAAGGTTATTGAATTGGAAACTTTGGAAGTAGAGCCCAGGAATATGTATCTTACCAAGCCCTCCAGGTGACTCCCATGCACACCAACTTTTGAGAACCACTGTCCTACATCCTTGGTGCTCAAGATGAGCCTTGTGGACCGGTATCATCTGCACGCCCTGGAAGCTTGTGAGACAGGCAGAGTCTCCAATGCACCCCTGTGGGCAGATCTGACCCAATGAATGAGGATCTGCACTTCACCAATATTCCTAGTCATGCATATGCACATCAGAGTTCAAGAAGCTTTCTAGCTCTGTCCCCAGAGAGGTCCTGGAAGTGGTAACACACCTGGTGGCAGGAGCCCACCCAGCCCCCAGATCTTGGATTCTAAATATCTTTTAACACCAAAAGAACCAGGCTTATTGGAGAAAGGGCTGATTCCAGGGCTGGGGCAGGGAACATACCAGATGAGCCCAAAACATCTTATTGTGCCGGAAGGCAAGGAAATACCTGAAGAATGGTGGGGCTGTGTAAAAAGACACAGAACTCAGTCTGAAGGGCTCTCATTGATCAAATCTGAGATGGTCTGATAGCAGTAGATTATAACCTAGTGAATAAAATAAAAAGCCATGAGTTCATAGTTATATAAATAAATATATGATTATATAAATAAATGGGTAGGGCCAGGCATGGCGGCTCACGCCTGAAATCCCAGTACTTTGGGAGACTGAAGCTGGAGGATCACTTGAGCCCAGGAGTTTGAGACCAGCCTGGGCAACATAGTGTGATAGTGTCTCTACAAAAAAATCAAAAAATTAGCTGGGCTTGGTCGTGTGCTTGTAGTCCCAGCTACTCAGGAGGCTGAGGTGGGAGGATCCCTTGAGTCCAGGAGGTCAAGGCTGCAGGGTACTGTGATTGCACCACTGCCCTCCAACTTGGATGACAGAGCAAGATACTGTGTCAAAAAAATAAAAATAAAAATAAATAAAGTAAATGGGGCGAAGGAAAATCTCTTCCTTACAGTACAGTGGCAACTAATAAGTTGTAGAAGATGAAGTATGCTAAAACTAGTGAGGATCAGAGCACTTACATTCTAAAAGTGCCTCCCCACAAATTACTCATTCATTAAAAAGGGGGGAAAGGCAATTTTTTAGTGGAGAAACCCGGAGGAGACCACCTAAACCAATCAACCAACGTTAATGTCCCCAACGTAGGGACAAACAGCGCCACGTGCCTCCTGCTGTGATGCACTGAGGGGGACACAACATCACTTCTGTGGTGTTCCTGCCACAACGGTGTCACCTGAAAGTAATCCTCAGGAAATATCAGCAAACCCAAATGACAGGACGTCCCACAGAATAACTGGCCTGCACTCTTTAAAAAAATGTCAGGGTCAAGAAAGACAAAGCATGGCTAAGGAACTGTTCCAGACTAAAGAAAACTAACGAAACATGAGGACTCAGTGTAATATGTGACCCTTGGCCTGGAAAAATATGTGCAATTTAAAAAGGTTATTGTTGGAGCAACTGATACCATTTAACTATGCATTGTAGATTAGATATGGACTGTGGTTATATAAGCGAATGTTCTTATTCTTAGGAAGTACACACTGAAGTATAGGGTGAAAGGGCAGTATGTTCGCACTGTGCACTCTCAAATAGTTCTGCAAAAAGTGTGTGTGTGTGTGATGTGTATATTGTATACTTAGAGAGAGAGGACAGAGAATGAGGCAAAACGTAAACAATTAGTGGATTGAGAAGACGAGATTTCCTTGTACTATGCTTGGAATTTTTCTCTACGTCTGAAATTATGTCAAAATAAAAGTCATGTCCCCTCTTCCTGCAAAAGAGACCAATGAGAGCAAACACCCAAAAGGCAGTGTTCTAGAACACTCTTGCTCCTGAGTTTGGTATGACTCTCTCCCTCTGGTCATTCAGGTCCACTTTTACATCCTATGCCTCCTCTACAGGGAGGCCACACCTAGTCCCCCAACCAGTGTACCCCCCCATTCCCAGCCCTCCTCCATTACACTCCCCTGTGTTCTTGCTCACCATAGCACTTTGTTAGTATGTGACACTATTCTTGTTTATATATTTGTCTACTCATTTACTGTCTCCTCCCACTAGAAGGTAAGCTTCATAAGCATGGAGACTCTTTCTGTCTTGATAGTCCCCTCTATGTGAAATGAATGAATGCACAAATGAACAGATCTACAGATCTGAGGCTCCGTTTGCTCATCTGCAGAACAAGGGGCTTCATCTGGATTTGGTGCAACATCTGGATTCTTTCCCCGTGCTGACACTGAAGGAAGGCATCTGGCAATGGAAGAGCTACTGTGTCATGCACATCTAAAACACTCTAGGCTTTTATTTACAGTTTCTCATTTAATCCTCACCATGATCCAGCAACAGCGGTAGGAGTACTCTTATTCTGTTCCTTCATGTAGCAGAAACGTGCCGAATGCCTGTTACCTGCTAGGCGCTTAAGAAGACAGTGCTGAGCACCAGAGGCACAGCCCCACCACCACGGAGCCTGCTGGTGAGCAGGACTGGCTGAGAAAACCGAGACTCCGAAAGCTTGCCCAACTTGCTGAAGTTATGCAGCAAGGACATGGCAGAGCTGGGAAGCCCATGCTGTCTCCACTGCTGGTAACAAGGGGCGTAAAGGAGAGAAGCTGCTGAGTTGGCCACTCCTCAGGTGGCTCCCTCGGAGCTGTCACGCCCACCTGTGTCCATGGCCTCAACACCGCAGCAAAACAGAACACGCTGTATCTCAGCCATTTCCAGTTGTGTTTTTTATGATTCCATGGCCTCTCAGTCATTTATTATTTATCTGTATTTTAAATTATTAATTTTTTTATCATTTACTATTTATTTCATTTATCTGTTTTTTATTATTTCATGGCCTCTTGGAGGAGACAACGGGCTCTGTGGGGTGAGAAAATGTGAGATTGGAATGACGCACAGGAAGGATTTATGTCTGCTACAACACACGAGCCTGGAGAAGGGGGAAGGAGGGTATTGTATGTTTGAGGACACATCATGTGTATTTGAGAATATAACTTTCAACAAGAAGGGTTGCATGGACCATAAGCTTATACTTCCCATAAGCAAGAAGGCTGTCTGTTTCACTGGGCAAATATTGTGTTCAGTTCAACCTTAGAAGTAATCTAAGTTGGAGATGAGATCAAATAACCTTGACAGAAGAAGCAAATCAAAGTAACCAAATAAAAACCCACTTCAAAAATGTTTAATGAAGACACTGAGCATGAAGAATTAAAACAATGTAAAGGAGTGGGGGTGGGGAGCTACAACTTCTTAAAAGATGTTTCTTTTTTTTTTTTTTTTTTCACCTCACTGATCCTTTCCCTACTTGAAAGCTTTCTCTGCCAGTGAATCACTCAACTAATTGCCAGGTCCTGTTTCCCTGTTTATAATCTTGAGCCTGAAGAAGCCTTCTGTAAAGGCCACAGTAAATTTCCCTGGCTAGCAAGACAAACATTTATCCTAGGGGCTGGATTACTATGCTGGGAGGTCTTAGATTCCTGGGATTTAGTGCATGCTCGCGCCTCACATTTTTTGGGTGACCTTCACCTCTCTGTGCCTCAGTTTCTGAAGCTGCACAATGAAAACAATGTTCCCCACTGAGTCACATCCTAGGATGGCTCTGAGCTCCCCGTTGGAAGGTGGAAAAGGGTATTTGGCAGAGGGTATGATTTATCTGTTCCTCTAAATGCTTCTCCTCCTTCTGGAAGCTGGCTCATTATGTTGGGAATTGAAATGCATTCTCTGTGGGCATATGAAGTAGATTCCTTACGGGAATGTTTAATGGGTGGGTGAATAAAAGAGACACATTAACAAAGTTGTGTTATTCTAGAGAAAAAAATGTCATATCTTCATTTTTTTGTGACCACAAAGTGCAGAGTTGAGGAGGGGGTGGACAAGAAAACAGTATTGTTCTTTGGAGCTATTATTCCCAGATGGCTTGCCCATGATAGAAGCTTTTCTGTTGCTGTTGAATGTCATTTTTCCAAGAAAGCCAGTCAGCTAACTGGCAACTGTGTGGGTGATGACATGCCCCACCTTTCTCTTTAGTGAGTTCCCCTTCCTTGAAAGTAAGAATAGAGTGAATGAACCCTCGTCAAAAGGTGGGGTAGAGAAAGTTCAATCAGAAGAGGGGTTCAACTAAGTACCACTCATTTTCCTCCAACCTTAAGATTCAGAGATTCTAGTCCCTTTTGGTGCCACATCCTCTTCTGAATAGACAATCCAAGCTGTGCAGCAGTGCGCAGGGACAAAGGGCTCTGTGGGGTGAGAAAATGTGAGACTGGAATGACACACAGAAGGGATTTATGTCTGCTACAGCACACGAGCCAGGAGAACAGGGAGGGAGGCTATTATATGTTTGAGGACACATCATATGTATTTGAGAATATAACTTTCAACAGGAAGGGTTGCATGGACCATGGACTCTGTAGCCTGAAAGGAATCCTGGGAGCCCCCGGAATCCCTCTGGATGTAGCTTTCAGCCACAGGAAGCTCTGTTACTGAGGAGAGACTGGAGGAACCCCAGCACCAAAAACCCAGAGAGGGTGAGCACAGCAGTAGAAATTGCGATGGTATCAGCTTAGCCAGGCCCTCATTTTAGAGTAAATTACAACCACAATAATCACAGCTCCCCAGCCTTAATCCTCTGCTATGTGCAGGTGTGATGCATAGCTTGCTTCATTTACCTCGACAATTCTTCAAGGGAGATACTACAGGCCTATTTTGCAGATGAAGAAACTGAGGCTTCAGTTTCACTAGAGAGAGTAAGTGAGTTGCCTTGCAAATGGCAGAGCCAGTATTCACACTCAAGCCTATCCGACTCAAGACCCATGTTCCTTCCAGTGTGTCAATAGTCTTGATTTAAAAGTGGGGATTATAAACCCCACTCTTTTGCAGACAGAAAAACTGAGCTCATCCAGTGGAGATAACACTGAGCAAACTGAGGTTTGACTGGTTCCAAATTTCTGCCAGGCGTTTTGTGTGAGGAGCAGTTGGACCTTGCAGAATGATGAAGCTGGGGGACTGACCAAAGGGTGGTCTGATCAAACCCCTTTTGTCTACAGAGGGAGAACTGGACTCAGAGGGCATAGGTAAGCAGCTCACGGCAGGAGGCAAGAGAGTGGCAGGCCAAGCACAGAGCCCCTATCTTCAGCCTCCCAGGGATATGACTGAGCTGCTCTTGGGTATAGTGGGAACTGATCTGTCCCACCTGCCTCCTGATGGCCTCTGTGTGCCTGGCAGGGATGCCTGCCCCAGGCTGGGATGGAGGCATGTCTGCAACCTTGGAGGGGACCCAGGAGGCCAGGGCAGGTGGGGTTGACCTTGTGACTCGGAAGCTGGCTCTGTGTGAAAACACAGACAACTGGATGGGCCTGGGGCCTAGGGGTCAGCAGCCCAGCACCTGTCTATGCTGGTGAACCCGGGAGAGAGTGGAGGGTCAGGTGAGGTGCAGAGAGCAAAAGCGAGGCTTTATTCATGGAGGTATACTGTTGTTCTCAGATGCCCCTGCTCATCCTATACCTCCCTTAAAGGCTCAGCCTTCGGAGAGAAGCCCTCTGAAACCATCTAAACTCCCTTTTCCTCCTCTGGCTACAAGAGTCGGAATTCCCACTACCATTTCTAGAAGGCTGGTTATGTGCCAGGCCCTGGGCCAGACATGCTACAAATAAGATCTGACATTTAGCTTTCCCAACAATCCTGTGACCATGCTGTAACGAGCTAAGGCTCAGAGAGATCAAGTGACTTGTCTAAGCTCACACAGCTGATGAGCAACAGAGCCAGGGTGGCAGCTCTATTAGGATAGAGACTTTTAAAAAAAAAAATTTTAGACAAGGTCTAGCTCTGTGGCCCAGGCTAAAGTGCAGTGGCACGACCACAGCTCAGTGTAGCCTCAAACTCCTGGGCTTAAGCAAGCTTCACGCCTCAGCCTCAACCTCCCAAGTAGCTAGGACTACAGGTATGAACCAACACACCTGGTTAATTTTTAAAATTTTTTGTAGAGATGGGAGCTCACTATGTTGCCCAGGCTGGCCTTGAACTCCTGGACTCAAGTGATCCTCCCACCTCAGCCTCCCAAAGTGCTGAGATTATTGGCGTAAGCCACTGCACCCAGCTGGGATTTCTGACTCCTGTTTGCTGCTGTATTCTCAGTGGTTGGCACGTAGTGGCCACTGAGATACACATTTGTTGAATAAATGTCTGACTCCAAAGCCACACTCTTTGCCCTATACCCCTCTCCTTCCTGGGAACTCTCATGGGAAAATTCAATTTTGAGTGAAAATTGACTTGGAGGACTTCAGTCAAGAGTGAATCCATTAATTTCTCTTCTATGGGTACTTTCTGTACTCACCAAAATAAAGCAATAAAGAAAACTCCCCAAGTAGAGTGTCAATGACATTATGCACATTTTTATAATTAGTAATCAGGGCTGCTGTGGAACTGATTTCTTCCTCAGGAGGATTCACAAAGATGCTTGTTAGCTCATTTTGCTTTTTGTCTTTCCTGCAGACAACACGGACAGCAACAGACCTTGGTTTTTCTGTGTCTGGTCCTTCTCCGAAAGTTCAAAGCCTTTTTCATTTTGCAACACAGAGTCTCTAAGGCACCTTCCTTAAGCCATGAGTTTCTGACTTTATATTCAACCTAGGCTTTGGGGGTGTGGAAAGGGTCATCTGTATATCCTCAGATTTCCAAAAAAGGAATTGCGAGGATGGCTTACTGCATAGCTCCCTGTTGTCCAGCAAGGCCCAAGGCCTGTTTGTTGGGTCATTACCATCCATGCCACACAGCGACTACAATTCTACAATTACAAGTGAACTTCATCTAACTTTACTGACCATGATTTTTGTGGTTGTTCATCATTCAGGACATATAGTTCAGCATCTCACAGAGCCCTAAGTCAAAATAATGCACTTTGAGTTTTAACTTCTCAGAGCTGAAAGGGATCCTACAGATGACCGCATCTAACTTTTCCCAAAGTCTTTTTCACACCACACAGCCACAGGATACTGTACCCGGGAAGGTTTCCTGTGTTGCGGAAGTGTGGGAAGTGCTACGTGGTCTACCTCCCTGTTAGGACCCACAACGCATAAGGGCAGACTGAGGTTTCCAAGAAGTCCTGTAGGAAATATACTTTTGTTTAACTTTGTTCTACACCGTATTCCCAAAATTACTGGCCCAGGAGGGGGAAGCCTTCTGTGTTTTCTTTCTTTTTCAATTTATGGAAAATTCTTTGGGAAATAAAACTCTTATCAGACCCCACCTCTCCACCTCCCAATTTTACAGATGTAGAAAGTGATGATCAGCGGAGGAAAGAGAAAAAGCGGCCAGAAGTTGTCCATAGGCCAGGCCTGGGATATATGTCTTAACTCCAGGTTCACGATTCCTCTCAGCCACACCTCCCAGGTAGGACTGTCAAATGGTTGTTAACAGAGATAGCAGGATAGTAAAGTGCAGATTGACCCAGGTTTTATTGCACCAGGTTTTGCTGATTCTGAAGCCAAGTGTGCTGAAAAAGATAACTGTGGAGCAAGTTCACTTCAAGTCATCCCAGGTGACTGTTTTCACGCCTGCATTTGAGAGCACAGGGGCTGAACATGACCACCCTCCCTCTTCTCCAGCTGTAGATGACTCCTTATAAAGAAGATTTGGGGTAGATGGAAGATGGGAAGGCGGGAAGGGCGGGTGGTCAGCGACAAAAAGGCCATCACACGTCAGCCCGCTGGAGTGGTTGCTTGACTACAGCGATGGTGGCCCCTCACTGAATGGGACAGGATACTGCAATGGTGAAACTCTGGGTTTAAATCCTGGCCCCACAGAACAACTTCATGACCTTAGACAAAAAACGTAATCTCTCAGGGCCCCAGCTTCCCACTGTGAAAATGGGATAATAATGGCACCTACATTTTCCTGGCACTGCTCTCTCAGAGGAGCTTATGCCATGATTTCTTCATAGGGAACATGGGGTAATAAATACAAAGTTCCTGACATAGAAGGAGGTTTTCTAAAAGACACTGAGAGGCTCACCTGGTGGCTTCCTGTCATAAACCTGAAGTGGCGGTGGGGGTGGCTGGAGCAGGTAGCCCAGGAGGTCCTTTAGGCTGGCATGCAGCAGGAAGAGCAGAGAAGGGGGTAATAATTTGGGTAAAGATAAGGGGGAGATGCTCAGTCCACAATGATGAAGGGCATTTTTTTATTTTCTTGAGACAGGGTCTGGCTCTGTCACCCAGGCTGGAATGCAACAACATAATGATGGCGCACTGCAACCTTGACCTCCTGAGCTTGAGCAATCCTCCAGTTTCAGCATCCCAAGCAGCTGGGCCTACAGATGTGTGCCACCACACCTGGCTAATTGTGTGTGTGTGTGTGTGTGTGTGTGTGTGTGTGTGTACTTTTTGTAGAGACAGGCCTCACTATGTTGCCCAAGCTGGTCTCAAACCCCTGGCCTCAAAAACAATCATCCCTCCTCAGCATCCCAAAGTGCTGGGATAACAGGTGTGAGCCACTGCACTGGGCCAAGGGCATAATTTTTAATGAAAATTAAGGCAAAGAACAGTTATGGGAGACAAATAGATGACAGTATCAAGGACTTTTTCATTAGCAATTAACAACAACAAAATAAAACCTCAAACTGACTTAAGAAAAAAAAAAAGAGCAGCGGGAGCTGACTGTAGACATGGCTGCATTCAGGAGCGCAGGCTATGCCACCAAGAATCGGTCTTGCTCCGTCCCTTGGCTTTGCTCACCCTGCTATTGACTCCGTTCTCAGTCAGATGCTCCCCTCGTTCCCCTCGTGGTGACAGGATGGCGCAGCAGCCCCTAGTGGACATTCTGCAGCTCAGTCACCCACCTCATTCCCGAAACGCCAACCAAAGCCCCAGGATTCATTATGGTTGGCCCAGCCCAGGTCATGTGCCCCTTCCAATTACTGGCACTGATTGGCCGGTTCTGGTGATGAAGCAGACAGGGGGCTGGGACCCTGGTCTCCTGCCTTCTTTGAGTTTCCTGACTTGTCCGTTCGTCTTCAACTGGCCCACTGTTCCCCGGGCTCTTAAAACCACACCTCATTTAGGCCTCTGGCAAGAAATGGCTACATCCTCTACAGCGGTCTTTTGCATTGACTTGGACTCTTCTGTTGGCTTAAAGGCAGATTCAGGACATGCCAGTTCAGATAGAGGGAGACAGACTCGTGTGTGATCCTGGGATGGCAGAGGATTTTTCATCTGATGTGCCAGTTATGGTTAATAGTGGCTGCCCGAGGGCTGTTTTGCAGAGGATGGTAAAGCTAAGTCCAGACTCGGAGGGAAAAGAAGCTGTGATTGATTAATAATGTCTGCCAGGAGCCCCGGAGCAGTCAGTGGTGGCCGACTTGCCGTGTATCGGCCAAACTTCATTGCAGAAAGAGCACGGATCACGGAAAGCAGCAGCCCTGTTCACAGACACCTCCACCTCTCAGCCCTGCGATCACACGCTAGTTACTTAGCTTTACAGGAAACAATTCTCCCATTTGCACAATGAGGACGTGTATCCCAAAGAGTTGCTGAAAGAATCAATAGAGACAATGTATGTAAACTGATCACGATCCTGCACGGAAAACAGAGGCTTTGGCTTTTAACAGAGGTGGAAAGTCATGTTGTTTTTCCAGGGGCCCCACCCCAAAAGTGCTTGTATGGCCTAGGACATCTCAGGAAATTTTTTTTTTCTTTTTTTTCACTTTCTTTCTTTCTTCCTTCCTTCCTTTCTTTCTTTCTTTTTCTTTTCTTTTCTTTTCTTTTTTTTTTTTTTTTTTTTGAGATGGACTCTCGCTCTGTTGCCCAGGCTGGAGTGCAGTGGCTCGATCTCGGCTCACTGCAAGCTCTGCCTCCCCGGTTCACACCATTCTCCTGCCTCAGCCTCGCGAGTAGCTGGGACTACAGGGGCCTGCCGCCACCCCCGGCTAATTTTTTGAATTTTTTTTTAGTAGAGACGGGGTTTCACCGTGTTAGCCGGGATGAGTCTCGATCTCCTGACCTCGCGATCCCCCCGCCTCGGCCTCCCAAAGTGCTGGGATTACGAGCGTGAGCCACAGTGTGCGGCCGGGAAAATTTTCTTGAGTTCGAACTTCTTTTTTTGAAATATGCGCTGTTGACACCTGGCCTTATCCCTTCAGGCCTTCACAGTTCAGGCCGTTTGGCCCCGCTTCTCCTCGTTGACTTTCCCACCAACAGTGCATTGACCAGCACCACCGTCTGAGAACTCACAAAGGATCTGATTTACCTTCCTAGGATTCCGTATCACCTCTTCTTACACCAAGGGACCCAGTGCATGGCAAAAGCTGTATGAAAGTGGGCACATGGCCACAGAACAGACAGGTTTTTCCAAGGAAGGCATCAGCAGAAGCTGCTTGCTGGCTCTTTGCTAGAAGCACAGCTAAGGAGCCTGCCTAGGGGAGATACCTGGCACGGTTGGCATGCTATACTGTTTTTCATTGAGGTAAAATTCGTATAACATAAAATTCACCATTTTAGCCATTTTAAAATACACAATTCAGTGACTTTTAGTGCATTCACAGGATAGTGCAACCATCACCACTATCTAATTCCAGAACATTTTCATTCATTCAAAAGACACTTTAGACTCATCCAGCAGTCATTCCCATTTTCCCCTCTCCTCAGCCCCAGAAAACAGCTAATTTGCTTTCTGTCTGTATAGATTCACCTGTTCTGGACACTTCATATAAATGAGATCACACAAGTCATGGCCTTTTGTGTCTGTCTTCCTTCCCTTAGCAAAACGTCTTTATCCAAGTTGAAGTATGAATCAGTACTTCATTCCTTCTTATGTCTGAATAATGTCCTATTGTGTGGATATACAATATTATGTTTATTCATTTGGCTGTTGTGAATAGTGCTGCTATGAAATTCTTGTAGAACTTTTTCTTTGAACACCTGTCTTCAGTTATTTGGGGTATGTACTTAGGAGCAGAATGGCTGGCTCATATAGTAATTCTGTTTAGCTTTTTGAAGAATAGCCAAACTCTTTTTCCCAGCAGCAGCACCATTTCACATTCCTCCCTCCAGTTTCTCAACATCTTTGCTAACATTTGTTATTTTTTGTTTTTAAAATCATAGCCATTCTAGGAGCTGGGCAGTGATATCTCACACACCCTCCCTCCCTCCCTCCCTCCTTCCTTCCTTCCTTTTCCTTCCTTCCTTTTCCTTCCTTCCTTCCTTTCTTCCTTCCTTCCTTCCTTTCCTTCCTCCTTCCCTCCCTCCCTCCCTCCCTCCCTTCTTTCCTTCCTCTCTCCCTCTCTTTCTTTCCTTTTTTTTTTTTGACAAGGTCTCACTCTGTCACCCAGACTGGAGAGCAGTGGCACAATCACAGCTCACTGCAGCCTCAAACTCCTGGGCTCAAGTGGTCCTCCTGCCCTGGCACCTATAGCTGGAACTATAGGTGCACATCACCATGCACAGCTAATTTTTGCATTTTTTTTGTAGAGACAGGGTTTTGCCATGTTACCCAGGTTGATCTTGAGCCCAGGGATTAAGCAATTGGCCCACCTTGGCCTCCCAAAATGTTGGGATTACAGGCATGAGCCATCGTGCCCAGCCTTGTGGTAGTTTTGATTGGTGTTTCTCCAATGATTAATGAAGATAACCATCTTTCGTGTGCTTATTGGCCATTTCTATATCTTCCTGAAATGTCTATTTGAGTACTTAGCTCTTTTTTTTTTTTTTTTTTTTTGAGATGGAGTCTCACACTGTCGCCCAGATTGGAGTGCAATGGCGTGATCTCAGCTCACTGCAATCTCCACTTCCCAGGTTCAAGTGATTCTCCTGCCTCGGCCTCCTGAGTAGCTGGGATTACAGGCACATGCCACCACACCCAGCTAATTTTTTGTATTTTTAGTAGAGACGGGGTTTCACCCTGTTGGCCAGGATGGTCTCGATCTCCTGACCTCGTGATCCGCCCGCCTTGGCCTCCCGAAGTGCTGGGATTACAGGCATGAGCCACCGCACCTGGCCAGGGTATAATTTTTTTAACATGCTGCTAGAATCAGTTTGCTAGTATTCTGTTGAAGATCTTTACATCTATATTCATAGAATATGAGCCTCTACTTTTTTTTTCTTGTTATGTCTGTGTGTGACTTTGGTATCAGAGTAATTTTGGCCTCATAAAATGAGTTAAATAGTGTTTCTGCCTCTTCTATTTTTTGAAAGAGTTGAGAAACATTCATGTTAATTCTTCTTTAAACATTTGGTAGAATTCACCAATGAAGCTATTTGGTCCTGAGATTTTCTTTGTTAAAAGTTCTTTGATTACTAATTTCATCTCTTTACTTGTTATAGGTCTATTCAGCATTTCTATTTCTTCTTGAGTTAATTTTGGTAGTCTGTATGTTTCTAGGAATTTGTCCATTTTATCTGGGTTTTCTAATTTGTTGGTGTACAATTATTCGTATTATTTGCTTATACTCTTTTATTTCTGTAAGGTCGTTGGTAATGTCTCCACTTTTATTTCTGCTTTTTGAGTAATGTGAATCTTCTCTGTTTTTGCTTAGGTAATCTAGCTAAAGTTTTGTCAATTTTAAAACACCTTTTCAAGGAACCAACTTTTAATTTCATTGATTCTCTTTATTGTTTCTACTCCATTTCATGTATCTCTGCTCTTATCTTCATTATTTCCCTCCTTCTGCTTGCTTTGATTTAGTTTGCTCTTCTTTTTCTGCTTCCTTAAGGTATAAAGTTAGATTATTTGAGATCTTTCTTCTTTAATGTAGGCATTTACAGCTATATATATATCCATCTGCACACTGCTCTCACTGCATCCCATAATTTTTTATTGTGTTTTTATTTTCATTTATCTCAGAGTATTTTTTAATTTCCCTTGTGATTTTTTTATTGAACCATTGGTCATTTAAGAGTGTGTTTTTAAATTTCCACATACTTGTGAAATTTCCAGTTTTTCTTCTGTTATTCATTTCTAATTTCATCCCATTGAGATTGGAGAATATACATTTTATGATTTCAATCTTAAAATTTATTAAAACTTGTTTTGTGACCTAACATATGTTCTACCTGGAGAATGTTTCATGTGCACTTGAGAAGAATATGTACTTTGTTGTCCTTGGGTGTTTTGTATATGTGGTAGGTCTTGTTGGTTTATAACTATAACTATAATTATAGTGTTATAGTTATAACACTATAAACTTGTTCAAGTCTCCTATTTCTTTGTTTATCTTTCATCTAGTTTTTCTATCCGTCATTGAAAGTGAGGTGTTGAAATATCTAGAATATGTAGAGCTGTCTATTTCTTCCTTCAATTCTGTCAGTTTTTGCTTTATATATTTTGGGTCTCTTTTTTGGGGTGGATATATGTTTGTAATTTGTATATATCCTTGATGGATTGACCCTTTTATCATTATATAGTGTCCTTCTTTGTCTCTTGTGACAATTTATGCCTTAAAGTCTATTTTGTCTGATATCAGTGTAGCCACTTCAACTCTCTTTCAGTTACTATTTGCATGTGTTGCCTTTTTCTGTTCTCTCACTTTCATTCAATTCATGTCCTTGGAGACAGTGTAGAGTTTGATCATGGTTTGTTTGTTTAATCCATTCTGAAAAATCTGTCATTTAATTGTAGAGTTTAAACCATTTACATTTAATGTAATTGCTGATGGAGAGGGCCTTACTCCTGCCATTTTGCTATTTTTTCTATATCTCATATTTTTTGTCCCTCAATTTCATTTCATTGCTGCCTTCTTTTATGTTAGATAAATATTTTCCATATGCCATTTTGATTTCCTTCTCGTTTATTTTACTATATACTTTTTAGTTATTTTCTTAGTGGTTGCCTGGGGATTACAATTAATTTATAACAATTAGATAAGTTCAAATTAGTACCAACTAATTTCAATAGTATAACAAACATTACTTCTGTATTCTGTTCTCCCATCTGCTTATGTTGTTACTGTCATCAGTTACATCTTTATGCATCATGTGCCCATCAATGTATATTTATTATTATTTGTTTATGTAGTTATTTTTGAAATCATATAGAAAAAAAGAGGAGTTACAAACCACAAATGCCTTTATACTGACTTTTCTATTTATTTACATGATTACCTATACTGGTGTTCTTCATTTCTCCATGTAGATTCAAGTTTCTTTTTAGTGTCCTTTCATTTCAGTCTGAACGACCTCCTTTACACTTCTTGCAGGGCAGGTCTACTAGCAATGAACTCTCTCAGTTTTTCTTTATCTGGAAATGTCTTCATTTCTCTTTCATTTTTGAAGAATATTTTTCCTGGATATAAAAGTATTGGTTAACCATTTTATTCTTTCAATATTTTGAGTAAGTCATCCCACTGTCTTCTGGCCTCCTTCGTTTCTGATAAAAAACCAGCTGTATTTCTTATTAAGGATGCCTTGTATGTGATGAATCACCTCTCTTCTGCTGCTTTCAGGATTCTGTCTTTGGTTTTCAACAGTTTGATTATGAAGTGTTTCACTGAGACTTGAGGTCCTTGGATGTGTATATTCATGTCTTTGATCAAATTTGGCAAATTTTGGCCTTTATTACTTCAACTATTATTTCTCTCTCTCTCTCTCTCTCTCTCCTCTCTCCTCTCCTTTTCTTTCCTCTCCTCTCCTTCTGAAACTCCTAGGTACTCTTGAAAGTGTACCTCAGGTATCTTAGGCTTCATTCGTTTTTCTTTATTTTTTTCCTTTCTGCTCCTCATACTGAGTAATCTCAATTGACCTTTCTTCAAGATTGCTGATTCTTTCTTCTACTTGTTCAAATATGCTGTTGAATCTCTCTGAAAAAAAATTATTTTAATTATTGTAGTTTTCAACTTTAGATTTTCTCCTTGGTTCCCCTTACAATTTCTATCACATCATTGGTAATCTCTATTTTTTTGAAATATAATTCTCATTATTTCCTTTAGTTTTTTGTACATAGTTTCCTTTAGCTCTTTGGGTATATTTTAAATAGTTGGTTTATATTCTGTTTAGTAAGTTCAATGTCTTGTCTTCCTCAAGAACTGTTTCTATTATTTCTTTATTTCCTGTGTATGGGCTACACTTTCTCGTTTCATTGCATGACTCATAATTTTTTGTTGAAAGCTGAACATTTTGAATATTATGATATGGCACATCTGGAAATCATCTTCCTCCCACCAGGGTTTATTGCAGCTGCTTTTTGTGATTGTTGTTGTTTGATTGCTTAGTTCTCTTTCCTTAATTAATTTTGAAAAGACTTTATTTGTTGTTGTATATAGCCACTGAAGTCTTTGTTTTGTTAGCCTAGTGGTCAGCTGGTGATTTAAATACAGACATGTATTCTTTGCCTGGAACAAAAAAAGAAAATAAAATCTCTCGGTGTCAGCAAATGGACTCTATGTGCATGCTGGAGTATACCTTCAACACCTGGAGAAGCACTTTACCACTCTGCCTTAGTCTTCACTTCCTCCTTGTGGAGAGCCTTGAGGTCAGCCAGAAGTGAAAACTTCTCAGGTCTTTCCTGAGCATGCACCCATTTCTGGGCATGCAAGCAGGCTTCTAGATTCCCACAAATATGTGAGAGCTTTTCAAAGCCTTTATTTCCCAATGTGTTTTAATCCCCGCTCCTTTTTCCCAACCTTTTGGTTTGTCTTTAGTTTGTCCCAACCGTTATCTATTGCCCCAAGTGGCAGCAGCTGTTACATTTGCCTTTTAAAATTTTCAACAAATTCCCCTTGAGTAGCTGCCTTAGCCCTTGGAGATCTCAGCAATGAGTCAATTCTTCAGGGAGCCACAAGACAGGTCAAAACAAACAACCAAAGTTATTTGGAAATTAGGTCGATTCTGTCCCTTATGTACTAGGAGCCTATACAAGGAATATGGGTTGTTGGTTGTTATCTTCAAGGCCACTGCTGAGCCAGGGTAATTTAAATACCATGAAGCTCTATTATCAAGATTCTGGTGGTTTTTTGTTTTTTTCTTGATTAAATATTGTCTTGGTTGCTGTCAACTTTTAGTTAGTTTCCCAATTTCCAATAAAGTTGATTCTGACTGCTTTTGCCAGTTTATTTTCTCCTTTTGTGGAGGGATGGGCTTTTGTAGTTCCCTATTCTGCCATTTTCACTTTTGGGGTGCTGACTTTTGAGAAGCAACGTGCACTTCAAAACAGCAGGCATTATGTGGAGCTGGAGCCCCATCAGATAGACTACATGGGAAACAAGCAGTGGAAATAAAAGTGGCCCCATCACCATTGTACACAGTGACTCATCTCAAGAATACCTTTAACTTTAGGCTCCACTGGACCAGTAATGCTGGTCCCTCAGCATGTCTGGGGTTGATGGGGAGAAGATACTTATCCCAGGGATGCCTAAAGCTGTAGCTGCTCCTTGTCATTTTAGGTTTCTCATGCCAACAGAGCAGTAGGCAAAGAAAGGAGTTCTTACACTTGTAGGAATATCAGATTCTGCCTATCATGAGGAAATAGCACTGCTGCTAGATAGTGGGGTCAGAGAAGAGGATGCCCCAAAGCTCAGGGGATTCAGTGGGGCTCATTTTGGTGTTTCACAGCCCAATGACAACACTTATGGGCAATTGCAGCAATGATAGTCTGCCCAGTGCACAGTGACCAGGGCTTCAAACCTCTAGGGATGATGACCCAGTTACCTCAGCAGACCAGCAAGCTCATATGCAGGAGTGGTGGTCAAGTATGAGGGCTATGCAGAATGAGTAGTGACACACAGGGACAATGAACACCAATGATGACCTTAGAATTCATGGTAATTGATGGGGTCTGTAGCTTGTTTCACAAACCCTCTTTCTTAACTTCTTTGTAGAAATTGTGACAGGCAAAATCCTGAAAGAAGCAGTATCAGGAGGGAGTGGACTTAATATGGGAAAGCAGTATCCCCCAGGTCTCAGCATTCCTACACAAGCTGGCCTGACTTCTATATCCCAACACATGCATCTCTTTGCCGAGGGCTTCCTCTGGCTGCTGGAGCCTGCTGTAACCACAGGCATGGCAGCCTAGAAGTGCCTAGAGTACTAATGCCATATCCCCAACTGCAGCCCTCGACCAGCCCAACCTCAGATAAGATGTCATGGAGGACGTCAGGATATCATTGTGTCCTCCACTGGCTCCACGTACTCACGGGGGTAGGTTGTATGTTAACAATTCCTTTCTTGCCTCCTTGCATTCTGTCTCGGTTCACACTCCCCTACAGTACTGATTGGCATGAAATAAACTACTTGCACTCAAATCCGTGACTGAAGGTCTGCTTCTTGGGGAGCCCAGGATAAGATGCCCCACGTCTCTCCTCCTTCCTTCGAGGAAGCCTAGTGTCTTGCTTCTGACTGTTTTCCTTCTTTTTCAAGCACAGAAAAATGGGCCATTTCGACAGACATAACAGTTTGCTCACTGAATTGCTGCCCATTGTACTTGGAATGAGTAATAACAACAAAAGCCTCCCTAACACAGTCTACCAGAACCTGCAGTATCTGAGCCCAGCCTGCCTCCAGTCCTGTCCTCAATCACTGCTCATAGTTTTATTGCAGGGAGCCGAAGGCCCATGGGAAATGACCAACTCGGCATTCCACTGGAGGCTATATGATCAAACAGCAAACTGTTTATCATGAATGCAGGATGTGGGCAAACTCACGACTGCTCCTGCCGACAGAAGGTTTGCTGGAGGCAATCACTCCCTGGTACTGAGGTTATCTATGGTGACATCTAGAGCCTCTTGTTCGAGGAATGCAGTCTTGCAAGCCTACTCTGGACTGAGCAGCTGACCCCTTCTTCCACCCCTCTTCTCACTATCTCTTTTGCCTAATAAATATGGAGGGCTGTGTAAAGCTCAGGGTCCTTGTCCACTAGAGGCAAGGTGCCCCCTGACCCCTTCTTCCAAATATACTCTTTTGTCTCTTGTCTTTTATTCCCAGGTTCGCCCCCTTGGTTCAGTCCCCCTAGGTCCATGCAGGCTACAAGTGGCACTTGAACAGGCAACAGTCCGAACACAGGGACTATGAGGACATGAACGAAGAAGGTCTGCCGGAGCAGAGGAACTGAAATTGAAAGGTGAACAGGGATGCCGGGCCGGGTCTGCCAGCAGCGGATATAAGGTCAGTGCCCTAAGGAGGTACTGGGAGTAGTGCTTTAAGGAAGTGCTGGGAACCGGAAGTTTTCTGAATCAGGCTAACAAGGGGAAGAATTTGTCTGTTGAAGACAAACATTATGTGCAGCTGCTTAAAGTTCTGTTGAGACAGTCTGGAGCTCAGGTTAATTCGCAGGCACTAACTAACCTCCTGCAGAAGCCACAAAATGTTACTATGCATAACCCATGGTTTCCCCAGGCAGGCACTCTTGATGTGGAAAATTGGGACAGAGCACGAGAAGGATTAAAACGGGCTCATCAAAAAGGTCTTAAAGTTGATTCTTCTGTTTTCTTCACTTGGAGTTCAGTTCATACTGTACTTCTGACATTATCTTCTTCTTATTCTGCAGGAGAGCAGGCTGAATCTAAATCTGAAAGAATATGTTGTCCCACCCACAGCTCCAATTGAAAATAAAAAACAGGAGAGGGAGGATAAGAATTGACCTATACTCCCTCCTCCAATTGCAGAAACATCTGTACCGCCTCCTTTGGTAGCAGAAATAGAAACCCCAATACAAAGAATTTTATGCTCTGCTGCCATAGCTGGAGAGCCCTTAGGACCTCTATGCGTAATGCAAACACAGGTTGTAAATGTGCGCTGGCACCTGTGAGATGTACAAAAAACATGGGAAATTTTCTCAGAACTTGTCAAGATGTAGGAACTGAGCTTCATTGCTCTTCAATGTTAGCTGAAGCAATGGCTAATTTAGTAGTTGACAAATCTAAAAGGAGCCAAGGGTCAAACCCTAAAATGGGAAAATAATTGTGGAAAAACTGGACATTTAAAAAAGGAATGCCACCAGATCTCAGGACAGAAAGGATCTTACAATGCAGTTCCCCCCACCCTGCCCCACAGCGGAAAAAATGCCAGGACTTTGTCCTTGCTGTAACAAAGGAAATCACTGGGCTAATCAGTGCTGCTCAAAATTTCATCAGATTGGCACAGCCCTGTCGGGAAATGAGATGGGGGCCTGGACCCCAGCCCCACAAACAATGAGGGCATTCCCAGCCCAAACCTCAACCCTGTTTCAGGGATGGGTTCCCGGAGGTACATTGATTCCCTCCCCCCAGGAACACCAGGAAGTGCAGGATTAGATCTCGCAGTCAGAGAACAGGTAACGTTAGTTGGTGGAGACAAACCTATCAAAGTTCCCACTGGTATTTGGGGACTTTTACCAACAGGATACACAGGACTAATTTTAGGCAAAAGCCGGCTTAACTTGCAGGTCATTACTATAGTCCCAGGAGTTGCTGACTCTGATTATGAAAGAGAAATTCAAGTAGTTTTAATGTCACAAGATCTTTGGGTTTTTGAACCTGAAGAATATAATGCTCAATTATTGCTTGTTCCCTGCAAATTACACCCCTCTCCATGAAAGGAGAAATGAGGAAATAAAAGGTTTGGGAGCACAACTACATGGGAAATCTATCTATCCCAACCCATAGCCTCTAATAGACCCACATGTGTAGTACAAATTAAAGGAAAGAAATCTTATGGGCTTATGGATACGGGAACTGATGTGTCAGTAATATCTAAAGACAATTGCCCCCATCCTGGCCCTTGCAATTAACTTCTACATCCTTAGTGGGAGTAGGAACAGCTCAACGTGTTCAACAGAGTGCTGAGATTTTACCTCGTCTCAGTCCAGATGGACAGTCATGTACTTTTCAACTTTATGTTGCAAATATAGCCATCAATTTATGGGGTCGAGACTTACTTACAGCATGGGATGGGAGACTTACAAATGAAAACTTTGATAACTCAGAATTTAAAATGTAGAAGAACATGGGATATCAGAGTGGAAAAGGTTTGGGGAGGTTTCTACAATGAAATCCTAACCCGGTATCAGTAACTGGAAAAACAGATAGAAAAGGGCTAAGGTGTCAGGATTTCTGACAGGGGTCATTGATATTTCTCCTCCGCCCACTGCCTTACCATTAGAATGGCTCTTTCCACCTAATCAAACAGTCAAAACCTTGCAAATTTCTCTTTCTTTAATTACACAAATTGCATCTACGGGCAAGCATAGGTCAAAAATGCTTATGGGATATGATCCTGACAAAATTATTGTTCCTTTAGACTCCCAGCAACAAGCCGCAACTTGGGAAATGGTGACTGCCTGGCAAACTCTTTTGCAGATTTCGTGGGTGCTATAGATAACCACTACCCCTTAGACAAAATTTTACAATTTTATAAAATCCACTCTTTCATTCTTCTTGTGATTACTCATCACACGCCTATTCCAGGTGGACAGACTTATTTTACTGATGGCTCTTCCAAAGGTCATGCCACTATCTATGGACCTAAACACACTCAAACAATAATGACCCCTGGTGCTTTAGCTCAATGCTCAGAGCTAATTGTAGTCATTCAGGTTTTACAGCTTACAGCTTCAGATCCTGTCAACATTGTCTGTGATTCAGCTTATGTTGTAAATGTAGCCCATTGCATAAAAGCTTCTACAGTTAAAAGTACACTAGACCCAGAACTGCTTAATTTGTTTCACTTATTCTCATATGCTGCATGCTACATGCCAAACAGGTGAGACAGCTGTTCATGTACAGCTACACTGTCATCATTTGCTCATATGGGGCTACCTAAACAAAAACTGACAAGGGACCCACTTAATCTAGTCATGCTTTTCAAAATTTCTTACAGCTTTGGGCTATAACCCAAAAAACAGGAATTCCTTATAATCCTAGAGGACAAGGCATTATAGAACAGGCACATCAAATATTACAACGCATGCTGAAAAAACAAAAAAGGGGTATAGGAGGCCAACTACCACCTTAATCAAAACTACATTTAGCCTTATTTACTTTAAATTTTTTGACTGCTGGTATGGATGGTAAGACTCCAGCAGAAAGACATTGGCAAATGTTAGAGGAAAAGAGGAAAGTTTATCCAAAAGTGTTATGGAAAACGCCGGAAAAAGGAAAATGGAAAGGTCCAGTGGATTTACTGATGAGGGGAAGAAGGCATGCTTGTGTTTTTACAGGAGATGGACAAACCGTGTGGGTGCCCTCAAGGTGCGTGCGACTATGGAATGGGAGACTGGAGGAACACAGGGTGGCCAACCATGGGCCCAGTCCCTCTGATACAAGCCATGAGTCAGCTAAGCCTGAGTGCAAAGATGGAGAGAAGGCCAACCGGAGTCACGACACAGTTCTAATGTTACATTTGTAAAGAGTATCACCACTCAATTTACAGTTTGTGTTTTTAATCCTTATGTCTTTTTGGCAGCTAAGAAGGACCAGCTCTAGGTAAACAATACCCAATTGACCTATAAATCTTGCCAGTTATATCACTGCATTAATCATAGCACATTGCAAACATGTAATATCTCTACTTTGTTGATTTTAGGTCTCATCCCTGGGCTATGGATTCCCGTTAATCTGTCTGAGCCTTGGGCTGCCACACCTGCTTTGCATTTTGTAAAAACTTCTTCTAACTCAGCTAACTCATTGTGTCCATAGAGCCTTAGGCACGATAATTTTTGCTATTGTTTCCTTGATCACACCAATAACTTCTGTTGTGATATCTTCTGTAGCTTTGCATAGTTCTATTCAAACAGCTTAGTACATGGAGAACTGGACATGCACAGCCAGCCAAGCGTGGCTACTTCAGAATAAAATTAACACTGAGTTACAAACTGAAGTGGTAATGTTGAAATCCATGGTTCTATGGTTAGGGGAACAAGAACAAAGCTTGCAATTGCAGCAACAATTGTGTTGTCATTTTACTCACACTCATATTTGTGTAACCAACTTAGAATATAACCAAAGTAAGTATCCGTGGGACCTTGTGGAAGCCCATTTTCAGGGAGCTTTCACATCCAACATCACCTTTGATATTGGTGAATTACAAAACAAAATTCTTGATTTAAACAGGCAAACTCAAGAATTTGAGCCTTCTTTAGAAGACTGGACCGGATTCCAGCAAGGCCTGGAGAGCCTCAACCCTTGGAACTATCTAACACACCACAGTTACATCTTTTATGTGGTTCTTGGAATAATGTTGTTTTGTCTCTGTCTTCTGTTTATAGTCTGTAAAATCAGATGGACTGCCAATTGGAGAATGAGAGCTGCCCAGCCTGGCCTTATGTTCTTTCAATTAATTCATAAACAGAAAGGGGGATATGCAGGGAGCCGAAGGCCCGTAGGATTCGGCATTCCACTGGAGGCTATGTGATCAAACAGCAAACTGTTTATCATGAATGCAGAATGTGGGCAAACTCACAACTGCTCCTGCCGACAGAAGGTTTGCTGGAGGCAATCACTCCCTGGCACTGAGGTTATCTACTGCGACATCTAGAGCCTGTTGTTCGAGGAATGCAGTCTTGCAAGCCTACTCTGGACTGAGCAGCTGACCCCTTCTTCCACCCCCCTTCTCACTATCTCTTTTGCCTAATAAATATGGAGGGCTGTGTAAAGCTCAGGGCCCTTGTCTACTAGAAGCAAAGTGCCCCCTGACTCCTTCTTCCAAATACACTCTTTTGTCTCTTGTCTTTTATTCCCGCATTCACTCCCTTTGTTCGGTCCCCCTAGGTCTGTGTGGGTTACACAGTGGCACCCCGAATAGTGACAGAATCAGGTGTTCCACATTTTATGAACACCCTTCCCATCATTTGTCATTTGGTGAATTATTACTCATCCTTCAGATTTTAGCTTTCAAGCCATTTCCTTGGAGAGACTTCCCCCAAGCCCCCTCATATTGACCATTTCCCTCTATGATTCTCCTTCAAAGGACACTCTGCTTTTCCATTTTATGCTTATAGTAAGTTGCCTTCCTATATTTACTGGTGTGTTTATCTGATTAATATCTTTCTCCCAACTAAACTGCACAGAAATGTTGAGATGGGCCCTGAAGTTCTCCAAGGTAGATAGATGGTGGCAGTGAAGTTGTGATAAGGAGGGAGGGCAAGAGGGGACGTGGCCAGAAGCCCACAGGTCCCTGGCTGATGGAAACATGAGGTGTGAAGAGGGACAGCATTTTCAGAAACTTTGAGTGCCGTTTTCCCTCTTGACCCCACAACCCCCTCCACCTAGGTCCTCATTTCCTTGCTCCTCTTGATAATAAAAGTTTTCAAAAGAATCATTCATGCCCCTTGTCTCCTATTGCTCTCATCACAGTCACAAAATCAGGCTTTTGTACCCACTACACAACCAAAATATTTTGTCAAGGCCAGCTATGCGCCTCCAAGTGGCTGAATCCCAGGGACTACAGTCACTCCTCATTCTCTCTTGGCCCATCAGCGGCAGTAGACACAGCTGTGGGCCCCACCTTCCTGAAGCCTTCTCTTCCCCTTGCAGACCGCTCCTCTGCTTCTCCTCCCTCGCCAGCCACTCCTTCCCAGTCCCCTTTGCTGGTGTCTCCTGACTGCCTTGACCACTGAATGCTGGGGGCTCCCAGGTTCAGGCCTGGGTCTCCGCTTCTCTGACCACAATCACTCCCTTGGTGATGTTCATTCTGAGGCACACAGGTTTTAAATGCCTCCTGTAAGTCAACAGCTCCCAAATCAGTATTACTAGCTTAACCTCCTTCCTGGACGACTGACTCTATACTCAGCTGCCTGCCTGCAACCTCCCCTTAGAGATTGTAGATATGTCAAACTACACATGGCCCAAAGCAAGCTCCTGGCTCTCTTCTCACCCCACCCTGATCCTCCTGCTTTTTTCCCCATCCCAGTAAATGACAACTCTGTCTGTCCATGAGCTCAGGCCAAAACCTCTGTGTTGCCTTGACTCCTCCCCACGTCCAATTCATCACCATCGTCAGAGGTGGTCCTCCTGTGTCTGCCTTTGCCTTCTTGCCGCTCTTTCTCAACCGTGCAGCCTCAGCAACCTTTGGAAAGGAGAGTCAGGTCATGTCACTTCTTGGCTAAAAAGATTTCAGTGACTTGCATCTACTCAGAACAAATCCAAAGTCCCAACAGCAGTGCACAAGGCCCTACCTGACCTGCCCCCAACCAACTCTCCACCCTCCCTCCTCATCTCTGACCCCTCTCCTTCTTGCACCCTTTTCTCCAGCTTCCCTGGTTTCCCTGATGTTCCTTAAATGTGACAAGCTCACTCCTGCCCCAGGGTCTTTGCACCATTGGTTTTCCTGCCTGCAGTACTTTTTGCAGATGGCCCCGAGACTTGCTTCCTCATTTTTTCAGAGTTCTGCTCAATATCAGCGTCTCCATAATACCTTCCTTGACTGCCCTGTTATCAATGGCAACCCCATGTCCCCAGAGCTTCCTATGCCCTTAAGCTGCATTTTAAAATTTCACAGCATGTATCCCCATCTCATTTTCTATATTCGCTTGTTCGTTTATTGCCCATCTCACCGGCTAGAACCTGAGTTCCATGAAAGTGAGAACTGTATGCCCAGCTCACCTCTGCAGCTGGGAAGAGGCCCTGCTAAAGGAATGAATGAGACTCTGCTCAATAAATATTTATAGATTAAACCAACAAGTAAGTGGATTTATATTTACTTCCACGTGGATCTCAGGGTTATGTTCAAGATGTCATCTAGTAATGAGAGTTGTGAACTGGGATTCTGAGGAAACAGCTCATTCCTGACTCCTTACTAACCCTTTTGTATGTTTTCAAAGCAAACATGCAAAGCATGAAGACCTTCAAAAACCCTTCTCTTCCCTCTCAAACCCTGATTCAGCTTGCAAAGGACAAAAGAGCCCTTCCTTTTCTTGTAGGAGACCTGAGTCTCTTAGATGGTTTCCCTATATGACCTTGGTCAATCCAGATACTCTCGTTGGGCCTCATTTTCTCCTTCTGTAAAGCCTCCGAGATCTTCCAGCTCTGACGTTCTATGGTTCATTTCCACCTGAGATGGCTGTGGCACTTTGACTTCACTGGGGGAAGCATTTCAGATAAGCAGGCCCTGCTATCTCTGGAGCCTTTCTCTTCACCTTCATCCCTTCACGTGAAACCCAACGCCAGAGCTTCTGGGACAGCCTCCTCATTGATAAAGTGTTCCCTGACTTCTCAATGAGCTTGCACACTGTAGCTGCAGCGATAATGGGCTATATCTGGCTGGCCCGGAATCTTGCCTATGTTCCAGTCAGTGCTGTGACTATCAGTTGTCTGCTGAGCATGAATGGCCAGAGGCAGAAAAAGGACAAGGAGCCCCGCTGGTGAGAAGTGGAAGTGATTAACTTATGTCGCATGCTCCAGCGGGAGTCTCAGCCAGCGATAGGCGAATGAGTGTATGATGACAGCTGCCTTGGAGTTCACACCACACCATCAGCACTCTGCAGGAAACAGATTACTTCAGGGCTTGAGAGCTCGTTGACAGCTGGAGCTTTCTGATAAAGTTGTCAGAAAGTGAAAAGGACAGTCCCAGGAAGTTGTAAGCTTCCTGTCCTTGGAGGTGTTGTGGTAGAGGAGGAGAAGTGGTGGATGGGATGTTGTAGACGAGGTTGAAAGTGCACTGATGGGCTGGGTGCGGTGGCTCGTGCCTTTAATCCTAGCACTTTGAGAAGCCGAGGCAGGCGGATTGCCTGAGCTCAGGAGTTCGAGACCAGCCTGGGCAACATGGTAAAACCCCCGTTTCTATTAAAAATACAAAAAATTAGCTGGGTGTGGTGGTGCATGCCTGTAATCCCAGCTACATGGGAGGCTGAGGCACAAGAATGTCTTGAACCCAGGAGGCAAAGGTTGTAGTGAGCTGAGATCATGCCACTGCACTCCTGCCTTAGTGACAGATGAGACTCTGTCTCATAAAAGAAAGAAAAAGAAAGAAAGAAAGAAAGAAAGAAAGAAAGAAGAAAGAAAGAAAGAAAGAAAGAAAGAAAGAAAGAAAGAAAGAAAGAAAGAAAGAAAGAAAGAAAGAAAAGGGCAGTGATGGGCAGACCATGTCTGTCCTGTTCTTCACAATGTCATTATAACCTAACATGGTCTCCTCTTCTGTGCTCAGGGGCTCAGGGCCAAGGTGTATCTGTCTGGGCATCAGTTGGGGCCCCAGGAAATGGTGGAATGAGGGGAAGGTGGTATAAGCAAGTTGGGCTAAACTTCTAGAAGGAGAGCCAGGATCCAGGTGTCAGGAAAGGGCAAAATCCAGAGATAGTCAGAAAGAGAGAGGAATTCAGGGTGGGAAGCAAATATTCACAATAGGAGAAATGAGATAAAGTGAAAACAAGTCAAGATCAACTAAGATCGGAGGACAGTGGGTCCAAGTGGTCACTTATAAGTTGGAAAAGGTATGATGCCAGGTGCATTGGCCTAGATTTAAAAATGACCAGAAGTGGGGTGTACATTGTGTCTTGCTGATAACACTGCACTGCAGAACACTAGCGATCATCTTTTCAGGAAGGCCAATTCAGAAAAAACAGAAGGACTCATGGGCCACGTTTACCACCACCTAAAATACTTCTGTTAACTCTCATGAAAAAAAATACAGATATTCTTGTAACTTGGATTACATACTTTGTGCAATGTCACTTAGAAAATTGGTACTGCTTTTGGCCACTTTGATGTTACTCTCCAGGCCTATTTGAGAAGATGATAAGAGGTGGCAACTTTCTAATCTTTCACCTTAGTATAGCCCAAGCAAAGAGCTATATAGACCCTTGTGGGCTGTCCACATGATCTCATCTCTGCTGTAGAATTTCATCAAGTGGAATTTCAACTTTGGAGAAAGCAATATAAACTACATGGTTGCGTAAGGAGTCCACAAGTCTGAATACTTATTCTGTTAGCAGCCCCACCCCTCTCTTTTTCACTTTGATTTGCATGTAGTTTTCAGTCAGGCCAGAAAAAGCACTTAAAGCTCTCCATTCCATGACCCCCACCCTCCCAAAGGCGTGAGCCCTGTTGGGCTTTGGCGTCAGTCTGAAAGATCGTGCACGTTCTCTGTTTCTACCCAAGCATGTCACAGGAGAGAGCCTGACCTGGGTGGGGTGAGATGAGGAAACTGGATGACTTCCCAGCCTCTCATGAGTCAGGTGTTCATGGCCTCATTCTTTTATTCAGAGAGGATTCCTGGAACATAACCTATTTTCTGATATCAGTGCAAAAACACCTTTAGCGCCAAGTGGCACCCTTTGGGGTCACATCGATGGACCCTACAGGCAGCGTCCTCTTCAGAATGGGAGAGACGGACTGGGAGAAGCAGCCAGGAGGCCCTCTTTGCAGAGTCTCTGGGGCGATGGTGCAAAGTTTAAGTTTTATTCTAAGAGCAATGGGAAGTTATTAGAGAGTTTGATGCAGACAGGCCATGATGTGATAACCATTTTTAGAAGATATCTCTGTCCGCAGAGTGGGTGATGAAACTGAGGGAGGGAGGGGATGAGGGAGACAAGTTAGGAGGCTACTGAGGTCTCCATCCATTCGCATATTCATTCATTCTCCAAATATTTCCTGTACTCCAACTGTATGGGCAGCAGGCACTGGAGATGAGGCTCCCTACCCTGCCAGAGCTTAGGGGTGAGAACGACAATAAAAAAGGAAACAACTAAACAGAAGAGATCATTTCAAAGTGTGATGAGTGCTATGCAGAACATGAAACAAGGTGCTGTGATAAAAGGGACTGGAAGGGAGGTGACAGTCACTTCAGAGGGCTGAGGGGACAGAAAGCCTTTCTGAGGAAATGGCATTTGTGTTAAGACCTAATACTGGGACTGTGTGAGTCATATGAAAGTGTGGAGTGGGGGTAGGGGAGTGTTACAGGTAGAGGAAACCGTGAGTGCAAAGGCCTTGAGGCAGGAATGAGCTTGGCTTGTGACCAGGGAGTGACGTCTAGGAAGAGAGGTCAGCAGGGGCCAAGCTAGGCAGCTCCTTGAAGCCCCCAGTTAGTAGCTGGCTTTTATTCTGAGAGGATGAGGAGCCATGACAGAGGGTCCAATGATAGAATCCAGGGGCTGGCAAACTATAGCCCACAGGTCATGTTGGCCCACCTACTGTTTGTGTAAATAAAGTTTTATTGGAACACAGCCTCACCCATTCATTTACATGTTGTCTATGGCTGCTTTCACACTACAAGGCAGAGCTGAGCAGTTGTGACAGAAACCAGCTGGCCCACAAAGCCTAAAATACTTTCTCTCTTTCTGGCCTTTTGCAGGAAAGTTTGCTGATGTCTGATTTAGTTTGTGTTTTCAGAAGGTGACTGATTCTGGCTGCTGTGTGGGGTGGCATCATGACATGGAGCTACAAGGCCACTGTGGGACAAGAGATGAAGATGAGGTCTCTGCTTTGCATCAGTGCCTTTCGGCTGATGTTTCCTCCTCCCTCTGTCCCTCCATCAGACAGAGGGAGATGGTGGCTCAGCCTGGTGGGCTTATCTTTCTGGGTGCACACTGCTTCTAAGGACAGTGGCTGCCCGGCACACTGTGGCCAGCCAGGCAGACTCTGCTTTGCCGGGTGAACTTGGCAAGAGGAGTTCACTGCTGCTTCTGGAGCCTCCACCCAAACCAAAACTGCCTGTCTTTTGTCTGCGACACCTCGTCACCAATTTAGGGCTTAGGAGACAGCATGGGCCAAGCAGCTGCTTCCCATTCCCCGCTTGTCCCATGTCAGCAGCTGCTCATGATTGCCAAGCGTGCCCACACCACTCCCAGCAGACGGCAAGAGGCGCTGTGAGAAAAAGATCTAGTGTCCAAATTGCAGGGCAGATTGCTTTTGTTTTGTTTCTTAAGAAAAACATGAAATAAGTAAAATAGTTGAGTATTGTATTAGAAAACTAACCCCAAACATCTGGGTTTTTGGTACTGTGGTAGCTTATTTTCATTCTTTTGTTTGTAACTGACAAATATTCACAAAATAATTGAGTTGGTACAATTTTTTAAAGAAGGAAAACCATCCACGTTGTGTAAAGACATGGTGAGGATGAGAGCAGGGACAAGAACAGATGATTTGGAATGATATCACAGCTGTCCCCAAGTAGCTCTCTCTGGTGGAGCTTATTTCAACCAGAATTTATTGAGCACCTACTCTGTGCCAACTATTGTCAGGTACTCGGGAGGCTGAGTGAAATAAAACAAGGTCCCTGCTGTCTGGGCACTCACAATCAGATAACAATGACTATAAGAGTGGCAATATGACAATATAACCAAAACAAAGCACTTGTGATAGTCCTTCATCCCCACAACATCCCTCTAATGTAGGTATTCTCCTCCCAATTTTAAATTGACATTTGAAGAGGAAATGCCAGAGTTGGGATTTGAAACCCATTTATTTGCCTTCAGAGCCTTCTGCTGCCCCTTGGATTAGTAGAGCTAGAACTAGTCAGTGTAAGTTCTAGGGAGGTAGGTTTCAGCCCAAGAACAGAAGGGCAACTAAAAAGGTGATGAGCTGTGTGTCAAGGGTGTTGTGTAAATCAAGGCCTACGGAGGCATGGCTGAATCCAGACCCTCCAAAGAGATTCTCAGAAATTAATCTCTCTCCGTGTCTTGGCTCTGCTTTTCCCTGGCTTGACTGCAGTAGCAAGTAGATTTTTCCCTATGAAATGGCAGGATGCCATCAGGAGCTTCAAGCTAACATTCTATCTACTCCACAGAGTCTCAACAGAAAGAGGGCATCTTTTCTAAATGGTTTCAGCAAAAGTCCCAGGACTAACTCTCATTGGCCTAGTTTGAGTCACATGCCCGTGTCTGAGCAAATTTCTACAGCCACATGAATGTGGGACTCTCATTGAATAAACTCACCAACACACATGGACTGAGAGCAGTCCTCATCCCCTATCTTCTGGGGTCCCCTAATACCACTCTTCTCAATGGTATAAAGGTACTGGGCTCTTTGAGGTCTTTGGATCAGAGGTCATGGGTTCCATTATAATAGAAGGAGGGTGGATTTGGAGTTCAACAGCTTGGTTAGTCACTTAATGTGTGACCTTGAATAAATACCCTTCTCTGAGCCTCATCTATAAACTGGGTATCATAGCACCTTCCCTGCTGGCTGCAGGAATGATTAAACCGGCACTGGCTGCACAGTGGATGCCGAGTCTCAATATCCAGCTCCTGGGATAGGGGCCACTTGGACAAGGGCTGTTTGTAAAGGGCTGGCCAAGCCAGTTTCCCTCTCCAGCTTCTCTAGCTCCAGCCGGCTCCCCAGAACGACGTTCCCAGAATGAATTGGCTCAACTCCTTGCAGAAATGCTTCCAGAAAAGGCAATTCGGGATCAGGTCCTACACTTTTTAGCTGTGTTAGACACAGCTGAGTGGTAGAAAATGTACATTCTGGGTCTTCTTCATGGCATCATTAGGACAAAGGTGAACGGTTGACTTCAAGTAAAGGAGGTTACCCCAGATAATCAGTGTGGGCCTGCTTTGATCAGTTGAAAGTCCTTAAGAGCAGAACTGAGGCTTCTCTGAAGAAGAACTTCTGCCTGTGGACAGCAGCTTCAGTTCATGCCCAAGTCCAGCCTCCCCTTCCTGACAGCCCTCCAGTCTCCACAATCATGTAGGCCAATTCTTTGCAATAAATCCCTTAATATGTATCTCCTACTGGCTCTTTTTGTTCGAACCCTGGCTGATACAGACTTTGGTACTAGAAGTCACTCTAGAGGATCGCGATCTTAAGGAAGAGTTTTCCAAATCAGTTCAAGGTCTTCTGGAATTGGTTCTCTAATCTGATTAGATTTTAAAACACTAATGACTCTGTTTTCAGTGGCAAAGAACAGCCATCTCCAACATTTTGGGCATCATGGACCCGTCTCATGGAAGACGATTTTTCCACAGATGGTTGGGTTGGGGGATGGTTTAGGGATATAACTGTTCCACCTCAGATAATCAGACATTAGATTCTCATAAGGAACACGCGACCTAGATCCCTTGCATGTGCAGTTCACAATAAGATTCACACTGTGAGAATCTAATGCTGCTGCTGATTTGACAGGAGGTGGAGATCAGGTGGTAATGCTCACTCGCCTGCCCCTCATCTCCTGCTGTATGGCCCGGTTCCTAAGAGGCCACGGACCAGTACCGATCCGCAGCCCAGGGGTTGGGGACCCCTGGCAAAGAGGACACTGGTAGTACATGGCATGCCATAGCAATAGAGATATGCCAAATATTGCCATTGGTAAGGAAAGGAAGAACATGCCTGAAATACAAGAGCTCTATTAGGGCTTCTCTTAGTACTACCATGTCCTGTCAACCCAATTCAGGCAGAGCTATTAATGGCCTACACCCTTCAAAAATGAAAGTTTGGGTCACTCTACGAGGTAAAAAAGCATGACCAGCTGAGGTGCTTGCTGAGGGCAGAGGGACTATGGAATGGTTAGTGGAAGAAGGTGGTTATAAATGCCAGCTACGACCATGTGCAGTTGCAGAAATGAGGACTGTAATAGCTATAACTATTTCTGCCTTATTTTGTTATGTACATGTTGGTATATATCTGTTAAGCAAATATGTTTGTTTTCTTACCTTTCTTATGCCCTTATCATATGACATAAGGTGTATGAATAATAGTTAACTTTACATCACAGTATTTACAGGCTACCAAAGGGAAGGGTGAACATCACCCAAGGACTTTGCACACTGCTCTGGGAAAAGGGTTAATGTGTTTTCAGTTGTACTCAGGGTGTTTGTATCATGTTAGATGGAAGTGTGACTTAGCTATCTTGTTTATTTGGATAATTATGTATGGTTTAAGGAGATGATCTGGGTGCCAATTTGACAAAGGGTGGACTGTGATGGTCAGTTTTATCTGACAGCTTGGCTGGGCTTTCATCCCCAGTTATTCAATTAAATACTAATCTAGGTGTAGCTGTGATGGTATTTTGTAGATGTGATTAACATTCATAATCAGTTGTCTTAAAATAGATTATTTTTGGTTATCTGGGCGGGCCTAATTCAATTGAAAGATCTTACAAGCAGAACTGCAGTTTCCCTGAATTCCTGTGAAATTTCCCTGAAATTTTGCCTGTGGACTGCAGCTTCATGTTGTGCCCAAGAGGTTCAGACTGCCTGTACTGACAGCCCAGTTTCAGAGTGCCCAGCCAGATTCCACAGTAGTGTAGGCCCATTCCTTGCAATAAATCCTTTAGTATGTATCTCTTACTGGTTCTGTTTCAGTGGTTGCACCCTGGCCAATACCCTCCTATTTTCTAGAAGAGATTGTATAGAATTGATGTTAATTCTTCTTTGAACGTTTGGAGATTTCTTTTTTGACAGTTTTTTAAAATTACAAATTTAACTTCCTTAATATTGGAGCACTATTGAAATGATCTATTTCATATTGGGTGAGTTGTGGTAGTTTTTGTATTTCGAGAAGTTGTTTCATTTCATCTAAGTTGTCTAATTTATGTGTATAGAGTTGTTCATATTATTCCCTTATTATTGTTTTGATGTGGGTAGGGTCTGTAGGAATATCCTCTGTTTCCTTCTTGATGTTGGTAATTTGTGGCTTTTCTTTTTTTCTCTATCAGCTTTGCTAGAGGGTTAGAAATTTCATTTATTTTGTATGAAGAATCAGTTTTTTGTTTCATTGATTTTCTCTGTTTCTAGTTTCATCAATTTCTGCTCTTTATAGTTTCCTTTTTTCTGTTTGCTTTGGATTTGTCTTGCTTTTCTTTTTTAGGTTCTTGATATGAGAGCTTAGATGATTGATTTGAGACTTTTCCTCTTTTCTGACATTTGCACTTAGTGCTGTAAATTTCCTTCTCAGCACTGTGTTAGCTGTTTCCCATAAATTTTGGTATGTTGTATATTTTCATTCAATTCAATGGATTTTTTGTTTCCTTGAAGACTTTGCCTTTGATTATTTCGAAGTATGTCTTTTTGTTTTCCACAGGTTTGGAAATTTTCACTTTTTTTTTTTGTTATTGATTTCTAGTTTGATTCTATTGTATTCAAAAAAATACTGTGTCTGATTTCAATTCTTTTAAACTCAGTGACATTTTTCATGGCCTAGGATATGGTCTATCTTGATATGTGTCTTGTGGGCACCTAAAAATAATACGTACTCAGCTGTTAGTGGTGGAGTGGTCTATAAATGCCAATTAGATCCTGTCAGTTGGTCGTGTTGTTGAGTTTTCTATATCCTTGATGATTTTCCATACAGTTGGTCTATCAGTTGTTGAAAGAGCAGTGCAAAGTCTTCGACTATAATTGTGGATTTGTCTATTTCTCCTTTCAGTTCTATCAGTTTTTGCTTTACGTATTTTGCAACCCTTGTTTGGTGTAGACACATTTAGGATTGCTATGACTTCTTGATGGGTTATCTTTTTTATCATTATGTAATGTCCCTCTCGTCTCTGACTTCCTCTCCTTTGAAGTCTACCTTACCATTTATTAATATAGACATTCCTCCTTTCATTTAAGTAATGTTTGTATGATGTATCTTTTTCCATCCTTTTACTTTCAACCAGTCTATATTATCATATTTGAAGTAAGTTTCTTGTAGACATCATAGAGTTGGTCATGTTTTTGTTGTTGTTGTTGTTGTTTTTGAGACGGAGTCTCGCTCTGTCGCCCAGGCTGGAGTGCAGTGGTGCAATCTCGGCTCACTGCAAGCTCCGCCTCCCGGGTTCACGCCATTCTCCTGCCTCAGCCTCCCAAGTAGGTGGAACTACAGGTGCCCACCACCGCACCGGGCTAATTTTTTGTATTTTTAGTAGAGACGGGGTTTCACAGTGGTCTCGATCTCCTGACATCATGATCCGCCCACCTCGGCCTCCCAAAGTGCTGGGATTACAGGTGTGAGCCACCGCGCCCAGCCGAGTTGGTCATGTTTTTTAATCCACTGTGCCAATCTCTGTCTGTTAATTGGTGTAGCTGGCCCATTTATATTTAATATAAATATTGATATTATAAAGCTAGGTCTGTCATTTTTAAATGGTCTGTTTATTCTCTGTTTTTAATTTCTTTTTAATTCTTTTTTAATTATTATGTTAATGAGATGGGGTTTTACTCTGTCACCCAGGCTGGAGCACAGTGGTGCAATCATAGCTCACTGCAGCATTGAGCTCCTGGGCTCAAGTGATCCTCCCACCTCAGCCTCCTGAGTAGCTAGGACTATAAGCACCCAGATTCTGTTTTAAATTTCTTTGTTTACTTTCTTCTGCCTTCCTGTGGGTTACACTAGCATTTTTAAAATTCTATTTTGGAACAGACATGGTGGCTCATGCCTGTAATCCCAGCACTTTGGGAGACCAAGGTGGGAGAATCCCTCGAGCCCAGGAATTAGAGACCTGCCTGGGCAACATAGCAAGATTTGGGCTCTATATAAAACTTTTAAAAAAATAGCCAAGTTCCATGGTACGTACCTGTAGACCCAACTACTCGGGAGGGTGAGGTGGGAGGATCACTTGAGCCCAGGATACCAAGGATGCAGTGAACCATGATTACACTGCTGCACTCCAGCCTGGGTGGCAGAGTAAGGCCCTGTCTCTAAAAATAAAAGTAATTTTGTTTTGATTTATCAATAGTGTATTTGAGTGTATCTTTTCATATAGACTTTTGATGGTTTCTCTAAGTACTAAATTATGTATACATAACTTATCAGCCTACTGATGTAATTATTTTACCAGTTTAAGTGAAGTATAGAAACCTTAGCTCCCTTTCTGTCCCTTTACCTGCACCTGTTAATAGCTGTCTTAAATTTTTCTTCTACATACATGTGGAACCACAGCAGCCGGTGTTGTAATATTTGCTCCATCCATCAAACATGATTTAGGGAAGCTTATCTGGGGGAAAGGGAAAGCCTGTTTGGTTTACCCATTTTTTTTTTGTTATATTCTTTCTTTTTTCCTGATGTTCCAAAGGTCCTCCTTTTATAGCTTTCTTTCTGTTCTTTTTATTATGGCTATTTTGAGATCCTTTTCAGATGATTCTAATATCTCCATCACCTTCATCGATTAGTTGTCTTTTATTCATTCCATTTGAGATCTTCCTGATTCTTGATATGTCAAGTGAATTTTTATTAAAACCTGGAAATTTTTGTATTTCGATGAGACTCGGGGCCTTATGGAAGCCTTCTCTGTAGCTAGCTTTCTCTGAACTGTTCTCACTGGGGCATGTGTGTGGCACTCCTCGTGGCTGACATGTGAAAGTAGAAGTCCAGGTTTCCCACTCAGCCTCCGCTGACACCAAGGTGTGGGGGTTCTTATTACTGCCAAGTTGGGGGAGAGAGTTCCTGCTCCCCAGCAGTCTCACTGACAGTTTGATGGAGGTGGCCTCATTGCTGCTGGGTGCTGCTGAAAGTCCTGACCCTCCCAAGACCTCCTTGGACACACTGGAGAGTGGGGAGAGGGAGAGACTCCACATTATTGCTGAGTGGGAGTGAAAATCCAGAGTCTCCATGTGGGTGGACTCCATGAGGGTGGGGAAGGATGAGCTGATTGCCAGCCAGCGAGGGTGAGGCCTTCGGCTCTCTACTTGGCCTTCTTGGACACCGCTCCAGCCAGGCTACTGGGATCCTTGTTACAGCCTCACAAGTGGGGGCGTCTAGGCTCCCACTCACCATTTGCTTTGTATGATTTGTGTGGTGTTTAGCTGGAGTAGAACAGGTTGCCTAAAAGTTTTCTCTCTTGCTAAGCTGCCTTTTCCTGGCCATTTGGTGAGAGAGCAGGCTTTTGTTGAGGTTTTCTTTGTGTTTCCAGGTCACCAGCTTCTTCCGCTCCAAGTCTCTTCCGAGGACAATTTGATTCCTATCTGAGCTTGGGAAGTCTGTGCTCATATTACTCAGGGGAGTCGCAGCAGCACCGGACCTGCCTCAGAGGATCTCCTGAACTTGGAGAGAGATGATTATGGATTGCAGACAGGAACATAATATGAAAAATGGAAGAAAACCATGTCATTTGTACTTTCAGTATGTGTTGGGTGTTTGAAAAGTGATTTTTTTCATCACGTGTCCTATCTTTATTACTCCTTTTTTTTTTCTTTTTGTTATTACGATGAAAAGTTCATGGTCATTGTAGAAAAATGAGAAACCAAGGTTAAGTAAGAAGAAAACTTTGGGCAGGAGGATCACTTGAGCCCAGGAGTTCAGGCTGCAGTGAGCTATGATTACACCACTGCACTCCAGCCTGGGCAGCAGAGTGAGACCCCGACTCAAAAAACAAAAAATTTACAATAAAGTTGAACTTTACTGGGCATCAAGAAAAAAAAAAAAAGAAGAAGAAGAAAACATTGACCTAAATAAGAGATACTTGGAAGCTGTGTAAGTCGCAGGTGGTACGACCACAAAGCCGGCCTGCCTGTGTCCACCAATGCAGCCCCTCTGACATTTCTGTTTCCTCCCTCTAAGCCTTCAGGGGCATCTGCCCAGTGCCAGGTCCTATGCTGAGTGCAGGTGGTGGATGTACAAGTCAGACCTGCAGAGCAGAGCCTCTGCCTGTTGACAAGAAGGAGGGGAGGCTGCCCCAGGCAGAGGGAGTGGCATTGCAGAGACGCAGAGACATGAACAACTTGGTGCAGCCCTTTCAGCGTTGCTAGAGCATTGCGGGGAAGGAGGCTGCGGTGCTGGGCTGTGCAGTCCTAAGTTTGCACCTGTTCTGTGGGCCACAGGAGAGCAGAGTCTGAGATGAGGACAGTATTAGTTTGCTAGAGCTTCCATGACAAAATACACAGACTAGGGGGCTTAAGCAACAGACATTTATTTTCTAACAATTCGGGAGGCCGGAAGTCTAAGATCAAGGTGTTGGCAAGTTTGGGTTCTCCCAGGGCCTCTCTCCTCGGCTTGCAGGTGGTCACCTTCTCACTGTGTCTTCACAGTCTCTCCTCTGAATATGCCTAGCCCTGGGGTCTCTGTGTGTCCAATCTCCTCCTTTTATAAGACCTCCAGTCAGATTGGATGAGGGTCCACCTTAACAGCCTCATTTTAACTTGACTATCTCTTTAGAGGCCCTATCTCCAGATATGGGCATGCTCTGATATACTGGGGATTAGGACTTCAACATAAAAATTTCTGGGGTGGAGAAGGAGACGCAGCACAGCCCCTAACAGGAAGCGAGCAGAGGAGTGGCTGGATCCTAGCTCTGTTACATAATTGGATTTCTGGCATCATGGAGGATGGATTGCAGGGAGAGGGGGCTCAGAGACTGTCAGATTTTTAAAGAAAAGGCAAGAGACAGTGGAGATACAAACAAAGGTGGGAGCCATGGGCGTGGAGAGCAGCAGGTGGGTCAGGGTGGGAGGGACAAGCAGAGAGAGGCGAGAGGGGCATCAGTGAGCCCACGCACAGGTCTTGGAGGCTCCTGGCCCTGGCACCCCTCTAGGAGAAGCCCTCTCACTGGGATCAGCCTCCAAGGCTGGCCTCCTTCCTCTTCCCTCTTGATCCCATCTGGTAAACCTGCTTGCTGCTTTCCCCAAACAGAATGCATCCAAAGAGATCCACAGGAACACACAATGCAATTAAATTTCTGGAAACTAAAGACAGAAAAAAATTGTGAAAGTAGGTCAACTGCAGTGTAGCTGATTTACAGAGTCAATAATAACTCCACAGGTGTGCGCAGAGCGGCACACTCATTAATGGGCCCCTTTTGCCAGGTTTTCTGTATCAGAATTATGCTAGTTTCACAAAAGGAATTTGGAAGTTTTCCTTCTTTCTCTGTGCACTGAAATGCTTTAAATAGCATCGGAGTGATCGTTCCCTAAAGATTTGGTTGGGTTCACTTATAGGCCTGGTGATTTTCCCCCCTTTTCACATCTTTATGAAGGTGGTCCGTTGAGACCATCACCACAATCAAGATGGCAAGCATTTCCATTGCCCCCAAAGTCGCCTCGTGCCCTCCTGTTTACAACCCACCCCTCCTCCACCCCCGTCCCCAGGCAATCCTTGGCCTACTTTCTGTTTTTATAGATTTGTTTGCGTCTTCTAGAATTTTATGTAAATGGAATCAAACAGTACTTTCTTTGGCCTTTTTCACTTAGCATAATTATTTAGAGATTCACGCATGTTGTGGGTATCCAGAGTTTATTCATTTTTATTGCTGAGTAAAATTCCATTGTATGAATATACCACCATTTGTCTATATATTCACCAGTTGGGGGACATTTGAGTTGTTTCCAGTTTGAGGCTATTATAAATAAAGCTGCTATAAACATTCTCGTACAAGTCTTTGTGTAGACATATGTATTTTTTTCTCTCTTGGATAAATACCTAGAAGTGGAAAGATTGGGCCATATGGTAGGTGTATGTTTAATGTTTTAAGAAACTGCCCATTTTCCAAAGTGGCTGTTCCATTTTACATTCTCACCAGCAGCGTACGAGAGCATTCCGGTTGCTCCATATCCTTGCCAGCAGTAGATACAGTCTTCTTCTGATTTTTTGAGTGGTTGCAAATTGACAACTTTCTCAAATTCTTCTCTTTATCTTCGACTAGGTTACCTAACCCACAGATTCTCCAGTGAAGCTCAGGTACCTGTGTGTCATTCCAGGGTGTGAGCTGGGGGAAGACTGAGGGAAGACGGGAAGTGAAGCAGGGAAGGAGAGAAAGAAAACACAGGGTGGTGCATGATTGAGCATGTCACAGCTTCAGAGCAAAGCACACCAGGTCACTCAGCCATGTAACATCTCCAGAGAGCCAAGACTAGCAGAGGAAGAAAGAGGCATCTCCTGGTGATTTTCCATCATCTGTCTTTCACTGGTCCAAATTGACCCTACGGGCCTTAACTCCCCTGAAAGTGTTGTGGCCCCTTCAGACAGCTGCTGGGGAAGCCACATGCTACATCTCAGGGCAGAGTGCTTCATCTGGGTCTAGAAACAGTGAGACAAGCCAGAGCCTCTGCATGACCAGTCAGGTTGGACCAGGGCACCAGAGTTGCTGTGGTTCCACGGAAGGTAAGAGGCCAGGCCTAGGTGCAGACGTTGCCCCGTGGGAGGTGGAGCCCGTGGCAATTAGGAGATGAGCTGGTGTGGGGCCTGTGCTCCCCTGAGCAAGTAAGTGAGGCTGGGGGTGTTGGTGGGGGTGCAACCAGTGGAGCTGAGCAAACCCGGAGAGGTCCATGAGTTGAGTCAAGTACAAGCTTCACGGAGAGTTTGCATCTGTGAGCTCCTCTTATCTCCCGCACAGTCCTGGAATGTAAACAGGATGTAAAATCTGAAGCCCTGGATTTCTGATGAGGAAAGTCTGGTCTTCTCCAAGTGACCCATCCAGGATCACACATCAACCAAGGGTGGCACACATGGGTCTTCAGACTCTGAGCCCAGTGCTCTCTCCACTGTGCTAGGTAGTTTCAAAACATTCTCAGATTTACGTTTCTGGGACTATGTTTGGTTTGGGGGCACCTGCTGGAAGACCGAACAGCACATCCCGAATCTTGTTTTCTATTTTCAGCCACCTTGGGGGAGTGGAGCAGCAGCAGATCCAGGTAACAAGGCTGCCCAGGGGCCACATGGCAAGGAGATGGGGGATCTTGAGATCTAGTCCTGCTTTGTGTGACTTTGGGCTAATGATTGTTTGCCTTGAGTCTTGTTCACTCCCCTACTTCTGCCCTCATTCATTCAGCAAACATATGGCAAGAGGGTATGACCTATGTGCCAGATATTGTGCTATAGAGGGAATATCAAAATGAGTGAAGTCGTCATGAAATTTCTAATCCTGACCCACGTTACATGGGAAAATCATTAATGTACATCTTATAGGGACATTGGGTGAATTATAATAAATGAATTAATCCATGTAAAGCACTGATAGCATCTGCACATCACAGATATTCAATAAATGTGATGATGGTGATGATGATGGCAATGATGACAAAGACAGTGGCCTCCTGGGATGCTGACCTCCTTAGGTCTTTGTCTGTGAGTGGAGTGGGCAGTAACTCACAGGGGTTAATAACGTGTTGTCTGTAGAGTGATAAACACCGGGGTTTGAATCTCAACTCTATTAGCAGCTCCTTGAGCAAGCTCCTTTTCTTCTCTGTGCCTCAGCTGCTTTACCTGTAAAACTGAGCTTTGACTTTGTCTTTTTGAGGAAATGAGATAATACCTGTGAAATTGATTGTTTTCAAAAGTGACCCAATTTTTCACAACCTGCCATATCCATGTCCTTTTGCCTTGCTTCCTGTCAAGCGGCAGAGTCTCTTTCTTCACTTTCTTCAATATGGATGGCCTTGTAACTCGATGTGGCCAACTAACTATCCCTTCTCACTTTGAGTAGGTATCTCTTCTTATGCTGAGACCTCGCCACTACCATATGAAGAGGCCCAATCTCACCTGAAGGATGAAGACATATTAATCAGTCATCCCCACTGACCCAGCCAACAGTCAATCAATCCCCAGAAGCAGGGGCAGCCTGCTGGCCCACAGTTAACCACAGACATGTTAGAGAGGCCAGTCAACACCAGAAGAACTACCCCACCAAACCCAACTTGTACTGCCAACCCACAGAATTGTGACCAAAATAAATGGTTGTGATAATAAATCACTATTTTAGGCTGTTAAGTTCCACAGCAACAGCTAACCAATACAGCGTATAAAATGCTTGGCCTAATTAATGGAGCCCATGATGAAGATGATAATGATGATGAGGATGACAATATTGCCCATGTTTTGGCCTCTGTTGGGAATATAAGAAAAGGTTGTATCATGACTTCTGCCCAAAAGGAGTGCATAGCACTACATTATTCAAAGGAAAAGAAAGACAGCAAACAATGACTTCCAACAAACTCCCAGTCACTTGCTTGTTCTTCAAAGTCTTGACCAACTATTCTGACCTCAAGCCCTCGCTAAGGAGATTTGACGTTGCATCCACAGTAAAGAGTTATTGGAAGGTTCTAAGGCTGGGAATGGTGGGATAAGAGATGCTTTAGAAAGACCCTGCAGCAGGAAGGGTCAGAGGAAGAGCCTGCCTGTGGGAGGTCTCATGCGGTGGTCAAGGAGAGCAGGGACACCAACCTTCTGCTCACACCTGCATGGCTCCCCAGGGCTCTAAGAATAAACTCTAGACTCCACAGGGCCTGGTGTGACTGGCCCTCTACCCTTTTGAACCACTCTTCCCCGTTCTCATTCTGCTCAGCCCATGCTGTTCCTCTTACCTCCTCACACCTCCTCACTGTGCCCTGATTCCTCTTCCCTTGGTGCCTTTGCATGTGCTGTTCCATTGCCTCCCCTCCCTTCCTGTGCTCATCCTTCAGATCTCCATAGTTGAGATGTCACTGGACACTTCATCTAAGTCTAGTCCCCCTGATATGGTCACTTAAAAACCCTGTGTCCCTCTTTTGTGGCAGTCACCATGGTTTATACTTACGTATGTAATACATGAGTGATGGTTTCATGGGTATCTGCCCCCGCCAGGCTCTGAGCTCCTCTGGGGAGAGACCGAGTCTGTCCTGCTTGTTGCTGTGCCCAGAGTCTGGCCCAATGCCTGGTGTGCATCAGGCATAAATGGAATAGTTGTAAAATGAAGACTCCCTTGAGTAAAAACCCTTTGGGGCAGAACACTCGTGCTTATCCAGAATCTCCCAGTCCTGAAATCATGTGGGAGGAGAGACAGGCCACAATTCTTAGAGCTCTTCCCTCAGGAGACAAATCAGTCTCGTGCTGGAAGTGTGGCCCAAGACTCTGGCACCAGTTTTATAGCTTAAGGACACATTTAATCAGGCCAATAAATAATCCATCCCACCAGCCCCAGCAGCTGCATGGAAGGTCCTTAAGGAGAGAGAAACACCAATGTGGAACATTGAGTTCCCCAGCCCCAAGGACATGAAATTCTCCTGCAGGGTTTTAATCATCTAGTTGGACTGGAAATGCTTTCACAAGCCTTGCTTTGCAAACAAGTCTGTGATCAGAAGCAAACAAATAGGCTCTGTGTGGACATCTGACATCTAGGAGACTTCATTGGGGCCGCTACAGGAAGACGGATGCAACAGAGAAAAACACAGAGCTGAAAGCAACAAAAGACTCTGTGGCCTGACCCCATTGTCCCCAGAGAGGAGAGTCACTGACATCTCTCCCTTTCATCTTTTTTTTTTTTTTTTTTTGAGATGGAGTCTTATTCTGTTGCCCAGGCTGGAGTGCAGTGGCGTGTTCTCGGCCCACTGCAAGCTCCCCTTCCCGGGTTCACACCATTCTCCTGCCTCAGCCTCCCGAGTAGCTGGACTTTCATCTTACAGAATCCTTCTTCTCACTTGGAGGTGTGGGCTTGTATATAGCACTTGTGGGCTTATGTGTCCATCTGTCCGTGTCTCTCACTAGACCATATGCTCCAAGAGGGCAAGGACAGAGCTTACTCACCCATTGTTTCCCACTCATAGTGCAGTGCTTGGCATGGAGCTGGCTCCATAAATGTTTGCTGATTGAGTAAGCAAAAGAGAAACACTGAGCTGTAAGAAGGGATGGAAAGGTCAGCCTCACGCATACACAAAGATATAGCTGAAAGCATAGTAGAGAAATGGAGTGCGGTCTGGAGCCTCTGGATGGAGCCATTCCTGAAGACTTCACCACCAGTGGAGTTTTCATTCGTGTGCTCCAGGTTATTCCCTTTGTTGGTTAATCCAGATCCACACAAAGACTGTTATACAAATGTTCTCCTCATTCATAATAAATAGCCCCAAACTGGAAACAAACTTCATGTCCTTCAACAGGTGGTGAACAAACCAGTTGAGATATATTCATACAACAAATCCATGTAATGGAATACTACTCTGCAACTCAACCATGAAGGGAACAAATTGCTTGTTATGGACAGAATGTTTCTGACCCTCCAGAATGTGTATGCTGAAGCCCTAACCCCAGTATGTCTATATTTGGAGATGAGGCCTCTAAGGAAGTAATTAAGGTTAACTGAGGTCATAATTAAGGTTAAGTGAAGCTTTAATTCAGTAGGATTGGTGTCCTTATGGAGGAAACACCAGAAAGCACCCTCCTCCTCCTCTCTCCTCCCCCTCCCTCTCCTCACCCCCTCTCCCTCACTCCATGTACACACTGAGAGGAGGCTGCATGAAGACATAGCAAGAAAGGTGGCTGTCTGCAAGTCAAGAAAAGAGCCCTCATCAAACCAAATTGGCTGGCACCTTGATCATGGACTTCAGCCTCTGGAGCTGTGAGAAAATGAATTTCTGTCATCTAAGCCCCCCAGCCAGTGGTGTTTGTTATGACAGCCCAAGCAGACTAAGACACTGCAGATACACACAACAATACACCACGCTGAGCATAATGCGCCCGAGTCAGAGGCCTGCATCCAGTGTGAGTCCACTTAAATAAGGTCTATGAGCTTAAGCTGGTCCAGTCCACCTTATTTTGTTGTTGTTTTTGCTGTTGTTGCTGCTCTGTTTTGTTTTGTTTTGTTTTGTTTTAGGCTTTTAGCAGTCTGAAGCCATGGATTTTCACCTCTGTCTCTAGTGATAAGCGGAAAAGAGGGATGAGGAAGGGGATTTACTGGCCCAACCAGAAAGAGAAACTAAGAACCCATGACTATATTCTCTCCCTTGGACAGCACTGGACAAATCTGTAATCACCCAACAGGTTCTTCTTGCCCACTGCACAGACAAAATCCATTTACTGAGATAATGGTATTGCAGTAAAGACATTTCATTGACAGGAGATCAGTCATGCGGGAGACAGAGTTATTACTCAAATCAGTCTCCCCAAAGGCTCAGAGGTTAGGGTTTTTCAAGGATAGTTTGGTGTGGAGGGGTCTAAGGAATGGGGAATGTTGATTGGTTGGGGATGAAATCACAAGAGTATGGAAGACGGTCTTCAGGTGCTGAGTCTGCCTCTGGGTGGGGGCCACAGAACTGGATGAATCACAGGTCTGGGTGGAGTCAGCCAGTTATGAGAAATGCAAGAGTCTGAAAAGACATCCCAAAAGGTCAATCTTAGGCTCTGCAATAGTGATGTTATCTACAGGAGTAAGAGGGGACGTTCCAAATCTTGTGACCTCTGGGACAATGGCTGGTTACATTTAACTACACATACATCTTAGCAGAATTCAGGCCCCCCTCACAGCCCTAACCTTGTGGTCTTTCATTAGTTTTACAAAGGCAATTTAATTTTGGGATAGGTTATCATCATCCTTGCTATAGGTCAAACTATAAATTCCTCCCAAGGTTAGCTTGGTCCACACCATAATTGACCAAGGACAGCTTGGAGGTTAGAAGCAAGATGGAGTCAATTATGTCAGATTTCTCTTACTGTCAGAATGTTGCAAAAGGAGTTTTAGAACATGGTGAAAACAGGCCGGGCGCAGTGGCTCACGCCTGTAATCCCAGTACTTTGGGAGGCCGAGGTGGGCGGATCACGAGGTCAGGAGATCGAGACCATCCTGGCTAACATGGTGAAACCCCATCTCTACTAAAAATACAAAAAATGAGCCAGGTATGGTGGCGGGTGCCTGTAGTCCCAGCTACTCGGGAGGCTGAGGCAGGAGAATGGCGTGAACCCGGGAGGCGGAGCTTGCAGTGAGCCGAGATTGGGCCACTCCACTCCAGCCTGGGCAACAGAGCGAGACTCCATCTCAAAAAACAAAACAAAACAAAAAAAAAAACATGGTGAAAAGATTCAGACCAGTTGCTGCCTCTGGGAAGGTAGGAATTGACTGGATAGGGAGAAGAACTTTCAGAGGAGCTGGAGATGTGGCAGGTCTTGATGTGAGTGGCATTATGTGCATGTAGACATGTAGAAGCCATCAACCTGCACATTTAAGATGTATGCAGTTTACTGTATATAAATTACATCTTAATTGTTTTTTAGCTGGACTAGATCCTCTCTGAGCTTCTTCTAATTCTCTTGCCTTTAGGGTTCTGGGGTAGAGTGCAGCTACTCTGCAGCCTCACTTCTGTGGGCTCCTTTGGGGGCAGTGTGCTGTGGCCAGAGGGGCCAGGACAGGAATTCACAGACCTGGGCACTGGACACTGGCCAGGTACAGTCATGGGGAGCAGAAGCAGAATGAAAGCAGAGGAAGCCAGTCGGTGGCAAGAAGGTGAAGCAGAAAGAGAGAAGAAAGAAGAGAGGAGGAAAAGGGGAAAGAGAGAGATAAAGGAAGGCTAAGAGAGAGACGAAGAGGAGGGCAGAGAGCCCAAGAGTGACAGACGAAGGAAGAGACTGAGAGAGGTAGACACAGAGAGAGCTAGGGAAAGAGACAGAGAGAGGCCGATTGCCATGTGTGGCCCCAGCGAGGCAGCTGTTTTGCATTTTACTCAGTTTGTTTTCAGCCCTGACTTCCATATCCTATAAGGCCACCTGGGTTCCAAGCCTGTCCCTGAATCTCCACGACCCTGAGCTGTACTTGCTTCCAATGAAGACCCGATTACCTTGTGCGGACTTGAGGGAGGCCCTCTTTCTCGTGCAGCCTGAAATGTGTCCCCGGTGCTGGGTGGTCATTCCTTTCTTGTGTGTCAGCCTCACCTCAAGAACTAGGAGTGTCTGGAGGGTAGGAAGACGCTGCCACCCACTTGCATCCTCTAATCTTCCACAGCTGACCCCAGTGGGTGAAGGTCAGATAGCTGAGTTGAGCAGTTACTTCATCATCTCTACCAGGAAGCATTCAAGGGCGTTACAAGGTGCTCATACCCTTCAGATGTGCTTGGGACAATGGCCCCAGCCCCTGGGCCTCCCTGCTAGGTCCTGGTTGTGGGACTGGGGAGAAACTGGTGGGGGCAACAGAGGGGGTAGGGTGGGAGCAAGATGTCCAGGTTGGAAAACAGTGGAGGCATCTTCTGTGCTGGGCGAAGTAGGGTGGGCCCTAAATGGGAAGATTGGTCGCACAGTAGAACTGGAGGCATTAGAAGGTGGGGCTCACTCAGCCAAGAGGTGCAGGGTGAGTCAAGCAAGGCTGTGGGAAGGCCTTGGGGCCGGTATGCTGGAAAGACCTGGGCAGGCGTGGTATGTCTGTTGCACAATTTTCCAGTGGTCACTGGACTTTGGCTGAGTAGCCAGAACCCAAATCCTCCTCTGCCTGCCTTCCAGACAGCCAGAAGGCCCAGGGTCCCAGCTGAGTGGATTAACTACCAATCACCACATAAGCGGCCCAGTTTGAAATTTGAGGGATGGCACGAGGTCCAGCTTCTGCTAGGACTTCTCTCATCCACTGCCAAGAGAGTTTTGTCTGAAGGCAGCCCTAAGCGCATGCTAGGCATGCCTCAGTTTTGTGTCCGGGATGACTGGGCTTTCTGGAGTCTACAGTGTGCTTACCGACTGTGGGCTGTTTTCTGCCTGACGGCCCAGCCCTGAGATCTGGGACTTTCCATCTTTTTGTTCTCAGATGGCCTGGTCTGAGGCCTTAGATCTTTGGGAATGTCTTTGCCTGTGTCCCAAGGGTGACACTAAGGAGGTCTGAGTTCTCTTCCATTCCCTCTGGCTGGAATGCTGTGAGTGTGGCTGGAGGATGTCTTGCATGTGGTTCCCATCTGCATCTTCAATAGCCTTCCAGCAAGACAGGAGGCTGACAGGGTCTCTGTTCTAATGGGAGCTGCATGGGTGTTTTAGTCAACAGGGAGACTTGTCTTTGAGGAACTGGGGAGAAAGCAGAGATACTTTTCACTTCTCCCACATCACTTTTATTCCATGTTGTATCAACAGCCGATCTTGGGTGTAGAATTAAAATCTTATTTTTGAGCAGATTCTGGCCCCACCACTAAGTTGCTGTGTGACCTGGGGCCACCCACTTGCCATCTCTGTGCCTCAGGTTCCTCGCCTGGCTGTACCTCTTCCCACTTAGTGATCCATGGCTCCTGTGAGCTCCAAACCTGCCAGTCCTCTGAAAGAAATCACAATTTTCCTTGTGTTTCAAAAACCAAGGACAAGCACTGATATGCAATCGTTCATCGCTCTCCTGGCCCCCAACAATGTAAGCCTTGGTTTCTCTGTAGGTGGAGTTAGTGTAATCAGCCCTCCCAGGCTGCAGAAGGAACTGGTACTTGTGGGATTTGCAAACTGAAATAAGTGATGCAAAGATTTATACCAATATCCGCCCCAACCCTCCCAGGTCCCACGAGTGTAATTTCCTTGCCTGTGTTCCCCACAACACCCTGTGTTCCTCGGGCCTGTCCTCCCTCAGCAGGGCCTGCAATGGCCAGTCCTTACATTCTGAGAGCCTGTGCCTAATGTCTTGTGTCCCTAATATCTTGTGTGTGTGTGTTGGGGTGTGTATGTATTGGGGCGTATATGTGTTGGAGTATGTGTTTGTTGGGGTGTGTGTGTGTTGTGTGTGTGTGTATTGGGGTGTGTGTTGGAATGTGCCTAATGTCTTGTGTCCCTAATATCTCTGGGAGGTGGGGAGCAGTATCACTTCCACTTTAAGGACAAGACGCCTGGATCCCAGAGTTTAGACCACGTAACTGCACCTACGGTTCTTATTTCTCCCCAGGCTTAGCTTTAAGCTGTGCCTTGAAGCTGGGGATGTGTGAGACTGTGTGTGTGTGTGTGTGTGTGTGTCTGTGTATGAGTGCATTGGTCTGTGTGTGTATTGAACTGTGTGTGTTGGGTTGTGTGTGTGTTGGGGGTATGTGTTTTAAGGCGTGTGTTGGGGTATGTGTGTTGAAGTATGTGTGTGTTGGAGTATGTGGGTGTTGGTGTCCGTGGGGGGATTGTGTGTGTGTTGGGGTGTGTGGGTATTGGGCTATGTTGGAGTATGTGTGTGTCAGAATGTGTGTTTTGGGATGTTTGTGTTGGGGTGTGTGTGTTGGGGCATATGTGTATTAAGGTGTGTGTGTTGGAGTATGTGTGTGTTGGAGTATGTGTGTATTGATGTGTGTGTGTATTGGGGTGTGTGTGTTGGAGTATGTGCGTGTTGAAGTATGCGCGTGTTGCTGTGTGTGTGTGTGTTGGGGTGTGTATGTATTGGGGCATGTATGTGTTGGAGTATGTTTTTGTTGGGATGTGTGTGTGTTGGGTGTGTGTGCATTGGGGTGTGTGTTGGAATGTGTGTGTTGGGATGTGTGTTGGAGTGTGCATTGGGGTGTGTGTTGGGGTATATGTGTATTGGGGTGTGTGTGTTGGAGTGCGTGTGTTGGGGTGTGTATGTATTGGGGTGTGTGTGTGTTGGGGTGTGTGTGTGTTGGAGTATGTGTGTGTTAGGGAGTGTATGTGTTTTGAGGGTATGTGTGTTGGGGTGTGTGTTGAGGGCATATGTGTGTGTTGGGGTGTGTGTATTAGGATGTGTATGTATTGGAGTATATACGTGTTGGGGTGTGTGTGTGTTGAGGATGTATTTATGTATTTGTTGGGGTGTGTGTGTGTGTGTGTGTGTGTGTGTGCATGGAGTGATCTGCTGCATGAAATGACTGGCCCTGAAACACAGTAAGTTCTCAGTAAATGTGGGTCACTGTGAAGGCTTGGAACTTCTATTTCTTAACTTAGTTTTTTTTTATCAAGTGTAACATTCAGCAAAGTGCGTGCATCTTAAGGGTGGGGTTTGATTAACTTTTGCCTGTGTATATAAGCATACAACCACCCCCAGGGTCAATCAATATATTGGACACTTGCAGCTCCCCAGCAAGCTCCCTCCAGCCTCAATTTCTCCATTCTCCAGACTTCTATCATTACAGATTAGTTGTGCCTAGGTTTGGTCACCATGTAAATGGAGCCACACAAGTTGTGTGTACTGTGTATATACACACAGGATATGTGCACTCTTCTGTGCCTGGTTTCCTCTGTTGAACACAAAGCCTGTGTGTTGAATCCATGTTGTGTGTAGCAGCAGCCTTTTTCCTTTTGATGTGCTGTTAGCATTGCATTGAACTGCCCCCCACGTGTCTATCCATTCTCCTGATGATGGACATTTGGTCTGTTGCCAGTTGTGGCTATTACGCATCAAGCTTCTGTGAACAGGGCTTCTGAGGACATAAGCACTGATTTCAGTTGGGCATCTACCTAGAAGAGAATGTGCTAGGTCTTAGGGTCTATGTAGACTGAGTTTAGCATTAGAATACTAATATATAATATAATGCTGCCAAAAGTTTTCTGAAGTGGTGTTAAGTGATGATCCAAACAGCAATAGTTGAGGGTTCCAGTTGCTCCATACCCACATCCTCACTGTGCAGGCTGGTTTCTCTGGGAGCAGATTTGGCCATGGAGTTTGGATCTGGAGACAGTTATTGGGGATCCACACCTGTGAAGAGAAAAGGAAGGAACAAGTTGGGGCAGAGAGAAGAGCTGAGCTGTGACTCAGGCTAGACAAAGCCCCAGTTAACCTAGCAGGGAGCTGGCTGGCGTGAGTTCTGCCCAGCAGCGTGACCCACATCCAGTGGAAACAAAAGGCTGACCTCTAAGCCCTGCTGCACTCTGCCGCCTGATCTGGGCTGCCCCAGGAGGGCCATGACCTAGGGCGGGGTGGCTCTCCTAGCAGAGGTAGACCTTGGAGGAGCCGACAGCTGCAGGCCACCTGCTGACAGCAGTATAGCTGCCAGTGCACCACACCTGCTAGCCATTTTAGTGAGGAGTGTGATGGCATCTTCCTGTGACTTTAATCTGCATTTCCAAGATGTTAATAATGCTTATATGATAATTGGCTATTTAGATGTGCTTTTTGGTGCAGTCTCTGTTCACAGCTTTTTGCCCACTTTAAAAACTGGGATGTCTGTCTTTTTCTTTCTCTTTTTCTTTTTGAGACAGGGTCTTGCTCTGGCACCCAGGCTGAAGTGCAGTCACGTGATCACGGCTCACTGCAGTCTGGATCTCCAGGGCTCAAGCAATCCTCCCAACTCACCCTCACAAGTAGCTGGGAGCACAGGTGCCCCTACCACACCCAGCTATTTTTTTTTTTTTTTAATTTTAGTAGAGACATGGTCTCGCTGTGTTGCCCAGGCTGGCCTCAAGCTCCTGAGCTCAAGTGATCCTCCTGCCTCGGCTTCCCAAAGTGCTGCGATTACAGATATGAGCCACTGTGCCTAGCCTGTCTTTTTCTTATTAATTTATAAAAGTTCTTTGTATGTTCTGGATATTGGTATTTATTTTCATAGATGTATTTCAAACATCTCTCAACCTGTTTGGTTAAGAAATTTTTGTCTACCCCAGGGTCATGAAGATATTCTTGTATTTTATTTTCCAGAAGATTTTTTGTTTTAATTTAGGTCTATGATGGATCTCGAATTAATTTTGGGGTATGATATGAGGTAGGCCCATTTTTCCCCCATATGACTCTCCAATTGAACTAATACCATTTATTAAATATCACCTTTCCTCACTGAATTGTGCATCTTTCTTGTGAATCCAGGGATTGAACACGTGTGGGTTTGTTTCTGGGCTCCCTACTGTGTTGTATTGGTCCACTTGACTAGGATCACAGTATGCCACACTGCCTTCTTACTCTGGATTTAGAAAAAACCCTTGACATCCAGTACATTAAGTCATCCAGCTTCGTACTCTTGTGAGATTGCTTTACCTATTCTAGGTCCTTGGAATTTCCACATAAATTTTGAAAACAGCATGCCAATTTTCTTGTAAATACCTGCTGGAATGGGTTTGTATTAAACATACAGATCAATCTGGCAACTTAATATTGTAATAATATTAAGCTGGTCAAACAACAAGCAGGCTACAGTCCTCTATTTAGGTCTTCTTTAATTTCTCTACACTGTTTTGTGTCGTCATAGAGGTCTTGTGCTTCTTTCATTAGACTTACTCATAAGTATTTGATGATTATTTTGGTATTATTGTAAATGGCACCTCAAAATTTTCATTTGGTAATTGTTGCCAGCACATACACACTAAACTAATTTTTGTATGTTGATTATATCCAGCAATCTTGCTAAACTTACTCATTAATACTAATAGGTTATTATTGGATTTTGGATTTTTTCCATATACAATATTATCATCTTAAATAATGAGTTTGTATGTTTCATTTCAAACTTTATTATTTTTATTTTTATTTCTGCCTCATCGAAACAACTGGGCTCTGCTGTATAATGTTGAATAGAAATGATAGTGGCGGACATCCATTTCTTGTTCCTATCCTTAGGAGAAAAGCATTCAGTATTTTACCATTAATGATGATGTTAGCTGTGTGTGTGTGTGTGTGTGAGCGTGCGCGCACACACATTTCTTTGATGGAAACTCTTTATCAGATTAAGAAAGTTCTCCTCTGTGCCTCTTTTGCTGAGAGTTAAAAAAAAACATGAATAAGTATTGAATTTTAATGAATCTTTGCCCATATGTATTGATTTTCATTCACATCTTCAGCTGCACCTCTCGAAAGCTGGAAAGTGGTATGTGGCTGGTGTCAGGCCAGAGGTTTCAGAGGGAGTCCTGCCCCTGTGGAGACCGGATGTGACGGTTACAGGAGGGCCGGAATGGGAGACAGCCCTAAAGGCACAAGTCAGCCCCAAAGACACAAGTCAGTGACACTGACGTGATCACGCACCTCGGTCCTTGTGAACTCCTCTTCTACTCACTCCCAGCAAGCACTTGGGATCTGTTTTCTGAATGGTAACTAGTGCCATGCATATAACCCTGTGGCAGGAACTGTGCTAGGCATGATGGGAGGGCACAGGACATAGCTACTGCCCCTCCAGGGCGCTGGGGGTGTCTCCATGTATCACACCATCCTGCAGTTCCTAGGAGGGCCCCAACTCTGGGCTAGAGCTACAGGCCTGTGTCCCTTGCCTCCACCAGCCCCGCAGCACCCCCTCCCTGCCCCCGCCAGAGACCAGGGCCCTCAGGAGCAGTCAGACCGACCACGAACAAACAGGGCAAGAGCAGTGGAAAATGCCCCAAATGGTCCCCACCCTCACCCATCTCTCCCCGCTGGTCAGTTGTCTTGTGGATTCTTGGCCTTCCCAGTGCGGTCTGGGAAGACTTAGATGGTTTCCTTCCAAAGCCCCAAGAAGCCAAGAACAGGAGCTGCTCCAGGCCATTTCTGTCCCTGGGTCTCCTTTCAAAGGATTTCTGGGTCAATGAAGACACAATGTGGCTTGTGGGCAGTCAAGAGAGAGGGCCTATCGTTGTTTCAGATTTCTGGCTTGGCTCAGAGATTCAGACTCTCCAATTCCCACACTAGATGCCTCAGTCCACTGGGATAAAGGCCTTGCCTCCAAAGAATGGCCATGACATTTGTTGTTTCTGCCGTGTCTGCTCAGCCTCCCTCACTGTCTTCCATAGCAAGCCTCTGTTCCAGCCAGCTTAGTGTGGAACTTAGGAATTTTTGGGTTATAAATGATAGACACTCACGATAAACTAGCCCAACTCCTAAAGCGGGGATTTATTGGTTCACAGATCTAAAAAGCCTAGGAGAAAATGGCCTCAGGTTGGGCTGGATCCAGGTGCTCAAACACTGTCACCAGGAATGTGACTGTCTCCATCTGTGGCTCTGTTTTCTCCCGTATGGGTTTTATTATCTTCCTTTGTGGTGGCAAAGATTGGGCTTGCATCCTTCCAGCTTGACAACTCTGTTGGAAAGACAACACTTTTTTCAATAGGTGCAGCAACAATCTCAGGAAAGGCTCTCATTGGCCCAGCTGAATTCACACACCCATATCATGAGAATCAGCCTCACTAGAAACACATGATCTGAGGATGTGGGAAATGTGCATCCTCAGAGGAAAAAAAATGGGTGTTACAACCAGAATTAAGGGTTTTAAACAAGCAAAATCAGTAGGTGCCACCTCTTCTAGCTGCCCTGCCACCTCTATGCCTTTGTTCAAGTTTCCCTTTCTGGAATTCTGTTTGCCTTCCTGGGCTCAATGCTTCCTTTTCTTCAAGCTCCCCCTCCCTTAGGAAGCCTTCCCTAGCCTTTGAGCCTCCCCCTGCTCTGAACTCACCATGTGCCAATGGTCTAGACATTTGATTTTATTTTAAAATGAACATTATCTGATTTTTTTGATCATAGCAAAATAATACTTATTTCCCAAACAAATCAGAAGATACAAAAGTGAAATCCTATATCACCCACAGAGCCTGCTCTGAGGAGGCGGCATTGTGCCCAGGTTTGAGTAGAAATTGGCAGGGATGGGGCAGGGCCAGGATTGTCTCAGGGCCGGGAACCAGCAGTGGGTGGAAAGACCAGGATGGGAAAGAACTCAAAAGATTTGAGGACCTGAAGGAGCCCAGTGAGCAGGAGCAGAGAGAGAAGGGGTCAAGGGTATGGAACAAGGTTGGCTTGAGGGTGCTTTTACTCTAGTGAGGCAGGAAACTGCAGGAGGAGTTTAAGCAGGGAAGCAACATGATCCAGCTGGCGCTGGGGCCATTCTCCGGGCTGTGTACTGGAAAATGCAGAAGGGCAAGGTTGGAGGCCCCTGCAGTCATCCAGGCCAGACATGATGCTGGTCCGGCCAGAGGTGGTGGTCGTGGAGAGGATTACAAGCCGGTGGGCTTCAGAGACAGAACTGACTTGGCGATGCGCTGGTGTAACAGTCAGGGTGGGGGACATGAGGCTGAGTGATTTCTAGGTTTCTGGCTTGAGCAGCCATGTAAATGGGGTGCATTTACTGCCATGGGAAAGATGGTGAGTTGGGGACATTCTCTCTAGATGTGAGCCCGAAATGGATCTATACTTACATTTTGCATAAGTTGCATGGTGACACTCTGATTCCTGCTCTCTTCCCCACTCAACTGAGCATCTTTCCATGTCAGCATGGCACTCATGGCACTTATGACAATGCCTGCACACTATTCCCGAAGATGATATCCCATAATTTCTTTAACCAAGTCCCCATGGTGGACACATAAGTTGTTTCTGTAGTGCCCATTTAGGACTTGATTAGATTCCATATTACAATTTATTTTATTTTTATCGAATTATTTGTTTCTCAATCATTAGTCCCTTTATCTTTTCTCCAGCTTTCCCAATTTCAGGACCTGCAAACTTGTCTCCAAGTTCCTGCCCTCGGTGCCTTGCACTCTGGCCACTAGATGGCGGTGTTGCATAGGGTCCCCGCTGGCTCCAGTCCACAAGAGACTCCACTTAGCAGGACGCCTGACCTCCAGACTCCGACCTCCACCCAGCAGGGCAAGACCTTCCCTGGAGACCCATGGGTGGACCTCCCATTCTCAGTGCCCAAAGAATTCCTGCCCTAGGTGTGACCTGCGGCCCATTTGTAAACGGATGGCTTTGCTCTCCCCTGCAGAAATAGGTTGGGGGTTGAGGGACTGGCGTTTTTGGCAATGGCTTCTGAAATGTGGTATCCCAGTTGCCTGTGGTGCCTGAGATGGTTCGAGGTGCCAGGAGCTACGTTACCAGAGCTTATTTGGTCGGTTTTTAGAAAAATAGAATTTGTCCTTCAAACCCACAGTTTCATGTACTATTATTATTTAGAATGAGATTAAGTCCAAAGAAAAACTTTAAATTAAATTTAAATGTTAAATGTAAAGAAAAATAGCAGTACGGATAGAACATAGAGAAATCACTGGATTCACTGCAGATTGCTGGCTTCCAGCTCAGTCTAAATGGGAAATGTTGATGGCTTCATAAAATCTTAGAAGGACTGAATTTTAAAACTTAGACCCTGGAGAACATCACACCTAGAAGGAGAACCTTAGAACCACAGTATCTTTGCTGGCATTTTCAAAGATAACGCCATCTTAATCAATACTTTATCATCTTTATCTCCGTACTTAAGAAAATGATCTTGCAACTCTGAGAATCCATAACAGCTTGGGATCATAGTATTTTGGAAGATTAGACTTATGGAATCCTAGACTTCCAGAACTTTAGTGTGAAGAAGTCCACACTAAGGTCAGGTGGAAGAGGAAATTACAGTTGGAAAAGAGAGATTGAGGTCCTGCAGAATGGTGGCCCCTGAGGCTCTCACCTTCTTCCTCCTGCCTCCTGTCTGACCCTTCACCCCAGTGTGCTCAGGGCTCCCACTCTGGGCTCTGCTCCCAGCAGAGAGCATCACCCAGGACAGCTGTCTTCTCTTTAGCAACACTCACTCCCCCATCTCCTTCCTGGCACTCCTCTATGCTAGCTAATCTGACAGCTTAATGAATCCACACTGCCTCAGACTGATGGGCAAATGAGTGATTTATGTGAAGAAATGACCTCCCCCTCAAGTAATAAGTGCTTTCTACGGAATGTTGCAATCTACATGGTGGTGCTGATGGTGACATTTGAGGCAGGATGGCCAGCAATGAGGAAAATATCATGGCATCTTTGGATGTTTTTCAAATCATCACCTACTAGTGCCTCCATTTTTGCTTTTTATTTCCACCAGGGATTGCAGAGATTGGATTTGGGATTGCAGGGAGAGATATCCAGAGGAAACTTGCTTCTGCTTCTTTTCTGATCTCAAAGTTCAGATGTCCAACTAGAGACCAAACTCATTAGCTTCTGGAGGCCTGAATATTTACAACTCCTTCCCATCTTTCTTTCTTTTCTTTTGAGACAGGGTCACACTGTCACCCAGGCTGGAGTGCAGTGCTGCAATCATGGCTCACTGCAGCCTTGCCCTCCTGGGCTCAGGTGATCCTCCCACAGTTAGTGGTGGTGAATCCACACAGGTCTGCAGCAAACTCAGTTCTTGCCTCCTCAGAAGAAAGAGTCTGACCAAAGTGCATAAGGCAGAGTGAGAGACTGAGGAAAGTTTTAGAGCAGGAGTGAAAGTTTATTAGAAAGTTTTAGAGCAGGAGTGAAAGTTTATTAGAAAGTTTTAGAGCAGGAACGAAAGGAAGTAAAGTACACTCAAAAAGAGGGCCAGGCAGGAGACTTGAGAGGTGCAAGTGTATGGTTTGACCTTTGACTTGGGGTTTTATACATTGGAGTGCTTCCAGGGGGTCGTGTCCCTTCTCCCCTGATTCTTCCCTTTGGGTGGCTGTCCACATGCACAGTGGCCGGCCAGCACAGTGTGTTTACTGGAGTTGTGCACGTGCTCACTGGAGGTATTCTTCTCTTACCAGTCTAGCATTCCTAGAGGAAGTTCATATACCAATTAAACCCCACCGTTTTGCCTCTTAATGCACATGCTTGAGCCCACTCACCCAACTCCTGAGATCTTATCAGGAAGCGGCTGATCACCAGCTTCAGGTGTTTCTATCTATTGGGAGACCGGCTTTCCCAGCACTGGCTGTAACCAATTATCATTATTTTAGAGGGACAGTTAACAACCGCCTGACCGTCACCTGATGGTCACCTCACATTCCTGATCCGGAGGCAGGGCCCTCTCCTGCCCTGCTCATGTCTGACTAGCTACCTACTGTAACACTACCTCAGTCCCCTCCCCCAAGAGCTGAGACTATAGGAACACACCACCACATCCAGCAAATTTTTGAATTTTTTTGTATAGATGCTGTCTCAATGTTGCACAGGCTGGTCTCAAACTCCTCAGCTCAAGTGATCCTCCTGCCTTGGCCTCCCAAATCCTTCTCATTTTTCAAGACTACTGAGATGTCACCTCCTCTGGAAAGCCTTCTGGGATTGTTCTTCCTAGAGAGCTGAACATCTTCTGAGGACTTCGTATCAGCACCATGCATTTGTCTGCCAGCTGTACTCGCTGAACTGTGTTCACTAATAACCACTGGGGAATGATTATTCCCCAATGTCTTTCTAATGTCTTAGAATTCGTGACCTAGGGTTTGCCAACCTGAGGGCCCATAGCGGCCAGTTCAGGATGTCGGGGACTGCAGTAAACCAGAGGATTTATCCGGTGGTCGCTCCTTATTTTGGCCAGCAGGGCCGTCTGGAAATGACAGTTCAGTGTTGCCAAATCTTCTACCAGTTTTGAAACACTGACGATATGGTTTGGCTCTGTGTCCCCATCCAAATCTCATGTTGAATTATAATCCCCAGTGTTGGAGGTGATGCCTGGTGGGAGGTGATTGGATCATGGGGCGGACTTCCCCATTTGGTGCTGTTTTTGTGATAGAGTTCTCACGAGATCTGATTGTTTAAAAGTGTGTGGCACCTCCCCTCTCTCTTCCTCGCACTCTGGCCATGTGAAGTGCCTTGTTCCCCCTTCGCCTTCCGCCATGATTGGAAGCTTCCTGAGGCCCCCCAAGAAGCAGATGCTGCTGTGCTTCCTGTACAGCCTGTGGAACCATGAGCCAAATAAACCCATTTTCTTTATAATTACCCAGTCTCAAGTATTTCTTTATAGCAATTCAAGAATAGACTGATACAGCCGATAGTTATTTTTACATAAAAACCTCTCCTTCCAGGCAAATAAAGCATATCAACAGATTTATCACTGGAGCCCAGGACTCTGGGAGGCTCTGCTTTAGGTCCTTGTTGGTCTGCATGCTTCTGGGTGCTTGGAGTCATGCATGACAAGGGTGGTCCTTAGCGGACACTGCTACTCATTCACCTTCTGCCTGTCGGAGCATCTGGAACCTTACATTATTGAAGGCATGTTGCAGAAGTCAGGTGCGTCAGTTTTCACACATGACCCCCAAATTCTTTGATGTTCCTTCCATCAGGAGGCAGGGTGCAACCTAGCCCCTCCTTCCCCTGGAATCTGCAGCCTGTGGCTGCTTGACCAATGGAGTATGGCAGAAGAGCCACTATGACAGCTTTGGGATACTGGTTCTCAGAACCCAGACAGGCCCTGAGGAAGCCCAAGCAGCCCGTAAGGAGGCTGAGTGGAATGAAACCAAGACCCTCATCCCACCCTTATCCTCCCCTGAGCTCCCCCTCATAGCCAGCCCCAACTCGCCATGAGTGCACCATCTTGGAAATGGTCCCCCCCGCCAACCTGTCACAGCTGACACCACACAGAGCAGAGATGAGCCTTCCCCTCTAAGCCCTGCCTGAACTGTGGATTCATGAGCAAAATCAAACTACTAAGCATGGGGGTTGTTTGTCACACAGCAATAGATAACTGCAACATCCGTAGACCTGGGCTCCAGTACTGGCTCCTTTTGCCCCTGACTCTGGTATCTTGGACCCCTTGCCTCCCCACAATCTCAGCCTACACACTTAAGAAGGGAGGGTTTGGTCTGCTCACAGTGTGGAATGCTGTGATGTCTATGCAGCTGTGGGGGTGTGAAGTGGCATCCCCACCTTGGAAAGCAGTTGGGCATCATCAAGGGAAGCGCAAGACGCCCTGACCCTGTGACCCAGCCATTGCACTCTGAGGTTAACTCTGCACAAGTGCTCTGGAAGACAAGTTCAGCTGACTTGAGGGCAAACAACTGGAGACGGCCTAGGAGTCCATCCTCGGGAGAAGGGCTTCATGCATCGTGGCTTATGTACAGACTGCAGATGAATGGATTCACGCTCTGTGCAGCCGTGTGCAGGAGCCTCCATAACGTGATGTTGAGTCAAAACGATAAGCTGAAGGGTGACTCATCCAGCATAGTCCCATTAAGTTTGAGAGCAAACAAAACCAATGTTTATAGATACAGATGTATGTGTGAAAACAAATATGGGAAGGTAAACTCCAGATGCAAGGAGTTAATTCCCTCGGGAGGGAGACAAAGACAGAAATGCAATCAGAGAGGGCTGCCTGAGGGCTCTGACTATATCCCGAAAATGATCAGTGAAGGAGGAGGAGCAGGACCAGCAACCTGTTAGAACTGGAGCTGGAGCTAGTTGTGGTAGCAGACATCTGTAATCCCAGGGACTCAGGAGGCCAAGGCAGGAGGATTGCTTGAGGCCAGTTGGAGACTAGCCTGGGCAACATAATGAGACCCTGCGTCTAAAAATTAAAAATAAACTAGCCAGGTATGATGGCATGCACTTGACATCCCAGCTACTTGAGAGACTGAGGCAGAAGGATCGCTTGAGCCCAGGAGCTTGAACCTGGAGCAAATTGTAATTACACCACTGCACTCCATCCTGGGCAACAGAGCGAGACCCTGTCTCTAAAAAAAAATAATAAAATGAATTAATTAAAATAAAGAACTGGAGCCAAGTGAGAAATCCACAGGTGTTTGTTACATTACTTTCTGTACTTTTCTATATGTCTGAAATATTTCATAAGTAAAAAGAACAGATTTTCCAAATGAAGAGTTGAAGTCAGTGGTGAGCGGGGCCTCTTCCAGTTTTCTGAGTCATGCAGAAGCCTCTGGCAGTTCTAGAGGGTGCATCTGCGTCTCCCACTCTTCCAGCGCAAGCCGGCTCCATATTACGCTCCCAGTCCTAAAACAGAATGACTAACGTGGGATTCCCACCGTGGCGAGTGTGTGTGCATGTGTGTGTGCGCATGCACTCTCCCAGGGAATCTCCCACCCGCCTCCAGGCTGGCCCGCAGCCTCTCTGCCTTCTGTACATCTTCCAGAGTGGCCATGTGGGAAGCAGTCCACGTGAGAATGTCAGTACAGGGACTGAGGAGGCTGGGCCTTGGGGGGCCCCCCTGGCTCCCTGGCCTAATTGCCTCTGACCTTGGGTTTTGCATTCCTCACTTGCAAAGTGTATACAAGGGTAGTGTATGAATCTAAGCTTTCTTCTGGACCCTCACAGCCTCTCCATCTCTATGCCCTAGACAGCCTTCCCCACAATGAGATAGCAGTAAAAATGACAATTGCAGCTGCTGTTTACTCAGCACCAATAGTTGATTATCTCATTTAACCCCCACAACAGACCCCTGATGGATGAGAAGGCTGAGGATCAGCGAGGCCCCGTGGCTTGTCCCAGGAAACACAGTGGAGATGCAGTGTTGCTGGGGCTTTGAGGAGTGGAGGGAGGAAGGCTACCGTTGCACTGGCTTCTGCCCACCCCAGCCTTTGGCCACCCTGCCCGAGATGCCTCCCTCTCAGCCCCCGGCTCTGGATTTCCACCCTGAATCCTTCCCTAGCTCAGGCTGGATGGGCTTTGCTGGTTGAGAGTTCTGGGAGCCGGGCCCAGGGAAGCTGGGGCAGCTGGCAGAGGCCCCTAGGTCCCACGCACACCAGGGCTGCCCAGGGCCTCCAGCCGTGGAGGCAGGGGCAGTGGATAGAAGAGGACACGGGGCTCTCTCTTGGGAGCTCTTCCCACCAGAGGCCTCTGCTTCAAAAATTCGTGACCCACCATTTCCATGGTGGCCTCTCATGGGGCATCTCCACACCCACAAGTCACCTGCCATCATCTGACCCTCGCGACACCCTCAACAGGCAGGGCCATTTGTGAAATCTTCTTCCCAGAGGAGGAAACTGGGGGTCAGTGAGGCCCTGTCTCGGGTCACCACTTCCCAGCCCCTTGAAGAGTTGTCGAAAGTGAGCACATCTGTGCCCACCGTCCCCCAAAGCCTCTCTGCCTCTTCCCCAGAGGTCCCCGCGATCCTGATTTTTAACACCATAGGTGAGTTTTGCCTAGTTGAAACTCCATGTAAATGAGGTGGTCCAGTCTGTACTTTTCCTTCCCTGGTTTCTTTTGCTCATCACTCTTGGAGATCCCACGCTGCGTGTGACTGTAATTGCTCTTGTTCCTAGCTACATGATATTCCGTGCATGGGTGTGTCACAAGTTCCCCTGACACCTGCTGACAGGGGTCTGGGCCGTTCTCAGGTTTTGAAGCCAGCTGGCTTTCTGCAGCTCCTGCTGTCCCCTGCCTGAGCCCTGGAGCCTGGCAGCAGCCTGGGTCGGGAGCAGGTGTTGCAATGCTCCTCATTTTAAAGAAGGAATCAGAAGGCAAGTAGAGACAGGAGCCATCTGCCAAGGTGGGAGCTGGGGTCTACCCGGGAATACCTGCCTCTAAGCCCCAGCCTTTCCCAGCTCACTAGATCACTCCCGCCTCCCCTGCCCCAGCCCAGGGCTGCTCACATCTGCCTCTTTGACAGTCATCTTTGCCATTGGGTGGCCCTGTGTGCTGTCTGCCTGCCCTTCCCCAGCAGGATCCATGAGTGAGTCTGTGCCCGAGGCCAAGCAAGTGCTCAAGACATTTGTCATCCGCCCATCCTGCTGCTCCACCCCTGTGTCCTGTCACCTCAGCGTCCAGGGCCTGGGGCTGGTCAGGAGGCCTGAGGTGTTAGAGGGCTACAAAGTCAGGTAGGGCCTTGGGCAAGTCTCTTTGCCTCTCTGTGCCTCAGCTTCCTCCTCTGTACAGTGACATTGTTGAGAGGATAACGTGAGTTAACCCCTGAGAGGTGCTTGGCTGAGTGCCTGGCCTGCGGTGAGTGTCCACGGTTGTGGAGGCTGTGATGCCTACCCCTTGTTGCTGTTGTTATAACACAGGTGAAGAAGACGTCAATTCCCAGGCCTGGCCAACCTCAGCCCAGTGCCCTCCCTGCCCCATTAATTGTGTGTGTGTGTGTGTGTGTGTGTGTGTGTGTGTGTAGAGCCTCCCTTGAGCTTAACAAAATATTGACTTCCTGATAAAATCCTTGTCCCTAGGCTACTTTCCCTCTCCTTACTGAGCTGACCCTTCAAGGATCTCAGAGCCAAACTGATGGCTCCACAGTTCCCCCACTGCCTTGGGTCCTACTCTTAGTTTTTAAGACAATTAAATTTAAAAATTTACATGGAGATTGCTATGGTCTGAATGCCAAATCCATGTGTTGCAACCCTCATCCCCAAGGTGATGGTGTTGGGAGGTGGAAACTTTGGGAGGTGAGGAGGTCATGAGGGTGGGACCCTCATGAATGGGATTAGTGCCCTTATACAAGAGGCCCCAGAGAGCTCCCTTGCCCTTCCCACCATGTGAGGACACAGCAAGAAGGCACCATCTATGAATAAGACAGCAGGCTCTCCCTAGGCACCAAGTCTGCTGGCACCTTGGCCTTGAACTTTCCAGCCCCAGAACTGTGAGAAATAAATTTCTTTGTTTATAAAACCACCCAATCTATGGCATTTTGTTATAGCAGCAAGAACAAACTAAGACAGTGGTAGACACCTGCAGTAAAAAAGTCAAAATTCTCAGAGGAAAACTGGAAAATCAGGCTTTCTTTCTCATCCTTGTGCATTTTCGGTTGCATCTCATGTGGCTCCAGTATTCCCAGTTCCTTCTGTATCTTTCCAGAGATATTCTATCATACACAGGATGACTCCTGCATTTATCTTTCACACAAATGGTATTCTCTACATACCTTCTTCACCTTGCTATTATTTTTTACAGCAAGAAAAAAAAATCAAATTGAGCGAAACAGTCCCAAACCATTTCTACTTTAAAAATTTTTAGTTTGCAACAGTTTAAGACCCACATGAAGTTGCAAAAATAGTACAGAGTTCCCATGCACCTTTCACCCAGCTTCTCCCAGCTCCCCTAGTGCTAACATCTTACATAATCATGCTACATTGTCAAACCGGGAAATTGACATGGGTACAGTATTACTAAGTCAGACCTTATTTGGATGTTACCAGTTTTTACATGTAATAATTGTTTTGTTTGTTTTTGTTTTCTGGTGCATAATTCTCTGAAACTTTCCCATGTAGATAGATTTTGTAGCCATCAGGCTGTAGAACTATTCCAAGCACCGCAAAGAAATGCCCTCATGTTAACACTGTAGAATTGCACCTTCCCCCAACCCTATCCCTAGCAACCACTGATCTGTTCCCCATTACTATAATTATGTCACTGTGACAATGTTACATAAATGGAATTATATAGTATATAACCTTTTGAGATTGGCATGTTTTGCTCAGCATAGTGCCCTGAAGATCAACTCAAGTTGCTGTGCTTATCAATAGTCCATTCCCTTTTATTATTGTGCAGTCTTCCATTTCATGGGTGTCCCACAGTTTGTTTATTCACTCACCTGCTGAAGGACATTTGTGCTGTGTCCAACTTTTGGCTGTTATAAATAAAGCTGTGATAAATGTTCATATAAAAGTTTTTGCATAAACCTGTCTTCATTTTTCAGGGATAAATACCCAGAAGTAATAATTGCCAGGTTATATGGTAAGTGTGTGTTTAACTTGATAACGAACTTTCCAGAGAGGCCATACCCAGAAGCAAGTATGAGGACTCCAGCTGCCCTGCGTCCTTGCTAGCACTCGTCATTGTTCCTGTTTTTTATATTAGCCATTTTGATAGGTGGTAGTGATATCTCACCATAGCTTTAATTTGCGTCTCCCTGATACCCGTGATGCTGAACTTCTTTTCTTGTGCTTATGGATTTGCCATCCCCAGATCCTCTTTGGTGAAGTATCTGTATGTGTTTCTTGCCAGTTTTCTAATTGAAGTGTTTGTTTTCTTACTATTGAGTTTAGAGTGTTCTTATACATTCTAGATACAAGTCCTTCATCAGAGATCGGATTATTTGCAGATCTGCAAAGACTTCCTCCCAGTCTGGGGCTTGTCTTTCCATCCAGAGATTTTACATAGTGAACATTTTTATTTTCTTGAGACAGGGTCTTGCTCTGTCACCAGGCTGCAGTGCATTGGTACGACCACAGCTCACTGCAGCCTAGACCTCCTGGGCTCAAGTGATCCTCCTGCCTCAGCCTCCCAAGTAGCTGAGACTACAGGGGCATGCCATCACTCTTGGCTAATTTTTAAAATTTTTTTGTAGAGACAGGGTCTTCCTGTGTTGGCCAGGCTGGTCTCAAACTCCTGGCCTCAAGGGATCCTCTTGCCTCCGCCTCCCAAAATGTTAGGATTGCAGGTATGAACACCGTGCCTGGCTGAGTGAACATTTTCAATTTTGATGAAGTCCAATTTATCAATTTGTTCTTTAATGTCTAGACACCTTGCCTTTTACTTTAATATAGCTTATAGATAGTTCCCTATCATCATGTAAAGAACTCCCTTATTTCCATTGTACAGATAAAGCATAATTTATTTAACCAGTTCCCTGTTGGGGACCTAACTATCCAAACTTGTGCTACCCTAAACACCACTGCAACGAATAACTTTAAGCAGACATTCTTTCTCACACTGTGGGCTCCACATATCCACATGCTAGTCAAAGGGTTCAAGCATTTGACAGATTAATGGTGTCCTTCCCTTGCTCTCCCACTAATGTCTAGGTGATACTGTTCCCTTTACCTTTTACCAGCACAAGATGTTATCAGATTGTTTTGGTCTTTGCCAATTTAAAAAATGAAGAATGGTTTCTCTGTGTGATTTTAGTTTGGCTGTCTTGAAGAGCTTTCTGTGTTTTCTTTTTCTTTTTCTTTTTTTTTTAAGACAGTCTCTCTCTGACCCCCAGGCTGGAGTGCAGTGGCGTGATCTCGGCTCACTACAACCTCTGCCTCCCGGGTTCAAGTGATTCTCCTTCCTCAGCCTCCCAAGTAGCTGGGATGCTGGGATTACAGGCACCCGCCACCATACTAAGCTAATTTTTTGTTGTTGTTTGTTTGTTTTTTTTTTGAGACAGAGTCTTGCTCGGTCGCCAGGCCAGAATGCAATGGCACGATCTCGGCTCATGCAACCTCCACCTCCCGGGTTTAAGGGATTCCCCTGCCTCAGCCTCCCAAGTAGCTGGGATTACAGCCATGCGCCACCATGCCCAGCTAATTTTTGTATTTTTAGTAGAGGCGGGGTTTCACCATGATGGCCAGAATGGTCTCGATCTCTTGACCTGGTGATCTGCCCAGCTCAGCCTCTCAAAGTGCTGGGATGACAGGCGTGAGCCACCGCCACGCCCGGCCTAATTTTTGTATTTTTAGCGGATAGAGTTTCGTCATGTTGGCCAGGCTGGTCTCAAACTCCTGACCTCAGGTGATCCACCCGCCTTGGCCTCCCAAACTCTTGGGATTACAGGTGTGAGCCACCACGCCCAGCGCCTTCTGTATTTTCTTCCTCGCAACGTTCAGTTCCTGGCCCATGTATTCTTTCCTACTAGGCCCTGGCATTGTCAATTGGTAGGAGCCCACACTTGACTTTCTGAAGGGAGTGGGCCTGAAAATGCCAGGACTGCCTCCTGCGCCAGTCCTTACCCGCTGATGGGGCTGAGATCTTGGTTTATGCCTTGCCCCTAACTTGCTGCCAGGAGTCTCTCCTGCATGAGCTCAGTGTCTCCATCTGTGAAGTGGGGATAAAAGTAGCACCCACTCATAGAACTGCTGAGAGGATGTTTATTGATTTATTAGAGACAGGGTCTTGCTCTGCTGCCCAGGCTGGAGTGCAGTGGTGAGATCGCAGCTCACAAGAGACCACCAAACAGGCTTTGTGTGAGCAGTAAAGCTTTTAATCACCTGGGTGCAGGCGGGCTGAGTCCGAAAAGAGAGTCAGCGAAGGGAGGTAAGGGTGGGGCCGTTTTATAGGATTTGGGTAGGTAAAGGAAAATTACAAAGGGATTACAAAGGAAAATTACAAAGTTGTTCTCTGGCGGGCAGGAGTGGGGGGTCACAAGGTGCTCAGTGGAGGAGCTTTTTGAGCCAGGAGAAGGAATTTCACAAGACAATGTCATCAGTTAAGGCAAGGACCGGCCATTTTCACTTCTTTTGTGGTGGAATGTCATCAGTTAAGGCGGGGCAGGGCATTTTCACTTCTTTTGTGATTCTTCAGTTACTTCAGGCCATCTGGGCGTATACGTGCAAGTCACCGGGGATGCCATGGCTTAGCTTGGGCTCAGAGGCCTGACAGTGAGATCGCAGCTCACTGAAGCCTTGACCTCCTGGGCTCAGGTGATCCTCCCTGTGGGGAAAAGAAAGAGATCAGACTGTTACCGTGTCTATGTAGAAAGAAGTAGACATAAGAGACTCCATTTTGTTCTGTACTAGGAAAAATTCTTCTGCCTTGAGATGCTGTTAATCTGTAACCCTACCCCCAACCCTGTGCTCGCAGAAACATGTGCTGTGTCGACTCAAGGTTTAATGGATTTAGGGCTATGCAGGATGTGCTTTGTTAAACAAATGCTTGAAGGCAGCATGTTTGTTAAAAGTCATCACCACTCCCTAATCTCAAGTACCCAGGGACACAAAACACTGCGGAAGGCCGCAGGGACCTCTGCCTAGGAAAGCCAGGTATTGTCCAAGGTTTCTCCCCATGTGATAGTCTGAAATATGGCCTCGTGGGAAGGGAAAGACCTGACCATCCACCAGCCCAACACCCTTAAAGGGTCTGTGCTGAGGAGGATTAGTAAAAGAGGAAGGCCTCTTTGCAGTTGAGATAAGAGGAAGGCATCTGTCTCCTGCTTGTCCCTGGGCCATGGAATGTCTCGGTGTAAAACCCGATTGTATGTTCCATCTACTGAGATAGGAGAAAACTGCCTTAAGGCTGGAGGTGAGACATGCTGGAGGAAATACTGCTCTTTAATGCATCAGATATATTTATGTATGTGCACATCAAAGCACAGCACATTTTCTAACCTTGTTTATGACACAGAGACATTTTTGTTCACATGTTTTCCTGCTGACCCTCTCCCCACTATTACCCTATTATCCTGTTACAGCCCCCTCTCTGAGATGGCAGAGATAATGATCAATAAATACTGAGGGAACTCAGAGACCTGTGTCGGCATGGTTCTCCGTATGCTGAGTGCCAGTCCCCTGGGCCCACTTTTCTTTCTCTATACATTGTCTCTGTGTCTCTTTCTTTTCTCAGTCTCTCATCCCACCCAACGAGAAATGCCTACAGGTGTGGAGGGGCAGGTCACCCCTTCACTCCCACTTTAGCCTCCTGAGTAGCTGGGACAAAAGGCGCACGTCACCATGCCTGGCTAACTTTTTAAATTTTTTTGTAGAAATGGCGTCTCACTGTGTTGCACATGCTGGTCTCAAACTCCTGGCCTCAGGTGATCCTCCTGCCTTGGCCTCTCAGAGGGTTGGGATGACTACAGGCGTGAGTCACCCCGCCCAGTCAAGAGGATGCTTGAGTAAACTTGCATGATAGCGCTTAGAACCGTTTCTGGCACACAGTGAGTGCTATGCAAGCGTCAGCCCTTCTATTGTGGTCATCATCTGCAAGTACTGTGGCTCTAAGAAGCAGTCTTCCCACAAAGTGGTCGTCCAGCCCCCACTGCACTCTCCCACTGGCTGGGGGGCCTGCCTCTGAGGCAGGTGTATTGCAACCCAGAGGTCTGCAGGCAGCCACCAGACAGCTACATACTGCCCCAGGAGCCCCTGTGAGCACGGCTTCCTCCTGCTAGCTGCAAGCTATGGCCTTCCATTTACTCCATCCCTGAGGGAGGCCCCAGTGATGCAGAACAGGCAAGCCCCAAAATTGGAGCTCAGCTGGGGACGGTTCTTGGCTTCACCCAGGAAACAATTCAAGGATGAGCCAGTGGTGTTAGCAACTTTTACTGAAGTGGCAGTGTGCAGCAGTAGCAGAGGTACTGCTCCCTGCGGGGCAGGGCTACCCCATAGGTAGTGTGCCCAGAGTGGCAGCTCAGAGGCAGTTCTGCAGTCATATTTATACCCACTTTTGATTATATGCAAATTAAGGAGCAGATTATGCAGACATTTCTAGAAAAAGAGTGATAACTTCCGGGTCATCGGGTTGTTGCCATGGAAAGGGGTGGTAACGTCTGGGTGTTGCCATGGCAATGGTGAACTGACATGACACTGGTGGGCATGTCTTATGGAGAGGTGCTTTCACCTCTTCCCTGCTTCAGTCTGGTCTGGAGTTCAAGTCCCGGCCCTCAGAGTCAACCCCGCCTCCTAACTCACCTCTAGCCATCCCCAACCTGCGTGCCTAGTTCTGTGTCAGGGACAGGGCCTGTCTAAAGGTTGACCAAGGACAGGTTGGAGACAGGGACATTTGACATTGTACAGTCAAAACCACAGAGGGACGCTGCTTGAATGGGCAGCTCAGGCCCCTGGGAAGTCCCCCGGTGTGGAAGGTGTTGGCCTGGGTGACACCTCAGCAGGAGGGTTGGGGGCTTCCCTCCTGCCCCTGGTCTCTTTTCCCCAGGGCCTTTTAGACCCCTTACTCTCCTGAGGTGAGGGAATGGAGCACTGGAGAGGACCCACTGAGAAAGCAGGTCTGTGTTGATACCAAGAGCATGGACTTGAGCATCTTTATTTGAACCCTGGCTATTGGCTGTGTGACCTTGGGAGAGTCACTTAACCTCTCTGAGCCCCAGTTTCTCTATCTATAAAATAAGGCTGATAACAGTGTCTGCTTCTTAGAGTGGTTGTGAGAGTTAAATGTGGCAATGCTTGTGAAATGCTTGGCTGGCACTTGGCATATGGTGATCGCTCATTGGGGATAGCAGAGGTAGTAGTTGTTGTTGTTGAACAGAAGGATCTCAGGCCATTGCTCCTACCATGCCCTCTACCTGGAGCATCTTCCTCACTCCCTCCACTTGTCTAATCCCACTCATTCTCCAGGTCTTAGCCCATGCAAGCACCCACCATGTACCAGGCCTTGGGAACATGAGGGGAGCAGGTCACCCCCGATCCCTTGGGAGCACCTTGTCAAGCAGCTCCTTGCAGCTGAGTGGGGCCAGCCTGGGCTAGAATCAGAAGACCTGGGTTCTCATTCCACATCGGCCACCAACTGCCCAAGTGCCTCAGGCAAATGGCTTCCCCCAGGCCTTAGTTTACCCAACAAGAGATCTAAGGAAGCTCTGTAAGTTTTCCTCCCTCCCTACAGGGGGCGTCCAGACCACAAAGTGCACAGGCCCTTTCCCCATGTGATGCTGTTCAGCCAGAAAGCTTCCAAACTCCCCTCGAGAGCACCTGGCATGCGTCCTCTCCAGTCTGCTCTCCCAGGGCACTGTGAATGGTAATGCAGGCCTCGCTCACTGATGGTGGGCCCGCATTGTTTCACTTGCTCCCCACCACCTCTTCACTGATGATAGGTTTCACAGGAAGCATCATGGTGGCCACGTCTTTGTCGGGGTGAGCCTTGCTTCCCAGGAGTTGTGGGAAGGACTCAACTGTCTGGGATTCCCTATTTTGGGGGCTGTTTTCTGCTAGGCAGGTTTGGGTTCGTGCCTCAGCTCCTCTGTTGCATGAGTGGAATCTCTTGCAGTTCATTGCCTCTGACAGAAGACCTGGCTCAGAGGGTGGTGAGACATACTGTTTCCTATAACCGGCAAGCCCTGGGGTTTCAGGCATGGCTGGAACCACATGCTCAAATTATGTCTCCAATTGACAGATGAACAAATGGAAATCTGTGACTTACTGGAGAGAACACAGTACACATGTCCTTTCTCTTGACTCCGCTTCTTCTGTGTTGGCTTCATTCTCAGGAGCCATTCTCATCCTCCTCAGTGGGAAGGTGGCTGCCAGCAACTGCAGGCTGTTCTTGAGCAGAGAGAGGGTCTAGTTCCCCCAGCATCTCAGCAGAAGTCCCATTCAGGTCTGTCCCTGGCCAGGCTTGGGACTCCTGGCAATCCCTGGACAGGGGCTTGGAGATCCCAGCTGGGATGGTGGAGGCTGAAAGACACCCTCCTCGAGCCACACAGAGAGCTTCAGTGGAGTCCAGACACAGGAGGATCAGCTTCAGAGGTCAGAGCAGGGGTGTCCCTGCAGCTGGAGTCCCTGCAGCTGGGCAGAGTGTGCTGGACCACAGAGGCCTGGAGGTGAGGAAGGAGGAAGGAGGGCGCGGCCGGCCCGATGGCTGGGAAGGGGGCTGGGGCTCGCAGCTCTTCCTGGGAGGCCCCAGCAGGCAGCTGACCTGAGGGAGTGAACCCCACCCACTGGGAGCTGGAGAAGGGATGGAGCCTGTTTCTCCTGGGCTGGGGAGAACAGGTGGGTGCGAGGGGTCTGCCCACCTTCTCAGGGGAACATCAACACTGTATCCTGTCACACAAGCAAACACAACCCCACTGACCATTAGGGGTACAGCCTCCAGCACAGAGCATACATTTTAAAGACTTTTATTTATTTTTATTTCAATAGCTTTAGGGGTACCAGCGGTGTTTTGTTACATGGATAAATTGTATGGTGAAGTCTGGGCTTTTCATATACCCATCACCCAAATAGTGCACATTGTACCCAATAGGTGACTTTTCATCCCTCACCCCTCCCCCCACCCTCCCCACTTCTGAGAGTCCATTATACCACTCTGTCTGCCTTTGTGACCCATAGCTTAGCTCTCACTTATAGGTGAAGACATGCAGTCTTTGGTTTTCTGTTCCTAAGTCACTTCACTTAGGATAAGAGAGCGAGCATTTTAACCACCATTTATTAGATACCTACCACGTGCTGGGCACCTTGCCTCACGCCAGACATGCATTATTTGAAATCTTCACAACAGCTTTGAGAGGGAGTGGGTGTGTGGCCCACTTGCCAGGTGGGGAAGTTGAGGTTCATAGAGCTGGTCTGTTCAAAGTGTAGCTACAGTAGTGAGGGCACACAGCCAGACATACAGCAGATATATTGTAACAGTGTGTGTGCCAGGAACAGAACTGAAGTGGTTGAAATGTAGAGAGGGTTTGCAGACGAAGGGGTATGTCTGGTCAAGCTGGGGCGAGGAGAGGGGAAAAGGTGAAATTTTCGAGAAGGAGCAATGTTCCAGTGCAATCTGGAGGAATTTCCATGAGAAAATGATGGTGAGAGCGTGCACTGAGCAGAAGGCACAGTTGGCCTTTGGGGAGCTGGGAGCAGTTGGGTATTTCTGAGGCATGATGCGGACAGCAGAGGGGAAGTGGATGCTGAGGGTAAGGGACCTTGCCACAGTGGCCAGCAACAGCATCACAGCTGGCCAGTGGGGGCTGGTGGCAGAAGCAGTGACTCTGAGCTTGTTGCCAGGACAGGAAAGCTGAGGGACAGAAAGACCCAGGACTCAGGACCTGTCATGTGCAGGATTTCCAGAGAAGGCCACAGTCACCAAGTGAGCGGCCACACTGTGCCTGGTGTCCTCACCCTCGTGGCACTCTGAATACTCAGTAGAGACCCATGGGTACGGGAAAGGAGTATCTGCATTGTTTAGAGGGGAAGTTGAGGCTCAGAGACAGAAAGTGACCGGCCCCAGGCCACAGAGTCAGGAAAGGACAGAGTGGGACTGGAACCCAGGACCCTTCATCTCTTTCATCTCTGAGCTGCCCATCATCCCTGAGCAAGCTTTAAACCAAGTGTGCCCATTGCCACTGCCCTCCAGAGACACCTTGAGTGCCTTTCATTAAAAGTGTCCTGTTTTGTAGAGATGAGGCCTCACTATGTTGTTCAGGCTGGTCTCAAACTCCTGGGATCAAGCGATCCACCTGCCTCGGGCTCCCAAAGTGCTGCAATTACAGGCATGAGCCACTGTGCCTGGCCTCTCTTCCCATTTCTGACCCTGGTTTTCTATATAACTGTTTTTGTCTCTCTAGGCCTGGCCCCAGGTCCCCTCTCACAGCTCCCACCATCCCACATTTCACCACAACCTGCAGGCAGCCCTCCTTCCCGCACCAGCCTCAACGTCTATGAGGCTGAGCCAGAGAAAAGCAGATGTGGTTGCAGTGGGGTGGCGGGAGGCCTAGGCCCTGAGAGCTGTGCTGGGGCAGGGACACCCTGAGGAGGCACCCTAGGGGTGGGAGAGGGCAGCCCCAGGAAGGAAGGCCTTTCCCGGCCAAGGCTGCCCAGAATGGGCTCACTGAGTGGGAGGGAGTAAGCCTCCTCGCCTCCTTTCCCCACCCCAGAAGTTTAAGTGGGCTTGGGTGCTGCAAAAGGAATTTTGGAGCAGAAATGTGAGCTGAATCAGTCTCCTGTATGTCACCTGGGTCACATGTTAAAATGCAGATTCCTGGGCCCTGTCTCAGAAATGCTGACTCATTAGGTCTGGTGGGATGGGGAGATCTGCAACTCTGTATTTTAACAGCACCTCAGGGCATTCCCATGGGAACCACCGAGGAGGAACTGGGAGTTTTTCCTAACTCTGAGGCTCTGGGAAAAGTTGTCTATGCCCAGAAGCCAGCATCAGGCAAAGTTGCCCAAGACCTGCTCCGCCAGCCCCTTGCAGCTGGGCTGGGCTTCCAGGAGCAGACGCCCGGTGTCGCACTGCAGGAAGCAGACCTTTCTGAGCCTGGGGAGGACTCTGAGGGGCGAGGAGTGGGAATGCAAAAGAGGAGCCTGGGGATGGAGCAGTTAATGGGGGCAGCCACAGGCTCCTTCTCTCTGAGACCCTCAGTGACTCGCCCAAGGGCACACAGCTGGGTTCCCATAACCCAGCACTAGCAGCTGGGAGGGGGTTGGGGATGGTGGTGTGTGCCAGCTACACAGATAATTAGATGCAGTCCTGCCCTCCTGTGACTTGGAGTAAAGCAATCAAATGTTAACGGTTTTTAAACTGAGCAATGCAGACAGAGCTACAGGTGCAAGATGGGGAGGGAAGTCTCAAAAGTAAGTAGTGGGGAGGTGGAAGGTGCCCCAGGTCCAGCACTGCATGGATGGGTGGAGGTGTGGAGGGGCATCCCAGCGGCAGTGGGCGGGGGTGTCACGGGTGGAGCTGATTCCTGCCCTTCCGACCACTCCTGAACCCCATGGGGGAGCCTGTGAGCTGTCTGCGGGGAACTCAGACCATCTACCCTTGGACCCAGGAGGAGAAGACCCAGACATGTGCTTGAAGAGGTCTGCAGAGAAAGCTGAGGAGAGCTGAATGTGCCCAGCTCAGCTATTTGTGTGGATTGAGGCGCAGTATCACAGGCTGGCATGCAGGAGAGAGGGTTTTATTTAGAGAGCGGCCGTCTGGAGGGGCCTTGCCAGCAGAGAAGTTTAGAAATCATCTGATGCTGCCCCTCATTTAACAGAGAAGCCAGGGCCCAGAGAGGGCAGGAGACCATCTGAGGCCACACAGCCACAGCTGACAAACTCCGAGTTGGAACCTAGGTCTCCGATTCTGAACCAGCACCTTTCCAATGGGTGGCAAGTGCATAGCGTGGGCAGGACTTCCTAACCCCGCAGAGATCCCACTCTCCCCACCACCGCCTCGCACCCAGCCTCAGCTCCTTTATAGCACGCGTCCAGGCAGCTTCCACCAGGCATTCAAGGTTGGTTCCAGAGAGGAAAACTATGTGCCATCCCTGCTCAACATTCAAAAGGGCCTCTCCCAAATGTGTTCTCGGTGGCAGCACCTGCTAAAATTCTGGATTTTAAGGGGTCCTTCCCTGCCCATTATCACTGCAACCTTGACTCCTCCCCGACCCCACACCTGTGGCCTGGTGCCAAAGGCTTCTGCATCTTTGGCAGAGAAACGTATGTCCTCCCCAACCCCTTGGAACTGGTTGCAAACTTGGGTGGGGTTGTGCATTGGGGTGGGGGTAGAAGGACTCTAACGTTTACAGTTTTAAAATCAGATTTTCAAAGTCTGTGACTTCAAAAGGAACAGAGTCACTGATTTGCTTCATAGTATGTGCCATGAGTCAAGCATTTTTCTGTACTGTGCCTGGTGCTGTGGGTTAGAGCGCTTCTCTGGGGCCAGCCTGCTGGGTTCAAATTCTGACTCAGCAATGTGTTGTTACCTGTTTGACCTGGGACAAGTGACATCACCTGAAAACCCTCCAGAAGTGTTGGCTGTACTTATCCTCTCATTCCTTTGAAATAGCCCAATCCAAGAACTACTGTGTCAGAGAGGATGCTTTTTGGCTGCAGGAAACAGAGCATCTACAAGTAGTTTAAACAGCAAAGAGGTTTGCCATTTCACACCATGAGCAGTTCGGAGAAACCACTCAGAGTTAATTTTGCATCTCAAGAAAGTTCTCAAGGACTCAGTTTTTATCTCTCTGCTCTGCTGTCTCCTTAGCCAGCTGACAGACATATTGGGTGGACCAACAGACACCCCCGCAGCCAGGTGATCCAAGCCAAGGATTCCTTGGTGCCCCTGGCTAGTAGGTAGAGGTGTCGAGCATTTGTGATGGTTCATCTCAGGTGTCAGCCTGACTGGTTTAAGGGACACCTAGATAGCTGGTAATTCTGGGTGTACCTGTGAGTTTGTTTCAGGAAGAGACTGGCATTTGAATCAGCAGCTGAGTCAAGAAGATTGCCCTCACCCAATGTGAATGGGCACCATCCAATCAGCTGAGGACTTAGATAGAACGAGAAGGCAGAGGAAAGGTGGGCAAATTTCCTGTATCTTCTGGAGCAGGGATACCCTTGTCCCACCCTTGGACATTAGAACTGCAGGTTCTCAGTCCTTCAGCCTCCGACTAAGAGTTGCACCATCAGCTCCCTTTGTTCTCAGGCCTTTGGCCTTGAACAGAGCCACACTACTGGCTTCCCTGGTTCTCCAGCTTGCAGACAGCCTATCATGGGACTTCTCAGCCTCCATAATTGCATGAGCAAATTCCCCTAACCCGTCCACTTGCAGATTCTTGGCAATAAATGGTTCTTGTTTCCAGCCACTGTGTTTTGGGGTGGTGTGTTACTTTGCATTCTTATAGCACAGCTGACTGGTACATCCTTCCCAGAGAGACTGATGTTCAGAGATGACGGCCATCCCATTAGCCACCTGTCTGGCTCCTCTTTACTCGGACGCCTGATATAGCTTGGATGTCGCCTCCAAATCTCATGTTGAGATGTAATCTCCAATGCTGGAGGTGGGGCCTGGTAGGAGGTGTTTAAATCATGGGGGCGTCCATCCCTCATGAGTGGCTTGGACCATCCGCTTGGTGATAAGTGAGCTCTCACTCTGAGTTCGCACGAGATCTGGCCATTTTAAAGTGTGTGGCACCGCCCTCCCCAATTTGCTCCTGCTTTCACCATGTGACATGCCTGCTCCCACTTCACCTTCCACCATAATTGTTAGCTTCCTGAGGCCTCCCCAGAAGCTGATGCTGGAGCTGTGCTTCCTGTTCAGCCTACAGAACCATAAGCTAATTAAGCCTCTTTTTCTTTTATAAATTAGCCAGCCTCAGGTATTTCTTTATACTAATGCAAGAACAGCATAATACAACCCCCTTCCTATTGTGAATCTGTCCCCTTGCCGGTGGAGTTTTGGGGAAGGCAGGGCCCACCTCCCACTACAAAATTTAAAAGGGCAAGATCCTCCCTCTCTCTCCTTCCTAATGTCCAAATCATGGGCCCCGACCCAGAAACTAAATATGCTGTGACAGATGCAAAGATGCGGGGTGGAGGAGCAGTTACGCACAGAGATGGCGGCAGCCAAGGTGGCCCAGCAATGGCAAAGACCCCGTTCTCGTCGGTGCTCCCAGCTCATGGGAGTGGCCCCTCGGCAGTGCCCCCTCAGCCTCCCTCATCCTGGCTCCTACCTGTTTTTCTGAGTCTGGTTCTCCAGACTTCCTGAAGATTCCGTGAGCTACCTGATATCCCTCCAGGAAATTCCTTTACATCTTAAGAAGGCCAAGCTCTGCTTTAATGCCTGCAGACACGAGCCCTGACTGGCACACACAAGGAGCAAGTGACCTAACCTTTCTCTGCCTCGGGTCCTCAAGGGAGACAGGGATGATAATAGCACTTACTTTGTAGGACTGAAGTGAGGTCATCCATGCAGCAAGCATAGCACAGGGCCTGGCACACAGCAAGCACTCAATAAATGTTAGCTGTCAGCACTACACATCCTTCAGCTTCCAGGGAGGTCAAGGGAAATACAAAACTAAGATTCTTGAAGCCAGATATGTCTCTCTCTCCTTTAAAGTCATCCCAGAAGCCCAAAGGGTTGCCATCGCTGGTAAAGGGGTAATGGGAGTGACGGCGATGATGATAATGATGATGATGAAGACAGCAAACACTTCCAACGCTTGCATAGTGCTTTTTGTTTTCTTTTCTTTTGTTTTGTTTTACCGCCAGGAACTGTTCTAAGTACTCCACAAATTTTATCTCATTTAAACCCTCATAAGCATACCATAAGGAAGTGTTACTTCACATCGTGAGAAGTTCAGAGGAGCCACTTGAAGTCAGTTCTGCATCTCAAGAACGTTCAAGCAGATTGCCCTCACCTAATGTGAACAGGCACCATCCAATCAGCTGAGGACCTTGATAGAACAAGAAGGCAGAGGAAAGGTAGGCAAATTTCCTGTCTTTTCTGGAGCTGGGATACCCTTCTCACACCCTTGGACGTTAGAACTGCATTGGAACTCATTTTACAGATAAGAATACCAAGACACAGAGAGAGCAACCGGTTTGCCCAAGGTCATATGAGCTGTGGGCAGTGGCACTGGGGTTTGATCCCAGCGCTCTGGCTCCAGAGTCAGTGGCAGCAGGACGAAGCTGTGGAGAGCACAGCAGGTGCTCACTAGTGGTTTCTCTTGTGCAAGATCCCTCACTCACCCAGTCCCTTGGACTGGTCTGCCCCTGTGCCCACCAGAAACAGCAAGCTTGGGAGCCCTGGCTGAGTCACTGGCTTCAGGAATCTGGGGCATTTGGGACCTTGGTCCTTGGTGTGGATGTGTGGTTCTGGTCAGGACCATCTCTGCACCCTGGGGATGGTGCAGGGGTGGCAGGCCTCCCCTCCTTGGCCCCACCTCACTCTAGGGGCAGGAATACAGCCTTCCCACCACCAGCCTCCGAGTTTTGGGGTGGTGTGTTACTTCGCAATTTTGTGGTATGGCTGATTGGTACATCCTCTCCAGATAGGCTGATGTTCAGAAATGACAGCCATGGGACCATGGGAGGCGCCCACTAGCTCCTCAGCCCCCAGCCTGGCTGTGCTGACAGCTGACATCTAGACTTTAGGCTTGGTACCCAGGCAGAGCGGGCAGTCAGATGTGACCACTGGGGCCAAGAGGGCTGAGGTTACTTGCCTGGCACCTCATGGCTACTCATTGGTGGACTCTGGATTTGAACCTACATCTGCCCGCCTGAAGGCCCCTGTGGTGTAGCCAAAAGGAGCATGTGGCATCTGTTAGGCTCACATCTGGCTGACAGTGGCTGTTTTGTGCACTGTTTTTAATTTTAAAAACTATTTTAAAAACCAATCTCTGACATTTATGGAGTGTCGGTTACAGAGAGCCAGACCCTTACGTGTGTGACATCATTGAATCCCTCAGCTGCCCTTAAGGGCTGAGCCACACTCAGTCTTGTTTATAAAGGGGAAACCAAGGCACCCGAGGCAAGGGGCCTGGTGCACTTTTGTGTTCCTTGCCTGCCTAGCATTCTTCACCCCTTTTTCTAGGAGGGGCACCCCAGTTTCCCTTTGGGAAACCTCCCACCCTCATTGCTGCAGTTAGGTCAAGACTGTCAGTCAAGGTGCCCTATCCTCCTCTGACCAAGGGGTAGGCACATGACCTGGGCATGGCCAATCAGACACTCTCTCCTGGGCTGGCCCCACTCAAATCATATGACATAAACAGGCCACATCCAATGCTGCTTCACACTGAAGACTGTCTCCTTGTCCTTGCTACCTAGGCCCACTCATCTGAATCCCATAGATTTTGAGATGTTGACTCCAAGAATTGTATTTCATACTTCCTATAAGGCCCCATATCTCTAGCTGAAGTTAGCTGAGCCTGTTTTCTGTTGCTTGCTTGCAAGCCAGGGCCCTACCCAAATTTGAAGGAGCACCCCAGGTTCATGCAGGTAACACAGGAGTCACACCCAGGAGGTCTGATGCCAGAATCCGGAGTCTAGGCTGCTGCCTGGGGTAGGATCTCCCAGGTCAAAGAGGGAACCAACATTACCTGGGGCCCAGGGATATTGCCCACAGTAGCTAGCTGTGAATTTGCCTTCATTCCTACAAGAAAGCCACATTGTTTTCATGAAAGAGTAATGTCCTAAGCTATTCAGAAGTGATTTTCATTGTCCTCAATCTTCCCGGCTCCACAGATCCCACAGAACAGCTCCCCTGGCACCCTGAGAAGCATCTCCCTTACCCACCCCACCACATTCCCCTGCTGCTCTGGAGGCACTGGGAGGGCTTGGCCCCCTGGGACCCTCTCCGGGGGTCCAGGTGGATGGAATCCAACGTGGCAGTGTCTCTTAGAACCCTGCAGGTCAGCCCGTCAGGCTTTTTCCACCTCCACATTTGTGTCATAGCCACATCCCTCCTGTACTAACATTTTCTTTACTGAAATCACTTAAAAATCTAGAAGACTTCATTCACTTCACTGCTGGAAAGGGCACTAGTGTCGCCGTATGTAATCAGAATGCAGCCATGCACAGAAAACAACATGTGCTACTGTCCAGCTCGGCACCATGGCCTGCCCAGGGCTCGCCAGTGGCCAGGGCTTTGCCAGGGGGGTTGACAGGGGTTAGAGGGGTATCCCAGATACAGGCACCGCCCTGACCTTCCACCCTGGATGCGGTCAGAATCAAAGGTTCAAAAGGAACCAGGAGGGGCACATGTCATCAGGACCTCCTGAGGCTGTGTCATTTAAAAAAAAAAAAAGGAAGCAGGAGAGACGCAGTTTCTCCGTTAGTAAGCTGATGTTACTTAAGGCCATGGCATGTGCCATGAACTTCACATTTTGGGAAACACTGATCCTCACGGCACAAGTAAAAACAGAGAGGAAACGAGTCTTGTCCCAGCCACACAGCACATCGAAAGAAGAGAGGCTGGAACTAGGCTGTCCTGCCCACATGCCAGGTCTTCCAGCAGCACCTTGCTTTGTCTCTTTAAAGCATTTCAGATGCTCCCAGGCAACTCCTGGAGATCTAGGACCACATTAATCTCCGCAGCCACGCCCCTTCCATCTGTTGAGTTTGGGCTCTCCTCAATCCCCCCACCCCCACTGCACCCACAGCACCAGTTGGTGTGGGCTCTGCGAATGCAAACTCATTTAAACGTCAGCTGGAGCAACAGAGCTCAGCAAAACAAGCAGGCAACAGAAATAGACATGACAATCACTGGCATCCTAGACTGTCAGCAGGACTTCCAGACCCTCTTAGCCCTTCCTGGGACAGGTAGCCCTTGGAGACACAAGATAACTAGGGACCCCAGCCAGGGGAAACTCATGCATATGCATATTTTGCATGTAATTTTGGAGGGGTCATGGGACCCATCTCACCTCAACATCTTGTGGGGTTTTTTTCCGTCTAAATGAACTGAGGTTCCCAGAAAGATTTTGTTTGCAAAAAGTGATCTGATTCCAAGAATTTGGAAATGACTGGTCTCATTGATTTTTCAGGCAGCTTCCAGTTAATAAGCTGTGAAAAAATGCTCAAATCCACTCCAGAAGCAGCAGTTCAGGGTACCTCTGTTGCAACCAGAAACCTCTTCCAACCCTCGACTTATCTTTTTGGAAGGGTGAACCTTGGGGTTTATCTTAAACGTGGAGGCACTCCTGCAGCATCAGTAAAAGTCTTTGACACTTTGAAGAGGAACCAAGGTTAAATTTCAGCAGGGAGGAGACACCCCATCTCTGTTCCTCGCCTCCACGGCCATGGCTCCTACCTTCTGCCTTGCACAATTCAGGCACCATCTGACAGAATACAAAAGCAGCCATGCCCTGTGGATTATTTAACTCTGAGGTCACAGCCATTCCCTGTGGATTATTTAACTCTGAGGTCCCAGCCATGGTCCTGAGTGGCCTTAATGTGTAGGCCTTGCCTTTGTGATTTCAGTGTCCCCCATCTTTTTTTTTTTTTTGAAACATTGTCTTGCTGGGTCACCCAGGCTGGAGTGCAGGGGTGCAATCTCTGCTCACTGCAACCTCCGCCTCCCGGGTTCAAGCAATTCTCCTGTCTCAGCCTCCTGAGTAGCTGGGATTACAGGCACCCACCACCACGCCAGGCTAATTTTAGTATTTTTAGTAGAAACGGGGTTTCTCCATGTTGGCCAGAGTGGTCCAAACTCCTGGCCACAGGTGATCCACCCACCTTGGCCTCCCAAAGTGTTGATTACAGGCGTGAGCCACCGTGCTCGGCCAATGTCCCCATCCTAACCAAAGGAGAGAGTGGAAGGTTGAACCAAAGGAGAGAGTGGAAGGTTGGGACAGGGACCAGCCCCATGTTACGTTCCCCTTCTTGTTCTAGGACTTTGCATGCTTAAGTTCTTGGCATTTGAAATCTTCTCTGTTCTCCTGATTGCTTTGTTTCTTAGCAAGGATTGGGGTAAAAGATCTCCCCCAGAGGAAGTGGTAAGGACAGAAGCTGAACAATAGGGCTGAGAGGGCTCTGGCACAGGAAGGATGGGAGACTGATGAGAGGGAAGTAAGAAATTGTTGGAAAGAGGCCAGCAGGAGAGGAGGGAGGTACTGATGTTACCTGGCTGTGGCACCAGCAGTTTGAGACCTGGAGGGACAGGTGTCTATGTGGGGTATCACGTGGTTGGGGAGGGGTAATTTCCACCTGCAACTGGGGGCTGCCTGAAACCCGATCAGAAGACTCATGGCATGGTGCTAATGGCCTCAGGGAGCTGGCAGGAAGCAGCTGGGCTGAGAAGTGGCTGCTGTGGCTCAAGGTGCCTGCTGGGTCCCTCTGCACTGCATTTGCTGTCGAATGTGCTCTCTGGCCAGGAACGCTGGGCTTTCACGTGCCACCAAGCACAGGATCCAAGGAGGAGAGATGGCCTATACTTGGTTGCCCCGGTTTCCTCATCTGTGCTGTGAGGTTGATCATCCATGGCAGGCCCACTTCCCAGTGTTGATCATCCATGGCAGGCCCACTTCCCAGTGTTGATCATCCATGGCAGGCCCACTTCCCAGTGTTGATCATCCATGGCAGGCCCACTTCCCAGTGTTGATCATCCATGGCAGGCCCACTTCCCAGTGTTGATCATCCATGGCAGGCCCACTTCCCAGTGTTGCTGGGAGTCAGAGCCGGGTGGTGGACGGAGGGAGTCTGTCCTGGCTCAGAGAGTGGCACGTGTGTCTTCTCCTTGGGTCAGCCTTCAGATCCAGTAGATGACCTTCTGGAACCCACAGCTCAGAGGCTAAAACTCACATGCCAACAGCATTTGCAAATGAGGGACGCAGCCCCAGCGCCATTCCTCACGTCATTGAGGGGAAGAATAGTATAGTGGCCATGAGCACAGACTGGTTTTGGCTAGACTGGGTCCAAATCTTGGCTCTGCCACTTACCAACCGCAGACCTCTGAATCTCGGTTTCCTCGTCAACAAAGGGATTAATAAACAGTAAAATAAATCATTGGCAAATAGCATATCGATACCTTCTGTTCGCTTATCCTGCAGCCATGACAGACACTGCTAATCATTCAAGATATTCTTTCTCACTGACCCTCAGAATCTTCTGTATGTCCAGAGCTCCAGGCAGCCACTCCCAATAGGTAGGATTTGGCATGTGAGATGAATCTTTTTTGTCATCTCATTACGATACCTTTAGAGCACAGTTTCTGGCACATAGCAGATCCTGCATAAAAGCTACCATTCAGCCTCTGCTCATTGCAAGAATCCTTATCCATTATCCCCAACTTCTGCTTACTCACCTCCAGTGACGGGAAGCTCACTGTTTCCTGAGAGTAGCCATTCCATTGCTGGACAGTTCTGATGATTAGGAAGTTCTCAAATGACCCTCCCTTTTTCCTCAAACAGTCTATAATTCTATGGCAAAGAGCCCCCTTCCTTCCTGCATGAGCTGTCATTTACAGATTTAGGTGATTTATTTTTAGGTGATAAGTTTGAACCTCCTGAGGAGTAAACCCTTTCTCTCAGCTTGCATATAGTTGATCCCAGGCTAGCTAAGCATCTTCAGCACTTGATGGACATGTTTGGGGGAGTGAGAGTGTGTGTGTGTGCATGTGTGTGTGTGTGTCTGTGTCAGAATGTATGGGTGAGTAGGAGAGATTGAGAAAGAGAAAAAAGAGAGAGAAGACAGAATGAGAGAATGTATTTTAAAGCATACCAGCCAATGTCACTCCTTATGTAAGCCCAATAGCTTCCCAGGGGATTGGGGTTGTATTCAGGGCCCCATCATTAGCTGATTAAGGCTGATTATTCCAAGGGGAGGGGGTAGTGAAAAGGGACAAGAAGTTACATAACTATCCATTTATTTAGATTTAATCCATGTTTCTAAATTTAGGAGCTGGAAGAATTCAAAGGTGCGCCCCCTGGCATTAGAAGTGGTGCTGGCCACACAGGGGAACGTGGGTGTGGTGAGTGTTGGAGACCAATACCACCCAGGGTCACAGTGGGGGATTTTTCCCAGGGCACAGTTCAGGGACTTCATCTCACAATCCCAGGAGAACTGTAAAAGGACCCAGTATTGCTCAACCCATTTCATACCCTGGAGCAGGTGCATAATGTGACTAGGATGGGGGCAGTGTTACAGAGGGGTGGAGAGCATGCTGATGTGGGAGAGGGAACCAGAACTGAATGTCCTGTGAAGGGGAGCAGCTCTAGGAAAACCTGGACAGTCATGGTCACCCCCAGGGTATCGCATGTGTTCATGCATATGTCCTAGTGTGGCCATTTCCAGATGGATTCCCTTTCTGCGTGGACTCATAGCTTTGCTGTTCTAAACATTTTGTGCAGGGGTGTAGAAAATCATGAAAGTCATTCAGGTTCTGCCTTCCACAAGGTCGCTGCATTTAAGTGGGCCTCTCTCATATCAAAAATAGTGTAGGTTCACATACATAAAGAGGTAATTTATTTGCAGATGGCTGCAAAGGACACTCTAACAAAATAATTATTACAACTTTTTTGGAAGCTAGAAGTATCTTGAGCAAAGGGAGTCATTTTCTGATTTGAGCAAAGACACCACATGGGCTCACAGTGACCTGCCTCTAACTTCCACGGATGCTGACTGTATCCAACTCCGAGTTCACATCAATAGTGATCCTGTTTAGAGAGAAGCTGCTGAAAGCTGAGGATAAAGAACAGCTGCAGAGCTGTGACTCATCATTCAAGGTCTCAGAAACATTGCAAAGGCCATTGCAAAGAGGTGACAGCACTCTGTAAGAGCGCATGAGGTAAGGTGCATATAAAAGCACTTTATTAACTGTAAGGAATCCACATTCATTTGAGGAAAGGCTGTGAAGTTGTGTTATAGTAGAACACATGCCAGACTTGAACTCAGCGGCTTTCTAGTTCTGTTACCAGTAAGAATCACATGGAAAAAAGGCTGCAAGAGACCCTGCTCCAGAGCCTGGCTCACAACGAACCCTCTATGAATGATTGATTTCTCTCTCAACACTACTTTTAAAGCACCCCGGCAGTGTGGACACTGGAATGTGATATTTTCTTTGAAACCCTATGTACTTACAATAAAATTCCAATTTGTTACCCTGACTAAAAATCCTGTGTCTGACGCCCTGCCCCCCAGTCCCACTCATGCCCTGCCACACTCTCTGGGCTCACTCTACTCCTTCCCTTGAACACACCAAGCCCATTCCTACCCCAGGGACTTTGCACTCACCACTCCTCTTCCTGGAACACTCTTCCCTCATCTTTCCTTGACTGGCTGTTTATCCTCATTCATGTCTCAGCATGAATGTCACCTCCTAGATGGAAAATAGCCCCTGGTGCCTCCAACCACCTCACTCTACTTCAACTTTCTGCATTGTCCTTACTGCTTTCATACACTTTCATCCTCTGCTTGCTTATTTTCTGTCTCCACCACCAAAATTTAAGCTCCACAAGGGCAGAGATTTTTGTCTGTCTTGCTCACTACTGTAGTCCAAACGGCGGGTGTCTGACAGAGGGTGTTGATGAATGACCGCACTTTGTGAGAATGGAGAGGTCAGCACCTTCCACGCTTAGGAGCCCCTCTCAGCTTCATCCTTCCCCACTCCCCCGCTTTTTCTCTCCACGGATTGCCTCTCCTTTTGTCCACATTTCTCTCATATTCCACTAGATGACTTCCCACTCTTTTCCTTATCCCCTTGCTTGCTCTGCAGAGAGCTTTGAACATCTTGTTCTTTCTGTTCTCAAGGCTGGGATGACTTAACCTTCCCCCTGTCTCATCTTTCTGAATATCCGTCTGTTGGCTTGGATCCTCTTCTCTTTGACCCTGGGAGAAAAACATGAAGCCAGCATGGGAGTCAGGGGTGGGAGAGAGTTTAGATGACCAAGGAGCCACTGCCTCCAGAGGCAGGGAGTCCTCATTCCTGAGGCTGTGAGTGGAGGCTGAATGACCACGGCCTTCTCACAGTCCACCCCACCCTCTGGGGAGGCCTGCAGACTCTGCCGCTGCTGCAGACAAGCTTTTACTTCCCTTCTTCAAGCCACGCTTTTAAAAAATCTGCTATGTGAGCACTCCAATGAATTGGTTTGGCTTCTGCCGGCTGTTAGCTGGACTAAGGAATTTGAATGGCACTTTACAGCTTACAAGGCTCTTTCATCATTCATTAATTTGGCAAATGTTTACCTAGCATCTGCATGACAGGCATGCCTTTATTGTTTTATTGGGCTTCACTTTATGGCACTTCAAAGACATTGTGTTTTTTACAAATTGAAGGTTTCTGGCAACCCTGTGTTGAGCAAGTCTCTCGGCGCCATTGTTTTCAACAGTGCATGTGCACTTTGTGTCTCTGTGTCACGTCTTGGTAATTCTCAGAATATTTCAAACTTTTATCAGTATTATTATATCTGTTACGGTGATCTGTGATCAGTGATCTTTGATGTTACTATTGCAATCGTTTAGGGGCACCATGAACTGTGCCCATGTAAGACGTGAACTTAATCTATCAATATGTGTATTCTGCCTGTTCCACCAACCGGCTGTTCCTCCATCTCTCTCCCTCACCCCAGGCCTCCCTATTTCCTGAAACACAACAGTATTGAAGTTAGGCCAATGATGGCCTCTAAGTGTTCAAGTGAAAGAAGGAGCCATACATCTTTCACTTTAAACCAAACGCTAGAAATGATTAAGCTTAGTGAGGGAGGCACCTCGAAAGCCAAGACTGACTAAAAGTGAGTCCTTTTGTGCCAAATAGTTAGCCAATTGTGAATGCAAAGGAAAGTCTTTGAAAGAAATTAAAAGTGTTATTCTAGTGAATTCACAAACAATAAGACAGTGAAGCAGCCTTGTTGCTGATATGGAGTAAGTTTGAGTGGTCTGGACAGAAGATCAAACCAGCCGCAGCATTCCCTTAAGCCAAAGCCTAATCCAGAGCAAGGCCGTAACTCATCCATTCTTGTTTGTTTGTTTGTTTGTTTGTTGGTTTGTTTTGAGACACAGTCTCGCTCTGTTGCCCAGGCTGGAGTGCAGTGACACAATCTCAGCTCACCTCAACCTCCATCTCCCGGTTCAAGTGATTCTCCTGCCTCAGCCTCCCAAGTAGCTGGGACTATAGGCACGTGCCACCACGCCCAGCTAATTTTTGTATTTTTATTAGAGATGGGATTTCTCTATGTTGGCCAGGCTGGTCTTAAACTCCTGACTTCAAGTGATCCACCTGCCTCGGCCTCCCAAAGTGCTGGGATTACAGGTGTGAGCCACCACACCCGGCCCTTACTCATCAATTCTATGAAGGCTCAAGAGAGGAGAGAAAGCTGCAAAACAAAAGTTGGAAGCTAACAGAGGTTGATTTAGAGATTTAAGGAAAGAAGCCATTTCTGTAACATGAAAGTGCAAGGAAAAGCAGCAAGTGCTGATGTAGAAACTGCATCGAGTTGTCCAGATCTACTAGCTAAGAGCATTGATGAAGGTGGCAACACTAACAACAGGTTTTCAATATAGCTGAAACAGCCTTCACTGGAAGAATATGCCATCTAGGACTTACATAGCTGGAGAGGAGAAGTTAACGCCTGACTACAAAGCTTCAAAGGACAGGCTGACTCTCTTGTATAGGGGCTAGTGCAGCTGATGACTTTAAGTTGAAGCCAATGCTCATTGGCCATTTCCAAAACAGTAGGGCCCTGAAGAATGATGCTAAATCTACTCTGCCTGTGCTCTAGAAATGGAACAACAGAGCCTGGGTGGCAGCACATCTGTTTACAGCATGGCTTATTGAACACTTTAAGCCCATTGTTGACCTACTGCTCAGGAAAAAAATATTCCTTTCAAATATGACTGCCCATTAACAATAGACTTGGTCACCTGAGAGCTCCCACGGAGATGTGCAAGGACATGAATGCTGTTTTCATGCCTGCTAACACAACATCCATTCTGCAGCCCATGGATCAAGGAGTCATTTTGACTTTCTTATGATTGAAGAAACACATTTCATAATGAGAGGTGACAGTGTGCTGGCAGTCCTCACAGCCCTCGCTCACTCTCGGTGCCTCCTCTGCCTGGGCTCCCACTTTGGCGGCACTTGAGGAGCCCTTCAGCCTGCCGCTGCACTGTGGGAACCCCTTTCTGGAGCCGGCTCCCTTAGCTTGCGGGGAAGGTGTGGAGGGAGAGGCGCGGGTGGGAACCAGGGCTGCCCGCGGTGCTTGCGGGCCAGCACGAGTTCCGGGTGGGCGTGGGCTCGGCAGGCCCCGCACTCGGAGCGGCCGGCCGGCGGACCCCGCGGGCCCCGGGCAGTGAGGGGCTTAGCACCTGGGCCAGCAGCTTTTGTGCTCAATTTCTCGCGGGGCCTTAGCTGCCTCCCCGCGGGGCAGGGCTCGGGGGACCTGCAGCCCGCCATGCCTGAGCCTCCCCTCCCTGCCGTGTGCCCCTGCGCGGCCCAAGCCTCCCCGAGGAGTGCTGCGCCCTGCTCCACTGGCGCCCAGTCCCATCGACCACCCAAGTGCTGAGGAGTGCAGGCGCAGGGCGTGGGACTGGCAGGCAGCTCCACCTGCGGCCCCCGTGCGGGATCCACTGGGTGAAGCCAGCTGGGCTCCTGACTCTGGTGGGGACTGGGAGAACCTTTATGTCTAGCTAAGGGATTGTAAATACACCAATCAGCACCCTGTGTCTAGCTCAGGGTTTGTGAATGCACCAATCCACACTCTGTATCCAGCTACTCTGGTGGGGACTTGGATTGGAGAACCTTTATGTCTAGCTAAGGGATTGTAAATACACCAATCAGCACTCTGTATCTAGCTCAGGGTTTGTAAACACACCCATCAGCACCCTGTGTCTAGCTCAGGGTTTGTGAATGCACCAATCACACTCTGTCTCTAGCTACTCTGGTGGGGACTTGGAGAACCTTTATGTCTAGCTAAGGGATTGTAAATACACCAATGGGCACTCTGTATCTAGCTCAAGATTTGTAAACACACCAATCAGCACCCTGTGTCTAGCTCAGGGTTTGTGAATGCACCAGTTGACACTCTGTATCTAGCTACTTTGGTGCGGACTTGGAGAACCTTTGTGTCCACACTCTGTATCTAGCTAATCTAGTGGGGACGTGGAGAACCTTTGTGTCTAGCTCAGGGATTGTAAACGCACCAATCAGCACCCTGTCAAAACAGACCACTCTGGCTCTCTGTAAAATGGACCAATCAGCAGGATGTGGGTGGGGCCAGATAAGAGAATAAAAGCAGGCTGCCTGAGCCAGCAGTGGCAACCCGCTCGGGTCCCCTTCCACACTGTAGAAGCTTTGTTCTTTCGCTCTTTGCAATAAATCTTGCTGCTGCTCACTCTTTGGGTCCACACTGCCTTTATGAGCTGTAACACTCACCGCGAAGGTCCGCAGCTTCACTCCTGAGCCAGCGAGACCACGAACCCACCGGGAGGAAAGAACAACTCCAGACGTGCCGCCTTAAGAACTGTAACACTCACCGCGAAGGTCTGTAGCTTCACTCCTGAGCCAGCGAGACCACGAACCCCACCAGAAGGAAGAAACTCCGAACACATCTGAACATCAGAAGGAATGAATTCCGGACATGCCGTCTTTAAGACCTGTAACACTCACCGCGAGGGTCCGCAGCTTCATTCTTGAAGTCAGTGAGACCAAGAACCCACCAATTCCGGACACAATAAGGCTATAGCTCCCATAGATAGTGTGTACTCTGATGGATCTGGGCAAGGTACGCTGAAAACCTTCTGGAAAGGAGTTACCCTTCTAGATGCCTTACAAACATGCATGATTTATGGCAACAGGTCAAAATATCAACATTAGGAGTTTGTAAGAAGTTGATTTCAACCCTTGTGGATGACTTTGAAGGGTTCAAGACTCCAGTGGAGTAACTGTAGATGTGGTAGAAAAAGCAAGAGAACTAGAATTAGAGGTAGAGCTTGAAGATGGGACTGAATTGCTGCAATCTCATGATAAAAGTCAAGTGGATGATGAGTTGTTTCTTAGGGATGAGCAAAGAAAGTGGTTTCTTAAGATGGAATCTACTCCTGATGATGAGGCTGTGAACATTGTTTAAATGACAACAAAGAATTCAGAATATTACATAAACTTAGTTGATAAGGTAGCAGCAGAGTTTGTGAGGATTTACCACAATTTTGAAAGAATTTCTACTATGGGTGAAATACTACCAAACAGCATCGCAGGCTACAGAGAAATCTATCATGAAAGGAAGAGTCAATTGATTGCGCAAACTTCACTGTTGTCTTTGTTTTGTTTTGTTTTTGAGGCAGAGTCCGTCTCTGTCACTAGGCTGGAGTACAGTGGTGTGATCTTGGATCACTGCAACCTCTGCCTCCCAAGTTCAAGCAATTCTCCTGCCTCAGCCTCCCAAGTAGCTGGGACTACAGGCGCGCACCACCACGCCCGGCTAATTTTGTATTTTTAATAGAGATGGGGTTTCACCATGTTGGCCAGGACAGTCTCCATCTCCTGACCTCATGATCCACCTGCCTTGGCCTCCCAAAGTGCTGGGATTACAGGCGTGAGCCACCATGGCCGGCGCATTGTTGTCTTTTTTAAGAAATTGCCACAGTCACCCCAACCTTCAGCAACCACCACTCTGATAAGTCAGCAGCCATTAACGTTGAGGCAAGAGACCTTCCACCAGCAAAAAGATTAGGACTTGCTGAAGGTTCAGATGAGACTTAGCATTTCTTGGCAATACAGTATTTTTAAATTAAGGTCTGTATGTTTGTTAGACATAATACTATTGCACACAATAGGGTACTACTATTTTAGGCACAATCCTATTTCACACTTGTAGAGTGTAATGCTGTTGCACTCTACTGATTACAGTATAATGTAAACATTAACTTTTCTATGTACTGGGACACCAAAAGACTTGAGTGAGTCACTTTATTGTTATACTAGCTTTATTGCAGGAACAGAACCTTCAGTCCCTCTGAGCTATGCCTGTATTTGCTAGTCATGGCTCTAAGTGCTTTGCATATAATAACTTACTTACGAAGCAGGTAGTGGTATTATAATTATCCTTATTTTACAGACGAGGAATGTATGGCACAGGACCGGATTTATGATAAAGTTCAAAAACTTAAGCTTCAGAGTTTCGCACACAGGCTCATCCCCAGATACGGTCCACCACTGTGTCAGGTGTAAAATTAGCAAAAGTAATATAGTTTACCTGCGAACAGCTAAAATCACTGTCACTTTCTACTGTGAATCTCATCTCTGGCTCTTTCTCTCATCCTGATTAGCACTGGAGTGGCTGTGGGCATTTTGCGGACCCAGCTTAGGGTTAGTAGAGTTGAAAATACACTGAGTTTGGGTTTACTGAGCTAAATTTATGCAGTTCAAAGTCCTTCCATGCATAGTTAGGTTACCACTAGCCACCAGGTGTCGGAGATAGTTTCTAGGACCATCCTACCGCTCAGTTTGCTAACTAACCTAGATCTTGATTCAAAGACAGTGACTCAGAGTTCCCATCATGATATGAATTTATTCTCTGCCCCCCCAGCACAGAAGGTATGCAGAAAGTGAAGGAGAAGCTACTCTATAGAAAATTCCTTCAACCATTAACTACGTAAGACTGTAAATGGAGGATTGGCTTCTCTGTGTATCATCCATGTGCCTGCTTCCAAACAAAGCCCTCTCTTGTCAGGAATGTACTCAGTAATGCAGGGTATATCATAAATACACAATATGGTTTTTTTTTTCTTTTTGGGGAGGATTATACCAAATGCAATTCATCAGAATTTCTGTTTGTAGGGCACAGATTTATAGTGTTACTAAAGGCAGTGAGGATATCTGTAACCAACCAAAATATGAAAAAACTTCATGGAGGTTTTTCCAGATTTGACAGTGGTGCTAAAATGTGTTTGCGTGTGTGTGTGTGTGTGTGTGTGTGTGTGTGTGTGTCTGGGTTTATAGAAAACATTTCCAAGTACAAGTTGTGAAACTGAAAGAAACTTTCCTAAACTTTATTCAATAGGCCACATTAGAGGAAAGACGGAATTATCTTTTAATTTTCTATGAATATGACAAAATTGTCATCATATAAAGGTGATCAATGACATGTTGGGGAAAAAAGGATAAAAGTATGTCAGACAACTGATAAAAATGTTATTTTTCTGGATTTTGTGATGTTCGTGACATTTGTAAGCTTTCTAAAATTTCTAATTTCCTGTGATTCCTTTTTTCATCTTGGTACCTAATTTTCCATTATTTTTCTTAAGTGGGCCCCAAACTGGGCTCATCTAACTACCAGGATAAGGTATTATAGCTTCCTTATGCAAATATGAGCACAAACAATCCCTCTTCTTATTTTTTCTACCCTCTTTACAGTCAAGGTGGCTCACAGCAGCCTCACCGCCTGCTGCAGCAGGACAATTGGCGGAGTGAGGAGGCCACTGCCTAGTCCCGGGAGAGGGTGGTGGCTGGAGGGATACCTGGGGACTGCCGGGCTGTGAAGAGGTGGCTGGCGTTGCAATCAGTTTTAAAGAGGGTCAACAGGGGTTGCTGAGGGTGAAAGTGAGGGTAGGGGTGGAAGAAAGAAAGGATGGGTTCACAGCTCGTGTCTGCCACTCTGATTTTTCCCTGGGGGCTCTGACTCAGGAAGTCTGGATTTTGGGAGGGCTGGCGTTGGTAGCCGACAACAATACCTCTCACCTGGCATCCGCAGCACCTCCATGCCCCCAACGCCAGCGCTCCGGCCGTCGCCCGCGCAGAGCCGTGAGAACACCCGGGAAGCGCGCAGGCTCTGGGCACCCCGTCCCCGCCGCAGCCTGGCCCGACCCTCCTGGCCCTGCGTGGGCGAACACGTGCAGGCCCTCCTGGCGCGCGCCCCACGTGCAGCCCCGCGTGCGCTCTCCGCCTGCTCCCTCCCTGGCCCGCCGCCGCCTGGGCCGCTGCCAGCTCCTGGAGGCACTGACGCCCGCAGATGGGCAGGGGATGCGGGTGGGGGCTGCCCTTGGGGTGGAGGCCGTGGAGCGCATCCCGCTGTGTGATCGGGCACGTGGCTTCGCTGCCCTGAACCTCCCTTTCCCAGTTTAGGCCTAGGAATGCCGGCTTCCTGGAGAGCCTGTGCTGGCTTGTTGAGCGTTTCCAGCGCTTAGAAGACTATAACAATGATAGTAATCATAAGAATGACGGTCATTTACGGAGGGCTCACGCTGTGCCAGGCCCTGCCCTAAGCACTCAACCTTCCTAGCAACACCATGATGTCAGCCCGCTTATTGTCCCCATTTTAGGGGTGAGGAAATGAAGGTAGGGCGATAATAGGATGATTATTACTACTAAAAATCATAACACAATGGCTGTTGTCAATAAGAAGGATAGTAACAGGGCCATGGCTTACTGAGGGCTTAAATGTGCAAGCAACTGACACCTAGGCTCACATCAGCTCCTTACATCTTTCCAGCAGGGGCACTGGTATCATCCCCACTTTACAGATGAAGACTGAGTCTCCAGGAGGGAGGGTCACTTGCCCACGATGACCCAGTTGCTCCAGTGGGCGAGCCAGGACTCCAGCCCATGCCTGTCTGAACAGACTCTTAGCCATGGTCACTACCAGCCATTCCTGAAGGCATCTGTCACTCCAGGGTGGACTTCTCAGTTTAAGACGGACAGGGCACTTACTGTCTGTGACCACAGAATGATGATTTGGGCTCTGAGGCTCCACCAGGGAAGTGCTGCACCGGAAGGCACTCAGCGGGGTAGAGGAGGAGGTGGATTAAAAGTGGGGCTCAGGTCCTCACCCACCTACCACACCACCCTGGCCAGAGTCTGCTTCCTGTCTCAGGGTTCAGGTGAAGGAGCCCAGAAGAGCCACTTCCTGTAAATGTTCCTCCTCTTGTAGATTTCAGGCTGGGCAGTCTGGCAGAAGACACCTGTGCTTGTTTTCTGCCAAGTCCTGGTGGTCTTGCCATCTCCCCTGTAGATCTGCTGGCCCCGCCATTCGTGAGCCCCAGAGGCCTGGATTGAGAGGCTGCCAGGGAGGCCTGGAGCGTGTCTGAGGGGTCGGCACCTTGGCGCTTGTCTGGAAGTCTCCCAGGCTTGGCCCCAGCCCACTCTTTAGACCTCTGCTTCACCTCCCTGCCATGCAGACCCCTGGCCCAGCCCAGAAAGCCCCTGGGGCTTGTCAGGAACCCGGATCAACAGAACCTGATGGGCCAGAGAGGATGCCAGCCATGCAAGGTCGCACAACAATCAGGAGGCAAAGGCCACTCTCTGCCACCTGAGAAGGATGATGGGAATTGGGCCCCTGCCCCCTGCACCCCCATCCTGAGGTTAAGTGTGAGGCCTTGGAGAGGTGCCCATCTGTGTGCCCAGTAGGGGCTGTGTGGCTCTCTCTGACCCAGCCTGCTGGCATATAATTGAAGGTCATCCTGGGGATCAGTTGGGGCCCCCAGGAACTGGCCCCAGGCTGGCTGGCTAGCTGGGGTCCTCTGCACACGGATGTCCCCCTCCTCTACCCAAGGTCTTAACCTGAGAGACCCCTCTCCCTGCTGAAGGTGTAAGGGGGTGGCATCTTCTTCCTACACAAGAGGGCGGTACCCAGATCCCTGACTGTGGAAGAGGGAGTGTGGTTCATGAGAGAGCCCAGGCCAGGTAAGAAAGGCCCCAAATGTTTACGAGCACTGGCCTTGTGTCAGGGACCCAGCTGGCACAGGGTAGAAGGCCCCACTCACAGTGTCCCCATCATCAACACCCACCCCTACCCCACACACAGTGTCCTCACCACCAACACCCACCCCCACCCCGTACACAGTGTCCTCACCACCAACATGGGGCACCAGCAGGTGCACTTGTTAATGAGTGAACTACCTTGACACATCATCATCACCCCGACTCCATAGTCTATGTGAGGCTCACTCTTGGTGTTGCACATTCTATAGGTTTGAGCAAATGTATCATAACGTGTCTGCCATGACTAGATCATACTAGGTAGTTTCACTACCCTAAAATTCCTCTGGGCTTCACCTATTCTCTTTTTTCACTTTGTTTCTTCGTTTTCAGAATGAAAACAACTTTACTGATTTTAAAATCATGCATGCGCTTAATAGCACCCTCCTATTCCCCAGACAACCACTGCTGAGAGTGTGGGGTATGTTTCCTTTCAGGTGTTTTCTGTCTGTATCAACATAGCCCACCCAGAGTATATAAGGAGTACCCAAGAGTCCATAGGAGCTAATATTGGGAATTGGCATTGACTGAGTGCCTACTATGTGCTTGACCTCACTGGACATTAAAATTTTTTTTTTTTCTGAGACAAGATCTCACTCTGTCACCCAGGCTGCAATGCTGTGTGGCACGATCATAGCTCACTGCAGCCTTGAACTGAGCTCAAGCGATCCTCTCACCTCAGCCTCCTCAGTAGCTGGGACCACAGGTGCACACCACTGTGCCCTGCTAATTTTTTTTTTTTTCTGGTAGGGACAGGGTCTCTCTGTGTTGCCCAGGCTCGATCTCCTGGCCTCAAGCGATCCTTCCACCTTGGCCGCCCAAAGCGCTGGGATTACAGGCGTGAGTCACTCCACCTGTCAAACCTCACTGGACATTTAACACTCACAGCAACACTGTGCGGTGGCCACCATCTCTGCCTCCGTTTCACAGATGAGAAAACTTAAGGCTCAGAGAGTTGAAGGTCCTTGCCCAAGGTCCCAGGAATAGAAAGTGTCAGAGCTGTTTCTAATCAAGTGACAAAGAAAGAGTCAAGGCTGGAATTTGAGTCAAGTTAGCTCTGACTCTGCACTTGGAAAAGCAGAAAGCATCTTGACGTGAGGAATTCTCTCCTACCCCAACCGTGGGGACGGAGGTTCTGAGCCAACATGGAAAGGGCCTGAAGAAACAGCTTGCTGGGTGGCGGGCCCTTGGAAGATGGAGTGGGAAACCTCAGCACCCTGCGGGTGCCCTTCTCAATCCTGGCTCTTAAGACCCAGGAGCCTGAGCCTGGGAGAGAGGAGGTGATCTCTTTTCCTCAGCCTGTGTCTGTAGGACTCACATCAGCAGAAAGTACACACCCACTCAGAGGAACACACTGCCACATTCCACACACTCACATGTGCACACCCTACCCCTCATGACAGCCAAGCTCTCTCCTGTCCACTCTCCCATTTCCGCCTCATATCCGGGCCACCTCCTCCAGTTGCCTACATTGCGCACTGCACAGTTGCAAGGGGATCAGTCACATGGACTGCAATGTGAATGGCACCCCCTGGAGTTGTGTGACACTGCTCACGTTGAGCGGGGAGACTTGGCTTATTTTACACTTGGCAGAAACTGATGCTCAGAGACAGCCAGTGACTTACCCACTGGTCAAAGAGTGCGTCAGTGCTTGGAACAAAAATCTGTCATCTTTTATCTCCCTTCCCCCATGCCTTTCAAAAAGAATTATTTCTAAAACTTTGATATGTTTTAAAAACAAATTGTTGTTAAACTTCTATCTAGTTGTTTTTGAGGAGGTTCCATACAAAATCTTAAGGGTACCAAAGAGCATAAAAAGAAAGTCATTCCCCTCCCACCTGTGAGCCCGGGACACCGGTTCCTTTGCCCAGAGGCAGCCGCTGCTGCTGGTTGTCGTGTGTCTGGTCCAGAGACACTCTAAACATCGTTTACACAAATGGGAGCGTGTGATGCTGCCCGCACCCCAGTGAGGGCTTTGTATGCCCTGCACCGTGCCGGAACCTTGCAGCCGCCTGACTCTGTTTTACTGTCCACAGGATTCCCTTACATGGAGGCCCCGCTGGCTATTTCGCAACACCCACTGGCATTCACTTAGGGCGCTCTGATCTCTCGCTGAAGCAAACCATGCTGGTGAACTCCCTTGCCTGTGTGTCATTTCACATGTCGGAAAAATCACCTGAAAGGTAAAGTCTTCATTTCTTTTAGACCTAAATATTTCATTTTTGAAACAAACTGAAATGGCATAAAAGGACATATAATAAAGTAAAAGAGAAGGTCCGAGTTGCCCCCACCCCTATTGATTCTACTCCCTGAAAGTGGCCACTGTTTCATCTCATATTATTTCACAGTTGCTTATGGGGCTTAAGATATGTGGTTGATTTGCAAAAATGGCCGTAGGCCTTTCCCGGGGCCAGCTTGGTGGAGACGGCAATCCAGGAGTTCCCTGCATTGGGAATGGTGGTGGGATCAAGCATGTGGAAGCTTCCTGAAATCTGGAGTGAACCTCTCAACTCCAGCCCTCTCACCATGCCCATTCCCAGCAAAACTACAGTCCCTTTGTCCCTCCCAGCCTGACCCCTTCTGCCAACACCAGGGGCCAAGGGTGGGAACCTAGGGTCTCCACAGAGGTGAGCAGACAGGGCTAGGAGCTCAAGGCACAGGGGAAGGCTGTCCGCCTGCCCAGTCAGTGTGCAGAGGGTAAATAATTCCCAAGTGTGTCTTAGGGAGAAAAGATAGTCACCAGTGACTCTACCTCACCACCTCTCACCTGCTTCATTGGGTCACTTCTTTACCCAACACCCTTTTATTGAGCACCAACTGCATGCCTGGTACTAAGTGCCAGGCATACATCCAGGGCAAAACCAACAAATTCTCTGAGAGTTACATGTTCATTGGATGAGACAGAAAATAAGCAAATAAGACCATGAATATATACTATGTCAGGAAGTAGTATGTTCTCAGGAAAAAAGCAAAGCAGAATAAACAGGAGGTCAGGGAGAAGAGGGTGGCCGAGGAAGACCCATAAGAGGAGGAGACACGAGCACAGGTGAGTGATGACTAGGAGTGAGCCCTGCAGACAATGGGAGAAGGCTTTCTAGGCCAGGGGAACCCCACACACAAAGGCCTGGAGACAGGAGAGTGCAGCTATGCTGGAGGGGCAGCCAGGGGACCCACATGGCTGGAGCAGTGGGGTAGAGGGGTGGCGGGGAATGGTGGGAATGAGAACAGAGGTACCACCTGTCACCCTAATCCCCTATCCAGTCCTCAGCACCCCACTCCCAGCATCCACAAAACCACCCTCTGCCTTCTCCTTCCTTCTGCCCACCCTGAGGAAAAGGCATCTCTCCTCTTGCTCAGGGCGGGTTCCCTCTCTCCTCTGGGCTGAGTCCCTTCTCATCTTTCCTGCCACCGCAGATGCAGACGCTGGCTCCAGCTGCAGAGCCTTGGCCTCTGCTGTCGCCGCTCCTTCTGGGTCCTCCACACCCCTTTCCACCTACCTGGCTCCTGTTCAGCTTTTCAGATCCAGGCTAGGACCTGCATCCCCACAAAAGCCCTCCCTGCTGCCCAGGCTGGGCCAGCGGCTCCCTGGCTCCTCAACCACCTGCACTTTCCCTTTTCCACTTCTGACTGTTTGACAAGGCAATGAGCTCCTGGGGTCAGAGAAGTGCTCAATTCCCCTGTGTGTCCCCAGCTCAGAGCTTAGGGTTTGGCCAGATGTGCAGGCGACACTCCTGTGGCTTCAGGCTGAGGCCTCAGGCTCCCCAGAGCCTTTTGGCACCCTGTCTCCCTGCTCATCCCCTTGCTTGTCCTGCTACCCCAGGGACAATTGTGTCTTAACCACATTGACCTACTTGCTGCCCACAAAACTGATCTGGTGCTTCCTGTCCCTCCCCCTGGCCCTGAACTGCTACCACCACTCTCATCTTCCTAACCAAAATCTCCTCCATCAAAACCCAACTCCAGCCTACCTGGATGGGGGCAGAGGAAGACACGCCAGACAGGAAGGCCAGCGAGGCATATTCACTGTGTGACCTCCAGCACCTCCTCTTGTCTGGGTGACCCTCAGCTTCCTAGTCCACAGCCTGAGGATGCAGCGGTCCCCAGAGCACAGGGTGGGGGTGAGCGGCAGATGGCAAGACCCTGTCCTGGCTCCTCCCCTTGGCTTTGGGCTCCCTGAGATGCTGTAGTCATCTCTGGATCCCTCCCAGTGCCCAGAACTTAGAAGCTTCTCAGCAAATATTTATGAAATGTATGAGGACACCATACTTTATCGTTTACATTGGCACACACGTTATTGTGCTCTGTCCTTGCTGGCATCCCTCCATTACAGGCCTGCAAGCCCAGGTTGCTGGACTGAGTGGGCAGGGGATTGGTCATGAGCTTCAGAAAGAGCCCTACCAGACATTCAGGGAGGTTGTGGAACCCACCCAAGGCCACACAGTCAACAAATCACAGAGCCAGCCCTGGACCCCGCGCTCTGCAGAATCCAGGTCCTGTGCACATCACCTCCGTCCTCCCTGTGACTCTGCAAGGTGGGCCCTCTCGCTCTTTCCTTTGGCCTTTTGTTATTTCTGAGGGCTACAGATCCTGGAACTGCAGCCGTGATGGGAAGAACAGGACACAGGGTGCCCAGCAGGAAATGCCAGGCACTGAATGGAAGGTGGGGGCTGAGGAGCAGTTGGCACCTCTGTGCCACAATGCACCCCTGAAGGGTGGAGTTGCTTAGAGACCTGGTGAGGCAGGAGCCAGCTCCCCTCTGCAGTGGCCATGTGTTCACCTTGGAGCTGGATGTGGCTCTGGGCACTGCTTACAGATGGAAAGTGGCCAGAGTCCCAGGAGGGAAAATAAGCACTGTGTTGGTGTCCTGCCATCCCTCTTTGGTGTCCCTGGGCCATGACAGAAGGTTAAGGCTGAGGGCAGAGATGTGGTCTTGGGGCTTGGTTGCTTCTTGGCACTAGGAGGGAGCCTATGGGTGTCCTGCAGTGTTTGTCTGGCACTCACAACCAGTAAGGAAATTGTCTTCTGCTAGGAACGCTCCTGAATACTCAGTCTCCCTGCCTGCAACACACATGCACAGGCTTGGGGAGCCCTGGGGCTGAGAAATCCACTTCCAAGCACATATTCAGCACCTACTCTGTACCAGGCATGCCCAGCCAAAACGTCAGCTGGGGATGTTGCTGTGTGAGCTTGGCAAGCGCCTTCACCTCCTTGAGTCTCAGCTGCCTTAGCTGGAAGGTGGAAATAATGACCTCACCTGCCTCGCAATCCAGTGGGCAGAATTAACATGACTGTGGAAGTCTCAAGTGGGACCATTACAACTGCAAAAGCCCTGGTCAGCAACTAAGACCCTACAGGGTTTTTTTTTTGTTGTTTTTTTTTTGAGACAAGGTCTCACTCCATTGCCCAGGCTGGATGCAGTAGTGCAATAATAGCTCACTGCAGCCTCAACCTCCTGGTCTCAGGTGATCCTTCCAGCTCAGCCTCTGGAATAACTGGGACTACAGGCGCGCCACCACATCTGGCTAATTTTTGTGTCATTTTTTGGTAGAGACAGAGTTTTGCCATGTTGCCTAGGCTGGTCTTGAACTCCTGGACTCAAGCAATCCTCCCGCCTCGGCCTTCCTAAGTGTTTGGGATTATAGGCGTGAGCCACTGTGCCCAGCCTGAGACCCTATAGTTAAATCATTTGAGTCTTCCGAATCTCAGGAGAAAGAGAAGAGGGAGAAGAGTGCATGCTGAAGTACTTAGTAAATCATCCGAGAGAGATAAGCCAAGATGGGAGGCACGGGGGAAATCTTTCGCAAGTATTTCCTTCCAGCCTGAGGCTTGCCCTTTCACTTTCTGAAGGGTGTCTTTTGATGGAGAGAAGTTGTTAATTTTAATGAAGTCCAACATATCAATTTCTTCTTTCCCAGTTAGGGATCCTTGTGTCCTGTTGAAGAAACGCTTGTGTCACAGGGCCATGCAGACTGTCACCATGCTCCATGCCCAAGCCTGGCATCCCTTTCGAGTCATTTTTATATACAGATGAATTGAGGGCCGAGGTTCGCGGCTCTCCAAGCAGCCGTCCGGTAGTCCCGGCACGATGCATTGAAAACCGTTTCTGTTCCCAGTGAACTGCAGCGGTGGCCTTTGGTTATGGCGTACCACACAGCCATAAAAATGAGAAGTCACTGCCTCGTGCAACAGCATGGGTGAAGCCGGCCGACGAGATGGTAAACAGAAGGAGTACATGCCTGGGGATTCCATTTATGTGACATTCCAGGGAGGCCACGCTGACACAGGCCAGGCTTGGTCACCTTGGGTGGGTGTGGTGTGCCTTCTTGGGTGTGGAAATGATCTTGATCCGGGTGGTGGCTCCACGGGTGCGTGCAGACGAAAAAAAACGTGGAGGAGCCGTGCTGTGAAGATGAGCACGCTGAAGGGTCCGTATGCTGTACACAAATTTAAAAGAGTGTTTCTAAAGTGCAGAGGAGGAAAAGATGAAACCCTCAAACAGAGGTGTTTGCTGTGGAAGCTTTGAAGAGGCTTCTGAAAGGTGACGACTGAGAGAGAAAAAAAAGGGGCAGCTCCTGCCATCTGGAAGCTGGCTCAGTGCTCACAGCTGGGCCACGCCGTCCTTCTGTGGGACATAAACAATCTAACGAAACCAACCTCTGCCAAGGGCGCTCTGAGACCAAGATAAAGGGAGACAGAGTGAGGTCACTGGACAGAAGCACGGTCCCTGTATCACCCACGGAATACGAAACACCCCCTCTTGACTCCTTCCCTTGGCTTAAATGGGTGACTGCTAGGCCTCCACCAATTCTAGCTCATCCTCCTTCTACTCTCCCTCCCTGCAGGTTAGCATTATTGAGATCCACAATCATAGGATTGCCCCCACTTTCTGACAGCAGCCAATCTAACGAACCCTCACTTCCTCAGATTCTCCCCAAATCACCCACCCAAAGCCCCAATCCTATAATAGGTTCTTTCTAACACCCTCCTACTGAGACACCCACCCTTCCCCATGGGGGTGCATTCTCCCTCTCTGGCTGGAGGGCCCTGAAATCTTGCAGGATGATCAGATGAAAACAAAAAGTCCCTCAGAGCAGTCTGAAGAATGTGACGCATGCAAAATATATCAGGCCCATGGAGGTGTTTTTGTCCTTTCTTTCCTCATAATTTCAAGACTAGCTGATTAAGTTACCTAAAATGCCATCACAAGTTGCACAGTGCAACCCTCACCTATTATCTTCATGTTCCTGGAACTGGTGATACAAGAACAGTAGTCAATCAATTGCCTATGTTCAACTTAGAAACTGTGCCTTCTTTTTTCCTCTAAAACCCAGGAACAACTGCTGCTACTCGGAACACATATTCAGGGCAACTTGAATCTGTATCTATAAGGCTGCCGTCCTCAAATTCGGAGGGAAGGATGCTCTGAGCAAAAGCAGACACTGAGGGGCAGGTGGTGCTGACGGAAGAGGGAAAAACGTGCTGCCTCTGTGCAGGGCTGGGGTGGGGATGCAGGGGAGGTGGGTTGGAGCCAGAGTGGCATGACCTCGAATGCCAAACCACAGCTCTGAGACCTCAGTGGGAGCAGGGCAGGGCCAGGGTGAAATCGGTGAGGCCGGACTGAAACTAGTGAGTGCCTCCTTCAGTGGTGCCTCCTTTCTTCCCTCTCTCCCTGGTCCTGGGGAGGGGCCACAGCAGAGCTTCTGTAACTGTCTCTAATTCAAGACCTGGCCCTGAGCTGCTGGTGGCCACCCTGGCTTCTGGTCAGGATCAGCGTTGGCAGGGCTGTCACCAGCCCTGTCCATAGGGCAGCTCTGTCTCCCTCACGTGGCAGTGACCACTTCCAGCCTGGCACCCAGGCCTCCCACCTGCAGCAGGACACGGGGCATGGAATCCACAGGCAGGGGTGCTATCAGTCTCTCTCCCCCAATCGCCAGCCCCGCCGCGCCTCTCCCACTGGGACATTTCTCTTTTCTGCTTGTTTGCCACTGGGAATGTGGCTGTGGGCCCCTCCTCCTCGAGGCCAGCGCCTAAGCTCCTCAGGGCTTCTCAGCCTCTGGCCCCTCTCTCCTCCTTCTCCAGCATCTGCTCCAGCCCCTCCTCCTCCAGCACATACTGGCTTCCCACCAGAATTTAAACATGTCCCATGTGCACCCATCCCAAATAACAAACAACAAAAGCCGCCCTGGACTTCAGGCCCTTCTGGCCTCTGCCTCTGTTTTTCTGTCACCTCTTTCGAAGGAGTCGCCCACCCCGGCTCTTCCCTCTTCCCCGTGCTGGCCTGGTCTCCATCCCTCCTTGGGACCTCTCCTGTCTAAGGCCTGGCCAGTCCAGGGCCCTTTCTAGGTCCCATCTGACTCCCGATGCCCAGAGGCGTGCTCCTCCCTTGGCCTCCGGCCACCCTGGCCAGTTCCTCCTGGACATCTCAGGGCTCCTCCTCAAGTTCCTTGGCTGGCTCCTCCTCCCCCGGCTGGTGAGCCTCGAGTGCCGGGGCTTGAGGTATTTCTCAGCCTCTTCTCAGGCCTTAGGTTCTCCTTGGGTGATCTCACCCCCTCGGCTGATTTCTACCACCTCATCGACCCCCAGATCTCTTCATCTCTGGCCCCACCCTCTCTCCCAATTTCCAGACCTGTGCATCCTGCCACCTGCCAGATGTTTCCACCTGGGCCCCCAGAACTCCAAACACCCATCCCAACTTGGGTTCCCTGCATCACATCTTCATGTGCAAGGGATGGAAGAGGCAAAGACGTCAGAGAAGCAGGGTCATGGAGGGGAGGAAGCCAACCAAGCAGGGCTGCAGGAGGCAGCCCACCTGACCCAGGGAGCTCTGCAACAGGAATCACATCCTACAGCAAGCCTTCCAGATGGCAGGCAAGGGAGCTGTGCTTTCACATTTTTGCTCCAGGCTGGGACTGGGGGCCCAGCAGCATCTGGAAGGCAGCCTGCCCAGGAGCCCCTGGAGCAGCTGAAGGACACATGTAAGCAGGGGGTGGGGAGGACAAAGGGATCAGAGGAGACAACATCCAAGGCTACATTCACCATCTCCCTAGGGTCACTTCCCCTCTGGAGTTTGCCATCTCTGGGAACCAGCCAGTGAGTTGGAATCACCCTCAAGCCCAGTTCTCTTTAATTCAAACATCTTGGAGGTAGAGAGATGGCACAGAGAAGCCCCAGTTACGCCCTGCCCTCAAGGAACTCCTGGTCTAGCAAGAAAGGCACCCTTCCAAAGAGACCATTAGGAGTCCATGAGACCAATAAATGACAGAGGAAAAGGGCTGCCACTACCCTTCCACCCCAGGAAGAGCAGCTCAGGGGCTGGGGACCATTACGGAAGACAGTCAGCTTAGGATTGCAGCAGGATGGTGGGGTTGAGAAAGACACTCACAGAATGAGGAAGATTGATCAAGTAAGGAGGTAGAAAGGTGACCCAGGTGGGAGGAACAGCAAGAGCAAAGACAGGGAGGTCAGAAACAGCCCGGGGGTACAGAGAACAGCAAACACTATGGTTTCATTGAGAATTCCCTAAACTTTATCCACGTGCCACCTAGACTATTTTTGACCTAATGGTTTTCTCTAAATATGATTTTTTAACTTAAATAAATTTGTTTCAAAAGGAAACTTCATATTATTATTTATCTAGAAAGTAAACACTACTTGCTATAAAGAGAGATAACTAGAAGTCAAGATGGTGAAACGAAGCAAAACCATTCAACTCTAGCTGGAAGCTATTGCCTGCCTGGACTCCAAGCCTGAGTCCTGCCCGCTCTTCCATGAAAAAGAGTCCAGCTACACACACCAATTAGAATGTCCAAAATCCAGAGCACTGACATCACCAAATACTGGCAAGGATATGGAGCAACAGGAACTCTCATTCATTGCCGGTAGGAATGCAAAATGGCACAGCCACCTTGGAAGACAGTTTGGCAGTTTATTGCAAAACTAAACATACTCTCACCATATGACCGGGTAATCACATTCCCTGATATCTATCCAAAGGAATGGAAAACTTATGCCTACACAAAAAGTGCATGTGGATGTCTACAGTAGCTTTTTCCATAATTGCCAAAACCTGGAAGCAACCAAGATGTCCTTCAGCAGGTGAATGGGTAAATAAACTGTGGCATATCCAGACAATGGAATATTATTCAGTGCTAAAAAAAATGAACTATCCAGCCATGAAAAGACATGGAAAATGTAAATGCATATTACTAAGGGAAAGAAGCTGCTCTGAAAAGGCTGCATAGTATGTGATTCCAACTGTATGACATTCTGGAAAAAACAAAACGATGGAGACAGGAAAAGGATCAGTGGTTGCTAGGGGTTGGGGAGAGGAAGGGATGAATAGGCTGAGCACAGAGGGTTTTTAGGGCAGTGAAACTACTCTGTGTGATGCTATAACGTTGGATAAGTGCCATTATGCATTTGTCCAAACCCACAGAATGCACAGCACCAAGGGTGAACACTAATCTAAACCATGGACCTTGGGTGATACTAATGTGCCCACATAGGTTCATCGATTATAACAAATGTTCCATTCTGGTGGGGATGTTAGGCTGTTCTTGCATTGTAATAAAGAAATACCTGAGATTGAGTAATTAATAAAGAAAAGAGATGTAATTGGCTCACAGTTCTGCAGGCTCTACAGTAAGCATGGTGCCGGCATCTGTTCAGCTTCTGCGGAGTCCTCAGGAAACTTAGAATCATGGCGGAAGGCAAAGGGGGAGCAGGCATATCACATGGTGAAAGCAGGAGCAAGAGGGGAGCGGTGCTACATACTTTTAAACTACCAGATCTAAGGAGAACTCATTCACGATCATAAGGACAGCACCAAGAGGGTTAATGCTAAACCATTCATGAGAAAACTGTCCCCATGATCCAATCACCTCCCACCAGTCCCCACCTCCAACATTGGAGGCTATATTTCAATATGAGATTTGGGTGGGGACACAGATCCAAGCCATATTAAAGGGTGTATGGGAAATCTCTGTACTTCCCACTCAATTTTGCCATGAACTTAAAACTGCTCTAAAAAATAAATCCTATATTTTAAAAGTCTATCAATTACCTGAGAGGTGTGAAAGACACACCAGCAGCAAATGGACACTTGTGCTGGTGCTGTCTGGCAGTCACAGTCAGGCCGCGAGATCCACGTGATCCCATGCCAACACGTGGCCTGGCCTCGCTCTATGTCTTCCCAGGAGTAATCACTTCCTTCAAATTCTGGAGAACTCTGAATTTGGCCCGGTGAGACCACAAAGGAAGGCCAGGGTCAGGTTCTGAGGGTTCTCATGAGCCAGGCTAGGGGATTTGGGCTTTCTCATGAGGGCACTAGGGAAACATGGGAGAGCTGCAAGCAAGATAGGAATGCAAAATGGCACAGCCACTTTGGAAGACAGTTTGGCAGTTTATTACAAAACTAAACACACTCTCACCATATGATCCAGCAATCACACTCCTTCGTATCTACCCAAAGGAATGGAAAATACTGGCAAGGATATGACGTGGTCCATCATGGTGCAGTTTTTAGCCTGTGTCCTGGGGTCACCTTCTTACATGGCAGGGCCATGGATGGACTTCCCTGGAGTCCACGTGGCTGAATTTGATCCCTCCTCTTCCTACTAAATGGAGTCTGTGGCCACAGGGAACAAGGCATCCTCTCAACCTGGGAAGTTGTCTATGGGGAGACCTGCAGATCCACGGGGACAGGAGGTGAGCTTTCTTCAGACAGCTTTAGGTTTGCACATCACACATTTCCCACAGTCTCCCCGGGCACATCTGCAAATTAAAGAAACTCTGGGTTATACCCCAATGCTAGAGATGGTGACAGAAATGCAATGGACCTGTGGGATAAGTGTTCCAAAAAATGACTTTCATTCTCCTGCCTTTCTGTCTTCCCTCCTTCCTCCCTTCGTTTCTTCCTCCTTCCCTCTCTTCATTCCTTCCTTCTTCCATCCCTCCCTCTTTCCCCTCTCCCTTTCTTCCTTCTACTCTTTATTTTTTTCCTCCCTTCCTCCCTTCCTCCCTCCCTTCCTCCCTCCCTTCCTTCATTCTTTCCTCCCTTCCTACCCCCACCCTCTCTTTTGGATATGGGTTTGATTTATGTAATGTTTCATGGTCTGCAAAGTTCATTTGGATAGAGGTTGTCCATAATATGTGTCTCTCCCATTTGTCAATAAGGAAGTAGAGGCATCATGAAGTTGACAGCATTCTATGTGTATTCAGGGATAGAACTTGATCCCAAATATTCTGAATCTCAGTCCCATGTCAGCTAGGAGACTGCTGGACTAATGCAGGCAAGAGATGGTGGTGGCTTGAACACAGCAGTCCATGTGGAAGTGGTGAGAAGTGGTCAGATTTTGGATATAATTTGGTTGTTGGCACAGGAGAGAAATGGAGGTGTTAAAAGTGACTCTGAGGTTTTCACCTGATCAACTGAAGGAAGAGCAGGCACGGTGTGGGGGCACACAAGGGAGTAGGGGCATATGGGCATGCTCAGGTTCCATGAAACTCATCCTTTTCAAGTGGAGACATGTGAGGTTTGAGATGTCCATTAGACAACCGAGGGGCATCCAGGAGGCAGCTGCACACACAGGTCTGGAGCCTGGGGTGGGATCTGCAAGGAGATGCACGTTTGGCATCATCAGCATGTGGAACGAGGAAACCACCAAGGGGCATGCATGGACAGAGAAGACAGAAGGGCAACAGATTGAGCTCCCGGGTACCCCAACATTCATCAGTTGGGGAGCAGAGCGGACAATGAAGCCAGCTTGGAGTGGTCACGGCGCTAGGTGGAGCAGCAGGGAAGGCTCAGTCAGGGCTGAGCTGCTCCTGGCGGTGTAGGGCACAGGTGAGGAGGCAAGGGGCAAAGGAGGTGGGTCCCTTCGCAGGCAGACATGCACCTGGAGAAGAGCACACAGCCCTTGTGCAGTGCGTGGGCTGAAAGGTCAGAGTCCTCCTTTTGGCACACAGACCTCAGCATTTTGCTGTAAAATGCTTTTTCCACCACCGCATCCCACCCCGTCCAAATGTAAACTTCCCTTTAAAAAAATTTTTTTTGCAAGATAAACATGTGATGATTGATATCTTTCCAAGGGATTAAGTGACTAAAAACCAGCTTTCACTTGATCCAGAAATTGATATCTTCAACGCATCCCTTTCCAAAAATAACAAAGAAAAGAACAAAAGACATACACAGACACACACACACACACACACACCACACACACGTGGGCTATTAAACATCATGGTAGGAAAGTTTCCAGAAAGATAAAAAGAGTTTGTTGAAGATTTTAACAACTAAACGGACACTCCCTTGGCTTCCAGACTCTAATCAGAGCTGAGACATGAAGCAAAGAAAGGTGTGTTTTCCACAGGTTGCTGGCCCATGTCTGCAGATTAATCCATGGGTGTCTGGTCCTGTCCAGGCCTTCTAAGTTGGCTTCATGCTTCTGGGCTGCTGGGCAAAGTGACTCTGTGCTAGTCGGGATTCTGGTTTGGGTTTATAGTGTCTGTGCCTTCTTCCACAGCGTCTCCTTGGCACAATGGCCTTAGGGCTTCAAAGTGAAGCAGGAAACCCCCTCCTCCAGGAGACCCCCGGTTTGACCACAAGGGACTAGTCTTGGAGTTTGGCTGAGGACTACTAACTCTTGAGGGTAGCATTCAAGACTCTTCCTAGCTTCCCAATACTCTGAGATCTTCCCAGCATGCGTCTGGTGCTTTTTATTTTTTCCACCTCTGAGCCTTTGCAGCTGCTGTTCCCTTCATCAGATATGCCCTTCCTTCCTCTCCTCCTCAATCTCTGCATATTCAAATTCTCACCATCTCTTAAGACCAGGATGACCATAGAGTCTGGTTTACCTGGCATTGGTTTATATGTGCTCTCCTACTGTCATGATTAGCAGTGCCCCGTTTCACTTTCAAAAATAGCCTGTTGTAGACAATTGATTCCATAGTTACCCAACAAGAAGTCCAGCTCAAATGTCTCCTCTAGGAAGCCATCCCTGATTCCCAAGGAAAGATCTCCTTTATGCTGAACGTACATAGCTGCAGCCCTCCAAGTGTATCATGCTAACCTTCTCTGAATGTGGCCTCTCTCCCCTGCTGGGCAGATACAGTCCCTTTATGAAAAACATTTACACTGAGATACATTTGCATTGAAGATACATTGAAGTCTTACCTCCAGGTTTCTGGCAATATGCCCTTATTTGGAAATAAGGTCTTCGCAGATTTAACAAGGTTAAGATGAGCTCATTAAGGTGGGCTCCACTCCAGTATGACGGGTGTCCTTATAAAATGGGGGAATTTGGAACAGATACTGACACACACAGGGAGAAGATGGCTACGTGGCCGGGATGATGGGTCTACAAGCCAAGGGACACTCAGGACTGCCAGCAACCACCAGGCCTGGAAGAAGCAAGGAAGGAGCCCCCCTTGAAGCAGGCAGAGGGAGCAGGGTCCTGCCCACAACGTGGTAGGGGACTTCCAGCACCCAGAACTGTGAGACAATACCTTTCTGTTGAGGGCCCCCATTTTTGGTGCATTTTTACAGCAGCTCTAGGAAACTAGCATCTATAGTAACTACTTCTTTAAAAGACTACTTTATTTGGATACAATTCATACATCACAAAATTTTCCCCTTTAAAGTGTACAGTTCAATGGCTTTTGGTATATTCACTATATTTAGTATATTCATGCGTCACTAATTTTAGAACATTTTCACCACCCTCAAAAGAAATCCAATATCCATTAGCAGTCACTCCCCAGCCTCCTCACCTCCAGACAACCACAAATCTGTTTTCTGTTTTGGGGGCTCAGAAACAGATACCCCAAAATATGGCACTGTGACACACAGAACTGAAGAAGCCTCAAGGTCTGTCTGACTTCCCCCAACTCCATGCTTGCCTCTCACGTTCCCTTATCTGTGTAAAGTCTGGACTCACCAAAGAAGAAAACAATTACCATTTGTCCCTTCCCTGATTTTTCTTTAACGAATTCATATCGCAGGAAGACTGAAGTCTGTCAACACACCTGGACAGACTTTTGTCATAAACCATTGTCTGCTCTGCGGGCCCAACAGACTTTGTCCCAGGCCATTATATGTTCTTCAAGCCCAGTGAATTCCCCTAAAAGTCATTCGCTATCCTAACATCATCCACACTTCCCCATCTCCCTTTCCCCTAAGAAGTAGGGTAGAGAAGGATCCATACCCCATTGGGATATTGGATAGTCACTCTGTAATATTTCCCCAGTGCATGCTAATAAATGTGTATTCCATTTCTCCTCTTAATCTATCTTTTGTAGACTATGGAATGACTATGGGTGACTATGGAATCACGGGTCTAAAACAGGATATTTTTCAGCAAACCTTCTGAGAGTGAATGGAAAGTTTTTCCTTCACCCCTACACTGTCTCTATAGGTTTTCCTATTCTGGATATTTCACACAAATGGAATTATACACTATGTGGTCTTTTGTGATTGGCTTCTTTCACCTAGCATGATGTTTTCAAGGTTCATCCATGTTGTAGCATGTACCAGTACTTCATTCCCCTTTGTGGCTGGATAATACTCCATTGTGTGGATACACCACATTTTATGTGTCCATTCATCAGTTAATGAACATTTGAGTTTTTTTCAGTTTTTGGCTATTATGAATAGTGCTGCTTTGAACAGTCATGTAGGAGTTTTTGTGTGGGTGTGCGCTTTTAATCCTCTTGGATAAGGAACTCTTTTTCATTGAAAAATAATGCCTGTGCATGGTAAACAAAATTGCCAGTGCCAACCAAAAGTCAGCCCCTTTCCCTCCCCTGGCGGAGCCTCCCTCCCACAGACCAGCTATTCGTTTCTTTTGCGTCGTCTCAGAAATGTTTTCTGCACGTAGGCACGTAGGCACAAGGTGAGTGCACACTCCTGCTCTCCAGGGAGAATACCAGCCTGCTCTGTCCCTCATCCTTTTCCCAGATCGATGCTTCTGGATCTCTCAGCATTGGTGTATAGAGCTGCACTTTTTTTTCCTTTCAGTGACTGTCTCAATAAATTGTTTGAATGTGCCCCTGCTCCCCTTATTATTATTATTTTTTTTGAGACAAGGTCTCGCTGTCACCCAGAGAGTACAGTGGCGCGATCACAGCTCGCTGCAGCATCGACCTCCTGGGCTCAAGTGATCCTCCCACCTCAGCCTCTTGAGTAGCTAGGACCAAAGTCACGCACCACCACTCCCGGCTATTTTTTTTTTTAAGAGATGGGATCTCCCTATGTTGCCCTGGTTGGTCTCCAACTCCTGGACTCAAGAGATCCTCCTACCTCAGCCTCCCAAAGTGCTGGGCCACAGGCTGAATGTGCCCATTTTTACTGACCTATCTAAAGGCCATTTAGGCTGCTTCAAATCTTGCATCACTGCAAATATGGCACCCTAAATATGGTTGTGTGCTCATACAAAGATTTCTGGGAGTTTAAGTGCCACAGATGGACTTTGGTACATAGAAAGTGAACTTTTTTGGTTGGAAAAAGATGGCCCTGAGTTTCCCGATGTTGAGACTGAGTCGTAGTCACTGCTGGGCTCCTCCAAAGCCCATGCGCAGCATAGATGTAGAGGGGATGGGGATGCTTGCCCTCAACCTATTTCCTCCCTTAGACCTGAGAGGTTTGACTATCACTGCCAATTCACCAACCAGTTGATGACCCCATGTGGTCATCATAGAGACCCTTTGCCAACCAGTTTCCATTAAAGTTAAGAACCAAAATAAATTATCCTCTTAAAAAATAATAACTTTTAAGAAGTTGGAAACCTACAACTTTAAAACCAGCCAGATTTTTAAAAAAATCTTTCTGAATTATGAACCGGGTTTTAGACAGTCTTCTTTTTTTTCCATCTTGCTAAGTCAAGCACAGGCTTTGAAAACAAACCACATTGAATTTGCACCCACTCAACGAAGATTTTTTGACAAATCAATTTTATTGTGTGGTGTGCCTTCAAAACTGAGAATCCAGTGAGGCAAACTCTATCCCACCCTGACACTGAGTTAGCTGGGTGCCCTTGAGAAGAATGTTTTTTACCTTAACCAGGTGACAGTTTGCTAACAACAAACAGAGGGGTGAGATAAGACTAAGACTCTATGATCTTAAGCTTCTAAACCAAGCTAATCTATATACTTTCATAGCCTTTACCTGCCCACTGGTGGACAGAGAGGCCTTTCTTTTAATATGGAACCTTAACCACAGATTGGGTTTAATCTCAGACTTAACACTCTAAACTTTCTTTGAACTTGAAGTGCAAACAAAGCGCTAATGTCGGATGTAGCCATCTACACGGAATATGAAAGACACTTTAGGGATGCTGTTTGCCTAAGTAAGCTCCAGAGGCTGGGATTGCCAGTCTCCTTAGCCTGTGCAGGCACCTTTGGCAGAGGTTTCAGGTTGGATATGGGGCTTGGTAATGGCCCAGGGATGAATTCATATTTCCCCCCCTGGCTCATTACCAGGGGATAAAGGCACCTTCCGCAGCTCCCAGCAGGTTCGGAGCAGGAAGTGGGGTGGTTTGGACAGCAGGAATCTGACTCCTCAGAGGCAACTGAGAAGCCATTGTTCCAGGGCTTCCCGGGGCGCTTTTGTTGGCAATTCCTTCATGTCTCAACTGGAGCTAAGGTCTTCACCCAGCCACTGATAAACAACACAGTCAGTGCCAGAATAAGTCCCAGGACACTCCCCTTCGGCCAGTCACTACCCTGCTCAAGTACCTTCAATGACTCCCCAGTGCCCACTAAAGCACTGCGGTGCTCCAAGCTGGCCACAGTCTGGCCTAATTACCTGGCTATCCTTAATGCCTGCAACTTCTCATTACTTTATCTTGCCCAGCATGTATCTAGCATCCACTCTGGGCCAGGTACTGTGTTAAGTGCTCTGCAGGCATCTTCCAGGTTCATCTTGATGAGCATTCTAGAGGAAGACCTCATAGTATCATGTAGATGAGGAAACAGAGGCACCAAGTTGCTAAAGTAGCTTGCCTAATGCCACACAGCCGGGGAGCAAAGAGTCAACGCAAACCCCATCCCTGTGCACTCTCTGCTGCCCGGGACTGGGGCCATGCCCTGAGTACCAGTGTGTGCAGCGCAGAGTGACGAAGAAGCACCAGCCAGGCGATGAGTGGGGGAAGAACACTCCAGGCAGAGGCAGTAGCAAATGCATTTCTTTCTCTGAGCCTCAGTTTCCTCACCTGTTAAGTGTGTGCACGTATGCACACCCTTGTGTGCCCACTGTGTGTGTTTGTGTGGAGGTCGGGAGGCGTTGCCTTCCGGTTGTCTGAGACTCCCCCTGGAATCTGGAAATGATTTTTGGATGCCTCTTTAAATTTTGTGCCTCTCTTGTCTTACCCCTAGCCCTATCAGGCTGCTAGCTGTGATTGCCAATTCAGAAAATAGATAAGTAAACAGACTGACCAGGACCAGTGAGCTGGGGCATAGGGAGCATGAGATTGGGGTCTTCTGGCCACAGTCACCTGGGCTTGAGCAGGGGCTGTCCCTGTGAGACAGGGTGCCCTCTCTGCTACCCCTTGCTGTCTTGTAAACCTGGTCTGTTTTCCTGATCTTCATCCTCTGCAAGTCCCTTGCAGACGCTGGAGTTTGCGATTCCTGGGCAGCATGTTTCAGAAGGCTTATGAGGATATGCTGTTTAGTTTCTGTTCTATTTAACACATCTGCAGTGGCCATGTTACATCTCCTTTGCTGCTTTTCTTTTTTTCCTGTTTTCTGCTTTCTGTTCCATCATCTCCCACTCTTTTCCCCCAACTTCTCTCTCTTCAGCTCCCCAGAAAATCTCCTTTCCACCCCAACTTCTTTCTCTATCATATCATATCTAAACATTATTTGGCATAATAAGTCTTCCAGAAGTCAGGGAGGGCTTCAGAGAGGTGAGTAGGGCTCTTGAGCAGGGCTTCGAGGAATGAACAGGAGTTGGTTAGGAAGAGAAAGAAGGAAAGGGCAGGAAACTAAGGTGCTTAAATACAAAGGCTGGATCCATACAGGCAGGGTTTGAATCCTGGCTTAGCCACTCTGTGGCTGTGTGATCTGGGGCAAATTACATAACCTCATCAAGCCCGAGTTAACTCATCAGCATAATGGGAATTTCCAGATTATCTCAGTGTCAGAGTCTCTGGGCTGGTCCTACTGGCTGATGAGAGCCAACTGTGCATCTCTCTTCCAATGCTGCATTTGACAATGTCACCCTGGGAGCTTGAAATCTGCCACTGTGGAAGTATTTGCACCATGGAAATCGGCAGACTCTACAAGTCAGAACATTTTTTTCCCCCTCCAGAGAGCCAGTTCACCAACACATCACCACCTGCAGCTGGGAAGCTGGGTTAAGATTAGATTTGATTGCAAGGGGCTTTGAACAGCAAGGCCTGGAGATGTATTGTTCAAATGTTTGCTGTGGAACTTCAGAGACACAATTTGACCCTACCTAGTCTGAGGGGAAAAAAAAAAAATTTTTTTTCTTTTAGAAATAAAGAAGGCCTGAGTTTCTAAACTCAGAAGGCTTGAGTTTCTAAAAAAAAAAAATCCCAAACACATTCTCATATTATATTTACATAACTCTTCAAAAGATCTCCTAGAACACCTTAATTAAAAATACATATATATTATTTCTGTTGAATGAGCAAACCTTGAATAAGAAAATCACCAACGTTCTCAAGCTGAAAAACGGGGAGATTTTTAACTGGGAAAAACTGGGTGTGGAGGGGTCAGCAGTGGCCAGTTCACACGTAACTTAGCTGGGAAGGAAGCTGGCCTGTATCCTATTAGCAGTGGGAAATCATGGGAGGGTTTGAAGCAGACAAAGGCTATGATCAGATTCTGGTCTTGGAAAACATCCTTCTGGCTGCTCTTTGGAGAAGAGTCGGGAGAGAGCCGAAACAAATTCAAGGAGACCAGGCAAGAGATGAAGGGGATGTGGACAAGCATGTTTCTGGAGAGACAATGCTGTGTGTTTGCCTTACTTCCTTTTTCTCCTGGGCACTCAGCTGGACTACATTTCCCAGGCTCCTCTGCAGTGAGGTAGGACCATGTGATTTAGTTCCGGCCAATAGAATGTGGGCAGAAGTGATGTAAGGAACTTCCTGCCCTGGCCAAGGAAACTCTCCCATACAATCCTCTGGGCTGTTTCTCTTTCCCGCTTGCCTCCTGCAGAGGGTCCAATGCAGAACTCCAAGGCCTGAGGGGTGGCAAAGCCACTGGCTGGAAGGAGCCTGGGTTGCTGAATGACTGTATGGAGCAGAGACTCACCATTCACTGCATTGGACTGTGCTGAAAAGGACAAACCTTCCTTGTGTTGAGCCCTGAGACCTGGGACTGTTTGTTACAGCTGCCAACCTGATGGATGTTGGGTGATGAATCAGAGACAGGGGTGCAGACTAGAGAGCTCTTTGGGGTAAAGTCGTGGGACTTGGGATAGATTGGAAGTGGAATGAGAAAAGAGGAGGCATCGCGGACAGAGTCCATGTTTCTGATTGAGCAGTGGTGCCTTTTGCTCAGAGAATGTGAGGAGGTCTTTCTGGAGGGCTGTTTGGTGCATTTCAGATACTGGAGTAGAGCTGTCAAGAGGCTCTTTTCTTGGCCTGTGCCATGTGGGGCAGTCCAGCAGCTCCTCCAGAAGCATGTTATGGTGGCAAATGCTGCCCGTCATTCATCCGAAAGAGGAGACAGGGAACATCTGCCTGTGAAGTCATCGTGCTGCCCTCAGCCAGAGCCTACCCAGGAGAGCTGGGGAATACTAACTGCTTCCTGCCCAGCCCAGCAACACCCTACCATGTCCATATTTGTGACCCCAAGCTGTGACAAGGCTAATGTTGGGACCTAATTTATTTTTACTTCCTTTTAACAAATGTTTCCTGAGGGCCTATGATAATCATAATATTAAAACTATTATTTATTACCCACCGCTAGTCCCAATTACTCGAAAGACTGAGGCAGGAGGATCACTTGAGCTCAAGAGTTTGAGTCCAGCCTGGGCAACATAGCAAGACCCCGTCTCTAAAACAAAAACAATTTTTTAGAAAACTACTGAAACTACTGCTATTTCTTAAGCACTTACCATGTTCTAGACAGTATGCCAAGTGCTTTACTACATTTCATTAAATCTCCAACAGAGATGGGAACTATTATTGGCCGCATTTGACAGGTGGGGAAACTGAAGTTCAGAGAGCTAACTCTGCACGAGCTAGGCTTTGGACCCAGGTCATCAAATTCTATAGTCTGTTATCCCCATATGAAGCCAATTCTGCCTGGAGCACCAAGATTGACATGATCTCACAGAACTGAGCGTGGCCCCATCTCCTGCATTCCCCGGAGAGGCCCTTTTAGTCTCTCACAGTTCTTGTTCCACCAGAGTGGGTAGTGGCTGCTGTCTGCCACCCAGCACATTGGCACATTTTGGAGACCTCTTCCTTTGTCTTTGGGAAGCCTGGGGCTGGGCTACCCCATTGCATTTCCCTCCATGAGAGGAGACTGTCATTTTGCCAGGTCCTGGGTCCTAGGTTACTGGGCCACCCACTGTTGGCATGGTGACCAGATCATGACCCAAATCATGGCCCCTGATGGGCACAGATTCCTAGGCAGCCACCGTCCTCAGAAGGGGCCAATGGGCCTGGCATCCAGAGCAGTTCTTGAGCTAGTGTGGAAACCCATTTACACCACCTTAGCCCAAAAGTAGTGTTTAAGGAATCACAGAATCCAAGGGAAAGTTTGGGCCAAAATCTAGAATCAGCCACCCAGATGTCACCACAAGCCTCTCCCCATCCCTTATCGCTACTCCTTGAAGACTGCCACAGGACAGAGGCAGGTGGTTGCCCACCTAGCATCCCTTCTCATTTAAAAGAGCCCTGGCCGAGCCCTGCAGTGGGTCACACCTGTAATCCCAATACTTTGGGAGGTCGAGGCAGGAGAACCACTTGAGCCCAGGAGTTGGAAACCAGCCTGGGCAACAGAGCGAGACCCTACCTCTACAAAAAAATGAAAAAATTAACCAGGTATGGTGGGGCATGCTTGTGGTCCCAGTTACTTGGGAGGCTGATATAGGAGGATCACTTGAGCCCAAGAGGTTGAGGCTGCAGTAAGGTATGATTGCACCACTGTACTCTAGCCTGGGCTGCAGAGCCAGACCCTGTCTAAAATAAAATAAAATAAAATAAAATAAAATAAAATAAAATAAAATAAAATAAAATAAAATAAAATAAAATAAAATAAAATCCCTGATTTTCTTCAGCAGGATGCTCTTTCCCAGCCTCACCATCTCAGCCATGAGATGTAAGCAGACACCTGCTATGAGTTCTGGGAAAGTTTTTGTATCCTTGATAAAAAAAATGTCGAACACAACTGGCCTAGCCCTTCCCCTTTTTATCCTTCCTTGAATGCAGATGTAATGACTGGAGCAGAGGCAGCCATCTTATACCCATAAGAGAAAGGCAAGAAAACCACAAAATTCCAGTTCTAACCTCATTGAGTGGCCGAACCAATGCCTGTGGTCACCTGTCTCTAGATGTCTTGTCACATGAGGAAAATATAACTTTAGTTATTAAGCCATTGAGGGACAGATTTGTTCTGACTTGCAGGAGAAAGCCATCCTAATGGAGACTATTGCTGTCACCGTCACTGCTGCTACATAAATGGAAACATAGTTGCCTCTGGCCCCTGAGTTTTGTATTTTATAGGCTCTGAACTCAACCTTCTGTGTCCCAAGTTTTAAAAAAAACATTCCTGGGCTGAGACTCATTGGCCCAGTTTAGATTGTCTATGCCTGGGCCACTCTTCCATGGCCAGGGAGGGTGGACTGTGATTGACCCAGTTGGTGCCAACCCTTAACCCAATCAACCATGGCCAGAGGAATTGGTGGGGAGGGGGGGTGCCATTTGAATATGAAGATAAGAGAGCTCCAGGCAGCCTGGCTCATTAGTGTGTCATTCTGGTCACCCAGATCAAGGGCACTCACAAGGTCGTCCTCACTCCCGCCTCGCTTTCATCCACTCTACCATGTTTACTGCACGTTCACTGTGTGTGCTGCACGGTGCTAGGGCAAGATGGAATTTGAACTGGATTATCCAGAGTCCAAGATCTGGCCCGTATCCACTGCTAGACCCTGCAGGCAACCTGGCTCTGTCCCCTTAGAGTCCTTGGTCTCAGTTTACAGGCTCGGGTTCAAACTCGGGCTCTGCCACCCATGGCTGCTGACAGTTTCCCCCTGCTGCTCAGCTTTCTCGTCTGTAACAGGTAGGGGTTCCCTTGCTGAGTTCAGAGTCCTTTCCTGGCGTCAGTGAGCTTCGGAGTCAGCAGGCTGGATTCCATTCCCAGCTTACCCTCTCCTGGCTGTGTGACCTCAGGCGGCCACCTCACTTCTCTGCACCATGATCCCCTGTCTTTAAACCATGGGGATGACCCTGCCCCCAGGTTATGGGGTAGAGTAATTCATGAGATGACCCTGGGTCACACAGGAGGTGCTCAATAAATCCTAAAAATAAAAGCTTAGCAGCCCCAAGGGAATGTGTGACAAATTATAGGCAGGATTTCCTGAGGCTGGCAGTCCAGGAAGAGGTCAAGCATTGGGTGGGGTTTATCCCCCACCCCCCAGGCCTGGAGAAGCTCCTGAAACAGGCAGACAGGACAGGAATGGGGCTCCCAGACCCCTGCCCTTGCCTGCATAATCTTGTGGGACTGGTTGGCAGATGTGGGTCAGTGGTGCATACGCGTCCCTGGAGTGAGGGCAGCGGAAAGCTGTTCCTGTCCATCTGAGGGCTGGCAGCCACCAGGGCCACATCCGCATAGAAGAAAGAAACCAAGGGCAGCACTTGGGTCCTGTCACTGACAGCTGCTGGCCACAGAAGAGAGGCTGACCTTCTCTTTGTCCCCCCGGGAGGCAGGCGGGGCTGGTGAGGGGACGAGGGTTTCAATCCAGGCACTTGGGCAACCCTCCCCACGTAGCTGGCGTTTCTTCCCAAGCCACAGCCCCGGGACTACATGAAAAACAAAGCTTCCTGGCCCCAGCAGCATGTATCACTGCCTTCCTGGGCCAGTCCCTGGGTAGGGCTTTGGAGAAGGGGCAGCACTCACAGACTGATGGAGGATGGGAACTGCAGGCCAGGTTGGAAGAGCTCCCTTTACCGACAATCTGCAGAGCATTAGACACTGTGCCCAGCACATTCACTTAGGTACACTCTGGCCCTTGGAAGGAGGACCCGTTATTACCCCCATTGTACAGAAGAGGAAACTGACGCTCAGAGAGGCAGGCTGGCTTACTGTGGGTCACACAGAAAGTGGGAGCTTGGATTCCAGACCAAGTCTGCCCAACCCCTAAGAGTGGCCTCTTTCTCTCATGTGACGTAGTCTCCAGGAAACAGGCGAAAAGTCCAAATGGCATCATGGTAGGGTGGGAAGCATTTGGGCCGGGTGTCAGGGAACCGCTCCTAGTTCCTCAAGGGCTTGAACCACCCTTCCTTCCTTTCCCCAGCTGAGCTCTTCCTCCACCTCCAGGTCTCCATTTAGACGCCTCCTCCAGGAATCTCCCCTCGATTTCCCCTGCCTGGGACTCCACCTCTCAGCTCCCGTAGCCCCCTTGGTCTGAACCCATCTGTCCTCCCCAGGAGAATCTAAACTCCATAGGGCAAGACGACGTCTGCCAAATTCCCCACAGAATCTTCAGGGGTTGGCAGGGTGGCTGACACATAGTAGGCCCTCAATAAATATTTGTGGAATACATGATAGACCAGACACCCCAGCCCCAAAAGCATGGAGCATAGACCCTTTTCTGGGGTAAGGGCTGCATCTCTGGGCCAAGGAGAACAGGATGGGAGAGATCCCAGGAGTCCCAGGGGTCCCAGAGACTCCCTCTCAGGACCGTGCCCCCTGCCCACAGTAAAACGTGTCCCCAGAGCCCAGCCCATCACATTTTTTCCTGACAACTCACTCTGTGATTCATTCTTAGCCCCTGGCATGCCTGGGCCTACCCAGAAGCCATAGGCACTGGTGCTAAGTTTAGTGACTGCAAAATGTCCCCGTGAAATTCCAGACAGAGCCAAGGGGCTGGCGGCGCATTCCGCAGAGCTTTCTTGGGTCCTCCCACTCTGCTGCTGGGCGTGAAGGGGAACCAAAGCGTCCTTCCAGTAAATAGCCTGGAAGGGCCAGGTCCCTATCTGAGGGCCTTGACTAGTGGCCACAGAGCTCAAGGGCAAAGGTGGCCATTATTGTCAGAGGAACTTGGTGTGGAGGACTGGAAGCCTCGGAAAGCCTTCAAATAATACACCATAATGAAGAGGGGACTTGAGGTTCAGGACAAACCTCTCTCTCCCTTGGAATCCTATAGAGATGTTGAACAGTGCATGCCCAGGTAAAACTTCCCTGCTTAGAGCTGAGGTCTGCCTGCCTATGCCTATCTAGAAGATGGGAATGTCCTGGCTCTGCCCTTTGGACCTCAGAGCTACCTGTCTCCCGCTCTTCATAGGACAGGACCTCCAGCCCTCTCCCTGCTCTGTAGCCACCTCTAGATTTTTCTCTGTCTGCTCTGACCCTTTCTCAAAGATGAGCCAAAGATCCCAAAACAAGACAGAACAGAGGAGAGGGTCTGAGATGTACAGGAGGAAGGTCTCGAGCTTGTGGTCCATTAAGACCTTCAGATCTTATTCACATTAACATATTCCCTGGGAAGGCCTCCCTCGGCACACGTCTAGCAATTGGTTTCCATTAATTTCTCCTCCATGAGGGAGAAACCATATCCACCTCATTATTTGACTCAGCAATCTCAGTCTCATTGCTGGACTGTCAGCTCCACAGGGCCAGGGAGGGGCTGTCATAACACCACACTCTCCCCAGCCCTGAGCATGATATCTGCACAGAGGTGGCACTGAGAGGGCAGCCTTTTTTCAAATGTGAAATATAAATACAACAGAAGATTATAACCACTAAAAAATAATTTTAAAACAATAAGTCAAAGCAAATTAAGTCAAATCAATAGGGTAATAAAAGCACTTTTTTTCCTTTTTGAGACAATCATGATCACTGCAGCCTCAACTGCTGGGGCTCAAGCAATCCTCCTGCCTCAGCCTCCCAAGTTGCTGGGATCACAGGTGCATACGACCACACTTGGCTAATTTTTTTGTTTTTGTAGAGACAGAGTCCTGTTATGTTGCCAGTCTGGTCTCAAACTCCTGGCCTCAAGTGATCCTCCCACCTCAGCCTCCCAAAAGGAAGTGGGAGCTGTTGGCTCATACAGGCATGAACCAACATGCCTGGCCAAGGAAAGCACTTTCAACTAATGGTGCTGAAACAATGAGACATAGATATAGAAAAAAATATATATGTCAACTGCTGCAATTGATTCAAAAATCAATTTGAAATGGATCTAAATGTAAAAAGCAAAGCCAAGCTTATAAAGGAAACACATTAATATTTTTGCAACATTAGAGAGGCAAGGGTTTCTTGGTCAGGACACAAAAAGCACTAACTTTAAAAGAAAAAAAATGGATAAGTTGGATTTCATCCAAGTTCAAATTTTCTGCTCATTAAAAGACAGCATTAACAAAACTAATAGGCAAACCAAAGACTGGGAAACAATATTGACTCTGCGTGTGTGTGTGTGTGTGTGTGTGTGTGTGTGTGTGTCACAAAGGGTTTATTTGAGAACATATAAATAACTACAAATGAACAGTAACAAGATGAATAATCCTGGCCAGGCTCGGTGGCTCACGCCTGTAATCCCAGCACTTGGGGAGGCCGAGGCGGGCAGACCACTTGAGGTCAGGAGTTCAAGACCACCCTGGCCAACATGGTGAAACCCCGTCTCCACTAAAAATACAAAAATTAGCTGAGCCTGGTAGTGCCCACTTGTAGTCCTAGCTACTCGGGAGGCTGAGGCAGGAGAATCACTTGAACCCAGGAGCCGGAGGTTGTAGTGAGCCGAGACAGCGTCACTGTACTCCAGCCTATGTGACAGAGCGAGACTCCGTCATAAAAATAAAAAAAAAAAAAAAGAAAAGATGAATAATCCAATTGTGAAACATGGCAGAAGACTTGAACAGATACAAAAGAAGGTATCTGGCTGATAAGCACATAGAACGATGCTCAGCACCAAGGAAACACAAAATGTTAAAATTATAATTATAACCAGATGCCATTTTACACCTACCAGAATGGCTGCATTTTTTTTGTAAAACTTACAACACCAAGTGCCATGAGGATGAGGAGCGGCTGGGGCTCTGACTCTGCTGGAGGATGTGTGAACTGTGCAGATATTTGGGAAAACATCGGCAAGTTTCCTATAAAGTCAGGCAGCTAATGGGATTTTTAAGATACCTTAAATTAAGCAGACATCTACTGAATAACTCAATCATTCCACTCCCAGCTTCTTTACCCAGGAGAGATGAAAACATGTCTCCACAAAGACTCATATGCAAATATGTGTGACAGCTGTCACACACATATGAGCCCCAAACTGGAAACAACCCAAATTTCTATCACCAGGGATGTGGATAAATAAAACTGTGGAGCATCCGTACTATGGAATACTACTCAGTAATAAAAAGAAATGAACTACTGATAGACACAATAACCTGGATACATTTCCAAAACAGCACACTGAGGGAAAGATGCCAGACCCCAGAGAGAACATCCTGTACAAGTCCATTTACGTGAAGCTCTGGGACAGGCAAAGTTGAGCTGCGCTGAAAGATATCAACACACAAGGTGGGGTGTTGTGGCTCATGCCTGTAATCCCTGTAATCCCAGCACTTTGGGAGGCCGAGGTGGGTGAATCAACTTGAGGTCAGGAGTTCGAGATCAGCCTGGCCAACATGGTGAAACCCCGTCTCTACTAAAAATACAAAATTAGCTGGTCATGGTGGCATGTACGCCTGTAGTCCTGGCTACTCGGGAGACTGAGGTGGGAGAATTGGTAGAACCCAGGAGGTGAAGGTTGCAGTGATCTGAGATGGTGCCACTGCACTCCAGCCTGGGCGACAGAGTGAGACTCTGTATCAAAAAAGAAAGAAAGAAAGAAAGAAATCAATGCACAAGTTTCTGGGGGCTGAAGGTGATTGCAAATGAAAACAAGGGAAGTTTCTGGGGTGTGGGAAATCTCTCAAATCTTGCTCAAGTGATAATATCAAGGGCAACTACAAGTGTAAAAAACTCATTGAAGTGAACACTTAAGATGTATACAATTTATGCTGCCCTAGTTATATTTGTCTTCAGCAAAATATCTTTTATTTATTTATTTTTTTTTTTGAGACAGGGTCTTGCTCTGTCACCAAGGCTGAAATGCAAGTGGCACTATCATGGCACACTGCAGCCTTGACCTCCCAGGCTCAAACGATCTTCCCACCTCACCCTCCCAAGCCTCTGGTCCTACAGGTGTGAGCCACCATACCTGGCTAATTTTTAATTTTTTTGTAGAGACAGGGTCTCACTATGTTGCCCAGGCTGGTCTTGAACTTCTGGGCTCAAGCAATCCTCTTGCCTCAGCCTCCCAAAGTGCTGGGATTATAGGTGTGAGCCACCATGCCTGGCCAAAATATATCTTAAGAAAAAAAAAATTCTAAAACAACTAATATTAATAATAATTTAAAATAATAATAATATTGCAAACTGTGAACTTCTACCACCAGCTTATAAAATAGAACATTACTACTATGCATCCTTCTCCCTTTCTCAGAGGTAATCACTAGCTGGGATTTTACGTTCGTTATTCCTCTGATTTTCTTTTTAATTGTACTACCTCTAGTCTATTCCCTACATAGCATATTGTTTTGTATGCCTGTCTGGACACTCTATAGGAATGGACTCATTCTGTTTGTATTCTTCTGAGACCTGCTTTTTTCACTCACATTGTGTCTCCATCATTTATTCATCCATTCATTCATTTGTTCATTCACATAGCTATAACTCATTCATTTTCATTGCTGTATACTATTCCAACGTAGAGCTATTTATCATTCTTCTGCTGATGGCCATTGGGTTACTCTAGGTTATAGCAAATTGTGCTTGTGCATGTCTTCTGGTGGGTGTGGGTATGAGTTCCTCTAGGGTAAAAAGGCAGGACAGGACTTGCTGGGTCATGTTAAACATGTCTCTAATTTACTAAATAATTCCAAGTTTACTAGAAATTACTGGGTAGTTTCCAAAATGGCCACCCCAATTTAGACTGCCACAGTAGAGGATGAAAATTCCAGCTGCTGCACATCATCACCAAACCTTGGCATTATCAGAATTTTCTATGTTTGAAAACAAAAATAGGGATCACAAACTCAAATGCCCTGGGCACCATTAATGTAACCAGTGACTAGACTGGGAGGACAGTAAGGACTGGTGGGGACTGCAGCAAACATCTGAAAGAGGCAGACTTAGCTCCGCTCCCTGACTGTGGCCAGGAGGGAATGCAGACCTTGGGCTGCCAAAGCTCTGGCGTTTTCCAAGGAAGCTAGATATCTAGATTTTTACAGAAAGTCTTCTTTTGAAATGTCAGCAAAGATTTCAGATTTGTTTAAAACACAGTACGGCCGGGTGTGGTGGTTCACACCTGTAGTCTCAGCTACTCAGGAGGCTCAGGCAGGAGGATCGCTTGAGCCCAGTTGTTGGAGACCAGCCTGGGCAACACAGGGAAACCTCGTCTCTTAAATAAATAAATAAAACACAGTATGGACCGTGTATATTTGTGGGACAAGCCCAAACTATTCCTTTTAGATTTCTTCTGTTAAAATTTAACTCAGTTCAATGTGTAGCTCTTGGAGCCTATTGGAGCTTTGGCAAGTGACCTGACTCTCCACAACACAGGTGCCTATGCGCACCACCAGCTATTGTTCCGTTCTGTACCAGCGTGAGTTCATTGTTCTTCCTTCTGCTTTGTTGTTGAGAAAGCTCAGGTTTCCAGAAGTCCTGCTGACTCAGAGGAACAAGGGTAATGAGGGTAATTACTCTAGTGTGCTGTGAAGTAAAAGCTACTCACTCCAAGCTGCTGGAGGAATCGTTCCTCATTCATCCATGCATCCCCTCCAGCTCTCTGCGACTCATTCTTCTCTCAGCAGCCAGAGGGATTCTTCTATCTTTTTTCTTTTTTACTTTTCTTTTTTTTTTCTGAGACAGATTCTCACTCTGTTGCCTGGGCTAAAGTGCAGTGATGTGATCACAGCTCACTGCAGCCTCCACCACCTGGGCTCAAGCAATCCTCCCCCGTCAGCCTTCCAAGCAGCTGGGACTGGAGGCACGCACCACCACCCCTGGCTAAGTTTTTTTATTTTTAGTACAGATGGGGTCTCACTATGTTGCCCAGGCTTGTCTCAGACTCCTGGCTTCAAGTGATCTTCCCGCCTTGGCCTCCCAAAATGCATGGATTACAGGCGTGAGCCACCACGCCCAGCCCAGATGGATTCTTTCAAAACATAAATGAGATGATGTCACTCTCTTGCTTGACCTGTCCATTGATTCTCATCATCCCCATACCCTTGACCGGGGCTCATCATTTGCATCTTTGCCACCCGCCCCTCCCTGGCTCCCCTACAAGCCATCAACGCCCCACACTCAGTCTCACCTGGGGGTGTTTGCACATCAGTCTCCTCTGCCTGCATCACCTCTTCCTTCACCCCTCCCCTGGCTGCTTCCTTCTTAGCCCCCAGATCTGTCTGACATGAATGTCACCTCCCCAGGAAGGCCTCCCCTAATTCCTTCCTAAAATAGCAAATCACTACTCCAGCGGCTCTCCGCACAGCTCCCTGTGCATCTCACTCTTGGCACTCCACGCCCTGCAGGGACCTCCTGCATTTGTGTGCTTGTCACTGACTACCTTCCCTACCACGGTACGAGGTTCCCAAGGGGCAGGGACCTGGAACTGACCACCACATCCCCCGTCCCTAGCGTAGGGCCCAGCGTGTAGTAGCCTTGGAATGAATGCCTGCCTGTGAAGCACCTACTATGTGCCGGACCCTGTGCGCCAGGCCATGGCGCGGTGACATAATGGAGGACTGTGGCCCAGGCCTCAAGGAGCCCAAGACCTAGAAGAGGAGACAGAGACATCCACAGAGAACTGCAGTCCAAGGCAGGAAATGTCACTTGGGAGCAGGGATGCCGTTGGGTGCCCTGCAACATCCAGCTTGGCTGTTTGCTGCTGGCATCCATGCCAGTGGGTTGCTTTGTCCTGCCAGTTGTGAACTATTTTAATTTTCTCCCCCGGATAAAGCTAGAGGTTAGAGCAAACTCTGCTGGGGTTTTTTTTATTTATAAGAAAGGACTTAAGGGCAGATGAGCACTGGATGCAGAGTCAGAATCCCAGCTCTGCCCTCTTAGCTGTGGGCCTCGGGAAGTGTCAGTGTGGAGGGAGGACAAACACCACGCCCCACTCCACACACACAGGAGGGCAGAAGAAGTCAGCACTATCCTGTGTCGAGTGATGGGGAGCGTTTTAAGAAATGTGTCCTTAGGCAATCTCCTTGTCGTGCAGACAACAGAGAGTGTCCTTACACACCCACGTGGCACAGCCCACTATACACCTAGGCTGCATGGGATGGCCTGCTGCTCCTAGGCTACCCACCTGTACAGCGTATGACTGTACGGAACACTGCAGGCAGTTGGAACACAGTGAGAAGTATTTGTGGACCTGAACATATCCAAACATAAAAAAGAAACAGTGAAAATACGGTGTGAAAGATAAAAAGTGGTTCCCCTGTACAGGGCCCTTACCATGAATGGAGCTTGCAGGACTGGACGTTGCCCTGGGTGGGTCAGCGAGTGAGTGGTGAGTGCACGTGAAGGTGTAGGGCATGACTGCACCACTGCAGACTTCAGAAACACTGGAAACTTGGGCTACTCTAAATTCACTTTAGTTTACTGTCACTTTTTTACTTTATAAACTTTTAAACTTTTTAAACTTTTTGAGTCCTTTCTAATAACACTTAGCTTAAAACACCTTGTGCGGCTGTACAAAAATATTTTATTTCTTTATATCCTTATTCTATAAGCTATTTCCTATTTTAAAACTTTTAATTTTTTTTTTTTTACTTTGTAAACTTTTTTGTTAAAAACGAAGTCACGAACGCACACATTAGCCCAGGCCTACATAGGCTCGGGATCATCAAGACACCACTACGCGATAGGGATTTTTCAGCTTCATTAAAATATTGTGGGACCGCCATCACGTACACGGTCGGCCATTGACTAAAATGTCATTGTAATTGTATGACTGTGCTTACTCTGTGCCTGGCAGTATCCTCAGTGCTTTGCATATATTAACCCGTTTAATTCTCACAGCCATCCTTTGAGAAATGCGCTATTTTTTTCCACCTTTTATTTTATTTTATTTTTTGAGTTAGGGCCTTGCTCTGTCGCCCAGACTGGAATGCAGTGGTGTGATCACAGCTTACTGCAGCCTCGACATCCCAGGCTCAAGCAATCCTCCCACTTTAGCCTCCACAGTAGCTAGGACTATAGGTGTGCACTACCACGCCCAGCCAATTTTGTTTTAATTTATTTTTTGTAGAGGTCATGTCCCACTGTGTTACCCAGGCTTGTCTTAAACTCTAGGGCTCAAGTAATCCTCCCACATCAGCCTCCCAAACTGTTGGGATGACAGGCGTGAGCCACTGCACCAGGACTCTCCTCATTTTATAAATCAGGAAACTAAAGAAGGGAGAGGTTGAGTCCTTGCCCCCAGGTCTGTCTTACTCCTAAGCCTGGGCTTCACCAGCTGTGTGGTGCGCCTCCATACTGCGCCAAGGCAGCCCACTCAGACCTGTTCTGCAGCCCAGGAGGGCAATGCCAAGGCCAGCCTGAGAGGTAGCAAGCCTCCAGTCTCAGGGGGTGTGCAAACCAAGGAGGTCAAGGATGCTGTGGGGATGGGGCCCAGGGTGGCCTGTATGCTCCTCTCCCTGCTGCACTAGGGGGGCCCTGAGTTACATGACCCACTTGACCCCCGGCTGGTCACTTCTGCTGTGGGCACCAGCCAGGGCACATGGGACGATTTGGCCCAGATGTATCAGCTGCCTTGGGGACCAGCTTGGGTTGAAGCTCGGAATTCCAGGGGCTCCACAGGGCCTAGCAGGGCCCTGCCCTCACCTTGGGAAGGTAGTGACCTCTCCTGTGCCAGGGCTGTACACACCAAGGGGCTGAGCAGCCAGCAGAGCAGAAAACATTGCTCTAATTAGTCTAATTAGGCTCTGCGCAGTGGCATCTGAATCTGCCCCAAAATATTGTAGGTTTCTGTCCCCACAGGGGCCCAGCTGGGCCTAGCTGCTTGGTGGTGCCAGTGGGTGGGAAGCCTGCCAGGCCGGAATCTGCCATGAGCCCTTTCCTTTCCTTCCTTCTTTCCTCCCTTAGACATTTATTGAGCACCTACTTTGTGCCAGGCACACTCTGCTTGATGCCTTAATGGTTGGTGTTCTATGTCTTAAGGCTCCTGGGGTGGGGGTCACCTCCTCTCCTTCAGTCCACTGTGCTGAAGAGTAGGGCTCTGACAGTCCTAGGTGCAAATCCAGAGACTACCATGTGCTCACTGTGTGGCCTCAGGCAGGTTGCTTTTCACTCTGTAAAATGGGCTGACCACTCAGACCATGTAGAATGTGTCCATGGGAGCCCCTCCTCGAGGTTAGTTGAAGTCTCACCTCCTCCAGGAAGCCCTCCTGGTCTCCTAAACCCAACTAGCCTCTCTCTCCTGGACTCTGGTGGTGCCCCTTGCCCCTACCATGCACTGGGGAACATCAGGGCTGAAAGGCTGGAAGTGACCAATGAGTTCAACTTTTGCCCCATGTTACCCAGGGGAAACTGAGGCCCTCTCTGGGGATTGCTTGAGATAATACAATGAACCAATGGCAAAGTCAGCACTAGAACTCAGGTCTCAGGACTCCCTGCCCAGTGCTCTTCCCACAACAGGGCTCTCCTGGAGGCAGCTCGGCTGGTGGTGAAGACAATGGACTGAGGAGTCTGTTGGACCTGGGTTCGAATCCCAGCTCCACCACTTACCAGCTGGGAGACCCAAGGCAGGTCCCTCGGCTTGCTGAACTTTGGCCTCTGCATCTGTAAACAGGGGCGGTGATCACATTGTTGTCAGGGCATCTATTGCAGCGTGCCCTTGGGGAAGTCAGGGGTGTCAGTCTCACGGGCTTTCCTCTAGGCCCTGTCCGTGGGTAGATGCACTCTGGAACCAGGCCTGGCTTTGTTCCTTCCCAGCTGTGTGACCTTGGGCAAGTTACTTCACTGCTCTGCGCCTCAGTTTCCCCTCTGCTAAAACAGAGCTAACACAGAAACACTCCTTGTTAAGGATGAAATGAGTTACTGTTGTGAGGTGGTTAGAACAGACCTTGACACATGGATTAAATGTTAAAATACAAATGCCTGCCTTGCATTCCCCACCAATACCCTGGGGGAGGTTTAATCCCTCACTTCCCAGAGGGCTCTGCAGTTACTTCGGCCAGGTACCCCACAGGATGGGGGCACCCAGCCCAGCCCCCTCTGCCCAGAGTGTGAGCTCCGGGCAGCAGTCACTGGGTGGGTAAAGAAAAGATTACACATTTGTGAACCTTTTAGTTTCTATTTTGTGTTTGTTTTATAATGTACATAAGATACTAGCTCAGTAATCACATCTGTACTTTCCAAATAAGTATTCAACCATGAGGCCATATGCTCCCTCAAGTTTGGAGACCTTTGCCCTAAAATCCTAACATTCGTAACAGCAAACCCTCAGGCTGCCCCCCCAGGAGCCAGGCACTGTAAGGAACACCTTCCCTGTGTCCATCCACTGGGTCCCCTGACGACCCAACAAGGTGAGTGCCATCAGTGTCCCCACCTTCCAGCTGAAGCAACGAGGAAGTTGAGGACTCACTGAGAGGACACAGCTGGCACCAAGCTATGCCCTTGACCACTGGGCTATGCTGCCATTTTAAACCCAAAAGGTCTAAAAGGAAAGGAAAGATCTCCTTCATGAGGATGAGTTTTCTTCCTTTATCTCTCAACACACACACACACACGCACGCACACACACACACGCACAGACACACAAACACACACACGTACACAGAGACACACATGCACATGCACACAGGCATGCACACTCAACAGCCACTTGTACTACTGCTGGCTCGTTGGAAAAATTGATGTTACTTCTATTAGCATAATTTTTGCTCCATCTCCTTTGAACAAAGATCCCAGGCTTGGAAAGCTCAGCGAGCATCGTCTCCCTGCAGTGTCAAGGTCTCCAGTCACATCCTCTTCCCTCCAATTACAAGGCTTCTACCCAATGTCTCCCCTGGTAAGACTGGGGAAGAGAGTGCAGGCGAGCCAAGCCCAGGGCTGGGTGCAGTGGGTACATCTGTCTGTCTGTCTGATGGCGGCTGGAAGCCTCCGTTCTCCTCCACTTCATATGGTGCAGCCATCTGGGCCACGGCTCCCTCTTATTCATCTCTGCATCCGACTCAGGAGATGCTCATAAGCACTTCTTGCAGGAAGAAACACAGGAGCCACTCCTGCGAGTAGCCTCCTCTCTAAAATGAAAACCCCAGCCCCATCTTCAGAAAGTTGGCCGGGGCATTCTGGGCTCCTGGGGCAGGCTGAATTCCAAATTCAGCTCTGAGGAAGATTCTTGGGACAGAAGAGGAAACCAAAGGGACTTTGAAAGACCAGCACCCTTCAGTGTGGTGCTCAACCTTATATTAAAGAAAAGGACACTGAGGCCCAGAGAGACACGGTAAGTGGGCTAGAGTGTCTTGCCACAGCAAATGGCAAGGCTGAGACAGGGTCTGGGTCATTGGGATGGATGAGGGCATGCAGAGCAGGGCCTGGCACATCTCCCACCCCAGGAAAAAATCCTAGGCCTGTAGAACCCCACCCCCACCCCAGAGTTTCAAGGAAGGAGCTGCGAGAGCCTGCCATAGGCGAGGGGAACCAGTTGCCTCAGGCCTGAGACAGAGCCAAGGAAATAGCTAAGGCCAGGCCTTCACTTACTTGTCCCACCTGCCATATGTGGGTGTCTAGCATGTGTGTGTCCTCTGGGGTCCTGGAGGGGAAAGCCTGGCCAAGTGGGTTAAGATGAGGTGTTGGAAGCTGGCATGATTGCCTTCAACCCCAGCTCAGCCACTCCAAGGCAGCTTGGACAGATGAATGCCTCTTGTGAGCCTCAGTTTCTCCATCTTCACAACAGGAATAATGACAAAACCACAGCCCTACTAATAACAACAGGGGCCTCAGGTTCACCCCACTGAGCACTGTGCATGCCTGGCCTGGCCAGTCCTCGGGGCAGCACTGAGCAGCCAAGATTGTCACCGTCCCTGTTTACAGACAAGAAATAGAAGGCTACTACCCAGGAACGTGTCCACCTTTGCACAGCTGTGCAGCTGTCCAGGGTCAAGTTCGGGCACAGGTTGTCAATCTCCAAATGCAAGTTATTTTTACCACGGCTAGATTAATTACCCACCTGTCTTTTACCTGAGGGAACAAATGAAACAATATATGTGCAAAGGGTCTAGTACTGTGCCTGGCACAAAGGAGTGCTGGTAAGCAGTTAGGATTAGATTGACTGTGGTTACCATGGTAACACCAGACTTGTCCACTGTCCCCAACACTGGGAACTGCAGAGTAGTGGAAACACCTGCAAGCCAGAAGGAGGGGTGTTGAGCAAGAAAGTGTGGCCTCGGCATAGAAGCATTTACATTTTTCTTTTTTCTTTTTAAATCTTGTAACGATCAGTCACACTAGAGCCCCATCCCTAGGGCAGAAATTTTTTTCCCTTTGAGCCTCAGTGCTGAGTACTGAATTACACCCCCATCCCCGCCATGTGCCAGGCACATGATCCTCATTGGCCCAGGCAAGCACCACCCTCCATGCCAATTTCCTTATTTACTCTTCTCTTTTCCTGTTTGCCAATGCAGGTGACGAACTTGGCCAGCACAGGTGACCAGTCTACAGGGTGGAATGCCTGCCCTTTTGCACGCATTCTTGCAAAATGCATAAGCTTGTATTTCTCAGTAAACTTTTCAAAGTAAAACATTCATGCAGAAAAAAGCACAAATGACGCATGTAGAGCTTTATGCATTTTCACAACCTGAGCACACCCGTGTCACCCAGAATGAGAAGCAGAATATAACGGGCATTGTGGAAGCCCCCACATGCTCCTTCCCCCAAGGGGGTCACTCCCCTGACTCTGACTCCAGAAAGCAGAAGTAGCTGTCCTGTGCTCTATACAAATGGCATCCTGCACCATGTACCCCTTGGTGCTTGGCTGCTGTTGCTCAACTGCACATCTGTGAGATTCACCCAGGTGGTTGTGTCTGGTTTGCTCTGGTTCGTTCGCTCTCATGCTGTCACATATTCCCTTGTAGAAAACTACCCCAGGCCATTTGCCCAGTCTCCTGTTGTTAGATGTGTGGGTTGTTTCCAGCTTGGCGCTATTACAAACAGGGCTGCACATTCTGGAACAAGTCCTTCGGTGATCATAAGCACACGCTTCTGTTCGGTAAACGGCTAGGGGTGGTATTGCTGGGTCACAGCATATGTGTATGTTGAGCTTTGGTAGGTTCTGCCCAAGTTTTCCAACGTGCCTATACCGTCTGATACTCCTGCCAGCTGCACGTAAGAGTTCCAGTCGCTCCACCTCTTCACCAACTTGCCATTTGTCTGTGTTTCTCCTCGCAGCCACTGTGATGGGTGTGCCTGGTTTTGGATTGCTGTTTTAGTTCTCACTGTTGCCTCTGCATCCCTCTTGATAGCTGGAAGCAACAGCTCCTATGTGCTGGACACTTCATACATACTAGCCTCTAGAGCTTAATCTTACACACATTATCTCACTTAATCGTCACAGCCACCATTTGAGGGAAGTACATTTTACAGTCGAGGAAACCGAAGCACAGAGAGGGGAAGACTCCTCCTCCCAAGGCACAGCTGATGATTTCAATTGGCGGGAAGAGAAGGGGTCAAAGTGAGAACTTCAGCATGACTTGGGGGTGCTCTGACCTGACCCCTCCGTTGTCTCGAATGTGTCTAAGGGACAGGAAGGGTCCCCCGTACTTGAACTCACTTCCCTGATTCTGGGAAAATCCCAATCCTTCCTGGTCTTCAGTCTTCCCAGCTGTGAGATGACAGCAGCCAGCACAGGGCAGGAATAAACATGTGTTTGCTGCACTGACATCTACATCTTGTACTGAGCCCCTACAGCATGCCGGGCAGGCTTCAGATATCACATTTAATCCTCACAAAATCCCTTCGAGTTGGATGTTAATACCTCCCTTTCATAGCTGAGGACGCTGTGATCCTGAGAGGTGGAGACACTTGAGCAAAGTCACACAGCAAATGGCAAAGCAGGATTTGAACTCACTGAGACGTGCCTAGTCCCTTCAAGAACCCTCTATTTGGAGCTCAGCCCAAGCTTTGCAGATGCTACAGGATGGCTTGGCTGTTGGAATGTATTTTTAAATTGTTCAAGAAAGATTACCGTTAAATAGTTCCTGACCTCCTCCAAACTAAGAAGGAGCAAAATGCTAAGCGTAGAGTTCCTATAGGATTCATCAACTCCACTCCTAGGTATACACCCAAGAGAAAGGAAAACATCTTTTCACACAAAAACCTGTACACCGATATTTATAGCAACATTATGCATAATGGCCAAGAATTGAGAAAAAGTGACCATGAATTGATAAATGGATAAATAAAATGTGGTGTATCCGTACAGTGGAATATTATGCAGCCATAAAAAGGAATAAAGTACTGACACAAGCCACAACATGGATGAGCCTTGAAAACATTAGGCAGGTGAAAGAAGCCAGACACAAACGACCCCATCATGTACTATTGCATTTATATGAAGCGTCCAGGATAGGCAAATCCATAGAGACAAAAGTAGATTTGTGGTTGCCAGGGCATGGGGGTCAGGAGGTAGAGATGGGGAGGAGCTGCTAATGGGTAGAGAGTTTCTTTTGGGGTGATGAAAATGTTCTAAGATTAGATAGTGCTGATGGTTATGCAACTCTATAAATAAACTAAAAAAACCCACTTTACTGTACATTTTAAATGGTTTAATTTTTTGGCATATGATTATATTTCAATACATTTTTTTTTTAAATCTGAGTAAGTGACCCAGCAGGAAGCATGCTGGAGAGGACACTCTCTGGGGGCCTTCCAGGAGCTCAGCTGCCTCCTCACCTGGGCAGCGTGCCCCTTGTCACCCTGCATGGCCAGTCGTCTCAAGCACATAACAAAGGTTGTCAGAATGGACTTAGTGTCCACGTTCAACTCACTGCTGCTTCATTTGCAGGGGAAATTATGGGCCACCTTCCTCGCTGTTTATCTTTTTAGGCCTCTAAACCACCTCCTCTGGTTCATTCATTCTTTTGTTTATTCCCCAAGCATTTATTGAGCACCTACTGTGTACCAGGCTCTGTGCTGGTCATGAGACAAATACCAGCTTGTCCTGGCCTTCAAAGAGTAAAGATTTTATCAGGAACATAGACCCAGAAAAAGCAAAGTGTAATCTGATAGGATACTTCTTGTCATCCATTTGACAATGATTTATTGAACACCTACTACATGCTGGGTCTGTATGAGGTGCTGGGGAAGTAGCAGAGCCATGACTTGGGAACACAGACCGACTGCAGCTGTGCTGCTTGGGTTCAGGCCCGGGCTCTGCCACTGACCAGCTGCATGACCTTGGGGAAGCTGCTGCCCTCTCCGTGATGTGGAGGTGAAAATGGAGTCTATGTTATACGGCTGGTGTGAAAGTTAAATGACTCCACATACACAAAGTGCTTAGAAGTGCATGGTGACTACCAAGGACTAGATGAGCGTGAGCTATTGTCACTCTCCTTGTTGTTACACTAGATATGGGCAGCCTAGGGAAGCCAGGGGGCAGTGGGCTTCCAGCCCGTGGGAGACTCTGAGCCAGCCTGGTGATGGGCAGCAGAGGGGCATAACGAGCAGAGGGGACACACGCAGAGGCCTGGAGGCAGAGCCACCAGAGGCACAGGAGAGGTGGGCGAAGGTGAGAGATGAGATGGGCTCTGCGGACCCTTGGTTTGGGTTTTTTTGTTGTTTGTTTTTAGAGACAGAGTTTCACTTTGTTGCCCCAGCTGGAGTGCATGCAATGCGGTGTGATTACAGCTCACTGCATCTCGAACTCCTGGCTTCAGGCAATCCTCCCGCCTCAGCCCCACAAAGTGCTGGAGTGAGCCACTGTGCCTGGTGCTCTGCAGGCTCTTGAGTCTCCCGGTTCTGTCTGCTCTGCCTCTACGTCTTTCGAGGGGGTGGTGGTGGTCTCTCCCTCTAGGCCCCCGAGCCACCTCCCAGCCTTGACATCAGGGGAGGCCTCTGGGGCCAGCACAGGGGAAAAGGGCTGGTGGGAGTGGGCAGAGAGTGGCTGGGACGAGCTGGGTGCAGCTACTGAGGGCCGGATGTGCAGAAGGTATCGGCTTCACAGATTTCCTTCACTCCATCACCACTACTTCTAGGAGGGTGGCACATCATCATCCCCATTTTACAAATGATAAAACTGAGGTTCCAGGAAAGGAAGCACCTGGCCCAGGTCACCCAGACAGTGAGTGGAGGTGCTGAGGTTCAAACCACATCTATTTCCCAGAACCTTCTATCGTTAGCCATCAAGCCAGGGGGAGGGTGGTGACTGGGGAGGCTGAAGCCTTCGGTTAGGGCTAGGGTTAGTGTTAGTCAGTGTCAGTCTTATAGACGGGGGCTAGACTTCTTGTGAGCCCTGGTAAACCCTCCCCATTCCTGGACCTGTTTCCTTCTCTGTAAAATGGAGCCACCAACACCCAATTCACCCAGTGGTGGTCCGAGGGGCGTTTGAAAGTGCCAAGCACCACCCATGTGTCCAGGTCAGATACCCACTGTGTGGCTTCAGGCAAAGCCTTCCGCTGTCTGGACCTTGGATCACAAATGGGGAAATGTGTCACTCTCATCTGGGGCTTCTTGAAAATGTGTGCCTGGGCTTGAACCACAGGGGCCCTGGAGATAGTTTTGGAGTTTCTGTTGAGAGGTGAAGCTGTCACAGGCTAGGTAGAAGTAAGGTTGCAAAATTAAGCAAATACAATGAAAGATGTCCACTTACATTGGAATTTCAGATAGAGAACAAATAATTTTTTAGTATAAGCATGTCCTATGCAATATTTGGGACATACTTATATATATATTTTAAAACTGCTTGCTTATCTGAAATTCCAATTTAACGGAGTGTCTTGAGTTTGATCCTGTAGTCCAGGGCTAGATCGAATGTCTGCCTGCAGATGCTGGTCCTTGGTCTCTCTTTACCACAAAAACATGGCCCTGGGAAGCGAGGGGCTTTGTGGGAAGGTTTAGGAAAGTCAGAGGAAAAACATATCTGCCCCTCCAGCGTCCTCCTACTTCTGTTCTTGCTGTTTTGAAACTCACCCCTATGGTTGGCTAAGAGCTGGCACCATCAGTGCTGGGGGCTGAGAGAGACATGATGTAAGAATACCCTTTATCTGATGGGCAGGCTCAGAATGGCTGTTCAGGTATTTGGGGCCAGGACGCTGGTGGGTGGCTTAGGGCATTGGCAGGCTCCAGACCCCTGGCTATCTGTGCCACTCCCTCCCACTTTTGCCACCGCCCCACCATGATCTGTACCCAAAGAGCACCCCTGGGCGTGAGGACCACCCCCCTCCCAGAAAAGGCTGTATCCTGTGAACCGGCTTGCAGCCAAACAGGGTCTGGGCCGCTCAGAGGAAAGAGACCTTTCTTTCCGTGAGCCCTGTTTCCTCTCCCTGTGAAAGAGGATTTGATTACTCTGACCACTGCAGCCTGGGGAGAGGATGTGCCAAGTCCTCCAGACCTGGTGGGCGGCAGCCTGCTCCCTGCCCGCTTTCCTCTGTCCGGTCACAGTGCCTGCCTAGAGTCCTCGAATGTGTCCTGCCCCAGGTCCACTCCCTAATTTGCAGGGCCTCGTATAGAATGAATATCTAGGGCCCTGTTCGAAAGACTCTGTTTTATTTTATTTCTTCTTATTATTACTGAGACAGGATCTCGCTGTGTCTCCCAGGCTGAAGCGCAGTAGCGCGATCATGGTTCACTGCAGCCTCAACCTCCTGGGCTCAATCGATCATCCTTCCTCAGCTTCCTGAGTAGCTGGGACTACAGGTATGCGCCACTACAATTTGGTATTTCTTGTAGAGATGAAGTTTCGCCATGTTGCCCAGGCTGGTCTCAAACTCCTGGACTCAAGCAATTCACCCATCTCGGCTTCCCAAAGTGCTGGGATTATAGGTGTGAGCCACCGCATTCAGCCAAAAGGCTGTGTTTTGAAATGTCATTAAAAGTCTAAAATATGAAACTCTTCTATTCTTGCGTCGTTTTTTCTCAACCCATCGTGGTGTTTTTTCTTGGCCTGTCATGGTGTTTTGTGTTTACAATTTAATGTCACATTCTCTTGAGTGCAGGAATGCTCGTGGGGGACTCTCCCAGGGGCCTGGGACTCAGGCTCCCCTACTCATCGGGCACGTGTGAAGCAGCTTTCAGGTTTTCTCTCCTGCCAACTACCCAACAGCAGGCCATGCCGCAGACAAGTGGGGAGACCAAGTCAGGCATCTCCCCTTCCCGTGGGCATGCCACTCCAATGCATGGTAGACAGGCAACCCACAACGGTACCGACACTTCCCGGCTGGGGCAGGTCTCTTGTGTTAGGTGCCTTGCCCCCCGCCATCTGGAGCTGCCTACCCAATGTTTCCAGTGCTGCCAGTGTGGAGCAAGGCCTGCTCCTGCCTTGCCCTTCCCTGAGACACACACCCGATCCTGACCCTCTGTGTGCCAGCGCCCAGGCCCCTGGAGAAAGGCGGCAGCAGTGATTGGGTAGGGCCTGGGGTGCCAGAGGATGAGGTCATGGGTGGGACCTTTAATGTCCTGGAGAGGTGCCAGGAGGCAGGAGCCCATGTGAGCAAGCCAAGGCTCCAAGTCCCCTGGGCACACACTCCACTGTCCCACAGGCTTTCACTTACAAAACACACATTCAGCTGGGTGCGGTGGCGCACGCCTGTAATCCCAGCACTTTGGGAGACCGAGGCGGGCAGATCACGAGGTCAGGAGATCGAGATCATTGGGCTAACACGATGAAACCTCGTTTCTACTAAAAATACAAAAAATTAGCAGGGTGTGTTGGCGGGCGCCCGTAGTCCAAGCTACCCAGGAAGCTGAGGCAGGAGAATCGCTTGAACCCAGGAGGCGGAGGTTATAGTGAGCCAAGATTGCACCACTGCACTCCAGCCTGGGTGACAGAGCAAGACTCCATCTCAAACACACACACACACACATGCACACGCACACACACAGACACAAATTCAGGCCAGGCCTGGTGGCTCACATCTGTAATCCCAGCACTTTGGGAAGCCAAGGCAGGAGGATTGCTTAAGGCCAGGAGTTCAAGATCAGCCTGGGCAATATAGTGTGACCCCATTTCTAAAAAAGAAAAAAGGATCCTGGTGTGGTGGTGTGCACCTGTGGTCTCAGCTACTTGGGAGACTGAGGTGAGAAGAGGGTTTCAGCTTGGGAGGCAGAGGCTACAGTGAGTCGTGATTGTGCCACTGCACCCCAGCCTGGGTGACAGAGTGAGACCCTTTCTCAAAAAAAAGCAAACCCCAAAACATCACAAAATCAAAGATAAAGTTATTACAAATTTAAAGCCGGCAACCAGGAGCATTAAACACAAATGGCAGGCTCTGAGTGCCCAGCCTGGCCCAGGCGTGCGGCCAGCCTCACCCTGCTCCCACCCGCCTTAGGGCCCTTGCCATGCTATTCCCTCTGCTTGGAACACTCTATTCCTGCCCTCCTTCCTGATTCACTCCCACTCAGACACCGCCCCTGGGGAGCCCACCGGGATCTTTCAGCCCGTGTCACCCCTCCAGTGTCGTGTCCCTCACGTCTGAAGCCCCGTCCCAGCGTGTGCATTTATTTGTGTGCTCCTTTGAGTCATTTCTGTCCCCCAGCCCAGACTGGACGGGTCATGAGACCAGGGAACAGATTTTTGTTCTTCCATCTCAGAGTATCCAGGGCCTCTCACAGTGGGTTAGTAGTCAGTGTGGAATGAGTCATTAATGGGATGAATGGCCCAGAGGAGGGGACGAAAGAGCAGTGCAGAGGCCCAAAGTGTGAAGGACCAGTTGTGTTTGGAGATCGGTGTCTCTGGGTCCGAGGTCGCATGGGCGGTGCTGGTGCGAGATGAAGCCGGGATGTCTAGTTGGGGTCAGACCGTCAAGGGCCTTGAATGCCAGGCTGAGGACTCAGACTGGCTTTATAAAGGGGTTGTTATAAATGGTGAGATATGGTCACAGCTGTGCCAAGGACAGACTGGAGAGGGGTAAGACTGGAGGCCGGGAGCCCAGGGGGAGGCTGGTACCAGTATCCAGGCCAGGGGCAGGGAGGGAGGAAGGAGGGGAGCTGAACGGTTTAGCAGCTGCCCTGGGCATGGGGTCACTTGCAGCCTAATTCCTTTCTCCGGCACAGGTTAGAATGAGGTGTTTAAACATCACGTGGTGCTGAGCCCTGTCCCGTGGGATTACTGTGCACTCCTGTACTTCTTGGGCCCTGAGGAGGGGTGGGACCCACCTAGCCCACCTCTGAATCCCGTTGCTGCTGTGGAGTTTTTCTCACCTGATTCAGATGAGTCCCGAGTTGGAAAGCCCCCTCCTAGAACGAGAAGGGGCGTGAGAACACTGGAGAGTGTGCCGACAATTGGGAAAGGAAGAGCGCAGAGATGGGCTGACACCAAGCAAAGAGAGCAGTGGTGATTCTGAGCATCTGAGAGCCAGGGGCCTGGCGGTTGGAAGGGCTGAGACATCCTAGAAAGGCAGAGACACTGCTGAAAGGGAGGAGGGGACATGGGAATGTGAGTAAGGCAGCTGAGGACTGCAGGGGATAGTGTCGTGCTGAGCTTAGCCAACCTGTCTCAGCTGGAAAAAACTCACTGGATTGGGAAGAGACCCTGAGAAAGGGGGAGACACTGGGCTGAGCTGGGGACCTTGTGCTGGGCTATCCTGATCAGCCATGGAGCACAGCTGCTCACACTGCCCTCTCTGTCCAGGCTATGCCCAAGAGGAATGGAGGGGGTTAAGTTGCCAAGGAGTGGAGGTGGGGGAGCAGAAGAGCAAGTTAGCCAGTAAGTAAACTGTATAAAAGAGAGCTCTTAAAAGGCGTTAATTTAATGAGCACATGCCAGGCATGGTGATGGGGCCTTAGAAGACAGGGATGAAGCCGATGTCCCTTCTACTCTCAAGGACTTCCCAGTCCTGGGGGGAGAAACATCAGTAAGTTACTTTCAAGGCAAAAGAAGTTATCCTATTCCAAGAAAAGCACCTATTTTTGGTGGGGAGCCCAGAGGAAGAGGAAGGTGCAGCTAGAAGACAACCAGTTTGGGTTCTGGGCTCTGCCATGAGCGAGGGAGACCTCCCTGGGCCTCAGTTTCCTCTCTTGCATTGGACTAGGGCAGGACTTTTCAGCCTTGAGTGAACCTCAGAATCCCAGGGCAGGGCTGAGGGTTCACACAGAAGTAGGAGCATACCCCCACCAGAGCATCTGGTCTGAGGAGGGGCCAAGTTCCAGGGGAGGCTGCTGCTGCTCCGGGGAGCACACAGGGAGAACCAAGAGACTTGCAGCAGGACTGTCTTCAGGAAACCCTCCGAGGAGCTCTGAAAGAGCAGCGGGTGCAGCGGAGCGCATGGAAGGCACCACTGCAATGTTGACACGCTGCCTCCGGCCTCCTCCATTCCACGTACACTGAAGGCACCGCCACGATGCTGACACGCTGCCTCCGGCCTCCTCCATTCCACGAACTCAGACTCAGCTGGCTCTGGGTTGGGTGCTGGAGTATCCACAGGGTGAAGACCTGGTAGACTGTGTGCCCTGTCTCAACCTCTGTGAGCTGGTTTGTAAAACGGGCTGGGAATGCAGTCAACATTTCTGTTGTTGGGACTTTTCCTGATGCCCTTTAGTAGCCGAGCTGGCTCCAAGCCAAGAACCTGACTGTATTCAGCCTCCAACACCCCTAAACCAAAGGCATGTACAGCCCTTCTGGGGAGGAGCAGACCAAGGTCAGTCTGGGCCCCAGGATCCCACGGCCTCTGGCTTTGGGACAGGCAGGAGAACATTTCCAATTACAGAACCCCAGACAGAGCAGCGGCTATCTGGGGCTAGCTTCTCTCTCTGTCCACCCCTTGCAAAGTCCCTCAAGCAGGGGCTGAGTCACAGGGTGTTGTTTAGTGTTTTGTTACTGAATTCTTCTCTAAGAAAGAACCCAGTGTGTCAGAACGCCCAGGGGGCTGGTGGGGCAAGAGGATCAGCCCCCATCTCCTGTCTCCAGGGCGGGTTACAGAGGGTAGAGGGGCCCACAGCCAGTCCCAGGGGCTTAGTTTTCTTCTCCCAACAGCTCCTTCCTCCAGGAGCAGCTAGCAAGAAGTCACATGGGTGCCTTATGCCCAAATCTTGTGCTTGGCATTTGGGGCCTCTGGTATCACGTTCCTCCTCTTTCTCTCGTTCCTGCTCCCCAAGCCCAGCGGGGTTCCCCAAGCCAGGGCAGCCATATTTGCAGCTCACACACTTCCATTCCCACATCCCAGGCTTTGCAGGGGCTGGGCCTCCCCTCGGGCCCTCCCTTCCCTCGAGTGCAACCAGCAGTACCAATTTGCCCAGTCCTGAGATGTTTCCCAGGAGGCAAGACTTGCAGTGTGCAGAATGAGAACATCCCAGACAAACGGGGCGAGTCGGTCACCTGACTTCACTCTTCCCAGTCCACACAGAGGCCCCATGCACTCACAGGCAGATGGGACTCAGACACAGAGGTGATAGAAATCCAGGGTCCAGCCACTCTGAGTAGACCCGCTGGCTGCCTTACTTTGTGGAGTCTGAGGCCAGTTTTATAGAGAAAGGGGCCAGCCACTCTGAGTGGACCCACTGTGACCCACTGGCTGCCTTACTTTGTGGAGTCTGAGGCCAGTTTTATAGAGAAAGGGGCCAATCTTAGGGAAGCCAGAGGGACAGGGACTGAGCCAGAAGAGGCAGCTGGGGGTTCCAGCAGGGCGTGGATGTGCAACCTCCACCCCGAGCTGCTGTGTGGCCACTGAGAAACCACTCCCCTCTCTGAGCCCTTTTCCCCAACTGTGAAATCTGGCTTAGATACCATCCTTCTAAGGGCATCGGCAAATGGCAGATGGTTTTCTTATCAGGTTTAACCAGCAGGTGGAGGGTCCCGAACACTGCAGCCCAGTTTCCTGTGCTCCCCACACACTCAGGACAGAGACTCTGGGCCTGACAGTGAGCAGGTGCCCCCTCAGGCACTGAGACCACCCAGGGAATGAAGGTACAGCCAGCTGGGCTGACCCCATGCCTCCGGGGGCAGTCAGGAAAGCCATCTCTGAGGAGGTGACCTCTGGGCCGAGACCCCAAGAAGGGAAGGAGCCAACGTCTGGGAGAAGAGGGTTCAGGCAGAGGGAAGAGCCAGTGTAAAGGCCCTGAGGTGGGAGCCAGCTGAGAGTGCCCTAGGCTAATGGGGCAAAGGCAGGAGATGGGATCAGGGGGCCCCACATGGGCCAGGTCACACGGATATGGGTCTAGAGAGGTCACATGCCCCACCGGGGGTCACATGGCCAACTCAGGAATAAAAGGCTCAGGAGGGGGAGATTCAGAGCCACCATCAGAGCCCTGCGGCAGCCTGGGTGCAGCAGAGGATGCTGTTGCTCTGGTGTCCGTGGGCCAGAGGATACCAAGGTCCAAAGTATGGTCCCCAGGCCTCAGATGCCCCACTGAAATGACTGCGTTCCAAGCATTTCTGGGTAGCATCATTTGTCAGCAAGATGTGAGAGTGAAAGCCACTGGCTCTGGGGCTGAGCAAGCTCTGCCATCCCCAGGAGAAGGAGTGTGGCCCTGCACCCACTACCCACTCATGCGCTCATTCACCCATTCATTCATTCATTCAAAAAGCTTTCATGGAGAGCCAGGCTCCAGCTCGTGAAGGAAAGAACTCTCTTGGAGGACTCCCTTCATTAACTCAGAGGTTTTGCCTTTAATGTCTTCACGTTCCTTGTCAAGCCCCCCACTTTCCTTTCCCAATGCAGCCAGGTCTAATCTGGTTGAAGTAACATACGTTAACAAGGGTATTAATGTCCACTAAAGTGTTAGCTGAAAAAGAAGACATTAGCTGATAACCAAAGCATTGAGAAGTATGATGTTTAGCTGAAGACAAAGATGGTAATTGCTAATTAAAGCATTAGCTAAAAAACAAGGAGTTAACCGATCACCAAGCGTTGAGCCCGTCGATCTGGGCTGAAAGTGAGGGCTGGCTGATGATTGAAGTTTGGTTGAAAAACTAAGCAGTTAACACATGGCTAACTGGTGATAGTTTTTAATATATTAATCCAAAAGTAAGATTTCTACAACTCAATAATCAAATGACTACCTAAAATTGAAAACAGGAATTAGTCTGGGCATGGTGGCTCATGCCTGCAATCCTAGTACTTCAGGAGGCCAAGGCAGGTGGATCATTTGACCCCGGGAGTTCAAGACCAACCTGGGCAACATGACAAAACCCCCTCTCTACAAAAAATAACAAAAATTAGCTAGGTGTGTCGGTGCATGCTGGTAGTCCCACCTATTTGGGAGGGTGAGGTGGGAGGATCACTCCTGGGAGGTGGCGGCTGCAGTGAGCCAAGATCATGCCTCTGCACTCCAACCTGGGTACCACAGCAAGACCCTGTCTCAAAAAAAAGAAAAGAAAACAGGAATTCAAACAGATATATTTGCACTCATGTTCATCACAGTACTATTCATAATAACCAAAAGGTGGAACCAACCCAAGTGTTCATTAACAGATGAATGGATAAAGACAATTGATCTCTGCACACAATAGAATATTATTTAGCCTTAAAAAGGAAGGAAATTCTGACACATCATACAACATGGATAAACCTTCAGGCTATTATGTTCAGTGAAATAAGCCAGTCACAAAAGGACAAATACTGTATGGTTCAACTGGTATGAAGTTCCTTGATCCTGGTAGTCACATTCATAGAGACAGTCGGTAGAATGGCGGGGTGCCTGGGGCTGGGAGTTGAGGGGAGAGGAGAATGAGGAGTTAGTGTTTAATGGGGACAGGGGTTCAGTTTGGGAAGACAAAAAAGAGTTCTGGAGAAGGATGGTGGTGACAACTGCACAACACATGAATGCACTTAATGTCACTGAATTGATTAAATTAAGATGGTAAATTGTATGTTATGTATCTTTTACCACAATTTTCTAAATGACAACCCAATTAAAAATGGTTAAAAGAAATGTGACGACGAATAAACACATGGGAAGATGCTCAACTTCACCAGCCACCAGGGAAGTGCAAGTTAAACCACGAGATGCCAGTGCACACCCTTTAGAATTAAAGTGAAAAGGACTGAACTATCAATGTCGGAGCAATCAGGACCTCAAACACGGCTGATGGGGGTGTGGGAATCACCCTGCAAGGCAGTTATGAAGCTAAACACCCACCTCCCATGCAATCTAGCAATTTTACACCTAGGTGGGGAAACCAACTAGAAATGAAAAGCAGGGCCATAAAAGACCTGTGCCCAGATGTGAGTGGAAGCTTTACCCATCATGAGCCTGACCTGGAACTGTCAGTGTGTCCCTTACCTGGTGAGTGAAGAAGCAGACAGTGGCATATCCATTTACAGGAACACCACTCAGCAATGAAACGGGAAGCAGCACAGATGCACACAGCAACGGTCACAGTCCTCAAGGTCATTCTGTGGAGGGAAAACACCAGCCATGAAACGAACACACGGCATGATCCCACTTACCTGACACTCCAGAGAAGACAAACTAAGCCTGCACGACAGGGGGCCACCAGGCATTTTCACCTGGTGTGGGGGTGCGAGGTGGTGACTGTCTGCAGGGGCATGAGGGCACTACCTTGGGGCGATGATCTGCTCTGCATCTTGGCTGTCGCGTATGCATTTGTAAAAACTCCTCAGATTGTAAACTTAAAGAGGGGTGCTAGGGGCTGAACTGTGCCTCCCGCCCCCTACCCCAATTCCTATGCTAAAGCCCTAACCCCAGCACTTCAGAATAAGACTGTATTTTGCAGACAGGGTCTTTAAAGGGTCGACTAAGTTGAAACAAAGTCATTAGGGTGGGCCCTAATCGACTGGCATCTTTATAAGAGAAAATGACACAGACAGGCACAGAGGGAAGATGGATGTGAAGATGCAGGGAGAAGGCTACTGTTTGCAAGCCAAGGAGAGAGGCTCAGAAGAAATCAGCCCTGCCGAAACCTCGATCTGGGACTTCCAGCCTCCAGAACTGAGAAAATAAACTCCTGTTGTGGAAGTCCCCAGCCCAGCCTGTGATATTTTGTAATGGCAGCCCTACCAACCTAACACAGGGTAATCTTCCTACATATAAATTCTCCCTCTGTAAAATACAATTAAATGAATTTTTTTTTTGAGACGGAGTCTCACTCTGTCGCTAGGCTGGAGTGCATTGGCGCGATCTCAGCTCACTGCAACCTCCCTTCCAGGGTTCAAGTGATTCTCCTGCCTCAGCCTCCCGAGTAGCTGGGATTACAGGTGCCCACCACCATGCCTGGCTAATTTTTTATATCTTTAGTAGAGACGGGTTTTCACCATGTTGGCCAGGCTGGTCTCGAACTCCTGGCCTTGTGATCCGTCTGCCTCAAGCTCCCAAAGTGCTGGAATTACAGGCGTGAGCCACTGTGTCCGGCCAAAGGAGTATTGTTTTAAAGCGAGCAAGCGTAGGTTATAAGTGGATTGTACATGACTCTTCAGGGCTTCAATACCCAGCACTCTGCTATGTTCTCAGCAAGCCCTCCATAAAGCCTCAAATGCTAGTGAAAGTCGTGGCCACTACCTAATGCATTAACTGGTCACTGAGGTGCTCCCCACTCTTCCCAGCAGATTCTAGAGGTTTTTAAAAGCTCCTGCAGTTTAAAGCTATTCACACTACTGCCCTACCACCATTCCCTGAATACTGACTACGTACCAGGTGGAGTGCGCCATGGTGGTGGGATGGCAGGCCCATGAGGGGGTTACTTTCATCCTCATCTCACAGGTCGGCTTTCTGAGGCTTGGAGTGGGGCATGACTTGCCCAAAGTCACTCAGGGAGCTGGTGGCCATTTCGATGTCCAGATGAAAGGCTTTATTCCCACAGAGGTGACTCACGTTTCCACAGACTCCCATTCCTCAGGTGATGGCTCAGTCCTCCCAGGGGAGGTTTCTGCACAGCTTGTCTTTGTCCATTTGGACAGGCAGGCATTCCCTAAAGAGCTGTGGGGTTTCTTCTCTCCTGCCGGGAGGCTCTGGGCAGACACTGACCTCAAGGAGGCCGGGGTATTAGAATCTCCAGAGAAAATTTCCACAGGGCTGAAGGCGTTGGGGAGGCGGGCTGCACCATCATGGTGTAGCAGGTGTGGAGGCCTGGGTAGTTACTGGAGGCCCAGGAGGTGTGTCCTCAGTGATGGGAGGTAGTGGGGAGGGTCACATCCCCATGACCCACAGGGCTAGGGCTGTGGCTGTGGAGGTGGCTGCAGTGATGTGTTCAGGGCGGCCACACACCCTGTTTGTGGCCCAGAGCATGTCACTCTGCTTATTCCATTTCATGTCTTCTGGGCAGCCAGCTCTGACCCCGCAGGGTCGAGGACCCATCTGGCCCCCACAGCCCACAGAGCTACTCACACCTCCTGCTCTCTGCTTGAGCCTTCCTCCTCCACCAAACTGTGAGCTCTGTGCGGCAGAGCCGGTATCTGCCTTCTCTTTGAGACCCCGACACCCGGCCCAGGTGGGAGCTGGACAGTGAGGCAGGGCAAACACAGCTGCTACAGCCCAACCTGGCTCCACTCCCAGCTCACCCACCTACCAGCTGCGCAACCCCGGGCAAATCAGCACATCTCCTACAGCGGCAGTTTTCACCTCTGTCAAATGGGGCCACCGAGGACTGTCTTGCCTCCCTAATTGCAGAGGAAATCAGATAGTTCGCACTCCCTGGGCTGGGCCCTGGGATTCCCTTCCCTCTGGATCCTACTGTAGATGGAGTAGGTGGATGAGGAAAAGATAATTATAGGGCCAGGCCTGGGGGAGGATGCTTGCCTGGAGAGAACCAGAGACAGCTTCAGAGAGGAGATTCCTTAAACGGGGCTTTGAAGAGGGCAGGGGTCGTCATACCAAGAATCACCACTGTGATGGTGATGGCTGGCATCTCTGGAGGACCTACTGCGTGCTAGACACTGTTTTAAATGTTTGTGTGTTAACTTGTTTAATCCTCAGAATAACTTAAACTCATGTGATCCCCATTTTACAGAGGAGGAGGCTGAGACACAGAGAAGCTTGTGACTTGCCCGAGTAGGAGATCGCCCAGCAGGGCATAACAAGCGAAGGGGAAAGCTTGGGCGATGGTGCAGAGGCAGGAAACAGCCTGGCGCTCAGGGGAATTGGTCGTAGGTTGGTACAGCCATGAGTGCCCAGGAGCCACACCCCTCTTGTGTAATCCTCTCCTACATTGGCCGCCGGCTTGGTCACATGACCCGCTTTAGCCAATGGGACAGCAGCAAATGCAATGTAAGCAGCGGCTTGGGAAGCGGTTGCACATGTGGCTTGCTCTGGGAAGGCTGCATCCAATGGAGGAGCCCAGGCTAGCCTGCTGGAGATGTACGGCTCAGCCAACGGCAGCTACCCCAGGCCAGGCAAGGCCAACTTAGACCATGCTGCACCAAGGTGTCTTCAGCTGCCTGGGTGAGCCTAAATGAAACCAGCAGAATTGCCCAGCCTAACCTGGACCAGATGACAAAGCTAATTTAGTGTGGTTTGAGTGCATTAATAGATCATTGAGACAAACTTTCAAGTGTCCAGTATCTGAAGAGAACAAGATGACCAATGCTGTGCAGATGTGACAGAGCAGATAACTGTACCTGCAGTGTCCTGTCCTTGGAAGCACTGTGGGAAGACAAGGCTTAAAGGAAAACTTCTGGTGCTCTGGGTTCCTGACATCGGCAGCCCCAAGAGAGGGGTTCTCAGTTCACACTCCCCTCTGCATTCTGAATCCCAAAGAGGATCCTTAACTCCCACCTCACTGCCTGCTTCCAAAGCACCCAGCTAGCTTCAAAGGCCATCACCCTCCATCCAGTACCTGGCATGAAGCCAGCACATAGGAGCTGCTTTATTTTATTTTACGTTACTTTATTTTATTTTTGAGATGGAGTCTCGTTCAGCTGCCCAGGCTGGAGTGCAGTGGCGTGATCTTGGCTCACTGCAATCACCGTCTCCAGGTTCCCTGATTCTCCCATCTCAGCATCCCGAGTAGCTGGGACCACAGGCACCCACCATCATGCCCGGCTAATTTGTGTGTGTGTGTGTGTGTGTGTGTGTGTGTGTGTGTGTGTGTGTGTGTATTTTTAAGTAGAGACGGGGTTTCACCATGTTGGCCAGGCTGGTCTTGAACGCGTGACCTCAGATGATTCGCCCGCCTCGGCCTCCCAAAGTGCTAGGATTACAGAGGAGCTGCTTTATAAACAGTTTTTAAATGATGGGGAATGCATGCAGCCTCGCATATACACCAGGTACTCTGAACCACTGCAGAAACACTAAATACAAAATCAAAGCTGCCTGTCATATAGCTGGACAGGTGTGTCCACTGCTCCCACACCCCCAGAATGGATGGACTGTTCATTTCCTCCTTAGACTCAATTGCTCTTCCCTCCTCCAGTCCCCTGCCCAGGTTAGACAGCATCTGAATCCCCCACTTAGAATGAATGGAGTATCTGCCTCCCCCCTGAGACTGGATGGAATGTCCACCTTCTCCCTTAGACTGGGTAAGGTTAACCCACCTCTCCTTTTGGCCTGGGATCTCCTTAAAGGCAGAGGCCTGCCTAATCCATCCTGTGGCCCCAACACAGGATTTGGCCCTGAGGTCCTGCAGGGTAGAGCCCTGTGTTTCCCAGCAGGGCCCCCGCCTGGGTTAATCCTCCACTTCCTGATCTTCTAGTGGCCTTTCTCATGCCTGGAGTCTGTGTGGGATGGTCAGAAAGATGGATTGACACACAGCCCACTTTCATTTTTACTAGTTTTCCTCTTCCTAGTTCATCCCCTCCTCCCCAGCATATTTTTTGCCTGCATTTCACAGACTATGAAACCAAGTCTCAGGATGCATAATGTGGTCAAGTTCATGACAGGGAGTAGACGGTGAAGCCGGGACTTGAACCCAGGTCTGTCTGGTTGCAGCCCCAGCATTCCTGAGAGCCACACCCACTGCTACAATGCTGGAGGGGCTTGGGCCCCTGTGCTGTTTGCTGGGGTCCCAGGTGAGCATCATGCTTTAGTTTTGAAATTCTGCCCTGGAGAGGGGCCCTCTGGGAAGGGAAGGCTCTGCGGCTAGACAGGGTCTCTGACGGCCACCCGAGAAGGGCTGGAGAAAATGGCTCCCAGCCCACAGGGACTCGCTGGCCTTGCAAAGAGCACTGGACAGGGAGCCATAGACACCCAAAGCCAGTCTTGGCTCCACAGCTGGCCAGCCACTTTGCCTCAATTTCCTTATCCATGGGCACAATAACAGCCACCGAGAGCGTGGTGCCAAGTGCCCTGTAAACATGAATTCCCCTGGCTCACAGGTCCCCCAGCCCACCTTGGTATCTCCTTCTTCCCCTCTCGCATCTGCTCACCCCATTTCTGGATCAAATGCCTGCCACAAATTTCTTGCTCCTTTGTTTTAACCAAGGCAAGTTGATCACAGAACTGAATGCCTGAGGCCGGGCTCAGTGGCTCATGCCTATAATCCCAGCACTTTGAGAGGTCGAGGTGGGCGGATCACTTGAGGTCAGGAGTTTGAGTCCAGCAAAACCCTGTCTCTATTGAAAATACAAAAATTAGCTGGGCATGGTGGTGCACGCCTGTAATCCCGGCTACTTGGGCAGCTGAGGCAGAAGAATTGCTTGAACCTGGGAGACAGAGTTGGCAGTGAGCCGAGATCGTGCCACTGCACTCCAGCCTGGGGGACAGAAACTCCATCCCCCACCTCCAGAAAAAAATGAAAAACTAGACTTGTAGCACAAACAAGCCCCCCAGCCAGGATGCCTCTGAGTGACATGTGAGGTGGGGTCTGAGAGCAGAGACGTGCAGCCAGGTCCCATCTAGCTTCACTTGGACTGCCAGGGCTCCAGGAGTTGGAGGGCAGCCCGGGGCTCAGGGCTACCAAGCTCTGCCTGTGAGTCTCAGCTCCACCTTTTAGTCACTATGTGACCTTTGGAAGGTCACATTGCCACTCCCTACCTCAGTTTCCCCATCTGTGAAATAGATGCCTGCCGGTCTGATTACCCTCTTGTTTGCCCATCAGATGTTCTGCAGAGGTCAGGGCACCAGCACATCGTGAGGCACACAGCGACTGGTATTCTTCCATCATCAGTGGGCACCGTGGGGGAAATTCACTGCCATGGACTGAAAGGACCCCCAGTCTGCACGACCCCTGGACACCCACGAGGGCTATGAGTAAAGTAAAAATTTTGGAGAGAGCCTTTTATTGGCTCCCAAGAGCCTTCCCAGGGCCACACATGAAATAGGCCCTTAATCAGTAAGTGTTTCAGCCCTGGGAATTCATTTTATTTATTTATCTATTGATTGATTGATTGATTGATTGATTTACTTGAGACAGGGTCTCACTCTATTGCCCAGGCTGGAGTGCAGTGGTATGACCATGGCTCACAGTCACCTCAACCTTCTGGGCTCAATTGATCCTCCCACCTGAGCCTCCCCAGTAGCTGGGACCACAAGTACATATCACCATGCCCAGCTAATTTTTTAATTTATTTTTTGTAGAGATGAGGGCTCACTATGTTGCCCAGGCTGGTCTCAAACTTCTGGGCTCCAGCAATCCACCTGCCTCGGCCTCCCAAAGTGCTGGGATTATAGGTGTGAGCCACTGTGCCTGGCCAGCCCTGGCAATTCATATAACCAGTAGTCTTAAACATTTTTCATGGCAATATTTTTTAGCCTCCTTCCTCTTTCTTCAAAAGAATTCTTACAAAGTAATCTATTAGATTAAAAAATATCAAAAGGCTTCTGCCCTTGAAAGAAAGTGGGGCCCCAAATCCTGTCTGGTCCTTCTCCTGACTCCAGCCACCCTGGACACTGCCATGAAACACTGTGTACACCCCTGCTCAAGCCCAGTAGTGATCACACCTGCCTGTAGCTATAGTGCACCTGCTGTATACCTGGCACTGCCTGAGCCTGTTGTCACCATCCCCTCCACTTCTCAATCATAGTCCTAAAATTGAGATCTTATCATCCCATTTTCCAGGTGGGAAGACTAAGGCTAAGAGAGACTAAGTAAGTTAGCTGAGGTCATCCAGCATGTGTGGGGTGGGTCAAGATTCACACTGAAACCTATCAGCGCCTCAAAGACTGTGTTCCTTCTACTGCCCTACTTGAGGCATGGGAAAACTGTGACCTAGAGCAGGGGAGGGTTGGTGACCTTCTGAGGCCATACTCTTACCTGCTGAACCTGGGTCAAGGCCAGTGTGGCCTTGATGACTTCTGGGCTGGTCAGCTCTTGTCCAACCCTGGCTGTGAGTGCTGGGGGGAGAATGCACTGGGCTAGGTTTATAACCGCCCTGGACTCTGTTCTGTCACAGATTGACTTCCGGGGCAGCTCAGCCCACAGCTAAGTTCAGGGGCTCTGGGGACTGAGTGTTGCCATCACCTTTTCCTCTGAAATCCAGCTACAGGGCATCCAGGGGTGGCTGGAACAGACGGACCATCGAGTCTAACCCCACAATTTACAGATGGGGAAACTGAGGCCCAGCCATCCAGACAGCAGTCGTTGGCCTTCCACTGGGCAATCACTGTTGCCAAGTGTAGCATTAATGACTGCATCCTCCCAACAACCCCAGCAGTCCAGGAAGGGACACTTATTAAGCTCCAACTGTATGCCTCATATTGCATTAAGTGTATTCTTAACTGTTATCTCCTTCACACTGCACAACTGCCCATCTAGTAAAAGGAGAAACTGGCCGGGCGTGGTGGCTCACGCCTGTAATCCCAGCACTTTGGGAGGCCGAGGCGGGCGGATCATGAGGTCAGGAGATCGAGAACATCCTGGCTAACACAGTGAAACCCCGTCTCTACTAAAAATACAAATAATTAGCCAGGCGTGGTGGCGGGCACCTGTAGTCCCAGCTACTCGGGAGGCTGAAGCAGGAGAACGGCATGAACCTGGGAGGCGGAGCTTGCAGTGAGCCGAGATCGCGCCACTGCACTCCAGCCTGGGGGACAGAGCGAGACTCCGTCTCAAAAAAAAAAAAAAAAATGGGGAAACTGAGGGTTCAAGAGGAAAGGTGACTTGCTCCGTCTGCCTGACTCTAAGACTCATTTCTTAGTGCCATAGGAATCCACAGTGTAGGTGTGGTGGTGTAAGGGAGGAGAGGGAGGAAGGTAATTTATAACTCTGGAGACGCTGACTGAGAAGTCTTCCACCCCCCACTAAACAGAATGTGGGTTCCATAGCATATAATACATGCTTACTGAATGCACAGTGGAATGGACGAACACTAGGCTCATTGGTGGTGCTCAGTGCTTGGTGCTCAGTGTTTGCTGAATGAATGAATGACTCTCAATAGGGCATATTAAAAAACTTCCAGCTACTGTCCTTAGTAGAGCAGTCTGCTGCTCTTTCCCCCAATACCATATTTCCTCTTCTCCACTTTTCTATTTCTCTGGTGGGCTACTTGTCCAGCTCAGCTTCTCATGTTTGGAAGTAACTGTCTCTGCTTCTCTCTGACTCCTACCCCTCAAGGCTAAGCTGTTCCATGATCCATTCCTTCAAGAGCATCTCTTTCTTGACCAAGGAATGAGCACTAACAGGCTGACTTGGTTCTTCTTCAGGAGACAGGCTTATACTTTGAAAAGGGAGGCCTTGTGAAAATAGAATCTGAGAACTTGGTGTGTGGTCTGGCAGCATCCGGGACCAGGGCTCAGCTTGGGACTGGAGTTAGAGCTTAGTCTATGACCACAGTCAGGGCTGTCTGGAGTCAGGATCAGGGATTCAGTTAGGGCTCAGGACTCAGTCTATAACTTGGGTTAGGATTCAGCCTGGGTTAAGTTAATTAATTTATTTATTTATTATTTATTTATTTTTGAGATGGGGTCTCGCTCTGTCACCAAGGCTGGAGTGCAGTGGTGCGGTCTTGGCTTACTGCAACCTCCGCCTCCTGGGTTCAAGCAAACCAATCCTCCCACCTCAGCCTCCCGAGTAGCTGGGACTACAGGTGCACACCACCATACCTGGCTAATTTTGTGTATGTTTAGTAGAGACGGTGTTTCACCATGTTGGACAGGCTGGTCTCAAACTCCTGACTTCAGGTGATCTGTCCACCTCAGCCTCCCAAAGTACTGGGATTACAGGCGTGAGCCACCATGCCCGGCCAAGCCTTGGTTAATGTTTGAGCTCAGACAGGGGCCAGGTTTGCATTCATCCCATGAGCTAGGATGGTGGATTAGTCTATGGTTAGGGTCAGGGCTCTAGGACCACGATCAGGCCTAAGTCTGTGGCCAGGACTAGGGTGCGGTGTGTGACCAGGATCAAGCCTCAGCCTAATCAGAGCTTCCAGAACTACTAAGCTCCCTCCCAAAAGTTGATTCCCTGGAATCAACTAGATTTTCCTCTATTCCTTAAGACGTAGCTTCTTTCTAGAGAGTGCCCTCCTAGTGCTGCTCACACGGCCCTTGCAGCCCTGCAGGAGAGCTGCCTCAGCGCCTCCGCCGAGACCCTGCCTCCCGCCTCCCTGCCTCCTGGCTCCAGGGTTATTAAAGGAGGAATCTGTGGGAAGAAGAGAGTAAACAAAATCCATCACGCGGGGCTGGGGCTGGCGCCCGTTCCTCCTGCGGCTCCGCAAGCTGACTCGGAAACCAACAGCGCTGAGCGGACAATGTTGACAGGAGACTTAATGAAATCCAGAGGGAGGCGCCCTGGCAGGGCCTACCTGGAAGGAGGCCCGAGCTGATAATTACATTAATTCTGGTCTATGTCCCAACAAGCGCAGAAGCAAGGGCTGGGTCCAGGGCCCGTTCACCCAGGGCTCCAGGAGTCTGTCATAATTACGGGGAAAAATAAGTTTCGGAACTTACATAACCTCACTGCTTGGGCCCTGAGGGTTAGACCCACTTTGCTTTGCTTTTCCAGGAAATGCACATATGGCAAAGCTACACTTGTGTGCCAGGATCACCTCTGTGGGTCACAGAATGTGTGAGAGCACTGGGCAGGAGCTTGGTTCTTGTCCGCATTTCTCAGATGAGCCAAACTGAGGCTCGGGAGCAAAATGGTCTCATTCAGAGTCCTGCAACCAAAAGGCACAGGGCTAGCATCAAGCTCCGTATTCCAGTTTTCCCTCCTCGAAACCACTCCAGCATGGAGACTGTGGGTGACCGGGAGCGGGGAGATGCATTCTGCCCAAGAAAGGAAAGGAAGAGAATGGTGCCCTTCTCAAATGGTGCATTGGAGGGGGCCAGGCTAAGAAGAAGGAAGAGCCGGCCAGGCAGAGAACACAGCAGATAGAAAGGCACAGTGGCTGGGAAGGATACAGCGTGATGGGAGGAAGGGGTCATCCCATAGGGCTGAGTGCTAGTTCAAGGGCAGAACTGGGGTAAGGAAGTTGAGGCAGGGGCATGAGGAGCATCATATGTTGGAGCCACAGAAAAGTCTCCCACAGCTCCTCTTATTTGAGCCTCACGAACTAGATGCTTTCATTGTTCCCATCTTACAGATAAGTAAACTGAGGCTTAGGAAATTTGAGTCTCTTGCCCAGAGCAACGCAGCCCAAAAGTAGTACTGCTGGGATTAGAACCATGTCTGTTGGGCTTAAACTGCTCCTTCAAACACACTTCTTTCCTGCCTTGCATGCCCCCTGCCGACTTTCCTCACTTTCCAGTTTGGCTCAGCCTGAGATGCCAGCCTGAAGATGCTCCTGGCCAGTGTGGAAAACCACAGAACCTTCAAGAACAGGGTGGCAGCAGGGGCACACTGCATACTCAGGCCTCTGCAGGGCTGTCTCCGGGCGAGGAAGCGGAGGGTCAGGGCCCTAAGGCCTGTGGTGGCAGGAAAGGGGGGAATTAAGGGGAAGCCAGTTCCAGGTGGGGTGAAGACAAATTGACACCCAACAGAACAATGGGCTACTTGGACAGGAAGTGAGCACCCCAGCCTCGGAGGTATAGTATGAAGGGGACAGACAGGGAGACAGGAGATCTATACGTCTTGGTCCCAACCAAATCTGCACACCCGAGTTTCCAGGAGCCCCACCTCTCCTGGGAAAAACCATTCCTAGCCACCTGCCACTGAGGTCGGCTCCAGGAAGTGTCAAGGCCTGCCTGGGGGATCTGTTGCCTTCCAGGGGTTCCTCCTCAGACGTTTCCAGCCCCTTGAAAACAGCACCCAAACAGAACCTGAAGAAAAAGTGCTCACATGTGCGGGACTGCTCTGTGGGATCCTGTCTCTCCCCTGAGCACAGACACAGGAGCACAGAGAGGGGGAGTGAGTAACCAGGCGTCACACAGCACAGTCCAGGTGGGCCTCCTGGAGAACGGATGTGACCAGGCTCACCCTCAGGGTGAGACCTCTCGCTTGGGTCAGAGGGTCCTTGACGTTGCCCTAATCAGGAATGAGAGTGTTTGTTTTCAGCCAAATATTTCCCTGACCGCAGACGAGACGGGATGCGACTGCACATTCCAGAGTCCTGGCAGCTTAAGAAACCATGCTGTGGGGTCTGCCTGGTCCCCTTGCCTCCTCCTGGGGGCCTGGTGCCCACCCCCCAGGCCCTGGGGTCTGGCTGCCAGCTTGGATGAGAACGTTGTTTGTAGCAGAAGGTGTTGGCAACACCCCAACACCTCTTCTCTCCTCATCCTTCTGGACCCCCCAGGTCTCAGCCCCATGGATGCTAATCTGGCTTGTGGAGGTTTCACCAGACCCTGGGAGATGAGCATCCCAGGCAGGGAGACAGCATGTACTGTCTTGTGGCCCAGAGGCATGACAACGGTGTGGCCTCCCTGGAGAAGGCGTGTGTGCTCTGTGGCTGGAGCGTGAGTCTCCTGCCCAGCAAGGGTCGGGGTGAGAGAGGACAGGTATGGCCAGCTTGCAGAAGGCCCAGAGCACAAAGAATCTGTGGTCTTGGAGCAATAGGGGGCCGTGGAAGTTGAACAGGGGAGTGCCAGGGTTAGAAATGTGTTCCAGGAATTTCCCTCCAGTGGACATCAGTGGCCAATTGAGTGGACAGGCAAATGCATGGGCACCAGAAGGCTGGGGAGTAGGCTGAAGCAGGGACAGCCAAAGCGGGGTGCAGAGGGTGGGACAGGATGAGAGGAAAAGGCAGAGTCAGGTCATCAGCTAGCCGTGAGACTGATAGATGTGGATATTAGGGTCCTCGTTTACAGAAGAGGAAACTGAGGCTTAAAAGGATGAGAAGTGATTTGCCCAGCTGCCTGGGGAGCAGTGGAGCTGGCATCATGGACTCCGATTCCACTGCCATTTCTCTCTACTGTATCCACGTTGGTGGAGTTCACAGCCTTGACCACCTGTGGTCAGGATTTCTGAGGTAAGTCACATTCCCCACCCAGGGCCCTGGTCAGAGGCAGCATGTCTCCAACCCCGGCCCTGCTCAAGGCCCTGGCTCCTGCCAGAACTGTAGTAAGCCCACTCCCCCATACAGTCAATTTCTTCCTCTCCACTCCTTGGTGATTCCTGTTGAACTCCTACAGATCCCTTGATAGCCAACTGAAAATCACCTCCTCATGGTTGCCCTCCAGACGACTGCAGACAGAATCAGTCTCTCCTCCAGACCCTGGGGTAGACACTTCCCAGTGTCCCATCACCTGGGAAGGCCTTGGGGGCAGAGGGCTTGTATCGTCTCTGCCTTCTCAGGACCCAGAACAGGGCCCGGTATACAGTAGATACTCCATAACTATTGATTACAGCGAGTGAATGCATGAACAACTCGATGCTCACGCCCCAGCACAGATGATCAAAGATAGGTTTTGAAGCCAGGCAGCCCCGGCCAACTCCTGTCTCTGTCTCTGGCCAGCTGGGTGGCCCTGGGGCTTCAGCTGCCTGAACCTCAGTTTCCTTTTCTGTAGACCGTTGGCAACTGTCCTGAGCGTGCAGCCTGAAAAGCAAATTCAGTAACAGACATAGCCCAGCAGAGCACTTGAGAGCATGGTCCCTGAAGCCAGCTGGCCTGGGTTCAAATCCTGACTCTGCCATTGACCAGCTGTGTGGCTTTGGGCAAGTTACGTGACTGCTCTGGGCCTCAGTTTCCCCATCTGTAAAATGGAGGATAGTAGTGCCAGTCTCATGGGGTTGAGAGTGAAATGAGGACATGCAGGTAAAATGCTTACAACAGGATGTGGCAAGTAGGAAGTGCCGGACACACGCTCGTGAACATAAAATGCCTAACACACGGTGTGCACTTGAGCAGGGTGAATCCGACTCCATCTCCTCTCACCTTCCCTCCTGCAGCCCAGGGAGAGCGCTGTAGGGGCCCTGTGCAGAAGCAGGGGGGCTCTGATTAGCTGTCAGAGCCAAGGCCCCTCTCTGCAGAAACATCAGTGGGTCAAACACTGCAGGCCCCGCTGTTTCTCCAAGTAGAAACCCCACACAGATATGGAATTAACCACCCATGTCAGCATGAATGGCACTCATTTCAGAGCCTTCCGTGGAGGGGGAAAATATCAAGCAAGTCCTGCTGAGAGAGGATTTCAACTCAACGGCTGCAGCCTCTGAGCTTGCTCTAGAAGCGCCTTTTTAATGAGCTTCTTTTATTTATTTATTTGTTATTTTATTTTATTTAATTAATTTACTTATTTTGAGATGGAATCTCGCTCTGTTGCCCAGGCTGGAGTGTAGTGGCATGATCTCCGCTCACTGCAAGCTCCGCCTCCTGGGTTCACGCCATTCTCCCGCCTCAGCCTCCTGAGTAGCTGGGACTACAGGAGCCCACCGCCACGCCCGGCTAAATTTTTGTATTTTTAGTAGAGACGGGGTTTCACCGTATTAGCCAGGATGGTCTCGATTTCCTGACCTCGTGATCCACCCGCCTCAGCGTCCCAAATTTTGGGATTACAGGCGTGAGCCACTGCGCCCGGCCTGATGAGCTTCTTTTAAGTCTCAAATCAAGTGTTTTCTTCCACTTGGCAAGGTGAGTATTGCTGTGAGCATGATTATTTTAGTTACTGCATTTTCTGGGCTCTAAGTATAGGTGATGCACCCAAATTATGTGACTTAGTCCCTTTAGCCCAGTGATGAGAAAGTATCATTCCCAGTTGAGGGAGGGGGACACTGAGGCTCAGAGAGGTTGCCAACCAAGCCCAACGTCACACAGCATGGAAGCAGAGTCACGATTTGAACTTATGTGAGTCTGATGCCAAAGGCAGTGATCTGAAACACCGGTCTCAGCACTGGCTACACACTGGAATCAACAGGGGAGCTTTGAGCAGTCCTGATGGCTAGGTGGAGTCCCAGAGGGGCTGATCCTGAGCTGCTCCCCAGGAGATTGCACCCAGCAGCCAGATTGGCAGGTCAGGTCCAGGAGACAGAGACACCATATCCAGGGGAGACACATCCAATCAGAAAGAGATAATCCACAGAGCTCTAAACCTTGCCCTTCCCCAAGGATGGAGGGACCATCTGTGTCTTGTGAACTGAAAAAGCCCCTACCCCTACCTTGGTGCCAGTTAATTAGTACAAACCCCAACCCCAGCCAAATCCAAGGTCAGCACCCACTGCTCTAACACACTCTGCTGCCTTACACCGTGACCCTCCTGTGCTGGAGGTGAGGATGCCCAGGCACAGAGACATGGAAACACCTGCCCAAGGTCACACAGCTTTGAAGCACTCAGCCTCAGGCTTCTTCGACCCCGGCCTCCTTGCAGTGAGGGGTGAAGGTGATGAGCAGGGTCATGGAGGCACAGCTGGAGAAGCAGGTGGTGTTTAGCAAAGATCACAGCAGCCCTGGGGACCTGAGACTTGGTCCTCTGGACTCTGAGGAAGCAGATGGTAGGTTTGGGGGCCCAGAGGCAGCATCAAGTCCCTTAGCAGGGCAAGTCACGGGGGACAGGGGGCCATGTCCAGGGAAAATATGTGCAAATGAGAGAGATGCAATCATGAACCTCTAAACCTTGCCCCGCTCAAGGATGGAGTGACCATCTGTGCCTTGGTAAGCAGCTACCCTGGGTCCCCACACCCTAGTGCCAATTTAATCGTTAAAGACCCAGACCTCAGCCAAATGCAGACTCTGAATTTCTGGAAAGCTCCAACGGTCAGCAAGGAGACAGCAGGTCTTGGGATAGAATTTCTCCAGGAGCCCCTTCTGACCTCCCTGACCATCGTCTAGGCTGGAGACTCACCACATCCTCCCCATGTGTCCTGGGCCCCCGCTTCCTCTTAGGGCTCAGCAGAGGCCGGGGCTTTCCCAGTTTCTCTTCTCTTATTAGCAGTGGGATCATTGCTTCAAACAGAATCTTTGGAATTTGGTTGATCCAGACTTTGACTCAGGCCCATTTATTTTGACGTTCCAAAGAAATGTCTCTGAGCCTGCATCTTGCCTGTAGGGACAATGTTTTCCTTCCTCTAAAAGTTCCTCTCAAATCCAAACACCAGTCCACATTCCCTGAGGCTGGTGGATTCCACATCCTCCGAAAGATGCTCCGTTCTAATTCTAGTTCTGCTACCTCCCAGCAGAGTGGCCTTGGGCGGGTTACCAACTTCTCTGAGTCTCAGTTTCCTCATCTGTAAAATAGACCCCTAGCTCATACTCATAAACAGGCCACCAAAATTAAATGAGATAATGGCATGACGATCTTTGAGGCATGCGGGAGGCATTCGGTCATGGAAGCTTAATTGCAATAAGAGGGGAACTGCGAGCCACCCAAGGTCCTGCAGACTCTGGGATCCACATCCCCTGTGGCCTGCAGCTCTGACCCCAAATCATTCATTGTTCAGTTGCCAGTGATTGATCCCAAGTGGCCGTGCTATGACACAAATACCTATGCACTCTCTCTCTACACCCAGGCCAAAGTACACATTGGCTTTAATAATTAATATAACGAGCCTGAGCCCTGGCCAAGAGACCCATTGGGTGCCAGCACCTCTCACACCCACCTCTAAAGCTCTCATGCTCCATCCACACTGCCGCTGCGCTCATCTAGACCCCCACTGGTGCTCATTCCCTCACTCCCCACCCCACCCCTTGCCCTGCTTCCAGGGTCAGCCCCTCCAGTGGATTCTCTGCCCAGCTGGAGCCATAGAGGTTGTTTTAAAGCACTGCAGTCATCTGGCTACCACCCTCCATGGCTCCCCATTCCCCTCATATCAGTCTCTGGAAGCCTTTTGTGACCTGGCCACAGCCAACCTCTCCATCACCCCTGGGCTCCGCTATACGTTCTTCCTGCCCTGCACCTCTTGCAGCTTCCCAAATATGCCAAATTCTCTCTTGCCTCTGAACCTCTGCACAAGCTGTTCCTTCTTTCTACCAGATACCCTTTCCCCAATTTCCCCTGCTGACTAACTCTTTTTCATCCTTCAGCTCAAGTGCCTGGGGCCTTGAGTCTTTTCTGTGTAGGTCTTCATAGGTGACGTGGGCTTCCTCACAACATGGTGGCTGGATTCTAAACATGAGCATCCCAAGAGAATTGGATGGAAGGGGTATTGCCTTTATGACATAGCCACTCAGCATTGTCCTGCCATTGTCACAGGCCCACCCAAATTCAAGAAAAGAGAATATGTGGCCTCACCTCTCAGAGACGGGTGTGAGTGTCACCACAAGAAGAATGGGATGGGAGCTGTTGTGGCCATCTTTGGAAAATATAAAATGTCACCGAGGGGGAAGGTACATGTAAGAACTATGTAAGTACTGTGGCTGGGGACATTCAGTACGAGGGCAAATGTCCCTGATCCTCATTGTCTTAACAGCTAGCCCTTTGGTAGACAGCATGGCCCCGAATCAGTCAGGAAAGCTTAGCTGTGTCAGTCCTGTCTGCAAGTTCATGAAGCATTGGGGAAGATTTCTGTCAGTAATGGGAGCATTTACCATTTAACATGTTTTGAATTTTAAAGCTCCAAGTGTTGGTGATCTTGAAAATTCCTCGGTGGGCCTGAAAAAGTGAAATAGGCCACAGATAACTCCTAAGAGGTTTGGGGAAGGAAGGCCAGGGACTTTTCCAAGTATGCCTGGCCCACTAAGGGTCACGTCCCCCAAAAATTATCCGGAGAAAAGGATATGCCTGGCACCCATTCCCTCAACCACAGGAAAGGCCTGGAATATTCTGGGGAGATGTTCCAAAGGGATCTGGTGTGTGCACATTCCGTGCAGAGGTTGTGGAACAGAATCGTAGGGCGGGGGTGAGGGTGCTGGCGTGGGCAGAACCCAACCCTAATTTCCTCTCTTCTTGTTTTTAACCCTAGGCTCTGCCTCCTTTTTCCTCTTGCCAGTTGGAGCCAAATCATTCAGATTTCCAGATTGTGAGGAATCCTTCAGCCCCCGTGGTATAGCCACTGACACACTATCCAGCTGCCACAGTTGTGGGTGTTGAACCCTACCCTTACCCTTAGGCCTTCGGTGGAACCACGTGGATCTCCCCGGGGCCTCCAGGAGGAGAAACGTGCTCTGTCTCCTTGGCCAGGAAAGGTGAAGCTGTGTGACCTAGAACACACACTCCTGACCTCTCTGAGCCACTCCTAGTAGCAGGCTGTGAGCTGCTTGTCTCACTACGTAGCTAGGAAATAACAGCATGAAAGTGCCTCAGAAAGGAACTACCAGTGGCTGTACAGTTACTACACATCGTTAGTAATAACGGCACTCCCCTCCCAAGACGACAGCAGAAAGGGATTCAGCAGCAGAAGGCACAGCTCTTTTGCTTCTGGGTGCCAGCAAACCCTTCATTGAGCACATATTGAGCATCTGCTGTATATCAGGGCCTGGGCAGCACCATGGACACAATAATGCACTCGGTGTGCACAGCCCCTGCCCTCAAAGGCCCCCCATGTTGGCTGTTCCAGAAACACAGGAGCTGGGGAGGTGGCATCAAAGCAGAGACCTAAAAGATACTGAGGAATTAGCCGAATGGAAAAGACAGGGTGATTTCCTGATAGAGGAACTGCATATGCAAGGGCCCAGGGTCCAGGGATCAGGGGGCTCCTGGGGAAAGACCAGCCATTCTGATGGCTGGAGCGTAGAGCCTCAGCACCCATGCAGAGCTTGAGGGGGATTAAATAGTAAGCGAATAAAGAAAGAAAATGCACAGAGTGTTAGGAAGTGGTGAGAGCTACAGAGAATCATAAAGAGACGGGCGTAGGGATGGGGGTGGGTAGGAATGGGGGTGAGTAAGGATGGGACAGGGAGAGGGATGAGGTGGGTGTAAGGATGGCACAGAGGGTGAGGCTGCCATTTCAAATAGCAGGGAGCCTGCACTCACACGAGGACATTTGTGCAGAGGTCAAAGAAGTGAGGGAGTGAGCCCCGTGGGCATTTGGGGGAAGAGCATTCCCCGCAGGGGAAGCAAGAGCAAAGGCCATGGGCCATGCACTCCACACCTGAGGGGAGCTGGGGGGCGGGGGAGGGCCAGTGTGGCGGAGTGAGCCAGCAGGACAGAGGCGGAAGGAGAGGCGTGGGAATGTCGGGAGTCAGACCACTCAGTCTACTGTGGGGACCTGGGCTTCCATCCCAAATGAAAGGCAGCCACGGGGCTGCTCGCCAAGGCAGGGACGAGGGTAGATGTGGGTTTAACAGGATCCCTCTGGGGCCTAAGAGGAGAGGCTGAACGGGTAAGGGAGGAAGGAGCAAGGGAGGAGGCGAGAGAGATGATGCTGGCTGCACCAGGTGGTAGCAGTGGCCATGGTAAAGAGTGACTGGCTTCTGAATATATTTTGAAAGCAGAGCCACCAGAAACCGGAGCAAGAGAGGGGAGGGGAGGAGATGGGAGGGAAGAGAGGAGGGAAGGTGATGCGGGGAGGGGAGGAGAGGGGAGAGGAGGGGGTAGGGGACAATGGTGACTCCAGGGCACGCATACTTCTCTGTCCTCTCGCACTGCCTGACAGACATAATTAACACAGACCTTTCTCCCGTTGAGACCAGATTGGTTCTTGGAATCCTCCTCAACCCAGACCTACAAGGTGTCACTCCCACTAATCAGGATTGGATGTCCAATGAGGCCAGGAGGCAAAATGGGTTCACACAGGAATACGCGCCATCATTTGTGGGCATCTACCATGTGCTTGGCACTAACTAGTTGCTTTTCCAATTCTCTCATTTCAAGGAGAGACAAACTCTGGGATTGGCAGCAGCATCCTTAACAGATGACACCAGGGCTCTAGCAGTCCACACAGAACTCCCCAGCTAAGACGTTTAGAGCTAGGATTCAAATGCGGTGATCACTTATTCCAGTGCCAGCCCCAGCTCCCCATGGGAGACCCCCTCCTCACTCTGCTGAGGCCTCACCCACCACACCTGGGCCTCCTGGCCATGCCAGGACTCCACATTCCAACAGGCTGGTAGAGGCGGTTGTGGGCAGAGCATGCCTGGAGGCTGAGAACCGCAACTTCCAGCCCCGGTGCCATCCTGGGGCAGGGTGGCGCAGAGGGGCATGAGCGCCTGTGCCAGGAGCCAATGCTGCGGAGGGGCCCCACCCCACCTGGGGGCTGCCAGCCCGCCTGCCGGCCAAGGTCCTCACCAGTGCCTTCTCTCCTCTAGCACACCCATCAGCTCAGCATGAAGACTTGCTAAGGAAAAGGTACAACTGGGAACGCGAAGCTGTCCATGCCTGGAGATGATTCCAGCAGCCAGGAGGTGGGGCTGGCCTCTTACCTGGGTACACTGTCTCCATGGGAGCATCCTCCACGCAGTTAGAGTGGGCTGTTGATGTGTCTGTATGGACTGTGAAGGTAACTAAATGCCTGGGACTTAGAAGGCTCCACGGGCAGGCTCCAGAGGCCAGCCAGCATGAGCTCAGGTCCAGCTCTGCCACTTACTTGCTGTGCCATCTCAGGCCGGTTACATTACCCCTCTGGCCCTCTTTCCCGGTAAAAAAAGGGCTGGTAATAGCATCCACTTCATAAGGCTCTGCAAGTACTGGGGGCAGGGGTAACTCACATGAAACAGTTAGCACAGTAAGTGCTGAGGAAGGTTAACCATTATTACCATTATGGGCATTCATCCCCGAGTTCTCAAGATTGACATGGACTTGAGCAAGCACCCAGGAAATCTGTAGGAAGCACAGTGAGGGCCAAGCTCCTTGGGGTGGTAGTTGAAGGATGAGGGGGCAAAGAAGACTAGAGGAGAGAGGAAGGAGGAGCTGAGTGTAAGCCCCTGCCAGCCACTGCTTTGCTGTGTGACCTTGAGCAAATCCATTGCCCTCTCTGGACCTCCATGTCCCCGTTGTTTACATTTGGGACATGCACAAAGGCCCTCTCAGCTCTGCATCTGTTTTTTGGTACCTGCCATGAGCAGGTAGAGCAACTTAATTAAATTAATTTGAATTAATTTTTAAAATTTTTAAATTTTTATTTTAATAAAATAAAAAAGATTTGGAGTGGGCTTGAGTCCCCCAGGGCCTCCCAGTTTCTTGGAGGGGGGCTCACTTTCCAAGGAAGGTAATTGGGTCATACTGGCTATGTGTTTTTTCCTGTGCACAGCCCTTCTAGCCCCGCTTCCCCACCAGACTGTGACCTCCTGGGGGTGGCCATGCTTGCTCCCAGTGCTCTGTGAAGCTCAGGCTCAGGCCTCCTTAATGCCAGGCCAACTCTTCCTCCTCCTGCCAGACTCATCTGGGCTCCACCTCCTCCAGGAAGCCTTCCTAGACCCAGGCTGAGTTATCTGAGTGGGCCTTCTCATGGGAGGGGGTCTGGTTTGGGGCCTGTCTTCCTTCCAGGTACCCAGAACAGGAACCACACTGGCCTGGCATCTGGAGTGAACAAAGGGATGTTGCCCAGCAGATGTTTGTGGAATGGACAGGTCCTGAAGTGCCCACAGGAGCTTGAGAAGAAATCCAGGAAGCCTGGTCAGCCTCAGCTCAGCCCCACCTGACTGGGACCTCTGGCAAGTGACCAACCCTGCCGAGCCTCCCTCCTGCCACCTGTTGGATGGGGACTCTCAGCACTGTGGTGAGGATTAAGCGAGTCAGGAGACTCAGAGCCTGGCGCAGCCCTAAAGACAACAGACTCACCTGGGAGAGAGTTCATCCCCTGCAGATGCTGTCCCGGCCAGCCACCTGGCCCGGGAGTTCACCTCGGCTCCCCTCCGCCACTTGCTGTTCTGACCTTTTAGCAAACAGCAAGCAGGTCTCTGGCTCTGAACTCTCCCAGGTAACAGCATCTACAGAAAATGTGAGAACTGTGTCCTGTCTTTATTATCTTTGTTTTCATGGTACCTTCTGTTTATAGCAGCCTCTTCTCAGATATGATGTGGTGTTTCCTTTTTTAAATATGCTGACCTAAGCTGGGCACGGTGTCTTGTGCCTACAGTCCCAGCTACTTGGGAGGCTGAGGCAGGAAGATGGTTTGAGCCCAGGAAGTTGAGACTACAATTAGCTAAGACTGCGCACTGCACTTCAGCCGGGGCGATAGAGTGAGACCCTGTCTCTAAAAAGATAAATGAACAGGCTGGGTGCAGTGGCTCATACCTGGAATCCCAGTGCTTTACGAGGCCAAAGCAGGAGGATCGTTGAGCCCAGGAGGTCAAGGTTACAGTGAGCTATGATCGCACCAAAGTACTCCAGCCTGGATGACAGAGCAAGACCCTGTGGCCAAAATAAATAAGTGAATAAATCAGCTGACCCAGCCCATAGCATCAGGTAGCAGGAGAGCTAAGCACAAGGACTCTGAGACCACGTGAGCCAGGTTCAAATGCCAGCTGTGCCTCTTCATTGCTGTATGCCCTCAGGTGGGTCTCCTTGCCTCACTTTCCCCACCTGTACAGTGTAAGGATAGCAGCAGGACCCCTGTCTTGCCTGAGGGCTATTGTAAAGGTTGATGTGTGCAAAGTTCCTACACCCGGGCTTAGGGCACAGTCAGGGTTCCCTACTTCTGTGAAGACGTTTTACAAAGTGAGCTGACACAAGCGAGCCTGGTGACTTGCAGACACCACAGCCTGCGAAATGCCAGCCCAGTCCACCCCTTCTGCCTGCCCTGCCCCAGGAGGCCTGCTGCTACCTGCCTACCTCCCTGGCAAGCCCCCGGCAGCACTGCTGTAATCCCCAGGCTGGGTAAACACATGATTAGGTTTCTCAGCTTTTGTCCTGTTACTCGGAGCAATTCTCAGGCCCTGAGCACTCCTCCCACCAGCATCACCCCACACCCTGACTCCCAAAGCCCTAGGCCCCGGGACCAGCTCAGCCCCTAGCCCATGCCTCAGTTTCCTCATCTGTGAAATGGGCAATGATACCTGCGTGTCATTCATGAATAGGCATAATGCTGTTCTTACCTCACGACCCATGGTGAGAAGTGGGGCTGCTGTCATCATGCATACTCACCATTCTAGTGTCGCAGGTATTGTTCACCTGTTGACTGAGACCTTTACTGAGGGCCCCGAGGGATGCCACTGTGCCTTCACCAGCCTGCCCATTCCCACCTCTCAGCCTCTTCCTCAGCTGGGACCCTCCCGGGAAAGCCCTTCCACTATCGGCTCATCTTTCCCGGCCTCTGAACATCCCACAATGTGGAACCCAGGGGCCATTAATTGCCACCTGGAGTGTGGGTTAGGGTGAGGAGGGAGAGAGCAGAGGCCACTCAGATCTGGAGTACCAATGATGTGGCCTTGGGAAGGCCACTTAACCCTGTGTGTCTCTGTTTCTGCATCTATAAAATGGGAACAGTAACCTCTGCTCCTCGTGAGGTTATGGTGGTGATTTTATAAGCCACATACCCGGCACATGGCCAGACTCCCGTGGCTATGCCCACTGGGTGAGAAGGAAACGGGGAGGAAACCCTGCCTCCATGAGGTGGCTTCTGGCACTGTATTTGGCCTTATTACATAGGGAAAAAATTTACCTCATTTGCACTGTCCGATCTGACCTCCCTGGGGAGATGCCCAGCACTTCTCCATAGCACCCCCATTCATTCTGCCTCCACAGTGGCCAGTGCACAGCTCCCAGACCCCCTATCTGAGCAGCTCCTCCCCTGCTCGAAGCCTCTGATGAGTCCTTACTGCCCTCAGCCACTCCCCTACTGCCTCAGCTGGTGTCCCGGCCAGGCCCGGTGACAAGTGATTCCCCATAAGTGCCTCATGCTCTTCCGGTTTGGCCAGCAGCCCAGAAGCCTCTTGGGCCAGCCCCACCCCATGACCTGCTGAAATCTTATTTGTACTTCAAAGCCTCAGGCATGCCACCCTCCTGGACAGAGCTGGAGACCTGGGATCAGCCAGGCCTGCGTTTATATCACTGCCCACTACTCACTTGCTGCCTGGTCTAGGCTAAGTTGCCTTGCCTCTCTTAGCCTCAGTTTTCTGATCTGCAAAACAGGTTCCTGCTGGAGATTAAGGATGATGTAATTTATTGGATGGTTCCAATGCTCTAGACATGCAGCCAGGCATATTACCAGCAGGATTCATTTTCTCTTCCCAACTGTTCTGTGACCTGGGGCACAACCAGCATTCGGAAGCAATGACATCATGTATACTCATTCATCTAGTCCTCAAAGCAACACCATAGGAGAAGGACTGGGATTACCCCCACTTTATATATGGAGAAACTGAGGCACAGGATGGTGAAGTGAGCAGCCCGAGGCCACACCCTAATACATGACAGGGCTAGGATTCACTCCAGGCAGCCCCGCCCCTGGACCCTAGCACTCAGCCATTGTGTGACAGGATCTCTGAACATCCCCATTTTAGATGGTGGAACTGAGATCCAGAGGGAAAAATGACTCCCCCAGATCTGCACAGCTGGGACCCAGCAGAGCCCAACACACAGCAGGTGCTCTGGAAACATTTTCCTAATCCTACTTCTCAGACCTGGGGAAGTAGGGTGGTTCCTAGCTGACACTGTCCCTCCATTACCCTTTCCTCACCCCAGGGGTCCTACTGGATCCAAGCCGGACATGGTGGGCAGGGAGGAGTGCTCGGTAGGCTGAGGCTGCTTCAGCTGCTGCCTCCAGCTGCCCCACGTTGGGGCCCTGTGCCTGCTGTCTGGGGACGCGGCTGCTGGGCTCCCTGGTGCTCCCCACCCCCACATTCCAATCTATGTATCCCCACCCCCGTGTCTACCTGTGTGCAGTTGATTCTGTTCTCTCCACTTTTGTCCCTGACTGTATCTGACTCCTAGGCTTCTCTCTCTCTCTCTCCCTGCCCCCTCTCTCTCCTTCTCTTTTCTACTCCATCTTGTCTCTGCCTGCTGTCTCTGTGGGGTATCCACTCTCTGTCTGGGTTCCTCTCTGTCACTCTCTCTCATCATCTCTGAGATATGGGACATATATCCATGGTTCTTTGCCACAGACATTTGGGGCTCTCAAAAGTGAGAACGTGCAGCTGGAAATGCCTCAGAGACCACCTTGTTCCACCAATGGGCAGTCAAAGCCAGATGTGCCTTAAGACTTGCCTGAGATCGCTCGGCAGGTGAGAGAGGGTAAGAAATTTCCCCACCCCACGGATTCAGCCAGAGGTGTGCCGCCCACGGGGTCCAGGCTCTGCAGCCCCTCCTCCTCCTACCCAGCTCCGAGACTGCTGGGGTCTCCACACAGCAGCCCACCCAAGGCTGGCGGGTGAGGGCCAAGGGCTCTGTCTGGTGAAGAATAAACTCTGAGGAAGTTTTAGGGCAGAAGAGAACAACTGGACCATTCCGGAGGAAGTTGTAAGGGGGGTAGATACTACACATGTGCCTCAGTTCCTCCACCTGTCTCTCTGCATCCATGATTTTCCATCCCTTGGAGGGCCATGGCTGGGGAAGGACAGTGGGACCATCCTCAGGGCCCTCCGGAAGTGGTCTGCCTGCTGGCGTCGACAAGCACCAGTTTGGGGGACATGTCACCCTCCTGTCCTCAGTCACAATCAACTTCTCACTGGACCCTCTCCCCAGCCCAAAACCCAACCCTTCTATGGAGTCCTCCAGGCTCAGCTCAAGAGCCTTTCTTTCAGGAAGGTTCAGTGTGCCCCACCCACAGCGAGAATGTCCCCCTCCCTGGCTGCCTCACTTGTTGTCTCTCTAGGCTCTCCTGCCTTCTCTCTCTCTCTCTCTCTCCCCCTGTCTCTCTGGCTCTCTCCCTTTGCCACCTGCCCCCACACCTCCACACCTCCACACCCTGACACTTACCAGTCCCGCTTCCCTTGCTGTCGGCGTTCATCCTGGAGTCATGTGACATACTCCCCACCCTGCCCCTAAACTCTGTTTCCTGACCTCAATGCCAGCCCCTCTGCAGGGCACTGCCCCCTCCATGTCCCATGGAATCCCACACCCCCATGCAAGGGGTCCTCACTGGACAGAAGAGAACGCCGGGGCTCAGACAGAGCAGGCAACCTGCCTGAGGTCACACAGCCCAAGTGGCGGCAGCACCGATGTCAACACCCAAGCTGTCCGACCCGATTCCCAGGCTCTTGAATAGACCTGCCGTCTCTCCAGCTGGGGTAGGGCCTCTGTTCAGCCCATATCCCCTCACCATGGGGTCTTTCTGAAACAGATAAACCACAGGGGTGGAGTGGGGGCCTTGACACTCAGCAACACCCCGAGGAGGCTTCCCCTCAGGGCCTGGGCAGCCTGAGCCCTGAGCCGTTTCTGAGGGTGACCTGAATTGGCTCTTCCTGCCTGGTCTGTGTTTGTGTCAAGCTGGTGCCTGAGCGACGTGAGGGTGGGCAGGCTCCCCTGGCAGCAGCTGCCCCTGCCAGGATGGGCAGGGCCTGTGCAGGCACCAAGGATTGATGGTCTTTGCAGGGTGGGCAGCCGGGGCAGGCTGCGGAAATTCTGGGAGAAGCAGCTGCCTCACCCAGGGGAGTGGGAGGGAGGAGGAGAGAGGAGGGTGGCAGAGACAGCAGGAGGAGGGGTTTTCCTTGGGCTGTCCTTGCAGTGACATGCCTGCATGTCTGGGGCATGAGCTGACTGCCCAACTATGTCCACAGCCACCTACCAGGGCCCGCCCACCTTGGGGACAGGGCCGGCAGCCGGCAGCTTCAGGCTCCAAGATGCTCACCAGTGGCTTTGTAGCCTTCTCTCTGCCTAGGAACCCAGGAGGAAAGACACAGCCCCACTTCCTATAGCCAGGTGAGGGTCTAGGCACCTCCCAAAGCACATTCCACAAGGGAGGAAAGAGATGCGGAGGGAGCAGAGTGGCCTAGGGTCACACAGCCAGTACCCTCTCTGTGATGACAGCTTGTCTGCTGCCCCATTCTAGCTCCTAATTCTCAGTCATTCTCAGCCCCCCAGAGCCCTGTGTAGCATTTGCCCCTAAACAGATGTCCAGTGCTTGCTTGTTGAATGAGCGAATGAATAAAAACAGACAAAGCTGGGACAGAGGCACCTCAATGCCCTGAACAGTGTTCCAGCCTTCCTCTGGGCAGGTATGGTGATGATCCCCGTGTTATCAGTCAGGAAACTGAGGCTTAGAGTCTTAGAGTAGCATCCAGCTCAGGACTCTCCTATTTGGCGTCCTGGCAGGAGGTGTCTTACGGAGCCAGTGTCCACCCTGTGGCCTGCATGCTGTGTCCCCAAGCTACCTCTAGGGTGAAATGAGGTCATGGACGGATTTGGGGCTGGGAGTGGTTTCTGACCACTGGGCCACCTGCCCAGTGGATGCCAGGTCAAGCCCCCCTTCTTGGCCACCCCCTGAGAACTGAGGTGGCCCCAGGGCTAGGCCAACTGAATGTCTCTTCCCCTTTTTGATCATATTATTGAATATAAAGGAGCCTGGGAACCACACCCTTTGGAGCTCAACAGAGTTTTTTATGCCCTTAAGAAGCTGGCTGACCCCACACAGGCTCCTTAACCTCTCTGAGCCCCAGTTTTCCCACCCGTAACACAGGACCCCAAACCATGCCACCTGGATCAGAGGGAGTCAGACATAGGAACAACAAAAGGGGTTGCAGCCTTGCATGAAATACTACACAGCAGTGAGAATGCATGAATGGCAGCTACACATGCTGGCATCATGAGCCTCAGAAACACTACGGAAGGAGAAAAGGCAAGTTCCAGAAGAAGGCATTCAGTGTGATCCACTTTACATGAAGATTTAAAAAACACATATTTGGTATATATTATTTGTCAATACATTCATATGTATTAATAGTAAAAGAATAAAAATATACTTTGAACAAGAAGCATCAAGTTCCAGACAGTGGTTAGCTTTGGTGAAGACACGGAGGCATAGGTAGGTGTATGTTTTTGTTTTTGTTTTGAGACAGAGTCTCACTCTGTCGCCCAGGCCGGAGTGTAGTGGCACAATCTCAGCTCCCTGCAACCTCCGTCTCCCGGGTTCAAGAGATTCCCATGCCTCAGCCTCCCAAGTAGCTGAGATTACAGGTGCCTGGGCCCACACCTGGCTAATTTTTGTATTTTTAGTAGAGATGGGGTTTCACCATGTTGGCCAGGCTGGTCTCAAACCCCTGACCTCAGGTGATCCGCCCACCTCGGCCTCCCAAAGTGCTGGGATTACAGGCATGAGACACCACTCCCAGCCTGGTAGGTCTATGTTCAACCGATCCAAGATACAGGTTTGTTAAAATTTGACCTGTTCAGCATCAGTAGTCCTCCTCTCTCCAGCTGTCCAGCTGAGAGATAATGGGGATAAGTGCTGTTTTGGAGGTGTATTTTGACAGGACTTGCTTAGGGGTTGCATGTGCCTTCAGGCAACTACTTAACCTTGCCAAGCCTCAGTTTCCTCATCTGTGAAGTGGGGAAATAATCCCTGCATGGAGTGTTGAGAGGATTCAAGGCAGTCATGCATACACATAAAGCCCTCTGTGCAGTGCCTGGTGCACTGAGACACTCCTCCAGCAGTGGAAACAACTGAGGTCATCACTAACTTTCGAGGCGGACTGGGGGTGGGGGTCTGTGTGGCGAGCCTGAGACTTGGGGCCCCAGAGCTCATTAGCCCACTAGTAAGCCAGGCCTCTGTAGCTACCCCCATGGAAAGAGGTCAGGTCTGAAGACACTTCACTCCATAGCAATCCCTGCAAATCCCTTCCCGTGCAACTCACAGGCCCCACTAATCAGTCACATGGCTGACCTTGAACACGGAGGCTGACCCACACTTGAGTCCACCCACCCCCTCCCACTGTTGTGAAGCCCTGGCCTGAGGCGTCTGCTGCCCGGGGAGAAGAGAGGCCCATCCAGCACCAGAAGCCCGACATGTTTCTGGGAGCTGGGCTGAGAGCTGCCACACCTGCATCTGGGATCTGGGTGCCCACTTACAAGGGCGGAGAATAGGCCTGGCCCTGGCTTGGCCTGGCTCTGTGACCTTGACCGGTGCTTTGAGCTGTGACCCTTGTTTCCTCATGTGCTAAATGGGTGTATGATGGGCCCGCAGCAGGAAGATGATGTGTGGAAATTGCTTGGCTGGATGAAGCTACCTTTACTATTGGTATTTATCTCAAGGTCATCTCTAGGCCCTCTCCCAGACTCAGCATCATAACTTTAACCCCATGAGGTCAGAGGCCCTAACCCCCCATGTGACACTGTCCCCTACTTGCCTAAATTCTCCTGGACATCAAAACCAGCTCAAATGCTACCTCCTCCTGGGCCTTCCCTGATTCCTTCAGGGAAAGAATGTGTGTTTGACTCCCTCTGATCCAGCTTTCTCTGTTCTCTGAGGTCCTGCTGCCCTTCAGCCCAGCTTTCCTGGCACCTCTGGTTGTGAATCTGAGACTTGGCTGTGTGCAGTACTCTTGCTAAAGAGGCTGCTTCAGGCTTTGGTGGCTGCGTTCATCCTTGCGCGGTGCATAGGGCTCTGTTCACTGAATGAATCTTCTGCATGGAGAGAGTTCTGGGCTTAACTGGAAACTCCATGAGGCCAGGCCTGCTTGCTTCACCACTGGATGCCCAAGGCCTAGCATGGTGCCTGGCATACAGGATGCCTGGAGAATGGGCAAGGAGGCTAGAGGGCTGGTGAGGCTCTTTCCTGTTCTTTGCCATCTGATGCCTGTGTGCCTGCAAGCTAGGTCCTGGGTATTCTCACCTCCTGACAGCCACACCCTGTGTGGGCCCCTCCCACACTGAAGGGGACTGACCTGTGTGACCCATAGGATATTGCAGAAATGATGGTATGTGACTTCCGAGGTTAAGTCATATAGGCATTGCAGCTTCTGCCCCACTCTCTGGAACCACTTCCTTTAGGGGAAGCCACGGGTCTGGCACCCTGTGCAGAGGAACTGAGTCCTCCCACCAACAGCTAGCACCGACTCCCAGTTTTGTGAGTGAGCTGCCTGGACAGCAGAGCCTCTGGCCCCAGGCAAGCCTCCTGATGGCAGCAGCCCCCTCTGACACCTTGACAGTGACCCATGAGAGACCACCCCACACCCCCAAGCAGAAACACCCAGCTAAGCCACTCCCAAATTCCTGACCACAGAATATAACAAAGAGTTATGGTTTTGAGTCTTTCTGTTTGGGGCAATTTGTTACACAGTGATAGGTAACTGATATGAAAAACCTGAGCTCCAACCATGTCCCTTGGGGCCAGCAGGATTTCAGGCAGAGGCTGCCCCAGGTTGCTAGAGGATGGCCAGCCAAGTAAAGATCACACACAGGGCCGCAGAGGCCTGATCCTCACCTCCCAGACAAAGGCAGGGAGGTGTAAGCCTGAGCCCTAGGCAGGGGAGAGAGTTCTCTGTTCCAGCCCCCAGCTGGGAACTTTGTGTTCCCAAGAGGCAGACATTGTTTGTCACTCTGGGGTGACATGCATAGTGCTCCCTAAAGGCAGAGGAGAGACACTGGGCCTCCCCAGTGATTCATAGTGTTCAGAAAGGAGGGGTTGAGCATGTTCCTAATCAGAAGCTGCTGCAAGGCCTGCCTGGTCACCATTTGTTCTGTTTCTGTATCTCGGCGTCAAACCTGATAAGCCAAGGTTTCCCCGAATGCAAGCACACCCAAGTAGGACCAGCACATCTTCTCTGCCAGGCCCCAGGCTGGGCACACAAAGGTGAACTGGCCATGATCTCCATCCTCTGGAAGATCAGCTCAGGCAACTAACATTGACTGAGCTCCTTCTGTATGCAGGTGCTAGGAGTAGCACCATACTACTCAGAACCCAGCCACTTCACTGTGGAACCATCATCGCCTGCTGGAACTGGTGCAGTAGGCTCCTCACAGGTCTTCCTGCTCCTGACCTTGCCCCGAGCCTTACAATCCATTCTGCAAATGGAGCTCAGCAGGGTCTCTACAAATGATAAATCAGATCATGTCTTGGCTGCTCGAAACCCTCCACTGACCTTGACATAAAAATGAAAACTTGCCTTTAGAGTGGAGAGATCTGGGGGGTCACCACATGACCAATCTGAAATCATTGGGACCACCTGACATTTTGGGCCTCTTGGTGGCATGAGATATAAGGAAGACACAGCCACACTTGGGCTCAACTTATTCAAGGCATTTCTCTTTATATAAAGTCAGGGAGGCAGAACCCATTAAAAGTCACTGTAAGGAAACCATCAGATACCACAACTGTCCTGGACTCTTCTTTAGAGTCACAGTTGCCAAACACACCCCAAATAGCCCTCAGTGGGAGAATGGGTAAACTGTGCTTCATCTACAGAGTGCCTACGGTTCAGCTCAAAAGGCTGCAGGACACACTCCACAATGTGGAGAAGCGCTCACTTTGTCTGAGCAAAAGAGGCCTTGGACACAGTGTACACACTGCATGTTCCATTTCCATGAAGTTCTAGGACAGCCTAAACCAATCTGTGCTGATAGAAATGAGGATCTGTGGGTGCCTCAGGCGGGGGTAGGGATTGCCTGGCAGGAGCCAGAAGGACCTTCTGGGAGGCTGGAAATGTTCTGTATCTTGATCTGGGTGATTACACATGTACAAATTCCTGAGCTGCACATTTAAGATTTGTTCCCTATATGTCTGGCACATCTCAATATTTTTAAAAAATAATCAAATAAATAAGCTTTTTAAAAAGTCTATGTCAGGGCCAGGTGCAGTGGTTCATTGGAGGCTGAGGCAGAAGGATCGCTTGAGCCCAGATCTTTTTTTTTTTTTTTTTGAGACAGTGGTCTTGCTCTGTTGCCCAGGCTGGAGTGCAATGGCACAGTCTCAGCTCCCTGCCACCCCCACCTCCTGGGCTCGAGTGATCCTCCCACCTCAGCCTCTCAAGTAGCTGAGGCTACAGGCATGCACCATCACGCCCGGCTAAATTTTGTATTTGTTGTAGAGACGTGGTTTCGTCATGTTGCCCAGGCTGGTCTTGAGCTCCTGGACTCAAGTGATCCACCTGTCTCTGCCTCTCACAGTGCTGGGATTACAGGCATGAGCCGCTGCACCTGGCCCACAAACAATTTAAAAACAAAAAATTGGCTGGGCATGGTTGTTCACGCCTGTAATGCCAGCACTTTGCGGGGCCGAGGCGGGTGGATCACCTGAGGTCAGGAGTTTGAGACCAGCCTGGCCAACATGGTGAAACCCCGTCTCTACTAAAAATACAAAAATTAGCCAGGCATGGTGGCAGGCACTGTAATCTTAGCTACTCAGGAGACTGAGACAGGAGAATCGCTTGAACCCCAGAGGTGGAGGTTGCAGTGAGCTGAGATTGTGCCACTGCACTTCATCGTGGGCAGCAGAGTGTGACTCTGTCTCAAAAAAAAAAAAAAATTACCCAAGCATGATGGTGCACACCTGTAGCCCCAGCTTCCTAGGAGGCTAAGGCGGGAGGATGGCTTGAGTCTAGGAGTGTGATGCTGCAGTGAGCTGTGATCGCAGCACTGCACTCCAGCCTGGGTGACAGAGTGAGACCCTATCTCAAAATAAAATAAATCAAATAAAAAGTCAATGTCAAGGATAATGAGTGGGAGACTATCTGAGTTTAAAAGAATTTAAAGTGACATAGCAATCAAGTGCAACATGTAAATTTTCACTAGATCCTAGGAAAGAAATGAAGGGAGGGAATAAGACAGCGAAGAAGGAAGGAAGGAAAGAAGGGAGGGATGGAGGAAGGAAGAGAGAGAGGAGGAAAGGAAGGAAGGGAGGGAGGGAGCAGGGGAGGAAGGAAGGAAGGAAATGAGGGAGGGAGGGAGGGAGGAAGGAAGTCCACCAGCTAACCCAGGTATCTGAAACATTTTGGGATTTGAATATGGGTTGACTATTAGGGAGGTATTTGAATTTGATTTTCTCTGGTAATAATGGTATTTTGCTTAGATGGAGGAACAACCTTGCCTTTAAAAGACACATGAACAATATGTAGAAGTAGGAGGCACGAAGTTTGCAAGTTACCTTCCAATGGCTAGGCAAAAAAAGGGCAATGCACCAAAATATGAACAGTGGTGGAACCTAGGTTGGGTATATATGAGTGCTTATTCTATAGTCTTTAAATTTTTCTATATTTTAGGACATTTTTATTAAAAAGGGTTGAGGGTACAATGAATAAAATTTAAGGTCCTGGCTATGGCCTGTGAGGCTATGTCATCCAGCCCCTGCCTCCTCTGATCTCAGCCCCTTCAATCTCTCCCTCGTTCTCCCTGCCCCCAAAACCTCCCTACACACACACAGGCACACATGCACACACAGGCACACACATATACACACAGTCACGCATGCAGGCACGCACGCACATAACTTTCTCACTGGTCAACCCTGGAGCTGGGAGAAGTGGGGAAATGGATGCTCCCCCTGCACAAAGAGGAATCCCTCTTTTCTCCAGATGGGAAATCTTTCCCAAAAGGCCCCACGCAGACTTTCTCTTATGTCTCATTGGCCAGAACCTAGTCCCATGCCCACCACAGGCCTGTTGTTGGCCACAGAGAATGGGATGGCTGGTACTGCTGAACCAATACAGATAGGTCCCCTGTGGTGGTGCCTATTACCCCTCCCCCTAAATAAGAGTTCTCTTGGCCAAGAGGAAAGGGGGCGGCCACTGGAAGACAAGGCCAGGGGTGGACATAGTGCATTTCTGAAACTTGGAGATGGTGAGGCTCTTTTGCATCTGGGCCTTCCAGCAGGTGTGGGGAACAGCTGGTGGCCTCAAACCCTATTCTCCAGATGGGGCAATAGAAAATCAGAGTGGTGGAATGACTTCCCACTCCTGGCTGGTCCAAGCCTCAAATCTCTGTAAGTGGAAAGTCTGCGAGGGCAGGATGGGCAGAACCTGGTGTGTGAGAGGTTCCGCTGGGCGGGGAGATACAGCAAGGCTTCACGGAGAGGGGTAGTGCTCGGTGCTTGGAGCGTGGAGCGGATTTCAGTGGAGGTGGAGAAAGTGTCAGGTGGGGCACAGAGGGAGCAAGGACAAGGAGGGCAGAGCACCAGGCACATGTGGGCAAGAAGAAGGAGGAGGAGAGCTGGAAAGGAGGGTGGGGCCAGATCTGAAGGCCACCGGAGTGCTGGAGTACTGTTCTCTGTTTCACAGGCAAAGAGGAGCTGCTGAAGATTATAGGGATAAGGGCAGAAGCATCTTAGAGAAGCTGAGAGTACCAGAGGAGTGAGATGGAGACCAGGAGACCAGGAGACCATGGAGGAGGCTGGTGCAGGGCTGTGGACACAGAGGGGAGACTCAGAGACAGCTCTGGAGGCTGAGGCTTGTGGGGCCATTTCTTTTGGGAGAAAGCCACCCAGGAAGGAAGTCCCTTCTGTCCCTGGCAACCCACATCAGCACTTCATAGCACAGATGGAAAGTTCTGCCTACCCTAAATCAAACGTGCAATATCTCAGTCTCAGATTCCCACGCCACTGGGCCAACATCCACTGAATGCAGTAAATGGGTGAAAGCCAAATCGTGGAAAGGTTAACAGCGTGGTCCTGGTGGACTTGGGAGCCAGAACACCCCTGCTGCACCCCACCAGCTCTGTCCTGATGAGCTTTGTCCTCTGCCCCTGGAGCCCATTCCCTGTCTGTGCAACTGGGACCTTAGCAGTCACAGTGACAGTGTCCACATATGCTGGGCCCTGGCCGGGCACGAGGTCTGCTCCAGGCTCTTTCCCCACACTGATCCAGGTGGACCATGGGAGGTCCACATGGCCCCGTGGCAGGGGGCGTGGAGACCACATTTTACGGAGGGAGGGTAGAGCCTGCACTTATGGAGCTGTCCGGAGGGTGACACGCATCAACACACGGCAAGCACAGCTTCAGTGTGAACTTTGCCCTGGAGAGGGGATGCAGAAAGTCCCCACAGAGCCTGAAGAAACAGCCATGGAGATCTTCAGGAAAGACCCTGGGAGGTAGAGAGGAGGTGAGGGAAGACGGACCGGGGAGGTTGGGAGACAGTCCTGTGAGCTGCCAGCATGAGGCGGAGGTTGCGCAGGGGGCCTGTGGGAACAGCACTGCAGAAAGAGGGAACAGCCTTCTCCCTGGCTCCAAGCTCTGGGGTGGCAATATCAGCGCTACTGCTATGCCTGGAAAGGACCACGCTGATGAACCCCTCCTCCCCTCCCCTCCACTCACCTGTGTGTGGTCTTGGGCAAGGCCCCCATGCCCACGAAGCTGTAGCTTTCCTGACAGAGGGGTCAGCCTGGCCCAGCTCTGAAGTCAGCTCCACCCCTGACCCAAGGCAATGACTGAGTTGAACAGGATCACAGTGCCTCTAACTCTCCCGGGCCATGGCTGGCATCTTCCATGGCACATTCTATGCTCACACACAGGTGCTTTTCCCACAAGATTCCAGGGAGCCACTGGGAGGCTGGCTGGTGCCCGCTCAAAGCATCAAGCTGTTCCTAGCCCCTAGCCCCGGGCCTGAGAGCCCACCCCTCAGCCTTTGCAGTGATCGTGCCCAAAAGGGCTGGAGGAAGGGGAGAGCCCTAAGGAACAGGTGCTGAGCCCTGTGAGTTGGGGTCCTGGCCAGGATGTCATTTCACAGAGAAGGCCCAAGCACCCAGGACATGGCCTAGTGGGACTCCCAGGAGCCACACTCTCATGACCATTCCCTTCCTGCCCCCTTGCTAGAAATGACCACAGCAGGGAGCCCTGGCCCAGCTGTGGCCCTGAGCCTGGAACACAGGACAGGCCAGTTTTGCTGGCAGGGAGGTAGGACCCAAGTCAGGGCTAGGGTCTTGGGCGCCTATTAGGACAGTCTCCAAAGGTGGCAGGGGCCTGGGGGAGAGACTGAGTTGGGACTGACCACCTGGTGCCTTGAAGCCCTAAGAAGGAACAGGAAGCGGCCAGGCGTGGTGACTCATGCCTATAATCCCAGCATTGTGGGAGGCTGAGGCGGGAGGATCACCTGAGGTCAGGAGTTCGAGACCAGCCTAGCCAACATGATGAAACCTTGGTTCTATTAAAAATACAAAATAATTAGCTGGGTGTGGTGATGCATGCCTCTAATCCCAGCTACTCGGGAGGCTGAGGCAGGAGAATCTCTTGAACCCAGGAGGCAGAGGTTGCAGTGAGCCAAGATCGTGCCACTACACTCCAGCCTGGGTGACAGAGCCAGACTCCATCTCAAAAAAAGAGAAGCAGGAAAGCACCAAGAGATGGGAGGCCCCTAGACAACTCGAGAAGGTAGGGCTCAACCCTTTGTTGCACAAGGCTGTGAGCTCCTGATCCTTGGCGCTGTCTGCACAGACAGGCACCAACTCTGTGCCTCCTCTGGAGTCAGGCAGCCAGGATTCCAGTCCTGCCTCTGACCCACTCCCAGGTAGATTATTTCCTTGTTGGCAAAGTGGGGCTAATAATAGCACTAGTCTCATTAGGCTATTGTGAGGATTAAACGAATTGATGGCCAACAAAGACAACATTGCTGCTGCCATTACCCCCATCCTCTCCTTCCTCCTGCCTCCCCCCACCCCCCACCATGTAAGCCTTTCTCCACTTCCTTTTTCTTTCTAAAAAGAAACATAAAACTAGGCATCCACCTGGTCAGACATGGTTTTTGTTTATTTGTTTGTTTTGAGATGGAGTCTTGCTCTGTCGCACAGGCTGGAGTGCAGTGGTGCGATCTCGGCTCACTGCAACCTCTGCCTCTCAGGTTCAAGCAATTCTCCTGCCTCAGCCTCCTGAGTAGCTGAGATTACAGGTGCCTGCCAACACACCCGGCTAATTTTTGTATTTTGGTAGAGACGGGGTTTCACTACCTTGGTCAGGCTGGTCTTGAACTCCTGACCTCGTGATCCACCTGCCTAGGCCTTCCAAAGCGCTGAGATTACAGGGCGTGAGCCACCACACCCGCCCAGACATGCTTTATAAAAATAAAAAAAGGTGAAGCGCAGAGCTCCCTGGAGGCTTTGCCGGCCAAGGGGAGCCGCTCACACCCACAGCATTGTCCCTTTGTGGGATCTCACCGCTCCTCCTTACCAAAGAGCCTAAAGTGCTGGGCACTGTCCCAGCTCCACGATCTAGGTGAGGACGCAGAGGCCCATGCGGTGAGGTCGTTTGCCCAAGATCACACAGCTCAGACATGCCAGTGGGGCTGCCCTACTCTCTGTGCTGGGGTCCCTTGGTGGGGTCCCCAGTGAGACTTCACTCATCATCTGTCATTTATTCATTCCTCCTTCATCTTTGTGTTTCCTGATGGACCTCACATCTCTTAGAGAAATGCGCAGACTGTCCCATTTACTTCTGCCACCCCCAGTCCCTAGCACAGAAGGCAATCCTGGACGGAAGCTGAAGAAACACATACATAAGACAGTGTTTGAAAACATAATATGCATGTGCTTCAGCCCTTCACGTGTGCATGTGGCTTCCTCCTTGAGCCACTTCCAGCACCTCCACTCCATGGAATCCCATCTCGCTAGGGCCAGGGAGGGCTGATCTCCAGGTAGGCACATCCACATCACCTGTTAATCCTCTTGCACTGAACCTTCCTTCGACTCTGTTCACCTCCCTCCCTCCTGATTCCCACGCTCTTCTTTTGGCTTCCATGACACTCCGTCTTCTGGTTTCCTTCAGCCTCCTGCCATTCCTCTTCAGGCTTTTTTATGAGCTCCTCTTCTGAGACTGACTCCTTTGAAGTTGGAATTCTTGTCTCTCTTAATGAATGCTTTTCCTGGGTGTTCTTGTGAGTTCCCCATGGTCTAACACCCTGGTCAAGGAAGGCTTTCCTGAGGGACATCTAACCCCAAAGCACCAACAGGAGCCTCTCCCTTAACCAAGGCAAGGAGAAGGGAACCAGTCCCGGGTGAAATGTAATAGTAGTAAAAATCACCATGAGGAGAGGCTTCCTTCCTTTTCTTTGGGTCGATAACAAGTATTTTGACACAGAAGCAGGAGAATATCAGCATTTATTGGGCATCCTTTGTGCCGGGCACTGTCCAAAGTGTCATCTTATTTACTCCTCACCAGCCTAGAGAGGATTGGAGTGGAAGGTGTTTGTTAGCTTAATCTGTGTAACAAGCTATCCAGAAAGTAAGGGGTTTCAACAATAAAGATCTATTTGGCTGTCAGTTCTGCAGGTTGGCCGTCTGGGCTTGGCTCAGTTGGGTGGGTCTGCTGCTGGCCTGGAGGGGCTCCTTATGAGCAGGTAGTCAGCGGGTGGGCCTCCCCCCACATGGCCTCTGGTCCCCATGGCAAGGGAAATACAAAAATTAGCCGGGTGTGTTGGCAGGCGCCTGTAATCTCAGCTACTCTTGGTGTCAAGAGCAGAAGCTGAGAGGCCTCTAGGCACCCATGTTCCCACCACATTCTCTTACCCCAAGCAAGACACAGGGTCAGCCCAGATGCATCCTGCCTCTTGACGGGGAGGGCTGTCAAGTATTATGGCCACTTCCCAATCTGCCACGTGGTCACCCAGCTAGTAGGAACAAAACGGCCAGGTGGATTCCCAGTCCAGCACCCGCTCCACAGACCCAGACTGAGGTACCTTTGTTCGGCTCCTTTCTACGGGTAGAGCTCAGGCCTTTGAGACTGGAGAGACAGGCCTCACCAGGAGGGCTGCTCCAAGGGTCCCAGGCAGGCCGGTGACAAGCAGGGGCTTGACTGAAGAGGAGGATTAAGGGCACTAAATCTGTCCCTCGGGCTTGAAGGATGGCCAAGGCACAGGGCACCTGGCCAAATGCAGGTCTCCGAGGAAAGGGGACAAGTGCGCCAGCTTTGCCACCCTGGCCCAAGGGAACTCTGGGCCCCCAGCACACACCAGACACCCTGCTGGGTCCCAGGAGCCGATGGTAAGCCATGCAGACCTGGTCTTCACCCCAACTAGCAGCACACACAGATGCCACAGGCACCATCCCTCAAATGATGTTTCCACTTAAGGACCAAGGCTGTGAAATGAAGGGGCTTTGGGGCCTGCCTGGGTGGAACTCCATCCTTCCTACTTTCTAGCTGTCAGACCTTGGGCCAGTTACTTCTCTCTCTGAGCTCTGATTTCCTCCTTATGAAATGTGTTTGGAAATTATGCCTTCTTCCCAGGTAATGAGGATTTGAGAAGACAGCGCGTAAAGTACTTCTCTCCAGCCCAGCACATGGACACAGTCTAGAAAGTCAGCCATCATCAACTATAGCCCAGAGTCCACAGTTCCCTTTCCAAGTTCCTGAGTCCAAATGTGCCTGGCTATCAGAAGGACAACTCGGAGCATGTTCCATAAGTGTTACACGTCACCCCAGTGGGGTGTGGAGTCGCTTCCCATAATCAATCACATTGATATTTCTACAGCAAAATCTATGACTATTCACAGTAGGTGGGCTGGACATGATAGCTCAAGCCTGTAATTCCAACCCTTTGGGAGGCCAAGGCAGGAGGATCACTTGAGTGATCAAGGAGTTCAAAACCAGCCAGGGCAACATAGCGAGAGCCCCATCTCTAAAAAATAAAGAAGAAGAAAGAAAGAAAGAAAAGAAAAAGAACCACAGTATATGAGCTAAATTGTTTCTAAATAGTTTCACAAAATTTCAAGTTTTGCCACCAAATTTGGGTTTTTGTTTTGTTTTGTTTTTCAAAACTTTTTGAATATGGAAATTGTGGATAGAGGGTTCTTTGGATCATTATAATTTTTTTTTTTTTTTGAGATGGAATCTCACTCTGTCGCCCAGGGTGGAATGCAATGGTGTGATCTCAGCTCACTGCAACCTCCACCTCCTGAGTTCAAGCAATTCTTGTGCCTCAGCCTCCCAAGTAGCTGGGATTACAGGTGCCCGCCACTACGCCCGGCTAATTTTTGTATTTTTAGTAGAGACAGGGTTTCACCATGTTAGTCAGGCTGGTCTCAAACTCCTGACCTCAGGTGATCCGCCCACCTTGGCCTCTCAAAGAGCTGGGATTACAGGCATGAGCCACTGCACTTGGCCTGGATCATTATAATTCTTAGTGACTCTCAACCTTGGCTGTGTATGAGAGTGAGCTGGGGAGTTTCTTAAAGGCAGACTCTTGGACCTCACACCACACCACATGAATCCATCTCAGGGGGTGAGACATCTCTTTAAGAAGCTCCTAAGATGAGTCTGATGTGGACCCCAGGATGAACCATGGTTCTATAGATTATGAAACAGGAATGCGGTGGGGTCTTGCTCACATAGGGAGTACCAGGGAAGACTTCCCCAAGGACAGGACCAAAGGATGCACAGAAACCTGCCAAGTGAAGGGTGTCAGAATGTTCCCAGCAGAAGGAACAGTGTGAGCAAGCTCCCTGTGGTCAGAAGGGAGGCAGCTGCGAGTCAGAGGAACTGAAAGGTCCCCAGAGTGGTGGAAGCCTGGGAGCAAAAGGCGACACTGCCCAAGCTGAGTTCTCCTGCTTCCTCTGCAGCTGAGACGGGGACCGTTCCTGAGGGGGAAATCTGTGTAAACAGGCAAATAGACACTTTCTTCCCAGAGAAAATTAAGCAGCAGCCCTGGTCCTTTCTTCCTAGCCAGAGCAGGAGGGTACATTAAAATCAGAATGTGTGGGGCTGGGAGGAGACACAGATCCTCTAACCTAATTTTTTTTTTTTTTTTTCAAGACAGAGTCTTGCTCTGTCACCCAGGCTGGAGTGGAGTGGCTAGATCTTGGCTCACTGCAACCTCTACCTCCCGGGTTCAAGTGTTTCTCGTGCCTCAGCTTCCTGAGTAGCTGGGACCACAGGCACACACCACTTCACCCGGCTAAGTTTTATATTTTTAGTGGAGATGGTGTTTCACCATGTTTGCCAAGCTGGTCTCGAACTCCTGACCTCAGGTGATCCACCTGCCTCGGCCTCCCAAAGTGCTGGGATTACAGGCGTGAGCCACCACGCCTGGCCTAACCTGATGATTTTAAAGTGCTTTTATCTTTAAAATTATTTGGGTGCCTTTTAGTCAAACAATTTTGCCACTGCCCCTATAGTGGTTGGAGCAAAGTGGAGGTGATGTTGGGTGTCTGGAGATCTGGATCTCCCCAGATCTCCTAGGGACTCTATGGAACCCAGTTTGAAAATCCTAGGGAACCATGACTCAGGGAGAGACGTTGGGATTGTCCAAGTCGCCCCCAGCCACCCTGCACAGGGCCGGAGTCCCTCTCCCAAGAGATTGGCCTGAGCAGCTCTCCCCAGACTTTTAGCTGTCAGGTCTTCCTGCATAAATTTTCCTTTTGCTGCAACCCATCTGTTATGGGTCACGTTGTGTTTCCTCCAAAAGAGATGTTGAAGTCCTAACTCCTGCTACCTGTGAATGTGACCTTATTTGGAGATAGTGTCCTTGCAGATGTAATCAAGTTAAGATGACGTCATTAGGGTGGGTCCTAATGCAATAGACTAGAGTCCTTATAAGAAGAGGAAAATTTGGACACAGGGACACAGAGGAAGATGGCTATGTGATGACAGAGGCCAGGAGTGCAGTGACGCAGCTGCAAGCCAAGGAACGCCAAGAACTGAGAGAGGCCACCAGATGCCAGGAAGAGGCAAAGAAGGATTCCACCAGGAGCCTCAGAGGGAGCCACCACCTTGACTTAGGACTCCAGCCTCTGGATTGTGCGAGAACACATTTCTGTTGTTTTAAGCCACCAGGTTTGTGGCACTTCATCACAGCAGCCCTAGGAAACAAACTCACCTCCTAAATCATTATTCATTTAATTTTTTTTTTCAAACAGACTCACTTCTAAACAACTTGCACACATTTTGCCAAAAAGTAAAGCTTTCATCGCTGCTACAAATGCAAGACCACAATCCTTTCTATAAATAGAAGACGCCTTAAAAATGCACACAATGAAAACCAGCCAACCTTGCTGGCTGCAGGTGCTCGATGGCTCTGATCTGGGGCCGCTTTTGTTCATCAAGGAGATGAGCAAGTGACCAAGGGGGTGAAGATGCTGGAGCACTTCACTGAGGCTTCTTCTTCTTCTTCTTCTTCTCCTTCTCCCGCTCCTTCTCCTTCTCCTTCTTCTTCTTCTTTTTTTTTTTAGACAAGAGTTTCACTCTTTGTTGCCCAGGCTGGAGGGCAGTGGCACGATCTCGGCTCACTGTAACCTCTGCCTCTGGGTTCAAGGGATTCTCCTGTCTCAGCCTCCTGAGTAGCTAGGATTACAAGCACCCACCACCACACCCAGCGAATTTTTGTATTTTTAGTAGAGACGGCATTTCACCATGTTGGCCAGGCTGGTCTTGAACTCCTGACTTTGGGTGATCCACCCCGCTCAGCCTCTCAAAGTTCTGGGGTTACAGGCACAAGCCACTGTGCCTGGCAGCTTCTTCTTGATTGAGCAACTGAATAAATGAGAATTGAAAAGGGAAAATTTATAATAAGGAAGTTATAGTTAACAATCATTTATTGTATATTTCAAAGTAGCTAGAAGAAAAGAATTGAAATGTTCCCAACACAAAGAAAAGAGAATTTTTTTTTTTTTTTTGAGATGTAGTCTTTCTGTGTCACCCAGGCTGGAGTGCAGTGGCACAGTCTCAGCTCACTGCAACCTCCACCTCCAGGATTCAAGCTATTCTCTTGCCTCAGCTTCCGGAGTAGCTGGGACTACAGGCGCACACCACCATGCCCGGCTAATTTTTGTATTTTTAGTAGAGACCGTGTTGGCCAGGCTGGTCTCAAACTCCTGATGTCAAGTGATCTGCCCGCCTCAGCCTCCCAAAGTGCTGGGATTACAGGTGTGAGTCACCATGCCTGGTCAGAAAAGATAAATGTTTGAGGTGATGGAGATCCCAATTACCCTGATCTAATCACAGCACATCATATACAGGTATCACAATATCACATGGACCCCAAAAATATATAAAACTATTACATATCCATTTTTTAAATAACAAAAAAAAAAGAGAAAAACTCCCTTATTACCTGAATACGTCTCATTCTGGGATGCTTCTCATGATTGAGGCTTCAGGGGTGGGTGTCCCATCCCTGCCCACCTTCCCTCTATGTTTGAGGGAATTGATGCCCAGAAAGGTTCAGTCATTTGTCCACAGTCACACAGCAAGTTACCTGCCAAGTCTGGATCTGGGCCAAACTCCTATGTGCTTTCCAGGAAATCGCATGTTAGATATTTCTTGGTCCCATTCAGAAGTCCCAAGTCATGCATGGTGGCTATGAGCTGAGCACATGGACACAGCAGGGCATTAAACCCTGAAGGCTGAACAAACAGATTCAGTGTGTGTGTCGTAAGCACGAGCAGTGACAGCCGGTGGACTGCAGAATTATGACTGTGCTCCAAGGCAGCTGGACTTGGGCAAAATTTGGCTCACACAAAAGGTTATTATAACCCAAGTGAAGATTTTTTTTCCTTCTCACTTCCCTAGTCCATCAGTAAGGAAAAGCGGGGTGCCTGCAGGCAGCCGTCCTGCATCTTGTCAGTAAGGTCACACAGTAAATGACAGAGGTCATAGGGCTCATGTCCAAAACCAGACACCCCTTTCACCCTCGTCCTGGCTGTGTGGCGATCTCCTTCCTGCCCTATCTCTGCTGCTCTGTCATCTCCTCTTAGCTTTTGTTGCTCCTCTGGCCCACGGGAAGGAGCAGGGCTCATAGCTTAGGGTCTGATACACTTAGATTCAAATCCCAGCTCATCCACGAAATGGATCCCTCCTCCCAGGCTATTAGGAGAGGTCCATGAGAGAGCATCTGTGAGCACTTGGCTCAGTGCCTGGCACACAGTAGGAGCTCAGTAAATATTCATGCCTTCCCCCTGCCGGATTGTGAGTTCCTGTTTTTCTCTGTCTTATGTAGGGCCAGCCTTGGAGGCTTTCCATGTCACCATCAATAATAATACGAGGCCGGGCGAGGTGGCTCACGCCTGTAATCCCAGCACTTTGGGAGGCTGAGGCGGGTGGATCACTTGAGGTCAGGAGTTCAAAACCAGCCTGATCAACACGGTGAAACCCAGTCTCTACCACAAATACAAAATTAGCCGGGCATGGTGGTGCACACCTGTAACCCCAGCTACTTGGGAGGCTGAGGCAGGAAAATCACTTGAACCTGGGAGGCGGAGGTTGCGGTGAGCCAAGATCGCACCATTGCACTCCAGGCTGGGCAACAAGAGCAAAACTCTGTCTCAAAATAAATAAATAAATAAATAAAATAATAATAATAACACAAATTGTATGTCTTTCCATGACCAGCCCTTTCCTGCATTCGGCTCTGCATTGGTGCTGTGTGGGAGGCACTAGGACTACCCTTAGGCCCCAGACAGAGGAGCCCATGCCTATGGGTTCCCAGAGGGGCCCTCCTGTGGCTGCACACCTTCCCACAAGGTCATATACACATTCCACAGGGTCCAGGGGATGTGACCATCATAAGCCAGCGCCCTCTAGCTTCTAAATTGAACCCTGGGTACCCCAGGCCCCAGAGTCCCTGCCCGTGGGCCTCTCCCCCATTCATTCAGCTGAGGGCGGAGAGGCACACTGGTGTGTACCCAGGCTTAGGGGGGAAAGGTGGGCTGTGCTTGGGGGCTGAGCTTGAATGGAAGGTGGGTTGTCCCTCTGCATGGACCAGAGCTGCTCAAGGGGTAGGACGGAGCTTGGAATGGCAGGAGAGGAGGGGTGAGGGGCAGGCCACAGGCCAGGGCCTCAGATGGGGGCTGGCACTCCCCAGCCACCGCTTGCAGGATCCAGCTCCAAGGAGCCTGGGAATTTACATTCTAAGCTGGCCTCCAGCTCACCATGAAAATAAGCACACCAAGGCGGGAGGGCAGGGTGGTTTGTACCTAACAGCGTATTAGCCTGACATATAACTTTTCAATACTGAGACAGTATTTGCAGCATTTGTTGTCTCGGGGTAGAACTCTGCCAGTGTCAGGGGTGTCCTGGTGTCATCCCAGTGGTTTTCTCGACCACTGACCCACAGGGGACAACACATTTATCAAATAAGGAAAGTGCTGGGCCCGAGCCTTTCAATACACAAGTGTAGAATAACAGGCTTAAAGGCTACAAATAGCATCAAAGCACGAGGGATGATAATGCCTCTAGAGACCAGGTTCAAGTTCCCATGTGGCAAATGTCACCTCCACCCGAGGTGCCACTTGCACAACAAGGGTATTAACTTCTCTCCTTCCCCAGGGCCTGTCTAGGATCCCCTTTGGTAACCTGGACCTGTCTCTTCCCTTCCCATACTCCAGAATGAGCCCCTGGGCCCAGGTCAAGCACCTGAGACTCAGATGGACAACCTCCTGTGCCCCCTGCCCCTCTCTTCTTGCTCATTCTTGCTGGTTTTGTCATCCTGGCAGAAATCATCAGAATGACAGTGATAATTATGAACACTCACCTTGTGCAGGCTCTGACCTTCACATTCACCCTAGACGGGGCTCTAGTGCCATCCTCATTTTACAGATGGACAAAATGAGGCTCAATTTGGGGCTGATCCTGTGCCTAAGGTCACAGTTGGTAAGAGGCAGATCCTGGAATTGAACACACATCTCTCTGAATCCCAGATCCCACACATCTGCCCCCAAGGCTAGAAACCACAGATCAGAGGGACCTTCTGGGCATTGCGCTGTGTCATGGGACAAGTCACTTGCTGACCTCTGTTTCCCTGGGGAAGTGGCTTTGGGGAATACCTGGGGTCATCTAGAGCTGAGGGATCCTGGGAATCCAGGAGTGGAGCTGGGGCAGCCTGAGAACGGGGCCCACCCCACCCCGGCTCAGATGACCAGTCCCGAGGGCCCAATCAGGTCAGCCTTGGATCAGGCCATAAGTGGGAACAAAATAGTCAGGGAACTCTCCTCTCCCGCTTTGTTTATGGTCTGGGAGCTGAGAATATTTTGAATTGTTGTGTTTGGGGAGGGAGGGAGAAATAACCAAATATAAGAAGGCAGTCACTGGGAGGCCTGGGCAAGAATGCAGAGGAATCAGGCCTGCCTGGGGATGTCTGGGCCACCGGAATGCTTGGAGGCCCAGCACCCTCTAGCTCAAGGATCCGGCACTGATGAGACATTCACGTTGCCTGGAGAGCTTTATTTTAAACAACGAAGGAGAAAGAAGAAAAGAAGAAGAAGGAGAAGGAGAAGAAAAAGAAGCAGCAGCCGCCACCACCATCTCATGCCCATTTAAATGAGAATTTCTGAGCGTGGGACCCCAGGCATCAGATTTTTTTCAGTTTCTCCTTGGGCCACCAAGGTTGAGAACTGGTACCTCCTGTAGCAGTGGTTCTGAAACGCCAGCTGCCTCGGAAGCTCCTGGAGGGCTTGTTAGATAGGACTGTGTCCCACCACAGAGTTTCTGATTCAGGAGGTCTGGGTTGGGCTGGTGCTTTGCTTTTCTAACAAGTTCCCAGGTGAAGCTGCTAGTCTGGGGGCCAGACTTTGAGAGCCTCTCGCCTGCATTCTCAGGACTCCTTTTGTGGCTTGTGGACCCACAGCCTGGGGTGTCTCCCAGAAGCTTGTTAGAAATTCAGAATCTTGGCGCAGTAGCTCACACCTGTAATACCAGCATTTGAGGAGGCTAAGGCTGGAGGATTGCTTGAGCCCAGAAGTTTGAGATCAACCTGGGCAACATAGAGACACCTAGTCTCTAGTTAAAAAAGCAGTCTATGGCCATACTACCAGGAACGTGCCTGATCTCGTGAAGCTAAGCAGGTTTGGGCCTGGTTAGTACTTAGATGGGAGACCACCTGGGAATAACGGGTGCTGTAGGCTTTTGGCTTGGCTGGGCGCAGTGGCTCACACCTATAATCCCAGCACTTTGGGAGGCGAGGGGGGTGGATCACAAGGTCAGGAGTTCGAGACCAGCCTGGCCAACATGGTGAAACCCCATCTCTACTAAACATACAAACATTAGCTAGGTGTAGTGGCAGGCGCCTGTAATCCCAGCCACCCAGGAGGCTGAGGCAGGAGAATCATTTGAACCTGGGAGGCGGAGGTTGCAGTGAGCCGAGATCACACCATTGTACTCCAACCTGAGCGACAAGGCGAGACTGTCTCAAAAAATAAAAATAAAAAAATAAACAAAATAAAAATGTGGGATGTGATGGCTCACACCTGTAATCCCAGCACTTTGGGAGGCCAAGGCAGGTGGACTGCTTGAGCTCAGGAGTTTGAAACCAGCTTTGGCAACATGGTGAAACCCTCGTCTCTACAAAAAATACAAAAATTAGCTGGGCATGGTGGCTTATGGCTATAGTCCCAGCTACTTGGGAGGCTGAGGTGAGAGAATGGCTTGAGCCTAGAAGGTCGAGGCTGCAGTGAGCTGTGATTGTGCCACTTCACTCCAGCTTGGGTGACAGAGCAAGACCCTGTCTCAAAAATAAATAAATAAATAAATATAAATATAAATAATAAATAGAAGGCCGGGCGCAGTGGCTCGCCCCTGTAATCCCAGCACTTTGGGAGGCTGAGGTGGCCAGATCACCTGAGGTCGCAAGTTTGAGAGCAGCCTGACCAACATGGAGAAACCCCATCTCTACTAAAAACACAAAATTAGCCGGGCATGGTGGCGCATGCCTGTAATCCCAGCTACTCGGGAGGCTGAGGCGGGAGAATCACTTGAACCCAGGAGGCGGAGGTTGCAGTGAGCCGAGATCGCACCACTGCACTCCAGCCTGGGCAACAAGAGCAAAACTCCATCTCAATAATAATAATGATAATCAATAAAAATAATAAATAAATAAGAAATTCAGAATCTCCAACCCCACCCCAGACCTGCTGAGTCAAATTCGTATGTTAACAACATCCTGTCGTGAGTATATGCACTTTTCAGTTGAAGCAGGGCTGGAAGGTCACCTTGGCTAACCTCATGCCATCCATGGGGAGACTGAGGCAGAGGGAGGTGGAGGTCCCTCTGGGTTACACAGCCACTAAGGATCCACTCAGGGCTTGGAACCAGGTCTCTGCAGGGGAGATGGGGAGGGGAGGGGGCTCTTGTGGGTGGAGCCGAATGCACAGTCTTAAAGACTGGCCCCTTTCTCCATAGCTAAACAAATGGTTAGTTTTGCAGTTTGTGGAATGGGGGTGGGAGCGTGGGGGAAAATTGTAGGCAGCTCCAGCTCCGTTCATTCAGCAGAATTTGTTGGACATCTGCCATGGGGCTGGCCACTGCTGTAGGCCCTGGGGACACATGAAGTGGGCAGTCTAGTGTGAAAACAGACATAAACAGGTCAATATGTAAATGATCAAGGTCCACTCACCCATTATCCAAGTTAGAATGAGAATAAAATGAGGCGATGGCTCAGGGCTGGTGCAGGGCAGGCAGGAGGCAGCCGGGGCTGTCTGAGACATGGTGGTCTGGGAAGGTCTCTGGGGATGAGACACTGGAGCTGAGGCCTAGGGAGAAGGAGCCAGACCTGGGAAGGGCTGAGGGGAAGAGCCTGGGGCAGGGAGCAAGACAGGGGCAAAGGCCCTGAGGCAGAGAGAGGGGAGCCTGGAGTTGGAGGGAAAGCCAGGGGGCCAGAGAGGCTGGGAGTGAGGGAGGCAGAGGAGGAGAGTGGCGGAGGGTCAGGTAGGGGGTATCTCAGAGGCTGCCAGGAGTGTGGCTTAGTGGCAGTGTGGTGGGGGCCATGAGGTGGTTCAAAGCAGGAAGGAAGCCTGAGTGGGTCTGGGGGTTTTCCTTGGGATTTTTACTGAGGTCTACACTTCCTACAGTGAAACGCGACAGCACACACTGGAGTGACCTGCCCCAGGTAAGGATGGAGCCCCTTCCCATCCCGCAGGTTCTCTCATACCCCACCCACCCCACACCACCCCACACCACCTCACCCCATCCCACTTCACCTCTGGAGGCAACCACTGCTCCTATTCCCATGGCCCTCAATTCACTCTGCCTGACTTTGAAGGCCATGTAAAGGGACCCACTGCAGGGCATCTGGTCTGTGGCTCTGGCTTCTCTCACTGGGCTCGGTGTTTTGGAGACAAACTCCGCTGCTCCCTTGGTTTGGAGCCTCTCGTAGCCGGTTCCTTTTCACCTGTGAGTTGCAGTCCTTCCATCTGTTTTTCCATTCTATTGATAGATACAACCAGGGCTGTTTCCGTTTTGGACTGTATGAATACCACTGCCATTCACAAGTCTTTGGGTGAACAAATATTTTCATTTCTTTCTGGCCAATTACCTGAGCGTGCAATTGCTGGCTCATAGTGTTGTGTTTAATCTTACAATAAATTTATAACCTTATCAGAAACTGCCAGAGTAGCTGGGTGTGGTGGTGTGCCTATAGCCCCGGTTACTTAGGAGGCTGAGGTGCGAGGATCACTGGAGCCCAGGAGTTCAAGGCCAGTTTGGGCAACACAGCATTTTTTAGAGACTTTGTCTCAGAAAAAAAAAGAGAAAAAAGAAAGAAAAGAAAAGAAGAGAAACTACCAAATTGTTTGCTGCAATGGCTATATGCCATAGAGAGTCCCAGGAGTGGAGATGGGCTGTCGGGGAGGAGAGGAAGCCAGGGAGGAAAGCATCCCCTGCAGTCACCCAGAAGGGAGAGAACATGGCCTGGCCTGGGGTGTCTGTGAAGCTGGAGAGCATCTGTCTGCAGTGCTAGTGAATGAATAAATGTACTGTGGGTCCCCGGTCCCCTGCAGAGCTGTCTCCAGTACTGACACCTTCCCTGTCTGTCCAGTTCTGGGGCAGTTTTGCTGTGCCCACTGAGGGAGAAGAGGAAGTGAGCCCAGGCACTTGCCACCCACAGACCACATCCTGCAAGGGTTTCCTGGGGTCCACTGTGCTCCAGGCCCCATGCTGGGACTGCTTGGCATCCCCGCTTCCTGCGTGCTCCCTTTCTGGGGCTCCAAGTTTGGCAGAGACCCAGGTTGCAGAAGGGCAATGGGCAAAGTGCTTGGCAGGAGGGAGCAGCAAGGGTGAAGGCCTGGAGGCAAGAAAGCCTGGAGCACACAGGTGGCAGGGGTAGGTGGGGGTCCTGCTTTCCAGAGTGTTAGACTGTGTGCCAGGGACCTGGCTCAACGCTTCACATCAATCATCTCCACTCACTCCACACAACAATCTGCAGGAGAGGGGTTATGATTAATCAGGCTGTACAAATCAAGAAACCAAGGCACAGAGAGGTCACATTATTCACTCTAGGTCACACAGCCCATGAGGGATGGAGCTGAGATTTGCAGGCAGGCAAGAGGAGGGTAGTGGGCAGGAAGCAGATCCCTGAAGGCCCAGATGCTCTGACAAGGCTCTGCAGCCACCTACACACCCAGGGACGTGGACACACTGCAGTGTGCCCAGGAAATGCTGGCCAGGTCAGGGAGGCAGCCACTCAGCAGCCCCGCCACTGACCCTTGGTCTCTTCAGGGCTGCTCCCAGGGATGATGTTCTGAGAGTTGTAAGAGGCCGACCAGACAATCCTCGATCTCCAGCAGGATCCCTGAGCTGGCCAGGTGGCCCAGCGTGGGCTGCACCTCCCACAGGCATTGCAACAACTCTTGTTGGTGGCCTGATAGACGAGACAAACTCTTCCCTAGAAAGGGGCGAGAAGTTTTGTTCAAAGTCCTAGATCAATTTTATTTTACTGTTGAGAGCTGCTAAAGAAAGTAATCATAAAGTAGGCTTTGAAAAATTTCGTTCACTGCCTCTACGTGGACGGCTGTAGACTACAGCCTGAAAATTGGCCCTCCGGGAGCTCTGTCCAGCAATCGATTTTCATTCTTGAAATGAGAAGAATTAGTCCCAGTGGAATTTCAGGCTAGTCTATGGTTCTGAGGGGAACCTCGGCCTGGCTTTCCTTGAAGCTCCCTTCTTGTTGCCAAAGCTTTCCATTTCCCTTGGTACTCACAGTTATCTTTGAGGGGGCAGGGTGCACAAAGTGCATCATGGGTCTCAAATTCAGCTCCCTGCAAGGGCCGGTAGGTGACAGAAAAGAGCAAACTAGCTAGGAGGGAGCTGTGGCACCCTGGGGAGCCCATGTGAGAGGGTGGCTAATGCCCCTCAGCTCCAGGACATTGTAGACAGGGGGTTAATGGGCCTGGGTGGCCCCATTTTGCCATATTTCAAGATAAACCAGGCATTCAGATTTTGTTGTTGTTGTTGTTGTTTGGAGACAGGGTCTTGCTCTCGCACCTAGGCTGGAGTGCAGTGGTGTAGTCATAGCTTACCGCAGCCTTCACCTCCCGGGCTCAAGTGATCCTCCTGCCTCAGCCTCCTGAGTAGCTGGGACCATAGGCATGCACCACCATACCCGGCGAATTTCTAAAAAAAATTTTCATAGAGATGGAATTTTACTTTGTTGCCCAGCCTGGCCAGATTTTTTAAATGTGAAATCTTCCAAGCTTTTATTCATAAAAATTAACTCCAAACACATTAAAGCTCAGTGACAGCCAAAGAAGCACATCTGGGAGCTGGATTCGGTTTAAGGCCTCCAGTTCGAGACTTCTCCTCTCCTCAGAATGGCTCATTGAGGCAGGGTGTATTTTATCTCATATTACAATGAGGAAACTGAGGCTCAGAGAGCAGGCCTGCAGGCCCAAGTCACACAACTGGGAAGCCACAGGGCTGAGGTGGAGCTAGGGTCTGTGGCCTCCCGCACTGAGCTCTCTCCACCCTGTGCATGCCTCTAGCTTTGGCATTGGCTCCTCCTGGCCCCTTCTCCGGTCTGACCATCCCTTTTCCACCTCATCTGCCACCTCTCCCTGGGGCTGAGGTTGGGGCTCTTCTTGCCTCCTTCTCCTCCTTTCTCTCCTTGGGGCTGGGTTTTTTTGTCTGGCAATCGCCCACCCAGAATCCCCTCATTCAAGATTGTAACCTCTGGAGCCAGGTGGCCTAGGTTTGAATTCCAGCTCTACTATCTGCCAGCTGAGTGACCTTGGGGAAGTTACTTAACTTCTCTGTGGCTCGGTTTTACCTTCTATAAAACGGAAGAAATAATTGTACCAATCTCATAGGGGTGTTGTCGGGATGAAAAGGGTTAACTTATTAAAATGCATTTAACTGTGCAGGGTACATAGTTAAGTGCCAAAGAAAAGTAAGTTAAAGCCAGGCACGGTGGCTCACGCCTGTAATCTCAGCACTTTGGGAGGCCGAGGCAGGCAGATCACCTGAGGTTGGGAGTTTGAGACCAGCCTGATCAACATGGAGAAACCCCATCTCTACTAAAAACACAAAATTAGCCAGGCGTGGTGGCGCATGCCTGTAATGCCAGCTACTAGCGGGGCTGAGGCAGGAGAATCACTTGAACCCAGGAAGCGGAGGTTACAGTGAGCTGAGATTGCGCCATTGGACTCCAGCCTGGGCAACAAGAGCGAAACTCCGTTTTAAAAGAAAAAAAAGAAAAGTACGTTAAAATAAATGCAGCAAACACTTATTGAGTACCTACTGTGTGTCAGGCCTATGATAGACTCCAGGAGTTGATGGAGGCAAAAGAACAGATCCCATCCCTCATGGAGCTGGTAACTGGATAGATGGTTCACTCGTGTGTCTTGCGCTGGCACTACCTGCATGAGGCTCCGCTGGCCTACCTGGAGGTCAAAGGATCCCATGGGCCTTTCCAAGTTGCAGCTCTGAACACACAACTCTTCCCTCCTCCCACAGCCACTGCCCTTGCTCACTCTCTCAGACCCTCAAGCTCAGCCCTGCCACCAACAACCTTGCTCTCAGGCCTTCGCACGGCAGGCACCTCTGCTAGAACTTGCTTCCTCTCCTGCCGGCTTCACTGCTCGTGGCTTAGTCAAAGCCTCCTTTTGGTTCAAACTTCAATCCTGGAGTCCCCTCCCCACGCTAGGACCTGCCCCTTTGCTTCAGTCTTTGTGCCCTGTGCGACCACACATGCACAGGGCGTCTGAGGAGTTTTTGCTTGACGTCTATTCCTGCAGTTCATGAGGGAACCTCATAGCTGAAGCAGAGGGATGTGGGAGACCCAGTCACTCCTCTTCCTCAGCTTTCGTTTGCTCACCTATAAAAGGGTACAGTGACCCTGAACTCAAAGGAGAGTGCTCAGGTGGCCAGAAGCAGATGTCACGTGGGCCACTGGGACCCTAGAGGCACTGCTGATCCCCAGGTGCTTCCTGGAGGAAGGGGCCACCCGGGGCCCGCAGAGAAGGGTGGGAAGGGTGACAGGAAGGCAAGGAAGGGCATGTGCCCAGTGGTCCTCGTCTGTCTTGGCTGGAGCCAGTATGAGGAGCACCCACTGGAAGGTCAGGTTGGAGTCCGATGGCAGGGGCCTCCAGGGAGAGCCAGTGTCACTTCGGGATGCTCCTTAGCATCCTGGGGCTGTACAGGGAGAGTGGCTGCAGAGCCCTTCCAGGCAGGGATCCTGGCCTGAGTGGGGGCAGCTCTTGGTCGGACCTGTGTGGTATTTCTTCTTCTTCTTCTTTTTTGTTTTTTTGAGACTCATTCTTGTCACCCAGGCTGGAGTGCAGTGGCGTGATCTCGGCTCACTGCAACCTCCGCCTCCCGGGTTCAAGGGATTCTCCTGCCTCAGCCTCCTGAGTAGCTGGGATTATAGGCACCCGGCACCACGCCAGGCTAATTTTTGTACTTTTAGTAGAGACGGAGTTTCGCCATGTTGGCCAGGCTGGTCTCGAACTCCTGACCTCAGGTGATCTGCCCCCTCGGCCTCCCAAAGTGCTGGGATTACAGGCATGAGCCACCGCGCCTGGCCGGTATTTCTTCTTTCATTCTCCGTGTAAATGGTGGAAGGATCGGCTCTCTCCTCCCCGCCTCCCAGGTGCAGAGAGAGAGAGAGAGAGAGAGGGACAGGAGAAGGCTGGGGTTCGGGGTTCTCACAGCGTTTCCCTCTCATGCTGCCAGGGCGGGGCAGTGGAAAATGGTCCCTGAGGGCCCGTTCATTCAAATAAGGACAAGAATAATGGCACACTCCCCATCTCCATTTAAAAATAGTCACATTAGCTGACACTGGCTTGGCACTTCCTAGATGCCGGGTGCGTTCCGAGTTCTCTACGCTGTTAACCTTGGATCTTCATAACAGCCGGAGGAGACAAGCGCTACTATTTTCCTTTCCATTTTATAGATGAGGACACTGAGGCAGAGAAATTGAGTCACTTGCCCAGGGTCACACAGCCATGGCAAGGCCAGGATTCTGGAGCTCTGTACCTGGCTTCACACCACAAGCTCAGGCCACCCTCCCGGGGCATACCGAGTCTCCCAGAACGTGGACGATCGCCCAGGGCAACGCAGTGGAGTGCGAGCCCGGTCTGGTTTGCACCTGGCTGCTCCAGGAGCCCTGGGCCTCATCCTAGGAGCCTGGCGGAAGAGGCGAGCGGTGGAGTTTGGAGGCTGCTGTGAAGGAAAGGACTAGGCGGGTCGGGTCGGGTCTGTCCTGCTCTTCTTCCGCAGGCAGGAGGCGCCCAGGGCGGGCTGCCGCACCTGGCAACGAACGTTCGCCGCGCGGCATGAGGGTGTGCGCGCGCGCTCGGCGAGCCCGGGTTCTTTGTGTGTCCGAGCCCATGCGCGCGTGCGTGTTTGCGTGTATGTGTGTGCATGTGTATGTGTGCGCGCGTGTGTCCGCACTTGGGGCGGGGCTGGAAGCCCCGGCCCCGCCCCGGCCCCGCCCCCGGCCCGGCCGAGCTGGTATTTTTCCACCCAGCAGGATGGGTGATGCTGAGAGCTGCCTGCTCAGACAACAGACACGCGAGGTCAGGAAGAAGCCGCTTATAAATTACCGCTTCCTTCGCGCCGCCGCCAACGCCGAGCCCCGAGGACCGCAAGCCCAGAGGACAAGCTGCGCCAAGAGGGAGTGCGGAGCGTTCACCCAGCGGGTCAGAGAGCGAGCGGGCAGGCAGCCCCCGGCCGGCGGAACCCGGCACAGCCGAGCAGAGCGCGGGCGGCGCCGCAGCCACCCCAGGTACCGGAGGGACCGGGAGCTGGGCGCGCAGCCGGCGCTGCCCGCCGTCTGCAGCCCCTCCCCATCCCCGCGTCGCCGCAGTCCCGGCCTCCTCCCCTCCGCGTGCGCCCATCCGGCGCCCCTTTCACCACCGCGGAAGGGACCGAGAGTCGCCTGCTCAGTCCCGCTGGCGGGGCTGTTATTGTTTCCCCGGCAAAAGGGCTCCGGCTCTTGGTGCGGGCGGCAGGAGAGTGTGTGTGTGTGTGTGTGTGTGTGTGTGTGTGTGTGTGTGTGTGTGGCATATCTGTGTGCCTGTCTCCGTCAGGATGCCTACATGTGCCTCCGTATCCCTGTGTCTGTGTTTCTGAGGGTGACTGTTTCACCGTGTCCCCAGCAGCGTGCACATGTGTGTTCCGGTGCATGTCTGTTATTCTCTGCGTGCTGGGCTGTGTGTGTGTGCCTCTCTGTGTGTGATACCTGAGTGTGCTGTCTTTGGATGTGTGCTCTTGTGTGTCCCCGTTTGTGTCTGCATGAATCTGTGTGTGGGGGGCTGCGTCTTCCAGGCCCTGGCTAGGTGCACGTGCGTGTCCCTGAGTGTGGTTGTGTCTCCAGGTCCCTGGTTGTGGGCACTCGTGTGTCCTCGGCTGTACCCAAGAGGGTGTCCCTGGTGCCTAGAGGGTCCAATGGCCAGAGCTGGTTCTCCAGGGCCGGCGCTGAGTGGGGAGAGGTGATAGGGCAGCGTGGCTCCATAGGTGCATGCACTCCATAGGTGGTGTGCAGGTGGCAGCGCCAGCGTCCAGCAGTCCTGAGTGGTGGGACCAAGGCCCGGAGGGGCAGCCAAGGGGTAGTGGACAGCCGGCAGGGCCAGCAGGACACTTCCCCCTCCAGACTATTTCTCTTCCTTCTGTGGGTTCCTCTTTTGAGTAGGAGATTCTCGTCCCCCTCCCACTAGGGAAGCCACACAGAGAGAATTCCAGGGACCTCCTCCTACAGCCTCAAAGCTTCAGCCTGGACTTCAGCCTGGACTGGAGAGGAGACCTGTGGGCAGCTCTCCCAGGCAGGGAGGTGTGTGCCGGGTAGGGCCACCGGCCTGGCTATTTTGGTCACTGTTGGGCCTCTGCCAGATCCCGGCATCCCCAGGACCAGCCCCAAAAGCTTGGGAGGCAGCCTGGGCCCCCGTTTCCTGTCTGGGGAAATAAATCAGCTCAGTAATTGCCCAGACACTTGAATGGAGGGTCTTCGGGCTGAGGTTTACTGGCGCATGGCTCCATTTGGACTTCACTAAATTGGCCCCCGCTTTGGCACAGCTGACGTTCAAGTAAATGTCACTGAGGAGATCTTTTTAAAATTTCTTTTTAATTTTTTGTTGGCTAGAAGGGAGGGGATCTTGTCCAGAGTCTCCTAGCCAGAAGGAGTTTATTTTTATGAGAGAGAGAGCGGGTGAGTGCTTAGCAACCACCTGCCTCCCTCTCGACCAGGGAGTCACCCAGGGATTGTGGGGTGGGCATGAGGAGGTGGGGTGGGGGAGGAATTTCATCAAGATGGTGTTGGAGAGGATCCAAAGGGGGCCTAGCACGGCTAAGAACCCCCAACAGGGTGGGACTGGTAGAATGGTGGGAGGTGTTAGGCCTGGCTCAGCCCCCAGTTGACCTTGGGCAACCCTTTTTCTGCCTCAGTTTCCTTACCTGTAAAATGGGTGGGGCAGACTGGTTATAGAGTAAACCAGGGACCAGAGGTAGGAGCTTGTCCCCAGGGAACTGATTTAAGTCCTATGCTTTGTTTTAATGGGTGGGTGACCTTGGTTGATTCCCTTGGTTTCTTTGAGCCTCGGCTTGGCTGCCTGGGCAGCAAGGACACCAGTGCCGGCCTCACTACGTCCTTGAGGGGATTGAGGGAGATGAGGCTGAATAAGCTTGTAGTAAGCTGTAAAGCCGGGCTCGGCTGTAGAGCTGCTGATTAGAGGGTGTCACGAGGTCCTGGGTCACTGTGGTGTATGGCAAGGGCCAAGGTGCATTCTGGAGGCTTTGTCCTTTGGGGACACCCTTGTACTAACCCATGGCTCAGCTGCAATCATCCTCCCCTGCCTCCTTCCCGTCACCTCAACCTGTGGTGATTGGACCACATCTGCTTTTCAGAGTCTGGAGGCCTGGTGAGCAGTACCCATTTTATAGATGGACAAACTGAGAGCCACCTAAGGGACTTTGCCTTGACTGGACAAAATTAAGTTTCAAAAGGTTTTCCCTAGCTCAGCTGTGAGTTTTGGCCCCATGGGGCTTTGGTCACTGATATCCTCGGGAGTTGAAATTGAACCGGGGCCTGGGGAAAATGAGGAACAAAGGTGTCCCAGTCCTTAGGGCAGGAAAGTGAGCCTATGGGACCCATTTGCACCTTGCTTCTGTCCCTAGTTACTCATTCTCCCTTCCTTGTGCCTTCCCCTGAGCCCTGCTACCCATTCTGCTGCAGGGGTCAGCCCTCCACAAGGCAGTCCGGGCTCTGGGGACTCTGTTTTCTAACCTGAACTTGTCCGCCTGTCAGTTTGTCAAAGGATTTGGGAGGTGTACTTCTCTGAAAGTCTTTCCAAAAGTCCTGAATGATAAGAAACTTGTGAGTCATTGAACACATTCCCGTATATAGAAAAAGCTGAGAAGTAAATTATAAGGGCTCCCCAGAATGCAGCTTAGCTGCAGCCAGAGGGGGTCTGCCTGGGAATTGGGGTTGGCCTGAAATCCCAGGGCCACCCTGGCAGGTACATGCTGATTCCCCACTTCTGCAGAAGGTCATGAGCAAGAGTCAGATTCTTTGGGGCTGCATCTCATTTTCCTGTGTTTGCCAACTTGGCCAGAGCGTTCGTTTGAATTTATGGGTTCTGGGCAGGAGCTGTGGATCTGGAAATGCCTAAGGAAGCCTTCAAGTGAGAATGAGAGCGCTTTTTTAATGTGCTTCATTTAGTTGATTAATAGACCTTGGTTAAGGTCAGCTCTGGGCTGGCACTGGGTTCAAGGTAGAGTGTTGGCTTTCTAGGAGCTCCTGTCCCAGAGGTAGAAGCATGTGGTAACTGCAATGGCCATTACCATCCGTAGGATACAGTGAAGAAGACCCAAGGAGCAGCTGAGTGTGCAGTGAGGGTGGGGTAGTGGGCAGGAGGCACTTTCGCTTCCTAGAGGACACAGTGTCGGAGTTGCCATTGTCTGTGGGTGGAGAAACAGGATGGGCTGGCATTCTCCACAGGGGGCAGAGTAGCCACAAGGGCACAGTGGCGTGAAATAGCCAAGCATGTTTGTAGAACAGGTTCCCCGGGTCCTAGCTGGAGAGAGGAATAGGAGCCAGATGGTGGGGAGGGGGGCGTTTTATTTTTTCACATATAAAAATAGAGACAGGGTCTTACTATGTTGCCCAGGATGGTCTCAAGCTCCTGGGCTCAGGCAATCTTCTCGCCTCAGCCTCCCAAGTGTTGATTATAGGTGTGAGCCACCGTGCCAGCCGGAGGGCCTTGAATGCTGTGTAAGTGGGTTTGGGCTTTCTCCTGATGGCAGCAGGAGTCATACTGGGTTTAAGGATAGTGGGGCAGAAGCCAGTCAAGCCTGGAGCCCAGGAGAACCCTGATGGTGAGTAAGGAACGGAACTGGGGTCCAGGAGACGGAGAGTCACCGAGCCACTAAGCATTTTCTGTACCAATGAGTCTTGCCCTGAACTCTTTCTGTAAACATGGGGGTGAAGGCCTGGACATGCTATTTAACCGGTACACAGGCCATTAACTTGCTGGCTTTGACCTCCCTGGAGCACACAGCCCTAGTGTCTCTAGGTGAGTTATGCCAGTCCTGGACAGGTCTGCGGAGTTTCCTTTCCTGCCTTACCTGGTCAGAGGCTTCATTTGGAAACCTGGGCAGAGGCTGATGCCAAGGGTGGGAGTTAGGGTTACGAGAGGGAAAGCAGAGAGAGTGAGGAATTGCTGTTCTGTTTCTAAAGCTCCAGCGTTGTGTGGCCAACCACCCTTCTCTTGGAAAAACCAACATACAAATAATAAACCACCTGAAACAAAAGAGTGGGGAGGGAATGATGGGGGAGGCAGGTGGGCTGCCCTAACTGTGGTCAGGTATCAGAATTGCCTGGGATACTTAAAAACAAACAAACAAACATATTCAGACTCCCAGGCCCAGCCTGGACATACTGAATCAGAACCTCCAGGGGGATGGAGCCTGGGAATCTGTATTTTTAAAGTTTTTCTTGTGGTTTTTTTTTTTGAGACAGGGTCTGACTTCGTTGCCCAGGCTGGAGTGCAGTGGTGCCATCACAGTTCACTGCAGCCTCGATCTCCTGGGCTCAAGTGATCCTCCCACCTCAGCCTTCCAAGTAGCTGGGACTACAGGCATGCACCACCACTCCAGGCTAATTTTTGTATTTTTTGTACGGAGGAGGTTTCACCATGTTGCCTGGGCTGGTCTTGAACTCCTGAGCTCAAGCGATCCTCCCACCTTAGATGATTTTTAAAAAATGTTTTTTAAATTGAGTTATGATTTACATGCAGTAATATGCAAAGATTCTGTTACGGTTTGATGAGTTTTGACAAATGTATACACCTGTGTAACCACCACCCAAATCAAGATATAGAACATTTCCAGCACCTCAGAAAGTTGTCTTGTGCTCCTCACCTCACAAGACAGCCACTTTCTCCGTTTTCTTTTTCTTTTTTTTTTTTTTTGAGACAGAGTCTTATTCTGTTTCCCAGGCTGGAGTGCAGTGGCATGATCTCTACTGCAGCCTCGACCTCCCCAGTCTCAGATGATCCTCCCACCTCACTTCCCAAGTAGCTGGGACTACAGGCGCACGCCACCACACCTGGCTAGTTTCTTTTGTATTTCTTGTAGAGACAGGGTTTTGCTGTGTTGCCAGGCTGGTGTCAAACTACTAGGCTTAAACGATCCACCCTTGCGGGCCTCCCAGAGTGCTGGGATTACAGGCATGCCCCACCATACCAGGCCCACTTTCTGATTTCTGTCACCATAAATTAGTTTTGCCAGTCTAAATCCTCATATAAATGGACTTATTTAGTGTATACTCTTTTGTCCATTTTTTTCTGCCTCACATTGCTGGGATCCATCTGTGCTGTTGAGTATATCAGGAGTTGATTTTTTTTTTTATCGCTGAGTAGTCTCCCATTGTATGGATGTTCCACAATGCGTTCATCCATGCTGTTGATGGACATTTGGGTTGTTTCCAGCTGGGGGGCAGCTATTACTAATAAAGCTTCTATGTGCATATTTCTGTACAAGTGTTTTTGTGGACATATATTTTCCTTTCTCTAGGACTAGAGCTGCTGGGTTATAAGGTAGTAGATATGTGTTAACTTTTTGAGAAACTGGTAAACCATTCACTTTTAATTATAAAAGTAATATACCTCAAGCAATACGAAACTGCATAAACTAAAAAGTGATCCTTTCGGATCATTATAAAAAAGTACAATCTGATCTTCAGTCTGTCCACCTGCCTGATTGACAGTCTATCATATCTCTTTCTTTTTTTTTTTTTGAGACAGAGTCTTGCTCTGTCACCCAGGCTGGAGTGCAGTGGCTTGACCTCAGCTCACTGCAACCTCCGCCTCCCAGGTTCAAGCGATTCTCCTGCCTCAGCCTTCTGAGTAGCTGGGACTACCGGCACGTGCCATTATGCCTGGCTAATTTTTGTATTTTTAGTAGAGACAGGGTTTCACCATGTTGGCCAGGCTGGTCTCTAACTCCTGACCTCAAGTGATCCGCCTGCCTTGGCCTTCGAAAATGCTGGGCAGTCTATCATATCTCTTTTTAATATAAGGTTATACATTTCCCTCTGCATACAGCTTAAACTTTATCCAGGTGTGCATATGGACATAGACTCCTTTTTGTTACTTACTGGATCAGTTTTCACTTGAGTTTTGATTTCCTCTTTGATCCAGGCATTATTTGGGATCTGTTTGGAAGCTAGCTGTAGTTTTGTTTTGTTTTTTTTTTGTTTGTTTGTTTTTGGGACGGAGTCTCGCTCTGTCGCCCAGGCTGGAGTGCAGTGGCGTGATCTCAGCTCACTGCAAGCTCCGCCTCCTGGGTTCAGGCCATTCTCCTGCCTCAGCCTCCCAAGTAGCTGGGACTACAGGCACCCGCTACCACGCCCAGCTAATTTTTTTTGTATTTTTAGTAGAGACAGAGTTTCACCATGTTAGCCAGGATGGTCTCGATCTCCTGACCTGGTGATCTGCCCGCCTCGGCCTCCCAAAGTGCTGGGATTACTGGCGTGAGCCACCACGCCTGGCCAGTTTTGTTTTGTTTTGAACAAAAATGACATGGTACTGTTCTTGGTTCTGCCACTTGGTCTATCCCAATAGCAGGCCATGTGGACTGCATGTCAGAACACACGGATCTGCCAGGCCATTCCAAACAGCCAGCCTGCATTTGGGAGCCACTGACTTTGCGTGTCCTGTCTGATCACCCCCAGTGCTGCCAGCTCAGTAAATGAAATACCCCCACCCAGGACTTGCCCCGGAGGGTGCAGAGGAGCCGGCTGAGCCGATTCAGCATTCTGAGAAGGGAAGGAACTCATATTTATTGAGCATCCACGGTGCTTTATCCCCCTTCCTGTCTCAGAGATGAGTTCATCAGAAAAATGGGTGGCCCCAGCCCACACTCAGCTAGGAAAGGGTGGAAGGAGCGCTGGACCCAGAGTCCACCGGATGCCTCAGCCCATCCTCGTCCCACTGACCGCACGGCAAACGTTCATGAGTGCCTACTGTGTGCCAGGCACAGGGCCAGGGCCAAGAGGGCAGGGAGGAATACACAGCACCTGTGCTCAAGGAGGGAGGGGAGATCCCTATCAGGAGGAGGTTAGTGAACAGTCTAAGATGGTTTATGCCAAGGCAGGCCAAGGATCCAGTCTGGGAACGCCGCCTCAGGTCTGAGGGAGAGCAGCCCCAGGCTGTGGAGTGTGGGGACTTTGGGGTTGTGGGATCATCCAGTTAACCTTCTCTGCCCACCCACTTTATGGATGAGGACGCTGAGGCCCAAAGGAGGCACTTATCAACACAGGAAGATAAAGCCATCAAAAGAGCCATTGTTGGCCAGGCACACTGGCTCACGTCTGTAATCCCAGCACTTTGGGAGGCCCAGGCGGGCGGATCACGAGGTCAGGAGTTCGAGACCAGCCTGGCCAATATGGTGAAACCCCATTTCTACTAAAAATACAAAAATTAGTCAGGTGCAGTGGTGGGCACCTGTAATCCCAGCTGCTTGGGAGGCTGAGGCAGGAGAATCACTTGGGCAGAGGTTGCAGTGAGCCAACATCTCGCTACTGCCCTCCATCCTATGCGACAGAGTGAGACTCCATCTCAAAAAAAAAAAAAAAAAAAAAGCCATTGTTCACAGATGTGGCTCCCTGTGCTCCCCCCTCCCAGCCGCACCCATCATTCATTGCTTGTGTGAACCCCCCCTTGACAGGGAGGGATTTAAGGAAAGGGTTAATGCCTCCACCTCAAACCTTCGGTGATATTGTTCATGACTCTCACATCCTGGTTTTGTCACAAGTCACTGGAAAGTGGGTGGGAGGGCAAAACTGTATCAATTGCAAAGACTCCTTACAGTTTGGCTGCTCAGGAGACACCCCCAGAGCCCAGGATGGGGTTCCTGGAAAGCTCAAGAAGGAGCGTGGTGAGCAGCTCTGGCCACTGCATGGAATAGAACGTGGAAGGTAGGGAGAGGGCTGGTGGTCTCCAGGAGAAGGGTTGGGCTGGCAATGGAAGGCTTCCTCCCTCAGCAGGTATCTGAGCAGGCCTAGGCTGGAAGGCAGAGGGCTGAGCCCTCAGGGTTCTGCTCACATCGGGTCCTTGCCGACCCAGAGGCTCAGGACCACTTCTCTGCGTGGTCCCTCCTCATGCTGGGGTGCCCTGAGAGGCTCTTCCTTTCCAGGACTTTTCTTTGCACATAAATGCCAAGTGACTCACTGTCATGTTCCAGTGGAAAGTCCTTAACCCAAGGCTGCCAGTTGCTTGGTTGGAGGTGGAGGAGTGTGGTTGGCCAGCGATTTCAGCAGAGTCATGCTTACTGAGTGAAGGGTGCCGGAAGGGGGAGGTCCTAAGGGACATCCTCTCTTGCCCCAAGGCTAGTCAGCACCATGAGGGAAGACTCAGGTCATGATTTCAAGGACATTCATTCCTTCAGAGATGACACCTGGTGTTTCCTCTGCAGGTGGACATCACACCAGCCCAAGACAACAGCCTCCTCACTAGCCTCTGTGCCTCCTGGATACCTCTCTGTACCATCTGGGGACCAGCTCTCTGCATGTCACTCTCTTGCTCAAAAGCCTTCAGTGGTGGCTCCCTAGTGCTTTGTGAAATCAAGTCCAACCTCCTTAGCCTGGCATTGGAGGCCCTTCACGATCTGGCTCTTGGCCAGCGTTCACGCTCACCTACCACAACTTCTTTCCTTGTTTGTAGTCTGGCTGGTTTCTGCTCCTAGCTAGACCAAGCGTCCAGCTCTCTCAGCCCTGCCCATGCTGGTCCCTCAGCCCGCAAGGCCCTTCCTCCCATCACTCCTTATTCCCACTCTTAAGGGGCGAGCTTGGAGCTGCCTGCTCTGGGAAGCATTCCTTGAGCCTCTTAACAGTGCCTGGCACGTAGTAAGCACTCAAAAAAGATGACGTGAGTTAAAGTGGACTTCAGCTCGCCCTGCTCTGAGCCTTGTGGTCCTTTCCTCTGGCCTGAGCTCGGACCTTTATGGTCTTACCTTATACCCATGCACTTGACTGGGGACACATCAAGGGGAGGGATGGATGCTCCAGCATCCAGCCTAGGGGTGTGGCACACAGTTGTTGCTCAACATACAAATCAAGAGAGCCTAATTCCTTCTACTCTGAAATGGGAACCTATGGTTTGAACATCTGAGTGGCTCCAGGCTTGGAAATTATATTCACCTGTCACCATCCATCAATCCATCCATCCATCTCACAAATATTCACTTGTTCCAGGCCCTGTCCTAGGCCCTGGGGATGTGGCTGGTGAACAAGACAGACCAAACTGTACCCTCATGGAGCTGTCTGTCTGGCAGGGCTATGGACGTCAGACAAAAGATTACACATGCATGGCTAATGCCCTTTTAAAATCAAAGGCCCTGCATCAGGCACTGCAACACCAGGCTTAGAATACCCCTGTCCTCTGGCTTGCTCTGTGACCTAAGTGAGTCCTTTCTCCTCCCTGGCCCTGTAAGGGGTGGCCCAGATAGGTTTTGTGTTTAAGGGAAATACCTTCTGAATAAAGGGAGGAAAGACCATTCTATCCATTGTGGAAGCGCGTGCCACCACACGGGGTGCTGTTCCTGCGGGACTCCTTTAAGGATGCAGTCATCCTCTTGGTGGTTTTTCAAGATGTCCTAGCCCTGGCTCTGAAAGGAGGTGTCCCGATTTGGGGACAGGAGTTCCAGAGTTACTCTGAGCAGAGCTGTAGCAACAGGCTTTTAGTAAAGAACGTTGCCTCGAGGAACAATAATGTGGATTCCTCTTCTGCCACTGGTAGAATATCAATTAGAACAGACTTTTAAAAAAAGAAAAGCAAAAACTCGTCCAGGTGTGGTGGCTCACGCCTGTAATCCCAGTATTTTGGGAGACTGAGGCAGGTGGATTGCTTGAGCTCAGGAGTTCGAGACCAGCCTGGGCAACATGGCAAAACCCCATCTCTAAAAAAATGCAAAAATTCGCCGGGTGTGGTGGCACGCACCTGTAGTCCCAGCTATTTGGGAGGATGAGCCTGGTAGGCAGAGATTGTACTGAGCTGAGATCGTGCCACCGCACTCCAGCCTGGGTGACAACAGTGAGACAGCAGGCCTAAGTGGGGCCTGGGGCCCTGAATTTCTAACCAAATCCCAGGCACTGTGGACGGTGCTGGTCTGGGGACCACTCTTTGAGTCAAGGAGATAAATAGTGCAGTTGTGAGCCTCCTATACATTAAAAGCCAGATCCTGTGCTTCGTCAACTCCTCTTCTTAATCCTCACCAAAGACACCACTATTCCCATTTTGCACATGAAGACCCGAGGCCCTGCTGAGGGCAGGTAACTTGCCCAAGGTCACACAGCTGGGAGCCTGCCGGCATTCGTGCTGGGCCAGCGCCACCTTGGAAAGGTTGCTGTTGGGGAAGCCTTTCACTACTGAACAGTGTCCTCGCTCCAAAAGCCACAGGAGGCTTTTCAAGGCAGCCAAGTCGGATGTAAATCAGGGGAGAGCCCAGGGCTAGCCAGGCTGCTGACAGCAGGGCGGCCTGGGTCACTGTGTCCGGACAAGGCCCACAGCGGGATTTGGGGCTGGCATGATGCCTGGGAGTGGGGGAGCCACTGGGGATGCTCTGGGCGCCTGGAAAACCAGCCTGGAGCCTGCTGGAGCCCAAGGAAGCACCTTAGCCTCTGACAGCCTCCCCCATTATTTAAATACATTCCAGGGAACACAGCTGGCTGGAAGGGGCAGTGATGGGACCACAGGAGCTGGGACCTGCTGCTTCCGTTGTTTAAAGGCTGGTTCATCCCTGCAGCCACGCAGGCATTCTCCGTAATCGCCGTCTGCTTTGAGGACAGAGAGGTCGTGGTCTTCTGCTGGCTGGGGCTTTATTTTTGCACTGAGCACCTGTCCTCAGCAAACTGGGAAAAGTAGAACACGTAGTGACTCTGAGTCCTCAAAATGCTGTCCCTGGCCCAGCAGTATGGGCATCACGTGGGAGCCTGCAGAATGCAGAACCTCAGGCCCCACCCCAGACCTTCTCATTTAGACCTTGGGGGCAGGGCTCCGCATTCTGGGTTTTCAAGAGCCCTCCAGGCAATTCTGCTTTGTATTTAACTTTGGGAAGGGCTGATGACCTCTCTGGCTGTGTGCCTGGGGCCGGGGGTGGGGCTGGGGGAAGGGTCAGGCCTAATCCTTGCCCGTGATAACTAGAGTGCCAGGGCTGCGGGAACCTCAGGTGTTCTGTCATCTGCATCCTTCCTCTTTTTTATAATGGGAGGAGTGTGTCAGAGACATGCATAAAATTACGCAGCAAGTTCAAGGCAGGGTATAGGTCTGGATTCTTATCTTGCAAATGGCAGAAATCAGTTCAAACAGACTTCAGTTTTATTTTTTTTATTTATTTATTTTTGAGATGAGTCTTTCTGTGTCTCCCAGGCATGAGTCACCACACCCGGCCTAAACTGACATTAAAAATAAAAAAGAACATTTACTGACTCTTTTAACTTAAAAGCCTGGGGCCATACTTCAGCCTGGGGCTGAGTCCAGGTGCTGAAAGATGTCATCGGGACTCAGTTTCCTTCTCTCTGTCTCCCGGCTCCGGGTCTCTCTATGCCTGCTTCATTCTCCATGGATGCCCTAGCTGCTCACCAGTGTAGTGCCGCCCCCTGCCCCAATGTAGCCATCTCAACCAAGAAAGAGCCTTGTTTTTCCCCAATATTTTTGGCAAAAGTCCTAGTCATCACTGTTTTTGACCAGGCTGGTCAAGTGCCTATCTTTGAGCCAATCAAGACAGCCCCCTCTGATTGGCTAGGGCTGGCTCACGTGCCCACCTAGGAGGAGGAGGTGGGGTCAGTCCATCTAGACCCCTTGGGCTGAGAGCAGGCCTATGTGGGTCTCCTCCTGGAACAGGTTTAAGCTGTCCCCAGAAGGGGCATGGGTGCCAGCAGGCTAGACATATGGACTTTAGTGCTATTCTTTTTTTTTTCTTTTTTTTTAAGAGACAGGGTCTCACTCTGTCACCCTGGCTGGACTGCAGTGGTACGATCACTGCTCGCTGCAACCTCAAACTTCTGGGCTCAAGCAGTCCTCCCACCTCAGCCTCCCAAGTGGGTGGGACTACAGGCATGTGCCACCATACCCAGCTAATTTTTAAATTTTATTTTTTTGTAGAGACAGGTCTCCCTGTGTTGCTCAGGTTGGTCTTGAACTCTTGGGCTCATGAGCCTTCTGCCTCAGCCTCCAAGAGTGCTGGGATTGCAGACATGAGCACACCTAGCCTTTAGTGCCATTCTTATCCTCCTCTCTGAGATGGGCTGGCCTCTTGTAATTGGTAAGGTTTTGCCCTATGCAGAATTATGCTGTCCTTCCTCTGATTCTCTTAACCTCGTGCTTTAAACAGGCTGCCTTCATCTTTCACTTTATCCCACTTCCCTGTGTATGGTCTAGGATAGCAAGGTTTACGTTGCTACTTCCACCACCCAAACCCACAGCAGACATCACTAATCCAGCCCAGACTTCACAGAGCCTAGAATGAAGCCTTGATGGCCTCTCATGTGCCCAGCCTCTAGCCGGTGGTTCCAGGCCTCATGAGCTCAGGGACCTTGGCTCTGTCATCCACTGCTGAGCTTCATGTGCCCAGTGCAGTGCCTGGCACAGTAAGTGCACCATAAGTTGTTGACTGACTGTTCCTACTCCACAGTGCCTTGTACCCAGTGGGTGCCAGTGTGAGCCTGTTGAATGTGGAGGCCCTAACAAAGCAATGAGATCATCTAATTTGGGGGACAGGGAGCTCTGTAGGCTGCCGGGACTGGCATTTACTGACACTGGCAAGTGCGCCTCTGGGTCTGGGAAGGAGGCTGCCAGGGCAGGGCTACAGCTACAGCAAGGAAAGGGGTCCTGGAGGCCTCTGTCTGCTCTCCCAGACCCACCCTCCCATGCCCTCTCCCCCTGAGACACCCACTGCCCATTTCTGCTGATCCCAGTTTAACAGTTCATTGAAAATATCTCATTTGAGAAGAAATGATTTCCTGACTTTGTACACTTAGATTCCAGGAATCCAGGAGAGCCTTCCAGCCTCAGGGCAAGGAGCTTTGCTGGTAGGAGGAGGTGATCTGCCCCCAGCTGCCTATTTCCCAAACTGAGCTTCTACTGAAAAAGACAACAGAACCCCCCCGCTCCAAAAAAAGTCTTCTGGGTTAGTCACGTCCGGGACTGCTTGGCTCAGCAAAGCTCAGCAGATTTCCTAGGCACAGTGATTCTCGCCCCTGAACTGGTTGGTGAATACCACATCCCCCAAGGATCTTCTCTGAGGCCCCTCACTCTGGCCCTGGTGTGTCCCTGCGCCCCTTGGGAATAGTCAGGCTATGTGACTGAGCTGGTGGGGCGCTCAGGAGTGTGGGCTTTCTGTGGCTAGGGCTGTGGAACAGCTTACCCATTTGCAGCTGAAACCTTGTTCCCCTCTGACCAAGGGCAATGTGATGGTTCTTGCTGCTGACTAAGTTTTGGGGACCCTGCATCCAAGAGAGGGGCGTGTGTGAGTGAGTGGGAGTGCATGTGTGAGTGTGTGTCCCATGTGGGTCTGTGTGTGGCTGTGAACATGTGTGTGGCTGACACAGGCAAGTGTGTGGGGCTGGGAGTCTGCATATGATTACACTTGTGTCTGTGCGTCTGCATGTGAGCTTGTGTTGGCATGTGTGAGTATGCATGTGTGAGCCTCAGCGTCCTGGCCTTCCAAGGGGTTTGGTCAGCCCCTCCCCAGCACACACGTCTGGTGGTTACAAGTGGGTGGACAATTAGGGGCCCTGTGCACAGTCTGCCTCTGACCAGATCTCTTTCTTCCGTCTTCGCTTCCTCTCTTTGCAATAGATCCAGAACCAGAACCACAGCCCTTCTGAGGAGCTCCCAAACGTAAGTGACCTTGGACCTCCAGGTGGGATGGGTGTCTCACACGTTGTGCAGTGACCCAAGGTGGGGGGCTCAGGAGCTCCGTGTCTCCCCCAGGCTCTAGGAGGACAAGACGGGACCCCTGAGGCCCACAGACCTTGTCCACACCTCACCTCCAGGTGGCAGATCCCCTGGCCTGGCTTGGCCACTCTGTGCCTGCTTGGTCCCCAGCCAGTCTGTGCCAGAGGGCACAGGGACGCCCTGCAAATGGGCCAAGCACTGGTTTTGGAGATCCAGCCTGTGCCCTGTCCTGGCTCTGCTGCAGAGTAGCCTGGGGCAAGTCTGCCGTGGGGAGGATGCCCTCACTGAGTTGATTCTGAGGATTGGGGTCTGAGCTTGGCTCTGTCTCTGTTAAAGGTTTGTTTTTGTTTTGAGACAGGGTCACACTCTGTCGCCTACGCTGGGGTGCAGTGGTGTCATCAGGGCTCACTGCAGCCTCGATCTCCCCAGGTTCAGGTGATCCTCCCACCCCAGCCTCCCTAGCAGCTGGCACTACAGGCGCGTGCCGCCGTGCCCAGCTTATTTTTGTATTTTTTGGAGTAACGGGGTTTCACGATGTTGTCAAGGGCACAGTGGCTCACGCCTCCAATCCCTGCACTTTGGGAGGCCAAGGCAGGAGGATTGCTTGAGGCCAGGAGCTCGAGACCAGCGTGGGCAACATAATGAGCCCCATCTCAGCAAAAATTAAAAATAATATAAATAAAATTATAAATAAACAAGTAAAATGGAAAACCTTTGCTAAAGTTGCAAGAGTATTACAGTGGCCTCGCATTATGCCCTTCGTTGAGATTTTCCCATGGGTAACATTTGCCACATTCGCTTCATCTCTTTCTCACTAATATGTTAAATAAAAACAGTCACGTGAACATTCTTCCATTTTTGCTGAATCATTGGGGAGTAAATTGCAGGCATGATGCCCCTTCACCTCAATCCTTCAGGCCTTTCATAAGAGCAAGGCCAGGCCGGGCGCCGTGGCTCACGCCTGGGATCCCAGCACTTTGGGAGGCCAAGGTGGGCAGATCACGAGGTCAGGAGATCGAGACCATCCTGGCTAACACGGTGAAACCCTGTCTCTACTAAAAAACACAAAAAATTAGCCAGACGTGGTGGCGGGCGCCTGTAGTTCCAGCTACTCGGGAGGCTGAGGCAGGAGAATGGCGTGAACCCGGGGGATGGAGCTTGCAGCGAGCCGCGATCGTGCCACTGCACTCCAGCCTGGGCGACGCAGCGAGACTCCGTCTCGAAAAAAAAAAAAAAAAAGAGCAAGGCCATTCTCTTATATAACCCTAGCACAGTTATCTACCCCAGGACACTGATTTAACATTGACGTGATTCTGTTATCTGTGGATCTTAATGGCATTGCACTGATTGTCTCAGTGTTTACAGCAGCCTTATTTTTCTTTTAGTTCAGGATCGTCATTATGTTTTTAAAAAGGGTTTAAGGGATGTCTCCTTCGCTGATTAAGACATTGCCTGCTCTAGGGGCTTTCAGAGTCTTATTTAATCCTCAGCGTTCATTAAATACATTTTACAATGGGATGTGGCCTGCGTGTGCATGTACACAAACACACACGTCAAACTCAAACCCTGAAATTGAAGTTTCTCAGATCATCCTCGTACTCGCCATCTGCTGTGCTCTGGTCTGCTCTGTCTTCCTTTAGTAAAAAAGATGGCCTTGACCCCTTACATTGATGTCAAGACCCACTGTGGACTCTGCTTTGGAATTAGAAAACCCTGGCTTCCTGGGCAGAAATTTCTAAGGGGGAAGGTTAAGCTCCCACTGGTCCAGGGTTCGGATTGGTTGGAGTGGGGTCCCCTGTGAAGCCGGGACTAGGCAAGCGTTTGTTTGTGGCCCAGAGCTCCTCAACCTGCTGCTGCTAGCAGCTGGACCAAGTCCTTCCTTTTCATCAAGCTCAGCTGGCCTAGGTTGCTTGGTCACAAGCAGCCCCACCCCATGGAGACATATTCTTTGTGCTGTGACATCGGGCAGGGGTGTGTACCCAGCCAGCCACTGGGCAGGCATGGAGGTGACCTACTCGACGTCAGCCTCCACAGGCGTCATCATAATAGTTATAGACGTCAATAATAATGATTGCTACCGCTTCCTGGACTCAGCATGCTCATATACTGCCGAGAGGTTTACTGTGTTAACTCTGTCAACCCAAAGAAGTGGGTGTGCTCTTACTCTTTTTGAAAAAATATGAGAAATTCATTGAGCGCTTATTGCACATCAGGCACTGCTAAACACGTCACAGACTCATGCACAGCCTCCTCAGGAGCCTTGTGAGGTGGGCGCTGATGTCATCCCTATTGTACAGATCAGAAAACTGAGGCTTGGAGAGATGAATTGATTGTTTCCAAGACTACACAGCTGGGAAGGATTTGAACCTGATTGAGCTGACTCTAGCCCACTTCCTCAGGCTGGGAACGGCCTCTGGGCCCAGCCCCTTCCCCTTCCCCCGGGACTTCCTCCTGGTTAATGAGTAGTCAAAGCACCTGGGAAATGAGGCTCCTGCTGCCGTGAGGCTGGAATGTGAGTTCTGCTTCCAGATAGAGTCTTGTGCAAGGGGCCCTGCCTGGGATGGGCTGTTACAGGCAGTAAACAGAGGTTGCCAATGTTCCTCTTTTTGAGGCTTGCTGATGTATTTGCGCTTGGGAGCCCATTTTATAGAAAAGGCTGAGAGGCAGATTTGCCCTCAGACTTATCTGATGCTCCTCCAAGCAGCCCTCTTGGCTTAACACTTTCTGAAAGGGCTCCTCGGCCCCCTGACATGGCAGGGGTGTCTAGAGGAACAGGGTGGAAGAACAGACCTTGTCAGCTCTGAAGTCTGAGCACTGCTAGGTGTGCGCCCTCCTCACTGGGCACGTCACTTGAGGGCTCTGACCTTCAGGTTCTCATCTGAGAAGGGGCATGATGCGGACATGGGAATGTGTGTTAGTTGTTCAGCAGAGCCTGAACTATTAATGGACCAGCCCAAAAAAGTATTGCTGACAGGGGGCAACCCATGTAGTGGAGTCCATGGAGCTGGGGAGTCAGGCAGTCCCTAGTTCAAATCTCTGTTCCAGCCCTGCCGGCTTCGTGACCTGGAGGAGTCACAGAACTACCCTGAGCCTCAGGTAACCCACCCCTGAAATGGAGCAATAGTGGCACCCAGGAGGGTTAGAAAGACGGTGATACTGGGATTTTGGGGTGGGGGTGACCTCATCACTTTGTAAGCACAGTGAGGTTAAGTGTGCAAAAGGCCTAGCACATCAGTGCCAAGCACCCCACATGCAATTTCTCATTTTATCCCCCAAGGTGAGCCCCCCCTAGAGCAACTCCCCACCCCCTCAGCTATGGGGCTGAGTCCAGAAATCAGATTCACCCTCCCGGTGCCTGGGGCAGCTTAAGGAAGAAAGAAGATTCTTAACAGGGAGACCCTCTCTGGGCTTGTGGTGAGATCTCCCACGGGGTGTCTGCCCCCATGCCCCGCACCCATTGTAAACTGGTGCATATAGGAGTGTTGATATAACAGGCCCATGACTTCCAGTGTTGTCAGAAAAGGCCACCTCAGGCCTGTTCAACAGAAGTGCCAACCTCAACATTCGCTTCCTAGAAGGCTCAAGACCGTAATAAAATGATATTTATTATTTACTCTGGTTATAAAAGTCATACATTTTTGAACAGGCACAGTGGCTCACGCCTGTAATCCCAGCAGTTTGGGAGGCTGAGGCGGGTGGATCACTTGAGGTCAGAAGTTCAAGACCAGCCTGGCCAACATGGCAAAACCCCATCTCTACTAAAAATACAAAAATTAGCTGTGCGTGATGGTGCGCACCTGTAGTTCCAGCTACTCTGGAGGCTGAGGCAAGAGAAAACAAGCTGCTGGATTTGGCCCAGTGGCCAGTTTGCTGACCTTGTTGTAAGCCATGATTTGTTTGACTAAAGCAGTGTTTATTTAATTAATCCCATAGTGATGGGAAATTGGCTGGTTACAGTTTCTCTTGTAAACCACTCTGCTTTTTTTTTTTTTTTTTTTGAGACAGAGTCTTGCTCTGTCACCCAGGCTGGAGAGCAGTGGTGTGATCATAGCTCGCTACAGCCTTGACCTTCCAAACTCAAGCCTTCCTCCCACCTCAGCCTCCTGAGTACCTGGGATTACATGCATGCCTCCATGCCTGGCTAATTATTTTTTTTAGAGACTGGGTCTCACTATGTTGCCCAGGCTGGTTTCAAACTTCTGGGCTCAAGTGATCCTTCTGACTTGGCCTTCCAAAGTTCTGGGATTACAGGCATGAGCCACCGCGCCCAGCCTCTATTTTCAATTGTTGTAAAAGACAAATAACTTAAAGCTGACCATCTTAACCCCTTGAAAGTGTACAATTCAGTCATGGTAAGTAGATTTAAAGTGTTGTGCCGCCAATTTCCCGAACTTTTTTGTCTGGCAAAGCTGAAGCCAGTGAACTTCTTTTGAGTGGGCGTCTTTACACGTTGGTCTAAGCAAGAAGTGGGCTTGCTGGTCGAATGGGGTGCACGTGTTTGAGATGCTGCATACGTGTTGATGAATCATTGACCCCGCAGGGGTTGCCCTCATTTTCACTCTGGCCTAATATCAGTGACAGCCCTGGGGCATGGAGATGGAGGGGTGGCACCTCCCTGGGGAGCTCCTGCCTTCGGGACTTTAGGAAACGGGATTTAAAACAATTCATCCCAGAGAAGCAGCCCCCAGTCTGCCAGCCTTTCTCATTTGGGGGAGATGAGAAAAAGCCGGTAAGCAAAAAATAGCTCTGAGTACTGGGCCAGACTCGAGGTTGAAAAACATACTCCATCCTCTAGAGATGTACTGTTAGGACCTGAGCTCAGGGGTCCCGTGAGCCTGAGTGTGAATGTCATTCAGTTTCTACCCTGCTCTGTGACTCTGAGCACATCGTTTAACCTCGCTGTGGGCTTCAGTGTCCTCTGTCAAAACGGGCCTGATGTAGAAGCTCCCTTCTCTGGTTGTGAGGGTCAGGGAAGAAAAATGGTGAAAGTTAGCAGTTCTAACTGTGAACGTTAGCTCAGAACGGCACATAGCAGTTCTTCAATAAATGAAGTTAACATCGTTATTGCTCGTAGTATTGTGATTATGTTTGGTGCCTCTATCTCAGAGAAGTCTGAATATATGCATAGTAATCGCATCTGCAGCCCTCTACAGTTTGCACGGTTTTTCCAGCTTTGATACCTACATCATCTTGTAGGGTAGTTACTACTGCCCCCCATTTACAGGTGAGAAAACTGGGGCTCAGGAAGGCAGTGAGAAACTGGAAGTCAGCCACGTGTCAGGACAGGAGCCTGGATTTAGCCCACATCTTTGGCTTTGGTTTTGCACACAGCTGCTGCTGGGAGCTGGGGCCAGGGCAGGCAGGTGCCTCCTCTCTGGCCTCAGCCTCGTGGGAAAGCTTGGGCCTCAGGTGGAGTGAGGATGTCTTGGGTGCATCTTCTCGTCTCGGCTCTTGGACCCAGCAGGGGTCGGAGGGGGATTTCTTAAGGGAGGGGGCTTTTTCAGAAATGGACAGGGACTTTCGGGACCATGGCTGCCCACCTCAGTGAAGTCTGAGGGGAGTTCCTGGAAGGCATTTCCATCTGTCCATGTGTTCTAAGTCAGTGGACAATTAAGTCCAGAAACCTCCTGGACTTAAAAAGCAAGCACCGCCAGGATCCCTGGGGCTGCAGACAGCCTCGGGGGTTTTGGAGGGCTGGCTCCTCAGGCACCCATGAAGGAAGGTGTCCTGGGGTCAGTATTCAGACCCAAATGCCCGCAGGGACCCTCAGGGTGCCTTTATCTACTCATGTCTCCACACACTTGCTGGCAGAGCTGGGACAAGTCACTAACCCTCTGTGTGACCTCTGATTCGCCATGGAAAAAAGAGTGAATAGAATAAATCATTTATTCCCAGGGTAGGTTCTTGGGGTGGCAGTGCCGAGCTTGGGTGAGTCTCCACCCCTTCGATTTAGGAGCCGATGCCCTGGTGCGGATCTCTCCTCTGAGCTGAGCGTCCTCCACTAAGTCAGGCACAGAGCACGTGCAGCATAGGGCCGGTGTCCAGGCCCCACCCCAGCTTGGCCGCTTAGTGGCTCACCTTCTGGGGGCCTGCATGCAGGCCACCTTGGCTTCCTGTCATTGCTTCTCACCCCCACCCTCCTCCCAGCCAGAGGTAGAGTTGCATCCCTGCTCTTCAGCCTTTCAATTCCTAGCCCCAGCTTGGCTCCCACCTCCAAATCCCTACCCTCACTCCTCTTGCTCTGTGGGGTCCCACCTGGGCCATTGTGTTGCAAAGGACTCACGCCTCCTACCTCCTTTGCTACCTCTGTCACAAGGAGGGGGCTAGGTTCTCATTTATATTTTCTGGGTTGAGTTTTCCTGAGAGCTTCTGCTAGTCTCACAGCCCCTCAAGTCTCTTCTGGGCATCCTGCCAGTCCTGGACAAGGGTTCCCAGACAAGGGTCTGTCTCTTGTCCCTTAAGTTACTGGGGACCCAGAGAGACCAGATTCTGATGAGGAATCCAAGACTGGGTCCACATCAATGAGAAGGAAGCCAGGATTGATTAGCAGTGTCTGTCAAGGGGGCAAGGTGGGAAGAGGTGGCATGTGTGTTGTCCACATGACACCCTTAGTAATGGGCATTTGCTTTGGAAAAACTGTAGAGGAACCCAGAGGACTTCAAAAGGACTCTACAGCCAGCAGGCAAGAGGTGTCTTCTGGATAGGAAGAAGGGGACGAAGTGCCTCTGGAAGGACAGACAGTGTGTCCAGGGGAGGGAGCCCTGCTGTGCCAGGCCTTCTCATGCCTCGGTGTGATCTCACACCTGGGATGAGTGTGAGACACTCACACATGAATGTTGTGAGACAACATTCATTCACTTAGTAAATATTGAGCAACCACTATACACCAGGCACAGTGCAGTTGGTAAAGAGCCAGGAGGCTGGACCTTGTCTCAGGTGGGTAGAAGGAAGCTGTTTGTGACTGTGGGCTCATGAGCCTGTCTGCCTCCACCTTTTCATCCACTTTCCTCATAATAAGCCTCCTGAGGCTCAGAGAAGTACAGTGACCTGCTCAAGGTCACACAGCACCTTGAGACCTCAGGCCTCTGCTCCTCTCAGAACCACCTTCCTGTTTTGGTGCTGTCAAGAGAATAGTATTTGGTGCTACTTCTTTGGGCAAGTCCATCTTCTGCCTGGGCCTCAGTTGCCCCATCTGTAAAATGGGCCCTATGATAACTACTGGGTTAGCAAGTGCATGTAGGAGAAAGCATCTTGGTATTTTGAAAATACCAAATGTGTCTTATTAATTAATATTGGTCATAATTCAGGGGTGATTTATTCACATTTAACAATCCAGACATTCAGTGAAGTCTCTCACCCTAAAGGAGACAAAATCAGGGAGTGTGGCCTTCTGTGGGCCAAGCGATCCCTGTGTGGCCGAGTCTGGAAGTCTCATGGCTGGGTTCTGGACCTGCAGGATGATTCTGGGGAGAAGGGTCGTCCCAGCTTAAGGTCATGGAGTCAAGACCTTTTGTTTTCCTTTGGCCTTTCTAGTCCATTTGAGAAAGTCACCTTTTCAAACCCCTGCCAGCTCTGCCTAGTACTGGAAAGGCCCCAGCAAGAGTGTTTGACGTTAGGGGAAGTTTGGGGAAAAATCTCTAAGCATATAAACATTGAGAATTGAAAGTCTGATCAGTCATCCAAAAGTTATGGACTTTTGCTGTGGTTCAGGCCCCAGCTGGGGCTAGGGACCCTGAAATGAGCTGCCCTCTGTCCAGCCTGGGAGCTTGTGTGGGAAGATGCTACAAATCAGGACCCTGTCAGGGATGGGGAGGGCCTCTTGAAGGTGCTTTGGGCACGCAAAGTTAAAAAAAAAAAAAAGCTCCCTGAGGTCTTGAATATCAAAAATATGCCAGTTGGGCACCAGACAGTGAGGGCATTCCCAGTAGGGGAAACAGCCCGTGGAAAGGCCTGGTAGAGAGTGGAAGCCTGTAGAAGCCCTAAGGAGTGCAGCGTGGCTGGGGTGTCCTGCTCTGGGCAATGGGGAGGGGAGAGGAGCTGCCTGGGGTAGGGGGTGGGGTTGGGTCTGGCTCAGTGGCCTCGGATCTGTTCAGAGTGGTTGGTCTTGATTCACTCTGGGGAACCAGCCAGAAACAGGAATCCTTATTTCATGGTTCCAACTGCCCCTTAAAGGTAGTGCTTGTTGTTTTGACAACTGGCTCCTGAACAGACAAACCCTGCCTTCAACCAAACACCGCTGCAGGAGAATCACAGGCACGGCCACAAGTCTCCAGAGGAAACCCACTCTAACGAGGTGTCTAACCCAGTTTGCTGACTCACGTGGTTTTGGGAGCCCGTGAAGTGCATTGGGAGGGAGGGGACGGGGACACGGCGCTATTGAAGGAAGCTCGGTCGAAGCCGCCTGTTTGACACACAACACCGGCTGGAGAAACCGTTCAGCTGGTATTTTCCCAGTGTGGCAGATCTGGAGCCCAGGGGTGTTTGTTTCTGCCTCTCTCTGCACTTAGCTGGATGCTAAGAAGGGGCGGAGTCAAGGTCAAGTGTTGGTTGAACGAAGGCACGCCATGAAAGATGGCTAATCTTTCTTGGGCACAGAGTATCCTGTTTCTCCTGAGAGCAAATCCAATTGTGTATTCGAGGCACTTCCTTGTACCTTCCTTGTGTAATTCACGACGATGACCCATTTTACAGATGATGCAACTGAGCCCCCCAGGGGGAAGTGACATTCCTGAGGTCACCACTTGCAGCTGGGAAGGGGTGCAGTGTTAGGTTCCAACTAAAACATAGGTGATGCAGCATAGGCAAAGGGTGGAACTAGGCAAACCTTATTTGGGAAACAGAGTCCCGCAGGAGCTGCCTGCACTGGGAATACAGAGCCCAAGCAGCAGAGGCAGGGAGGGCCCCTCCTCTCCACACACATTGTCGGGAGGAATTATGTAGAACTCGGCCATCTGGGGGTCAGCAGGAACTGCTTGACCAAATAAATAGATGAGTCAATTAAAAAGGACGGATTTCTTGGCTATATATAGTTGTGGCCTAAATCTCAGGTATCCTTGCCCCCAAGGAGTAAAGGGAACCGTTTTCAGATGGCCCAGGCTGTACATGGGAGAATAAGCTGATTACACCCGGGGCTGCAGTGGGTGACACACTTTGCAGGAGTGAAAGGAAGCTCTAAGGAGGTGAGGGGTGGGTGGGGGACTCGGGGCAGGGAGGGTGGAAGGCAACAATTGCGTTTCCAAAAATGGTGTGGGTTGGGAGACTACCCATGGTCCTTCCCCTCATCAGTTTCATTGAGATTGGTCACACCCCTGGATATCAGCCACTTAATTTCTCTGGCCAGTCTGAATTTAAATGGCTAAACATTTCTTCCCTAGCCTGCGGGGTCAGTAGTTAGTAATCACGGCAGGTATGCATGACTCTCACCAATTATGAGTATAATTAAATGGGAAGATGCCTTGCAAGCATTGAGCACTGGGCCTCGCGCAGCCAGGGCTGTTAGCTGCTGCTCTTATGATTGAGGCCAGCTGCCACCCGGTCCGTGAAAATACTTTTGATCTGGGCTGATTCAAGAGACCTGGATTCTAATCCTTGAGTTAATTTGAAAAATAATTCCCCTGCCTCCTGCTGGTTTCAGTTTCCCCCTGTGTCAGGTTGAGGGGGAGAGACTTCCTGGTATCTAAGGTCACAGCCAGGCGGTGCCCCAGAGCGCAGTGGTTACCGATCCAGACTCCAGTCCACCACTTCCTGGCTGTGCAACCTCGGTCAAGTCGCTTATTGATTCTGAGCCGTAGTTCCTCATCTCCATTTGGGGTAAGTCCCCCCCCAGCCATCCCAAAGGGTGGCTGGTTAAGGATTGGGTAAAATACTGCGTCCACCTGCTGATCCCCAAACTGCACATGCAAGCCTGCAGCCCAGGGAGCTGGGATTGGCCACGAGGTTGGAGGATTTTGCATACATTTAAAGCATTTCGAGTGTGCTTTTAAGCCCCATTAGACTCTAAGATGCTACACAGTCTCGCTACTTTCGGACTAATTAGGAGAAAAGTAAGCAGCTGTAATCAGTGAAAAATGATTTAAGGAAAGAAAAAAATATTTAGCCTGATTAAAACATTTCTATTAGCTAGAATTATGTAAAGTGCCCGTCACAGTGCCAGACAGACAATGTCAGCTGCAGTTATTATTTCAGTTATACAAGAACAGGTGGAATTAGGAGAACCAAGGGTTGCTATGACAATAAGCCGGGACCCTCCTCATCCCTACCTGGGAGGAGGGCTGGCCCTGCCCTAGAGCTTCCTGCGGTCTTGGTGAGGAAGAAGAAACTTCTGGGCCGGCTTCCCAGGGGAAGGTGCACCTGAGGATGAGCAGGAATGTGTCCTTCAGGGCCTGGGAATGGCAGGGCCTCCCAGAAACGGCGTGGCGATGGGGGTTCTGTGATAAAGGAACCCCTCTCTGGCTTTAGTTCTGCTGCAGAGCGTTCTTATGTGGTGTACTTTCCTGGAAAACACAGCCTCCCAGCACCCTGCGCTGTGCTGGAAGGAGCATTGTGACCTCATGCTCAGGTACTCTGAGGCACAGAGACCCTGGGTGCTGGGTGTCTTCCGCACTCTCTGGCTGCTTCTGTGCCTCAGAGTAGAAGCCCTTTGGGAAGACCTAAGAGCCAACCACAATAATTGCAGCTGTCCTGAGTCCTGCTACAGGCAGGCAGCTCTTCCAGATTAGCCCCAGCATGAGTAGATGTTCCCCTTCACACCTGGAGTTTTAACGTACACTTCTCTGGGCACCTGGCCCTGTCCTGAGAAATTAACCTGGTGGGATCGCCATCCACCCTGTGAGGTCGATGCCATTATCAGCCATGTTTTACAGGTGAGGAAACCGAGGCACAGAGCATATGCTGCCCACGGTTGCAGAGCTGGGGTTTGAGCCCCATCAGCCTGGCTTCAGAGCTTCCTGGCTAGCCCCGCCTTCCTTCCCAGGCCTCTGTCTGCTTACTATATGTGAACTCTGGGCATCAAGTTGTTGGGCTGATCTGTCATTCAATAATGCCTAAAGGAGGGGTCCCCGGTGCCCAAGGACCTTCAGCCAGGAGCTGTGGGGTTTCAAAGCTGCCATGTTGAGGGGTCCCAGTGTCTGACTTCTGCAGTTGCAGCCATCCTGGGGGCCACCAGCAAGGTAACATTCCTCTCCTGAAGGTTTTCTCTCCAGCTGCCCAAGGTGTCCCAGGGGCCAGCAGGTGGAGAGAAGCTGCCTGGCCACCCTGCTCCAAGGAGCTGCCCTGCTCTTCCCTCCTGTGGGTTGTTGGGGTTGCTCTGCAGGTCCACAGCAAAGTCCTTTTCTACTCTCGAGTCCAGTTCCCAGCCCCTGTAACTTCCATCTCCCCAGCTTAGCAGGTGCCACCATCCCAAGGGCCAGAAGGGTACTCAGTACTTTGCATGGGGAACTGCAGGCCCTGATCTGGCCCTCGGCTCCTCCACTCTGCTTTCTGCCCTGAGATGCTCCCCTAACTGTATCCTAAGGGCTAGGGGAGGGAGGTGATGGCAGGTTTTCACATCTGTGCTCAGATCCCCAGGGACCCACCAACACAGGGGACCCACATTGCTCAGCAAGAATATTGATGGGGACCCCAGGATCCCCCAGTCACATGCACTGCAGAAGAGGAGGCTGGCCCCTGAGAGGCCTGGGAGAGAGACAGTTGGAATAGAAGGGAGGGGGCAGCTAGGAGGAGGCCCAGCTGTTAGGGTGACACCCTGAATCTCAGAAGCGGTTGGCCAGTGTTTGAGCCCTGGTCTTGGCCCTGTAAGATGATCTGTAAAGCACTCGGCGGGCATGGTGCCCAAGAGATGCTCAGCAGGGCCTCGGCTCAGAGCCCAGGCTGCCCATGAGTTGAGGAAGAATGCCGGTCAATTTTGTCATCATCCTGATAGCTTGAACTTTCTAAGTGCCTGCTGTATGCCAGGCACTGTTCTAAGCAGTCCATACATGTTTGGTTCTTTAATCTCTCAACAGCCTCACAACTTAGGTACTGTTATTACTCCCATTCTATATTTGAGGAACCTGAAGCAGAGACAGGTTTATTTATGGTGTACAACTTTCTCTCCTGGGGAGGGTGCCTTTGCTGAGAGAGGGGCCCTGTGTGCAGGTGTGTGGGAGGGACATTTGGGACCCTGCACCTCCAGGCTGCTGAGTCTCCTGAGAGCAGTTCTGAACCACAGTCCAGAGCAGGGCAAGCCTCACCTTGGTCAAGCAATGTCACCAGAGCCTCCGCTGGCCTTTCCTGCCATTGTTCCCTATGCCTGGGGAGGTGGTGTTTAAGGGACAGGTGTTTCTGCTGTTGGGGAAGTCCCACCTGCTGCCTCCACTGGAGAAAGTGACTCCTCTCTGCTGGGTGACAGTGAGGGGAGCCCCTAAGTCCCAGGCAATGTGCCTTGCAGCTCATTCCTGTCCTTAGAGACACTGCCTGGGGCCTGCTCAGCTGAACTGTGCCCCTCGCCTGCTGCAGAGACAAGGCCAGGCTTCTTTTTCCCTCTGCACCCCCCTACCCCCAGGAATCGGGGTTGGTCTCCAAGGCTTCTCCCCCCAGTCTCAAACATGCAGGCCTCACTCAGCTGCCCAGCTCCAGGAGCCCTAGGTCACCCCTGCCAGCCTTTGCCTTGATTTCTCAAACTCCCTTTCTCTTTAGCAAGTGGATAAAGGCATGTTGGCTCTGTCCTGGGTCCACATCTGGGCTCTGCCACTTGCTATGGAGTAACCTTGGCCAGGTCATTCTCCTCTGAGCCTCATTTTCCTTATTTGTAAGTTGAGGGCCAAGGTCTTCATCTGCCAGGGCCTGGTGAGGAGCAGCAGCAATAGGGAATAAGAGACTCTCTGGCAAACTCTCAAGTCCGGGATAAATGGCTGTTGGGATGATCCTGGACTTAGTGAGGCTGGCAGAAGTGAAACTCAGCCTGGCCCAGCCCCTAGATGCTCACAGTCTGGCAGATGAGACGTCTGTGTGCACACACGCATCACATGCACGCACTGTCATGAGCCAGCCTTAATCTCTTTCCTGAGCTGATTTTGTTTGATGTTTTGCCCAGGTGCCTCCCAGTTCATTATTAGCACCGCCATTCCCAACCTCACCTGATTTTCAGATTCACCTGGGAAGCTGGTTAAACAGGACAGATTCGTGGGCCCCCACCTTGAAAATTCAGTCAGTAGGGCTGCATGGGCCCAGGCATCTGCATTTTTAGCCAGTGTCTCAGGCAACTCTGATGTTCCTCATGTGAGGATTTTGGTCATCCACTAGTCCCTCCTAAGATCCCACAGACTTCAGCAATGAATGACTTTACAGATTATGAGGCCCGCTTACAGGTCAAGAAACTGAGGTTTCCCAAGGAGAACTTTGAACTTTATCCAAAGTTGCACAGTTCTGAATGAGAGTGCAGTGTCTGGTGAATGGTGGGGGTGATTTGAGCTGGAGGATGCTAAACGGAAGAGTCTTGGGTGGGCGGGAAGGGCTTTTGCTGGGAGGTGACACTTGGACCAGGGTCTTCCAGGTGGGTGGGATCTACCTAAATGTAAGAGAACCCACAAACCAAGCACAGACTTGAAAGGGGCAGTGCCGGGGAGAGAGTCATGCTGGGCAAAAGGAGAAATAAGGTGGCAGAGATTGGGGGCAAGTCAGACAACTCTAGTGAGCCTGGGATTCCAAGAGGAGAAGTTCAGATTATTATCTAGGCAGCTGGGAGTCACTGATAGTTCTTGAGCTGGGGGCTGACATGGCAGGCATTTGGGGTTTGCTAGAAACAAACCCGGCTAAGCACGTGGGAGCAGAGGTCAGGGCACGCCTCCAAGGAGTTTCCAATGGTTGGTGTGGCCTCTTGGGCCACACCACGAGTGACAGGCCATCAGAAGGTATACCATGTCCCCAGCACCCCCAGAGTTTAAGCTAAATTGCAATGGAAAGTTGAGGGAGATGGCTACCACTGGGGGTTGCCCTGGGAGATGGCCCCTGCACGTAGGAAGACCACAGTTGAGAAGCGTCGGTCCTCCCTGCATCCTAGCCCCACCCGAGTGTGGATTTTAGCGCTGAGCTTTTCTTCTGGCTGAGCAGTAGCCGCTGTTAGGCACCATCTTGTAGTGCTGGAAGTCGCTGCCACCACTGCACCAACAGTTGCCAACCTGACAGAATTAGATATGAGCCTCATCCTCCCAAGTTTGGAAGAAGAGCTTATGTTCAGCCTCTGGCGTCCACTGTATCCCACCAAGTTGGGGTTGTCGGGAATGTCCCGCCCCTCCACCACATCTTTCAGGCCTCAGTTTCCCCTCTGTGAAATGAGTTCCCTCCAGCTCTGATGGGGCCGTCTGTGGAGGAGGCTAGAGACTGTAGCTTTGTCTTGTCACTGATCTGCTATGTGGCCTGGGCCTCAGTTTCCTCATCTGTAAAATGGGCTTGGATGTGGACGTGCCAAGACCTCCAAAGCCCCACTGTGAGTCTTTGATTTTGTGTGGGATCCCAGGGCATCCCCTGGCACTTGGCAAACCTTTAGGGGCAGGAAAAATTAACTTCAAAGTCATTATTGGAAGATGCTCAGGAATGGACATCGTTTAATGAAAAGTGATTTCCTAAAGATCTGGTGTTCATCTGTAGAGTTTTGACCATCTGATGGGAAACTGTGCTCAGATGTTGGGAGCACATCCTGGTCCACCCTTCCCCACTGTCCACATACCCCAGCATCTGTCATTGCAGTTTGCTCTGTCGCCCTCGTAGAGGAGCTCTCAGAATGCCTGACGTGGAAGGCTGTTTCTCCCTATGCAGAGTGTCCCCAGAGCCCTAAGCCCTAAACATTCCATCTGAAAAATCCTCATCGTGCTGGGCCTTGTATTAATACTAGGTGTCAGGAAGCAGGACCCGGGTGACTGGGGAGTAACAGACAGCAACAGTACAGGCTGGGAACGCAGGGACAGAGCTGTCCTGGAGGCTGTCCCATCGAGGCTGTGAGGGGTACCTGCTCATTAGGCAGGGGAAGAGTGTACCGGGCTGAGGGCACAGCACAAGCCAAGGGTGTTGGGGCTTGAGAAACCACAGCGTGTGCTTCAGGAACCCCTGGGGATCTTGGGCTGGTTCTGGATGGTGGAGGGGGCCTAGGAATCGGCTTCCAGTTAAGTAGAGCAGGCACCTGTGCTCCAGAACACAGTGGGCACCGGTGACCGACAGTGCTAGTTCCCCACCCTGTCTTGCTAAATCCCAGGCTGTTTGGTTCCTCTAGCACCACACTCTGGTCGAGCTGAATTTCTGAGTCCGAGTGAGGTGGGGCGGAGGTAGGAAGGAAGAAGAAAGTACATCCTCGTCAGGGGGAAAAACATGTTTAAAAGAGGAACAAGGAGGGGGAGGTTGTTTGCAAACATTTAATGAGGTAGGAGTTTCACATACTGTAGATGGGATATTGTGCCTACTTTAGAGAGGGTAACACTGAGGCTGAAGAGAGAAGGTGACTTGCCCAAGGCTGTACAGCAGAGCGCCCTGACTGGTTTCCATGGCACTGTGGCATCCGGCAGAGCCACAGTGACAGAGTTGGGGCTGGCCCGGCTCCTGCACGTGCACCCTTAGCTGACTCTGTCACTGGGGCCTGTATCCTTCCAGTTTCTATAGAGCAAGGGAGGGGCTGCCCTCTGCTTTTCATAGCCAACAAGGAGCAGGGCTTTAGGCTTCTTACAGCTTAAAAGGAGAAGGTCAAGGAAATGGCAACCAACCTTTCTCTTTTCTTGAGTTTCTTTTTTGTGGCCTCCAGAAATAATCCTGGGCTCTGCAGAGCCTGTTTCAGGCTCATGGTCTACCCTACCCCGCCCCCATTTCCGGCAAAACCAGGCTGAGGGCTGGGCTGCTAGCGAAGCTGACAGCAAGAGTGACAGCCCTGTCCTGTCGCTGGTGAGTCAGTGCCAGGAGGTGGCTGCCTGCTGACTCACCCACTCCTTCCGCAGGCTCCAGGGGCCCCTACAGCAGCCTGACTCCAGCCAGCCCTGGGCCATGGGGGAAGGAGATGGAAAAGGGGCTTGGCTCCCTCTGACCCTTCACCCAGCCCCTGCACCCTGGAGCAGAGCTGCAGGCAGTGTGACCGTTGTGCTGTTATTGGCCTAAACACATAGCAACAGGAAAACAACCCCAAAACCCCAGCCTTAAGAGCAAGTCCAACAGTGCGCGACTCCCCAGGTCAGGAGAAGCCCCGATGTGTGCAGAATCTGCAGATGGGGCTGCTCTCGGCCCTGCCTCTGGCTGTGGAAACAGGCCTCCAAGTACCCAAGGTAGGCATTTTGGTGGCCCTCCCCAAGCTCCTCTTTCTCCTCCAGCCCAGCTGTGGGTACCAAGTGCCCTGGAAGTCTACTGAGTGGTGTCCAGGGTCCCCTCAGACAGCATCCCAGAGACTTGACCTTCCTCTGTGTGTCCAGGCTGTCAGGCCCAGCTCTCAGGGACTCTTTGACCAGAGACGTCTTTGAAGCCTACCCTTGACCAGACACGGAACCTTGTCCTTCCTCTGAACTTGTAGAATAATTTTTGTTTCTTTAACAAAACGAGCCCCTCCCTCCTTCTCTAGTCGTTAGTGCTGTGAAGGTGGGACGTTAGTGCTGTGAAGGTGGGACGGTGACCCAGTACCCCTGTGATGGCCCTGGGCCAGGTGTGTAGCAGGTGCTCAGTCAGCCAGAGCTTTTGTTCCCTCCCGCCACCTCCCCCAGAGAGAATTGCCCCAGGTAAGCGAGTGCCTGCTCAGAGCAGAGTGGGCAGATGACTTCCCAAGAGCACATTACAGCAAAGGGTGACCCTGTTCCTTTCAAAGCATGGCTTCACCCATGGAGCCGGCAGGGTTTGGGCTTCCTGCACAAGGATGTTGTGTTTGTGCCACCAGTCTTAGGTGTTAGGTCCTTGGTCAAGGGGAAGACATTCTGGCCACCCACCCCGCAGGTTCTCAGCTCATGGTGAGGAACCCAGGCGGCCGAGGTGTGGGGTTAACGACTCTACAGGCCCCACCAGAAAGTGTTAGCTGAGCACGGTAGCTCCCATCTATAATCTCAGCACTTTGGGAGGCCAAGGCAGGTGGATCACTTGAGGTCAGGAGTTTGAGACTAGCCTGGCCAACATGGTGAAACCCCATCTCTACTAAAAATACTAAATAATTAGCTGGGCGTGGTGGCAGGCACCTGTAATCCCAGCTATTCAGGAGGCTGAGAAACGAGAATCTCTTGGACCCAGGTGGCGGAGGTTGCAGAGAGCTGAGATCGCACCCTGCACTCCAGCTTGGGCAACAGAGCTAGACTCTGTCTCAAAAAAAAAAAAAAAAAAAAAAAAAAGTCATAAGTACCTGCAGGGAAAAACCCAACATGGGCCCTTAAGTTCCCTTTCAGAGTAGAAGGGAAGGGTTGGTGGTCAGGGACAATCCAGGGCTTTTAGCCAAAAGCGTTGAGCCCTCACTGGGGCAGCACAAAACTTGGGATAAATCCAGGTTCTAACTCTGGCCTTGGGGGCCCCGTCCCCTCTTCCTCTCTGCCACACTCTGGCTTTCTGTTTCTTCACTATGTGCACCATGGCCCTCTTTACACCTGCTGTTCTCTGCTCTTAGAACAGTGTTCCCCCAGTTCTTTGCCCCCAGTTCTTTGCCTCAGCTTCAGTGTGGCTAAAAGCTTGTTCCCTAGAGCCGAGCTTCTGGGTTTGAATCCAGCTGTATGACCCTGGGCAAGTGGCTTTACTTCTCTGGGCCTCTTTCCATCATCCGGGCTGGTGAGGAGTAAGTGAGTGAGTTGGTGTCTGGAAAGGGCTTGGCACAGGGCCTGCCCACAGTGAGTCCTCAGCGAGCTGCTGTTGTTATGAAATGTCACCTCCGCAGAGGGGCCTACTTTGTTGTTTTCTGTGTGCTGGGCACTGTCATAAATAATTGCTCATTTATGTGTTTAGTGTCTATCTCCCCTTCTGCAGGTCAGCTTGGTAGGGCTCACCCACTGTCTCCAGTTCCTAGAGCAGTGCCTGGCACATAGTAGGGTGAGTTAACAGCCACTGCTTGCCAAAGCCACTCAAACCTTTGTTCTAACCCTGGACCTCTGAGATGCAGAGGGGAAGTGACTTGGCCTGCATGACCCAGCTTTCTGACCTCGCCCACTGCCCTTTCCCCGACTTAGCTGCTTGGGCTCTGCTGTGGGGCACCTCCGTTTGGAGTATGGTGTGTGCCTCAAACACCTTCATCTGGGGCAGCGCCAGCCACCCTGCCTCATCCTGGCCCTTCTCAGGCCATCCTGCCACCGGGAGCCTGCCGTGCCTCCACCCCTCCCCCTGCAACTGGCACGGTGGCACTCTCCTTGCTGCCTCTCCTCTGCTGCCAGACTGTGGTTCTCTGGGGCTTTGGGCCAGGTCCTGCCACTTCCAAGGAGATGATAAAACAGTTTGGACCCAGTCCCCAGACCTTATGTTCACCTGCCAATGTTTTTATGAGGGGAAGGTGACAAGTTGGCTGTCTATTAGACTCATACCGTGTCTCGCCACCCCCGGCGTTGTTCCAGAGGCTTGTTCTTTGCAAAACCTGCTCACTGTCATCCACTCTTCCCCAGCAAACCACAGACTAAGAAGAACTACGTGGTCTGGCTGGTCCCCATCCAGAGGTCACCTTGCCCCAGGGTGGCACCAAGGTCATGGAGTTGGGACGTGGGTGCAAATCCTGGCCCACTGTCCTGTAGCTGTGGGACCTGGGATAAGGCTTCCCCCTTCTCTGAGCCTCAGTCTCCTGATCTGTGAAAGGCAAGGCTGATGAGGCCGGGGGTGAGGTAGAGGCTTTTCTGCAGGGCTTAGTGTGATCCAGGCAGGAGGCTTCTAGCGGAGGTCGGGGGTCTCTGAGGGTAGACCCGTACTTTGGTGGGGTGGAGGTTGCAGTTAAATCAGGAGAGGGGAGGACCTCACCCGAGGATGCTGAACCCCAGGTAGATAACAAGCCCCTGTCCCAGAGACGGCATGCTGAAACGATTTCCTCAACAGAATTCACTTTCACTACGACCAGAATATTTTTGCTCATTGTTTCGGCTTTGTTCCGGGCAAAACAATGCCTGGCTTCCTGGATGACCTCACCGGGACAAGCCATCAGGGCTGTAGGCCAGCCTGGTCAGCATCTCCGCACGAGCCCATTCTTCCCTTTGCCACGGCCACCTTAGGTGACCTGGGGGCAATAGTGTGACCAAAGAGAGCAGACTGGCCACAGGCTGAGTCTGGCCCCCTCTGTGTTTGTGTTTGACCCAGGTGGTGGTTTAGAAACTGAAAAATGTGTGTGTGCATATAAACCAGATTTCAACATCTCTTGAGAAGCTGGAGGATCCAGCCCCAGTGGGCACCAGTCCCGAAGGCACCTGCAGTAGTGGGAGCTAAGGAGAGCTGCCTGTGAGAGTCCAGACTCCTCCTGTCCCCTGGTTCCCACTCTTCCCTGCGACCTCCCCACCCCAGTGGACTCCTGTCCTTTGCCCACCAGGCCTCTGGAGGCTTTGGAGCTCGCCACGCTTGAGTTAGCCTTTCCTTGGGAGCAGATAACCAACAGATACAGACCTCATGATACAATTCAATGATTCAATCTCTTAAAGGTGTACTTTTAAAATATATATAAAAGAGAAAAAGAAAGGCTTTGATTAATTTCCACTTAAAACAGCTACTCCACTTAGAGTGATGGAAAGAGCTTCTACTTTATTATTATTATTTTTTCATCTTTTTAGAAACAGGGTCTTGCTCTGTCACCCAGCCTGGAGTGAGGTGGCATGATCACAACTCACTGCAGCCTCCAACTCCCGGGTGCAAGTGATCCTCCTACCGCAGCCTCCTGAGTAGCTGGGACTGCAGGCGCACGTGACCACACCTGGCTAATTTTTTTTTAACTTTTTGTACAGACAGGGTCCAAATGTGTTGCCCAGGCTTATCTGGAACTCCTGGCCTCAAGCCACCCTTTCACTTCAGCCTTCCAGAGTGTTGGGATTAAAGGTGTGAGCCACCACGCCCACCCAGGAATAGCACTCTTAACAACAACTCCCTTTTTTTTTTTTTTTTTTTTTTTTTTTTTTTTTTTTTTTTTTTTTTTTTTGGTGCTTAATTGTTAAACACTAGGGCCAAGGAGAGTGCCCTTGGCAGGCATCACTAATAGATCCTGGCCATCCTGCTCACTGAGCCTGTACCTAGCCCAGAATCTATGGAGACAGTGGTCCAGGGAGCCCCATCAGAGTTCCCTGTTTGCTAGAGGAGGGCTCCAGTCCAGCACGCCATCTGTCCTGCCTGAGTCTGTGCTGTTTCATTAGCTGGCCTGGCCCAGCCCTGTGGCCCTTGGCACTGACTGCTCCCCAGGCCCTGTCCAGCCTCCTGAGCCCCGTCTCCATCATGTGGCCCTTCACTTCCCTGTTTGCCTTTGCCTAGTTCCCCAGTTTGTCAGCCGGCTTGCAGCTGGCTCCTTAAAGACACCAGACCCCATTTCATTTGATCCATAGCAGCTACAGTAGTTGAGAACATGGACTTCAGAGGCCAAGACAGACCTGGGGGGCATTTGGAGCTTAAGTGGCCTTTTCCTCATGTGTGACTGTGGACAAGTGACTTCACATCTCTGTGCTTTATCAGCACAGGAAGGATGGGAGCAGCACCCACTGAGGGGATTAGCTAAGAAAATGAAAATGTGCTTGTAGTCAGTGCTCTTTTTAAAAAGATGCATATTCTGCTTGTGTATATGGTCAGTGCTTAATAAACACAGCTATCTTTTTCTTAAAAGTAACTTTTTTTGTTTTTTTTTGGAGACAGGGTCTCGCTCTGTCACCCAGGCTGGAGTGCAGTGGGGCAATCATGGCTCACTGCAGCCTTGACCTCCAAGGCTCAAGTGACCCTCCCACCTCAGCCTCCCGAGTAGCTGGGACTACAGGCATGTGCCACCACATCCAGCTAATTTTTGTAGTTTTTGTAAAGATGGGGTTTTGCCATATTGCCCAGGCTGGAAGTTTTAAAATTGATAAATAAAAATTGTATATATTTATGGTGTATAACATGATGTTTCACATCTGCGTATGTTGTAGAATGACTGGATCAAGCCAATTAACTTACGTATCACCTCGCTTCCTAAGCATTTTTTGTGTGTAGTGAGAACGCTTAAAATCTACTCTCAACAGTTTTCAAGTATACAATATGTTATTAATTTTAATCAGCATGACACCATGACATACATAATAGATCTATCAAACTTACTCCTCGTACATAACTGAAATTTTGTGGTTTTTGACCAGCAATTCCCCAATACCTCTAACCATCCACTTTTTCTTATTTATTTATTTATTTATTATTTTATTTTATTTTATTTATTTTATTTTTTTGAGATGGAGTCTTGCTCTGTCGCCCAGGCTAGACTGCAGTGGTGCGATCTTGGCTCACTGCAGTGTCCGCCTCCCGGATTCCAGCGATTCTTCTGCCGTAGCTTCTTGAGTAGCTGGGATTACAGGAGTGCATCACATCATCTGGCTAATTTTTTTTTTTTTTTTTTTTTTGTATTTTTAGTAGAGATGGGGTTTTACCATGTTGGCCAGGCTGGTCTTGAACTCCTGACCTCAAGTGATCTGCCCACCTCGGCCTCCCAAAGTGCTGGAATTACAGGCGTGAGCCACCACGCCTGGCCCACTTTTTCTTTTTTTAAAACAAACACAGGGTAGAATGGTTGCCACAAAGTATAATAGAATTGCAATGTGGCTGTTTTTTTTTTTTAAAGCTACTATTTATTGATCAATTGGTATGTGCTGGGCTGTGTGCTGAATAACATTAGGCAGCATCCTGCTTAGTCCCTGGTCTTGTTTTTACCCTCATTTTTTACCAGTGAGGAAGCGGAGGCACAGAGAGGTTGTTACTTGCTCTGGGTCACACAGCTTAGTCATGGCCTCAGCCCAGAATCTGGCTCTGGAATGGGCAGAAAAGTGAGGAAAGGAGAGAGATGCCTGCTGTGGAAAGGGCGGGGCAAGGGGTCCAGCCAGGCACTTGATTCCACAGCAAGCCTAGTGGGCAGGGAGTTGTTTAGGCCTCAGTTTTCCCCACCTGTAGAATGGATGTCATCCAGGTCTCTTCTTGCCCCTGTTCTGGGACTCTAGGAGCTGCTTGCCCAACCCGCTGATCAGTTTGCTTAACCAAGAGGTTTGCTGAGAAACCTGGCCCAGAGATCCTTCTTAAAGGCCAGGTATGTGCTAGGCAGTTTGGGATGGGAGAAGCAGGCAAAATAGGAAACAGACAAGGACCTGGCCTCTTCCTAAAAGCATGGCAGAAGCTCCTGAGTGGTTATGCCATTGACAATATGAGATTTAAATCATTGTTCTCCACCAGAAAGAGACATGTAGGACACTGGTTGTTAAATTGAGAAGTGCAGGGTCTGCAGGACGGCAGGGCAGGTGCAGAGAACTCTCGAGCCTCTGGGAAGGTTGCCCAGGAAAAATAGAGGCAAGGGCTTGACTTTCCCCAGAGCCTTGGACTGAGGTGGTAGATGCTGGGGGAGGCAGCATCTGCAACTCAACTCAAAGCCCAGCTGGCTGGTGCTCAGGGCACCGGGAGGGATGCAGAGCAAGATATAGGGGTCCCCATTTGCAAGCAGTGCAGAGACCTCTTTCTAAGCTTTGCTCGGTGCCGGAGGCCCAGGTGGCCAGGTGGGAACTCTGGCCTTGAGCCTCTCTCTCCTTTCCACCCGTGTGTGTAGCCTCAGCCAGGCTGCTCGCTTCCCTGCGTGAGCCTCAGCTTCCTTTATCTATAAACTACCAAAGTCTCTTCCACAATAGGAGTGTTGGAGAATAGGAAACTGTGTTCATAAACAGCTCAGCCCCCAGAATAAGTCCTCACAAATCTTAATATTAAACAGGGAGACAGCAAAGGGATATTGTGGCAAGCCATGGCATCGCTGGCACGGGGCTGCACCTGCCTGCGTGTGTGTCAAATCTGACCAGGTGATCTGCAGTTGGTTTCAGGCACAGCTGGCTCTGGCTGTCACCTCTGGAACACAGAGACAAGGAGAATGTTTAGCTGGGCACAGGGAGAGGCTTCATCCCATAGCCTCTGTATCAGTCAATTCTAATCACTTGTAGCTGTAATAACCAAAGAGGAAGCTCTTAAAATGGGGAATTATGTATCTCGGCTGCTGCAAAATAACCCTGGGCCCAGTGCCAAGGAAAACAGCCCTTGTCGGCGGGTGCAGGGACGCCTGTGGAGGAGGACTCGCTCCTGAGTACTCACTGCGCAGCGGGGTGACCACTTGTGTGTGTGTGAGGAAGCTGGGGTGACTGGCCTAATTGCAAGTTTGCAGAGGTGCACAGAGATACTCCGGGGACTCCCTGGAGGGTGTCCTCTGAGGTCAGACTGAGCCGCAGAGGGACAGTGGAGGCTAAGCTCCTAAGGGTTTGGATACATCACGGTCACTGTTACTCCCAGCGGAGTGACCTCAGGGCGTCTCTTGTCATCTCTGGGCCTTATTGATCTCACCCTGGGGAGGATGAAGGCTTTATATACCCCAAGGCCAGGGGTGGACTGGATAGTAGTGATAGCGGTAGTAAGAGGAGATAGTCTCAAGTCATAATGTAGTTGCTGTGCATGGAGTGTGTGCCACATCTTGTTCTAAGCACCTCCTGTGCACCCCCCCTCATTTAACCCTCACAACACTCCCACAGGGAAGGTACAGTTACCCCATTTTACAGATGAGGACACTGAAGACTAGTGGGGTTGAGTGACTTGCCTTAGGTCACCTGTTTGGGGAAGTGACTTTCAGCTTCTGGGTTGAGGCTTATATTCTGGTCCCTGTAGGGGCCAGGGTGCCTGGGGCAGCTGGCAGGGAGCCAGGGGGCTTTTTATACTGCGGCTCCAACAGCCAGTGGGGAAGGTTCAGAGGGGACTGAGCCTGAGCAGTAGGAGGGACTAAAGCAGTTCTGTGTGGCCCGTGTCCCAAGGAGAAGGGGAGAGGGAAGATGGGGCCAGAGGGTCGGCAGGGGCATGTGCTGGGACCTGGTGGGCAATGGTGAGGAGCCTGTGTTTTCTTCTAGGGGTGAGCAAAGGGTTGGGCGGGGGCATGAGGACCTGATTCTGCTTTTTAATCTGCCTTCAGCTGCTGCATTGAGAATAGATCAGGGGCGGGCAGAGTAGCAGCAGGGAGACCTGTGAGGAGGCTGCCACAGATGCCAGTGCAAGGGCTGAGGGGCCTGTAGCTCGTGGTTGCCATGGCGATAGAGAGCTGTGGGTGGATGCCAGGAATGTACAGGCGGGTCTTGCTGGAATGGGCTTCTTCAGGGGCAGGGCTGCTGGCTGTGTGTTCTTCAAGGCAGGTGGACCTGTGACTGCAGCCCCCACAGGTGGAGAGGTGGGTGCACCTTAGAAATGAGGAGTTGGGAGACCCCCACCATGCCAGGCACGTGACAGGTCCCCACTCTGCCCTGTTGAAAACCCCCACCCCCATCCTGGCTCAGCCCCAGGTGGTGGGACGATGGGGTCCTGAGTGTGGAAGGGGGTGGAGGCTTCATTTTGTAGGAAATCAGAGCCTAGAGCAAAGGGACTTGGGGAACCCCAGTTGCTCCTCCTCCATGTTTCTAGAGGGTTCTCGAATATTAGTGTGGCAAGTGGGTCTGTGTGCCCAGAGGGCAGAGCCGGGACTCTCAGGGTAGCCGCAGTGAAGCAGACCCCAGCTCCTAGCGGGGATGGACTTGGCCCATCCCAGCTGCCAATGAGGTCATGAGCTTCTGGGTGAGGAGGCTCCAGGGTCATTTCCTGAGAAACACCTTCACTCGGAGGGAGTTGAGTCTCACATCCTCCAATTATGCGCCCACCGAGCCAGCCCACAATGGGCTGCCCTGATAACCATCGGGGGGCTGTGCAAGTCAATGCTGGAACAATGCTGGCTGCTAGGACTATTTTTACAGTAGCCATTGGCCTGTCGAATCCCGCGCCCGGCCCCGAGGGAGCAGGGCAGAGAAAGGCGGCGCGGATGCTCTGGCAGACAGAGGAAGGGCTCCATGAGCTGCCCAGAGGCTTCAGGAAGCCTTTCTTGGTCTGCTGGCCGCCAGATAGTGAAACAATTGGGGTCCCCCACCCCGAGCCAGGGAGAGGAAGGAGGTGTGGGGGAAACGGGGGTTTTGTTGTGCTTTTGTGCCTCTGTTCCTCGAGCACAGCCCCTGTGGGCCCAGCAGCTGGGGCCAAGCCAGCACATCCCCTCTCCACACCCCAAGTCCTCAGGCAGCTACTGCCTCACCCTGCCTGCAAGGCCCTGAGGCCAAGTGACTCGCCTGGTCACAGGATTGGCAAAGCCAGGGTTTGCAGTTGTCACCAGCTGCCTGTGGATGCCACTCTGGGATCCACCTAACCCAGCAGCTCTTGCCTGACACCCTACTGTGTGCCAGGCATGGCGCCTGGCTCTGGGACACAGTTGTGAGCAAGGCAGGTGTGGTCCTTGTCCCCAGGAGCCTCTATTCTAGTTGAGGAGATAGACGACAGGGAAGCGAGGAATTGAACAAGATACTTTCAGGTAGTGTTTGGTTCTCTGATGAGAAGACAAACTCAGATGCCCACTGGAGCCAGCCAAGCGAGTGTGTCCTGAGCTGGGTGGTGAGCTGGCCAGGGTGTGGTCGTGTGACAAGGGTCACGTGACAAGGTGGTCACATCTGCTCCAGTCAGCAATCGCCATGAGGAGTATGAGCTCACTGTGGTCCAACCTTCCAATTTTTCAAGAGAACTCAGAATTCTTGACTTTTCTCTGAAATCTGATTATTTCAGTGTTGGCCACCAGTTTGATCATGAAGACAAACAAGTTGTGTCCCAGACTGCTTGGCTCTGAGTCAGCCACTTCTGCTGTCATCCTTTTTATTCTGCAGATGGGGAAACTGATGCTCAGAGAGGGGCGAGTAGGCCTAGTAGCTCTGGTTTTCCCAGCTCATCCGTTTTCTGTGTCCCTCTGTTATGTTGTGGGTCAGCCCTTGAAGGCAGGGGACCCAGCCTTGAGCTGTTTCCTCACGCTGTGGGCTAGAAATCAGGATGCTCTTGGTAACCCTTGTCAGTTCTCAGAGAGCCAGGGGTATCCACCTTCTGCACAGACGGCCACACTGGGTGTGACTGTGGCCCTCAGGGTCGAGCTGACAGGGTGAGTGAGCACTTGGGGACCTTAGGAAGTACAGAAAGAAGAGGCTCTGGCCTGGCTGGTGGCAGACCTCCCTCTAGACTGGGAGCCAAGCATAAGTGGGCTGAGGGTAACCATGAACAGCTCCGGGGGCTTAGAGATTTGACCTTCTCTGGGGCCTCCCGTTGGCCAAACCCAACAGGGAGCCGGAGGGCAAGGGAACCTGGCTTATAGGATCTACAGGGTCAGCCCCTGGAATCACAGCAAGCCAGAGGATGGTTAGAGAAGGGTGGACAAATGGGGATGAACAAGCACACTTGCATAATCCTCACCAGTGCAAATCCCTTATTTTTTTCTGCTAGAGATGTGACTGGTTAATAAATTGCACATCTATTTCATAAACATCCATTCTCTATACTTGGATGGCAACCCATCTCAAATATTGTTTCCATTCCAGCCTGAAACCCCATTCCTCGTTCGTTTCCGTCTATCTGTTTTTTTAACTTACAGTTATAAATGGTCATCCCTGTGGGCTGGGCACTGTATTAAGGCATTTGCAAAAGAGGAGCCTCCATTTTTTTAAATACAAATCCAAATTTAGAAAATAGTATCTGTTAATTTCTAGAAACTGCTTGCAGGCTGTTATTTGGCAGATGCCTAGAACTGCCTGGGTGTGTTGTGTTTTGTGAAAGACGATGCTAGGGCTGGGGTGCAGGCTGAAGTGTGACACCCAGACGACAAACCTGGGGGCCTCTGGTGCTTCTCTTCAGCAGGTGCCCGGGGAATGGACCTGCCGATTCTGTGGGTTGCAAGTGTCCACAGCCTGAATCTTGAGGTCCCTGGTCCATGAAGGGGTCTGAATGACTCCTGATGTTGCTGTCAAAGCATTGGACAGACAGGGATGCCAGGCCCCTTGCCACAGGCCCGGGCAGGTGGGAGCCGGCTCGTGGATGAGGAAGCAGAGATTGTGTCTGAGACATACAGGTGGTCCCTCATCAGCTGCAGGATGCTTCTCTTTTGTCCCCCATAGAAAGCAAGGAGATGGCCACCAAGGAGAAGCTGCAGTGTCTGAAAGATTTCCACAAGGACATCCTGAAGCCCTCACCAGGGAAGAGCCCAGGCACGCGGCCTGAGGACGAGGCTGAGGGAAAACCTCCGCAGAGGGAGAAGTGGTCTAGCAAGATCGACTTTGTGCTCTCTGTGGCTGGCGGCTTCGTGGGCTTGGGCAACGTCTGGCGCTTCCCGTACCTCTGCTACAAGAATGGTGGAGGTGAGCTTGGGCCGGGCCACAGGGGAGCCCATCCAGTACAAAGCCGCCTTAGAGCTGGAGGCTGGGACCAGAGCGTGGGTGGCCTCTCTTTCCCTGCTTTCCCTGGCCCCCCCCCTTGACCTCCATGAGGTCAGCCTGCCATGCTCCTGCCAACCCCACCCTTAGAGACAGGGGATAAGCCCGACTGAGAATCAGAGTACTGTTCTGCAGGGCCTTTCTGTGTTACCTTGAGCAGGTCCCTCAGCCTCTCTGGTCCTCCAGTTTGCCACCTCCAAAGAGGCAGGACAAGGCCAGGCTTGTGTCTCCCAAGCCCCAGACATTCACACACCTCCTTATCTGTCCGCCATATCTACTTGCCTCTGACTCTTTATCTTTCCTTTAATATTCATGTTTGCTTTTCTAACTTTACCAAATGTACTCCAGAAAGCAAATTCTGTTACCCGCTGTAGATGGAAAACTGGTATCATTTGTCATGCTCCAAAGGTATCCAGGAATAAAAAGTACAGTGAAGATATTTTTTAAATGTAGTGACTGCACTTGGTTGGGTTGATGAGTTGGTTGGTTTGGGTTTTTGGATTTTGGTTTGCTTTTGTTTTTGTGTTTTTGCCTGCTGAAGGCTCCGAGCAGGAACCCTCTGACAGGTCTTCTGTTACGGGGTTGTGTTGAGGTCAGGCAGCACCTAACGGTGGTTTCTTGCTGGTGCCATGATGGGGTTGAAGAGAACCGGATAGGGAGGAACTGCTCACGGCTGGTGACTGCTTGTTGTCAAAGGCTTGTGTGTCAGCAGAGATGGGCATGCCTTGTGCTGCCCACATTAGTAGAACCACCTTTTGGGGAATTTTCCCTTAGAGCCTGGTTTCTTAACCTTTTGTAGGTCTCAGGCCCCTTTGGGACTGTGATGAGTGTCCTAGACGCTCCCCAGAACAAAGCACATACACTAGACCCAAGTTGCCCACAGTTTCAAAGGGTTTATGGACCCGCTGAAGCCATTAGTGGACACCAGGTAGGATCCCCTGCCCCAATGCTTTGCCCCCCCATTCTTCCCCTTGGTCCCGCCCCCACCGGAGATGCCTACCCTCTGCCCCTTACCACCTCACCCTTCCTAGCTGGTGCTTTTCTGCCTCCTGCCCTGGGCAGGCCTGGGGAGGGTAGGTGAAGGCCCCAACAAAGAGGCGACGTGTGAGTGGGTCTTAAGAGGCCAAGCCGTCCTTGTTCAGGGGACGGATGTGGAGGAGACAGGCAGGCAGTAGGCACAGCTGACATGAAGGCTCTGAGGCAGCCGGGCGCGGTGGCTCACGCCTGTAATCCCAGCACTTTGGGAGGCCAAGGCGGGCGGATCACGAGGTCAGGAGATTGAGAACATCCTGACTAACATGGTGAAACCCTGTCTCTACTAAAAAACAAAAAATTAGCCGGGCGTGGTGGCGGGCGCCTGTAGTCCCAGCTACTCGGGAGGCTGAGGCAGGAGAATGGTGTGAACCCAGGAGGCGGAGCTTGCAGTGAGCCGAGATCACGCCACTGCATTTCAGCCTGGGTGACAGAGCAAGACTCCACCTCAAAAGAAAAAAAAAAAAGAAAAAAAGAAAGAAAGAAAGAAAGAAAAAAAAGAAGGCTCTGAGGCTTGAAGTCCCTGGTAGATTTGAAGGTGAGAGGGAGGGCACACTGGAAAGGTGAAACCAGCTGGCCAGGTGGGCAGGGCCTGGAGCATTTCCCACCAGGTCCAAGAGTTTGGCCTTGAGCCTCATGCCCCTCATGCATTCTCTCTGGTTCCATTGGCTGGGAGGGCTTGGGAGCCTTCTGCGTCGGCGCTGCCATGGCCACAGCCTCACTTTTGCCCATTCTGCTCTCTGCAGGTGCGTTTCTCATACCGTATTTTATTTTCCTGTTTGGGAGCGGCCTGCCTGTGTTTTTCTTGGAGATCATCATAGGCCAGTACACCTCTGAAGGGGGCATCACCTGCTGGGAAAAGATCTGCCCCTTGTTCTCTGGTGAGTATGGGACGGAGGTCACTTGGGGCCTGGCACTCATCAGTTCCACACATTTTTATTGAGCACCTATTGTCTGCCAGGTCCATTGGAGCCTCATGCACATCACTTAGCTCTATGCTGACACAAGATAGCAGCCAGTACAGTACCAGTGTGATGCGGATGCTGCTGCTTAGGAGTACGGGGAAAGGAGATGTGGCAAGTGCCTAGCACGCAGTAGCTGCTCAGTAAGGCCCAGCATGCCCACTTCCCTAGGTTGTTGCATAGAGAAGCCTGCAGCTGCACTGTTCACAGTAGCAAAGACATGGAATCAGCCTAGGTGCCCATCGGTGGTGGACTGGATAAAGAAAATGTGGTGCATATATACCATGGAAGACTATGCAGCCATAAAGAATAGCAGTATGGCCTTTGCAGCAACGTGGATACAGCTGAAGGTCATTATCCTAAGTGAATTGATGCAGAAACAGAAAAACAAATACCACGTATTCTTGCTTATAGGTGGAAACTCAACCTTGGGTATACAGGGACATAAAGATGGGAGCAACAGACGCTGGGGACTCCACAAGGGGCGGGGAGCAAGGGCTGAAAGACTACCTATGGCATACTGTGTTCACTACTTGGGTGGCAGGAATCTATGGAAGTGCAAACCTCAGTTTCATGCAATATTCTTCTGTCACAAACCTGCACCTGCACCCCCTGAATCTAAACAAGAAAAAAGAAGCCTGTAGCTACTTGGCAGTAGAGTGCAGCAGATAAACATTCAGGTTCAGGAGGCTTTCTGTCTGGGTTCAAGTCTCATTAACTCCCCTTGATAGTTTTGTGACTTTGAGAAGGTCACTTTATACTTCAATTTTCTCATCTATGAAATAGAAATATAGTCGTATGTTTACTTCACAGGGTTGCTATGAAGACAAAATGACATAGCCACGTAGAATGCTTTGTACACAGTCAGCATCAAATGAATGGTAGCTTCCTTAGTCCTATGTTTAGTACTTAGTATGCACACAAAATAATCACTGTTATGATTTAATTGGCAGAGACGGGAGCATATGTGAGTCTCTTCATTCGGTCATCCACGTAAATCCATTTATCCTTAAGCCTTTCTTCCATTAAACCACTCAGTAATTAGACTATCCATCCATTTTCCATCCATCTATCCATCTATTCATCCTTCCATTCATCTACCCAACCTTCTAACCTACCACCATCCATACATCCATCTAACAAACTGATTATCTATGCAACAAATGGATATCTATCCATCAATCCAACATTCTTCAATTTAGCTGTTTATCCATTCATCTGGCCATTCATTCAATCATCCAACTATCCATCTGTTCATTCATCCATCTATTTATCTCATCTATTCAGCTATCCATCCATCCATCCATCCATCCATCCATCCATCCATCCATCCAAACATCCAACCATCCAACCATCCAATCAACCATCCTCTTTATTATCTATCTTTTCATCCATCCATCTATTTATCCATCCATCCATTGTTCTATCCCCCCTGCCCCCTGCCATCCATCCCATTTATCTAACCATCTGTTGTTTCACCTTTCCATTCAACCAGCCATCCATTCACCCTATAAATATTTGGTGGTCACTGTTGAAAGGCCTCTTGTGGCCTGGGGCCTGGGGATACCATGGCCTTCCAGTTGAGTATGTGGCCGTGGTGGGTCTGGCCTCCCTCAGATGTTTACTCATCTCATTTGCCCAACCTGCAGGTATCGGCTATGCCTCCGTTGTAATTGTGTCCCTCCTGAATGTCTACTACATCGTCATCCTGGCCTGGGCCACATACTACCTGTTCCAGTCCTTCCAGAAGGAGCTGCCCTGGGCACACTGCAACCACAGCTGGAACACACCTCACTGCATGGAGGACACCATGCGCAAGAACAAGAGTGTCTGGATCACCATCAGCTCCACCAACTTCACCTCCCCTGTCATCGAGTTCTGGGAGTAAGGCCACCTCATTGAAGCAAGGAGGAGGACATGGGTGGGGCAGAGAGGATGGCCCACTTCCTTATCTCCTCCCCTGGGATACAGGAGCCACTGTCTTCGGGGGAGTGGGAGGAGGGTGCAGATCTGGAGATAAATTTATGCCTTTGGCCATAGACAGGACTGGAATCCCAGTTCTGCCACTTACTGGCTGTTTGACCTTAGGCAAGCCACTCCTCCTTTCTGAGCCTCAGTTTCTTTACCTGTAAGATAAAAAGAATGAATCATTACTACCCTGTGAGGCAGGTATGCATACTTATGTTGTCTAAAAATGATACAGTTTTCTTAATGTATTTTAGGAAAAAATATATTCTGTTATTGCACAGAGAAAAATGCATATATGAAGCTGAAGTAGTTAAGTGGAAAGTGAGTAGGTAGAGTGAAAAAGATGCATCAGTTAGCTTTTGCTATGTAACAACCATCCCCAGACTTGGCGGCCTTAAACAACAACAATTTATTTAGCTCTTGATTGTTCTGCTTGTTGGCAGTTTGGGCTGAGCTTGGCTGGGCAGTTCTTCTGGTCTTGGTCTCCTCCACGTGTCTGCAGGCAACTGTAGGTCCTCCGGGTAGCTCTTCTGGGGTTTGGCCGGCTATTGGCTGGGGTGTGAGGGGCAACTGGTCCCTGTGGTTTCATCACCCAGCAGGCTAGCCTGGGCTTGTCACCGGCCACTAAGCAAGCACTCTAGGAACAAGAAACGGTCAATCCCCGAAACCCAAGTGCTTTTCAAGCCTCTGTCTGTATCATTTTTGTTCATGTCCCTTTGGCCAAAGAAAGCCACAAGACAAACCCAGATTCAAGAGGTGGAGGAAATAAATTCTGTCTCTTCATGAGAGGAGTGAAGAACTGTAGTCAGTAACTACAGGGAGGATACAGAGGACAAACATCAGAAAGGTGGGATGTGGAGTCCTGATCTTGGGGAACTCTTGAGTGAGCTGATGTGTGGAGACATTCTTCTAACATAGTGCTTAGAGGCTGATCAAAAATAGGCTACTGCATCATTTCCCTCTTCTTCATAAGCCAGCCTTGGGGCTCAGCACTCAAGTGCAGCCCCTTGACCCTGGAAATAACTGAGATGAGGCCTTGAGTGAAGGTTGTGAGCCAGGGGCAGGGGTGCTGTTAAGGAAGAGGGTGGTTCTGGTTCTGAATCATCACGAGATGACAGTCCCTGTCTTTTGTGTGTGGTTTTGCCATTTTCAAGGTGTTTACCCACCTCTTAGGAGCTGGCCCAGGAATGGGCCAGAGAAGAGGGAGCGGCCTACCGACTGGCCCCAGCCATGCTTTGGGGTCAGGGCTGGGACATCGTTGGCAAAGAAGGGGTCGGTTGCCCTCACTGGTGTGGAGCCCTTACTTGGTCGGTCCGTGTCACTGTCGCTGCTCCAGGCCTTCAGTGTATGCTCAGGGCAGGTCCTTAGGCCCACTGTCACTGGGGGTTCCTCTAGTGTGTATATTTTCCACTTACAAACAAAAGGGACATTGGAAGCACAATCATTGCCCCTCGGTTCCCCGCTCCCTGGGGAGCTGAGTTCACAGACAAAGAAAGGCTGGCACTTCCTTTTTCTCACTTGAATGGGGTCCAAGGCACAGCCTTGTCCTTTCTCTGCTGTTTTTGGAGTGGCCTGAAAACCGGGCCTTCCCCACTCCTGGACACTGGCACTCAGCCAGTTACTGAAGGCGTTTGCTGGGACCTCCTTGCCTCAGACATTGACTGGCCTGCCTGGGTTTGAACCCTCACTTTGCCACTTCTAGCTTAGGCGGAAGTATCCCGCTCTCTGGGCCGTGGTATCCTCACCTGCACCTGGGGAGATGGCAGTGCTGACATCCCAAGGTTGTAGGATGGCCCTGACTGCATGAGATCCTGGGTGGCCAGCCCTGAGAATCCATTATTATTATTATTATTACTGTTATTTTGTTTTTGAGACAGAGTCTCACTCTGTTGCCAGGCTGGAGTGCAGTGGCGTGATCTCGGCTCACTGCAACCTCCGACTCCCTGGTTCAAGCAATTCTCCTGCCTCAGCCTCCCAAGTAGCTGGGATTACAGGAACACACCACTATGTCCAGCTAATTTTTGTATTTTTGGTAGAGATGGGGTTTCACCATGTTGGCCAGGATGGTCTCAATCTCCTGACCTCATGATCTGCCTGCCTCAGCCTCCCAAAGTGCTGGGATTACAGGCGTGAGCCACTGTGCCTGGCCAGAATCCATTATTATTTATCGAGTGCCCTCATAGTGCATAAAACTACCCCTCAGGGCAGTTTCTTTGTGTGTTATGAACTTAAAGAATCACCCCCTATTGTAAAGGGGTCATCCTCTTCTGGGCTCTGCTTGTCTCGCTGTTGTCTAGGACCCAGGGGTCTTAGAGAGGGAACACTTGGGAGCAATGTGAGGTCCTCAGGTTGGCCAGTCCTCACTCACACCTTCCAGAGGGACCGGGCCCTCGGGGGTATTCTGGGACCCTTGCCTTCCAGAATCTCCATTCTGAGCACCCCAGCTCCATTTTCTGGCCTGGAAGACACTGAGACAGTATTTATCTTTGGAAAGTGTCTGGTTCTGCAGGCATCTTCCCAAGCTTCTGCATGATCCAGATGGATTTGCTCTGTCCAAAGAACCCTGGCTGCCAGCTTGGTACTCACCTCCCACTCCAGCTCTCACACCTCTCCTACCCCTGCACCCCTAGCCCCAGATTCCAGCAGAGCTTTGTGAGACCACCTGAACATTCACAAATAAGCTGCCCTCTTTCTAGAACCCTGGGGAAGATTGAGGGCCATGGAGCAGGAGCCTGGAAAGCAGGCTTAGGCAAGACCAGCACTGCCTCCTGTGACCTGCCTTCACAGCACAGGCCGAGGCCAGAGAGCTACACCAGGGGACAGCTCAGTTCCAGCCCTGAGCCAGGTGCCGTGGGCAAGAAAGACCCGGCCTCCTGCCTTCAAGAGCCTTCTCTTTTCTTGGCATGCAATGGTGGAAAGGCAAGAGAACCAGTAGGGAATAGTTGACTCCTGTGAGCATAGTACTAGGAACTTGCCCCTGTCATTTCTTTCAGTCTCTAAGTAGAGGAAATAGCTAGGCATCATCCAAAACTCTTCTTTCTACCTCAAATCCCACATCCAATTCACACATCTTCTTGGCTCCCCCTTCAGAGTATACCTACAATCTGAGCACTGTCCCCATGCACTGTCACCCCCATGGGACCCCCATCACTCTCCTGGACACCAGCACTGGCCTCTTGGATCTCTCCGTGCCTTATCCTTGCACCTCCGTAACCAATTCTGAATCCAACCTGTTAATTCCCAGCTCAGAACCCTCTCATGGCTTTTCCCATGCTATGATCTCACCCTGGCAGAAAGGATTGAGACTATTTCAACACAGCAAGTGCTCACTGGGTGCTGAATCTCCTCATTAGTTCCATGTCTTCATCCACCTGCGTGGAGCAGCAAATCACTACCTCTCTCTGGCTCACTTCCCCATCTGCAGATGGAGGAGCATATGAGCTGGGCTTTGAAGGATGAGTAGAAGTTCACTAGGCAGAAAAGGAGAGTGACAAGACAGTCTAGGTAGGAGGAACAGCCCATGCAGAGTCAGCATTCTGAAAGCACATGAGTATTTGGGATGGTTTGGCTAGAGCATAGGATGCACGGGTGAGGGCCAGGTAGGGCCAGGGAGAAGGGTCAAAGCCTTGAATGTTAGGCGGGTACATTTGAACTTTGTTCTCTTGGAGGAGGAACCATAGAAGGTATATGAGAAGGGAGGTGGTGTGACTGAATTGAATGTGATTTTTGGACATTCCTTAAGGAACACACTGGTGGGAAAGAGAGGCTGGATGTATGCTGAGCACTGACTGTATACGGGGCCTCGGAGACCTCAGCCTTCAGCAGGTCTGGGTTCCCTTTGGGTGAAACTTATCTGAATCCCCCTGAAGATAGCCACCAACCCTGCAGCGTCTGACCCTGGGGTTTCTCTCGAGTGAATCTTGTCAGGATTTTTTGCGCGTTGCTGTCTGGGAGCCAGTTGGGCGGCAGAGCAGTGAGGATACCCTCGAAGGTTGGTCTTGGTGACCCTCAAGCTGAAGCCCAGCCCCAGCTGTTGCTTCCTTTCACTTCTCTTATATGCCCCAGATGCATAGGTCCCTGGCCCGTCCTTTCCTTCAGCAGGAGTTGCTGGCAGGTGCTGCTGGCAGGTGCTCAGTAGTCTCTGGAAGTCAGGGGTACGAGGCACCAGGGGAGCGGAGCCATCTCCCAGCTTCTTCTGGGCAGGAAAGGTCCCTGTTGACCCTCCCTGCCAGCCCTTCCTCCCTCTGTTTTCACAGAGGAGGCAGCAGAGCAGCAATGGGTGACATTCCCCTTTCCTTGTGGGGGGAGACAAAGCTCAACTCTGGCTCCCACACATCCCAGCTGCACGACCTTGAGGCAGTGACCTCACCTCTCCACGCCCTCTTCTCTCCTCTGTAAACAGAAGTAGCGTGGTCCCAATGACTCACAGCCTGGCTTGAGTGTTTTGGAGCTAAGACCAGGGATGTGCTTTGCAGGGGGCCACGGGACACTGACGATGCAAGACGTGCAGTGCCCTGCCCGAGGTCACGTGCACAGCTAGAAGGAGCAAAGCTTCCAGCCCTGGCATTCAGCACTGCATCCTGCCTCCAGCTAACCTTTTGTCTGTGTCCCCACCAGCCACCAGCCCAGAGCCCGGGCCAGGCTTGGGAGCCCAAGTCCATGGTCACAGGTCACATTGTGCCACATGTGTGTCTCCCCGCTCCCAGGTTACTCTTGGGGTCTTCTCTCGGCCTGGACCCCCTACACCCACCCTGTGTGCAGTGCTAAGTCACCATTCTCAGCAGAAGCCAGTGAGCTGCACTTTCCCAGATCCTCATGAGAAGCCGCTGGGGCCCCAGAGACAGTCATTTCATGCTGGCTTTATAATTGAGCGCCGAGTTGCTCTGGGATGGGGAAGCAGAGCTTTTGTCCCCTGCTTCTCCTTGCTGTCTGGGGTCACCTCTGTCCCAAGGTCGCCCTGGAGGACAGGCGGGGCCAGACCTGGCCAGAGGCCCTCCATCAGGCTGGAGCCGTGCCTTCCTCCTAGGCTCCTCCAGACCCCCTGGGAGCTCGGCACGTATCATTAGACTTTATTAGAATCAAAGAAATGAGTCATATTTGCAAACAAGGCCTGCTCAGCCAATCTTCCCCTGCAGCTGTCGGAAAGAGGAGGCGGTGGAGAAAGGCTGCACGGCCCCGTGCTCTGGGCGGACGGGCCCTTTTATAATTGTTGCCTCTGCTAGTCTCCAGGGGAGAGCCATGGCCAATAAATGGCTGGCGTGCAGTCAAAAGGAAACGATTTGGCCCGCTAGGAGGACGTATTTACATCTCTGAGTGCCGGCTGGACGGCAGCAGGGCGGCCGACTCAAAACAGACGTCCAGGCAGTTCTTTTTTGGATCCCACCCTGGAGTGAATCATTACTATTCTTGGACAAGAATGCAGCTTACCTCGGAGTCTCCTCCCTCTGTATGAGACAGACGAGGAAGCTGGGGATGATGGGGCCCTTGCCAAGGCCAGCACCATGCCCGGCACATGAGGTGGCTGGCCCCAGGGTGGCATCAGTAAAAAGGAACCAGGTCCATGGCTGATTTCTATCTGAGTGATTTCAGGTGCATTCCTGAACTTGTCTCAGCCTCAGTTTCCCCATCAACCAAATGGGTATAATTAATTTACTCAATTAATGTCAGCTGAGCACCTATTAGGTACCAGGCACTGTTCAGTGATCAAGACAGACATAGACCCTGCCTTCTTGGGACTGACATTTTAGTGGGACAGGCAGACATTAAATAGATAGCACATGTACAATTATAATATAAAAGCAATAAGTGATGAGAAATAGGCTCAGGGCAGGGGAAGGACAGTGACCAGGGATGTTTTTTACAGAGGGTGGCCAGGAACAGCTGCCCTGGGGATGTGGCCTTTGAGCAGAGACCTGAAGGAAAGGAGCGAGGGAGTTTTGGAACAAGTGGCTGAGGGAAGCAGTTAGGTCCAAGGCCTTAAGGCAGGATCGCGTTCGACCTGTTCAGGGAATGGCCCAGATAGCAGCTAGGGTGGCTGAAGGAGGAGGAAGTGATGCTGCAGTCTGGGGGATGAGGGTAGGGCTTGGGCGCCCGCACCCGCAGCCTGCCCAGAACACTTCCCCTTTACACCCGTTCACCTGTGTGTTTACTAATTGGCACCCCCTCGCTCTTAAAAGTGAGTCTGAATGGCAGGGTCAGAAGGGCCGTGTTGGCCGGGGAGCGGGAGCCCTGGGAGGACGTGGAGCAGAGGAGGGATGTGGCCTGACATAGGTATTGATAGATTCCCTCTGACTTGTTGGGGCAGGAGTAGAGGGAGGAAGACCAACGAAGAGGCTGCTGGAAATCATCCTGGGGGCGTCAGGGGCCTGGACAGGGGCAGAGACTGTGCTGGGAGAGCTGTGTTAACACTGTGGGGAGCCTGTGCAGCTTCCTCCTGGGGTACTTAGGAGGCACAGGTGAGTGGCAGGGCGCCATGGCGTTCCCTCGGCACGACACTCTACAGTTTACTGAGCACGCCCTCACTGCTGGGTAGGGATTGGCTGGGATCCTGATCGGCTGCTTTCTGGCTGGGAAGACCCTGGAAGTCAGACACGGAAGGGACTGTGGAGGGGCCTGCCTGAGATTCAGCCTGCATGGCTGCCCGAGATGTCTTTGGAAAGAATGTCGGTTGCTCTGGCCCTGAGCCTGTGTCAGGCTGTGTTGTGACAAATCCTGATTGATGAGATACATTGGTTTCAGCCCTAGTATGTTCACGTGGCCCGTTATAAAGCTTTTCAAGAATTTAAAATAACTTTTATAAAGGTGATATGTGCACATTAAAAACATTGAAATAGTGCAAAAATACTTTGCAAAGTGCATCCCCCTCCCCCACACAGGCAGCAACTGCCACCAGCTTCTTGTGTGTCCTGCCAAAAATAGTGTGTGTGTATTCAAGTACAAATGTGTCTCTGTCTCCCTCCCTCTTTACACGGTAGGGAGCATGTCTCATGCACTGTTCTTCACCTTGCTTCTTTCCTGCATTTTGTCTCCAGGACCGAGCTCCTTAGTAGGACACAGAACTTTCCTGTTTTACACCGCTGCATTGTATTCCAGTGTGTGCCTGCTCCACAGTTTACAAGCTCCTCTTGATGGACATTTGAGTCATTTCCAATCTTTCACTCTACAGACAGCACTGCTTGAGGGGGGTACTATGTCTCTGGCCACCCATGCAGATGTAACTATAGGAGGTAATCCTAGGAATGGAATTGCCTGATCAAAGCAAACGTCCCTGGATGGCACCATGAGGTCCTACAAAGGGACTACCACCAGCAATGGAGAAGGAGGCGGAGGACTCATTTTCTTTGTTGTAGACTCCATAGCTGGTCAGCTGCCCCGAACAAGTCAGTGTGGCAGCCTCCCATCAGTATTGGGCACCACTGGTTTGACCAGCATGGTGGTAGGAGAAGGGCAGATGCTGTTAGATGAGCTGGCTGCAGGCTGGGTATGGTCAGAATCAGGGCTCTGGAGTATTAAGCTTCTCAGCCAGCTTGCCCTGAAGAATCAAAGGAAAGGCTGTCTTGTGACTGGGCATCTTATCAGCATATAAAGCCCTTGTCCTTGGGATGTCCAGGGTCTGGTGGGCAACACAGACATTTCCCCAGCGTGGGACAGGACAGCGGAAGACAGACAGGGGCTCTACAGTGAGTCTTCCAGAACCTCAGGGAGGCTTCCTTTGAGACGGAGGATAGTGCACCTGGTGGGCCTGGGAGATGGTGGAAAGGTGCTCTTCCTCCTCTCCTGGTGCTGCCCATTCACAAGGAAGTCTTGGGCCACTGCCCAGCCTGCCCTGGCTTTCACTGAAGGTGCTGAGCCCTGCAGAATGAGGAAAGGCTTTTTGTTTTAAAGCCGTGGCAGGCGCCAGATCCACATGCTTGGCAGGGCCCCAGCTGGGATGTGGTTGGCCGCCAGCCTGCCCTATAGGGATGCCCCCTGCCCCAAGGTGCCAGGTGATCCCAGCATATAGCAGAGGACTGAAGAGATTGTTAAATCAGCATATAGCAGAGGACTGAAGAGATTGTTAAAATTTAGGCTCTGTTTTCTCTTAAAACCAGACCAACAGTGTAGTGGAGTAGAGAGAGCACTGGTTTTGGAGTCAGACAGGTGTGGGCTTGGGGTGGCAGCTCTGTGTCACCTGCTGGCTCTGTGACCATGGGCAAGTGGACCCACCAAGCCTTCATTTTCCCTATCTGTAAAATGGGGTGAATGGCCTCTACTCCTGGGATCAGATGAGATAAACTGAAAAGGCCTTGGAAAGCAGGTGGTTGCTGGTAGCTTTTATTTCGTCCATCAGCATTATCATGTTGACATCCCTGGTGCCAGGGGGAGCCCACTGATGTCGCTGTGACCAGCAAGAAGAGGGCAAAGAAAAGCTGTCCTGTCTTATGGCTGTTAGTGGGAGTATTTCACGGATCGGTCCTACAGTGACATGTGAACTTGCTGTCCTCCCAGTTGAGTCCATTCATTCACTCATTCACTCAACAGGTCTTTATTGAGGTCCTCCAATGGGCCAGATGCTGTTCTAGGTGCTGGGAACACAGCAGTAAACTAAAGAAAGGCCTTGCTTGAATACCAGTTGAGAAGGGAATCTTGGATTTATTCAAAGTCCTTATGTTGAAGCTTCTCTAAAAAAAATAAAATAAAAATGATAAAGGGTCTAGCCTGGTGTGTGTTCCGAGAACCAGAGCCCTGACTGTGGGGGTAATCCCACGGACTGGCTGAAAGCTTGGGATGTTCCAGAATGCTTCCCCAAGAGCATCCTGGGCAGGAGCTGTTATTCTCATTTTACAAAAGGGGAAACTGAGGCACAGAGTCACACTTCACTCCCTGCCCCTCCTGCATGGGAGTGTGACCTTCAGACAGGGAGCTGACTCCCATTAGAAGGAAACTCAGCTTCTTCCAGGGGTTCGCAAACACCCTGGAGCATGCAGACCCTGTCTCTTGTGGCCAGCAGCCTGTGGTGGACAGGTAACCTGGGAGGCCCAGTGGGCAGGGCCGATGTCTCTGTTCTCAGCGTGGCTGTCCTCGATCACTGTTGCAGCAGTCAGAGCTCTGGGACCATGGGTGCCACTTCTGGGCATCAAGTTTCATGGCCTGGGCTGTCAGTACCCTGCATCGCCCTGGCCTGCTTTCAGATGCTGTCATCCATAAGAATGTCTGGGAGTAGGTACTTGTGTGCTTGTTTAGCAGGGCAGCAGGAATCAGCTCGGATTGGTGGGAGGCTTAAGTCTGGACTCCAAAGACCCACGCTCTGCCGTGTCATCCTGGGCAGGGTTGGTGACTGTCCCGTGCCAATTATCCTTAAAACCGTTTACCTGCCTCTCTCTGAGACCCTCAAAACCCTGGCAGGGCAGGGGAGGAAACCAGCATTGCTTAGGTGCCGGCTGTGTGCCTGAAACTTCCCTGGGCATCTGAACACCACAGTTAACATCTGCAAAGGTTTATCAAGTGCTAGCTGCATCCCAGACCCTGAATTTAGGACCTTGTGTGACTTACATTTTAGTGAGAGATCCAGGTTACACAGGGATGAATAAAATAATAAGGGACAATATTGGGGGAGGGCAACACTTTATAGACGAGGAGCCAGAGGTCTGGGAAAGTTGGCTAACTTCGTTCTGTCAGTGACGGAACAAACAGTAGAGCTGAGAATTGAACCTAGTGTTTGGCCCACGGTTGGCACTGAAGAAGGTTCTGCTGAAGTCCCAACAGAAAATCAGTGCCCATTTCACAGATGAGGAAACTGAGGCTCAGGGGTTCCTTAACTTGCCTGAGGCCAGACTAAGTTGAACCTGGGTTTGCCTGAATCTGGAGTCTGAGTCTATCCTTTTCTTTTCTTTCCAACAACTCTGTCTCAAGACAAATGGGGATTCCTGGGTTTGGAAAGGTGAGGTGACTTATGTAAATGCAGCGCCTCAGGTGGGATTTGACCCCCAGCCTGTTAATGTCCGAGCCTTGGCTCTCTCTACTCCAGGGCCAGGCCCCTCACTGACTCCTGGCTCTGTGTTTGCTTCAAGGCGCAACGTGCTGAGCTTGTCCCCTGGAATCGACCACCCAGGCTCTCTGAAATGGGACCTCGCTCTCTGCCTTCTTTTAGTCTGGCTAGTGTGTTTCTTCTGCATCTGGAAGGGCGTCAGGTCCACTGGGAAGGTAAGTTGGACTTCTGTCCGTCCCCTGCCTCCTGGAGAGCTGTGCCAGGCTGGCCCTCTCCCCCACTTCCCGCCTGCAATTAGCCACGCCCCAAGAGGGAGGTGGCCAGTGGTGGCGTGCTGGTAAGCCCGCCCTCTGGAAAAAAGTAAAACTCAGGTTTGTTGTAGCGTTTGTCCATTTCATGGTGTCAGTGCTCCCACCATGTTTGCTTTCAAGCTGTCCACAGTTTAATGACCAGCTCACAGAATTCCTGAATATTGAAGAGCCAGGCTCTCAGGAGCCTACACGAGCTAGCCCCATCCACCACAGCTTTCTCATCTCAAGGTATTGGCAGTCAGTGCAGATGGTAGCAGATAACTAATGTTGGGCTTCTAATAAATAGGTTAGCTGGTAACAGGAGGTTAGCCAGCAACCGTGGTAAGAGCCATTAGCCACAGCATGGACCCTCGCTTTGCAGAGGGGGCCACAAGCATTCCCATCAGCATTGCAGGGAGCTTCGTGGGCCTGCCCCAAACCTACAAACTCCAAGGCTGCGTTGTAACATTATCCCCAGATAATCCAAGAGCACTTTATGGGTTGAGAGGCACTGGCTTAGATTTTAGCTGCTAAATCAGATTAACTGAGTTATAACTAACATTTCAGCCGGCACCTCCAATGTTAGTTGTTCAGGAAAGCGTTAGCTGATAATTAAATCATCCACTCATGGCCAGGGTGTTAGCTGTTAACCAAAGTATTATTCATAACTGGAGTGTTTGCTGCTGATTAATATGTCACATAGTGACTAGGATGTTAGTGATTAACAAATGTAAAATGTTAGCTTGTAATTTTAAGGTTTTAGGTATAACTGATACATTAGCAATAGTGGAAATGTTAACCCATAACTGAAATGTTACCTGTTACTAATTAGAGCTGAACTGTTCCCTGAAAACCTAGACACTGGCTGTTGTCATGGCTTTGCTGATGCCAAAGGCTGGTGCGGGGGTATGTTGTGATCACAGGTGTGAGCCTGAACCCAGGGCCCTAAGCTATAAAGAACAAAGGCGTTTGCTCATCTGCCTTTAGATAGTGCCCTGTCAACGCTTTCCCCAGTGACTCACATCCCAAAAGAGGGAACGTCTCTTTAAGATCAAAAAACCCCCAAAAGTCAAAGGAGCGTCTTAAGGTAGCATTCCAGATGGAGCTGTGGGCAGTGACCTTAGCTGCCCCAGCCACACAGTGGAATTGAGGGTTGAGGAATGTGTCTCCCTGGATAAAGAGCCCCCAAAGAGGCAAAATCATAGATTTGTAGAGATCCAAGTAATTATTCCAGTCACTTACCCTGCAAGACCTGGGACTCCAGGGTTGCAAGAGGTAGAATGGGGGTGATCCTGTGCACCCCCCTCCAACACACACAGTGCCCTCTGCTTGTTTCTTGGGGCAGAACCACCCTGCCATCCTGAAGCCAAGGGTGGAAGGGAAGCAGTCCAGGCCTTGGACACCTGCCCGTGCCCACCAGTGAGCACGGTCCTGCCCGGAACAGGCGGGAGCAGGGGACATGGGTAACTCCTGCACCTCCTTGGAGAGCACCTTCACTGTGCTACCCCGGTTCTCTGTCTCACAAGCACACCATTTTATTCCTTTCTTTAAACAATGAGAAAACTCAGGCTTAGGGAGGTCAAGTGACTTGTCCAAGGTCACTTCCTCCTCTCTGAGCCTCAGTTTCCTCCTCTATAAAATAGGTGATAGTAGGGTTAAAATGAGGTGTGTTAAACACCTGGCACAATGCTTGGCACAGACGGTTCTGTAAATGCTAATTCTCTTCTTTTTTTTTTTTTTTTTTTTTTTTTGTAATTTGAGGTGGGGTCTGGCTCTGTTGCCCAGGCTGAAATGCAGTGGCTTGATCTCAGCTCACTTTCTGGGCTCAAGCCATCCTCAAACCATCCTCCCACCTCAGCCTCCTGAGTAGCTGAGACCACAGGCACATGCCACCATGCCCTTCTTCACTCTGCCTCAGTTTCCCCACACAGAAGTGAGAAAGTTTCTGTGGAGCACTGGTCCTGAGCAGTGCTAGAGACATCATCACTTACTTACGCACTAGTATTTTTTGAGCCTCTACCGTGTGCCAGGTGCTTTGTAGAAACAGGGCTGGGGGACATGCAGTGGTTCACAAAACAGACAAAAATTCCTGTGCTCCAGGAGCTGATGGCCTGGCAGGAAGAGTCAGGTTGTAACAAAACGAATGGGAAAAATATATAGGAGTCAAATGGGGATGCGAGCTATGGGAAAAAGTCAAGCAGAGAAGGAGAATGGGGAGTGTTGGGAGCAATTTTGAATAGGGTGGCCAGGCAAGACCTACCAAGAAGGTGACTCTAGGCAAAGATGTGAAGGAAGTGAAGGGCTGAGCCAGGTGAGTATGTGGAGGGGAAAATCTCCAGGTAGAAGTGACAGCCTGTGCAAAGGCCCTGAGGTGTGTTTGACCCAGACCCTTGGGGAGCACCCAGTCTGATGGAGGAGGCTGATGTCCGCCAGGGACAGTGAGCAACTTTTGAGACATAATGCAGAATACAGGAGAATAGTGTCAAAGCCAGAGAGAGGGTGCCAGGCTGCAGCTGTGGCCGAGCAAAGACGTGATCTTCCACGGGTCCTCCCTTCTCACCCTTAGCAACAACCTCCTTCGTGGGGTGGCTGTAGGCCTCCCAGGGGTGGGCGTGATTCCCAGAACAATAGCAGAGCCTGGGCCAGGCCAGAGAAGCCAAGACAAACACAGTCAGGCTCTGTGAACTTCCTCAAGCCCCATGGCTGAGAGGCTGCCTGCTCGCTGGCCATGGCTTCCAGCCCTGGCCACAGACCAGGTTTGTGGCTGACGTGGGGGCTGGGCCCACAGGCAGCAGATGGACCTCATCCTGCCAAGGCCCTGCTCTCGTGTCTAGTCCAGCAAGGAGGAGTTGGAGGGTAATGGAGGGAGAGCCCCAGCCTGAGAGGCTCAGGATCTGAGTTCAAGTCACTTTGCCTCTCTAGGTTGCAGTTTCCTTTTTTGTAATTTTCACTATTCCAGGAAGTTGAAACTAGGCTGCCATTAATCCATTCAACAAATAGTGATAACGGTGGCGAAAGCGCAGTAGCCTGTGAGTGCCGGGCAGCATTCTCAGTGCTGCTAGGTAGCTCATTGAATCCTCCTCATGGTTTGGAGTATGTGCAGTTATTAGTCCCATTTTACAGATGGGGAAATTCAGGTTCAAGGAGGCTCATTACCTTGCCCAGCATCCCACAGCTTGTCAGTGGCTGTGCTGGGATTTGGACCCAGGCGGCCCCACTCCCGACCTGGGTGCCCCACACTCTTCCGCCTCTTGTGCCCACCCCCGTGCCAGCCTGAGGATGCAGTAAGTAGGGCGTGTGGCAGGCATGTCCCTGCTGTCACAGAGTGGGGTCTGGGAAGGGGGCAGAGATCCAGACACTCACACAGGAAGTGCAAGCCCTGCAGACGCACAGGGGAGGAGGCCCCGGAGTGAGCATGGACATTCACTGAGGCTGGGGCTCTTCGCTGTTGGCCTCCGGAGCAGCTCTTTTTGCCTGGTTAAAAACAAAGCAGGGGGTAGTCAGAGCCAGGTCCTTTTAGCTCTGGATCCCCCAGACTGCATGACTTTGAACAAGGCCCTTTCACTTTCTCAGCCTCACCTTCCCCTTATGTGAAATGAGTTAGTGAAGCCCCTCACCAACAGCCAGGGCGCTGAGGATCCTTAGGGCCTGCCTAGGATCTCTGGGATCAATGGCGAGCCCTGCTGCCCAGGCCCTTACCTCCCAAAGGATGCCTGGCTCCCCCTGCTGCTGCTGCTGCCCAGACACTTACCTCCCAAAGGATGCCCGGCTCCCCCTGCTGCTCAGCCACCCTCTTTTCTACTGCCCAGAGGGGATGGAGAAAAGTTGTCCTTGTGAGTTTCCTGGACAGTTGGGCCACAGGGCTTTTGGGTCTAGGGCTCAGAGGAGCCACGGAGGTTCACCAGCAAGAGTGGAAAAATACCACGTCCCACAGCAAGGCCTGCTGGGCCACCACCAGAGGCCCCTGGCAGCAGCTAGCACCAGCCTGTCCCTTGGGGATCCCGGGGGAGCCACAGAAAAGTTGAAAGCATGGCTCTCAGGGGCTTGTCCTCGGAGCAGCAGATTCTGCAAAGCAAGGGTGGCTTTCAAACCTGCTACTGTAAACCAAAACCCATCTGAGACAGGGGGCTCGATGAGCTTAGAGGTTTATTTTGCCAAGGTTGAAGATGTGCTCAGGAAAGAGACTGAGCCACAGTAGGATCTGTGGCCTGCACTTTTTCCAAAGAGAGTTTTGAGAACCTCAGTACACTAAAGGGGAGGCCCAGCACAGTAGCTCACACCTGTAATCCCAGCACTTGGGGGAGCCGAGGAGGGCAGATTGCTTAAGTTCAGGAGTCCGAGACCAACCTGGTCAACATGGCAAAACCCTGTTTCTACTAAAAAATACAAAAATTAGCTGGGCATCGTGGCGCGTACCTGTAGTCCCAGCTACTCAGGAGGCTGAGGTAGGAGGATCTCTTAGGCCCGGGAAGTTGAGACTGCAGTGAGCTTTGATTGCGCCATTGCACTCTAGCATGGGCGACAGAGACCGTGTCTTAAAAAAAAAATGTAAGGGGAAACAGCAGGAAGGGACAGAGGAACAGGTAATTCAGGTAATTATGCACGATGTCTCTCAGCAAATCTGCATTTTCCATAGGGTAGAGAACACACACATTTTCCATAGGGTAGGGTGTGTACACACGGTGGAGGAAGGAGACACATGCCTAGATGTGTGGGTGGATGGCTCATTTCTTGTCTCTTTGTCCGGCACCTGTGAAGATGAGCTGTGAGTTTACATTGTCAGGGTGAGGGAGGCCGCCTGGGGAGATACGTGGCCTGTATCTCACAACTCTCTGCTGAAGAACAGAAAGCAGGCCGGTTTTGTGCGTGTGTGTGACTCACTTCCCAAGCTTAACTTTTTCCTTCTGCATAGTGAGTTTGGGGTCCTGAGATTTTATTTTCCCTTCACACGGCTGAGGTGGCGTGACCAGGATTTGGGGAGGAACAATGACACACATCCCAAAGGTGTGGGGACCTGACACCAGCTGGCCTGGATCCATCCCGCATCCACCACCAGTAACTGTGATTGCAGGCAGGTGCCCCCACCTCTCTGGGCAGTCTCCTCATCTAGAAAATGCAGGTGAGGCTGATGCCTGGCTCTTCTCAGTTGTCTGAGGATTAAATGAGTTAAAACTCACGAAGCCCTTAGCTGAGTGCCCCGCACAAAATCCGCACTGCATAAGTGCTTGTTAAATAAACTAACTACGTGAAAACAAAGAAAGCCACCTCCACACCCCTGTCCCTGACACAAAGCCCTCTGGTCACAGACCACTGGGTTGCTTGGCCCAGTGGAGGCCTGGCTGGCTTTGAAGTGGCCGCCCTCTGGAGACCCCTGCGGGGCTGCTGTCAGCAGCTATTGTTCGCCAGCCCGGGTGTGGCCCACAAAGGGCCCCAGAGGTGGGAACTGGTCGGGGCGCCTGGCCGCCTGTCCGCCTGTCCTCAGGAAGGGAGAGGCAGGTTGGTTTTCTTTTTTCACTTCTTTCCCCCCTTCTGTGGCTTCCTGATGTGCCCCCGCCCTCCACGTCTGCCTTCCCATCCTCGGGAAATCATGTAGGCTCCTGGCCTCAAGGAGAAGAGATGACGGTGGCTGGAGAAACTGAGGCCTGGAGGAACAAAGGACGCCCGGGGGCAGAGGCAGCAGTAGGGCCCAGCCTGTCAGTGTCGGAGAGCCATCCTGACAGTGCCGGCCAAAGAGGCTTCTTGAATGCTCACCGCAGGCCAGGGGCCATCGAGCAAGGTCAGCGTTCCCTTATCCTCAGTGGACAGATGGGGAAGCTGAGGCCCAGGTCACCAGCAAGGGGTGGCAGAGGCAGCGTGCAACCCCTGGTAGAGGTGGCTCCCCAGCTGACCCACAGCCTCTCTACCCCTCGACCTAGAGTGGCAGAGTGGGAGGCAACCTCAGAGCTCCTACGGTCCCAGCCCTTTACTTCCTGGTGGGGAAACAGTCTAGAGCGGACAGCGGCTTCCTGGAGGTCTCATGGCAAGCCAGCCTCTAAGCTTGGCTTCAGACCTGAGGGCCTCCCTACTGGCTGCCCTCTGGTCTTGGGGAGAATCAGTAAACTGCCAGTTGTGGGAGGCTTTTTGCTGGTCTGCTATGTGTGGGCTGTGGGGCAGGTCCCCATTCTGTTGCTTAAGCCCACGTGACCCTGGGCAAGTGATGGACTCTCTCTGGGCCTCAGTTTTATTGTTGCAAAATGGAGATAGTAATACAACTTACCTCAGAGGGTTAGGGCACGGGCCAGTGAAAATAGACGTCACAGCATTTGGAACAGTGCTAGGCACACAGTAAGTGCTCAATAAACGCTGCCTAGGGGTTGTTGGGCTGAGGGCAGCTGAGCTAAGCAGGCCCTGAAAGCTTCCTTTTTGCCCTTTTCCAAAGCCCCTTTCTCATTGTTTCTACTCAAAGGGATCATGGCCACAAGAATTTGCTCTGTCGAGGGTCGTGGTGCCAGCTAGGTGAGGTTTGGGGCTCTGTCACTATTGGTCAGTGTCTGTTACATACTTGGGCCCCAGCAGTGCCCTGGCACTGCACCCCCAACTCCATGGGCACATTTGTCCTGTTCTCTTCATCTCAGTTTCCTCTCCTGTAAAATGGGTGCATTGACTGTGCAGTGGTTCCTCCAAGGTCCCCTGATCCCCAGATGCGGCCCAGGGCTCTGCCAACCAGTCTCAATGTTTCAAGGTGGCCACCATGAACTTTCTGCATGTCGAAGTAAAACACTTCATGCCTTTCTGCACAGAGGTTAGCCCTCCACAGGCTCTGGGTTCAAATCCTGGATTCCGTTGATGCCCTGGGCACGTCCTTAAAGCCCACCAAGCCTCAGTTTCTCCACTGTAAACCACCGTCCTGGGGGGCATGGTGAGGATGAAGTGGGCTTGTGCCTGGGACGTTCCTACTCAGCCAGTGCCCTGCCTGAAACACTAGGATCGAACTGTCCATTCAGCCAGGCACCTTCGAACTCCTCCCAGGCATAATCTCTGTCTGGAAACTCCTTGTGTTGAATAAGATGGGAAAATCCATCCATGAGAACTGAAGCCACAAACAGCGCTTGCAGGACAAGAGGAGAGAAGGTCTTTGGGAGGAGATGGCCACATCGTTTCTAGTCCCCACCTCACACCTGATCTTGGCCTGTCTGGAACATGCAGTGTGACCCAGGGAAGGCCATGGGTCTCCCAGAGGCCCGGTGAAGCGGGGAGCCTTTCCTATTCCCAGTTAAGGGCCTTTGAGAGGCCTCATTTTCTTCCCTGAAGGTCTCGTCCTTCCAGCAAAATCAGTGTCAACAACAGGCCCTCTTTCTGGAGCACCTACTGAGTGGCAGTGTTACAAGCATCATCCTATTGAATCCTCAGCTCACCCCTTGTTGAGGGGCTTCTATTACTCTTATCTGAATTCTACTCATGAGGAAACAGGTCCAGAGAGGTTAAGCAATGTGCCTAAGATCACACAGCAAATGAGGGGACGGAGCTGGGATTTGAACCCTTGCTTATCTGATCCCTAACCATAGGAATCATACCAACATTGTAGTTAGTTGTTAACTAATATGACCTGCATGCAATGGGCACATGCCATGGTTGGCAACCACTGGGCTGAGGCTTCTACACACGCACTTGATAGCTTACTCTCTGATTTTGCTTTTTCCACCTCTACGCCCTGGAATGTCAGTTCCACGAAGGCAGGGATTTGTTTTCTGTCTTATCCACCACTGTATTTTGTGCTTAGATGGTGCCTGGGACAAACTATTTATAGGATGTTTTTCATTTAATCTCAGTAAATCTGTGAGGTGGGCTGGCGCTGTGGCTCATGCCTATAATCCCAGCACTTTGGGAGGCTGAGGCAGGTGGATCATTTGAGGCCAGGAGTTTGAGACCAGCCTGGCCAACCTGGTGAAACCCCATCTCTACTAAAAATACAAGAATTAGCTGGGCATGGTGGTGGGCACCCGTAATCCCAGCTACTCGAGAGGCTGAGCCAGGAGAATCACTTGAACCCAGGAGGCGGAGGTTGCAGTGAGCCGAGATCGTGCCATTGCACTCCAGCCTGGGTGACAGCGAGGCTCCGTCTCAAATTTAAAAAAAAAAAAAAAAAAAAAAAGAAATCTGTGAGGTAGGTACCTGTATATACCCAGATTACAGATGAGGCAGCTGAGACCCAGAGTGGTTAAGCAATGTGCCAAAGGCCGCACAGCAAGTAAGACAGCAAACCTGGCTCCAGAACTCCTGATCCTGACCAGTGCTCCCCTCTGCCTCTCTGAGAGGATGCTCAGACTTAGCAGCAGCAAGTGATGCCCATGGCCTCCTGAATCCCTCTCGCCCTTGCAGGTCGTCTACTTCACAGCCACTTTTCCATTCGCCATGCTCCTGGTGCTGCTGGTCCGAGGGCTGACGCTGCCGGGCGCGGGCGCAGGCATCAAGTTCTATCTGTATCCTGACATCACCCGCCTTGAGGACCCACAGGTACTGTGGGGCTGGGACACACCATCCTCCCTCCCATCCAGGGCTGGGCCGGCACAGGACAGGGCAGGATGTAGAGGCCACTGGCAGCACATCTTCCGTGGTTCTTCAGTGCACAGGTCTAGCTGGGCCACCGCCCCCTGGTACTTTTCCACCGGGCCTGTGGCGGGTGTGCCTGTCCACGGTGCTGATGGACCTTTCTAGCTGTGTGCATCTCTTTTCATGTCAAGGACGTCTGAGGGTGGCCACTTAGAGAGGCTGCTTTAGGCCCTGCACCAAGGGGGAGAAATCTTCTGATGAGCAAGTCTCCCGCTCGGACCCAGCTTCTGCCCACTGCAGCCACAAGGGCTGCTGCATCCTGGGGATGGGAGAGTCGGGGCCTGGAGAGCTGCGGGCTTCCTTGGCTGAGGGTGGAATTCAGAGTTAATGGCCTTGGAGGGTCCACGGGCAGATACCGAAAGCACACCTTCTGGCACTCAGCCTTGTGACCTTGGGGAGGTGGAGAAAGCCCTGGGAGATTTTCTGGGTTTGTTTGAGGACCTGAATCCCCAGGGCCTTCCGGTTGCTTCCCAAGGGCCTGTGCTCTCCTTCCCCACCACCCTTCCCCCTGGACAGGACACAGTTGTGAGAGGGGTTGGCCAGCCTTGGAGGACAGCTGGGAACGAGCTGCTTAGTGAAGATTCTGGAGAGCAGCTTTGCCTGCATAGTTCCTTGGGACCTCCTTCTGCATTCTAACTCGGGGGTCTGCAAACAGTAACAACAATGGTGGTGACAGCAGCCTTGACTTACGGGCTTGCCATGTAACTGGCACTGGGCTGAATCGCCACTCTTTGAACCTGGGAAATAGCTCTATGGGGTAGGGCAAAGGAGCCCATTTTATAGATGTGAAAACTATCTATAAACTGCAGGAGTGATATTTACTTGCCCACTGTCATTCCAGGGTTGGAATCCAGATCCATCTGCTTCTGAATCCTCTTAACCCTGATGCTAGGTCGCTGGGAGGTGGGGTGTTTGATTTCTGGGGCTCCTTGCAGCTCAGTACTGCCTTGAAAGGCACCTTGGATTCGAGCATAAATGTTCCATTTGCATGTGCAAGGTCCCGTCCCCAGGCCATCGCCAGGTGGACATAACCCTCGCTGCCTCCTCCAGGAAGCCAGCTCTGACAGCCCTCCTCTCTTTCCTTGCCACCTCCCTCCCCCTCATAGGTGTGGATTGACGCTGGGACTCAGATATTCTTCTCTTATGCCATCTGCCTGGGGGCTATGACCTCGCTGGGGAGCTACAACAAGTACAAGTATAACTCGTACAGGCAAGTGTTGCGCCGGCGGGCCTGGTGGACTTTAGAAATGATGATGATGATGTTTAAAGAAAAAGAGAAGTAGGGAGCGTGGCTTCCTTGTGTTGTGAATTAACTTGCTCCCTGACATATGTGTAACTTAGGGACTGTATGCTGCTGGGATGCCTGAACAGTGGTACCAGTTTTGTGTCTGGCTTCGCAATTTTTTCCATCCTGGGCTTCATGGCACAAGAGCAAGGGGTGGACATTGCTGATGTGGCTGAGTCAGGTACGGTGGTATCGGTGGCAGTGGTGGTGGGCACTGCCACCTAGTGTGTAAGCCAAGTACTGCAGGCATGAAGCCAGACCCCAGGGGGCTTTGAGGGGGGACGAGCCTGGTTTCTAAAATGGACCCCCCCCCCGCCACCAAGATATCCCCCAAATTTCAAAGAGTACAAAGCCAAATTTTAAACATTTGTATTGCAATTTGGCCCTGATGGGTGGCAAAAGCATGGGGGGTGGTTAAGTTGGGGAATTTTTAGCTACCTTAGTGTGGTCTTCCCCGCCCCCCCGTCCTTCCCCAGCAAACTCCTGGTTTCCACAATAGAAACCACTTTCCTAACTCAGGCCCAAGTCAGCCACCAATCGGCATTCCATCACCACCTTCTCAGCCTTGGTTTCTGTATTTTGCACTTTGCTCCCAGCGTGCTCCCTCTAAGCAGACGCATTCATCCATCCCACCGATTTCTCGTGAATGAGTCCCAACTCTGTGTCAGGCACCACCGTAGGCACTGGGTGCAGTGTGTGGGGGGAGGGCGTAGATGAGGGGACGACCTACTGGGACGGTGGCAGATCCAACTGGGGGTGGGTTGTAAGCACAGTGTCGCCCCTCGGGGTGTGGGCCCTGTTGACCAGGCACTCTTCCTCGGGCTACCTGGAGTCACAGGCATGGAGGATGCCAGTGGCTTAGAATCACGGACTCTGCACAGACGGGGAACTTAGGAATCTGGGATCCCAGAGTTCCAGCAAGGTGCTTCTGGAACCTGAGAATCATGGGGCCTTCAGTTGCTAGAATCTGCAATCTCTCAGGTGCCTCGATTCTGGGACTTGGCCATGGCTGCTTGAGGTCCTGGGTCTGTAGCTTTAATTGCAGTGGCTTGGGTTATGGGATTCCCTCAGGCTCCCAGGATCCTCAAAGTCCACCTTTCCGACCTCTCCACCCTTCCCCGGCCCTGCACAGTTTACTTGGAGGGTGGTCATCAGTTGGTTTTGTTATTTTACATGCTGAGCCCCCAGCCCCACCCCGTCCATGTCCTAATTTCATACAACTTCCCTGGGGCTACCTGGAGGTGGCAAGGTCCTGGGCTGAGGCTCCTTCCAAGCCGAAGGGAGAGCGTGGGGGTTATTAACTTCAGGGACCACCATAGACTAGGGCCAGACACAGCCGGAGGCCCTGCCATTCCACTGCCCTTGACCTCCTGTGCCATCTGTATTTGGAACATGAGGCGATGTCCCAGTCCCTGAGTCCTAGAGCCCTAGCACTGGGGGGTCAGAAGGTGCCTCAGCATCGCGTGTCCAGATGTTCCCTTCTCAGATGAGGAGACCAGCAACCTGAGAGCAAGGGCTTTGCTTGGGATAGGTGGGGCTACAACAGGGCTTTCTGAACATCCTGTCCACTATTTCTCCACTTGTCACACGCTGGACAGGCCTTCTGACACAAGGGTGTCCCCCTCCTGCCATCCAGCCCACCCTGGACACATGCAACAACCTCTGGCCCTTCCAGTGTGAGAATTTGGCCCTTGTGACCTCCCAGAGCCCCTGGCCCCTCCTCACTGTCTTCTTTGCTTGGCAGAGATGCACACTGCCCAGCCCCATCCTGAGACCCCTGACAACACTGCAGGACCCCCTTGGCAAATCCACATGTCACCCCCACACACCTCTCCACTGTCCCTGCTTCCAAAGTGGACCCTCAGATGTACTGTTCCCTCCACTGAGCCCAAAGAGCCCCCAAAAGCAGGCCAGAGACTGAGGACACAGAATGTAACTCCAGAAGTCCCCACGCCCCTTAGGGAGTTTGGCAATTAGAGTGGTGAGGGGGAGCCAGAGATGATTTATACCTCCTCTGTAGATGGCTTGCTTTCAGCTGAGGGCTTGCAAACCAATCGCAATTGAGTGGGAATCTCCAGGAGTATGGAGTGAATTTGGCAATGGGAGATACAGATAGATACATACAATGTATCTTCCTCCATGGACAACGAAGTATTTTCGTAGACACATATATTGTCAATCTCAGTTGTTTTTTCCTCCCGTCCACTTCAAACACCTTGTCATTTATTCCCCACGGTGATGTCTGAACAGCCGGCACATCAAGGGTGATTATTTCTCTAATAAGCTTTTAACAAGCACCATATTGAGTGAAGTGCATTTGAACAAGATAATTATTTAGCCTAACAGAGTGCAAACAAGACGTGGCATGGCACATTGTCTGCTAGCAGAGAGGCATCCAGAGGTTCTCGGAGTGGCTGGATTATGTCTCCTGGACTTCTCTCTCTTGAGTTCACCATGCACTTTTAGAGAAAGACGCTCAGACCCTCTCCCAGAGGCTCGCTTGAGAAAGGCAAAACTAAAATACAGAAACGAGCGAATTGAGAATCTTCACAACGTCCCTGGTGGGTTGGGGGTTGTGGGGGCCCATTTTGCATCTGTCTTGCAGCTGGCTGGACTCGATTCCTCATTCAGTGTGGACCAGTCAGGGCCAACGCTGATGTTCTGTAGGGACCAGTGGGGCCCCGGTCTGGGTGGAAACGCCGCGGCTTTTGACTCCAACTTCAACTTTGATTCAAAAGTCATCTCACCGGGTCCTGGGGTCCATATTTTTCTGAACCTGGCCCTGGTTCTTTTGGGCATGTTCTGAGCAGTTTTGGGCTTGGTAACCCCCGCTCCTGATGGGGGTCTCCAGCATCTCAGCGAGCAACCACTCTGTCGCTGCCCAAGGATATATTTTGGTCAGGTTTTCTCTGGATTGTAAAAGGACACACCCTTCCCTGGCACACTGGGGGTGTTAACACCGTATAATGTGGTTTCTGGTTCCAATTTATTGTAAAGTTGGGTTTTGCTTTTTGTTTTTCATTCTTGAGCCATTCGTCTGGTTTCTAATCCCTGCTGAACAGCTCCTGCTCTGGCCCTTTTTGTTTCCTGCTTCTTGACTTTTTTTTTTTTTTTTTTTTTTAGTTGTAGATTTTACTTTCTTTTGCTGCCCTCGCTTCTCAGACCCACAGGTCTCAGTTAACAATTAAATTATTTCCGTTGGCATCCGCTTTCAGGCAGGCTGGAGACAGGAGGAGACATTTCTCTCTGTCTCCGGAATGTCTCCCATCAGAGACATCCCCTGAGCTGACAGAGCTCCCATCTCCCCAGCTCTCCCTCAGGTTCTATCCAAGTCCCTTCTTTTGAAACCCAGAGCCCTTTTCTAGTGACATGGTGTCTACCTCTGAGAATCTAAACACAGGAAGGCTCCTTGTGAGTCATTTATGGCCACCTGCCCCTCACTTTTCAGGTGGGGAAACTGAGGCCCTGAGAGGGTATGGGGTGATTCAAAAAGGAAATTGGAAGAGGATGACTTGGATGCAGGCCTCAGGGCTTGCAGGCCTGGGACCTTGCCCCTGCACCCATGTTCCCTCAGCTTTGGGCCCTGGTTGGCCCAACCTTGACCTCATGGGCTTGGCTCTGACCTTGCCAGGGAGAGCCCCACAAATGCACCCCTGAAGAGACAGGCCTCCTGTTGGGCGTGGTTTTGTATTGGTTTTTCTTTCCACTCCTATGGTGTTTTAGCCATTAACTCAAAAATAGAAACTTTCCCTTTGCAAAGGAGACTGGGCGGTCAGGTCACCACCACGCTCCCCCGCCTCCTTCCAGCAAAGGCTGTCCACTCAATGGCTTTGCTTTGGGGTGGGAGGATCCTCCCTTTCCTTTGTCTCTGCAGACCAAGCCCTGGGCTCAGTCTGCATCCTACCCCAAATAACCACGCCCCGATGGATGCTGGTGTGTGAGGAGGCCACGTGTGCTGTGTAGGAGACAGATGCTAAAACCGGGCCCCTCCTGAGCCCCAGCGTGTCCCACCCAAAGGCGAGACAGGCCTGGTCTCTTTCCCCAGGCCAGAGTTCAGACCTGGCTCCCTGCTGTATTTGGGTCTGAGTGTCTTTGTGTGAGCCCAGGGTTCCCAGTGGCTTGGTGGCTGATGTCTCCTCCCCTGTGCCCCTCCCCGTTTTCTTTCCTTTCTAGGTCCTGGCCTGGCCTTCATTGCCTACCCAAAAGCTGTGACAATGATGCCGCTGCCCACATTTTGGTCCATTCTTTTTTTTATTATGCTTCTCTTGCTTGGACTGGATAGCCAGGTGCGTATAAGGGATGGCCCTGGGGCGACTGCCCCTGTGGGGAACCTGACTCTGGGAAAGACTCCTTATTCCACCTGGGAGGTGGTCAACCCCCTTCCCCCCTCCAGTCAGACTTCCAGTGCTTCAGCTGTGAGGGTTCCTCCAGGACACCAGGAATAGAAAAAGCTCTGCGTCCCCAGAAAGTGCATTTGAACAAGATAATTATTTAGCCTAATGGAGTGCAAACAAGACGTGGCATGGCACATTATCTGCTAGCAGAGGGGCATCCAGAGGTTCTCGGAGTGGGTGGGTTATGACAGGGACAACCAGGGTTTGTGGTTACAGTCAAGCCACAAATGACGAATTGGAGGTCATGACTCAATAAGTCATGATGTGCTCCAGTGGAGCGTCGGCGGGGCACAGGAGGACATGGCAGATGGGCGATTCGGAGAAGGGACCCACATTTCTGTGTGAGCTGATCATTGTCTGGGCCATCGTAATAAGTTGCAAGTGCCCAGGAGAAGCCTACGCCACACTCAGGATTCTGTGCTCCCTGGAGCGTGCGAGGGGCTGGGCATTGGCTCCCTCCCGTGCTTTATACACCGCACAGGCCGGGAGCCTCGCTCAAACCCGCCCTGACCTCTGGCTGTCCTGGCTTCTCCCCTCCCAAGGCAGGACTCCTGTCTCCACTGAGGTTCTTTCCTGCACTTCTAAACCCCGTATCCCACCCCTTCAGGGCTCAGGCCTCCACTAGAAGGTGACTCATGGCCAGGGAATGCCAGTGAGAGCCGATGAGTGGCTGCATCTGGCTGTAGAGTAGCCAGTGCCTAGTGTGGGGTAGTCAGCAGTGCTCGGAGGACAATTCACTTGAGCTCCTGGGCCCCTTTCCCTGGAAATAGGTGTATTTTTGACAGGGTCTTGTTGAAACAACAGTTCAGAGCACAGGCATGACTCCAGGAGTAGGGATTTATGGCATGTGGGACAGGCTGGTTGTGTGCCCAGCCCAGCATGAGCCCCTCAGGCAGCGCCATGCACATGGGCCACTGAGAAGCAGGTAGGATGTAGACTGTGTAGTCTGGGTCTGGAGGTCTGAATGCCTCTTGGGAAGCCTTTGAGCAACTGAGACCCCCTGAGAGGTTGGAGCTTGCAGCCAGGGCGGGAGAACCCTTTGTCCCCCTCCCCGCGGGCCGAAGTCTTCAGAGTCATTGTCCCAAGTGGGTCCCCAGAACCTGGTAGGGGAAAAGTCTCTGAAGGTCAAGCAGAGGAGGGTGAGTCCAGGGAGAGGAGGCGGCCAGCCAGCAAGGTCAAGAGCAGAGCAGGGGATTTGGCAGAGAAGGGGGCAGGATTAGCAGAGAAGACAGAACGAAAACATCAGGGAGACGGAAAACAAAATACTTCTGCAGTTGTTGATAGACTTGAGCTGAATAAACAAGCAGGAGGACTCCATTAATCATTCCTAGTTAATGAGTTTGGCCTTCAGAGGCCCCAAGCAAATGGCTTTTATAACTTCTTCCAGAGCTCTAAGTGAAAGAAAAAAACAAAAACAGAGGTTAATAAATGACAAGGCATGACATCTTCATGGGCCCAAAATAGGCCACTTGGGCTTTGGAAACGGCTCCCTGAGCAGGTGGAGGTGGTCACTCATTAGATTTTCTCCCCAGGAAGTGGGGCCTGGTGGAGGACACGCATCTCTCAGGGAGGCCCCGTGTCAGTGGCACACGGAGAGAATCTGGTGGGCTCTCACAGCCACTCCTCCTACTTTGCAGAGCGAGGAACTCAAGGCTCAGAGCAGTTAGATGACCTGCCAGGGACAAGGGTAGAAATCGAACCTAAGTCACTGGTCTCCCAGGCCCCATGTCCCAGGGAACCAGGATGGGAATCTGATCGCACAGGTGGGGCTTCCTCCTTTGCATCTCTTTGCTTTGTGAACTTGGGGAAATGGGGAAGGTTTTGCAGATGCCAGCAGTGTGCCTCACCCACTGCCAGCACTGTGACAGGATCAGAGCCCTCTGCCGTAAGAGGTGTTCCCTGGGTGCCGGTCCTCATGGCAGGCTTCTGTGTGTGCGTGTGTTTGGGGTGACCACACATTTACCATCTAAACCAGGTTTAAGTGCACAGTTCAGTGGCATTAGTACCTTCAGACATTGCGCGGCCATCACCACCGTCCGTCTCCAGAACTTTTTCCTCTTCCCAAATGGAGCCTCTGTCCCCATTCAACACTGACTCCTAACTCCCCAGTTTGCCCTCCTGCCGGCCCCGCACCTGGCTTTTTGTACATGAACTCCTTAAGCTGCAGTGTTGCAATGCCTGGGTACTATTTTTACCCTTCTTATAGCTGAGGAAACTGAGACTTAGAGAGACCAAGAACTTAGCCAAGGCTCCACACAGCTAGTGAAGGGCTTGATACCAGGTCTGCCTGTCTGCAGAAACTGTCTCTTACCTGCTAGTTTGTCCCAACTGGCCTTCCCCTTGAATTCCCCCAAAATAACTTCCTCCTGTTGGAAGTATGGAGATCTACAGCCCAGAGGCAGAGGCCTCCCGCTGATGTTATTGCGTCCTGGGCAAGGGAGCAGGGGGTGTCACCCTGACTCATCAGGGGTTCCTACCATTGGCGGGAACAGTCCGTCTGGCCTAAGAGCCATCATACTGCTGCGCCTTTCTTGGTGAGACAGGGTAGAGGAGTCAGCCATGTGGAGGCAGATGCCTGTTGCCATCCAGGCTACCCAAGAGGGACACGGTTTTTTGTTTGTTTTGAGATGGAGCCTTGCTCTGTCGCCCAGGTTAGAGTGCAGTGGCGCAGCCTTGGCCCACTGCAACTTCTGCCTCCTGGGTTCAAGTGATTCTCCTGCCTCAGCCTCCCAAGTAGCTGGGATTACAGGCATGTGCCACCATACCTGGCTAATTTTTTTTTTTTTTGTAGAAACAGGGTTTTGTCATGTTGGCCAGGCTGGTCTCGAACTCCTGACCTCAGGTGATCTGCCTGCCTTGGCCTCCCAAAGTGCTGGAATTACAGACGTGAACCACTGCACCCAGCTGGGACATGGTTTTTTTTAACAAATTGTGAGAGGAGATGAGAGTTGGAACCCACTCCTCCTGCAACCAAAGAGCTCACCCAGCCCGCTGACATGGGTTAACAGTTATCTCCCACTTGCAGATTTACTCTAATAATTTCAAATCTTTCTCAACATCCCTGCCAAGTGGACAAGATCCTCCCATTTCACGGAGAGGCAAGTGAGGCTCGGAGAAGCCAATCACACAGCTGTTAAGCGACGGAGGGCTGAAGAGGCTGGTGGAGAAGGGCAGTGTTCTCTGGAAGCGGCAGGAACTGAGAAATGGGGGTTTGTGCTGGTCTTGGCCCTGATTCACAGCGACACTGACCTTCCTGTCTTTAATTTCCCCATCTCAAAAAAGGAAAGAACCTTTGTTTTTAGCTCCTTTTGAAGCTTAAGTGTTTGAGCTGCCGGTTTGCTATAATTCGGTGGCAATTTAGGTTCAAAACCCCTGCGGCAGACACATGAGTCAGAGGTCAAAAAAGCAGCCTCTTCTCTTGGATCCCTCTTGAGAGCCTCCTGCTCGTCTTTTCCCTTATTCCTGGTGGCAGTCTCATCTCTCCAGCCCTTGTCAGCACATGAAAGGGATTTCTCCCCGTTTGTGTTCCTTCCCTGGATTTTCCTGCAATGCGTCCCAAAGGAGGAAGGGGTTAGATTTCTCTGGTAGGAATGCTGGGGAAACGTCCTTCCCAAAAGCCTCGTTCAGATGAAAGGACATCTGGGTCCAGGTTGAATAAGCTCTTCAACTTTTGAAGGAATCAGATAGGCCTTGGAGGGTGTGTTGGTTGGCAGGGAAGTTTGGGTGTAGCCATCCAAATTTAAAGTGCTGCTGTGTGCTCTTTAACCCCAAAGCTTCTCTTTTAAGACTGTGCTACATGCACAGATGCCTGCACACAGGAGGAGAGGAAGAGCTGAGTCTGGAGACCATCAGCTGGGCATTAGATCAATGGCGATGCCTACCCACAGGGTGGAGTTTTATCAATTAAAAAATGAGGCAGCTTTCTGTGTAATGATGTGGAACAACCCCCAAGATAAATGGTTAGGCACGAGATGGAAAGGTTTAGAAAGACTGAGAATTCCCCTGAAATGTTACCTACAGAGGGGCCTTTTCCAACCAGCTTCTTTTCCTTTGGGAGCCCAGGAAGGGGTTCCTGGAGTCCCAGGCAGCACACACAGCGTGTGTGCGCACATGCAAAGTCCTCTCATGGGCTTGTGATCCCCAAAGGATTGAAAGCCACTGTGTGAATCTGACCTGAACTGCCTGCCATTCCACTGATGGGGAAACTGAGGCTCAGACTTCCCCTGACCTGCCAAGCAAGTTGGTGCTAAGGTCCACCCATTCATCACATTTTCTGAGCAGCCAATGTGTCTGGCAGGGCTCGGCATTCGAGGCCCAAAAGTGAATGTGATACCACCCTTATCTTCCACGAGGATGGAGATCAGTGAGGGAGGTTGTCATGGCAACACATATATGCCCCTGAATGTGCCAGGACAGAGGGTCAGCATTGGCTTCAGAGGCGCAGTTGTTCTCAAGCTCAGCTTTGGAGGATGGGGAAAGGCATTCTGGTGGCAGGAACAGCCTGAGAGAAGATGCAGAGGTGTGGAATATTTGGCCAGCTCGGTGTGGACCACCGAATGTTGCGTTGTCTGGCTCCGAGGAGTGGCAGGCGGGACTCCCCAGGCACAGTCAGGGAGGCCAGGCTTCCACACTTGGACTTGATCTCACAGGCCAATTCTGGACACAAGGATGGTCACGTCTGCTCCTGCATTGTGTGTTCCTGGGCCCTTCCCTCCGAGCAGCAGGCAAGGGTGGCCTGAGCGTCAGCCGCTCACCAGCTCTCTCTCTTCCCCTCCTCAGTTTGTTGAAGTTGAAGGACAGATCACATCCTTGGTTGATCTTTACCCATCCTTCCTAAGGAAGGGTTATCGTCGGGAAATCTTCATCGCCTTCGTGTGTAGCATCAGCTACCTGCTGGGGCTGACGATGGTGACGGAGGTAGGTGGCTCTCTCAGCTGTGTTTCAGGCTTGGTGCTCCAGTGCCCTCCTCAAGGCCATAGTGGAGGCAGCAGCTGGGTGAGAGGGCCAGGTAGGGGCTTCATCTCCCAGCCCCACCCAATTCAGGGGTCCTGCTTGGACCAACACTGGGGGTAGCACGAGGGGGCTCAGGAGCCCACAGCTGACCCAAACTACCCAATTATTTTGCCTGTTGCTGTGGCAACACTGTGACCACCCGCTGCCCTCTGTCCTGGGAAGAGGATCTTCAGCTGAAATCCATTTCACAACATCTCTGTTCACCCCTGACTGTGTGCCCTTCTCAGGCCTGGGGGTGGGGTGGAGACATTCTCAAGGGTAAACGCAGGCCTCCCAGGAAATACCACAGCACCACGTAGAGGTGCACCACCTTGCAGGTCACCTGCCACAGGACCGAGTCCTGGTGGGTATGGGTTGATAGGGGGCACATACACTATTCAGAGGGTGAGCAGGGGCCAGGAGGAGGGGCGATTTCAGATGCAGACAAGGGAAGCAAAGAGCAGAAGGGAACGGGAACGTCTAAGACGTGTCTAGCAAGAGGCAAGCCAGATGAGATAAAGATTGTACTAAGAATGGAAGCCTAGCATCAAAGCCAGGGCACGCTCTCTCCTGCATGCCCCCCCCCACCACCTCCCCTGTTCCCCAGGAACGGGTCCCATTTAACAGTTCTCCGAAAACCCAATTCAGGGCTTCACTTCACCATTTTTCCTTACCAGAAGTAAAAGTGTTTTTCTGGAGGTATTTGTAAGAACCCCCACCCCAGAAGTCAGATTTTAGGGCCACTCACTGAGCAGCTGGGTGACCCTGGAGTCTTCTCTGTCAGCTGCACTTGGTGTGAAGCACCTCCTTGGGAAGCAGGCTCCCGTGGACCCATCATTTTGCTTTCATTTATCTGTATGTGTGTTTTTAATTACATTTGTCAAACATGAAGTTGAGCATCTTTTTGTATATTTATCTGGTCATCAGAGTCTTTGTCCATTTTTCTCTTGGGTTTTTTTAATCTTATTGATATGCCAGAGCTCTTTGTATATGAAAGAAATTGGAGACCAGGTAGGAAATCGACCTTCTGTGGTTTTTTTCTTCACAGGGTGGCATGTATGTGTTTCAGCTCTTTGACTACTATGCAGCTAGCGGTGTATGCCTTTTGTGGGTTGCATTCTTTGAATGTTTTGTTATTGCCTGGATATATGGTGAGTACAGATTTTTTCATGTCCTTTCTCAAGGCTCTCCTTTGGGCTTCTCTACTTAGAAGCTTCAGAAGCAGAGAATACTAACAGAAATTCAATTTGAGTTGAACAGTAGGCCCTCCCTACCTAGACTACACAAATAATCTCACTGTAGCCACACTGAAGATCCTCCTGGTGCTAAAGGTGTGAGGTGTGACTGGATGTTTTCACAGTTTCAGAACTTGGTTGTGCAGGACCTGGAATACTCCTTTTTTATCTCCTTGAGGCCTTGGGTTTGAGTTTGGGCTGTGCCTAAGATTGCACACCTAGGGTTTGGAGTGTGCCTCAGATTGCCAGAAAAATACAAGATGCAGAGTTATATTTGAATTTCATGTAAATGTCTGTTTTTGCCACACTTGTATATCCATGGTGTGGAGATGCAGAGGCCTGGATCAGGTCCCAGAGACCCCACTCATGGCCCCTGAGCTGCTGCTGGCCTTGAACGCTGTGTCAGAAAATGTCCCCCTCTGTCTCTTGCAGGAGGTGATAACCTTTATGATGGTATTGAGGACATGATTGGCTATCGGCCCGGGCCCTGGATGAAGTACAGCTGGGCTGTGATCACTCCAGTTCTCTGTGTTGTGAGTTCCATTTCTGTGGCTCTGGCTGGTGGCCTCTTCTCCCTGGGGCTTGACATTTTCACCCGCTAAACCATCTTTCATGCAGCATCTGTTCAGCGTGGGCTTATAATAAACCCAGCTTCAGCGCTGCCTGGGAGAGGGGAGGAAGGCTGCTCCAGGGAGTTAGCTTGAGTTGAGTTTTGAAGGATAAGTAGGAATTTGTCAGGAGTAGAAAACAAGAAGGGCATTTCTGGCAGAGGAGCCAGCCTGTGCGGGGCCAAGGCATCCTAAAAGAAGAGGGTGTATCTGGAGCATGTTGAGAAATCCAGGGGATCCAGAATTGAAAGCACATTCTTTCCCCAAACCTTCCAGAGCGCATGAGCTCTGTTTGGGTCACTGGGGAAGTAGAGGGGCCTTTGGGATATCTAGTAGAGAGGTCATAGACATTGGAAATGGGGTGTTTCCATGGAGAGGTGGGGGTAGTAGCTTAGAGAGGGGAAGTCCTGGGTTCTCCCAAGGATAGGGAAGCTTTGGACTCACCCAGGCCCAAGGGTATCAGTGTGCCACGTTGTTCTTCCCACGAGGATGCTCTCGCCCACCATGTTGGAGTTGGCCTTGGCACCTGCCCATGCAGTCTGCTTCATGGTCGCACTCCAGGGTGCCAGTGAGTGGAATTCCTCCATGGCAAAGCCGTCAGGGTTTGCAATCACTTGTGATCATTGGAGCTTATTGCCAGGGAGACCACATCCATCCTGCCATTCACGGCTCCACTATGGGGAGCACAAATGGCCCAATATTCCTTGGATTTAGGAGACAGGTGCTGAGGACAAATAGGCCCTCCCCTCCGTGACCTGCTATCAGGCCAGACTAAGTCAATGTTGCTGTTAACTCATGATATGACCTCAAGCAAGTCACTTCCCTCTGTGAGCCTCAGTTTCCCCACTTGTAAAACCAGGAGACTGTGAAGGAGGACCCCGGTGGCAGCTGACGACCTTAGACTGTTACTGTTATTTAATATGCATATGAAGCCTTTTCCTCTGAAGTGCAGACTTTCTCCCACAAAAATAAGTAATGGTAAGAGCCAGTAACCACAACAATTGGTGAGTTTATCTTTGGAGATGAGTTTAGTTGGCCCACCTGTGTTCTCATCCTGGTTTAATGTTTGCTTGTGGGCAGCTCTTCTCAGCACTCTGACCCTCAGTTTCCTTATCTCTCTCCCTGAGGAGCTGGATACGTCAGAGATAGGCTGCATTCCCAGGTGGTGAGATGAGGTCACCCTCATGGAGAGGAATGGGAAACAGGCAGGCACTGGCTCAAGCTCCTCCTGCTTGGGAGGGCCCAGGGCAGCATCTCTTGGGACTCACTCATCTGAGCCACAGCCCTACACGTAGGGACGGGAACAACAGCAGGGCCAGACGTGCAGTTGGTGCCCAGTAAAAGATGCCTGCAGGCTAGTGCTCTCCCTTGCCCATCACCGACTCTGCTTTAGAAAGATGCATCTTCCTGTCAAATCCCAGTTACTAGGTGTTGAAGAGTTAGGCCATTTTCACATTATGGAACAATCAGAGGCCACCCTGGGCCCTCCTCAGAGATGCTGTCATTCTGACTAGAAGCAGAAGCCCCGGGAGCCCCGAGCCAGCCTTAGGTGCTCTTCTCACAGGGAAAGGTGGGCTTTGCTCCCTTTAGAGGCACAGGGCTGACCCCACCCCACCATTCATGCATGCTGATGGCCACTAGCCATTAGCATGGACCCAGGGCTGGGCTGTGGACACCGAACAGGGCAAGGCTCAGGTGCCCAGGCCCCTGCTGCTGGTGGCTCAGAGATAGACATGGAGGGTGGCAGTGGGGGAAGAAAGGCTTTCATCTACGCTGCTAGCACTTATGGTGCACTTGTTGTATGTACCTGGAGCTGCACTGGGTGTTAAAGAACTAGGACAAGACACACACATTCCTACTCTCAGACTCACAGTCTGGCAGAACACGTGTGCCCAAGAGATGGTTACAACCACTCGCTTTCTGGAAGGAGAGGTATGGGTGGTGCCTGGGCAAGTAAGGCAGACCCAGTGGAGCCAAGTTAGGATGAGAAGATGTGGGGGAAAGAGGGCCAGGCAGAGGAAACAGCCCATGCCAAGACCCAGAGTTCAGTGACAGAGGAGCTAGAAGGAATTCTTCAGGGTGGCTGGAGTGTGGACACGGAGGGAGAGTTGAGGCAGATGAGGGAGGAAGGGGTACAGCTTCTGCTGACACTCCCGGCTGCACCGAGGAGTTTGGGCTGCATCTGCTGGCACTGGGAGCCACAGAAGGGTTTTGAGCAGGGAAACGACTTACTGTGTTTTTACCGGGGCGGGGGGGATCCTTATGGCAGCAGAGAGGGGTGTGAGTTCTGAGCCAGTCCTTTCCCAAGGAGAGAGACCCTTCCCTCAGGTTGAGGCCAGTCCTAGTCCCAGAAGCCCCCCACCCCCCGATGCCCAGGACCCCTCTCCTGACTGCCCCCATCTCTCCGCAGGGATGTTTCATCTTCTCGCTCGTCAAGTACGTACCCCTGACCTACAACAAAACATACGTGTACCCCAACTGGGCCATTGGGCTGGGCTGGAGCCTGGCCCTTTCCTCCATGCTCTGCGTTCCCTTGGTCATCGTCATCCGCCTCTGCCAGACTGAGGGGCCGTTCCTTGTGGTAAGTGCTTGGGCCCAGGGCCAGGGGAGGTGGGAGGCGCGAGGCCAAAGGTGATTGTTGTCAGTTTGCTGCGTGATCTCAGGCAAGTCACCTGCCCTCTCTGAGCCATAGTTCCCTCACCCATCCAGTGGTTCAGCTTATGGGCAGCAGAGTGCATTGTGGGAAGACGGGAAGCAAGTAGAGTTCACATGGGAGAAGGCTTTATGGAGACATTGGAAGCCGGGCTGTGGGGTGAGGAGGAACTTGCCAGATGGAGAATGTGAGAGGGAAGGTGTTCCTGGTGTTGGCAGAGTTGGGGTGGGCAGTGAGGCTGGAGAGGTGACTGTAGCTTTGGATGCCAAGCTAAGAGCTGGGGCTTTATCCTGGGACCAGTGGGGCCATGTTCCTGAAGCGGTGGGACAAAGCCAGGAGCCTAGGGAGGAAGCCTGAGCCCCACCCAGATGCCTTCTTTTATTGAGGAGCCAAATTTAGGATCATCCCAGCCCATGCTGGGGTCTTCTCCGGATCTGTGGCGGCAGCCAGACCTCTGCCTCTGTGCCTGCTGGGGCCTCCCCTGGCCCCACCTACCTTCAGCCTCCTCTCAGAAATTCCTCCAACAGCCCTGGAGATCCCAGGCCCTGGCAAAGGCCCTACTCTTTCCAAGAAATTCTTTTCTCAGAATCTCCCTTAACCTTTTGAGCTTGGGCTGGCTCCAAGAGTGCACTGTTTTGTTCTGGGCTGTTTTTATTGTTATTCTCTTTTAAAAATCTGGAGCCAGGATGTCCTGGGGCCCTGGCTCCCTGCTGGGCTGGGTCCTGTTTCCTCCTGGGCAGGGGAATGGCCTGGAGGTGGTGCTGGTGGCAGGGGAGGGAGGGGAGACTGAGGAAGCTGGCAGGGCAGGAGGAAATCCTTGAAACTGGGGGGGCCCCTGGGGTTATCCTGGAGCTTTTGACCCATTCTATTTTTTCAGAGGACAGAGGGCAGCACCCCAACCAGTCTTTAGCCAGAACGCTAAATGGCCCTATGAGCTGTTAACAGACTGAAATACTGGGCCTGGGGACAGGCAGGGAACAGTGACTGTCCCGAGCCCTCCAGGTGACCCCACAATACTCCAGGCCAACCCAACCAGAGTTTCCAGAATGTCCTTACTGTCCAGAAGCCAAAGGGTTCATTAGGGCACAGCAAGGGGTCTCTAAAGGTTCTGATTGGTCTAGGGGTCTCTGCTCTGATTGGTGAGTGCCCAAAGCAATTACATACCATTGGTTCAGGGGGACACCCAACAGGTCACTAACTTGGTGTCCTTCAAAGCCTCATTTTAAAATATTGGTCCAGCCCACATTTAGAAGTTTGGGTGGAGTGGGGTTGGCATGGGGGAAAGAGGTGGGGGAGTGGGTGAGGGCAGGCTTCACCCCACACTGGTACCCCGTCCTCCTGTGCCAGTCTGACTTCACCAAAGGCCCCTGTGAAGGCAGTTGAGCCACCATCTGTCTGTCTTTCTTTATGTGCCCCTCAGGGGCTCCCACCTGCACAAGTCATCAAGGTGTCCTCCCAGCCATGAGCTTCTCTCTGAGCCAGGTTCTGGCAAACCCAGATCTCTGTCCCAGGATGGTTCCAGCTCTGCCTGAGCCTCCTGTGTAGGCAGAGCCCCAAGTGGCTGCCTGGGGGTTTGACTCTCCTCCGCCCTCCCAGGCACAGCCCATTGTATGGATGTGGAGAGGCAAAGTGATGGAGGGAGAGCTGGCAGGTGGCTCAGGTGAGGGAAGTCATGGGGGTAGGGCTGGGAGCAAACTGGAGAAGGTGCTACAAGGAGGGGACCTGGGCCTGGAGTTGCCAGATCTTGCAGCTTTTCAAGAAAAGATGGAAAACTGGATTTAAAAACAAAAAAAATAGAGACAGGGTCTTGCTCCTTTGCCCAGGCTGGAGTGCAGTGGCTCAATCACAGCCTCAAATTCCTGGGCTCAAGCAATCTTCTTTCCTCAGCCTCCCGAGTAACTTGGACTACAGGCACGTACCACCATGCCTGGCTAATTTTTAATTTTTTTTTTTAAGAGTTAGGGTCTCACTGTGTTGCCCAGACTGCCTTTAAATCCTGACCTTGAGCGATCCTCCTGCTTCCCAAAGTGCTGGGATTACCGAAAACTGGGTTTTTAAATGAAATACTGTAGCTTTTAATAAGCAGCTTTTAAAAATTTGTAACATACCTAAGTTGAATATAAATGCCTAGAAAGAGGGCTTGTTGTTTTGTTTGTTTGTCTTTCAACTGCTGGCCTATTCAAGTCTCTGAGTTGACAGTTGGCAAGAGGTGGACTGGGGAGTGGGAGTCTGGTTGAGTCCCAGTTCTGACATGGATTTTCTGGGTATCCTTGGAGAGGGACACTCAACCAACTGTGAGGACAAAACTCACCCTGCTCAGGAGTGATCTAGAATTCCCATGCAGCTCCTATCTCTTGGAAGGGCAGCTCAAATGCGAGCAAGGTTCTCCAAGCCCTTAAGATGTAAACCCTGCTGGGAGGACTGGATGCCTTCAGGAAACTAGGGAAGACCTGTCTCTGCAAGAAGGCAGGAAGTGTAGCTTATGGGAGGCTGAGGAGTTTGGAGTTTCTCCTTGGGGAAGGTGGGAGCCATGGAGGCTGAAGACAGTTGTCCAACTCAGGGCATACAAATGAGAGGAACTCAACTGCTGCTTTGCAAGGCAGAGAAATCAGAGGGAGAGAATCACAGGGAGGCATATTTTAGTTCCATAGAAGAAAAAAAGCACATGAAGGTTGAGTCCCCCATCCCTGTAGGAACGTAAGCAGGGGTTTGGCCAAGGAAGGAAACCACCAACAGGAATTCCGCCTTGAGTCAGGGCCTAGTGGCACCTTAGGAGCGCCTTAGTTCAATTCCATTATTTCCAAAAAGGACAAAAACAGGAGATCAGAGAGGGTGTGAGTTTACCAAAAACCAAACAGCACATGAGCCAATTCAGGAGGAGGCAGATGGCCCTGGCGAAGGGGAGACCAGGCCGCCTGACGTTTCCCCCCTCACTCCTGTCATCCTTCTCCAGAGAGTCAAGTACCTGCTGACCCCAAGGGAACCCAACCGCTGGGCTGTGGAGCGCGAGGGAGCCACACCTTACAACTCTCGCACCGTCATGAACGGCGCTCTCGTGAAACCGACCCACATCATTGTGGAGACCATGATGTGAGCTCTCTCGGGTCGACGGGGCCGGCGGCTTTCCTGCTGTTTACTAACATTAGATTCTCATAGGACCAGGTTTACAGAGCTTTATATTTGCACTAGGATTTTTTTTTTTTTGTAATTGTCACAGAAAATGTAATTGTGGGTATGTGTGCGTGCGTGTGTGTGTGTGTGTGTATCGTGTGTGTGTGTTTTGTTTTGATTTGGGGGATATTTTGTACAAAAAGAAAACCCACGGGAAGATGTCCGTGGAGAGGCAGAGCTTTCATACTGAATTAGATGTATTTTATGGGAATTTGGTAAATTTTTCTTTGTATTTTTTTTTTTACATATAAGTATATATACACTTAGAGATTGTCATATACTTTTACCACTTGAATTGATCTTCTTGCCAGCAATAGATCTCATTTTCAAAAGCAATTCTTCGGTGCTGTGTAGCTGGCAGAAAGTTCTGTCCAGTAAACGCAGGATGGAATTTTCCTGGGACTCTACACCCATCTTAAGGTGGTATACCTTCCAAATCCTGGTTCAGATGGAAGAAATAGCAGGAGAGAGGACCCATTAGCTGGCAGACCCAGGGGGAAGAAAGGAGGGCTGTGAGGAGATACCTCATTAAACTTGGCTTAGTGAAGAAGAGAGATGCCAAAGGAATGAACCAACCCTTCACATAAAGGAGACTGGCTGAAGCTGAATGAGGAGGCCCTATAGCAGAAGTCTGATTCTAAGAGCAGTAGAAACTTGTACCAGAAGCAAAATCCCACTTTTAATTTTGAGATGGTGAGTGGATAGTCAGTAGACCGTCAGAACCACTGGCCAGAGAGGGAGCTGCTAGAGATCCAAGAAGGCTGGCAGGAGTGAGGCTCACAACTCAGCCTCGCAAGAGGTGGCAGAGGCACAGGAGGCCACAGTCCTTCCTGGGGCATTCCAGGCAGAGAAGGAGCAGAGGCTCTCCCGGCAGGAGCTGGGGTCTCAGGGCTCAGATGAGTCTGTTGCATTTGAATGGGGTCATAGCAGGTTCTGGTCATTCCCCAAGCAACATCTCAGCATCTCTTAAAGTTGCCTGCAGGAATGAAGCATGACATACCTGTTGAGGGACTAGGGGAGTGGTGGGGAGGTGAGTGGACCAAAGGATATAGGCCCCAGGCATGCAGATGGGCCCGGTGTCGGGGAGGGGTGCTTTCTTTCCTCATCTCCCCACTCCCCACTCTCAGCCTGGGAGACTCCTGCCAAGCCCTCATTAAAGATGCCACCCTGGGCTGCCCTGGCACCTAGCAAGGCACACCAAGAACAGCTTTTGAGTCTGTATCCTCCACTGGGGGAAGTGCTCCCAGTTCAGAACAAGGGCAGCCCGTGGTGCTGACCTAGGATATAACAAAGCTCTTCACTTCAAAACCCCTGCAATAGCTGGGTTTACAGACATTTACCACCTGCGGACCCAAAAGAGAAGGCCTAGGAGAGTTTTCTAGAAGGTTGGGATTGTCAGGGTCCTGGCCCCTCAGAACTGGCTTGATCAAGGGCCTTATGTGGAGCAGAGGTTGTCTCTGAACCAGGAGAGAAGGTACTATACCTTTCAAATCCCCAGGGCAGACACACCCCCACCCAGCCCCTATTTGGACCTAAACTGTGCCATTTGAACAGTCACTTCCAAGCTCAGTCTAAATGAAACCGAAACGTGACCACGCACAAAGGCAGTCACTGCCTCGAGGGGTGCAGACCGCAGAATTTTCACAGCAGGGGCTCTTGGAACCCTGGAAACCCCCTTCTTAAATTTGGGAGGAGGAGTATGCCTTTGGTGTCCCCCTCCCAAGGGGCAATTCTGAACCCCATCTTTGGCAGGCATACATATTTCACTGTTTCCAAAGCTATCTACTCTGCCAAACAACACCCAGTCCTATTCCAAACTCTCAACGATTCTATCTTGTTCCTGTTTTTCTATGTATTTATGGTTGCCGTTTGTGTCTGATTTGATTTTACTGTTTTTTCCCTGATTTTATGGAGTAGCATTGTGACCTGTTTTCCTTTGTCTTATATAACTTTAGTAAACTAACCACTGTCAATGATTGAGGGCAGGTGGCACGTGGGGAAGAGGGGACTTGGCACGCAGTGGCTACCTGGGCATTTGTGGTCATTTCAGTTTCCATCTCCCCAGCGGGGGCTCCCTGGGTGAAAGGCCACAGTATTTTGGGTTGGTAGGCAAATTGCAACATTCTGGACATGGCCTGAGGAAGGCCTCTTCTTATAAGATTCTCAGACCAAATTCTAGACCAAAGACACAGGCAGACCAAGTCCCCAGGCCCCGCCTGGAAGGAAGTCGTTCCTCAACTCTCCCCAAGGCACCTGTCTCCAATCAGAGCCCTCTCGCCCAGCCAGCCCTGGCTCTGTGTGCAGAGCATAGCTCTGCGAGTACCTGTGTAATAATGCTCAACCTTCATGTCTCCGTATAAACGAAACTTTCCATGAGAGCTCATGACTCTGGTCCACCTGTCTATAGAGAATGGGCAAAGTCCTTCACCTGCTTTCTGCTTGGGATGGGTCAGAAATGCTGATGCCCGCACATAGCCCAGCCAGCCAGATCTGGAAAGGAAGCGAGGGGGTTGTTTAAATCAATTTTTTAAGATGAAGAAGTGGGAGACACTGCGTTGAGATGGGCCATGCTAGGGCCACAGAGATTTCCTGACGGTCAGGGAGAGAAGGGCCTCCAGGGTCCCCTAACCCAACGCCCTTGTTGTAAATGAGGTAACTGAGGCTCAGGGAGGCACTGTGAGCCAGGAATGGATTTTCTTGAAACAGCTCTAGCTGCAGGTTCTCCGAGGTAGGTGCAGGGAATGGTGAGTGTCTAACCAGGGCTACATCCAGCAACATCCTCAAGGTCTTCCTGACAACCAAAGACAAGCCTTTATGGAAAAGGAAATGCGCTCCCCTCCATGTTCAGGGATGAGGGGAGCAGCAGCAGCCACACTCCCACCATCCTCACAGAATTCCTGGACCCATGCGGTGGCTCCGTGAGCTGGGTGACTCCAGCCTCACCTGCACACCCCAGCCCTGCACGGGGCCCTCCTTCCTCCCAGCAGCCCTTGGTGAGCTAGGAATTGAGATCCCTGTTTGTGAAAGAGGGAACTGAGGTGCAGAGAAGCCAGAGGTGTGCCAGATCCTTAGGCAGGATTTAGATGAAGTCGCCCTGGCTCCAGACTGACCCCGAGGCTCTGCGGGGAGTTTCCAGGCAGCAGGAAGTGGCCTTGGATGCTCTCCTTCCAGGACAGCATAACCCCTGGGCCATGTGCAGCTCCTTCACTGCCCCCTGGATCCCCAGCATACCCCCAAAGACAGTGGGGAAACACAAGGGGAGAGCACAGCATGGCCCCTCCAGCCCACTTCAGGGCACTCTTGTATCACCCGGGTACCGCCACACTGGTCCCCCACCCAGCCAGCATCTCCCAGCACAGCCCCTCTCCCTGGGGAAATGCTCTGGGTAGCCAGTCTAAAGGCAGAGGCACCTAACTGCTCCCCGCAGCCCACCCCACCCAAGATTCAGACACAAGCCAGGAAAGGACCCAAGAGAAAATCCTTCAAGGTGGCCTGAGGTCCCATCCCTCCCTCAGACCCATGTGGTCCCAGGCCAGGCTGCCTGGGACACGGTAAATACCACTGTGTGCAAAAATCGAAGTACAAAACCACAAGACTAAACAAAACAAACCCAGAGAGCCAAACTTGTAGAGGTGGGCAGTCCAGAAAGCAGGGGGCAGCCCTCCCCCTTTCCTTCTCTCCCTGATCCTCAGAATATATATTGTTGTAATAGGAAGCATTTTTGCATTGTTCTCTTGTGGGTGTCACTACAGACATGTTCTGGCGTGTTCTCCGAGGGATGGAGCATCCTGTTATATATTTGACTTCAAATTGAGATGTTGGCTTCATTTTTTTTTTTTACCCAATTAATCTCCCAATCCCTAGCAACTGTGACTCTGTATTTAGCACAAGAGAAAGCTGAGAATGTGGGTCTTGCCTCCTTCCAGAAATATGTCTGGCTCATCAGGACATTTTTTTAAAACTTCAAAATATTTTTAAGATATTTTAAACTTTTATAAAAAAAAAATCAACCAACAAGAGACTTTTCTGAGGAGGAACATTTGTATTTGAACAAGATCCTTGGTGTGTAGTTCAGTCTTGCAGTATACAAGCTTTTGTGTATAAATGTTTTATGATATGATTCCCTGTATTTTGCAGGGGTTTTTTTCTCTTTTGCTTTTTAGATAAATATGTATATCAATATTTTAAATTCATCTTTGCTTTTTTTAGAGGAGTTTGTAATCACCTTATAACATGAAAATAAACATTTCCTTTTTAACATCCAACATGTGTGGGTTGTGTTCTGGTGAGGTATTTCCCCCTCAACGTTTGCCAAACGCTTTACATTTTATAAAGGGCTTCCCGTCCAATCCCAGGACGCTCCTCAAAGGTAGGTATTTTCCCAGGTTAGAGGTTCCCACATGGAGGCTCACAGAGGAAGCAGCTTGCTCACTCAGGGGTACACAGCAAGTCCATGAAAGAACCTGGATTCGCACCCGGGCCCATGAGCTCTTGGCTCTACTGGCTCTACTGATTCTACCTGCTACATGCCCAGCCCTGTACAGCTGGGAGATCTGGCAGCAGTCACCTGAGCCTCAGTTTCCCCATCTGGAATAAACCATTGTCCCCATCAAGGCCACCAGGATGATTGGAGGTGATGCTCTTGGCCTTAGGTGCTCACCTGCTGCGGCTTTCAGTCCCTCCTCTTTAGCCTTGGGCTGACCTGCCAGAAGGGCAGAAAGCGGGTGGCGGAGTGGGGGAAAGGGTAGAGGGGGAGCAAACCTGATTGCCCTTCTCCCACTCCCCCACCGTCAGGTGCAGGCGCTCATTAATACCCAGTTAGGGGCTCTCTGGGGTCACAACAGGTCCATGTTTGGGGCAGCCTTCCTGCCAACAGCGCCCCCCACCCTTTGGGATGGACAAACTCGGGAGTCAGTTGAGCCCTTTGCCCAACTAACCAGACAAAATTCTCAGTAACTCATTTATAGACAATGTTAGAATAGAAGACCACCCTACCCCCATTTTCTGGCTCTTTCTGACAGCCTATGCCTACCTGCCTGCCTCTCTCTATGTGTACTGGGCCATGTGGCTTGTGTTCAAGCCCTGGTTCCATCCCTTACTACCTGTGTGGACTTGGGCAAATTACGTAACCTCTCTGTGCCTGTTTCCTCATCTGTAATGATGGGACAGGAATAGAGCCCACCTCCAAAGGCTATTGGGAGGATCCAGCAAGCTCTTGCAAAGCGCTTAGAGCAAGGCCTGCTGCCTCCCTTGGCCTTCCCCCTGCCTACACCACTCCCAAGACAGAGTACTCGCTTCCTGGAAAGAAGCTCTTCCTCTGCTCACAGAACTGTGGCCTCCCCAGTGGGGCCTGGCCCTGGCCTCTGGGTCCCAGACCCTGTAGCTCACCTGCCCTAGACACTCTCTGGACACTCCAGGGCAGCAGCCAGACCTGAGGCTGCCCTCCTGCCACTACCTTCCCAACCTGGGCTAAAGAGACTCCATATGCAGGCACCACTGCCTGCCTCTGGCTTTCTGCTGCGCAGAGAATCAAATTTGCTCCCCCTACCCAAGCCTTCACGACTGATTCCTGCTACCTCCAACCTAGTCTCCAGCCCCATTCCCCTCCCAGGCCTTCTTTCTCTTCCTTGAGACCGTCAAACTCGTTCCTATCTCAGGGCCTTTGCACTAGCTGTGCCCGCTGCCTGAGACACTCTTCCTCCAGGTCTCCATGGAGGCTGGCTCCTGTCTTCAGGTCTCATTGCAAATGTCGCCTCTTGAGAGAAACCCCTCCTAATATTGTGAGCTAAAGCCCCTCACCCTGGTCCCTCTATCCCGTTACTCCCTTGTTTTCTTTGTTGCACTTGATGCCTTTTGAAATAATTATTTATTTGCTTACTTGTTGATTGTCTGCCTGCCACCAGAATGTGCAGACATGACCTAAATCTGTCTGATTCATGTTGCCCAGGGGCTGGATGATGGAAGCAAATGGCAAACTTTTTGAATTAATGAATCATCAAAAGCAGGTGAGATGTCACCAGACCCATACAGAAGCTGACTCTTGCCAATCCATGATTTTTTTAAAAAGCAAACTTCTACTCTAGGTGGATTTAAATAATTTTATTTTAAAAAATCATCCCCATGGCACCTACCCCCAAGCCACTGCAACCCCTGGTGGGACAAAGACTTAGACGAGGGCCCCAAACAGACCATAAGCGGCCTTTGCAATACAGCCCCTTGTGCTTCCCGAGAGCCCTAAGAAAACCCGATGTAGAAAAATACTTTACAAGGAATGTGTTCTAATCTCAGCCAGAGAAAAATACAGCTTTGGGGGAGAGGGCAGGTGGAAGGGGACATGTCACAGGGGCTGTTCCCAAAATGCATAGGCAGGCAGGGCGCTCACTGGGGAAAGGTGTCAGGAAATTTCAAGTCGGGGATGAACCATCCCCATGAGAAGCCAGAAGAAATATTGCATATGAGGAGGCCGGCATGGCTGGGAGGCCCACCGCGGGCCTGATTGCATACTTTTGGGAGAATGGCAGAGGCCTCAGCCCGAGGAGGGAGGGGGGTATTAGTTAGAGTCGGGTGCATCTTCCCTCGCCTGGAGTCCTGGAGTCAATGCAGTTTTCCCAAGCCGAGAGGCCCTGAGAGTGTGTCCTGTCCAGCCCTGTTGCTTAGCAGAGGTCCAGAGAGGCTGAGCCACCTGTCCAAGGTCACACAGCTATGGCTGCTTGCATCCAGAAGCCACACCTCTGCTGTGCTGTCCCTCACCCTCAAAAGTGAGGGCTCTTGGCTTTCACTTGGTGCCCTGTGACAGGTAGACAGTGCCCTTTCACTCTGGGCTGAGTACACGGGAATCCAAGATAGCAGAGGCGCTGAGCACCCCAGGCACAAGCATGCAGGGCCCTCAGGGAGGGCACCAAGGGGCAGAGCCCAGCGAAGTGGAGGGGAGGGGTAAGGGAGGCAGGCCTCCAGGAGACAGCGTGGGCAGGTCCCCAAGGGGGCCTTGGTGGGTCGGCAGAGATGGTTCCGGCCCTGACCAGGAGGCCTGTGTCTGCTCAGACTGTCCACCCGTGATCGTCCAGAGGGGCTGGGGGTCCAACCCAGACAGGGTCACACAGCAAACAGGTAACAGACCCAGGGTGAAAAGAACAGACCTCTTGACTCCTCATCTGTTCCCTCAAATGGAAGAGCACTTTTCTGGCCTCCAGGGACCCCAGGTTGGAGACAGATGGAGGTGGGAGTGGGTGCCCCGTTTTCCTGAGACCCCTGTGAGAACTGGGCCAGGCAAAGCACATCCCCAGCCCTGGCTACACCTGCCCGCCCACTCCATCCCAGGCACCACTCACTAGACCACCAGGGGAGGCCCACACCCTTCTCAAAATGAAGAGGGTCTCTGATTTGTGGACACTGAGGACAATGATTTTAAGGGATGCTGGTGCTTCCAGATTTCAAGTGGGAATAGACTTCTTTGAATAAGCACTTTGGACACCCTCCACTGGGCAAGAGTGTCCCATCTTTTTCTCTGGCCCATTTCTCTCCCATCTCCCTCCCTCTTTCTCCTCTTCCTCCACTGATCTGGCTGTAAAGAGGAGCGCTACCGCCTCACAGGTCCTGCGTCCATCGCTTTTCAATTTTCACTGGATGGCAGGTGAATGGAAGCTCCAGGGTCTTTTGCCCCAAAATGACCCCTCCCACATGGAGGGGCTTGGGCTGAGCGGACGTGCAGATGGGTCAGTGGCCACACGGCCTACAGAAGAAGCAGGAGGGCTGAGAGCCCAAGGCCCATAGAGCCTGCCCAATGGGCCCAGAACCACAGTCTCAAGTCCCAGAAGCTTCAGACTGAGATGCTGAAATCAAAGAATCACCCACTTTCAGAATCAAAGGGCCAGCACTTCCTGGGATCCCAGACGCCCCAACTTAAGAGTCTCATAAGTGGGGACCAGATTCTGGGAATCTCAGAATCTCAGGACTAGCAAGCCCCAAACCCCTATTCTGGAGAAGCGAAGGAGCTGGGCTCCCATCCGAAGCAGCATCCTTCCTGGTGGCCGAGTCTCTAGATGAAGTGGCTCCCCATCAGGAAGCCAACCCCCAAGCGCGTGTGCACGCATCATGGGAATGCCTCATACCCCAATGCATGACTGCGCTGGGGTATCCAGCTCCTGCCTGCTCACCTCCTGTGACCGAGAACTCACTCCTCCTTGCAGCTCATTCCAGCTCCATGGCTTTGCTGGGAGGAAGTGCTCCCTACATCTTCGACCTCTCCAAGGAGGCCCCACAGAGACCTGGGACAGCCCCCAGGCCTCTCTCCTCTCGGCTGAGCAGCCTGTGCCAACCCTTCTTAAGGGAGGCTCCTCTGGGCATCTTGGAGACCCAACTTGGCGAGAGACCCCAGCTGTCACTCCAACTAGGGCAGGACCTCCCTGCCTGGCACCCCAGTCACCACAGACCTGGGGAACAGAGACCAAGCATCATCCCAGGCTCAGAGTCTGCCAGACCAACAGATGAATGAGTGGGTGGCCGCTTCTCCAGCCCAGCTACGTGTCTGGGAGCCAGGATCTGCCTGGGTGGCCCCTTAGGAGTTCGGCCCACATGCTGACTTCAGAGCATCCGGGGACTGCTGGGGCCTGGCGATCGGGGGGCCCGGCTGCTGTGTGCCGTGTGCGGCTTGCGGCTGATGATCAGCTCCAAGACATCACCCGCCTCGGCCAGGAGTGGCACCGCCAGGCAGCAGTCGAAGTCCCGTGTACGGACGTGGTTGACCTGCATGGGGCACAAGCAAGGGAACAGAACCGAGATGTCAGCCCTGCTGCGCTGAAGGGAGCAAGAGGCATGTGATGTCCTAAAGATGGGTCCTGCCCCAGCCTTGACGCAAGCCCTGACATCACCAGCACCACACACAGAGGAACATTCTTCCTCTAACTCTCTCTCAGTCCTTCTGTTAGGTTTCATCAAAGAGAAAGTTCTAGGAAGGGGCAGGTATACCTTTCATACCCCTCTAACTCTTGCTTTTCTCCCTTTCTCACATGAAAGAGCAGACCACACACTCAGAGAGCCTCCTGCCTAGAACTGTGTGATGTGACATTGTCTTCTTTCTATTTTATTTGCATTTTACACCCACTTTCTATTTCAAAGCAAGGGGTGCAAGATTTTCACTCCTAATGGAGACAAAAAGTTTCCTTTCAAAGTCAAATGTAAATTGAAAAAGTGCCATCAATTTAGAGAAAACATGAATTGAGTAAATTTCATATAAATATGGCAAAAAACACACTGAGGGAGCAAAAATAGCCAGGGCATGAGAAGGGGCGGCACGGAGTGCCCAGTACACGATGTCCCACGCTTCCCAGGCTCCCTCACAGTTAGTTAGGAAGGTCACATGAGGGGTTTGGTCCATCGGCTGTGAAGCAAGGTGATGAGTGTTGCTTCTGGGTGAAGGCGGAAAAAATCCACGTGTGACTTTCCAGTCTGTCTCCTCTGCTGTGGAGTCTGAGGAGGCCACGTGTCTCAGAGGGTCAATTCCAAGATGGGCGGATGCTCCATCAGCCCGGGACAAGAAGGCCCCCACCAGCCCACAATGGGCATGGGGTGTAAGAAGAAAGGTCTGTGTGTGCTCAGCCTCTGAGGCTGAGGGTGCTGGGGCCCGCAATGCAACTTTGGCTAACCTGACTCAGACTTGCATTGTCCTGCCCTCTTCACAGGCGATAGATGCAGGCTCTTTCCCCACCCTCAGGCTAGGAAACAATGCCACCCCCACTATGGAGCCCCTGCCCCAGCATTACCTGCAGGACCCTGTCGAAGGGCTGGAGGCCTCCACGGTGGGCTGGCCCATCAGGGCGCACAGTGTGGACATAGACACCTTTTTCCAGGAGGCCATCTGAGACGCTGAAACCAAAGTCATGCCGCATGGGGTCCTTGTGCAGGGTCACCTGGAAGCAGAAGGAGGAGGAGGTTCCTGGAACTCTGACCTTTGCCCCCAGCCTCTCACAGTAGCCCAGGTCCTTTGGTCTGGCATTCAGCGCCTCTGGCCAGCCACACCCCCCAGGCTGCAGCACCCCAGCCTCTTGCCCCTGGGCCTTCAGCCACCCCCGCCACCCCGCTCCCTGCCAACCTCCCTCAGCAGATGCTCCAGGCCACAACACTCAAGTACGACGGAGCCCTTAGGAGTGACTTCCTTTCAGCCCTTTCTCTGTCCTCTGGCTCTATCAGGGAGGAGGCCTGGCCAGGGCACTGTTACCTCCCCTGACCGTCACTCATTCCCATTTACCAAAGAGCTGCTCAGAGCTTCTGAGGGCCATTGGCTAGGGGTTGTCCTCCTCCATATCTTTTTTGTTGTTGTTGTTTTTGTTTTCGTTTTTGTTTTTGAGATGGAGTCTTGCTCTGTCACCCAGGCTGGAGTGCAACGGCGTGATCTCAGCTCACTGCAACCTCCGCCTACTGGGTTCAAGCAATTCTTCTGCCTCAGCCTCCCGAATAGCTGGGACTACAGACGTGTGCCACCATGCCCAGCTAATTTTTGTATTTTTAGTAGAGGCAGGGTTTCACCATGTTGGCCAGGATAGTTTTGATCTCTTGACCTCGTGATCCACCCACCTCAGCCTCCCAAAGTGCTGGGATTACAGGCATGAGCCACCGCGACCAGCTCGTATCTTTTTATATAATGACCTATAGATGGCACAAGACACTGGCTTCTCATTGAAGGTAGGGATGTAAAGGTGTGAGATACATAGACGTCACACACACACGTAGAAGGGTTTATATGTTATATGTAAATATGTGTGTATGAGATATAAAATAACTTAAGGCCAGGCACAGTGGCTCACACATGTAATCTCAGCACTTTGAGAGGCTGAGGTGGGCAGATCATTTGAACCCAGGAGTTTGAGACCAGCCTGGGCAACCTGTTGAAACCCTGTCTCTAAAAAAATACAAAAATTAGCCAGGTGTAGTGGTGCATGCCTGTGGTCCCAGCTTCTTGTGGGGCTGAGGTGGGAGAATCGCTTGAACCCAGGAGGTCAGGGCCGCAGTGAGCCATGATCGAGCAACTGCACTCCAGCCTGGGCAGCAGAACGAGACCCTGTCTCAAAAAAATAAATACATAGATAAAATAACTTAAGTGGGGGGAAAAAAAGCACATCTACTTAAAGAAAAATAATAGCCCAGTGTGAATCACAGGTGTGCATGTGTGTGAGTGTGCATGTCACCCAAATGATGAGCATTTTGGAAAACTCAACCCAGTTTTGTGGTGGAGGAGACTAAAGCCCTGAGAGGGGCAGGGCCCCTCTGGAGTCCCACGACAGTGCTCATGGCACCAGAACACAGGTCCAGGTCTCCTGTGCTCACCCCCTGTGCCTACCTTGTGCATCTCCAAGGGTGTAGGCAGCAACAGCTCCTCCATTTCTGCAGGAGAGGCTCGTACCTCCCGGCCCCTCTGCCAAGGCCGGTGGCCAGGCCTGCCCTCGAGGGCCACCCTCTGCACGGTGCCCGTCATGATGGATGCCTGCAAGGAACACGGCCTTTCTTTCAGATGCTTGTTGGCTTGCCCCATCAGGCAGTCAGCATCCACTGACAACTACTATGTGCCAGCCACAAAAGGGACAATGGTGAACAGGACAGACATGGTCCCTGCCCATTGGGGCTGGGTCCAACAGCGGTGGAGTGGGAAGTCATGAACCAATCACACTAACAATGAGAACAATAATCACTGGCACGTAATCATTCGTGCCGACCCAGGGCTAAGTCAGTTCTTAGCACTTTACACCTATAACTCATTTTATTCTCTACAGTACAATGATGCAAGTAAATACCACTTTTTTCCACTTTACAGATGAGGAAACTGTTTGTCTCCTTAGAGATATAAAAAAGATTTGAACCCAGAGTCTAGTTCCAAAGTCAAGACTCTTTTTTTTTTTTTTTTTGAGACAAAGTTTTGCTCTTGTTGCCCAGGCTGGAATGCAATGGCACAATCTTGGCTTACCGCAACCTCCGCCTCACAGGTTCAAGTGATTCTCCTGCCTCATCCTCCTGAATAGCTGGAACTGCAGGCATGTGCCACCATGCCCAGCTAATTTTATATTTTCTTTTTTAGTACAGACGAGGTTTCTCCGTGTTGATCAGGCTGGTTTCGAACTCCTGACCTCACATGATCCACCCACCTCAGCTTCCCAAAGTGCTGGGATTACAGGCGTGAGCCATCATGCCCAGCCCCAAAGTCAGGACTCTTAACCACTCTACTACATTGCTAATCGCCAACATAAATAAGATAAAATTATGCACTGCAGTAAGTGTTACAGAGGTGAGGCACTCGGGAAGTGAGAGCCTGGGACAGGTGGCCCTCGTCCTGTGAGGGGTGGGGAAGCATCCAGAGCTGAAATTGAAAGGACAAGGACGAAGAGGCCCAGGGAAGAGTCCCTGGCAGAGGAAACAGCACGTGCAAAGCCCTGTGGTGGGGGGATCTGGAAGCAAACTCGGCGGCTGGTGGTGGCTGGGGGCCAGTCCTGCGGCGCCCTCTAGACCACAGTAAGAAATGTGAACTTCATCCCAGGAGCAGCAGGGAGCCCCTGAAGGACTGAAGCCAGGCAGAGAAGGTGACATAACCAATGTGTGGATCTAGAAGCATCTTCCGACTGCCACATGAAGACTGGGCTGCAGGAGCGGGAGTGGAGGCTGGGAGGAGATCTGTTAGGGGTCATGTAGTGGTCCAAAGAAAAGACAGTGGTGTTCTGGACAAGGATGGTGCCAGTGGGGAAGGAGAGAAGGAGTGGAGTTAGAACGGGCTCAGGAAGTGAGGGCTGAGCAGTTGGAAATGCCGAGCTCTAAGCTGCCAGTCAGGAGTATGTGGCCCTGAGGGAAACAGCTTCACACTCAGGCTGGGAAATCCAGAGATGGAGGTGGGGGTGCTGGAGCTGCTGGGAGGGGAGGATGGACTTCTTACTCTAACATCGTGCAATCTCACAGGCACACAATTGTCTCCCCAGCCTAGAAACATCTCTCCTTCTACCCATCACAGTATCTGAATTCCCACTATTAGTGCATAGTTCTATCTGACCATTTGGGGTGCGGGGGGTTGGTCTTTTAGGGATCCCCTAAGGGAAAGTAGATTATGATTAAAATGTTTTACGTTGGTTGTGGTGGTTTATGCTTGTAATCCCAGCACTTTGGGAGGCGGAGGCAGGAGGATTGTTTGAGTCTAGGAGTTCAAGACCAACCTGGGCAAACATAGCCAGACAACCTCTCTACAAAAAATACAATTATTAGCCAGGTGTGGTGATGCATGTCTGTGGTCCCAGCTACTAGGGAGGCTGAGGTGGGAGGATCAGCTGAGCCTGGGAGGTGAAGGTTGCAGTGAGCTGAGACCATGCCACTGCACTCCAGCCTGGGCAACAGAGCAAGATCCTATCACTAAAAAATAAAAACTGTTTTAGGGCCAAACTGTTGGGTTGGAGTGGGGGGGAAGATAGGAAACCGAGGGAGGATATTGAATGAGGAGGCAGAGAAGCACCTTTTTCACACCTTAGAAGTGATCTTCACCTGCCTGGGAGCCAGCATCCAAAAGGAAAATCCAAGACTCCTCATTTTGGGATAATAAGAGTTATTAAAACACAGAATCAGGGAGTCCAGGCATCACAGGGTCTTGGACCCCTAAAATTGTAGAATTCAAGGACTTCCAGTTAAAATGCAGACTGAGCTGATACAGGAAGTTCACACCTCCCTTCAAACACGTAGAGATGATAGATTTCAATTTGTTAAATAAACACTTTCAAAGCAAGAAAGAAAAATTCAGAGACAGGCATGAGCAGGAGTGGAACTGTCTGGCTTATGGAAGTTAGTGGCCCATGGAAGGTAACAACGAGACATACGCGTTTGGAGCTGGGGTACTGTTCAGGGAAAAAGACAGTGCTGTCTCAAAGCAGGAAACTGGGTACCATTCCAGAAAGCGAGTGCCATCTCATTGCTGGATAGAGACTGGAAAATGTCTGCCCACAGGGGTACAAGAAAGGAACCACCAGGACTTGAACAGGCGGGGAGGGGGAGGATCACTTGTGACAAACTAGAACCCTTAGCGTGACCTCCGCATGAAGGTGGGGCCGGAATCTGCCTTCCACAATAGTGCAGAAACACTGAGCTGAGGAATTACTGTCAAAACCAGTCTGGAGCTGGTGAAGTTCAAAGGCCACAGCCAAGACAAAGTGAGGAGCGATCTCACTGATGCATCGACAACGCAGAGCGCAGCAAGGCGGGTGCCTGGGAAGGGACCACAGCTGGAAGCAGTGCAGTGATGAGATGAAAAAGCCCACCTGCCCACAGACAAAACAAGTCGGCGAATCCATACTCAGGGAACTAAAAATAATAGTGAAGTCAAAAGAAACTTGAGAACCGGCATGGTGGCTCACACCTGTAATCCCAGAACTTTGGGAGGCCAAGGCGGGCGGATCGCCAGAGATCAGGAGTTCAAGACCAACCTGGGCAACATGGTGAAACCCTGTCTCTACCAAAAAAAAGAAAAAAAAAAATTAACCAAGCGTGGTGGTGCATGCCTGTAGTCCCCAGCTACTCGGGTGGCAGAGGCAGGAGAATTGCTTGAACCCAGGAGGTGGAGGTTGTAGTGAGCCAAGCGAGCCAAGCCAAGATCATGCCACTGACTGCACTCCAGCCTGAGCAACAAACAGAGTGAAACTCCATCTCGAAAAAAAGAAAAAAGAAAAAGAAACTTGAAATAAGTCTGTTTACAGGGGTGTCCAAACTATTGGTTTCCCTGGGCCATGTGGGATAATTGTCTTGGGCCACACATAAAATACACTAACGTTAACAATAGCTGATGAGAAAAAAAAATCGCAAACAAAAATCTCATAATGTTTTAAGAAAGTTTATGAATTTGTGTAAAATTCAAAGCTATCCTGGGCTACATGCGGCCCGTGGGCCACAGGTTGGATAAGCTTGGTTTAAGATGTGTAGAAAAATAAGAAAATAAAAAGCAAAAGCCTTTAAAAAAAGACTATGAAGATTAAAACAAAACAAAACAAAACAAAATTGTAGGAATAAAAGATGTAGAAGTTGAAACACAGTATCTAAGAAATGGGTTACACAGTAGAATAAATACAGCCAAGGAAAGAACTAGTGAATTGGAAGACAGGTTAAGGAAAGCAGCTAGTACACAGTGCAGAGAAAATATGAAGGAAAAGTTAAGAGACATGGAGGGTAGAATGCATGGAGGACAAGTGTCCAACATACCTTAACAGAAGGAGACAATAAGAAGGAGGCAATATTGTAAACACCATGACTAGGAATTTTCCAGCATAGAAGGCAAACACGAGTCCTCGGACTGAAAAAACAGACTGAGTCTGTAGTAAGACAAATAAACTCTTACTGAGACACATCAGAGCAAGAGAGCCAGCCATCACAGAGAAAGAAATCCTCAAATCTCCTGGAAAGAAAAGACACAGGACTTTCAAAGGAACAACAATGAACCTAACAGGAGCAACGATCATTGCCAGAAGACAACAGGATAATATCTTCAAAGCCCTGAGTAAATGTTTAATTTCATAGTCAACTAAACTATCATTTAAGAGCAGGGGTGAAATAAAGACATTTATAAACTTCTAAATTGATTAGAAAAAAATAAATAAAGACATTTTCAGAACACAGAGCCTAAAGCAGTTTACCACCTAAAGGCCCTCGGTGAAAGACTATCTTAAAGGATGAGCTCAGAAAAAAAGGGGTATGCAAGAAGCAAAGGTGATAACAGAAATTGGTCAAATATTCTGATAAAACCCCCACGTTCATGAAGTTTGAGCAATTTATAAGAAAGTTGGGATATGAGAGGAGGTAGTTTGGAGAGAAGTGAAAGAATTCTATAGTGCCTATCTTATTCAAGAGGAGGACAAAGGTATTGCTTACACTTGTTAGAAAAACCAAGTTCAGAAAATATATTGAAAATGTAAGGTAAGGCCATGGCCTTCCCTTCAGTGATCTATCCTAATAATTATTTAGCCATAAAAAGGGATGAAGTACTGACACATGCCACAACATGAAGCTAAGTGAAAAAAGCCAGACACAAAAAGTCAAATACACACTCCACTTTTATGAAATATCCAGAATAGGCTAATCCATAGAGACAGAGTAGATAGCAATTGCCAGGGGATGGGAAGTGGGAGGAATTGGAAGGTACAAGTTTTCATTTTGGGGTGTTAGAAGTGCTCTGGAATTAGATAGTGCTGATGATTGCACAACACTGTGAATATAACAAAAGCCACTAAACTGTACACTTTAAACTGGTTAAAATTATAAATTTTATATATGAATTTTATCTTGATAAACAGGAAGTTTACATTAGTATCATGTAAAAGGCACTGGACTAAAGAGAGACTTAAGAGACATAATAACCAAGCTCCAAGCATGGATTAGACATTGGTTTGGACAAAACAGGTGTAAAGGACAATTTGGGTCCAACTGAGGAAATCTGAATATGGTCTTGGTATTAGGAAAGATTAAAATATATCGAAATGGAAAAATGAAATAACTAGCTAAAAAAGCAGTCTACAAAACAGTACATACATCATGATTTCATTATCTTAAAAATACACATAAACTCATTAAAGCAGTAACAGTGGTGATCTATGGGTGGTGGGAATGTTGTGTCCTTAAGTTTTACTTTTACTTATTTTTTGATTTACTTATTTTTTATTACTTATTTTGATTCTACTTTGCTTATCCAATTTTGCACCATACACACATATCACTTAGGTAATAATAAAAGATTTCAATGTAAAAACTGAATGTTGAAAGTAAAACAAATGAATTAAAGATAATTGCTACAAGAATACAAATAAAATTTAAAATCTCCAAATTGGAGATTGTGGAGAGAGTGAGCAGTAATGAAAAATGGATCAATAGAAAAAAGGAAAGATGGACGATCAGAAGAAGTATAAAGAAAATGGGATAAATAGGAAGTATAAATTATATACTAGAATTAAGTTTAATTATATATTTTTTCAGGTGTACCTCTGATTGAAAAGTTTAATTATATTAGTAGTCACAACAAATATAAATAGACTAAATTCATCTTTAATAAAAAGAGAACCTGCTATGTATAGTATACAATAGAGACACATTAGAAACAACGATACAGTAAATTTGAAAACAAGCAAATTGGCCAGGCACAGTGGCTCAACTCTGTAATCCCAGCACTTTGGGAAGCTGAGGCAGGTGGATCACTTGAGGCCAGAAGTTCGAGACCAGTCTGGCCAACACAGTGAAAACCCATCTCTATTAAAAATAGAAAAAATTAGCTGGGCATGGTGGCACATACCTTTAATCCCAGTTACTCAGGAGGCTGAGGCATGAGAATCACTTGAACCCAGGAGGTGGAGGCTGCAGTGAGCCGAGATTGCACCACTGTACTCCAGCCTGGGTGACAGAGTGAGACTCTGTCTCAAAAAAAAAAAGAGAGAGAGAGAGAGAAAATAACCAAATTGGAAAAAAAGACAGGCAAATAATCACTAAAATAAATTTAATGAAACAATATTATTATGAGACAAAACAGAATTTAATTTAAGGTGGAAAGTGCATTTGCAAAATCTGGGATGCAGCCAAAGCAATGCTTACAGGTAAATTCATAGCTTTAAAAGATACATTATTCAAAAACAAGAAAGACTGAAAATTAAGGCACTAAGAAACCATGAAAAGGATCATGACTTAAGCATAAATAAAGTGGAAGGAAGAGACTATCAAAGCTAAACAAACAAATGAATAAAATAGAAAATAATAAAGCCAAAAACTTGTTCTTTGAGCAACCTAGTAATTGGCAAGATTAATGGAGAGAAAAAAATGACCCCAATCAATAATATTAGAAATAAAAAGGGGGCAAAACACAGATAAAATAGAGATTTAAATAAAATATAATTGCTCTCAGAGTGGAAGCTTGGGATGTGACTTAGCGAGATCCTCTCTGGATCCTCCTGGGCAGTTTGTTCTATTCACTGAGCAATATTGACCTTACACAAAGCCACATTCACCTCTGGTTTCCCACAGCCCCTTATCTCCTGTGTCGTCACTGATGTCAACACTCACGCTTCTACAGGGCATGCCGACAACCACATTCATGATCACACATACATACAAAAATACCAAAACTGCCCCGTGTGCCTACATGTGCACAATCGGACACACATGTTCTGAAATACACTCTGCAAATGTGCATGCATGAGCATGTTCACATGCATGCATACACATATGCTCCCAATGTACACATGATGATGTCACACATATTCCATGTCCACACAGATAATGTGTAGTACCACAGTGCTCTCAATCACACTTGCACATGAATCCATGCACAGTCTGTACATATGTGAAGACACCTTTTCCCACAGGGTGCCCAGGTGAGTGCATACGTACACATTACACATGAGCATGATGCCATCAGCATGCCTTCCTCCCATTGCACACACACCAGAGTGAACAGCCCCGGGTGCCCCATGCAGGCCTGCAGGGCAGGCAGCCATACCTCCAGTTCCCTCAGCAGCTCTGACTGACCACATGACTCCAGGTCTTCGAGAGCTTCTCCAAACATGCGCCAGAAGCCCTCCTCTCGGGCAGGGCCAGGGGCTGGGCTGTAACGTAGGAACCAGAGAGCGTCAACTCCTGGCAGGCGGGTGGGCGGGCTGGGGCCTGAGGAGTCTTCGGGGCCCCAGGGCCCAGCGTTGGGCTCGAGGGGCCATAGGGTGGGTGGGCGGGCAGGCAGGCGGGCGTCCTCGGTGGCAGTTCTGGGGCCCCGGGGCAGTGGTTGGTGACACGGAATAGGGGAAAGACGCAGTTAGGGGCGACCAGGACTGTCGGTGGCCAGTTAGAACAGGGGCAGATGAGACGGGGTGGAGAGCGGTGACACAGGATGCCTAGGAAGAGAGACAGAGGACAAACAGACGAACAGACAGAGAGGAGATCCATGGTGTAGTCCCAGAGGACGGCCCCTGGCCCCACCCAGACACACGGCACCGTGGGACAGTGACAGGGACAGAGCTGGGGCCAGCAAGGACACAGATGGATGGAGAGGATGAAATAACTGTGCTGGGGAAGGGGTCGAGACCACCCATAACTCCCATCACAGGTTGTATGAGCCTGTTATCATCAGTTCCAACACTGAGTCTCAGAAAGTTCACAATTCACATTTTGACACTTCGCAAAGCCACTTGCTAATTACAAAGGCCTCAACGGTTACAAGGCATGCTGTGATTTACAAAGCACTTGCTTGTTTTTTTTTTTTTTTTTTTTGAGACAGAGTCTTGCTCTGTCACCCAAGCTGGAGTGCAGTGGCATGATCTCGACTCACTGCAAGCTCTGCCTCCTGGGTTCACGCCATTCTCCTGCCTCAGCCTCCCGAGAAGCTAGGACCACAGGCATGCGCCACCACCCCTGGCCAACTTTTTGTATTTTTACTAGAGACGGGTTCCACCGTGTCAGCCAGGATGGTCTCGATCTCCCGACCTCGTGATCTGCCCACTTCAGCCTCCTGAAGTGCTGGGATTACAGGCGTGAGCCACTGCACCCTGCCAGCACTTGCTCTTTTACAGGGGCACGCAAGCTTTGCTATCTTAGGGAGCTTAGGAACGAGGATGTGTTGCCTCCTTCCCTTTCCATGTAACAGATGAAAAGACAGAGGCTGAAGGACACTTGCTCCATTCAAGTCAATTCCACAGACATTTCCTGAGCTAAGTCCTCTGCTGGGCACAGGGATATGGAAGAGAATAAAGTGTGGCCCCTGTTCTTACAGAGCTGGAGATTCATTCGCAAAATATGTCTGAGCACCTACTAGGGGCCACGCGTGGAGCTGGGGTGCCACGCAGTAGAGATGATAGCCAAGTAATTAGCCAGATAGACACAAGGTGTTTAGGCTACCAGGAGACTTGTAGGAGCAGCTGTGGGTACCAGGAGGGAGGGAGGAATCCCTTCTGCCTGAGAAAGACAGGGAAGCTTCCCAGAGGCAGGAGAATTTGAGCTGAGTTTTGAGGGATGAGTAGGGATTTGCCAGGAGAGACCAGGGGAAAGGCATCGAGGCAGAAGGAACCGCCTGATCAAAAGCACCACGATGGGAGGGTGGCCTGGGCCAGATGAGGAACAGCATTTCTCCACAGCCTGCTCTCTGCAGGAGCCTTCTCCAGCGGCTCAGCCACTCGGCACAGCCCAGGGATGGTGCCGGTGGGCTGAGGGCCCTCGCAGGAGGCCATCAGGCCATCTGGGGTAAGTCAGGTGGGCCTGGGTTCAAGTTCTGAGTCTGCTGCTCTTCTGAGAACAGGAGATGACCAAAGTTGGGAAGGGCAAACCAGGCTGCTCTCCACCTCTATACCTTCGTCCCTGCCGTGCCCTCCACCAGTCTGCCCTTCCCTCCGTCTCAGCCTGGCTGAGGTGGCTCTGCTCAGTGCTTCTCTCCCAGGAGGCACCCCTCCTCAGGAGCCCGCCAAGACTCTCCATTCCCCCACCACTTTGGCACAGGCACCCTCGCCCACCCCAGCCAAGACACTGTGACTCCCTCCTCCTTCACGGTGCTCCCACCACAGACCTCGTTGGCGGCTCCCAATCATCCTCCTCCTCCTCCTCTGGAAAGCTCTCGTCAGCTGGGGTTGGGGTATAGCTCGTCCTCCGGGGCTCGGTGGGTGGGGGGCTGCCCCTCAGCCAGCCAGGCCTCCGCTCCTGGGGGGTCGTGCCCCGGGCTGCTGCCTGTGGTGTATAGGACCCTGGTGGTGGAGAGAGGGCCTCTGTGTTCCCTGCGGCCTCACCTTGCCCTCCTGCCTGCCCCATTTCCAGCTGTGCTGAGTGACCCTGGGGAGGTCGTTGCTCCTCTCTGGGCCTGCATCTACACAGCCCTCTGAGGGCCTCTGCCTCTCAGAATCTCCCTGGAGCTCCTGGTCATCCAGAAGTTAATGCCTGGGGCTCTGCGACTCTGTCTCAACTCCATCGGCCTGGGCTTGGCCATCACCCTGCCACGGAAGGAGGCTGAACATGTGGCCCACCCTCCACTTCCTGCCTTTGGGAGCTCTGAAGGTCCAGCCCCAGGGAGTGAGCTGAGAGATGCTGACAGAGAGCTGGAGATGGGGAAGCTGAGGCCCAGGGAGAGCAGGTGTCCGCAGGCAAGAACGGGCTGGCAGCCACCTACGGCCCGTAGAGGCCTCGCCCCCCCTACCCAGTCCTCTGAGTTGGACCATGGGGAGTTCCGGTGGCTCTGGGTCATTGAGGCCAGCTGGCCAGCCACCAGACTCAGACGTCTCCCTGCGGCCACCTCCGGGTCTCAACATGCATTGGCCTGGGAGGGAGCCCGAGGTGTCTGCCCCACATCCGGTCTTGTAGGCTGGGGTGGGAGGGGGCTTTTGGCCTCCCTATTTTCAACTGGATGGAATGAACATTGTTGAGCACCTACTGTGTGCCAGACATTGGGCTAGGAAGGAAGGCTACAGTAGAAGAAAGACCAACTTTGTCCGTAACTTCACAGTGGGGAAAGCTTAGCAGCCAGCATGGGACCCATGGTTCTAAATCAAAAGATATGGCTGCAGTCCATGCTTCCAGGAGCAAGGGGCCCTAAGAGTGGCTTACGGAGCCAAATCAGGTCTTCCTTCAGGAAGGGCCCCTAAAGGATGCCAGGAGAGGAGCGCAGGAGGGAGGAACAGGCACAAGAACAGTCCTGCACAGGCCCAGCAGCAGGGGCGGCCTAGAGAGAGCGTGCCACTTGTCCAAGGGCCCCAAGGTATTACCTGGGCCCCCAAAGCCACCCTCGGTGGCCGAGCTGTCCCAAGACTCCACAGCACTGTCCACACTGGGCACAGCCGGCGAGAAGCGGGCTGCTGGCAGGCCTCCTTTCAGGGCATCTGCTGGGTCCTCATCAGCATCACTGGTCTCACTGAGGCTGCCCGACTTGCGGGGTAGGAGGGGACCTGGGAGGAGAGAGGGGTGTCAATTCTGACTTCAGAGACACTCACAGTGAGCCTCAGTTTCTGCATTTCAGCCTGGTCTGGAAACTCACAGGCAGTAAGCCCTTCTGAGCTGACATATGACCATGGCACACTAATAAGCAAACCTGTTTCACAGATGGGAAAACTGAGGCTCGGGGAAGCTGAGCAGCATGCCCGAGATCACACAGTGAGCACCAGTGGAGCCAGGATTAGCTCAGGCCCCTTCCACTGCCTATGGTGGCCTTTCTACCAAGGCACGGGGACGTATTCAGGGGCAGCTGAGGAATGCATGAGTTATGGCCATGAAGCATACACACGTGAGCACCTTAAGAGGCAGGAAGTAATGAAGAACAGGGCTCAGACCCAGATTCTGCCCCGTGCCCACTGTGTGGCCCTGGGCTCATCACTTCCCTCTCTGAGTCTTATCTTCTTTGCCATCGCAGGCCCGCCTCCACAGGGCTGCAGTGAGGACTCTGTGAGGGTGTGCAGGCAAAGCCTGGCACAGAGGGATTGCCCTTCCTAAACCTGCTGGGTGGCTCCCAGGGGATGAAGCGAATCTCACGGTCTAGTTGCTTCTTGATCTTCAGTGTGACGGTCTCTCCAGCCACCTGCAGGAGGTGGATGGCCTCGCTCAGCGGCCGGCCCTTGAGGCTAACGTTGTTGATGGCCAGAATGCGGTCCCCCACGTGGATGGCACCAGTCCTGAGGAGTGGATGCAGGGCAGAGAATGGGAGTTAGACACTCAGGGCCTCAGAGTGGCAGTCTGCCCTCAGGGAATCCAGGAGAGCCACAAAGCAGAAGTCTGGCTGACCCCAGTTAAACCCAGCTGCCAAAAACAAAACAAAAGCACGCAAGTATGATCTTGGATCACATTAATAGAGACATAAAGTCTAGAACCTGGGAGGGGATTGTCCCACCTGACTGCAAAATTAGGTTCTGGAACCAGTGTCCAACACAGGTTTTGAGAATCCCACATACTAGCTGCCAAATACTTGCTATGTGATCTTGGGCCAGTTTCTTAAACCCTTGAGTTTCAGTTTCTTCATCTGTAAAATGGGGGTGATAATACTAATTTAATTATCAAATCATAACTGAGGCGTGAATGAACGGAATGGATTCCTACTTCCCTCCAGCAGACACCCTTGGTAGCCATTGCCCCTTCCTGGGCCTCAGTTTTCCCACCTGGAGAATGGGCATAATCACCAGCGCCCAGCAGACCTCACAGTAGGGCGTGAAGGGCTGGTGATGCCAGGCGGCAGCACTGCTGTGGCCCAGTGGTTTTCTACCTGGACACCCATTACAATGACCTGAGGAGCTTTTTGAAAATGCAGGTGCCTGGGCCCCACATCTGACCAATTAAATAGTACCTGTGGGGATGGGGCAGGAAGGTGATTCTGAGGAGCAGCCAGGGCTGAGCAGGGGAGAAGCTGTAGCAGGTGCTTAGAGTGACCTGAGCCAGGTGGAGGAAAAGGAGGCAGAGGACTAGGGTCAGGGGTCTTTAACCTCTGGGGCTGTAGATGTCACCCCATATGGGAGCTCCTGGAGAGTCATGCTTGGGCATTGCCCTGCACTTCCCCAGGGATGAGGATAGTGAGCGAGTCAGGGAATGGTGGGCTCCGGGAGGGGACCAGAGCTGTAGTGTCCAATATGGCAGCCACCAGCCACAGGTGGCTGCTGAGCCCCTCAAATGTGACTGCCCAAATTGAGATGTGCTAAAAGCAGAAAACTCACACCAGATACGGAAGGTGTAACATGAAAAAGAATATAAGACATGTTCTTAATGGTTTTTATTTGATTACATGTTGAACTAAATATATATTTAAGATGAATTTCATCTTTTTGCTTTGCAGATGTGGCTACTAGAAAGTGTCTGATTAAATTTGTGGCTCAAATTATATTTCAGTTGGACAGCACTGAGCTACATCAGCCCGGCGAAGGCAGGAGGGTTGTCTGTACAGCCCCAGCAACCAGGACAGAGGGGCCAGGCACACAGCAGGTGCCCAGTACATGCTCGAATTGATGAAGACATTGGGGTCAGAAGGGTTCCACACCGACCTCTGCAGTCTGCCAGGTGTCCAGCAGGGGGCGCTCCAGGAGCAGGGTCCACGTCCCGGAATCCCTCCCATCCTCTCCCCACCCGCCCAGCCACCGCCCCTCCTGCGCGGTGCCCTCCTCCGGGACGCGTCCTGCCCCTGCAGCCCCCACCAGGCTCTCCTTTTACCGCCCGCTCGTTGCTGTGCTGGGAGCTCACCGCTTCCTTGCCTGCCGGATTCATCCCTGCCCAGCTCGGGGGAGAAGGCTCGGTCTCACCCACACTGGGGGTCGGGTTCCATCTCTGACCTCCACCTCACCCTGGGACAGGGCTCCATTCTTACAGCTCCCTCAGCTGCCACAGTTTCAGAGTCTAGGGGCAGCAGGGACAGTCCCCCAATGCCTCAGGAAAGCCCTAGGCAGTGCTGGGACCAGGGTACTGGGGCACTGCCCCATCCTATTCCGCACACAGCAGGCGCTCCAAATAGCCTTGCAGGGCTGACCTTCCAGACACAGGTAGGAGCAGGAAGATGCACACACCTTGGCCCAGTGCTTACCTGGAGCCAGGAGGTCTGCTGGGGTGTGGGCCTCTGCCCTGGCAGGCAGGGGCTGACACTCATTTTACAAATGCAGACCTGAGTCTCAGAGAGGGGAAGTGACTGGCCCAATGTCACCCACAGTGTCAATGTTGGAACAGAGGTCAGAATCTTGCTTGGCTTTGCCATAGCCCCAGCTCTTGCTTCCTGTGTTCCCTGAGCCCACCATGCGTCCCCACAGAGCCCCAGTTCACCTCTCAGCCAGGCCACGCTTGGTGAGGCCTGAGATGACAATGGGGTCAAAAGGTTCCTCCGTGCCCGAAATGGTGATGCCCAGGGGACCCCCGTAGCGCTTCAGCTCCACTGTGTAACTGACGGCACCTGTGGTCTCCAGCTCATCTGCAAGCACGGGGACCCATGAGGAGGAGGCCCCCGAGGGGGTACCCAGCTTCCTAAAGCCTTGGCCTCACTCACTCACTCATACTTATTTATTAATTCATTCACCCAGTCACTCACGCTCTGATTTCATGTAGCACAACCTGGGGACCCTGAGGCCATCTTCTGCCCAAATACCAGTAAAGAAAAGAAACATCACACCTCACCCACAATAATGACAACATTGATGACAAGAAACAGTGGCCTCTTTTCCTCCAGCAGCCAGCAGGAAGCAAAGGGAACCCCGATCATCCGTTGTTTTTTTTTTTTTTTTTTTTTTGAGACAGAGTCTTGCTCTGCTGCCCAGGCTGGAGTGCAATGGCACGATCTCAGTTCACTGCCATACCTCTGCTTCCAGGGTTCAAGTGATCCTCCCACCTCAGCCTCCCAAGTATCTGGGACTACAGGCATGCACCACCAGACCCAGCTAATTTTTGTATTTTTTGTAGAGATGGGGTTTCGCCATGTTGCCCAGGCTGGTCTCGAACTCCTGGGCTTAAGTGCTCCACCCACCTTGGCCTCCCAAAGTGAGGGGTGTACAGGTATGAGCCATTGCACCTGGCCCAACTTTTCTTAAAAGAAAAGAAAAGAAAAGAAAAGAAATCTACCTCCCACAGTAACCTTCTTTCACAGAGTCGGAGTTGGTGATTTGGAGGCTGCCCCTTTGAATCAGGGATTCACTTTCCAGTTGGCGCAGTCCTCACCCGTCCCTTTTGCCTCTCCAATCCATACAGCTTTTCTCACTCATTTATATCACTATCTGGCGTCAGTGGGGCCTGAGTCTGCAGTCTTTGCTTATCCACTCATAGCCTGCCACTCAAAAGGGCAGCCTCGCTCTTCCCCTGCCCTACCCACTCATCTCTCCACCAGCTGCACCAGCTGCACCCAGTAGGTCTCCTCTGCCAGGCTTGGTGCTAGATGTGGAGACTACGGGAGAGTCTCAAACTCCTGTCCACCTCACAGAGGCTCTGGAGGGCCCCAGACGCCGGGGACAGTGAGAAATCTGTGGTGTTGCCCCCTCCTTCATTTGTTCATTCCAGCCAGCCTTCAGCAGCGCCCACCACCCTCCCTTCCTCGGCTGGAGGGAGCCCTGAATTGCAAGCTGGGAACCCGCTAGTCAAAGGGTGGGCCTCTGGAGGTAGGAGGCCAGCATGAGGGCCATACCAGAGTTGTCCTCGTCCTTCCGGATCTTCAGCTTCACCAGGTCCTCGCACTGCCGCAGGATTTGCACGGCGTCCTCCATGGGGCAGTTGTCCAGGCGGATATTGTCAATGGCCAGTAGCTTGTCGCCTGGCTCCAGGGTGCCCGTCCTGCATGAGTCGGGGGCAGAGGGGATGGAAGGAGCCTGGTGCATGCAGGTGCCATACTCACTGCTGTTGGCCACTTCCCTTCCTGTGCCCCAGTGCCCCTACCTGTGTGCCACGCTGCCTTTCTTGATGTCGGAGATGATCAAGGGCTCCCCTCGTTTCCTGCTGGCCGCTGGAGAAAAAGAGGCCATGAATCTGACCTTGGTGGCCTCAGCCTGGGGTGGGGTGGCGAAGCCCAGGGGTCTGAGTGTGGACTCGGAGCCACTGGTCCTACTCACATCCTGGTCCCACTGCTTCCTGGCTGGGTGACCGTGAGCAAATCAGCTCACCTCCCTGTGCATCAGTTTCCCCCCTGTAAAATGGGGGTGGCACCGCAGACCTCATGGGGATGTGGTGAGAGTAAACCAGATAACACAGGCACAAGATCCAGCATGGCCCTTCCAATGCCAGCTCTTCTTTCCTCCTGCTCAGCCCATCCCCCAGCAAACTGCGAGCTCTTTGTGGAGGGGGGCTGTCTGCTTGGTGTCTGTGTCCCCAGCACCGGGCTCAGGGCCAGCACCCAGGCTCTATTGTGTGCTTGGGGGTGGGAGACACAGAAGTGAACAAAACAGACAGCAATCTCTCCCTGCCCTCCTGGAGCTGGCACTCCAGTGGTGGTCACAATCAACAACATTTAAACACCGATGAAGTGAGCTGTGGAGAAACCTGAGAAACGGGCTTGTGTCGAGGGCGGTAAATGTTCAGTCAGGTGGTCGGGGAAGGCCTTGTCAAGTGACATTTGGGCAAAGCCATGAAGGAGGTAGGGAAGAGGCCAGAGGAACGGTCTCAGATGCAAAGGCCCAGAGGCAGGAAGGGGCAGGCATGGCAGGGAGCAGCCAGGCTGACTGCGGCTGGAGGGCTTGAGTTGGGGAGAGTCGGGAGATGAGGTCAGAGGTCATGGGGTCCAGAGCACAGAGGGCCTCACTGGGGCCCGAGGCCCTCAGCTTTTACTCAGAATAAGATGGGAGCCACGGGAGTGCTTTCACCTTTCCCATGCTCACCCATTCTACGTTTTTCTTCTGCATTCCTCATTTTCATTCCTTTGACAAACATGAATTAAGCACCTACTGTGTTCCAGGCCTTTGCTGGGCTCTGAGAACACAGAAGCAGGCAGAAAACCAAACCCAGCCTAAATATTTGTCACCTTCCAATGCTCTCTCACCATGGGCACCTCACAAGCCCCCTGGGAGACCCACGAGGCCAGGGGACTGCCATGGTGCAGAACGGGAAGCTGAAGCTTTGGGAAGCTGGGGTCTCGCTGAGAACACGCAGCTGGGTCCACGGAAGCCAGCCTCCCCACACCCCCAAGCCTTTTCCTCGGGCCCCGCAGGGTGTCACGCCATGGAAATGCTGGTCTGAGCTTGGCAAGCTCTTTTTCCCCAGCAGTTGAGCTCGCTCCCAGGGGCAAACAGCAGCGGGAGGAGACTCACAGCTGATGGTGATGCCCAGCTCCACGCTGCGCTTCTTGGGCAGCTTCACGTGGAAGGTGCCACTGCTTGGGATGACGGACTCTGGGGGTAGATGGACATAAACCGACGTGAGGACCCAGAGGAGGAGCCTCAGCGAACCCCAGCCCCATGCCCATTCTGGCTGTGCTGGGAGTGACCCCGAAAGTCACAGTTCTAATCTCATCCCCCTGCTTCCTCTCAACAGAGGAGGAAACTGAGGCAGAGTGAGCTGACAGATTTGCTCAAAACAACTGACCTGCTCTAGTCAGACCAGAGTCGGGGCTGGAACCAGGCCTCTTGGCTGTCGGCTAGTGTGGCGGGCGGGAAGGGAGCTCCCCACAGCCTAACAACCCAGTGTGAATCTAGCACATATTTCCTGAGCACCTACTATGTGCCAGGCCGTGGCTGGGTATTTTCATGTTTTCATTTCTCTTGGGCATATGCCTCACCTAACCCAAGTACCGCCCCTATAGTGAAAAGATCGTTATCAACTATTTACGGATGGGGAAACAGTGGAGGGAGTGTCCTGTCCAAAGCCACACTGTGTTGAGGTCACAGAAGCAGAATTCTGACCCAAACTGTTGTTCGAGGTTCTTTGCCTAACCCATGCTGAGAAGGAGCTTGGAGTATTTTCAGCTCCCCAACCCCATCCCCACTTGGTCCTGCCCCTCTGCAAAAGTCTCCTGGTGTGGAAACTTCTCCCTCCCGTGCCAAGGCTTCCCTTCCCACTATAAGCTGCAAAGCCCCTGGGAGAAGGGCACTGGGCACAGAGGGGGATGGGGTGGAGCGTTTGCACAGGCGAGGCAGGATAAAGAGAGGAGGGGTGCAGGGCCCTGAAATATGAGGAGGAAGCTTGGGCCACTCACTCACCCGCCACATCGAACTCCACCTCCAGCACGACCTTGTGGGCCAGTGCGGCGTCCCGCAGGAGCTGGTTGGCTTCCTCCATAGTCCCGTCCTCGGTGGCAATGCCATTGATGGACAGGACACGGTCCCCCACCTGCAGCAGCCCACACCTGAACCCAGGGGGCCCGGCAGAGAGAAGAGGCTCCGTGACAGGTCCATTGGGAGACAAGAACGCCATGCAGGGCAGGACTGAACCTGGGTCACACCTCCTGGTCTGGGGTGACTCTCAGCTCTGCCCTGGCCCACCTGTGTATCCTCAGGAATCTGGCTAAGGGCTGGACCTTGCTGGACCTCAGTTTCCCTGTCTGTCCAATGGGGATGATGGCATGGGCCTTACAAGTTGTGTATACAGAGGACTCTGCCTTCAGGCAGACAGGGGTTCAAGCCCTGGGATTCCATGGGTGAGCTGTGTAATCCTGGGCAAGTGAGTCAGCTTCTCTGAGCCTCGGTTTCCTCATCTGTAAAATGGGGCTGGTGCTGGGGCTGATGCAATGGTTAAGTGAGATGCGCTTGTGAAGCTAGGGCTTGGTGCTGTGACTCAGTTTCTCTCAGAGAGTGGCAGGCTCAGTAGGGAGGGGGCAGGAGGCTCACCTCTCAGCCGGACTGTCAGGCTCGATGAAGCACACGAGGGGTGGGGAGGACAGGGTCTCGGTGGCGAAGATGCCGCCCTGGAGCTGGAGGCCAAAGCCGCTGAGGGGGTCTCCACAGAGCACGACCTCCGTGGTCTCCGTGTGCACAATCTGCCCGCCCGGCCCCACCGTGCTGGAGGCTAGCGACACTGTAGGACAGGTGGGCCCAGCATTCAGGTGAGCCGCCCCACGGAGGTCTTCCTGCCAGGGCCTGCCCATCCCGGGGCCCTAGGCACTGGAGCCAGAGTGCAAGGAAGTGGGAGCCCTGACTCAGTCTGGGACCAGACAGATCACAGCTCACTCTGAGCCTTGGCTTCCTCATCTGAACAATGGGATCGTTGATTCCCACCTCGTGGGGTGTGGCAAGGACTAGGGAAGACAGTGGCTGGGATTGACTGTCATGCTGTAAAGCAGGTTCTGGGGGGCAGTGTCATTTTATTGTATTATTGTGCTGTGATCTACTGTAGTATCTACTATATTATGTCACTCTGCTTTTCGGTAAGAGGTTTATTGAGATATAATTTACATACCACAGTAGTCACCTATTTAATGTGTACAATTCAGTGGTTTTTAGTGTATTCACAATTATGCAAACATCACCACGATGCATTTGAGAACATTTCATCACCTCCAGAAGAAACCCTGTTCCCTTCAGCCATCCCCAAAGATCTTCCTATGTCCCTCAGCCCTAGGCAACCGCGAATCTACTTTCATCTCTGCATTTGCCTGTTCTGGGCACTTTATATAAACAGAATCATGCACCATGTGGCCTTTGTGACAGGCTGCTTTCACTTGGCATAATGTTTTCAAGTTCATCCACATTTTGCAGGTGTCAGAATTGCATTCCTTTTTGTGGCTGAATAATATTCCATTGTATGGATACACCACATTTTGTTTATCTATTCATCCATTGGTGGATACTGCGTTCCTTCCACTATTTGGCTACAGTGAATAATGCTACTATGAACATTTGTGTATAAGTTTTTAGGTGGAGATGACACATGTTTTCACTTCTCTTGGGCATATACCTAGGAGTGGAATTGCTGGGTGATATGGCAACTCTATGTTTAACTATTTGATACATAAGGTTATTTAATAAATATTGTTTTACATTCCATATATGAAATATATTTGCATCATTAATATGAATCCTGAAAGTCATTTATTATTTATCAAACAAAATTTATTTGGTATTTCATTACTAATTATATTATTGTGTCATATTATATTATTAAATTATATTGTATATTATACATTACAAAATGTGTAATATGTTATGTTTTTAGGTATATTGTGTTTTTATATGTATTTATTTATTTATTTTGAGACAAAGTCTCACTGTGTCGCCCAGGGTGGAGTGCAGAAGCGCCACCTCGGCTCACTGCAACCTCCGCCTCCCGGGTTCAAGCGATTTTCCCACCTCCAGAGTAGCTAGGATTACAGGCGTGTGCCACCATACAAGGCTAATTTGTTGTATTTTTGGTAGAGATGGAGTTTCGCCATGTTGGTCAGGCTGGTCTCGAACTCCTGGCCTCAAGTGATCTGCCCACCTCGGCCTCCCAAAGTGTGGGGATTACAGGCGTGAGCCACCATGCCTGGCCTATTTGTTTCTTTTCACTACTATGTCCCCATAGTATGTACATTCAGTACTATGCCCCATAATTAATTAATTATAATTAATTAATAAATTACTATCAACAGCAATAATGATAGTACTTTCTTAGTTACACATCCCAGGAAGGAGACAGGCAGAGGAGTCGCAAGAGCCTCCAGTCTCCACATCCCCCACCTACGAACAGCATTTCTGCATCTTTTCATCTACATATTCCCCACTTTGGTGGCCAGGAAAGGTGGTTAGTAGAGATATATTTTCTCTCTCATCTGACTGAAATCTGTTTCCCATTTCCCTTTGGCTGCCAGGGAGTGTAGAACCATATTTAGCTTTTTTCAGACACCAGGTGACCTGTACTCCTCTCTTCTTTCACCTGGTTCTATCTCAAATGGCCCAGTTTGATCTTCTATCCTTCCTGGAGGCCTCTGCAGCTCATGTGGCAGGAGGCTGAGAACCCTTTCTGCATCAACAAAGGAAAGACTGTTCCCAAGAAGGGTTTCAAAATTTTAGGCATTATTGTGTTTTGCCACTTCCACAGGGCTCCTGCCTTATCATTCACTACTTTTGTCTTCTATTGATTTACTTTTCTTAACATGTAAATATCTTTATTTCAAAAGGGCAATTTTGAACAATAAATAAGCAGAGAAGTAAGACTGGAAATTATTACATTCTGGACAGCTAGAGTCTCAGGCCATGTCTTTGTCTTAGGGGAAATTAACAAATGGCAGAGAGGTGGTAAGGATATAGTAACGCAGCACTGAGGCTTTATCCATGAATGAATCAGGACTGAATGGCAAAAAATGTGAAAACTTCATGCACATCTGAAAAGACTTCCTTTCCTCAAGGACGTTATCACCAAATCCTAGGAATTTTTCATAATAAAAATACAAGAATAAAAGTGTACAAAGTAACTGGCACCTCTCAGTGGTCCTCTTGAGCAGTGCACAACCTGCCCAACCATCCATGACAGCCTGGTGTTCCACTCATGTTATTTAACATTCCCACGCATACACCTGGAGCTCTGCCCAAAATACCTCCCCTCGCCCTGACATACACCCTTTGGCAAGCCTCACTCTCAGACATACAAGCAGCCCAAGGAGGAGGGAAGAGACCACAGCTTACACGAGCTCTTGTGTTCCCTTCTTCGCTGCCTCCTCCGCCCCATTGTAGTTCGAGGACTCATGGGCTGGGATCCACGGGGAAGGGTGCTGGGGTTGTTGCAGGAAAAGGCGTGGTTCAAGGTCGGCGAGGAAAAGGGAGTTGAAGACAAGGCTGGGGAGATGAGAGCACAGCCCCGTGAACCCCAGCCGAGGCTCTCCACCCCACCACACAGTGGGTGCTGGGAAGCCACCCAACCACAGGGAGAGATGGGGATGCCTTCCCCCTTCACATCAGTTACTCATTGTGTGACCTCAGGCAAGTCCCTTTCCTCTCTGGGTCTCAAAGACTGCAGGGTTTCCATAGACCCTGTGAAACTCAGCTATTAGGGACGGGGCCAATCTTGCCACTGGCATGCTAGATGACAATGAGGCAGGCCACCTAATCTCTCTCTCTTTTTTTTTTTTTTTTTTTTTTTTTTAGTTGAGGTCTCGCTCTGTCACCCAGGCTGAAGTGCGGCGGTGTGATCTTGACTCACTGCAGCCTCAACCTCCCAGGCTGAAGCGATCCTCCCGCCTCAGCCTCCCGAGTGGCTGGGACCACAGGCGTGCACCACCACACCCAGCTCACTAATCTCTGAGTCTGAGTTTCCTTCCCTTAGACAACAGGCATCGCCCCCTCCCTAGGAAAGGCTACAAGACTGGCTGAGCTACAGCAGGGCAGGCACATTACATCGGCTTTGGTCCTGGCCAGCAGGTGTGGCCCAGGTGGGCATCCTGCAGTGGCCGGGCCGGGGGCTGTGGCAGGAGGGCACGCAGGGGTCCCAGCGGTGCAGCTGCTCACTCCTCTGCACTTTCACTGTAGCCAGCGGAGAAAGAGGAAAGAGAGGTGCAGGCGTTAGTGGCTGAGGGCACTATGAAGCCAGGAAAGCAAGAACCAGAAGATCCTCGTGCTTCCCCTGAGCCAGGCAAGGCATTTAGTATTCTGCTCACATGTCCCGGACGCCTACAATGTGCCGGGCACTGTGTTCAGAGTGCAGCTGCTGCCACATGGCAGCCTGAGAGGCAGGGACAGGAGAGAGAAAGGAAGCCAGGCCGAGGCCCACTGCTGGGAGGTTGTGGAGCAGGGATTTGAACACAGGCATCCTGCCCTGGAGCCGGAGAGGTCTATGGCTATGAGTGCTGCCATGAAGTTTCTCCAAGAAAGAATTGGTGAGGAGTGCAGCTGGCAGACGGTGTCCAGCTGCAGCACTTTGGGGATATGCAGTGGCTCTGCAGCCCAGGCAGCCTCGGCCAGTGGCTGAGCACCGGGGCACTAGGGCCTGGCTATTTCTGCCCCACGACTCTCCAGGACAGCCTTTGCTCCAGGGCTTCCTGCTGGGTTGGCCAAGGCTGAAGTGCACCACGGGCTGAGGCTGCTCCCCCTTCCCAGGCTGCAACCCTTCCCAGCCTTATCCACAGTGAATTCTTTGCACTCCTGTTCCAAGTTCCCAGGGAACCCCCACTGCCCCGACCCCCTAGGAGACCCTGCTTCCTCCATCTGATCCTCCAAACTGGCCACCATACAACACCTCTTCCCAGACCGCCCCAGGCCAGCTCTCCTCTTGCGCGGATGGACAGGTGAGGACTCAACTGTCTCAGCCCGTTGATTCTGTCTCCTTGAGCCACATCTCCACAGCCCCCCTCCCCAGGGCTTGGCCCACTCTGGAGCCAGTTGCCTGGGTCAAATCCCAGCTCTGTCCCTGACCAACTGCGGGACCTGGAGGAGTCACTTCGCCTATCTGTGCCTCAGTGCTATTATCTGTAAAATGGGACCAAGAGAGTGGCCACCTCCTCGGGTAATGGGGAGGGTTAGAATGAGTTAATAATATAACATGCTTAGAGCAGTGCCTGGCACTTAGTAGAAGCTCAGTTAATGAGAGCCAAGGGGTTGTACGCAGATGTGTAGCCTTGCAACGCTACCTCAGCTTTCCCTGTAAAGTGGGAGGACAGTAAGACTAAGCTCAGAGAGGTGTCATGAGGAAGTAATGAGGCGTGCAGGCCGCGGCACCGAACCTGGCACGTGGCAGATGCTCGATAAATGGTACGAGAATGAATGACGCTGTTTCAAGCCCTAATGTCACCCAGACCAGTCCCTGGACTGTGGTTCATTCAGTGTGGCTTTTTCAGAAGCTGGCAGAGACCATAGAGATGGACTCTCCCCAAGAACTGTCCTCCCAATCAGATGTGGGGGATTCCGTTCTCTTCCAGAAGATGGGGTTTGCAAAGGGTGGGGTGGACAGACTCCTTCCTCACCCTCCAGCTCTGCCCTTAGGGCTAGGATTTATAGGCCTGGGCTGTGCCTTGTCCTTTATCTCCGTCAGCCTCCCCCATGTCTGTGCATTAGAAGTCCTCCCTCCTTTTTACAGATGAGATGACTGGGACTCAGAGAGGGAAAAGCACTTGTCCAGCTGCTGGGAGCAAAGATGGGACTTTCACTCAAGGCCCAAGGTTTGGGCTGCTGGACGTGCTTTCCTGCCCTGAGCTGAAAGCTGCCCCTCTGTGGCCACCCCCCACCCTGCCCCTGGCCCCAACTGTGCCCTCTGGACCCCCAGACCACCCACTTCCTCTGCTCTTGGAAATGCCCAGCACCCAGCTCCCTGCTCATAGCTGGGAGACCCTGACTCTTCAAAGGAGAAACTCCAGGCCCTCTCTAACTTCCCAGCTGCCTCCTCTGGATCTGCTGAGAGTCACTGAGAAGAGCCCAGGATCTAAGCTCTGAGTAGCAGAGAGCACAGGACTGTTCCCTCCCTCATTCTAGCCCTTATACTCCTATTAATGCAACCAGTGATGAAACCAGCTTTGGGGCATCTATGCCAGCAGACTCAATTCAAACCCTCAAGTTGTTTCTCTGCCCCACCTTCCCACCCTCAGTTGCTGCTCTTAATAATTTGAGCTTCCCTGGGCAAATGAGGATTTGTCCTAGTACATTTTAGCCTGCTCCTCCCAGCCTGCCCAGGGCTCTGGTCCCAGGCCTCTCAGGCCTCATGACTGCCCAGGTTTGGGCCCTGAGATCTACTGAGGGGACCCACCTGCCTCTGAGGGCCTCAGTGGCCGCTGACTCTGGGGCACAGGCAGGATCTCCAGCCGCACCTTCTCTGAAATGCTGGCCAGGAGCTTGGTGGCCTCAAGCAGCGAGCAGTGTTCCATGCTGGTGCCATCGATGGACAGGATGTGGTCTCCAGGGTGCAGGGCTCCGCTCCTGGCCAGGCAGGGGAGTGAAGGCGGAGGCTGGTCCAGGCCAGACAAAGCTCTGGGCCGCCTCTCCCCTGCACACACCTCCATGGTGGCAGCACCCAGGGTGTGCCTTACCTGTCCACCACGCTGGCTGGCTTGATGCGGTCGATGGTAATGACTGACTTGTTCCGGAGGGAGGTGGTGGTGAGCGAGATCCCCAGGGCAGACCCTGGCGTCTTGACTATTTCCACCATCAAGGGTCCCGAAGCATTAGCCACCGTGTCTGGCATGACGGAGAAAAAAAGTTTGAAATGCAAATACCGAGCACTTTCCTCCCCAGCCTCACCCTGCTATCCTGATTTAATCCTTGCTGCCTGGAAGAAACTGTTATACCCATTTGATTAACATAATTTTTTATTCCTTTTCTTTCTTTTTTTATCTTCTACCAAATGTTATATCAATTTGACAGATAAGATAGCAGTGGAGGAGGGGCAGGAGCTCAGGTCTGAGGGGCTGTGATCCCAGGGCTTTGCTGGGTGAAATGAATTTGCTTGAGTTTATGAAGAGCCTGTGGTATACCAGCACTAAACTGTAAAGTTCACTACAACCCATCCCCATCTCAGGAAATGGCACCTCCATTAACACACCCAGTGGCTGGAAATTAAAACTTTGGCCGCACCCTTAGCTCCTGCCCTCGCCCACCCATGTCTAAATCTCAGCAGATCAGGCCAGCTGGACCGTCATCATATTTCCTGAATCCCGTGCCTTCTCCCCTCCTTAGCCACCAGCCTGGTTCAGTCCCTTAGCTCTCGCTTGGACAGCTGCTGCCGCTTCCTATGGCCTCCCGGCTTCCACCTCACCCTGCTCTGCCCTTACCTCCTTTCACTCACCTGTGCCAACCACGGCAGCCTCCTCACTGTGACCAACCATGCTGGCCATGCTCCTGCCTCAGGGCCTTTGCACTTACTCTTCCGCCCTCCTGGAATGCTGTCCCTGGACATTCCATGCCTCGCTCATTCCCTCACTCCCCTAGTGAGAGAGCATCCCCCAGCCTGTCCCATCTCTCTCCCCTGCCTCTTTTCTTTTTTCCATAGCACTTATTGCCAACTGACATACACCATATCTTATCTATTCTGGATACTGTCCTCTCTCCACCAGAATGCCAGCTCCATGAGAACAGACACCTCAATTCTGTTGTTCTAGGCTGGATCCCCAGCACATCAAACAATGCCTAGCACATACTATTTACTGCCCAGAGAAGCTGTGACTGGCCCAAGGTCATAAGGTCATGCAGCCTTTGCAGTGGTAAAGATCCATGGCCACTGCCACCTCCCCCCATCCCAGGCCTCCTCCTGCCCCAACCCACACACTCAGGCCCCCAACTCACCAGGGGTGGCCACATCATACTCCACCTGAAAGAGTGCCTCGTGGCTGCACTGCCGCAGGGTGGCCAGGGCGGTGGCATGGCTGGCCCCGTGCAGCGGGATTCCATCGACACTGAGCAGCCTGTCGCCCACCTTCAGGGAGCCCTCCCTGTAGGGAAGGGCCAGTCACCAGCCTGGCCCGGCAGCAGCACTGGGCACAGCCTGTCTGGGAGGGCGCTGGGAAGCGGGACATGGAGGATGAAGAAGCAGGGAATGGGTGGGGGAGGAAGGGGAGGAGGGGACGGGTGAAGGGGCGCATGAGTGAGTGAAGGAATGAGCCACTCCAGGAGTGGGGAGCTGCATAAAGCAAGGGGGGGATGAAGACAGGATGGGGTGGCTCTGCCGCCTGCCACTCCTCTGGGTGTGCAGTAATTCACAGACTCAGTGCAGAACCCTGAAATGTCTGAGCTGGGGGTGCTCTTCAAGCGTCACCCCCAACTCCTGCCTCAGGGACAAAGGACAGCACCAGGGCCCAGAGAGGGTGCAAGCTGTGCCCATGCCACACGGCATTGGGGGCTGCTCTGAGCCGTCCTGGTCCCTTCCCATTGCTCCACCCTCACCCTGGTTTCTCAGCGGTGATTCTGGCCTGATGACAACCCGCGCCTGGGAAAGAACTCAACAGGGGCCAGGGGAGGGGCCCCAGCAGGGTTCACCTCGGTTTGGGTCGCATCCCCAGCCTGGAACGCCTCTCCCAACAGGTGGCCAAAGCTATTCTCGGGGGTTCTATGAATAGCTCATCACAGGGCCCTGTCCCAAGGACAGATTTAGATTTCTGACAAGGCCGTTCCAGGCTTCTCTTAAAATGGCCAGGAATCTCCCACTGGGGAGGCCGAGGGATCAGGGGCTGGGAACTGGACATGTTCTTTCCCCACATTCTCTCCTCCTGGCCCTTCTGGGCTGGGCCCAGGCGGGGCCGAGCTGGGTCGATCAGCCAGGACCCAGGAGACTGAGTCACAGACGGCTACAGCAGTGGCCAATCAGCGTGCCCCCAAATCTCTCATAGCAACTCTTAGGGACCATTCCACAGACGGGAAAACCAAGGAGCAGGAAAGGGAAGAACGACACCAAGGCTGCCCCTCTCCAAACACCCCAACCCCTGAGACAGCAGTATGTTGGGGAAGAAAGGGCTCGAGGTTTCCCTCATTTGGGGTTACATCCCGGTTCCATCAACAACTCCCTGAATGACACCGGGCAGGGAGTGTTCCCTCAGGGCCTCGATCTCTTCATCTGGGGAAGGGGCATGGTGACCCCACTCCACCTTCTTCGCAGGGGAGTTGGGGCAGGTCAGTGCAGTGTGTGGATTTCTTCTGCCTCGGCTCACCTGTCGGCAGGGCCACCGGGCCGCACGTAGGTCAGGACAAGCGGGCGGGACTTGTGCCCATCTTCATGGGCACCTCCTGGACAGGATTTGACAAGAAGCAGGAATCATCCACCCACCCCTTCCCATCCAGAGGCTCCCACACAGCCCCTGAGCAGGCTCCTTCAATAAAACCTGTTTGAGGACCTTGTCCTTGCTATCCATGGACCCTCTTATGAGACACCAACAATAAATTCGCCCTCCCAAGAGATGGTGCAAGGGGTGGGTAACATGACCAAAGTCTTCTCTCTGTTAAATGGCTTGCCTCCCTTCTGTGACCTCACCTTATTTCCCCTTTTCCCTGATCTCTAGGAAGCTCCAGACTTTGTTCTCAGTCTCGGTAGCAGCTTTCACCATCATTTTCCGGTACAACTTTCTCCTCTCACTCTCCCCAACCAAGCCTACTTCATTGCTTGGCAGATTTTCCCACTGAATACTTACCTTAACGGTCCTGTGTTCTTCAAAGTCAGAACTGAGATACACATAAATTACATTCAAATCCAAACAGCACACACATGGAATTAGTATTAGCCTCTTTCTTGCTGCCCCAATACCAAGGGCAATTCTTTCACTGACCTCTAAGGACAAAGCCAAAGCTATTGCCCTCCTTGTAGAGGGAGACGTCCACTGTCTTTGAAATGATCCTGGGGTTATTCTCAGGAGCTGGGGAGAAATGGAGGACTCCTTTGAGTCCCTCAGTCGCATCTCCAGGCCGGTAGATGTGCCCAAAGCTCATTCCAGGAGGACTGGGTGATCAGTCACAGAGATTACAGGGAGGGTAAACCCTTGCCCATTTTACAGGTCGAACAAGTGAGGCTTAGAGGGATCCTCTCCCCTAATCCCACTTAGCCCACCACTGAGAGAGAGGAAAGGGCCTGCCCATGCTCACAGAGACGACGGCAGAACTCAGGCTTGAGTCCATGGCTGGTAGGCTCAGGCCAGGGCTGAATTCCAGACAGTTACTCAAACTTCAAGACTTTAGACCAGCTTTGAAAATCCCAAGCTAGGTGAAACCCTACACCACCGTTACTTAGTGCAGGGCAGTGGAGTGTGGGCGTGGTAGGTCAGGGAACGACTTATTCAGCTAATGCTTCCAAAACCCTCCCCGCTAAAGGAAAAGCATCTGGAGACTAAATATGTAAAATGACATTGGCTATAGAGTCCCACCACCTCCTGGTGACAGCATACTGCGGTTGTAGGCACAGCCCCTAGGCGAGGTATGGATGCTTGTGGCCAGTCTCCAGGTTCTACCCACTCCATCTGGCATGATCCCTGCCACCCAGGCCCTGGTGGGGAGGTAGCCGTGTCCACCCGCAACCGAGGCAGTGGAGAAAGTTCCCCGTCCAAGGGCACCCACCGGGCGGGGGCAGCTCATACTCCACCTCCAGCACCACGCGCTCGCCCACATTCTTGAGCAGGGTGATGATCTCATCGTGGCGGAGCCTGGTCAGGTGGATCCCGTTCACAGACCGAATATAGTCACCAATGTTCAGCAGATCACTCCTAGAGCAGGAAGGCCAGGGCACACATGGTAACAGGTGCTGGCCCATGCAGTCCTGGCATTCACACCCACCCTCCTCTGGAATCCCTATGATCACTGGATCCTCATTTCACAAATGGGGAAGCTGAGGCTTAGAGAGGTCAGACAGTTGTCCAGGGTCACACAGCACGTAAGAGAGTGCAGAGACTGACACCCAGGTCCCAGGCTTTCCCCCTTCGCTGGTCTGCCTGCTTTTCCTTCTGCAGGGGTGTCTCAGACGAGCCTGCAGAGTGACCAGATCATCACATCCTTTGCTGTTCCCTAATGCTCTTCCTGACTTCTCACCACCAACCTTCCTGCTGTTCAACTGGACATTTATCTGCACCAGCATTGTGTGAGGCCCAGGGAGGCAGTGACTGAGAGGCTAACTCCCAGGCCTCACAGTCCAAGGGAGCCACAGGGGCAAATGAAATCAGACAATGTGTGCAGAAATGTGCATGTGGGGCTTCAGGAACAGAGCAGTGCAGCTGCCTTGGCCTCGGGTCAGGGAGGGCTTCCTGGAGGCAGTGACCTCTGTGTTGAGTGTGGAGGGGTAAAGAGGAGTGTGCCAGGAGGATGCTGTGGGGAATAGGCTTTTGGACATAGGGGACTGCATATGCAAAGGCCTGGAGGGCAGATATGGCCTGGTGACTGTGGGGTGCTATGGCCAAGCCCCTGGTGTAAAAGAAAAGAGAAGCCAGGGCCTAGAATTACAGCCTCCATTGGAGGCCTTCCCTCTGCAGACACCAAGTTGATGGGTGCTCCTGGAAACAGCTGCCTGATTGCTTTGCCTAAGACCTTCAGTACATTTTCCACTGGCCCTGGGCTCCCATCATTGCCTCTGCACCCCCCTCCTGCGGCCGTGCCAAGCCCACTTCTCACCTGGCTGCAAGTCCCCCAGGTCTCAGGTTGGAGACCCTGGGCTTTCCATCCTTGTCGGTGCCACCTGAGATAGTCAGGCCCAGCGTGCTGCCTTCTTTCTTGATCAGCTCCACCACAGTGATCCCTCGGAACTCCTCTGCCAACAGATGGGGATGGGGGCTTGAGCGGGCAGCTGGGGCCACCCCAGGCCCCCAGCTCTAAGATAAGCGAGGCGAGCACCTGGTTGGTAGGGCACTCTGCTGCATTGCCCTGGGTGATGATCACCTCCTTTTTACAGAGGAGAATCAGAGAGGTTAAGTGGCTGGTCTAAGGTCACAGAGCAAGTCAGTGGCAGAGCCGTTGCCATCTGACCCCCACCTAGGGCTCTCTGTGCCTCCAGGGCAGAAAAAGAGGGAATGAGGGAAGCCTCATTACCTGGAATGCTCTGTCTGCGGCACGCCAGGGAAACGTCGGCCCCTCCTGCGTCCTTGCCTCCTTTGGAGTAGGGCCCATCGTCTGCAGGAGAGAAAGAGGGAAAGGCCGAGTTCCACTTTCGTTTCCATTCCTGCAGACCTCTTCTGCTTTGGGAATTTTCCACTCTGTGGACGTGGCCTGTAAGATGGGTTCCCTCCTGCCACCAGCTCCACCCGATTCTCTGCTGGAGAATCCTCACAGCTCCTCCTCCCAAAGAAAGCCTGGCCCCTGCTCTTGGGGCTGAGTAACATTCTTTGAGCACTACACTACATATTGGGAGCTTCACAGCCATTCTGTGGTTCACTGTCTCAACAACCCTGTGAATGTTGTTACCATGGATCAGATTATTCCACTGTACAGATAAGGAAGCTGGGGCTCAGAGAAGGCCAACTCATGCCCATTGTCACACAGCTGGAGAGTTGTGCAATCTGCATTAGAACCCAGTTCTGCTGACTCTACTACCCAGGGCTGTGCTTACATACCTGCTGGGAGGGGGAGCTCTCTCAAACGCAGGCACAGCAGCTCATGTGAGACAGCTCTGACCGAGACGAAACTCAATCTTGGGTGGACCTGATTAATGCTTCCTCATGAGGACTGCACTTTACAGTTTATGAATCACATTCTCAGGCGTTCTAGGCAGCCTGAGATAAGTCTGTCCTCCTTCACTCTAATTCGAGAAAGCGCTCCCTTGTGTTTCTTCAAATGTTGTTTCCAACAGCTCTCTCTCTTTTGAAAAGCTTAATAGATGTACTTTAGGACTTTCCATTTTACTCTCCATGACCCACATCCACACCCACCCTTCTCTCATATTTTCCATGTCTTCTTTATCTCTCTAAGATACGTCAAGGGGTGCTTCATCTGCAATGAAATCTGTCTTTTTTGCTTCTTTTGAGTTAGTAGAAAATCTTTCATACATTTCAAACATAAAGAAGGTAGAACAGTATGATGCAGAGATTCTCAAAATGTGGTCCCCAGGCCCACAGCACCTGGGAACTTGTCAGAAATGTAAATTATTGGCTGGGCACAGTGGTTCATGCCTGTAATCTCAACACTTTGGGAGGCCGAGGCAGGTGGATCACTTGAACCCAGGGGTTCAAGACGAGCCTTGGCAACATAGTGAAACCCCATCTCTACAAAAAATGCAAAAATTGGCCGGGCATGGTGGTGCATGCCTATAGTCCCAGCTACTCAGGAGGCTGAGGTAGGGGAATCACTTGAATTTGGGAAGTCGAGACTACAGTGAGCTGTGATTGCGCCACTGCATTCCAGTGACAGAGAGACTCTGAGACCCTCACTCTGTCTCGAAAAGAGAGAAAGACAGAGACAGAAGAGAGAGAGGGGGTGAGAAAGAAGGAAGAAAGGGAAGGGAAGGGAAGGGAAGGTATTTCTTTTCCAAGGCATTGCCTTTCCTAGGCATTTAAAGTGTGTTAAAGCTACAGAAATTGGATTGTTTTTCAAATTTCATTTTCTAATTACTTGAAAGGAAAGGAAAGGAAAGGAAAGAAAGGAAAGGAAAGAAGGAAAGCGAGGGGAGGGGAGGGGAGGGGAGGGAAGAGGGAGGGAAGGAGGAAGAAAAGGGAAGTAAGAAAGGAAAATTCTTGGCCCCAACCAGGACCTGAAAAAGGAAACACCCTGGGGGTGGGCTCCAGGAATCTGTATGTGTGTGTATATTAGTATATTAGTCTAACTTATATTATTCTTCACTTTTTAGCATTTAGACCGGGGGATGGTGGCTCACACCTGTAATCCCAGCACTTTGGGAGGTCAAGGTGGGCAGATCAGCTGAGGTCAGGAGTTCGAGACCAATCTGGCCAACAGAGGCATGGCAAAACCCCATCTCTACTGAAAATACAAAAATTAGGGGGGTGTGGTGGCAGGCACCTGTAATCCCAGCTACTTTGGAGGCTGAGGCCGGAGAATCGCTTGAACCCAGGAGGCGGAGGTTGCAGTGAGTCAAGACCGTGCCACATCACTCCAGTCTGGGTGACAGAGTGAGACTCCATCTCAAAAAATAAAAAATAAAAATAAATAAAAATTTAAATATAGTAAAATTTACTCTTTGTGGTGAGCATGTCAATGAGCTTTGGAAAATGTCTCCTGACCACCACCACGACCAAGTTTTAGAACATTTCTATTGGCCCCCAAAATTCTCCCTTGATGTTCTACTGTAGTCAGTCCCTGCCCCAACCTCTGTTCCCCACAAGCACTTATCTGTTTTCAGTCTCTATCATCTTGTCTTCTCCAGAATGTCATGTAAGTAGAATCACTCAGTATGTACGCTTTTGAGTCTAGTTTCTTACATTTAGCATAACCATTTGAGATTCAGCCACAGTGTCGTGTGTATCAGTAGTTTGCATCTTTTTATGGATGACTTGGGTTGCATCCAATGGATATACCAGTTTGTTTAGCTATTGACTTGTGTTTCCAGTTTTTGGTGATTTTGAATAAAGCCATAATAAACATTTGCATACAGGTTTTCGTTTGAACATAAGTTTCTGTTTCATCCAGGAATGGCATTGCTAGGTGGTATGGCAAGAATATGGTTAACTTTATAAGAAACTGCCAAACTGTTTCAAAGTGGCTGTGCCATTTTGCACCCGACCAACAATGTAAAAGAGTTTCAATCGCTGTGCATCCTCATCAGCACTTGGTAATATCAGTTAGGGTTTAAACGAAAAAATTTAAGCTGGGCACACTGGCTTATACCTGTGACCCCAACACTTTGGGAGGCCAGGGTAGAAGGATTGCTTGAGCCCAGGAATTCAAGACCAGCCTGGGCAACACAGCAAAACCCTGTCTCCCTAATTAAAAAAAAAAATTAGTCATGCTAATACATGTGCAGAGGTATCTTACTGTGATTTTAATTTGCATTTGTCTAATGACTAATGAGGTTGGGCACTTTTTTTAACTTGCCATTCATCTATATCTTCTTTGGGGAAGTGCCAAAGCTTTTGCCCATTTTTAAGTTGGGTTGTTTGTTTCCTTGTTATTGAGTTTTCATATATTCCGGATACAAATCCATTGTCAGATGTAATAATGTGTGCTTTGAAAAGCCTTCTAGGTGACTCTGTGTCGCACTAAAGTTTGAAAAACATTTGTGGCTGGGCGTGGTGGCTCACGCCTGTAATCCCAGCACTTTGGGAGGCCAAAGGGGGCGGATCATGAGGTCAGGAGATCAAAACCATCCTGGCTAACACAGTGAAACCCTATCTCTACTAAAAATACAAAAAAAAAAAAAAATTAGCTGGGCGTGGTGGCAGGCGCCTGTAGTCCCAGCTACCTGGGAGGCTGAGGCAGGTGAATGGCGTGAACCTGGGAGGCGGAGGTGGCAGTGAGCCGAGACCGTGCCACTGCATTCCAGCCTGGGCGACAGAGTGAGACTCCGTCTCAAAAAAAAAAAAAAAAAAAAAAAAGGAAAAACACTTGTATAATGAATTGGTATTACCTCACAGGTAGTTTTAACAATCATTAACACTTTGCAGTATTTAGCCCATTTATTTTTATCTATGCTGAAATATTTTAAAACAAATCCTGGGCATAATGCAATTTCACCTTTAAATATTTCAATATGCATTTCTAAATAAGAACATATTTCTTATACAATAAAAGTATTATATCCCACCTTACAAAGTAATACCATAATTATTAGTCTAATACCCATTCCAAATTTTAATTCCAACAGTACATTTATGGCTCTTGAAAGCTTTGTTTGATTATTTTGCTTTTATCTTTGTTCTGTTTTTATATTTTGCTCTTCCTTTTTCTGTTGCTCCTTATCTTTCTAATAATTTTAAATATTTTGAACATTCACCTATTATTTTATTTTTCCATTATCTCAAACTCTTGGGAGGTATTTCTTCTGCCTAGTGTCTGATGACTCTCCCTTACAGTAGACTGTTTCCTCGTGTGGTTGGTAATTGTTGGATTGTGAACTCATCTTTAGTAGTGCTTCAACTGTGGGAATTCTATTCAGCCTGGTTGTAGGGCTCCAGGGTCCAGAGAGAATTTTCCATTCCTTCCCCTGGGTGCTTGCCAAAGTATCATTACCCTGATATCAATGATTATGGGTATTTACAACACTCATTAGAATTTATAATACCTCCATGGTATTGTAAATACCAATCTTGGCTCAAAGATTTCAGAACCATGGAGGTATTATAAATTCTAATGTTCACCAGAAACAAGGGGCACACCTTAGATCACAAATCCTCAAAGGAGACCACTGGAGGCTGAGTTGAGACAGATAAGCTTTTGTTTTAGCTCCCTGATAGACGGGTGAATATTTTCCAAGTCTCCTCTTTCACTGAGGGTAGATCTCTTCAAAGGTCCTGGCTTTATGCCGGGGTCTCAGTACCAACTTGGGAAAGTACAAGGTAGCTTTTCCTGTGTCTCTGAGCCATTAAAACCCAAGCCTTCGGCTACCAGACGCACAAACATCCCCCCATTCCTGCTGCCACCCCAGTAGAGAAGCCCCAGCATCACCTGCACTCATCCTACTTGTTTTCCATTTCTCTCCATTTTTTGAGTGGAAATGCATGTATAGGCCCATTTGTGGAGAATTGATGTCTTTTTCTTTGGGAGACAATATTGAATCTTCCAGTCAATGATCACAGTATATTCCTCCATTCATTTTTATCTTTAATTTCTCCTAAGAACACTGTGTACTTGTATGAGAAAAAGTCTTATACCACTCTCATTAAATGTATTCCTAGGCATTTAAAGTGTGTTAAAGCTACAGAAATTGGATTGTTTTTCAAATTTCATTTTCTAATTATTTGTTCCTGGTGTAAAAATATACAGTTCGTTTTATATTCTGAGCTTAAAAAATTTATTTTTAATTCTTGTGGGTATGTAGTAGGTGTATATATCTATGGGGTAGATGAGATATTTTGATACAGGTACGCACTGCATAATAATCACATCAAAGTAAATGGGGTATCCATCACCTCAAGCATTTATCCTTTGTGTTACAAACAATCCAATTAAATCTTTTTAGTTATTTTTAAATGTACAATTACATCATTATTGACTATAGTCACCCTAGTGTGCTATCAAATACTAGGTCTTATTCATTCTTTCTATTTTTTTTTGCAAAACTACGGAAGACTTCACAAATTTGTGTGTCATTCTTGCACAGAGGCCATGCTAATCTTCTCTGTATCATTCCAATTTTAGTATCTGTGCTGCCTAAGCGAGTACGTATTCTGAACTTTTAAATTCACTCATTAATTCTAAGTTTAGCCATACATTCTTTTGGATTTTCTATATACATAATCATATCATCTGTGAAAATGACAGTTTTATTTCTTACTTTCTAAACTTTATGCCTTTCATTTCTCTTATTTGCCTTATTGGACTGGCCAGACCTCCCTTACAAAGTTGATGGGGTGATTACACAGACCATCCTTATCTCCTTGATACTCTCACTCGCTTCATTTCTGATGCCTGAGGTTGTCCTTACTTTCCTGTGACTGCACCTGAGCATTTCAAAGGAGTTTGAAGCTGGAAGCTTGTCTGGTCACCTGCTGGACCCCAGCCTCCCTGCAGCATCCCTCCTTTTGCACATGCCTCATTTTGCGGGGCTCTGCCTGAGTTAAAGGCAGGGTTCAGCCTGATGGGGCATATTCTGGTTTCTCCTCTATGTGCTGACAGAGAGGGGAAGGAAACTCACAGATCCTGCAGCAGCCATGCCCTGTGCACACCACCACATTATCTTGTTCCACCTCATTCACTTCTCACAGTGGCCTTGGGAGGAGGTAGGTGCTGCGATCACACCCATTTGACAGACGAGGAAACAGGCTCAGAAAAGGGAGGTCTTTGGCGAAAGCAGCGTCTACCAAGAGCTGGAAGCAGACCCCAGGCCTTTTAGCGTTTTCTACCCTGTGCTTGAGGCCCCATCGAGCGGGTTATGTTTTTCACATTCCTCATCTAAGTCTCCTTTCTCAGTACTGGGCTGACACGGGCAAGAACAGGTGCCAAAGTGAGAAGGGACGCACCATCAAGCTGGTGGGCTCCCTGCGCTGCCTCAGGGCTCAGCCCTCCGGGGCACCTTCTGCTCCTTCCTCAGGCCTCGTCTGAGCCTGCACATGCCCCCGCCTGCCCTTGAAGAAGGGCTCTCCTACCACCCCAACCTCTGCGGCTCCAGCTTAGCCTAGTGTTAGCAGAAGAGGCTCAGGGGTCAGCCAGGCCTCAGTAGAGATCCTGGCTCTGCCATTCGCCAGCTGTGGGAACTTCGCTCTCCTCCCCAACCTCACACCCATGGAAAGTGAGACCTGACCCAGCGGCCCACGCGCCCTCCCATCCTCAGCGGCAGCGGGAGAAAAGACGGGAGAAGGTCTGGTCCCCGCAGGTGGCAGAGGCCACTTTCCCCACTCTGCTCCAGCCAGGTCTTTTTCATGAGGGGAGGGTCTGATTAGGGTTCAGCCTGGGTATGAGTGGCCTGAGTCAAGGTCAGGACTCAGTCTGGGCCAGCGTCAGGGCTCAGCCAGAACCGGAAACAGGGCTCAGTCTACGGGAGGTTTCTCAGCCTTCGCACTATGGGTATTTTTTGCCAGATGATTCCTGTGGTGGGGGCTTCTCTTCTGCATTGTAGGAAGCTGAGCAGCATCCTTGGCCTCTAACCACCAGATGCCAGGAGCATCTGTGGCCAACAAAAATGACTCCAAACATTGCCAAACGTGCCCTAGGGGAACCATATCGCCCCCAACAGAGAACCATTGCTCTATAGTCAGGAGGGGACTCAACCTGGGTCAGGGGTGGGGCTCAACCTGAGTTAGGGGAGGGGGTTCAACCTGGGTCTGGGCCAGGCTCAGCCTGAGTTAAGGGCGGGGCTCAGACTGACTTAAGGGCTGGGCGCAGACTGAGTCGGAGGTGGGGCTCAACCTGGTTCCGGGCCGGATCCTGTAGAGTTGAGGGCGGGGCTCAGCCTGGCTCCGGGCCGGATACTGCTGAGTTGAGGGCGGGGCTCAGCCTGAGTCAGTGTTGCTGGTCAACTTGGGCCTATGGAAGCCTGACAGCGTTCCCACCTGCAGCTGTAACCATTGAGAAAGGTCCCAGTTGCCAACTACCGTGCTCCGCCAGACCAGGGCTGGGCTCTCTTTGCTTGCCAGCAGCTGATAAATAACAAATCAAATAGCAGTTAAGCCAGGAATCATTTCCAGGTCCCCTGGGGTTGGGTCCTCAGCAGCTCCGCTCATCCGCCTTCCACCTCCAGTTCACATCAGCCACCACGGATTCAGGCGACACCCCATTAAGTATAATGCCTCCCATTACGGTTTCCTAATACGCACTTCATTTAGATTCAACAAGATGTTTCTGAGCTAATAAAATCAAAAAGACTGGGTTCTATCAACTGTGTGACAGTGAACGTCTCTGGTATTTCAGGAGGGCAATTCTGGAATTAAAATACGTCTTATCCTGTGCAGATTAGATTCTGTCCCTGGAAAATCCCTCTCTATCTCCAGCTGTCTTGGGAAGACCAGAGATAAGCTTGCTAGCTCCAGGTTTATGAATCCTAAGAGAAAAGTGGGGGAGGGAGAAGGATTATCTCTTAAGGAAAGGATAAGGAAGCCAAAGCCCAAGTTCACCAAATTCAGAGCAGTGGAATCCCAGAGTGGATGTGGAGCTGTGAGCCCTAATTGTAAAAACAAGTCAGAAATTCAGACGGAGGAACAACGGCACCCCCAAGAGCTGGATGCTGAAGCACAGGGTGCCCGATGTTGGCTGGCGAAGGGGGGGACCCATGCCCTGGGTCTCCGTGGTGCCCTCCAAGTTTGTCTCTGACACTGCCTGTCTTCCCTTTCCTCACCCCAATATTCAGATTTTGCTCCAGTGCACTACCGGGTGCTAAAGTGGGTTACAGTGACAGCTTAGGGACAGCGGAGGTGCCGGAGTCTGCTGGTCTCAACACCGAGTGGCTGCAACTCCCTTCCTGCTACAATTTTTGGCCGGTTTGGGGTTCAGCCTGTGAGCCATCTCTTTTCCCAGCTGTCAGAGACTTGACTGCGTGCTGCAAAACAAGTCATACTACTGTGCGCAAAGAGTCAGTGGGCAGCAGGCGAGGCCTCGAGAGACTTCCCTAGGCATCTCAGGGTGTGCCCTTGGTGGCCTCTTGTGGAAGTCAAGAAGCCATTCTTGATAGGCGAGTTGCCAGATGAGAGGCTTCTGAGCACCCAAGACCCCCTGGCATAGTCAGAAAGGTGCCCGGAAGGAATGCTGCAGTGTTTGCTGATGCCTATTCAGAGGGGACATAGGGCCTCTCTTTCACGAACATCCTCAGATGGGGGGGAACTGAGGCAGCATCCAAACCAAGAATCAAAATAGGGTTAGAATTACAATTGGCTGTGTGACTCGAGCCTCCATTTTCCCCTCTGTAAAATGGGGGTGTCTCTCCCATGGCTGACTCCAGCTGGCCAGAGCTTGAGAAGTTGAGGGGATTACTTTATTTATAGAAAACCCCTTGGGGGGGTCAGACCCTAGGCCCCCTCCTCAGAGAACATGCTTGCTCTCTCCCACTCTCTCTTTTTTGTTCCAGGACCTGGTAATTATATGCTTAGAGATGAAGGCTTTTCAAAAACATCTTTCCCACCAATTTTCAGCTGGAAACGTGCATAAAAAACAGAGATATTTTTATCCATGTTTTTTTTTTTCCCTGTCTCCTCCTTCCAGCAACGGGCAATTATGAGCTTTTGCCTTCAGTCAATCGTCCTGTAGGAACTCGCTTCAGAGGAAAATTCATTTCCGCAGTGGTGCCAGCCAGTCCCGGCGAATGTGGGGTGTGCAAGTCAGGGGAGGAGGGACAGAGGGAGAAACGTGCTTGGAGCTCAGACCTGTGCACCTGGTACTCAGGCCCACGCTGCAGCCGGGGTGGGTGGCCTTCTTTTTTATTTTATTTCTCTTGAAATCATGGCTAATTTGCCTTCATTATCTCCCGCTCTCTGGGGCCTCAGGGGGCTATTGAGCTTTGACAAAGGGAAAAGGAAGTCAACTCCTTGCCAGGCTGCCTTCGCCAGGGTCCTGCCTAAGCGGGTGGCTGGAAAGAAGCGTGGGGGAGTGGGTGGGACTATAAAGTCAGCCGGCTTTGACTGCTGCCCTGTTCTGTGAGCCTCCTGGAGGGAGGACTCAGCATCTCAAAAGGGACCACTGAGAAAACAAATGCCCAGAGGCTCCACTTGGGGCGAACAGGACATGATTTGCAGGGACGGTGAGCTGTCGGCCAGGACCATGCCAGCTCACCGGGACCCTGGGTGCTGAAGAGGACATGGGCGCTAAGTACTCCACCAAGTGACGGTCCAGCCCCAGCCAGCTTCGCCCCACCATGGAAGGGATTGTTGATATGGTGGGAAGGGAGGGATAGGCTTTGGAGTCAGTCCAACTTGGGACTTTGATTCTAAATCGGCTGCCAACTGGCTAAGGGATCTGGGACAAGTCACTTCTCTCTGAGCCTCAGACTTCTCCTCTGCAAAATGGGGGTACTGGTGCCCACCTCATGGGTTGCTGGGAGGAACTGTGGGGAAGTGTGCACAGAAACCATAAAACATGGCAGTTCCCTCCCTGCCTGCTTCCCTCACCTTGTTGAAAGGTTTTCCTAGATCAATCATGATGATGGCTCCTAGTGATTAAGTGCTGGTTTCTGTGCTTCCTAAGCACGATCTCATTTAATCCTCACCACTTTTGAGGCGGTATAATCATGATTCTCATTTTACAGATGAGGAAACTGAGGCACAGAGAGGTTAAGTGATATCCCATGATAAAGGGCAGGGCCAGGGTTTGAACCCAGGCCTAATGAGGCACAGAGAGGTCAAGGGAACTGCCCAGGGGCACAGAGCTTCTAAGTGGCAGAGCCAGGATTGAAGCCCAGGCCTTCTGGCTCCCTAAGGGGTCTGGCCCTACCCTCTGGGTACCTTCCTGCCTACTCCCCCATCCATGCAAGCCTGGAAGTTGCTGTAATGCCTGCAGCCCCGGGGCTGTTCGGCTCCAGGCAGAGCCCCAGCTCCTTTGGGCGTTCCTCCCTGGCCACTGAGGGCTGGAACAGGCCAAGGGCTCGATGGAGATGCCTCAAAGCCAGTTACAGGCTGACCTCTGAATGACAGTTCCAATCCCCACGGGCGACAAGCCTCCCAGGAAGCCCAGCTTCCATGGGGAGAGCAGCATAGAAAGATCAGATAAGCTCGGCAGAAGCACGTTTTTCAGGGAGACAAAAAGAAATGCATCAATACATTTAAAAATTTGAAGCCTCATTCATTTGTTGCCAAGGATTGCAAAGAAAAAAATAAAGAACCTTAATAAGTAGCACCCAGTGTTGGGCCCTTCCCTGGGCCAGGCCTGCTCTAAGCACTTTATGAATGCTAAGTCAGTTAATTGTCCTAAGAACCATGGAGGGAGGCTCACCGATTGTCCCCAGTTTACAGATAGGGAGCCTGAGGCCCAGAGAAGCCACTGAGCTGGTGAGCTGCAGAGGCACCTGGAACCCAGGGCTCCCTGACCTCACAACAGACCATGCCCTGAACCCTTGGCTCTGCTCTTTCCCTCCAAACAGGAGGGCAACAGACCCCAAATGAGAAGCATCAGGGCACTGGGAAGGTGACAGCTCCAGTATCCCAAGAATACCTAAGTTAGGGCTCAGGCACTCACAGGCTGGGTGCATCAGGGCTAGCAGGACCCATGGCATCACCTGGAGAGGCCGCCACCCCCACAATCCTCCTCCACACAGGGAGAGGGGCTCCTGTCCAGCAGGCCTGAGCCACACGCAGGCCAACATCCCACCATGGGAGAGCGGGGGCGCAGTCTCAAGTTGGGGGTTGGCCTTCTGCGTTCTGGGTCCTGCTCTCCTGCCCTACTCTAAAACCAGCAATGTCAAGGAACGTGACCTCAAAATCAGGGTCACCCACAGAACCATTCAGTTTCCCAATGGCGGCTGCCTGCAGTCACAAGAAGACTGTGTCTAGCTCAGGGAGAGTAGAAGCAGAAGTCCTCACCACAACTGTCAGTCCCCGGTCCCCTGACTTCACCTCCTGATGCTCGCCCTGGCCAGCTCCACTCCAGCACACTGCATTTTCTCACTTAATCCTCATAACCACACTGCCACTTGGGCACTGTTATTCTCCCCATTTTACAGCTGGGAAAACTGAGGCATGGAGATGCTAAGTGACTTGTTCCTGGTTACACAGCCAGAAGTGACAAAGCGGAGATTTGACCCTATGGGCCCACCCCACCTTGGCAACTGCACTCTAAAGGGAGGTGAAGCCTTCCTGGACACATCTGTCCTTTCGACCCAAGGCCCACCAGACTCACATCCCCCTAGGGCCTTTGCATCGGCTGTTCCCTCTGCCCACAAAACTCTTCCCCAGACATCATCAAAACTCCCGTCTCAGCTCCTTCGGGAACTTGTAGAAATGTCACCTCCTCAGGGAGGCCTTCCCCATCCGCCTGTTGGAACTTACACACGCACCCTGTACCTCCACACCTCCTCTCCACTCCCTCCCTGCTTCATGTTCCTCTGGGCAATCAACACCATCTAAATATTTACGACTATTTTTACTGGGATGTCAGCTCCAGGGGGCCGGGCTTCTGTCTGCCTGCTCACTGCTGTGTGCAGCGCACACATTGTCTGGCATGTAGTACATGCTCAGCAAATATTTTTTTAATTCAATTCCCATTTACAGATTAGGAGAATGAGAATCAAAGAGGTGGAATGAGTTTCTCAAGGTCAGAGACTAGGAAGAGACAGAGCCAGGACGCAAACTCAGGCGAAGGATCCCCCATGGCCACAGCCCCTGCTGTGGAGTAGGAGGCCAGGCCTGCCTGAGGAGTCTCAGAGCCAAGGGGTAGGCCTGGTGAGGGCCCCTCGGAGGAGTGGGTAGCCCAGGGCACAGCAGGGGGACCTTCACACATGTACACCCACACCCACTGAGACTTCCCTGCCCCCAGCATGGCAGCAAGTGCCTGCTCAGACCTAGCAGGCCTGGAACAAAGATGTCTTTGTGGCTGCGGAGTCAGAGCAGGCCTCCCGTCCTCAAGGCAGGAGAGTGAACATGGAGAGGGACTTCCTGCCAAAATCTGTGTTCAGGCCTACTGTGTGCCCCAGCCTGGGCCAATGGAGATAGGTCACAGTCCCTTCCTGCCAGAACTCTGGGGTTAGTGACAGGAAAGCAAGACTCCCTGGAGTGAGACGACATGCCCAGGGTGTGGGGCCTGAGAAGGGACCCACCCAGAGTCCATCAGGAGCAGAGAAAGGGCATAGGGCTGCCTGGTCCACAGAGCCCAGCTCCAATCGGGGCACTCACTGACGCACACTGCCAGTGGGCTGACTTCTCAGGGCTGCAGTCTTCTGTGCCAAATGTGGAGGTATATGGCTGTCCTTACCAGCAACAGGGGAGGTCACATGACCAGGCCTGGCCAATCAGAGGCTCAGCGATCCATCAGGGGTGGGCATGTGATACAAGTTGGACCAATGAGAGCCGTTTCTGGGGCATTTGCTGGAACTACTGGAAATAGGCTCTCTTTCCTTAGGGATGACTGAGCTGGTTGACCTTAAGTTTGAAGGTGCCAGGAACTCTCAAGGAGAGGAGAGAGTCTGCCTGGAAATGAAGCTCACTAAAGTGAAGCAGAGCAAGCTACGAAGAGACCCAGAGTCCTAATGATGTTAATTGAGCATCTGGATCCCACTGTGCCTGAAGCTCCATCTTTACACTTTTTGGAAGAAGAGCCTTGGTGCTGATGCAAACTGAAGCAAGTGTGATCATGAGGTTCTGTGACCTGGGGAGGAGACCTAGGGTGGAGGCTACAGTGGTGAGGGTAGAGGTCAAGTAAGTCATCAGAGAGAGAAAATGTCAGAGAGGTCAGGAAGGGCCTTGAATGCAAGGCTTAGGAGCTGAGCAGATTTGTGTTTTGGCAAGCTTCCTCCCATGGCAGCAAAGGGGTGGAGGCCAGGCCAGGGAGGAGACTGGGCAAAGGCCCAGGCAGTTGATGCTGACCCTGGGCCGAGGTGGAGGTCACAGGCCCATGAGGAGGGGGAGACACCTCCCTGGCAGTGCCCCAGGTAAGGTCTCCAGGGCACTGCTGCCTTTGTGGCCCTGACCACAGCAGACCAAGGTGACCCCACTCACCTGGGCCTTGGGTTGAAAGAACAGATGTGTCCAGGCCAAGAAGGCAGAGCCTCCATTTACAGTGCAGTTGCCAAGGATGGGTGGGCCCATCGGGTCAAATCCCAGCTTTGTCACTTCTGGCTATATAACCCTGAACAAGTCACTTAGCAGCTCTCTGCCTCAGTTTCCCCAACTGCAAAATGGAGAGAATAACAGTACCCAAGTGGCAGTGTAGTTATGAGGATTAAATGAGAAAATGCACAGAAAGCTTAGAAAAGAGCCTGGCCCAGAGGAAGCTCTCGACAACAGCCAGCTATTATGATTATGAGTGTTATTTTTCCTGGGTCGCTAAGGCTGGGTCCAGAGGTGACCTGGCTCTGCTCCTTGCCATGGGAAGGGAGGTGGGAATCAAAGTCCACTGGGCCCTCAGAAGCAGGGCTGGGGGCTCTGCAGTAAAAGTCATCGGGGTGTCAATCCCAGCTCGGCCACTGCCCTCCCTGAGCCTTGGTTTCCTCCTCTGTCCACTGGGACCACAGTCCTTGCCCTTGGAGCTGTGGTGCAAAGATATGTCAAGAGCGTGGGAAGAAACCAGTGAGGCAACCCCAGGGCAGTGAATGCAGTATGTTCTGGTCCAGGCCCCAAGCTCCCTCTTTGGAGGAATAGGGTGAGCCCAGGCTGAGGCTGGAGAGACAGATGGAACAATCGTGTCTGCCCCTCCCCTGGGTCCCAGCCTCAGCACACCCAGGAATGTGGCAGCTGTGATCCCCCATCCCACACATTCCCAGAGCCCCAGGGGCTCACCAGTCAGACCCCCAAACCAGAGTTTCTCCTCCTGCCGAGAACCAGTCTCCTGCCCAGCTGTGCCAGCACAGGAACTCCTCACCACCACCTTGCCCATGGGCCTTGGGCTCTCACCCCTCTGGGTCGGACACTCACTCCCACCAGGCAGCTGTGCAGATCCTGAGATTGGGCAAAAGGCTTCGCTCACACCCAGATAGGACCAGCCTTCCCCCTACAAGGCTGAGCACTGCCCTCGGAACCTCCAGACCCGCCTGTTCTGCCTGCCTGTGCTGGACAGCCCTGGGGGAGGCTCAGCCATCCTGCTACAGGACAGTGGCCAGGGTCAGACAGACAGCCCCAGCAAGTGTCCTGCCCCACCCTCCCCAAGCCCTGGGTCTCCAGGGAGTGGCAGTCCCAGGTCTCAGCCATCCAGTCCCCTCTCTCTGGGCAGCAGCTCCAGAGGGATCTATGTGTTCAGCCCCATCACTCTGCCCACAGACCCCCCATTACGTACCCGCCTCTCCAGGGGTCTCCCGGCTGAGCCCACACAGCATGTTCGCTATTGTCTCCCCTGCTGCCCACCAACTCCCTCGGGAGCCACGCTGCTTGGCCCTCCCTCCCCTCCCCAGGGAGGGGCTGTGGGAGGGAAGCTCACAGCTCCCACTGGCTGGGCACCGAGTCCACCCACTGCAGCGGGCGGCTCTCTGCTTAAAGGGGACATGGCTATTGTCAAGGCTGGCTCCAGGACAGGGTCCAACATGCCCCACCCCTGCAGCCTGGGTCTGGACAGGGGGTCTTTGAAGGTGGCATGCCTGGGGCTTCCCCCAGGGCTCTCAGGCAGAGAGAGAGCCTGCTTCTAACTTGCCCTGGGACTTTGGCAAACGACTCTTCCCTCACTAGGCATCAGTTTTTTCATCTGGAGACAGGGAACAGTGCTTTCCAAACTTTTTTTTTTTCTAAACGGCAGATTCCAAGAGAATTTGCACAGAACCCCAGGACATAAGCTAGATGAAGCACAGACTCTTTGACTGCATGAACAATGCCAGGGCGTCTCTGTAGGTCTCAGCTTAGAAACCCTTGAGCTTGGAGACCCTCCAGGGCCCTCCCACCAATGTTCCAACTACCTCTCCTAGGTATCAGTTTTCCCTCGGTAAAATGGGACTTAGGAAAGATGAACCCGGCAGCCTGCCACGTGGAGTGGCCACCCAGCTTTTTGTGAAGACCAAGTGAGCTGGGTGGAGGATCTGCCCGCCTCTGGGCTTGATAGGCAGGGCCAGTTGGTCACAGGCTCCAGCCACACCTGGCAGGCTCTGCCCCGTCCCAGACCCAGCTGGGCCTTAGCCTTGCACACTCCTGGGATTCCTCCACATTGGCTCAGGACTGACCAGGCTGATCTTAATGGACACCTGAGGCTCCTCCTCTACCTGTCTGTGAGAAGGGGTGGCAGGCTGCACCCAATTTCCCCTGCCCTCCATCCCACCAGTGTGTGCTGGCACCAACTGAGGGTCAGACACCAAGAAGGGTGGGGTGATGGTGACAGGGCACTGAATGGTGGATGTCAACAACCTGTACAACTGCACAGTGCGTCTGGCAACAGAGAACCAGACAGACAAGGCCTGGCTCCCATGGAGTTCCTGACCGCGTGGGAACACACGAGCCTCATATTTCTTCCATGTGCCCTGCAGCTAGTGGGAGAGGGCTGCCCGGTAGTTAGGGACCCGAGGTTTCTTGTGGGTTCCCTCCAGAACAGTGACCCCAGCATGGAATTTAGCCACAATTCCTGGGCCGCCCCACACTGGCTCCTGCCAGCCCAACGCTAGTGGCACCTTTAGAATAATCCAGGTTCTAAATCTGGGGCAGGGCTACTTGTGCTTTTGTATCTGCAAACTCAAGACCCTGCCCTGCCGCCCACTTCCTATGGTGCCTTCCTCTTTGGGCAACTTGAGATCTGTTTCTGGGGGAAGGGTCCAGGTGCCAGGCAAGTTTCCCTTGACCAGCAGTGATGCCAAGGTCTCAGCCACAGGGTGGGTGGTGAGGGTCAGATTGCAGAGGGAAGACCTGAATTTAGTGGACATTTCCTGGACGACTCAAATCATGCAGGGACGGGGGTACACGCACTCAATTTGGCCACCGGTACCCTGGCAGTGGTCAGGGAGAGGCTCGCCATGAAGACCCTGGCCTTCACCAGGGCACAGAGGCCACTCTGGAGCAGTCTTAGCTTCAACCACGCGGGAAGGAATGCATGTGAACTGCTCTAACAGATCCTCACCCCACTCGCCTCCATTCCCTCCATCTACAGCCTCTTCAGTCAGGGAGGACAGGCGCATGGCACCCAGGCAGTTGGAGTTAGATCTGCCCCTTCTTTCTCCCTCTTTCTCTTTCTCTCTTTTTATTTTTTATTTTTTTTATTTTTTTTTGTGACACAGCGTCTCACTCTGTCACCTGGGCTGGAGTGCAGTGGCGCAGTCTCCACTCACTGCAACACACTGGCTGGGCTCAGATGATCCTCCCACCTCAGCCTCCCTGGTATCTGGGACTACAGGCAGGTGCCACCATGCCTGGCTAAGTTTTACATTTTTTGTAGTGATGAGGTTTTCACCATGTTGCCCAGGCTGGTCTCAAACTCCTGTATCTGCTCCTTCTCAAAACAAAATTTGCTCTCCATACAGGTGCATTTAAATGAGTGATGAAGATTGGCAATTGGAAGCCTTGCCTCATTTCTCTGCTCCTTCTCTTAAAAAAAATTTGCTCTCCATACAGATGCATTTAAATGAGTGATTAAGATTGGCAATTGGAAGCCTTGCCACATTTCTGTCTCTCTCACTGCTCCTTTGGAGTTTACTTTTGTGGACCCCCAAGCTCCTGGAAAGGTCATGCCGTGGATTATGGGAGAGCTTCTGTGGCGTTTCTCTGAGTGCTTGCCATGCTATGCAATGTAGGCAGATGGGAAACAGCATCTCCCCTTTGCCCTCTGTCCTCGACACCCTACTGAGCACATTTTCATTTGATTTTATCCAAGTGCATGTTCAGAAGCAATTATTGGCCCATTTTGGAACAAGACAGAATTTAAATAAATAACTTGGCACAGAGAGGTTAAGCAACTTGCCCAAGGTCACACAGCTGGTAAGGATGGAGCCAAGTTTCACACTCAGGAGGCCTGGCACCAGCACCGCTATTCTTAATGGCACTGCTATGGGCCTCAGGATTTCAGGGATTTGTAAAGCTTCTGGGTGTGCAGAGGAAGAGGAATTAGCTCTGTCTGGGAGTCCACTGAGAAGGGTTTTTTAGACTGACTTTGAAGGATGGGAAGGAGTTTGTCCACGAAGGAAAAAGCCATTGCACGCGTGTGAGTCCATGGCCGAAATCCCACATGACTAAGTGAGGAGACAAAGAAGGAAACAGAGATACAGCCAGGCCTGGGGTGGTCTACTAGGGTCTCGCTCCTCCAAGTGCAGTCTGAGGACCAGCAGCATCTGCATCACCCGGAGCTTGTCAGACACGCAGATGCTCGGGCCCCGCCCAGGCCCGCCAAATCAAAAGCTGCATGTTAAGAGGGTCCTCAGGTGATGCATATGAAGTTTGAGGAGCGCTGTATTAAAGAGTTTGTCTTTCATCCTGCAGGAAATGGAGAGCTAAGGATAGCTGTAGTGCAGCGGGGTGAGACAGCTTTGCAAGCACCTCAAACACAGAGTGCAGGCTGACAGTAGGTGAGAGAAGGATTTCCGTCTGGGAGGCGGCCTAGGAATGAGCAGCAAGGGCTCCTTCTAGGACATGAGAAGAGGCAAAGCTGCTGCTTGATCACCCTCCAAAGACGATCCTTCTTGTCCAATGCTGCCAACTTCAGGGAAGCAGAAGAAAAGGGGAACAGATTGCCTGGGCATGCAAGGTGGCTGGAAGCCAGGCCTGCCAAGCACCCAGGCCACCAGGGGCTCCTGAGGACAGCATCTGACTGCCCCATGTTTCAAATGCTGTGGGTGACATGCGAGGGGGCTGAGCAGCCCAGGGGAGATGGCAGGGCCACTGAGCTGGCAGGCAGCCCCTCTTTGGTCAGGAGGGGCCCTGACACTTCCATGTCCCCAGGTTTGTGAGACAACTGGAAGACGGATTCCTGTGTGATCGGGGCACTTGTCCAAATCTCTCTGGACCTCAGCTTCCTCGGCTGTAGAATGAGAATAATAAAAACACCTACCCTCTAGGGTTGGGAAGACCACGTATTAATGAAACAGAAAGCATTCATCCACCCACTTGCCCGCCAAAAGTCTCAAACTAACGCCGTCAAATAGGCCAGAAACAGAATTTCAAGGGAGCTAAGCACACAGGTCAGACATGCCCAGGTTCGAATCCCAGCTCCACCACCCACAAGCTGTGTGACCCTAGGCAAGTCACATCTGTCTGAGATTCACTTTGCCCCTTGTGAGGAGTGAGGATCAGAGACCTTGGAAGCGTTTTGCAAACTCACGGTCACCACATGCTCTTCCCAACGCAGGGCCAGGCCTGCAGGTCCCTCACATTGTCTCTCAGTGGGGCACCACTGGCACTAGAGTTGGGGCATTCTGCTTGTGCGGGGCTGCTCTCACACTGCAGGGTTCCTAGCACCCCTAGCCCCTCCCACCCAGAGGCTAGTGGCCACTGTAGTTGAGAACCAAGCCCATGCTGCGCAGATGGGAAAACTGAGACCCACAGAGGGCCTTGTCGGGGGTGCCCCACCAGCACAGCGAGGGCCTGGACCCAGGCCTCCGTCCTTCATCTCTGACTCCAGGGCTGAGTCCGTCATAACACAGGCGAGCCTTGTCCTGAGCCCACCAGGGGCCCTGAGTGACAGCCGGAAATGAAGTCTGGGTGAGAGGGAGGCAGCAATGGCAATTCAAGGACAAGAGAGATAAACCTTTATTGCTCTGGGCTGTCCGTTGCTTCTTCCTCCGACCCTCCTCCCTCCACCCCAGGGGCCGGGCCAGGACAATTGCTCCCTCCCTGCCTGGTCCTCTCAGAACCTGCATCTTGTTGTTAAACATTTCAGCCAGGTAGGCATTATCGTACCCATTTTATAGATGGGGAAACTGAGGCTCAGTCTGGGATTCCACCAGCCACAGGGGAGGGGCACTAGGGGACCCCCTCTTAGGGGGCGCTGTTTGGTCTTGTCCTCACTCTGTCCAAGGTATTCCACATCTTCCCCAGCCCTCATGGCCCCTCACTTGACTTCAGGGAAGGCTGGGAGGAGCTTCAGGAGTAGTGCCACCCAGTGGGCTGCCCCAAGCTGTGAGCCTCAGACCCACAGAGCCTGCCAGCCTACAGGAAAACACGCAAGGCCACAGGCCAAGGAGGCTCCGACAGCCGCAAGAGCAAAGCATGGCAGCCGTGTGGACAGGCCCAGGAGAGGGGGTGTCCAGAATGTTGGGAAGAGCCACCGTTAACATAATCGGAGCAGAGACTCCACGCACCAGGCCTTGTGACCAGCATTTTGCACACATTTTCTCATTTCATCCCAGGAACATCTCCACTTCAGAGATGAGGAAGCCAGGGCCCAGAAAGGTAAAGCCACTTGCCCTTAGGCAGAATGTCAGGGGGAGCCAGGGTTTGAACCCAGGCCTGCCTGACAGCATCCCCACCCAGTGGCCCCGAGAAATGCACACACCGAACCACTCTCCACAGCCCAGGCATGTGAACACAGAGTCAGGAGGGCCAACGCAGCCAGCCAGCGACAAACACATGTTGAGAGGGGCTGGGAACCCCTGACTGGGCAGGGTCAAGTCACCAGCAGGCCAGGGGCCTGGCCACGGATGGGGCAGCTCCCAGGGGCTCCCTCTTGGGCTCCATGCTTCCCTTGACACCCACAATAGCTTCCCTCCTGGAGGACAGGACATGGGAGCACAGCTGTACAGTGGGCCTCTCTGAGCCTCAGGTTCCTCCTCTAAAATGTGGATGATGAAGTTGTCTGTACTAACAAGGTCTTTGTTGAGAAGCTCAGTGAATGAGCGAAACACCTAAAAAACTATAGCATGTGGGCACAGGGAGATGGCCAGCCTGATCATGGCCCTGCCCTGTCTCTCTGGTTACTTGTTCACTCAGAGAATATTTACTAAGCACCTACTACCTTCCAGAGGTCAGCTGGGCCAGACGTTTCAGCAGTGAACAGAGCAGGCAGACCCTCCTTTCTTAGAGCTTCTGGTCTAGGGAGGACCAGAGATCCAGCAAGAAAGACAGACAGACGGACAGACAGAAGGCATTTGAGATGGTCCCGAGGGCTGTGACAGACACAGTCACGATGTTGGCACAGAGAATACAAGGCAGGTGGTCAGGGAGAGGCTCTCAGAGTAGGCGACCTTTAAGCTGAGCCCCAGGTCTCCTTCACCAGCATCTTCACACCCCGTAGGGACCTGTGGGTGGGGTAGAGGGAGGGGACTGCTCTGCAGTAACTGCCTGGAGCTGGATGAGAAGGCACAAAGGGAGGAGGAGGTTCCAGGTAGGCCGACCAAGCTTGGGTACCAGGAGCAGCTGAGGGGCAGGTGCAGCTAACGCACAGAGACAAGGTCGGCCGAGGCCAGGGAGAGGAGTTGGGATTCTGTTGAGTGTGAGGGGAGGGTTTTTAGCAGGGTCGTGCTGTGACCTAACTTCTATTTTGCAATGGCAACTACCGGGAGTGGGCTGCAAGGGTCAGGATGGCACGGGGGTGAGGGGTCTGAGGGAGGAAATGGGCCAGGCACTTGAGAGGCGGGAGATCTGGAATCCAGGTCCCTTCTGCTCTGAGCCTCATTTTCCCCTTCAGTTGAGCATCAAAGCTCCTCTAATGACAGCCAATAGGGCACGTTTGAGGAATTGCCAGTGGGAGAGGTCAGAAAGCATGGAGTCAGGATGTATCTTGATGCAAAACAGGAAGAAAAAGAAAAATGGGCACCAGCTATAAACAGGCGAGGCACAGGGCGTGGAGGGCAAATGACCCCAAGTTCATGCAGAGGTGTCCCAACTAACTGTCACCAGAGAAGTGAAAACAGAAACAGCGAGCTCCCACTTGACTCTCCTCAAAATGGCAAATGCTGGAAATGCAGACAAAACCAAGAGCCGGTGAAGATGTGGGGAGATGGAGATGGAAAGTCACAGCACAGCTGGTGGGGGGTAAACTGAGGCAGCCACAGTGGCAGCACCTGGTGGTGTTAGGAGAAATTCCATGTCTGGCCACCTGTGTCCCAGTACCCTCACTCCTGGAAGTTATTGCAGAGTAATTCCACCCCCTACCCAGGTCCCTAAGGGGCATGAACTCTTGAGAATGTTGGTAAAGGTGACCTGGGACTCCATCCTAGGGTAGGGGACAGGTAACGTGGTGACTGCACACCGTGTTGTGTGACACAGCAGTTAGAAGTGCAGCCACATGAACAGATCTTAGAAAACCTAGTGTCACATTAAAGAAAGAAAGGAGGGGAGAAAGGGAGGGAGGAAAGATGGAAAGGAAGGAAAGAAGAGAGACAGAATGAGATCTACCCCGTGGTATCATTTATGTATTGAAATGTGGTGTCATTATGTATCGAAAGCAGACACATAAAGCACTATCTATGCTGCAAGGGCACACACAGACGGAAAGACCTGTTTCACCTATTTCAAGTGCAAGTTTAGAGGGAAGGAATTTGGGGTGGGGATAGGGCATGAAGGAGAAGAAATAAGATTATACAGAGCCAGATCTGGCGCTGGGATGGCCCAGAACCATGTGTGCTTTGAACTGAGAAATTTAGCTCAAGCTTTGGAACTTGGAGTTCAAAAATTAAAAATAAATAGGTGCCTCAAATGGCATGTTAGAAGTTGGAACTCTCTCCTGAGGATGCTGCTGGAAGAGTTTGGAGGGAGAGAGGGATAGGGTCAGCTAAGTGTCTTAGAAAACTGACTTGAATGGGTGCTCAGAGCGCTCCTGGGTGAGGGGTCAGGCCTTGCTGTCTGTCCACCCTCCCCATCCTCCTCCCCTCAGGGGCTGCTCTGACTGTCCACCAGCCCTCTCTCTGCCTTCCTAACAAAAAGCAAAACATGGAAATAAATGGACAAAGCTATTGGGGCTCAGCTCCAGGAAAAAGCAGCATTAAGCATCCAATCTCAGGATGCAGTGGCCCCTCCCTGCCCTGTCCTAGAGAATGTTGTCAAGAAACCCAAGTTCAAAGTCCAGTCACTGCTCACACAGGGCCTACTGGGGGCCAAGAACATTACACATGTTGAAATGTCAGTATCTCTTATAAAAGGGACTACATCCAAAGAGGATCTGCCACAAAACCACCCAGAACAAAGGTGGCCACAGAGTCAGGGATGGTCAGAGGAGGAGTCCAGGAAAGCTGCCGGGTGGAGGCAGTGTCTGAGCCACGCCTTGAGGGACAAAGAAACTCAACACTCAAAGGTGAGGTAGGCAGGGATTTCCAGGGAGAGGGCACAGCCTGGGCAGAGGGTGGGAAGTGGGAAGGAAAGGCACCACCAAAAGGGGCCCTAAAGAGCAGGTGGGCTGGCTAGGCACGCAGGGCCGGGTTCCGCAGACACAGTTCTGCGGAGAAGAGAGGTCACCGAATCGGGGCATTCCCGGCACTGTGACCGGCCATGTGGATGACATTTAGGAAGGATCAGGCTCTCCGGAGGCCCCTCCGGTGAAGACACAGAGAGCTTGTGCAGCTGTACACAGGCCAAGCCGTCAGAAGCAGTGCACGGACCTCCGCACACTGGAGTTGATGCAGCGACTCCCCCTTGTGGCTGGTAATCAAGGCATGAGGGTAGTGGATCAGGCTTTGGGAGGGGTGGGCACAGCTGTCATCCCGTGCCTGTGACCGGCTTTGGTGCCAGCGTCAGCCTGTGGCTAACACTGTGCCCAGAGTCCCACCACCCACCCATGGATCAAGCATGACCCTCCGTCCAAACGCAAACGCCTTAGAGAGAAGGAAAGGGCCAGCATTTGCTGAGCACCTACTGGGTACACAGCACTTTATGTACACTGTCTCATGGAATCTTTCAAGAATCCTATGGGATAGACATTGCAGTTCCCATGCTACAGTGCGAAACTGAGGTCGAGAGAGGGGAAGGGGCTTTGGTAAGACAGCCCAACTAGGATGGGCAGAGGGCCAGACCATGAGAACCAGGTGCTCCCTCCTTGAGCCCTTTGCACAGACTCTTCCCTTTGCCTGGAATGTTCTTCCTCACTTTCATCCTTACAGTCCAGTCTAATACCCTCCACCCAGAGGCCCACCCTGGCCATGTGGGGTGTGTCTCCTTTACCTCCCTCAGCCTTTCCTCCAATGCCTTTCCTCTCAGCCCTTCCTCCACCTGTTCTTTTCCACTAAATGGGAGATCCACAACTGTCTTGCTCACTGATTTCAACCCCATGCCCAGGGCAGCGTTGTGCACACAGTAAGTGCTACACAAGTGTTTGCAGAATGAATGAATGAGAAATATATGATGAATGTACATAATCTCTGAATTGCCATATTGGAAAGAAATCAACAATTCATCCCTTCTAACACTGTAGTTCAATGCAGGAATCCTCTCTGCTGTCTAGTACAGCTTGTACACCTCCATAAATGGGAGCTCACCACCTCTGAGCAGCCCACCCTATTCCTGAACAGTTGTAAGGGGTGACAGTCAGTCTGTTATCCCAGCTGCAGCCTGCCTCCCTATGGCTCCCCCTAGTCCCACACCATGGCCTCTGAGCCCTGGCAGGAGAGGCCACAGCTCAGTCTGGATGCGGCTTCAGTGGAGACCCAGTGTGTGGCTGAACACGGTGGTGGCCATTCACCCCGTTATTCTGGGGCCACTTCCTGGAGGGTTCCCCAACCAGGAAGAACAAACCATCTTCCCAGATGCCACAACATCTGACCATGCTGGACAGACATCCTCTACGCCCAAGTGGGGAAACTGAGGCTCAGAGAAAATGGGAACATAAGCCTCTAATAATGACAATCCCGGCTGGCCCCCAGCTGGCACTCTACAGATTTCATACTACTTCTCACCTCTAGGGGCATTTACTTCAGTCCCATGAGGCTGGGATCATCAATCGTTTCATTTTACAGACGAGGAAACTGGAGCCCAGAGACAGCTCAGTTCTCTGGCTCCAAAGCCTTAAATCACAGTTCAATTCACACACATTCTCAAAAGGGCTTGGTGGACGTGGTGATCACCAGATTCTGTGTCCTCATGGTAGACTTGAATATTGAAAGAGAACCCTGGAGCTGTGGACCCACGGTGGACCCTCAGGCAGGGTGAGAACATGGGAAGGACCATCCAAGGACCCCAGGCCACCCAGCTGAGAATATGCCAGAAAGATCAGCAGAGGTATGGGGGTGGGAGCCCTGCAGGGTTTGGGGGTGGGCCCTGGCAACGACCACATGTTTGAGGACAGGGCTTGACCCTGGGATTTCCAGGCCAGTGCCTGCTGCCTGGCAGCTGAGCCCCCTGCGCCCCAAACTGACCAGCCCTCTCCAGCCTCCCCGCCTCCCATTCCCAGCACCAAGTAGCAGAGCCAATTCCCACCTCTGAGCCTTTTTATCACCATCCTCCAGGAATGCCCTCTTCCTAATCCCTGTCTGCCAGGCCAAGTCCTACAAGCCCTTCAAGACTGCTGCCCCCAGGAAGCCCTCCGGCTGGCTGGGGCCTCATCTAGGGCTCCAAGCCCTCGGCACCTCTCAGTCCCACTGTGTCAACTCACTGCTGGCCATCCCACTCTCTTCCTTGCCCATCTACCCCTAGAAGAAGACACCAGCATGGTAATGAAGTGTGAGGAACATTCTAGTATGCCACCCTCCCCGCAGCGGCACCGCTGGTGCCTCAGAGGGGCCCTGAGTTCAACTCCTAGATCTACCTCCACCTCTGACTGGCTGGATGACCTTGGGCAAAACCGGCCTCAATCTCCTCATGCATAAAATGGGAGTATATGTGGGGCTGCGGGAGGAGTAGGGCTTGCGGTCTTTAGGGGCTGCTTCAGCTCTGGCCTCAGCCACCCTGGAACCCCTTCACCTCCATCCCCAGCTTGAATTCCAAATGACCCTCGGCTGCTTACAAACCCCAAACAAACCTTCCTCAACAAACCCACTCTGCGCATGGGCACTGAGACACAGCGAGGAGCAAGGATCTTGCCCAAGGTCATCCTACAGGGACCCCAGCACCCCTAATTATGGGCTGCTAGTGGCTGCTGGCCATGTGCCCCGCTTCGCCTGCCCACCTGCCCACCACATCTGCTTATGAGTCACCATCACCTCGGCCAAGATAGCAAAATGTGGGAACCAGAGAGCCAAGGTTGGCCCAAGGGGAGTGAGTGAGCGGGAGGGGGGAGGCAGCAAGGCTTCCAGGCCCGGGAGAGCAGGGCTGGGGGCCCAGAAGGGACGCTGAGGCCAGGAGGAACACGGACCTGCCAAGGACCCATGAAGAGTTGCGGTCAGCCTGAGTCCCTTGGCTGATGGAGGTGCTTTCCGCTCCATCTGACTATCTCCCCAGTGGGTGGGGAGACAGGGCTGGGAGCCTTCACAACGATCTGGACAATTAAGACAGGCAGATGGTCCTGCTGGACTGAACATTCAAGCCGACAGACAGAGACAATGCCCGGACCTGAGCTGAAGAGATCAGCATGCATTCCAGAGGGAGACACGCACAAGCAAGGCCAATGTGCGGTTGGGGCATTCAGGGAGGAGCCTGGCACGTCTGTCTGCTCTGCCTGGCTCAGACCTCCCCAGGCCCTGGGCTCCACTCTGGGCTCTGCTCTGCAACAGGGACATACAGAGGATGGGGTATGGATGGAGGTGACAGCCAGGCGGAGAGCGGGAGGAGACTGTCCTGTGGGGAGCGGGGCTCACTCAGCCTGGAGCAGGGAGACTTGTGGAGAGGCATCGCTGTTTCTGCAGGGCTGTCCCGGGACAGGAGAAGCACAGAGAAGGCAGAGGACTTGGGGGAGCCTGGGGATAGCAGAGCAGTGGCCACATGTTGGGAATACAACCGAGGGGTCCCTTGGACCCAGCAGGGGAGGCTGAATAAGCTGACCGTGAAGGAACGCCCCCGGGGTGAAATGTTTGGACTTGGAAGTCAGGCGGCCTGGGTAGGCTCATGCTCTACTACTTCTTTCCTAGGTGTGTGACCTTGGAAAGTAACTTTGTCTTTAAGCCTCAGTTTCCTCAACTGCAAATGGGGCAATTTAGTTCATAACCCACAGGCCTGTTGCAAGGGTGAGAAAGTACATGGGAAGTGCCTGGCACACAGCAAGTGCTCAATAAATGCTTGGGAAACAAAGAACAGATCTAGAGGTTCACTCCAGGCTGCCGGGATTCTGCAATTCTAGGACGAGAGTTTATCCTTGTCTTCTTGATTCAAAAAAAAAGAAAAAAATTATCTGGTCTCCGAGCCACCATAGCTGATCTGAAATTCTGGTGCCCCCAGGCATGGAGGAGGGCAGAGGCTCAGGAGTGGCGCACTGGAGAGAGAGGGCTCATTTCCACTCTGGGAGTCAGATTTGAGGCCCTGATGTGGCTGCCAGGAGAAATGCCAGGAGCTGGATGTGGTGGCGTGTGGGAGGCCAAGGGGAGTGCCATTAAGGAGCGGAAGGAGGGAGTGAATAATTCATCACAGACATGCACCACGGAGTGGGCACAGGCAGACAAAGCTCAGGAGGGCAAGGACAGGGGTTTGTGTCTGTCTTGTGCCCTGTTGTACCCCAAGGGCCTAGAACAATACCTATGACGTAATAGATGCTCAATAAATATTTGTTGAATGAGTAAATGACACAGGCTATTCTCCTGCCTTGACGTCTGTCGATTCTGCCCACCCTATAGTCCTGGCTCCTCACCTCCTGCCTGGGTCCCACCCAAGACTCCTTCCTCCAACCCTACCTATGGTCTGTAGACCACAGCCAGAGCTTATTCTTTTCTTTCTCTCTCTCTCTCTCTTTTTTTTTTTTTTTTGGCACAGTCTTGGCTCACTGCAACCACCGCCTCCCAGGTTCAAGCGATTCTCTTGCCTCAGCCTCCCAGGTAGCTGGAATTACAGGCGTGCGCCACCACACATGGCTAATTTTTGTATTTTCAGTAGTGATGGGGTTTCACCATGTTAGGCAGGCTGGTCTTGAACTCCTGGCCTCAAGTGATCTGCCCACCTCAGACTCCCAAAGTTCTGGGATTATAGGCGTGAGCTAGCTACCATACCTGGTCCAGATCCTATTCTAATACTCGAAGCAGTCCTCCACTCTCTCCTGCTCAAGGACCATCCATGGCTCCCACTGCCCCCAAGACAGGGTCCAAGCTCTACAGCCTTTCACCTCCTCCACCCTGCCTCCCTCCTCTCCCCACACCCTTCTTGCTGACCAAGACTCTCATGGGGTCTTGAGGCAGATCTTTCAAGCCTCCAGGCATTTTCTTTCCTTTTTTTTTTTTTTTTTCAGAGACGGAGTCTCGCTCTATCACCCAGGCTGGTGTGCAGTGGCATGATCTTGATTCACTACAACCTGTGCCTCCCTGGTCCAAGCTATTCTCCTGCCTCAGCTTCCCAAGTAGCTGGGATTACAGGCACGTGCTACCACGTTCAGCTAATTTTTGTATTTTTTAGTACAGATGGGGTTTCACTATATGTTGGCCAGGCTGGTCTCGAACTCCTGACCTCAAGTGATCCGCCCACCTCGGTCTCCCAAAGTGCTGGGATTACAGGCATAAGCCACCGTGCCTGGCCACCTCCAGGCATTTTCATGAGCTGCTCCCCTCCTTATCTACCTGGCAAACTCCTACTCATCCTTAAATACGCAGCTCTGGGAGTCTCTTTTGACCTCTCTCAAGCAAAGTCATTGCTTCCTTCTAGAGGCAATAACTACACCCTCGAGTCTCAGTTTGGAGGACATGGGAGGGGTCTCACATGGCCATGTGGCTCAGGGACCTCCGCCCAAGTATTCACAGACTGAGAAACCTGGGGGCCTTACCCAGAAAAGATGAGCAACAGGACAGCCCATTAAAATAATATAGGCTGGAAATGGAGAAATGTTACCCAGGCATCTTTTGAAAAAAAGATTTTGAAGAAGAAGACAGAAGAAACACCTTGCCTTCTCCCACATCTCTTGGATTCTTCTCCTTGAGGTTTCATTTTCGTGAATGTGCAGGCTCACTTAATGGGCAAAGCAAGTTCCTTGTGCCTCCCTCAGTGCCCTCCGTGAAGGAGTGGAGAGGGGTCGGGCAGGAGCCTGGCTCAAGTCTCCGCAGTGTGTCCTCAATCAACCAGGTTGAGCCCTCCTTTTTCCTTTGCTTATTTTCTATTAAGAGCTATGCTGGCCCCAGATGTGACTGCCCTGGGGACAGTGGTGTGTGCATGGGGAGAGGAAGGAAGTGGTTGGGTCACTAAGGGGAAGATGGAATTAAAAATTCCAGGAGTCTACTGTGTGTCCCAAACTTCCTCAATCGGCACTGCAATCTCAGAAGGGCAGTTTTTCTTGGGCTCACTTCAACAGGGGAGGAAACTGAGGTTGAGTAGCCATCCAAGGCCACACAGGGAGTAAGAGCCAGAACAAGATTTGAACCCTGGTCTGTCCGGGCCAATACAAGCATTTCCTGCATCTCCAAGATGCAGAGCCTGATCCACAGCATTTAGTAGGCTGCTCTCCAAATCCTGGGGACGCTCAAATCTGGAGCCAACCCAGGATTTCATCTGTCCCTCCAGCCTGGGAGGATCCCACTGGGCCCTTACGGTCTGTGGACCTGAACAGAGGACAGCAGCCTCAATGGGGGAGGGAGTGTCTCCTGCGGGGGTGGTCTCAGCAGAGGAGTCTCTGGTCAGACCCAAAGAGAGGCCTGTTCCTGATGTTCTCCAGGCACCAGCTGCTCTGTCTCTGTGGACCAGGCTTCCAGGGACCTCTAGGATGTCAGGCCACCAGCTGCCCTGAGGCCAGTGAAGGACCTAGAGCCCTCTGCTGCCCCACGGACACCCACCCCCATCCCCGCCACCTCCCTAAGGAAGACTCCCTGTGTAGGCACCTCAGAGTCTGGAAAATGCTCAGTTACAAGCTCACTGGCTGGAGACAGCCTCAGTGAGTCAGCTGTTTGGCCTTAGGCAAGTTACTTAACCGCTCTGTGCCTCACTTTCCTCCTCTGCACAATCAGAATGAGGATGGGACCAGCCTTGCAGGGCCACTGTGAGGAATGAATGAGTGAATGTACTGCTTGGCACAGAGTGGTGCTGAGTGCATGTCTGTCACTGCTGTTCCTGTTGACAGCAAGATGATTCTTGCTCCTCAGCCTGAAGCATAGAGATCGTGAATCCACCACCTCCCTCCTCCCCGTGCTGTAGATGGAGACATGGCAGCAAAGGTGAAGCCTGGGGTCACACAGCCTGGGGGGTTTAACTCCAGCTCCTCCCCACCCCCACTCCAATCTTGGTCCCACCCTAAGCCCCTTCCTAGCACTCTGAGGGGCTGAGCATGTGTCCAGGGATGGCACCCGGCACAGGCTGGGGCTCAGCACAGAGAGTCTTGCCCAGAGCCAGGCAGCCTTCACCTATGTCCCCCTGTCCCAACTCCCCACGTACAGCCCCTCGCTCCCTCCCACCCCTCCTCCCCCACACACAGCGCCCCTGCCAGGCAACCCCAGCCCATCTGGACAGCCCCACGGCCTCAACAGGAAGGAGAGAAAAGGCTGCTGGGGACATGGCCCTGGGAAGGGGTGGGGGCGGGGGCGATGAAGGAGACACACAGGAAAGTCCAGAGAGACCCAGGGAGAGACAGTGACAGTGCAAGAGGAACAGAGAAGAGCAAGACAGAGACAGACAGAGTGGGAGAGAGAAGGCAGAGCAGAGGCGGGGGCAGAGAACCGGGTGAGGGAGGGCAGACAGCAGGAGAGACAGACACAGAGAGACCCAGAGGCCAGACAGAGAGACAGCAGGAGAGAGAGGAGAGAGAGACAGAGAGACAGTGGAAGAGAGAGGAAGGGACCCAGAGAGAGCGGAGAGACAGAGACAGAGAGATGGAGGAGACAGAGAAGGAAGCAGAGCGGTGGAGAGACTGGGAAGGGAACTGGAGTGATCTGGGACAGAGACACGGAGGGAGAGAGAGATGCAGCAGAGAAACCCAAAAGGCTCCGCGAGAGAGACGGGGAGGGAGAGCAGGGGTGACTGAGGACAGGCAGGGAGCCTGGGAAGTCCCTCTGGGCCCCTCGCCCTCCACCCAGACTCACCGGCACCTTTGAGACGCCGCCTCACCACGCCCAGCCGCCACTTGAGTGACACCGCCAGCATTGTGCCCTCCTGCCCTCCGGCAGAGCCCTGTGCAGCCTGCCCCAGCCTCCCACGCCTGGAGCCGGCGCTCCTGTGCCCGCTCCAGAGCTGCTTGCGCTAACTGGCACAGGCTGGGCGCTCCCTTCCTCCGCCCTCCCGGAGTTGCTAAAATAGATAATCCTCCCCGGAGCCAGCGGTGGCATTGGTGGCGGCAAGGCCCTTCCTCCAAAGCAGCCGGGCCTGGGGAGTGCAGTGCCGGATGTTCTAGCCTCTGCAGCAAACCTCCAGCGGGCCCCACCCTCAAGTCCTCTTCCCACCAAAGTGCTCACCTGGCCCACCCCACCTTTTGCTGAAATCTACCAATCCCCTCCTCCCCTCTTCCCTGGGCTGGCTGTTTGATACTTCCAGGCCTTTGCACCTGCAAGGCCCTCCCCCTAGAATGTCCTTCCCCTCTAGTGGGACTCCATGCATCCTCTCTGCCTGGGAATGTTTGCTCCCTTCAGGGCACCCCGCCTGCTGGACCTCAACACATTTCATACTAGGTTGAGATTATCTACCTGCCCCCAAGACTAAGGAGCTCTGAGACAAGGACAAGAGTCCACTTGTCCTGTGTCCCCAGCAGGCAACATCACACTGGGCATGTGATAGGGCCACCAGAGTAGAACGAGGAGACCTAGGCCCCGCCTCTTAACTCCTAACCCCTACAACTATAACACGTAGCATGGGGATACCCAGAGAAGCTGCTCAAACTGCTGGTTGGGTGGAGTTTTGGGGACTATGTGTGAGTGCTCAGAAAACGCATCCAGCATCCCTTCTTGTCGTACACATGGCTAGCCTCCTCTCTCATCCCACATCCTGACCCCTGAGTTTGGCAGGGCAGTGTTGCCCTAGGGGAGACTGAGGCAGATGGGCAGTGACTTGCTTATGGTCACAGAGCACATATGTTGCAGAGGTGGCTCTAGAACCCCAGGTTCCTGCCCTCTCTCTACCAAGGCAGGTGTTCATGCTTCCTCCATCCTTTTCCCAAACCATGAAAGCCCCTCTGATGAATCAGGCTACAGACCACACTCATAGGAAGGGCAAGACACCCGCTCGGGAATCATGGCTGCCACAGAAATCAGGCTTTGCCTGTGAACCAGCAGTGAGAGCCTCCCTTGAGAAAGTCGGAGGGTTCCCCCACATGCAGAACTCCTGCCAATCCCCATCACTTCGCAGCAATCCTATCTCTGGAATCCTTTGGCCTAGCATTCACCAGCACGCAGGATTCCTAGGACGGATGGAACACAGGGCAGTTCTGGATACACAGATCTGACCAGTAATAAAAATGAATTACACAGCGAGGAAGTGATTCCCTTCTCAGTAATCTCCCAGCCCTTCTGATTCCATGCAGGAGTCTCCTTTCGGCTCTTCCACACTACCTCCCTGAAACTTGCAGACAAATAATTTTAAACAAAGACAGAGCAGGCTCCAGGCTCAGAGGCCCCACAGTACATGGATTCCAGCCCAAAGCATCAGGAGGCACTACTGGCAGAAGGTGAGGCTCAGGGAGGCTCTGTTGGGGCAACTCAGCTAGGCTGGAGGTTCTGGGCTCCTTTACACAGACTCTGCTGAGGGATTCTGTCTTCATCCTAAAGGTGTGGGTGGCAGAGGCCTCTCAGGGCTAGCCGAGGAAGCAGGAAGTGGGCACTTGAACGGCATCACCCAGCTCCTTCTCGAGACCTGAGGACAGCGTGAGGGCTGCCCCACTGCCATAGCCCCTGTCCCATCCCCACTGTAAGCCTCTCCTCTGCAGTTGAGAGGCGTGAGCCTCTAGAGGAGCAGCAAAGCTGTGGCTTAGCTGTGCAAACAGAGAGGAAGGGAAGGGAGCAGAGAACACATGCCTTTAGGGATGGGCAGATCTGAGGTCAAATCCCAACTCAGTGTGCCTTAGTTTCCTCATCTGACAGATGGGGCTAACAGTTCCTGCCTCTAGTATGGCAGGGTTACACGAGATCACAAGCATAGAGCACTTAGCGGAGGGTGGCACACAGTAGGTGCTAGATAAATAATATGTAACCGTTATTAGTGTTGTGGTTATTCCGCATGGAGCCCAACCCCTTGTGTGTGAATGGGGATGGGAGGCCCAGTGAGGTGAAGGCAGGAAAGTCAGGAATCTGATGCGTTCCATGAACTATCACATCAAATCCTCAGAGCGCATGAGGGTGGTCCTAGGAACATCCCTATTTTACAAGCAAGGAAACTGAAGCTCAGAGAGGTGCGGTATTCTACCAGAGTCACACAGCATGCATGCGGCAAAACAGGTCTCAGGTCCTAGCCACCAGACTAGGCCGCTGCCACATCTAGGCCCAGGGAGCACCCCTTATAAAACCCCTATTGTGGGCCAGGCTGTGGGCCGAGCCCCGCCTGGCTGGCTTAGCCCAGGGAGGGCAGGCTGCGTTGCCTGGGGTTTTGCAGACTGTTAAGTGGCAGAGCACGGTTGGGAGCTCTGGCTGTGGATGAGGCCGCTTCCTAGCTCCATCAGTGCCTTTGGTAGGAAGAGAAATGGCCCAGGTGGTCTGCAGTGCCAGCTGAAATTGACGTGTGGAGAGCACAGCAATAAATAAGTAATAAATAAATAAGGAGGCCGAGGCTCCCAGGGTGCGGGAGAGGCAGAGTTCCGACCTGGTGGGGTTTCCTGTCACCAGTTAACCCTGGAGGGTGCCCTGTAAGTGTCCCAGGCCTTACAGGTGAGGACACTCTGAGGACCACATCCAGACCTGCATAGGGAGGTGGATCTGCCAGCTCCAGGCCCAGCTCTGGGTCTCTGTCCCCTACACACCCACCCCAGAGACCCCACAGGCCTCAGGGCCCACTGCAGGAGCCTACAGTTATGTGCAAAACTGACTACGGAGCCCAGCCTGAAAACTCCCTGACTATGTGGCACTTCCCTTCCCTGGGGCCCCTTAGCTCTTCAGCTGCAAGAGGGATAACCTCGCCCTACCTGCCACCTACGGCTGTCCTGGGTCAAATGAAGAAGGGGAGCTCCGAGGGCAGGGTGGATCTGTCCATTACGCCTGGCACTGACTTGGAGGGGGCAAAATACTTGTTAGGTGCAATCTCAGGAGTGTTTAATGGTGTGGGCTGTGGAGCCAGCCTGCCCGGGTTCAAATCCCAGCTCCACCACCTTCTAGCTGTGCAACAAGACCGTGTTACTTACCTGACTGAGCCTCAGTTTCCTCACCTATAAAGTGGAGATGATAATAGGATGTGCCTTCCTGTATGCTGTGAGAGTGAAACGGGATCAAATGAACATGAAGCTCCTCACACACATTCATTAAAAACACAGAGCATTATCTTAAGATTGGTCTTGCAGAGTTCCAAGTGAAATTGGAATTCAAGTAGACCTTGGGGAGTCAAGTGGACCAAGGGCCAATTCCTTGGTTTAAGTGGAATTCAGGTAGACCCTGGTGGGTCTGGTAAATTAGGAGTGCAGGTGAGCCAAGGTGTATGCTGAGAAAGAATTTATCAAAAAAAAAAAAAAAAAGGAGCCAAGAGAGATGCTATGATCCAGTAGTTTCTAATGGTAGCATCCCAGCATTATGTTGGGCCCAAGAGAAGACAACTGTGGGAGGCAGTGGTCGGTGTATTTCTCTGCCTCGTCCCAAGCTCAGATGTGTCACCTCTGTCTTGGGGGTGCAGGATCCACCAGAAGTCACTAGGGCTCAGCCTGTTCAGAGCTAATTTGGGAGGTGGCTCCATAGATCCCAGAAGATCCAGGTCCCACTGAGGAGCTGCCTGGCTACAGTAGGTGCAACACAAGAAACGGAACTGAGGAAGACATGGTCCCTGTCCTCTAAAAACTCCTGGCAGAGACAGACGCTGCTTCTCCCTGAGCCTCAGTTTCCCCGTCTGAACACTGGGGTCAAGAATCTGCACCTCATAGTGCTGCAGGAAAAGAAATAATGAGTCCACATAACTCCAGCCCCATCCCTGTGTCAGCAGAGGCTGGGGAGAACTTGAGGCCAGTTATGATTTGATGATTTATGCTAGGCATCTGAGGATGGGCTTGGTGGCTCAGACCCGTAATTCCAGCCCTTTGGGAGGCCAAGGTGGGACAATCACTTCAGGCCAGGAGTTCAAGACCCGCCTGGGCAACATAGTGAGACTCTGTCTCTATAATTTTTTTTTTTAATTAGCCTGGCATGGTGGTGCATGCCTATAGTCCCAGCTACTCACGAGGCTGAGGCAGGAGGATCACTTGAGCCCAGGAGTTTGAGGCTGCAGTGATCTCTGATCGTAGCACTGCATTCCAGCCTGAGTGACAGAGGGAGATCCTGTCTAAAAAAACCCAGCAACAACAAAACAAAAACAAAAAGCACGTGTATGTATACAGTATACAGTCAATATGCTTCTCTGCCCATGTGCAGTCCAGCTTCTCTAGACTTCTATCCCCTTTTCTCCCAGCAATGTCACCCCCATTTCCCTTGGGGAGCTGCTCCTTCCCTGCATCCAGGGGAGGAGCTTTGTCTTTCAGCTCCAGGAGAGCCTTGACCCAAAGCAGACCAAGTAGCCTATCCCAATCCCCAGCCACGGCAAGCAGCTCAAGGATGGGCACATGACCCAAGTCAACCCAGTGAGATGCTATTCTGGGGCTTTGGATGAAGCCACTAGGAAAGGGAATCTTCTGGAGGTGTGGAGAAGCTGTGTCAGTCAGGCTGCTGGCGGCCACTGTGGCACCAAAAGAGAAGAGAAAGACAAATCCAATCCTGATGATGATGGCATCTCAGCACCTGGAACCCACCATGCCTGAAGTTGGGTATCCCTTTTGAACTTAAGCCAATACATTCCCTTCTTTGTTTAAGCCAGTTTGGGTTTGGTTTTTGGTAACTTGGGCCCAAAAGTATCCTGACTAATCCAGTGTCTTCCTCATCTCAGAGTTCCAGATTCCAGCACACAGCAGGGGCGCAGCAAGGGCTCAGTGAATGAGAGATGGAACATGGAATAATATGCTCCCCAAACTCTACCTTCAGCAGAGGACCCCTGGGCCCTCAACTTTAGTCAAAGGAGGCCACAGCTGGATATGAATTACTTTGGGTGCAGGGGCCCCAGCTGAGCAGTTCGACTGGAAGATCAGGAAGACAGCAGAGGGAGGCTTGGGGTCCTAGGTTCCAGCCATCTGAAGCTTGCTCATTACCTGAGCCACACCTGCCAGGCTCCCCTGTGCTCCCCAGATTTTTGCAGGATCCTTCTGCAGACAGCAGCCCCAGGGAATTGTGAGGGAACAGAGGCTCCCTTAAAGGAGATGAACCCATGGATGCTTCAGGCTGAGTCATCAAGAAAACAGCAAGGGCAGATCAGCCCGGCTGGGAGCCAGGAGGTCTGAATTCAGGCCCCAGCCAGTGTGCACTACTGTGTGGCCTCGAGCAAGTCTCTGCTATTCTCTGGCCTCCATGGGCTGTACTCCATGGTCTTCCCTAAGTTCATCCTCCCTATAGCATTCTCACTTTCTCGGTCCCAAGGCCCAGAGAGGTTCCCCCTGTTGTCAAAGGTCACACAGCCACTAAGGTGGCCAAGCCAGGATTCAAACACAGGACTATCTGGCTCTCCTCAAAACTGAGGCTGCACAGAGCCCAGGAGATAGGTTAAAGAAGGGAAAAGATCACAGAGGGATCCAGGCCAGCCTCCACCAATGCTGCTTTTTCCATTCCTGCCTCAGCTTCACAAAGCTCCAGAGGCCCCAGGTTGCTGCCATCCCCGCCTGCTTCCCGAAACAAATTAGCATCTCATCAGAGATGCCTTTAATCTTCTCAGCCTTTTCTTCCCCACGGGCCAAGTGGTGACATTTCTGCTGCCCAGCTCTACTGATCTAAATAAGACCAAGGCCGCCAAGGCTGGCTCTGTGGGTGGAAGAGAGGAGGCTGGGTGCAGACCCTCTTGACCGTTTATCCAGGCTGGGGGAGGGAGAGGATGCAGGCAGATGCAGGTCATCCATCCATCTCTCCATCCATTTGCTCATCCAGCAGATCTTTATTCAGCACTGTCTGTGTGCCAAGCGTGGAGGTACAGCCACCAAGGCTTCGAGGTGCTAATATTCTAGTGAGGAAGACAGGGTAAATGACAGATGTAACAGATAAGTAAAGGATGCAACATGTTGCGAGGTGAAAGCTGCGAAAAATAAACAGAGCAAGTGAGGAGTACCGGAGTACAGAAGTTGATGTTGCCAGTTACAAAGGGGCTGGTCCCCCCAGAACCCAGACTCTGGACTCTAAATTCCTTTGCCCAGCAAAAGGACCCCCAGGACTCCTGAAAGCAATGGATGATTGCAGGGCTGAGGCAGGGAAAATGCAATATGAGCCTTTCTTGTAGTCTCAGAAAGTAAGGAAGTGTTCAGGGTCTGAGTGGGGGAAGTTGTGAGGACACAGAAGCCAGCTGGAGGGGTCTCCCACCGGCCAAATCTGGGACAACTTGAACATCAGAAAAGAATCATGACTACAAAACTGCAGTGATCCATGTGTTCCTATTGATTCTGAAAAGAAAAAAATAAAATCTGGCTGGTTCCTTTGGGGGTGGTTAAGATACCACATCATTTTTCTATGAACAGATACATGAAGGTAAAGAATGAAGCACGTTTCCTGTGTTTCCTGTATACGCAGTGTTTTAGGAGGCCCTAATAAGGGAAAGGCATCCTTCAGAGAAGAACCACAGCAGATAAGTGCTGAAGAAATGACGGAATTGGAAAACCACCTTTTTGCAATCCTAGTGAAATAAAGGATCCAGCACTGACTCTGTGACAGAGGGATGAGGCAGACGGTCCTCGGACTCCCGAGGCAGACGGTCCTCGGACTCCCGGACAGGTCTCAGCATCGCCCAGAGTGGAACTACGTGGCATTACGTGCGCCAGATGGGATGTGGAAGGAAGCCCACAGCATTCCCTGAGATGGATTCTTTCCTGCAAAATTGGACCTGAATCAAATCCAGCTTTAGCCCCAAATATCAGTGGGGAGAAAGTACAATGGGGCAGAAGAATGAATTAAATGATACCACGAGAACATTCCACAGGAAGAATGGCCTGGGTTCTCCAACAAATAATGAGAGTGGGGGAAAAAAAAAAGGAGGGAAAAGGGACTGTTACAGATTAAAAGAGACACAAGAGACTGATCAACCAAATGTGGCAAGGGACCTTACTTGAATCCTGATTTGAATAAACCGATCATGAAAAGACATTTTGGAGACAACCAGGGAAAATTGCACGCAGACTGGGTACAAGATGATATGAAGAAATTATGGTTAATTCTGCTGGGTTGCTGCTGCTGTTGTAATTAGAGTTGAGAAAAAGTCTTTATCTGTGGAGATACAGATGAAACAAAAAAAAAAGTTCTGTGGTTTGCCCTTAAAATGCCTCAAGGGTATTTCTGTGTTATATGTGCCATTTGGAAGTAAATGAAAATTTAAAATTTAAAATAAAAATTAAAAGAGGGAGTCATAAAAGGCCTCACTAAAAAGGTGACATTTAGAGAAAGGGTTAAAAGAGGGAGGGTGCCTTGGTGGGCGGGGGCTGGGGGAAGAGTGTGCTCCTGAGGGAGGAGGAGCAGCGTGGGCCTGGAGGGTCCGAGGAAGGTCAAGCAATGCAGGGTCTCCTGAGGATCTGGCTTTTCCTCTGAGGATGTGGGAGCTTTGCCTGGGGCTTTAACACCATCCCTCTGGCTGCTAGAGGGAGAAGGCAGGGAGGAGGGGTGTAGGGGAAGGGCACAGAACTCGGGGCTCCACAGTCATCAAGCCTCACCTTATCATAAGGTGATGTCACCTGGCAGCTAGAATTACAGGGGAGCTTAAAAGAACTAGTGCTGAATCAGAAACTTGGGGGGTGGCATCCAGGCAGTGGCCACTTTTTAAGCTTCCCCAGTGATTCTACTGAACACTGGAGTGGAGAGTCACTGTCACCTTGCTGCCCTAAAATGAAGACGGGAACACTGCCATTCGGAGAAAGAAAGCGGCTGTTTCTGCTTCACATGGCGACCGAGTGGCAGAGGAAGGATTTCCAATAAACCCCTCCACCCTTACCCATCTTCTGCCCTCCACCCTCACCAGACCTGCTCTGAGGCTCAGGAAGCAGAGGAAGCAGCCCCAAGGGAGGCTAAAACCCTGCCAGGGGAAGCAGCTCATCCATCTGATGGCTCCCAGACAATCCCGAGCCAAGAAAGAAAATGCCACCAAGCGTTTTCAGTATGGGCTAGGGCGGCTGGCTGACAGGTGCACCCACAGAGCCACCTGCCAAGAAACAGGTGGCATGTCTGTTAATATTCCTGGCACTGCCTTTAAAGAGCAATAATTAGGAGCAAAAGCCTGGGCAGGCACCATTCACAAGTACGCAGATTAAATCGTGGGCCGCGTGGGTGGAGGTGTCGGAAATGCCACTACGGTCCTCGTGTGCCACGGGGCAGCAGCTCCACCGGGGCTCCTCCTCAAGCCAGGCCACGGCAGTGCCGGCCACCTCCTCCACTCTGACCCCAGGCTCCCTCCCCACACCTGCCATGTCTCAGGGAGGGGACGGCCTGCCGAGGGGGTTCAGAGTCAAACAGTGCTGGATTCAAATCCCATGCTGCTTAGCCATCCCTAAAGTCAGTAAGTATAGTATCACACAGGCACCCGGTGGTGTGACATTTCATGAAAATGACACAAGTCTGGGGCCTGCAAGGGCTCCGTGCGTGGGACCTGACTTAAAATTATGTACCAGGCATTTCTCTTGCTGAGCTTCAGTTTCCTCATCTGAAAAATGGGGAAAGGGGAGAAAGATGAATCACGTTAATGATCACTCTGTGACAAAGGCAGACACTGTTCCCAGCCCTGGATGCACATTAACCTTCTTCAACACCCCACCACAGGGGGCCTGATTATGCTCATGAATAGGGAGATCAGGCAGGAGGCCAAGGTCATGCAGCCTGAAGCCGAGTGGGAATCTGAATCAGGTGCTGGCCAGGCCTACCCTGGGACCCACCCTGCTATTCTAAACACAGACGCGCCTCTTGCTCAGCTCCGTGCGAGCATGTGGGTGGTGTGATTCAATAGAGCAAACACAGCACCCCGAGCACAAGGGGCACGGCACAGCCCACAGCCGGGCACCCGAGCTCCAGTGACCCTGGGTCTCTGTGCCAGGGGGTCTGCCCAGCATTTCTGGGGGTTGAGAGGGCTTTTCCAGGTCAGAAGTGGGAGATGGGATCAGGCTCCCGCTCTTCCCTGGGCACCAGCCAGTGAGACCCTCATCTGGGAAACGAGGCAAGAATTAAGGGAAAGGGGCGAAGGCTGGGTCTACCCTTGGGGAGACAGTGTTACATGAGGGGTTCTTGTCCCCTCTGGCAGGTGGGTTAATTGAGAAGGGAAAAAACAAGCTCAAGGTCACAGAGTCCATTGAAAGCAGAGTCAGGGCTTGAACTCAAGTGCTGGGCTCCCAGACGGGGCTGCTGTTCCCACTTAGCAGATGTGCCTGTTGGGCCAGTGGCTGGAGTGGAGCTGGACCCCCACGCTAATAGGGCTTCTCAGGCCCTCACAAACACAGGAAAAGGCCTCCAGCCTCCACATGGCAACAAGAACCAACCCGCACAGCTGGGCAGGACCCTGCCTCCTCTCTCCCTACCTCCCCAACAAATCCCACACCCCAAGTCCCGAAGGCCCGGAGAGGTGGGAGAGCAGGGTTGTGCCACAGGATGAGAAGGGGCTGTGTAAAATTTACCCACTCCGGGCCTTGGCATCCTCAGTGTAAGTGGCCAGCAGCACAGCACTGCCTTGGGAACGGGAAAGTGGGTGTGACAGACCCTTGCAGGGAGCTATGTCCCAGCATCGCCCTTCACGCGGGCAGTCTGCAGGTCTGTACCTCCCACCTGGCCCATAGAAAACTGGAAGCCCACACAGAGGGGCGCTGGAGCTTGTCCCGGCCACCTCGTCACCAGCACAGCCCCCATCCTGCCATGCATCTCACCCCCACAACTGCCAAGCTCAAGCACAGAGAAAGGAGCGTGCCCTAGGTGACACAGTTCACTCATAGCTTGCTAGTGGCAGGGCCATCTCTGGGTGCTGCTTCCTGTGGGTCACAGCACAGAGGCTTCTAGCCTCAGATGAAGAAAGGGAGGAGCGCATCCCAGAGGTGCCCTGAGGCTCTCAGACAGCCCAGCCTTGCTGCAGCATGGCCAATAACTGTGTGATCTTTCTCCAGGTCAGCAGGGTCAATGATCTGGACAAAGTCCTGTGACTCTGGCCATTCAAACGAGCCACCGTAGTGTGGGAATCGGAGTCCAGCAGGAAACTAGGTGACAGACCATGAGAGCCACAGGGCTCTTAGACAAGATCACAGAGCCACATGACCACAGGGGACTGGATGATAGCCCACAAGGCCACAGAGCTCCCAGGGATGGGAACACAGAGTCACACACCACAGGACTGGGCGACAGCCCACAAGGGCACACAAAATTGAAACCCTGGAGCCACAGAATGTTAGCTTCAGGAAGCCCCAGATGGTAGCTCAAGAACTGCAGGCATTACGCTCATGGATCCATACCCACCACGCTGTGGTCTGGCCACAGGCCATTAGAACCGCAGCAGAGAATGCCAGAACTACAGACAGAAGCCACAGCAGCGAGTGGAGCCAAACCACAGGTTATCAGAGTCAGGGTGGGGACAGAGCAAGGCGATCAACATCATTGGACCTCAGACCATTCAGTGTTCAAAGGGACAGTGTAAGCCATCCGTGTTGCTCACCAAGCAAGCCGTGACCTCCTAAAAGCTCCTTTTCACAGCCCCTGACCCCTCCAATCTTGCCCTTAGCTCCAGAGAGCTCCAATCTTGCCCTTAACCCTGGAAAACTCCCCTTTCCATGGCTTCCAGTGAGAGATGCAGTCACATGGCCACTGTGTGACCTGGGATGATTCTCTGCCTACTCTGGGCCTCAGTTTCCCCACTGTAAAATTAAGAAGTTGGCCCTCTCTGAGGTCCTTTCTGATTATTGGAGGTGGGGTCCAATAATCAAAGGTAGGGTCAACCTCACCTCCAATAATCTGTGAAATGATCACATCACTTCTCTCCCTCTCTACAATCTTCTGTGGCTCCCAAAGGACTCACTTGAATGAATGAATGAATGAATGAATGAATGAACGTCAACTGCCCAGCCTTGAGGCATCTTTTTGCCCTTTGCCCTCAGTCCTGCTGCTTGAGGCCAGCTGGAGCATTCAATGATTCCCCTCGATTTCCCTTTCAGTTTGGGGCAGATTCTTATGCAACTCACTCAGCAGTGAGGGCAAGGCTAGGACTCATACCCAGGACTCTTGGTTCCAAACACCCTTCCAATCTGTTCCTGAGCACTGGAAAAAATACCTACAAGAAGGGAGCAGGCCCCTAAGACGAATCTTGGCTACAAGTCATTCTAAGCCCCCTGCCTCTGCAGCATGGGATCCCGCTCAGTGAGGCCAACCATCCCTCATGCCCTCCCTGGGGACCCTGCATGCCTCTGGGCTGCAGTGTCACATGGCATCCCAGGAGTCATGGCATCCCAGGAGACATGGCATCCCAGGAAACATGGCATCCCAGGAGTCAGGAGAGACAGCACGAGGTTCAGGATGATGCCACCACTCCAGGGACAAGGAAAACCAGGGGTGATAACAAGGTCACAACACACACTGGGGACTCTTCTAGTCCTCAAACAAGGATTTTCATGAGGCCCTGGCAGTGGGAGCATTGAGAGAACCTGTAATGATGATGACAGCGGTATAATCCAGTAGCATTTATTCCCAGGCCCAAAGCATTCAATAGTGCCCGTCATTCATTCACTTGCTCATGTGCTGGGCAGCTCTTATGCTCCAGCAGTGAATAAGGCTTCCAGCACTTACGTTCTACGCAGAGAGACAAACAAAGACATGATAAATATGTAACACACCACAGGTTGAAATAAGTGCTTTGAAGAAAAATGAAGTGGTGTGAGATGGTTATGAGGTAGGGGGAGGTCTCTGTGATCAAGTCTTCACACAAATGAAGGGAATAGGGGACCCAACCATGCCCAACCATGCAGATTGCTGAGCCAGGCAAAGAACACGGCCCATGCAAAGGCCCTGGTTTGAGGCCCAGCAAGGAGGCCAGGGCTGAAGCTGAGTGATGGACGGAGTAGCAGAAAGGATGTCAGTGGGGTCCCAGGGGCAGACCACCAAGGGCCAGGTTGGCTGCAGTGAGGACTTTGGTCTTCCTCAGAGGGAGGTGGGAGCCATGGGAGGGTGTTGAAGAGAGGAGGGAGTGATCTGACCTAGGTTTTAACAGTATCCCTGTGGCTGCAGGGGAGGGACAGACTGAGGAGGGAGTGAGGGTGGAGGTGGGAAGACCAGTGAAGAGGCCACTGCAACCATGCAACTAATAGACACCGGGACGTGGACCAGGTCCGTAAGAGGCAGCCAGTCGTGGACATGTTTTAAAGAAAAGTAGTGACTCATTATAGACACACACAGCCCTGTGAGGCCAGGAGAAGTATGTTCACTTTACAGAGGAGGAACCTGAGGCTCAGAGAGGTTAAGTCACCTGCCCAGTGTCACACAGCAAGGGAGTGTCAGAGCTGGGATTAAAACCCAGGCCATCTGGTTCCGAGGCCTGTGCTCTCTCATTCTGTCATGAGCGTCTCCTTGGGACTCATACCTGACTCACGTGGCACAGGTCTGGGGTCTGAGATTGGAAGTGGACCATCCCCACCCCCAACACTAGTGCCAGGATCAGCTACAGAGCAAAACTGGGAAGGGGTCCAGAAGTATACCTGTGTGGCAGGGAGACAGAGATGGGATGGGGCCCCTGCATAGGTTGGGACAGGTGAGAGCGAGGGAGGAAGTAGCTAGGGATGTATTCCAGCTTTCTGGACCTAGATGTGGAGTGTGAGGTCAGCACACCATGAGCACTCAGCAAACCACCCCCATGGGCAGGCCGTGCAGTCAGACAACCGAGGCTCCAACCTCGGCTCTGCCCTTCACCAGCTGTGTGGCCTCCAGAGCATCACTTACCCTCTCCATGTCTCGGCTTCCTGACCTGCTCACTGGGGCTGTTGTGGGGGTAATGCAGGGAAAATGCTGGGGAAAATGCTGGCCAGGCAGCTAGCAGAGTAATCAATCCAGCTGACAGGCAGAAGCTGGGCCATCAGGATTACGGGGAGGGGTTGCAGTGCCAGCCTTCCCCACTCTGCCCAGACGCCCCCGCCTTATGGGGCTTTGCCTCCCACCCACTTTCCATCTTCTGCAGTGGACTCGGGGCCTCCTTCCTGTCCCTGATTCAGAAGTGACAGCCAAGACTGAGTTGTGCCTGCTAGCCTGGAATTACAACTTCTGGGGAAGAAAATGATTAACATGGTTGCAGAAGGCTGGATTCTTAGAATCGGGCTGTGTCAGAGAAAGCTTCTGGTCCAAACTACACCCCACCCATTTTACAGTTGGGGAAACTGAGGCCAGGAGAGAGGGCACATTTTCTAAGCCACTGGATCCTTAGGGCCTGGTGCCTAGTCCCCTGCCTTGGGGGAGTCCCAGGGAGGCCTAGGGGATACAGTCAGGGCAATGGGCTTGGCCAATCAGGATTGCCAGAGCCCTGCTGGGCCACGCATTAAAGTTCTGGTTGCCGGATCGTGGGAGATCCAGGGGTCCTGGGGGAGAGACCTGGAGACATTGGGTGAGGAGACCTTGGGGAACCAGTTGTTTCCCAGCCAGTGTGGGGGTGCTGCAGTATTTTAACACCAGCCACACACATGCCAGCGCCGCTTCCTCCACCACCCCCCTCTTGCTGCAACTGGTGCAGCTCCTTCCAGCCTCAGCCTCTGCGCTACACCCTTTATATGCGTTTTCCTCCAGAGCCTCACAAGCACCCTGTGAGGATGCATTTTTAACTTCAAGGACCACCACTTGCCAAGGGGAAGTGACCTGCCGTGGTCCCACAGCTAGTTTGTGGCAGAGGCAGAAGTCGAGCCAGGCCCTGTTCTAAGCACTTTATGTATATGAACTCATTTAACTCTCACAAAAACCTTTGCACGAGGACTATAATTATCCCAATTTTACAGTGGAGGAAACTGAGGCTCGGAGAGGTGACATGGCTTGCTCAAGGTCACCTACTTGGCTAGTGGCAGATCTGGGATTTGAACCCAGGCTGTCTGGCCCCAGAGCCCAAGCAAAGGGAGAGGGGTTTGTAGCAATGGGGTGAAGGTGAGAGGAAGGATGCGGGAAACATGCCCCAGAGGAGGAAGGACTTTTGAGAACAGGGGTGTCTAACGTTCACTTGTGTGTGTGATGAAATCCCCTTTGTCATCTCCTTCCTGCCAGCATCACAGAGCTATTCCTCTTTGGTCTTCAGAGCATGTGTGTCCCAGCCTGACCCCAGATCAGCATCTTGCCGATAGAGACAGCCCACCTGGGATGGCGTCATGACCCTTACACTGAAGCAGCAGCAGGAAGTCAGAGCCAGGGGGCCAGGAGGGGAGCTGCCCTGGGCACAGTGGAGGGTGTCTGGGCCAGCTGGGGCCAGGACCAGGGGTGCTGAGGCTCAGTCAGATTAAAAACAGAGCTATGCAAAGTGCGGCTGCAGGTCCCGTCCTGTCTTTGAACTATTTGTTGCTGGACAGTGATTTTTACGTTTGGAAACAAACATTTGAGAACCAATGGTTAAAAACTATTACAGCAATTTCACACATTGCCACAATATCTAAGTGCCTGATCAGTGGCTTCTATTTTTCAGGTCTTTGTTTTTTAATTTCATTTTTCAATAACTCATTGTTAGTGTATTTTTCTCAAATGTATCAGTCTCCAGTGGATTGAAAGTAAAAAGAAAATACTGGCCTTCCCCAGATAGCCCAAGAGGCACTGCTTTTACCGGAGCTACCCAGTGGTGAGAAGCTGGCGCTCGACCTGATGTGCAATTCAACCTAAAATAAAGCTGTAAGGTAAAAGTTCTGCTTTTGAAATGAAGGAAACTTTTATGTGAGCTGAAACAGATGTAACTTTTTTTAGGTCAGGGTTTCTCAACCTCAGGCAGTATTGACATTTTGGACCAGACAATTCTTTGTGGTGGCGGGGAGCTGTCCTGTGCACTGCAGGGTGTTGGCAGCATCCCTGTCCCCTACCACTGGATACCAGTGGCACATACCCTCTCCCCACTTGTGACAACCCAAAATGTCTCCAGAGATTGCCAAATGTCCCCTGGGGAAAAAAAATCACCCCCTGTTGAGAACGGCTGGTTTGGACGTTCTGCTTTCCTGTGTGTGTGAGAGAACGTGTCTAGGAGAGTGTCTGTACGTGCAGGTGTGTGTCTGTGTGTGCCTGGGCATGTGTGTGCTTTACTCCAGGCCCACCTTCCTCACTCACATTGCCTGGCCTCGTAGGCATCTGTGTTTGCAACCCTGGTGTCACCCATTAGTCTCAAGTAGCGCCCGTCAGATCTCCCCTCCCTCCAGGCATGGCTGTCACTGAGGCACAGTCTATGAAGGTCGCAGTGGAAACCAGGGGACCCTCAGAGCCACTGTCTGCACCGGATGAAGCTGCCCTCCAATGCTTCCCACCCCCGCGCACCTCAGATCCCTACCCACACCGCACCTCCCAAGACACCGGGGCACAGACAAGATCTCAGCAGTTGGACAGAAACCAATGCTCCCGACAGAGAAGGGCCTCAGGCCTGAAGAATGACAGCCTGAGGTTAAGTAAAGTGGTCATCGAGAACCAGGGATAAAGAAGAAGCTGAACCGTCACCTGGCAGGGGAGCTGGAGGAACAGAGGCTCACTGTAGGGAACATGAGGGAGTACAGCTTGTTCAATCTGCACACATCTGTGCCCCAACCCTCATTCGGGGGACTCTGACTCAGAATAACCTGGGCAGGGTCCCAGGATCTGTATTTTTAAAGCTCACCAGGTGGTGTTGATACACAGCAAGAGTTGAGAATCCCCTGGGAAGCTTGATAGAAATATAAATTCATGGCAAAACAAAAGTAAGGAGTCTGACAGTACCAAGCATTGCTGAGGTTGTGGAGCAACTGGAACTCTCAGACGCTGCTGGTGGTGATGTAAAGTGGTACAGCGACTTTGGAAAGCTGTTTGATAGTATCCATTAAAATTTCAAGATACGTATATTCTAAAATATATCTCAATAAAGCTGTTAAAAATATGCATATCCTGTGGGCTGCTGATTCCACTTGAGGGTATATACTCAACAGAAATGTGTGCATTTCGGTACCGGAGGCATGTTTAGGCACCGGAGTATTCACAGCAGCGTTTTCCATAAAAGTCAAAAATTGAAACAAACTGAAAGTCCAACCATGGTAGAAGAGATCAATAAAAATGGCGGCATATTCACGCAATGGAACTTTTTTTTTTTTTCTAAAACGCTCCCAGGTCATTTACTGGCCACATGAGGTGGTCGTCAAGACACAAGCTAGGCCGGGCGTGGTGGCTCACGCCTGTAATCCCAGCACTTTGGGAGGCCGAATGGGCGGATCACGAGGTCAGGAGATCGAGACCATCCCGGCTAAAACGGTGAAACCCCGTCTCTACTAAAAATACAAAAAATTAGCCGGGCGTGGTGGCGGGCGCCTGTAGTCCCAGCTACTTGGGAGGCTGAGGCAGGAGAATGGCGTGAACCCGGGAGGCGGAGCTTGCAGTGAGCCGAGATCCCGCCACTGCACTCCAGCCTGGGTGACAGAGCGAGACTCCGTCTCAAAAAAAAAAAAAAAAAAAAAGACACAAGCTAGAAGATTATCACAGGAAGTAGTATAATAAATGCCCAGCAGTACAAGGGGTTCAACAGAAGTGAACAAGGCACAAGAGTTCTGTCTTCAGGAAACAGGCCAGTTCCCACATGGAGCAGGTGACTCCTGGTAAGCCTGTGAGGCTCAGGGTTGTCGTGTCTGGCTCTGGCCTGCTGGAGCGCATGGTCCCTGGAGCCCGCAGCCAGCTCGGTGGAGCTGAGCATCCAGTTCGTACTTCTCGCAGAAATTATCAGTGAAGGGGATGCAGGTGAGGAACTCACACCACTCACGGCAGACAGGATAGAAGTAGAAGAGGACCACCAGGCCAGCCAGGAGGCCCAGGAAGACCACCTGAAAGATGATGATCAGGCAGCATTTCCAGTACAGATGGAACTTGCTGAAGCTGATGTAGCGCTAGAAGGCGAAGGAGAGAAAGAGGCCACTGATGAACCCCGAAATGTGGGCAAAGTTGTCGATCCAGGGCAGCAGCCCAAAGGTGCAGAGGAAGAGCACCACAGCCAGCAGCTTGAAGAAGGCATGCCAGGGCCGCTCCAGGATCTGCCAGCTCTGGAAGAGCTCCATGAAGAGGCAGGCCAGGATGCCAAACTGGGAGCCAGCTGGAACCACCTCTGCTCGGTACAGCAGGAAGATGGCACTGGCCAGGTTGCCAGTGACACCACTCAGCAGGTAGATGATGGCTATGTGGTGCCACCCTGCCAGCTTCTCCAGGTCCCGCGGGATGGTCATCTGGAAGCAGATGGACACCAGGTAGTGCAGGATCCTGGTGTGCAGGAAGAGGGACAGCCACAGGCGGTAGAACTGGTCAGGCACCTCAGGGTTGAGGAAAGGCAGGAGCCCACACACATCATCCATGCAGTGCACCTGAGAGCAGAGCATGGCCTCCTCATGGAAATAGCCCCTCATGAAGTCACAGTACTCCCGGGAGGTGATCTCACACTCGCCGTTGGTGCCAATGCAGCAGGGCCGTCCTGTGATGACACAGTCCATGTGGGGAAGGTTGGTGTGGTTCCCGGGGTTGTTTCTGGTGCAGATCGGCCACTTGGTAATGTCTTCTGGCCACTCACGGGGGTCCTCCCAAGAGGGCTCATCATATACCCTGGGATCCTGGTGGCAGACAGAGCCAAACTGTCTCTTGTGGCCGGCAAGCTCTGGGGCGCTGGAATGGATGGGTCACTTCACCCACATTGCCAGCATGGGCGAGCACTCCTCCTCCGAGGTCTGCAGGCAGCCCGACCTGTCGTTGTGCATGCAGCAGGCCGAGTGCTTCTCGTGCTCGCGCCCTGCGCGAATGAAGCTGTGCACCTGCGGATCCTGGCATATGCAAGGCGAAAACTTGGCACCCAGGTGGATGAGGGCCTCCGAGCTGGGCCCGATCCAGAAGTTCTCCTGCTGCACGTACTTGACGTTCTCGTAGACCCAGTGGTTCCACAGAATCGAGTCCATCGTTTCATGCTGTGAGAAGTCCACGGGCACGATGCCATAGATGCACACGGCTAGAATGGTGACGAGCAAGTGCACGAAGGTGAGCCAGTGGGTGAAGAAGGGCCTGTGGCTGTCCATGTCCTCGATCTGTCGCTTGACGAAGCTGTCGATGTGCTTGTGGTAGGTGTGGTTGTTGAGCCGTCCCACCATGCTCAGCCCATACAGCCGCTTCTCCCGGGCGAAGAGTTTGCGCACCGGCACAGCGATGCGCTGGTTCCGCCGCGGCCCCGCGGTGCTCACCATCTCCTGTCGGAGCCGCACCTTGGGCTGCGAGGCTGCGGTGTCTTCCCGCTTCCGCCAGCCTCGCTCCAAAGGCAGCATCAGGTGGCTGGGCTCAAGCTCACTGCGGTCCAGGGCCCTGCCAGTGAGGTACTCCTGCTCCGGTGCCTTCTCCCAGTCCTTGAGTGCTGCCTCTGATGGGGACTCAAAAACTTCGTCCGGGTATGTGGACAGCTCTTCATGGAGGATACCTTCCTGGGCAAAGAAGGATGTGTCCATCTCATCAGGGAAATTCGTGTTTTCCGCCAGAAAGCTGGCTGGAGTGAAGCTTCGACGCTGTGCCCAGCGCAAGGTGCCATCCCTAATCGAGCAGCCTTTCATCAGTGCTGCGGCTGCATGGAAGCTCATCTTGGCCACCAACTCTCGCTTCCCACAATGGAAGTTTACATAACAATGAAAAAGAATGTGCAACATACAACAAAACGGATGAATATCAAAAACATCATGCTGAATGAAAAGGGCTGGACAGTGAAGCATATACGCTGTATTATTCCATTGATAGGAAATTCAAGCACAGGTGAAAACAAACTTCCCTGTGCAGCGATACACATAAGGTGATAACACCATAAAGAACAGCCAGGGAATGATTTTCAAAAAAGGTCAGGAGGGTGGGTACCTCTAGGGGAGCAGGAGTGGGATGTGATTGGAGATGAGCCCATGTGGCAGGGTGGGGGGATCTTCTAAGGGGATGGCAATGCTCTGTTTCTCAACCAGAGTGGTTATAAGTGTGTTTACTTTTCATTACTCTCTACGCGGCACCTCTATGTTAAACTCACACATATATTTTATAATTTTAACTAAAAGAGGAGAAAAAAGATGCATCTGTGCCACTGTCCGCAATGCTGATTCCTTATGTTTGGGCTCAGGCCTGGGATGAGCATTCTGAATATGCCCGCACCACCCCCAGGTGATTCCAGTTCACAAGGTTCTGGGGCCACACTGGGGTCTAAGACGTCTGCTGAGCACACGTGGGGTGAGGAATCCAGAAGCCAGCCTCAAATGGGTGGATCCCACCTCTCCACCCATTGCTGGTTTTGAGTGGTGTGTGGTAACTGAGGTGGGGGCCCAGCAAGCCCCCAGCATAGCAGCCGGTCCACAGGCCACCCTCTGTTGATGCCAGTCTTCTACAGAACTGTCCTGTGGGATATTCGCTTTAATAGGCACATGCTGGGCTTATAGAGGGACTCTGGACAGGAGGGTGGGAGCTCGTCACTAGTCACTGGAATCCCACAGCCGAGGCTGGCAGCCTAGAGAACCCACCCTGAAGGTCAGGCCCTTTAACAAAAGGGTGGAGAGGAAGCAACCTGAGGGGCTGTCGTAAGGGAGGCAGCTGGCATCTTCTGGGGCATCTGCTGAGGCCCGCCCTGTCTCCCCAGAGCTTGAGGGGCGGGCTGGCAGGCAGGCAGGAGAAAAGGGAAGCTTCAGGCCCATCCTCTGTGTGAGAAGTCACAGAAGATGGCAGCTGCATGGAGGCTGTGCCCCCTTATCAGCCAGGACAGGCTTGGGTAGGTGAGTCTGGACGCCACCCCATCACCACCTAAGGTGATGATTTATTAATCACCTGCTAAGTGCAGGCAGCCATGGCCAGTGCTGGAAATGGGAGGACCCACCCCTGTGGGGCTCAGGACTGTTGTGTTATAAAAGGCAGTGAGTGGATCAGGGGCGTGGTGAGAGGGTGTAGCAGGCAGCAGCTCCAGGAGTCTGGGGGCAAGGTCTGGAGATCCGTGGGAATTAGCCACACCAGGAACCCCAGGCAGATAGAAGAGCCTGGGCAGGACATGGGGTGGGCTGACAGTGAGCACAGGCTGAGCCTTCCACGCAATTGGCGTGGCTCTCAAAGCTTTCCTGCATTCACTCTGTCCATCCTCAGGACGGCACTGAGATGCGGGTGCTGTGAGTCCCATTCTACAGATGGAGAACTGGGCCACAGAGAGGTTAAGTAACCAGCACAAGGTCACACAGCTCATCAGCAGCTGAGGCTGGATTGGAACCCACTTCACTACACGGCCTCGCATTTGGCTTGTTTTTCCCCAAGAATTGAAAGGCCAGTGAGCAAGGAGGGCGGGGAGAGGCGAGGGTGAGAGAGGCCTGGTGCTGGGCCACGCTGGGCCAGAGGGCCATGGAAGACTTTGAACTTGATCCTCACAGCAGTGGGGAGCCACTGGACCATAGAGAGCAAGTAATGATATCAGATACGCATTTTACAGGTGCTCTCCTGCCACGTACAGCCTGACCGTCGGGCAACACCGGCCAGTCAACAAACATGGCCTCACTGGTGCAACATTTGCTGAGCACCTCGCGGGCACTATCTTCTCTTCAGGCCGTAGGTTCCATTTTGACCCCACTGCTAGACAGCAAGGACATCTCAAATACCAATGTATGAATTTTACCGACTTTGATGACTGTAAGGAAGCCCTGTCCTGCACAAACCCCATCAACCACTTGAACCATTGATTCATCCTCTAAAAAGCACAGTTAGGCCACTCTCAAGCTTTTCCACTTTCAGTCTTGCTTTGTTGAGATAGGTTTCATGAAGCCTTTCCTAATTAAAGTTTGTAATGAGGATTTGATTCATCAACACATTTCTTTGCTCGTAGCTCCTACACCAGTTGTAGACAACTTCTACCACTGTGGAGTTCCTTTTTTGCACATTATTTCCTTCGGCTCCAATTCTCTCCCTTCAAATTTTTGCAGAATTTAATGTTGGCATGGAGATTGGATTCATCTGTCAATTTTTAGATCAATAACTATTTTTACTGTGCACAGTTTTAGTTGATGCCAGTTTTATTTTGTGTTATTTCTACTAGTGATGTTCATGTTGAATTGGATAAGAGACAAATGGTGCATGTTTCTTTCTTAGGAAACCAATGAGAAATAGAAAAATGTTTGTGAGTCAGAAAAAGAAAAGAAGACAGACAACCAAGAGAAAGAGATCCAGAAAGAGACAGAGGCTGATAGAGAGGCAGAGACAGGAAGACACAGAGACAAAGCAGAGAGAGACACATGCAGTGATGGTTTGGCTCCTGGCCACTCAGTGGAGTCAAATGACAGTGTCCATCCTAGTGTGCCCCATTGCCCTGCTTCCTCTCCAATCAAAAGCTGGACATTCCCACTTCCAGGAAGTTGCCTTAACCTGGAAGGTCCTTTCCTTCTGGACTTAGCTCAAGGTTGCTCATTCAATTGCTCAGGACAGCTTTATCAAAATAAGATAAAAGGTCACCCAGATGGTGTCCCAGCAGACATGGCCTCTGGGAAGACACTGACCAACAGATAACACCCCAGGCCCAAGTAAAACCAACTCATCCCTTGGCCTAAGCCAAGTTGCTCACATGCACCCTAGGTGCATGTGAGGCTGGGGGTCCCACTTGTGAAGTATCTAGCAGGGCACTGGCACACAGTGGATGCTTAAACAGTGTCCCTCTGCCCTGATGTCATCATGGTCCCCACCTCAATGGGCTGGCTAAGGATGGTGCAAACCCTCTCAGCTCTGGTTTCACTTGCAACAGAACAGTGGCCTCATCCTCGCCCAGGGCCTGTGGGGTGAACAGGATGGGAGCTTAAGGTCTCCCTGGCTCAGCCTTCAGGCTGGTGAGAGGTCCTCCTTTGCAGGACAGACCTAGACTCAGATTGAGCAGAGGCAGACTCTCGTTGCCCTTCTCTTCCTGCCATCTCCACTGTGTGGAGCTCCATGTTAAGAAAGCCTCTGAAGCTGAGCCTTTGGGAAGAACTGTGGTGATCGATAAGCACTGTCATCGACGAGGGCCAGGGGAGCTTGTCTTGTGTTTCCTGCATCTTTAGTTGCTGCTCTGCAAAGACCAAGAGCACAGGGACCTGGGTCTGAGCCTTAGCTACACCACCACCAGCTAGTGACTGTGGGCAAGACTTGTCACCTCTCTGAGCCTCAGTTCTTCATCTGGGAAATAGGGATAATATCATGATTTATCTCACAGGGTTGTCATGAGGACTAAGGGAAGTGGTGCATATGTGGGTGCTAATAAGAATTTATGAAGGGGCTGGGCACCATGGCCCACGTCTGTAATCCTAGCATGTTGGGAGGCCGAGGCAGAAGGATCACTTGAGGTCAGGAGCTCAAGACCAGCCTGGCCAACATGGTGAAATCCCGTCTCTACTAAAAATACAAAAATTAGCCAGGCATGGTGGCAGGGACCTGTAATCCCAGCTACTCGGGAGGCTGAAACAGGAGAATCACTTAAGCCTGGGAGGCAAAGGTTGCAGTGAGCTGAGATTGTGCCACTGCATTCCAGCCTAGGCAACAGAGCAAGGCTCCATCTCAGAAAAAAAAAAAAAAGAATTTATGAAGGAATGGGTTTTTTCTCCCTTATTTGTCAGGTGAGTCAGCAGTGGGGTAGAAGAGCTGTGGTCTGAGCTTCATTATTTTCACACATGGTGACCCAGGCCAGCTGTTTTTTTTTTTTCTCTCTCTCTCTGGCCCTCAATTTCCTCTCCAATAAAGTGGACCTAACAGTTTCTTATAAAGAGCTAAACACACACTTAGCATGCAACCCAGCAATCCCACTCCTAGGTATTTAGCCAAGAGAAAGGAAACACATATTCACATGACACTTGCGTATCAGTGTTTAGGGTGGCTTTATCCACAGCATCCCAAACTAGAACCCACACAAATGCCCACCAACAAGTGGATGGATGAACGCTCTGAGGTACATCCACTCCCCGGAAGAACAAGGCACTGACACGTGCAACTACATGGGTGGGTCTCAAAACAGGCTGAGCCAAAGAGGCCAGAGACAAAAGATATCCATGCTGTGATTCGGTTTATATGAAACTCTTAAAGACAAACTGAATACATACCAATAGGAAGATCAGTGGTGGCCTAGGTCTGGTGGGAATGTTCTAATTGTACCTTGATTGGGTTGGTGGCTACATAAAAATGTATACACTTGTCAAAACGTACTAAACTGTACACTAAAAATGAGTGTGTTTTACTGTATATACATTAGACTTCAACAAAGTTATTTTTTAAAAATGTCCCTGAGGCAACCTTCCTGCAAACTTTCTAGGGCTCGTGTGTGATCGGATGGGAGGACGGGCATGTAGGAACTTTGTCAGGCGGGAAAGCCCTTCACAGGTGGGAGGCATTGTGGTAACTTCTATGGCTGGTACTGAAAACAGCAACCACAGCCCAACCACGCCAGTTCTACTGAGAGTCTCCCACCAAGATGAGAACGCCACAGCCCTGGAGTCAGGCCCACCCAGGCTGGCGTTCAGTCTCCCGCCTTCACAACCCTGGGGAAAAGGCTTCCTCCCCAAGCCTCTGTTTCTGGAATATTCCTCTCAGCTTGGCTCTGGGCTGAACACAAGATGTGCCATCAACCCTTATCAAATGTTGATTTCTCCAGTATCCATTGACCACGAGACCAGGGCTGAGAGGAGCAGCCTCCCTGGGGCTCACAGCACTGCAGCAGCAGAAGCAGCCAGAACCCCACATCCTTCCATGCCATTCCTGGACTGGCCTTTGGGCTGCACTCGGTGCCATACGGGGTGGGGTGATGGGGTGAGGCTGTCCATCACATGGGTAACAGGTTCCCTGTGTGGCTTTCGTGGCAGTGTATGGCAGCCTCTCCTTTCAGCACAGAGGCTGATGGCTAAGTCACCGCATGCCAGGGCACTCAGAGAACTACTGTGTCCAACACAGGACTTCATGTTGGTCCCTGTGGGGCAGGGGCTGGGTCTGGTCACCTCCATACCCCAGCACCCAGAGCAGGTGCTAAGCCAACACTCATTTACAAGTAGTCCATGGAGACCACACCGTGCCAAGTCCTGGTGGCCCCAGAAGGTTCTCCTCCCTCTCCCTCTGCTAAGGCCCCATGGCCTCTCCTGCCCTTCCCTGAGTGGTTTCTTCCAGCCTCAGGTAGGAAGGGGACCACACATCTTTAAATTGCCTCATGGTGTTAGATAAGCACCTTTGCTTCCCTGTAATGGTTCATTCATGCATCAACTTGGCCAGGCTGGGCTGGACGCAATGGTGCACACTTGTATTCCCAGCACTTTAGGAAGCCGAGGTGGGAGGATAATTTGAACTCAGGAGTTCCAGACCAGCCTGGGCAACATAGTGAGACCTTGTCTCTACAAAAAATAAAAAAAATTAGCCGGTGTGGTGGCCCATGCCTGAGCTTCCAACTTGAGAGACTGAGGCAGGAGGATCACTTGAGCCCAGTAGTTTGAGGCTGCAGTGAGCTGAGATCGCACCACTGTACTTCATGCACTCCAGCCTGGGCCACAGAATGAGACCCTGTCTCAAAAACAAAAGAAACAAACAAAAAACCCAAAAACCCACTTGACCAGGCTTTAGTGCCCAGTTGTTTGGTCAAACATAGTCTGGATGTGGCTGTGAAGGTATTTTTTAGATGTGATTACATTTAAATCAACAGACTTTTGAGTAAAGCATTTTACCCTCCACAATGTGGGTTGGCCTGATGCAATCAGTAGTGAAATTAAGAGCAAAGATTGAGATTCTCTAAAGAGGAAGGAATTGTCCTCAAGGCTGCAACATAGAGACCCTGCTTGAGCCTGCCTGGGCTGCCCTGCAGATTACTGACTACCAGCTCCACAATTGCATGAGCCAATTCCTTTAAATCAACCTCTTCCTCTGTCTTTCTGGATAGACATGATAGATGGATGGATGGATAGATGATAGACAGATGGATGGGCGGATGGGTGGATGGGTGGATAGATAGATGTTCGGATGGGTGGATGGATCTATTGGTTCTCTTTCTGTGGAGAACTCTGACTAATACACTCTTGGAGCCCCACCCTCCTCATCCAAATGAACTGAGGCTCCCACAGTGGACATCAGCTGTTTCTGCCCATCCAGCATACAGACCTCCTTTTGGTAACAGCACCCTGATTTTGCTCTGGGGAGACCCCCTCCCTTACCCCCTGTCCATGTGATTTCCTGGCTTACGGATGAGTTGGGTGAGAGCAGCAGGAGAGACTGACTGCAGAGGGGGTCTCCCTCCCCAACCCTGTCCATGTGGTTCACAGGGCTGACACTGCTTCCAAGAAGGGCATAAGCCAGGTTTATCCAATCATAGCAGTCCTTTCTCCAGGCCACAGTGACTGGCTGAGGGACAAGCACGTGACCCCACACTGTCCAATGGGAGACAGCCCCAGGACTTTTGCTGGAGCCATCTGCATGTTCTTTGTCCACTGGAAGGTAGAATGATATAAGTCTGGAGAGCCTGCCCAAAGCAAAGCCAACAGCCCAGAGAAAGAGAGAAGTGAATGATGGGAAGACCAAGCTCTGATGTTGTCCCTTGAGCCCCTGGATGTAGCCCTTCCTGATGCCAATATGAGCATTGAAGGTCTCTTTCGCACTTGGGCAAGTTGGGGTTGGGTTTCTACCACTTATAACCTAACACTGCCTGCCTGCTACTGCCTTCTTGGAAAGGCGTGAGAAGGAACAGGTGGTTGTGGCTCAGCTGATAGAGTTTGGCCTGGCCTCTGTTTTGGATGCTGGTGTTGGCAAGTTTGGAAGAGAGCTGAGGAGTAGGGCAACAGAGGAAAGACTTGAGAGAGGGGAGAAGTAGTGGGAAAAGGAATCCAGCAGCAGGGCTACCAGGGAGACAGGCTAGGGGAGACGAGAGATACTGGTCAGGAGCATGACGTGTTGCTCCTCATATCTCAGGGACTCCTCAGGAAAGCCACAGTTATACTCCCACTGCAGGGTATAAGAGTCTCGCAGCTCCACTGCCATGCAAATGTGCAAACACTTGGCATTGTCAAAGTTTCTAATGTCAGCCCTCCTGGCAGGTATCCCACTGTGGTTTTAATTTCCATTTTCCTCAAGTAAGAAGCTGTTGAGCACCTTTTCATGCATTTACTGGCCGCTTGGATCACTGCTCAAGTCACTAGCCCAGTTTTCTATTGAGTTGTCTGTCTTCTTCTATAGGTGTTAAATACGGCTGCAAGGTAGGCACAGGGTGAGACCAGAGGCCACCCACAAGATTTAGGGACATCTGGATGGATCTAAAGGGGGTCTTTGCACAAATCACCAAGTCTTTCTAGCTTGGATGTTTTAGGAATCTTTGACCCTCATTCCTAGATTACAGGAAGGATTAAGGCAGGAGGTCTGGAGAAGAGAGGAAGGGAGGGCCAACAGATATCTGCTTCGTGTCCAGAGCCACTTCACCTTATTGTGCTGCAGCCACCCTTGTCTTCCCTGAACATGCCAAGCTTGTTTGCGCCTCAGGACCTTTGTATTTGTGCATGCAGTTCCTTGCAGGGCTGGCTCCTTCTCATCATTCAGGAAGTCTTCTCCGAGCATCTCAGCTGAGAGGGTGTCTCCCTCCCTCTCTATCCCCTGATTCTGCTTCATTCATTTTCACTCCGTGACCTAATTAGCATGCACATCTGTTTGTTGACATGTGCTTGGCTGGCTTGCCCATTAGAACTTAAGATCCATCAGGGCAAGGTCCTAGTCTCTGTCATGTTCACCACTGGGTCCTGAGGGCCTAAGGCAGTGCCTGGCACATAGTAGCTGCTCAGTAAACATTTGTTGAGTGAATGAGTGAACAAGTCTTAACAACAACCCTGTTAGGTAGACACTGACTATGTGTTCATTTCCCAGATGAAGACACTGAGACTCAGAGCAAGTGGCTGAGCAGGAGTGGAACCCAGGTCTTTCTCACTCCATAGGTTGTCATTGCTCCCCTACCCCTCTCCAGCTTTCTTTCGGCTCTGGGGGTGGCAGTTCCATGAATTCTTACCCTGTCTTATGACTGGATTTCCTGGCTCGTGGATGAGTTGGGTAAGAGCAGCAGGAGAGACTGACTGTAGTTGGGGGGATTTTGGGGGCTGAGAGCCCTGTGATGAGGCCAGTGCATGAACCGGATGCAGGGCAAGTTTACAAACCTAGGCCCACCTCAGTGGTCAAACCATCATGAGAGATGTCTCGAGAGATGTCCTGAAAGCCTCTTAGTCCAACCCCCAGCCAGAACAGGAACCCTTTTGACAGCAACCTTGATGGGGGCCCACCACCTCCCAGGGAAGTCCAGTCCAGTCTTGCCAAGCTCCAAGGGGAGCAAAAGCTACTGGGGCCTTCCCTGACCAGAGCTCAGCTGGCAGGCCGGGAGGCTGGGAGGCTGGGAGGCTGGGAGGCTGAGAGGGAAAGCCCAGCGCCTCCTAACTGGGAATTCTGAGCACTGCTGGATGTGTGGCAAGAAATTAGGTTAAAGGAAGAATAATCAGCTCATTAACCCCCTTGCCAGACTCCACATGCTCACAGAGGCCTGCTTCTAAGCTACGCTGCTGACTGTCACTGCCTGCCGGGATCCGGGTGGAGTGGTACAAGTGAGATATTTTATTTATGTGTCATGCATATTTATTAGGAAGAGGTAAATAAATTAGCTGCCTGCCATCTGCAACCACCAGTGTACGCCAAGTTCCTTCCCTCCTCCTCCATCTTGGGAGGGGCCACACCAGCAAAGCCCAAACCCTGTGAAAAGGAGGGTCTCCTTTCTAGTCAGATTTCCTCCATAGTTTGAGCAGCCCTAGAATTAGAATTTTTCCAAGAGGAAATGGATGCCAGTTGCTATCCTAGACCACTTGCCAAAATCTGATCTTCCCAGCAACCCTGAAAGGTGGGCATATTGCCATCTGCATTTTATAGACAAAGACACTATGGCTCAGAGAGATCAGGTCACTTGCCCAGGTCACACAGTAGGTGAGGGGAGTAGCTCAGCTCAAGTCACAGAGGCCTAGGGACTTCTGTGACAAGCTGGAGAGAAAGGCTGGACCAGGAGGTGACTGCATTCTTGCTCTGACACTAGTTGCTGTGGGGTCCAGGCCGGTCCCATAACTCTCTTGGCCCTTCTCTATTGAAAGGGAAAATAAAACACAACAGAACAGACTCCACTTGGGGCTGTGTGGAGAATCAAGTCACCATTCATCCAAGTCCTGAGTGTCCTTCAAGCCCACCGTGGAGGCTCCTGACTCTGTGAAGGGGCCACACGACCCCCATCGCTGCCCCAGGCTTGCTGCGTGACTCTGTGCATATCAGTGGACCTCTTGGAGCCTCAGTTTCCTCCTCTGTAACATGGAAAAACAACTTGCGGGGAAGGTGTGCTCGCTACAAGGAAGAGGATTTCGCTGTGTGGAAATCCTTGTAAAACACGTGTCCAGTGGGAGGTAGGCAGCAGCCTGGGACCGCGGACTATGGGCGGAGGAGGGGCTCCAGAATGCCCAGTGGTGCTGCAGGGCCCAGAGAGGGGCCATAACTTGCCCAGGCTCGCACAGCAAATAGAGCTGTTGGGAGCCCTAGAACACCTGCCTCTCAGACGGCAGAGAAGGATCCCAGAGTACTGAGCCTGGATCTGAATCTTTTACGAAGCACCCATACATCTCCCCTGGAATCACTCCTGCCCGCAGCCCATAGACCCTGCCTCACTGCCTCGCTGCCTCTGCCTCCCTACAGGGTCTTTTCATTAAATTAAGTGCAGAATCTGATGCAATTGCTGTTGATTTTCCCCAAGGGGCCACCTGCCACCTCTTTCCAGGATGCCTGCAGGGCCAGGACTGAGGCAAGGCACTCACACACCCACAAACAAATATTATGGAGTTGTTTTTTGTTGTGGTTTTTTGAGATGGAGTCTCGCTCTGTTGCTGAGGCTGGAGTGCAGTGGCACGATCTCAGCTCACTGCAAGCTTTGCCTCCCGGGTTCAAACGATTCTCCTGTCTGTCTCCCGAGTAGCCGGGACTACACTCACCCGCCACCATGCCCAGCTAATTTTTGTATTTTTGGTAGAGATGGGGTTTCACCATATTGACCAGGCTGATCTTGAACTCCTGACCTCGTGATGCACCTGCCTCGGCCTCCCAAAGGGCTGGTATTACAGGCGTGAGCCACCACGCCTGGCCATATTATGGAGATTTCAGCATAAAATATTATTTTTAAAGGTGTTTGATTTAATATATTTGAACCTGATGTTAGTGAGCCCCCATGGGGCCCACACAGCCTCCATATAGCTCTGGGAGGTAGAATTGGCCCATTTCACACGTAAAGGGCAGTTCAGAGCAGACACAGGCCCATTAGGCCCCCACTTCTGGGACCGAGGCAGCTGGAGGGGAAAGGGACTGCAGCTGGGCAGAGCCACCTTGTCCTAGGGTGACTGTCAGAGGAAACAGACGTGAGCTGCAAGGAGGAGGCAGGCTAGGCTTAAAGGAGACCAGAGAGCAGCTCCAGTGAACTCTGCACAGCGAACAAACCTCAGCCCCCCAGCTTCCTTCAGGAGGAATATACACAGCTAGCTCAACCAAGCACCCACTGCATACCAGGCACTGACTGTCACACTGGCTCATTTAACTCTCACCACCTCTCCAGCAGAAAGGTACCATTTTTATTCCATTTTACAGATGAGGAAATGGAGGGTCCCTTCAGCCTAAAGATGACAGAGTCAGAGGGGACAGCAGGTGCAAGGTCTCAGGAATGAGAAATCAGGTCCCACATCAGCCCCCCAGCTTAAAGCACAACAAAGGTTTCCCATGATGCTCAGAAGAAACCCAAATTCCTTCCATTGGCCTGGCACCCCGGCTAAGCTCTCTGCCCTTACCCCATTTCACTCTCCGGCTTTCTCACAGCATGGCAACCACACTGGCCTCCGTTCTTCAAACACACCAGGTGCACTCTTGCCCCAGGGCCTTTGCTCCTGTGGTTCCCTCTACCTGGACCACTTTTCTTCCAGGTCTTCCCTTGGTTGGGCCCCACACAAATGTCACCTCCTCTAGAAGGCCCTCCCTGACTACCCCATCAACTTCTATCATTCATCCCCTTGCCCTGTCCTCCAAACAGCACTTCTTCCCCCAGTGAACTCTTACTTATTTGTCCCGTTTCTGGTCCATCTTCTCTGCTCCACAAGAATAAAGACTCAGTCTTATTCACTACTGTACCCCAGCACTTAGTGACTGGCATGTGCGAGTTAAACAGTTGTAGAATGACTGAAAGAAGAAAAAAGGAATCTGCCTGCAGGGCTGGGTGCCAGGGCCAGGAGGCAGGCAGGAGAGGCAGCAAATGCCTAGGTTCGGGCAATGGTGACAACAGCCCTGCCCTCCCCCGGAGGCTGGTTCCCTGAATCAAAGGTGCTGGGGTTAGGGGCACTTCCCAGAGGAAGTGGGGAGGCCTCATGGAATGTAGAGAGGGATAAATGGCCTAGAACATGAGGAATAGCCATACTCCAGGAGATTATGTGGCCCTTAAAAATGACAAGTGTAAGAAATAACATCTGCGGGGGGAAAGCCTATATGAATTGCATGATAGACTGATGGCAGCCCCAGGAAACGTAAGTCTTACTGCAGCCTTATTTAAAAAGCCCAGTGCTGAGACAACCTTGATGTCCAACCATGGGGGAACAGGTAAATAAACCATGCCTGGAATGACCACTCCATGATGCATTCTGCCACTCAAGGGCTTTTAATAATCCAGGGAAATACTGATCCTGTAAAGCCAGGTGAAGAAAAAACAAAACATAAAATAATGTGTGTGGTATGACAGCAACAAAAATAAATGATAGATAAAAGACTGAAAGGAAATACACCAGAGTGGCCCTGGGGAGGGGGCAGGTGGAGGATGATTTTCATTTTCTTCTTCGTCTTTATTTTCAAAATAGTCTATATTTAACAACAATTACATGCTTAATCTGAGAAAAAGTCATTTCACTTAAGAGGATTTATTTTCTTAAAAATAGCCAGAAGCCAGAGAAATGTGTCCATATCAGTTCTGTATGGAGAAGGAGGTCCACTGCATGGCAATGTCTTTGTTTATTGATGTCGCTGTGTTTAATTATTAAAACTAGTTTAAATGTCCAACAAACATCTTATGTGGTTTTATAAAATTAGAAATGTAGAAAAAGGAGGAACCATGAAACTGGCCAACAGGAGGGCCAAGAGTCCAATCCTAGCTCAGGTACTAAGTTAGGCAAAACTTTTCTCTTTTAGGCTGAGGTGTGTGGATCACCTGAGGTCAGGAGTTCGAGACCAGCCGGGCCAACATAGTGACATAGTGAAACTCCATCTCTACTTACAATACAAAAATTAGCCAGGCATGGTGGCGGGCACCTGTAGTCCCAGCTACTAGGGAGGCTGAGGCAGGAGAATCGCTTGAACCTGGGAGGCGGAGGTTGCAGTGAGCTGAGATCATGCCACTGCACTCCAGCCTGGGCGACAGAGTGAGATGCCATCTCCAAAAAAAAAAAAAAAACAAAACAAAAAAAACCCTTCTCTTTTCTGGGTCTCAATCTTCTCATCTGCAAAATGAAGTTAACTGTCCCTGCCTCCCATTGTTTGGTAGGATTGTGGCCTCTACAGAAAGGGTTGTGCCTGTGCCCAGCACATGGTAGTAAATGCTGGGTGCGCTCTGCCCTCCAAGACCCCAGCTCAGGGTCCTTCCAACTACTATACTCCCAACAGGTAGGCAGGGCTCCTCCTCAAATCTTTTCAATCTTGCACTCCGTCTATAAAAAATGTGCATTCCTCTGCAGTGACATATACATATTATTCATAAAGTAGCCATGTATTACTATATTTGCATATCATGCACATTATACAACATACCCAAAAAGAGAAACAAATTAAACTGTGATAGAAGATAAATGTAAATGGAAGCTCTTCATATTTGTTCCCAACCTCCTCCTCAGGAGACTGTCCTGGGCATGGCTCCTGCACCCAACCTGGGAGACCGTTAGCTCTGTCTGTGAGTTCCTGGAGGGCAGAGTTCACTGAGGTCTTAGTCACTGCTCTGGTCCCAACAAACTGTTGGCACTCAGTCAAGAGTTGTTTAGTGAGCTCTGTGGTTCAGCCTGGTTTATATTAGAAGAAACAAAAGAACAGCAAAAAGCAAGTCACTCAAGCCAGAGTCTGACTCCTTGGGTGTGAGGAACCCCGGCCTCCCCTGGGACCCTGGGCCACCCTCTCTCCTTCTCTGGACACTGTCTCCCTACCTACTACCCAGGAGAGCCAAACTGAGTGGTCTCTGAGAATAGGTCCTTTCTGCTGTCCTCAGACATCAGCCTCAAGCCCCTCCCCACTCACTCAAGGTGGGTGGCCTCTCCTGGGACCCAGGTGGCCACTGATGTGTACCCTTCTGGGGTCCAGCCTCACTGTAAAATACAGCTGCACCCACCTGCCTGCCCTTCAGGACTCCCGCCGGCCCAGAGCCAGCTGCCCACAAACCCCTGGATATAAATCTTGAGGCTCAGTTCCGTCAGCACAGAAGGCAAGCAGTAAATTTAAGGCTCCAGGGTCTCTGGCAGGAAAGCTTCCTGGGAGAATTCATTTTTCACCCTAGAAAAATTACCATCCCTGGATGAGAGAGGGGAAGCATTTGCTCATTTGGTTGAAAAGTGGTTGTTTGAAGGGCCCCCCACACCTCCCACACAGGGGATTCCCCAGCAAGCTTCTAGCTGGCTCCCAGCTTCCAGGGCTATCCATCCAGGGACCTCCAAGACAGGGGCCTCATGGCGGGCCCCTCACACCCAGCCCCCCAAAACCTGCCTCCATCCCTCTCCTCCAGGCTGTGGTCTCCACCCCACTGAGCAGAGGCCTGGGGCTGAACAGAAAGCGCCTACTCACTCGGGACCTTGAACAAGCAAAACCATCTCAAGTCTTTATCCTTTTTGCAAACTCACACAAATCCTAAGTGGGAGCATAAACTGGAACAGCCTTCTTGGGGAGCCATGCAACACCAGGCACTAGACACAACCTATTTCTTTAGCTAGAGAACGGGTGCACTGGGGACGTCTTTATGTTGCTCTTTAAAAAATACAAATGTACCCATCACTCTTCGTTGTGTACAATATACCTCGTGATAAAACAGCAAAGTGTAGAAATGCATGATAGTACACAACTATTTGTCTAAAAAGGGGGAAAGATGTATTCACAGTTGCTTCTATAGGCATAGAAGAAATTTCTAGAAGGACAGTCTAGAAATGGATGATGGTAGTTGTTGCCTACCATGGGAGAGGTGGGGACTAGCAGATGGAAGACAGGGGTTGGAGAAAGGTTCTTCAAGGATGTGTTTTGAGATTTTTTTTACCTGAACAATGTGACTGAGTTCTCAGGCCAATCCCCTATAGACAGTTGGTTTATTCCTTTTTAAAAGTTTATTGACACTGCAACAAATGTCCTTATTCATGTTGTCTAGTGCGTCTGTGATAGGTTTTTCTCTAGAATAGATACTTGGAGAAGGAACGGCCGGGTCAAAGAGTGTCAGCACTTGCCATATCGACAGGTAACTGTCAAACTAACCTCCACGATAGCACTACCCACTTATTGTAGATGTCAGCCTCTACTTCCCCCACAATCCCACCAACACTACAGACTACACTTTTTTTTTTTTTTTTTTTGAGACAAGGTCTCACTCTGTTGCCCAGGCTGGAGTGTAGTGGTATGACCATGGCTCACTGCAGCCTCAACCCCACATCTCAACCTCCCTGCTCAAGCAATCCTCCCATCTCAGCCTCCCAAGTAGCTAGGACTACAGGCATGAACCATCACACCTGGCCACTTTTTGTATTTTTTGTAGAGATGAGGTCTCACCATGTTACCTAGGCTGGTCTCAAACTCCTAGGTTCAAGTGATCCTCCTGCCTCACCTCCCAAAGTGGTAGGATTACAGGGGTGAGCCACCACACCCAGCTAAACACCACGAATTTTAAAATTTCCCATTAAAATTGATATTGCATGTGGCTTTTATGAGTGTTTTCCTAATGCTAACAGAATAATCCCTGAGAAGGTGAGGCTGGCCTTCTTTCAGCCCTTTCTGGCCACCTGTGTTTCCTCTTCTAATCGCTGCCTGCTCAGGCCTGTTCCCAGGCTCCTGGACGCTTACTTTTCTTATTGATTTGCAGATCTTTGTGTACTCAGATATCATTCTTTATCTGGGATGTAGGTTGTAAATACCACTCCTCCTCATCTGTGTCTTGTCTTTGAACCTTCTGAATGATTTCTTTTGTTATACAAAATGTTTTACTTTTTATTTTCCAATTTTTCAATCATTTTCTTCATCACATCTGCATTTGGACTTTTTCTCTCATCTGATAAGGCTGATACCCCGCCTTGCAGGGTTATTACAAGGAGTAGAGAGAGAATGAATAAGGCTCCCAGAAATGCTGAGCAAATGCTCCTAACATAGCAAGGACGGTCATTTCAGGGGTCGCCCTGCCTCCACTTGCTTCTCTCCCTCTAATAGCCAGCAGGAGCTTTCTGAAGATGTCACTCTTGCTTGAAAACCTTTCAACCGCCTAACGAGGATGAAGCTCAAATTCATCTAGCAAGTGAGTTCAAAGTCTCAAATACAAAGGCCTCTACCAGCTGAGCAGGTGATTAAGTGTATAAAGGGGCTGGGTGGAGAGTACCACAATGTGCCCCCAGGGGGAAAGCAAAAATGCAAACCCAGGGTTGCCCGATCTTCCAAAGAAAGCAGTAAATCTACATTTTTTTATGTGAACGTTCTACTCCATTGAAAACTTACTGGTAACTGATTTTTTAAGCCACTATCAGAGTCAAACAAGACCCACCTGTGAGCCAGATGTGGCTATCTCTGCCCTCCACAATCTGGCCCCAACCCACCTCTGCAGAGTCATCCCTCCACATGTGCACCTCACACAGCTAACAGGCCAGTCACACTACTCAGATGTGGGCACAGCACACTTCTCTCCACTCTGTGCTTTTGCACATGCTGATCCCTCTGCCTTAAATGCCTTTCCCTGCTCTTTCCTTCTGGCCAACTCTCAACTTCATCTTGAAAACCCAGATCAAATGTCAACTCCAATTCCCCAGCCCCAGACAGAATTCCACGCTCCTTCCCTGAGTGCCCGCCCCATCACTCCTGTGGTATTAATATTCCCTGTATGATCTTGAGCACCATACTTCCAGGAGAAGCTGCCTGAGGACACAGGAAGAGCCTTGGCTTGGCAGAAAGACATTCCTGGGGTGAAATCCCCACTCGGCCACTTCCCAGCAGCGCATCTTTGGGCAATTGACTTAACCTCTCTGTGCTTCAGGTTCTCAATTATGAGATGGAAATAATCAGACCTACGCTCAGTCAGGCTTCTGGGAAGATAAATGAAATGATATAAAAGAAGTATCTAGAATGCAACAGGGGCTTAATAATGGTTTATGCAATGAAAGAACAAATGGAATAAAGAATGACTATTTCCTCAGAGTTCTATAGACTCAGCAAATGGAAAAGTTAGCTAACTTTCTGGAAGGGAGCCTGGGTTTTAGCCAAACCGTGCCTCTTGCCTTCTTTTCCAACCTCCTGATTTCAGAGAAAGCTGTGGGCCCTCTATCTCCCAGTGCCAGGCACCCTGAGGACCTTCTGGGAGTACACGCCATTCAAGGGCAAGGACTACACAGGAGTGAGTCCCAGTAGGTAAACTGAGGCAGACCAGATGTCAAGAAAAGTAGAGAAGAGATGTAAGTACCTGGTGCCCAGGAGGCACATCAAGAGGAAGGGAAGCAGCAGCAGCCTCTCGGGCCTCTGTATCCACATCTGTCTGCTCTGTTCTGTGAGATCTAGGACCTTGTCTATCTACTTCAGCTCTGTATTCTGATGTCTGGCACATAGCAGGTACCCAAAAAAGTCTAATGATTGAATGGATGACTTTAAGTAATATGAATAAGGCTGCTCAGTAAAATGTAAATGGCCACGTGAATGCATCCAGCAGCTCCACATAGAGGGGCATCTCTGCCCCCTCCACACTCGGGCCTGTCCTAGCTGCTCCCAGGCTGGGTCCTTGAGCTCAGCTCAGAGTTGGAGTGGGGGAACTTTCAGAGAAAGGATGACAGATAGGACCATGCAGAAGTAAGTGCCTGAGAGGCTGATGATCCATGGGGCCTTCCAGGGCTCTGAGGCTCCACAGCTTCCACCCTGGGAGGTGCCATCCAAGTTTAAAGAGCCCCGAGGCCGAGTCTCCTGCCAGCAGACCTGCATGGACAGGCTCTGTGTCTCCAGCTGGTAAAGGAGTCGGGGAAAGAAAGAGGGTGGGAGGCCATCAGGCCCTGGGAAGCCTCTTTAAACAGTCGACCCCACACACTCCACTGAAGAAACCGGGCTCAGAGAGGAGAGAACTTGCCCAAGGTCGCCTACCAGGACGTGGACCCATGTTTAGCTGTCCTCACGGTTTGGGCTCTTTTCCCTGGCCAGATATTAGGAGACCCAATTCCCAGCACCGGCGGGAGTGTTTGATGTCACACATGAAGCTCTGGGTTTCCAGGCACCCAACAAGCCACGCTTCCCCTGACTCCTTGTGGTGGCCTAGCACAAAGAATAGGCTGCTACCTCCATTTCCCCATCTGCAGTCTAGTGTCTTGCTTGACCCTGTTCTTTGGAATTCTGGCCCCAAAACCCCGTGATCCTTGTTCTTGGCCAGGATCCTCCTCCCAGAGCAAAAACATGGAGCCACAATGCTGCTGCTGTCTGACTAGCATCCTCTTCCCAGACCAAGGACTTGGAGCCACAATGCTACCACCATCTGACTCGTGCCCTTCTCCCAGAACAAGGACACGGAGCCACAATGCTGCCACCATCTAACTTGAGTATTTTCTGCTCCACTGATCGCACCCCTGCCTGGTACACTCATAGGCCAGGACAAGCCTGGTGTCACCACACACGTGGACACCACTGGGAACTAATGTCATCCCCAACCCAGCCCAGCCTGGCCTGGATTTTCCCAGCCGCTGGGGTCTCAGCCCAGCACAGCTCAGGTGCCAAGTTCCTGACACCCTTGTCTGCCTGGGGAGCACAGTATTTGTCTCTGCTTTTGGCTTACATCTTGAGAGAATATTATTTGTATTATGGAGAAAAAAACATTCCTGAGATAAATATTTGCTCCAAAAGCCACTCCGACTTTCCTCTGACTCAGTGTCTTGTCTGGTTTCTCAGACACAGGCCTAGGGGCCTCCCCACTGGGCCATGAACATGACTGATCCTCATGGCTCCCGCTTCCGGCAACGCAAGAATCAAACGAGGACAACTTACGACCATTTGCTGTGTGCATCACCAAGCCTCGTTCAGTCCAGGCCAGTGGACAGAAGGCATCACACAAACGAGTGACACAGTCACCATGTGGGTCCAGAGCTCCTATAGTTCTCCCAAGATGACCCTGAACATGGGTTTTGTGTGACAAACCACCAACGATGCCACCCCATGGTTCACGAGGCGCAGGCCATCCTCCCTTCTCACAGTTCCAGTGCGCTACAGGTTGACAACATCCCTCATACTCCGGAGGCTAAAGGCATTGAGGTTCCTCGATAGGGATGCTGCTGGCATTTGGGGTGGAGAGTTCTTTGGGCAGGACTGTCCTGGATATGCCAGAGACATAGCATCTCTGGTACCCTCCCACTAAAGGCCAGCAGCCCTGCTGTGATTGTGACAACACAAAGACACCCCCACCCAGGCCCAAAGAGTTGAGAGCTAGGCTCTAGTCCAAACTTTCAAACCACACCCCCAGTGAAAGCTCATCCAAGCTCTATTTGCATGACCCTGATGGTGGGGGACTCACCCTTCTCAAAGCCCCCAGCCCATCCCTAGCCAACTGTGACCAGCAGAAAGCCTTTCACTGCAGTTGCTGCCTCCCTGTGACTCCTCTCCTGGCGAGGTGCAGCCCTGCCTTTTGGGGGCCTAGACCTGCCTGTTCTCTGTGCCTGGGATGGCCCTGAAGAGACCTGGTCTCCCCAGCCCTCAAGTACTGCTCTGAGCCCTCCCAGGACAGGTGCTCTGTCTCTCTGCCTCTGACTCTGGTCTGTCCCTATCCCTCTCCCAGGGTAGCAGGTACAGCAAACAATTGTCTCTTTCACAGTCTTGCTAAACACTGGGCCAGTCTGTGCTGGGAGCTAAGGGGTCCTGGCCCTCCCTCAGCCCTGCCCCGGGCTCTGGGGATATGGATCAGATGCCCCAGGAGGAAGAGCAGACTCGGGGCACGTGTGTAGGGAAGCGGTGACGTGCTGCCACACCGAGGGCAGAGGCTGGGAGCAGGCGTGACTCCCAGTGGCAGCCTTCCTTCCCTGGGGAAAGAGGCGCTCCCTCACCTTGCCTGAGGCCTGTCTGGAGAGTCCCAGACTGAGACTCAGTCTCTTGGGATCAACACTCAACACATGGGTGAATCCTGGGGAGGGAGAGGAGCTCCACTTGGGCCAGGGCAGGGCCACTCTAGGACTAGGACAATCACATCCAAAGGACCCTGCAGGAGCCACATGGAAACCTTAGCCCTCATTCACTTCCCAGTGGTTAAAAGCACAGCCTCTAGCCTGGGTTCAAATCCCAGCTTTGCCCCTTAGCTGCTGTGTGCCCTCAGGCAAGTCACTCAACATTTCTGCCTCAGTTTCCTCATCTGAAAAGTGAGATTAAGTATAGTACCTACCTCACAGGGTTGTTATGAAAATTAAAATAGTTAACATATAAAGCGCTTAGCCTGCATGGAGTAAACCATTAATAATGGTTAGCTGTTATTATTATTATTAAACAGAGTCTCACCCTGTCACCCAGGCCAAAGCACAGTGGCGCAATCACAGTTCACTGCAGCCTGGAACTCCTGGGCTCAAGTGACGTTCCCACCTCAGCCTCCCGAGTAGCTGGGACCACAGGTGTGTGCCACTACACCCGACTAATTTTTGTATTTTTTTGTAGAGATGGTGTCTCACTATGTTGCCCAGGCTGGGCTAGAACTCCTGGGCTCAAGTGATCCTCCCACCTCAGCCTCCTGAGTAGCTGGGACTACAGATGTGCGCCACCACACCCAGCTAATTTTTGTGCTTTTGTAGAGATGATGTCTATGTTGCCCAGGCTGGTCTAGAACTCCTGGCCTCAGATGGTCCTCCTGCCTCAACCTCCCAAAGCGCTGGGATTACAGGTGTGTGCCCAGCGCCTGGCTGTTATTATTGTCATTGTTTTTTACCTCACACACTCTCATCAGTGCAGCCCCTGCTCCAGCACACTCTTCAGCCCCTCCCCCACACCCATTTCAGGGACTTCCACAGGTATGAGCCGCCTGCACTTTCAAACCACTTTCTCCTCCATTTTTAAAAATTAGACGCACACAGCATCCCCTTGGGACAGAGCTATTTTCTGATTTTTCTGAGTAGGAAACTGAGGCCCCGAAAGGTCAGACAGTCGCCACGGGGATCACTCACAGAGTTGGGAAGGACCACAGACTTATGCTCCTGGCTCAGGCACTGTCTGAGACACCCACCCAGCCTTGGTGTGGCCCTGTGGGTGCTACAGCCACAGAGCAAGTGGGATGGAGATGCACACACGCAGGGAGGGGCTGCCTGGCTCCGCAGGTTGCCCCTTGCAGACCAGCAGCTCCGGCCAAGCCATTTTCCCTGAGCTTCAGCATCCTCGTGGTGGGGCCATGGTGAGGGCCGGATGTGCACAGGGGCAGCCCAGGGCCTGGCTCGCAAAGGTTGCTTCCTCCCCCTTCTCTTCTTTATTTCATTCACCACTCACCTAGTGAGCACCTACTGCATGCTGGCTTCTGAGCTGGGCACTTCAGACTCAAGGAGGAATGGGACGGGGTCCCTGCCCCCATGAGGCTCTATATCCAGTGATGGAGATACAAGCACATGCCTTTGTTCCTACAAAGTGAGAGGGGCTAATTCTGTCATGTTAGCAGGGACAACAGGAAGCTGCACCCACAGGCCTGGCCTTGGGGTCAGAACTGGAGGAAACCACCACTTACAGGGTGAAGAAGAGGATGGGAGAGGAACTCCAGGCAGGGGCAGCTGCCTGAGAAAGGCTCTGAGGTAGGAAGGAGCAAGCCCTCTGGCAGGTAAGGAGGTAAGAAAGGTTACTGCAGCCAATCACAGGGCTTTGAGTATCAGAGGCATCAAAGTAGGGACTCCTGGGCTAAATCCAGCTCAAAAGGGAGTGCGTTTGACCCTTAGGGCTTTTTGTTTAGATTGGTGGTTAACATTTTTAAAATTGAGAGAGACAGTAGGTTAAACTCTAGATTTTTAGCTTCTCTAGAAAAATCAGAAACTCTGGTGGTTGAACCAGAAACCCATAAGGCCCACATTCTCTGGTTCAACACTGTCCCCAGGCCCATCTCACTCCCTCACTCCACAAATACCTGTTGAGCACCTACTGTGTACCATGCAATATACTAGTCACCGGGAATACAGTGGAAAGCAAAATAGACACAAGCACAGTCCTCACAGCACTCACTAGAGGGAGAGAAAGGTGATATATGAGCACTTAACATAAAACCCAGCAGTGCAAAGGGCTGGCAGGAATAGGAAACTCATAGGACCAAAGGACTGCTATCTTATGTGGGATGATTAGGGAAGGCTTCTCTGAGGAGGGGACAGTTGTATAGATTTTTTTTTTTTAAGGCTGGAGCGCAGTGGTACAATCATGACTCACTGCAGCTTCAACCTCCCAGGCCCAAGTAATCCTCTTTCCTCAGCCTCCTGAGCAGCTGGGACTACAGGCACACGCCACCATACTCAGCTGATTTTTTAAATTTTTTTGTAGAAACAAGGTCTTGCCATGTTGCCCAGGCTGGTCTCAAACTCCTGAGCTCAAGTAATTCTACCTGCCTTGGCCTCCCAAGTGCTAGGATTATAGGAGCAGCCACTGCGCCCAGCCAGCTGCATAGATCTAAACGAAGTGAGTTACTGAACCAGTGGAAGATCAATCCAGCAAAAGGGAACAGCAAGTGCAAAGGCCCTGGGGTCCCCTTCACTCATCTTTTGGGTGAAGGCATTAAAGCCTGAGACCTTACTGTAAGTAATGGAGCATAATAAGCAATGTGTAAACAGGTGAAAACCACCTTCCAATATGTGTTTCAGATAAAACATCTCTGATCAGTGGTGGAAGAGACATGAGAAATAGGGAACTGGGTGGAAGGCATATGATAATTTTTTCCAGTGGGGAAAAAAAATCCCCATTAGGATGGCAGGGAAGAGGCAGAGAAGGCTCATGCATGGCATGCTAAAACCTGAGCCAAGGACAGAGAAGCCAAGAATGCGAGGGGGAATTCTCGTTTCCTTCCTCACCAACTGCATCATCTGCCAACCCCTGCAAAGTGGAGGCAGGGCAGGTGGAAGAGAGACCGAGAATGCTAAATCTTCTGCAGCCCTGAGGCTTTTTTTATGTGTTTTGGTTTTTTTAAAAAAAAATTATTTTCCAAGCCTACCCAGGCTGCTGCCTTAGAAAGCCAACTGCAAAGAAATCACTTTGATGGGTTTTGTGTTTCTCCACCACCTTTCTAAGCCAAATTAGAGTGTAGATTCCTTGTCCTTTTACCCACAAAGCAAAAGCAAAAGAGATGATTTTAAAGGAGAGGGTAAGAAAAACAAGTCTACAATCTATATCACCATTTGTGGCTGGGGTGGGGGTTGCGGGGGGCAATTCTGCATGCTGACATCATGATCCATGGCATGGGAAATGACTTCCACCATTCAAAGCTTTATTTGCATTTTTTGGAGGTACAAGGAGACATTTAAAATCAGCTCCGGTGTTGACACTGCAATTATTAAACCCAAACAAAAGATTCCTTCCAAAGTCTAACTGGTCCTCTGTAAATTTATCTGGGCCCCCACTACCTGATTTAAGGCAATGAGCAGATGTTTCACAGCAGGAAGTGCATTAGCTCCAGATGCCGCTTTGTTCAGGAAGTGTGTATGCACCCACGCACTGGAAACCACACACAAACACAAACACAAACACACGCACACACAAACACACACAGGACCTGGGGCAATGAACATTCATGGCTCCCCTTCCAGCATTTGGCATGACCTCGTGGACCATTTGTAACCTCTGCTTGCGGTTCTGACAGGGAAATGAGCAGCAGGAGTGAGGAGCCAATCAAAAGCCGCCTTATCGTCTTCCCGTTGTCTCCTAGGTAACCGGCATAGGGACACATCAGCTAGCTGGGTACCACAGGGGGACACACACACACACACACACGCACACACACAACCATGCTCCCTTAACAGTCCATAACTGCAGAAATGCCGGATGTGCCTATCAGCACCCTGGACAGATCCCCACCCCAACCCAAGACTTCAAAGCCTTTGGTTAACTACGTTGACAGCCTTTTATCTCCCACAGCTTTCTCACCTCCACCCCCTTACTCATGCTGTTTCTCTGCCTGGGATGCCACTCCCTACTACCATCTCTATCACCCAAAACTTTGGTCATTTTCGGAGCTAGCCCAAGCTCTTGGTCTCCCAAGAGCTCCGAGCCCCTCCTTCAAGGGCTCCCATCACAATAAGATCCACACTCCTTTCCCTGGCAGTAAAGGTCCTACACTGATCTGACTTTCCATGATCTGATTCCTCCAACCTTATCATTCTCTCCCTTCCTCTATTCTTCTTTCTCTTCCTCCAACAGGTCAAACTGTCCTCCCCACACAACCCCCTGAAGACCAGGGCTTTTCTTTATATTTGCTGTTCCCTCCGCCTGCCTTGCTTTTCCTTCTGCTCTTGGTGTGGCTGGGCCTTCTCACTCTTTAGTGCCAGCTCAAAGTCACCTTCCAGGGATGCCTCCCTGATCATCCTAGGCCATCCTGCTATAGAAGCACCCTCCCGCGGGACTCTCTTCTACATCACCCTGTATTCCTGTGTTGTCTTCATATCACTGATGACTCTCTGAAACTCTCCATTCACATTTATTTGTTCACTTGTTCTTTGTCTCCCCCTCTAGAATGTAAACTCTGTTTCACAGGGTCTTTTTCTTGTTCACAGTTTTATCCCCCAATACCCAGAACAAGGCCCAGTAAATATTTGTTGCATGAATGAAAAGTTGTTTCCTTCTTGCTGCATCTATGTTTCCCCCATCTCTCTAATAAGGGTTGGATCTGATGACTTCTATAACACTTCTGGCTAACATTCCAAGGGTCTATTAGAGACAGAAAGGGCCAGCATAAGGAGGGAAATTAATCAGGCCACACCACAGGAAGAATCTGCTGGTGGAAATCTGACCTTCTCAACTGGGTCGCAGCGCCTTCCTCCTCTGAGCAGTCTCCCTGATAGGAATTTGCTGCCGCCCTCAACTCCACACTCCCTAAGCACTGGGCACCTTGAACTTTTGTTATCTGAGGGATTGGGGGCAACTTGAGGCTAAGGACTGGCTTTTATTTTTCTGATTGTGCACAGAGGCCAGCCAGAGCCTGGGGAGGGGGAGTTGGAAAGGGGTCCTCTGGAAGCATTTGCTGCAATAAAAGAAAGAAAATGTCAAGGGGGAGGGTCATTGAAGCACAAGTCTCTCTCTCTCTCTCTCTCTCTGTGTGTGTGTGTGTGTGTGTGTGTGTTTGTGTGTGTGTGTGTGTCAGCTCCAGCTGGTCTCTGCACAATCAGAAAAATAAAAGCCTGTCCTTAGCTTCAAGTTACCCCCAATCCCTCAGATAACAGAAGTTCAAGGTGCCCAGTGCTTGGGAAGTGTGGATCACACACAAACACAGTCACACACACACAGACACACATACACACACAACTCAAAAACGTAATAAAGCAAGAATCACAGAGTATCCCAATCCCAGCAGCTACATGTGTCTCTCTTCAAGGAAGATGACTGCTGTTTAAGATTCTAAACCCTGTGTGAGTGATTCTGACACATGTGCTATGTAAGTCTGTGGTGTGTCTTGTCCATTCTCACTGGGCAACAGTAGGCCATGAATTCAAGTAGCCACATGGTAGACACAAACCTACTGGATCCCCTCAAACCCTAGCAGTGGAACATCTCAAGCTGGCCACTCATGACCCAGAAATCCACCCTGAGCCCTGAGTTCTCCTCTGACCAACGAGCCCAACAATGCATCAGATCATTTCTCCAAATCTGAAGTTAAATCAGATATAATAATCAAGAAAGGGAGAACAGAACTGGCATTTCTTAAGCACCTATTACGTGCTGGTTCCTGTGCTAGGATATGTTAGCATTGACTCTTTCTGACCACCCCGCGAGGCTGCCCCTCCAACTTTACAGGTGAAAGCAACTGAAGCTCAGAAAAATTAAGTAGTTTCCCCAAGGTCACATAGTTAGTAATCAGAGGGACTTAAGAAGGACATGAGTCTGGTCTTCAAGCCCACTCCTCTTTGTTGAGGCCTTAAATTATACAACGTGTAGGCAGATGAGCTGGTCTTGTTCAAAACATCCCTCCCGCTGGCTGGGGCCCCTCTCTGAGAGATGCCAGGTGGATGGCCCTGTCCCTGCATCTATCCCTGTCACTCCTGGGCCTGGCTGACCTCTCCCCACAACCTCTTGTCAAGCAGGACTCACATCTCCAAACCTCTCATGTGAGACCCAGCCCACGGGGACTAATTTTCCTGTGGCCCAGAGAAAGCCGGAGATTTTGCCTTTTTAAAATAGTAATTTCCTGCCAGCGCGGGTGGATACACCAGCCACCCTCTGATTTAGTGCGGAGCTCAAGGATCAATCCCAACTCAGATTTTCCAAGGAAAATTCAAATGTGGGGCACCTCCTGGCATTGAGGAAGGCATTGGCCTTCTCTCAAGAGATGTGTTCAGTGTGGGCAAAGCCATTGTTGGTGTCACAAGACTCTCATGCCTCATACATGTCACACACATGCCTTGTACACACCCACATGCATCTCAAACATGCCACCCACATAGACACACCATCCACCCGCCTCACCCATCTCTCTCTCTCACACACACACACACACACACACACGAACACACACACGAGGCAGGGGGTGTCAAGAGCAAGAGAGCTACATAGTCCCTCTCAGGACATTACAGCCCCCACTTCCAAGCCTGTTCTGGACTGTGTGCTTTGCCAGGGTGCCTCATTTCATCCTTCCTAGGGCCCCAACAGGACAGGTTGCCCCCCACCCCTTTAAAGAGGCAGAAAGTGAGCCTGAGAGAGGCTTGTCCAAGATCACAGGGCATGCTCAGACGAAAGTTAGTGGTGGGCACCTGGCTCTGCGAGATTTCCTTCTTAATTAGCCCTGCTCCTTGGGGGCAGCTCCGTTGAGTAGAGGCACTCCTCCAAGACACCGCCCCCCTCCTTATTGGCAGCCCTTCTCCCCTGCCTCCTCCCTCAATCTCAAGGAAGGAAACCTAGGCACCCTCTCTACCCTAAAGCTGCTCCATCCGCACCAACTCAGGTCAGGCGAGGAGTGGAGGGTCTGCTCCCTCGCTGGGCACACCTATAGGCCCACCAGGGTCTGAGGCACTGGCTAAGGCTTAATGGCTGTCTAAGCAAGACCCTCCACGGGCTCTGCCTGCAACCCCTCACAACCCAGGATCTCAGTGGGGCCGAGAAGACAGACCCTACTTGGCCCTGGGACAGGACAGGAGGGGCAGGGACCAGCTCTCTCCGTCTTCCTCCACCCTACCCCAAGTCCCACACAGGAGCTCTGGGCCTGGGCTGGAAATGGAAACTTTCCCACTAGACTGAGAGAGGCCCAACCTGGGGGGCAGACTGGAAGAAGGTGGGAGGCCTGGAAACTACTAAAAGCTTGCGGGTCACATAGATTTAGGTTCCCGGGCAGCTCTACCACCTGCTGGCTGTGTGACCTTGGGCAAGGGGCTTTACCTCTTTGAGGCTCAGTGTCCTTATCTGCAAAGCGAAAGAAAAATAGCGCCCTCCTAAGGGGGTGATTGTGAAGGTCAAAGGCAGGGGCGATGTGCACAGTCTGCGGGGCCTCGAAGTCAGCCATTATGCCCCCCAAAGTGAGCAGCGGGTGAGCAGCCACCACTGTGACCTCACCCTGCCCCCGACTCCCAGTTCTGAAAATTCTTCATTAGCACCAAATCCAAACTTTTCCTCAGCAGTGGCAGGACCCAGGCGCGGGTCCTCCTTCCTCCTCCCGCCCCCTCGCGGTCAGACAACAGGTACGCGGGGAGCAGCCCGGGCGGCCCCGCGCAGGGGTTGAGCCGCAGCGCTGCTGTGCAGGGGCAGGCCCGGGCAGGGGGCAGTGCGGCGAGTCAGCCCCCTCCCTGGCCTCCTCGCAACTTTGAGTAACCGCGGACTCCGGGGTCGGCATGGGGGTGGCGCCGGGCGTTCAAAGGAAAGTTGGGTGCGACGGACCGCAGCCTCGGGGGCCAAAGGACCCCCACCGTGAGCGCGGCCACCTCCCGACACCCGGCGGGCTGGCTGGAGGGAGCAGGTGAGGCACGTGGCCGCCTCGCCAAGCCAGGGCTCCCTCCAGGAGCCCGACCCGCCGGCCGGGCCGGTGGATGCCCCCTCGAGGGCTCAGACCCTTCGCTCCAGCCCCCGGCGGGCGCCCTGCCCCGGGTCCCACACTCCCGCGCCCCGTGGGCCCCACTGCTGGCTTTCCGGGACCAGGCTCCGCTCCGCAGCTCGCGTCCTGAGGTGATCCTCCAGGCTCCCCACTTTGGGACCCCCTCCTGCGCCTCGGGTGCCGGCGCCTGTCTTCGCCTCCCGCGGGGACCCTCCCCGGCGCCCCAGGCGTGTGCGCCCCGGGCCAGCTCAGCTCTGGGTCCGCCCTCCGCACCCCGCGCCGCGCGCGCGCTCACCGGCCGGGCAGCGGCCGCGTCTTACCTTCGTCCGGCAGCCGCTGCAGGCAGAGCGCGAGGTTCCTCCGCCAGCCCCGCATCCCCGCGGCCGCCCTGCGGCCCGGCCCGGCCTCGCCAGCCCGGCCCCGGCCCCGCCCCCGCCGGGCAGGGCGGCGCAGCGCAGCGCTGGGGAGGGCCGCGGGCCCAGGGAGCCGCGGGCATGGACGGCCGCCGAGGGTGGGGGTGCCGGGGCGGCCGCCAGGCGCTCCGCTCCGGCTCCCGAGCCCGCGGCTGAGCAGCTACGCTTTTCGAGCGCGCGCTTTCCCGGGCGCCGGGGGCGGGATGGCGGTGGGGGCGGGCGCGGAGAGGACGGCTGGAGGGGAGCCCGAAGGCGCCCCAGCCGTCTCGCACCCTCGCTGACATCCAGCGGCCTCACACACCGTCCTCAGTCTCCCCCACACACAGGGCTCTCCAACTCATACCTAAATGACTCTAATCACCACGAATTAGTGAATGAATGAATATGTGAATAAGTGAGTGAATGAATGAATCAGCGCATAAGTGAGTGAATACACAGGTATATGGATGAGTGCATAAGTGAGTGAATGGGCGAATGAATGAATGGAGGAATGTACGAGTGAGTGGATCAAGGCCTGAATAAATGTGTCAATAAGTGAATGGGAGAGTGAATGAATGAATGAATTAGTGCCTTTATCAATGAGTAAATTAATAAGTGAGTAAATGGGTGAAGGAAAATGTAAATAAGTTACTGAAAAAAATCAATCAATTGAGTGAGTGCCCCTTGGCCTCAGGCTTGTAAGAGGCAACAGTGATCTAGGACCCTCCAGAGGAGCCCTCAGCTCTGTCCTGGGAAGGAGGCCTCAGGGTTGCATCTTGTTGATGAGGCCTAAGAGGCCCAGAGAGGGCACAGCTTGTGTTTGAACACACAGCAAAGGCTGGCGTGGTGGAGATAATAATGATTCCCTCCACCAGGCTGAGGCAGCTGAGCTCATCTGATTTCAGAGGCTGTGGGGATGAACCACCTGGGGATGGAGCAGAAACGCCTATCTTCAGAAGTCAGATTTGCTTTCTCCAAGGGAATGAGTAGAGAACAGGTGTGGGGCACACACACACACACACACACACACACACACACACACAAAATCCAGCCAATGGAGTACTACACAGCCCTGAAAAGGAGGACGGCCTTCTTTGTGTCCCAATGGGGAGCCATTTCTGAGGTGCCTTGTTAAGTGAGAAAGGCAAAGTGAAGAACAGTATTTATAATGTGCAGAAAGGAAGGAAAGCTGCATTCATATTTGCTCAGATCTGTGGGGAACTATCTCTAGTGGAAACACTGGCCCTCTCTAAAAGAGGACTCATGAGGCCAGGAGCAGGTAGGAGAGGCCCACTTTTCATTGAATCCCCCTTTGTGCCTCTTGAAATTTTGAACCCTAGAAATGCATTATCTACACAAAAAATAAGTTGAAATTTTAAAATAGACAAATTTTTACAATATTTAAAGTGTTTATACCTTAGTAAAGGCTGCCTCCTCCCACCCAGTCAAGTCAGCCTATATGCCAGGATGCTGTCTCTCCCTGCTCTGGCTCAGAGAGGAAGAGGGTCTTGCTGGTCAACAGCACAGTAAAATATGACCCTGGTGGTCAGTGCAGAGCACATGATAACCCCTGTGAGGGTTGGGAGGAAAGCAAGCAGCCTCTGCTTGAACGCTGGGTTTGCCACATTTAAATTGACTGTCTCTAGGCAAATCACCTTGTCTCTTTGAACCTCAGACCCCCCATCTGCAAACTAGGGATCATCATAATGCCCTAACAGGGCTGAGTAGAGTTGACCCAGCTGCTTGTGTTCCAAAAGAGAGTTCAGCAGTGGAATCCCAGGCATCTTCATACCGTCAGTGAAGCCATCCGAACTTTGGCATGCAGAAGTTCCACTTTCGTAACGAAGGGAATTATCTCAGGTCCCCAATAATCCTTCAAGGTTGGTATAATTAGCCCCATTTCACAAATGAAGACACTTGGCCTCAGACAGTTTAAATATCTTGCCCAAGGTCACACCACCAGGAGTAGCAGAATGGGCATTTGAACCCAGATCTGCCTAGCTCCACAGCATCCCCAGACAGTGCTGCTCACAAAGTCCATCAATATGCTTGTCTCTTATTTATGTTCCTAAGACCCTCGATGGGTCACATTGCAGCCCTGTATTCATCCTGAATTATTAACCACTTTAGTAAGCAGGGTGCAGGGCCCAGAGGTTGAGTAAGGGAGGGGCAGATCAGCAGGCAGGCCTGAGTCTGAGGAGTGCTGACTCCAGAGCTTGTCTTAATGGCTGTGAGCTCTGACAAGGAAGTGAGCCTCCCCCGGCAGCAGCATTGTGAATCACTCCTGTCTGCACTAAGATTGATGGCCTCCACAGCTAGGATGCCCACTGCTCTGAGGATGACAGAGCTGGAACTGCTGATGGGAGAAGCGAAGATACCAGTGCCAGGAAAGGAGGCCCCAGCGAAGGAGACCAGTTAGGAGGGCAGGGTGCTGGCCCAGGAACTCCCCATGAGAAGAGGCGGGGGTCCTGTTAACGCTGCATAACAGGCCCCTCTAAACATAAGTGTCATAGAACAATCACTTTATTACGGTCATGAGCTCTAGGGGTTAAAATTTGGGCACAGAAGGCAGAAAGAATATGTCTCAGCTCCACATGGGCTAAGGCCTCAGCTAGGAAGACTCAAAGGGTGGAGTGGTGTGGAGTTGGGGCTGATCCAATAGCTGGGGGCTGGAATCATCTGGAGGGTCTTCACTCACTGGTGCCTGGCATCTGAGTTGGAATGACTCAAAGGCTGGACTCAGCTGGAACAGTTGTCCCAGTGCCTACCACAGTGCCTCCATGTGGCCTGGGCTTTCTCACAGCATGGTGGCCTCGGGGCAGTTAAACTTCTTACGTGGGGCTGAGCTCTAAGGGCGAGTGTTCCAGCTCTACAAGGTGAAAGCTGCATCCCCTTGGATGACCTAGCCTCAGAAATCGTGTCCCAGCGCTTCCCGCCATCCGGTATCCATCAAAGCAGTCATAAGCTGCCTGGATTCCAGGGGAGGGCGGGGGAACCCCACCTCTCATGGGAGGAGTGACAAAGAATTTGCAGCTCTTCCAGAAACCCATGAAAGGAAAGAAAGTGTTAGAGGAAGGAAGAGGAGGAAGAGTAACAGAGGATGTCCTATGAATAGAGGAAGTAGTAAGAGAAAATGCAACAGGGCTGAGGAGGAGTCAGAGAGGAAATTAGTTACCAGGAGGAGGGATAGAAGAAGTAGTAGTAGGAAGAGGAACGATACTGGGAAAGGTACTATTCAGAATAGTGATAAGAAAAAGAATGGTGACGTGAATAGGAAGAACTGCAGTAGGGGAGGAATGAAGGAGGAGACAAAGCCATCAGGTAGGGAGAGTAAAGGGAGAAGGTGCAAACAGAAGCCCAGTGTTTGAGGGGATCATATAATAAGAATAGTAGCTAGAATGGCAGCAAGAGCAGTGGACAAAGGGAAAAGGTAGAGGTGATGGGGCCATAACAGGAAGATGTAATCAGAGGAATAGAAATAGGGGAGAAGCTGAGGGGAGAGCATCAGGAAAAAGAGCTAATCCATGCTGGGCTTAATACCTAGGTGACGGGTTGATAGGTGCAGCAAACCAGCATAGCACACATTTACCTATGTAACAAACCTGCACATCCTGCACATGTACCTGGAACTTAAAAAAGAAAAAAAAGAAATAGGAGGAGAAATCACAGGAAACTGGCTATCTGGTCTGAAATCCCCTCCAAACTGTGTGGCCTCTGGTGAGTTCCTGAACTATTCCTCAGTTTTGTTATCTGTGAAATAGGGATGGTGATACTAAAAATACCTCCCTGATAAGGTTGTTGTGCAGATTAAATGAGTCAATACATGTAAAGCTCTTGGTGCCTGACTCACAGGAGGTGCTATGTAAGTGTTTGCCACTATGATTAGTTGTATTAATATCGTGGAAATGGGAGGGGCACCTGAGGAACCACGGCTGCAGGGAAAGCAGTGCCAGCTGATCTGAAGGCCTCCTTGGTTGCTGTTGTCTTGGTGGTGCCCAGGGTGTGTTCCCCACTGCACCCTACGGCCTCTGAGTGAATCTCAGCATGACCTTGTGCGGGAGGCTGGGTGAGGACTGTAAGAGCTGTCGCAGGCAGGAACCAAGCTCAGCCAAGCTTATTCACCAAGAGGTGGCAGGAGCTCAGCCCCAGCCTGGCCTCCAGGCCCCCAGCCAGCGCTCCCTGGGGAGAGGAGGGAGAGGGCTGGTGCACTTCCCAGGAACCTGCCGGCCTTTGGAGGGGGCCAGGCACAACTTGGTCTGGTGAGGGAGGAGATGCTGAGCCAAACCACTGGGGTGCAGGAAGGAACTATTACTACTTATCTTTCTTTTTATTATCTAAAATTATAAAGAAAGGAAGCTTTACTGGTATTTAGTATATGGATTGACAATGGTACATATGTTCAGTTTACAAGTGCGTACACATTTTGGGGGCATATGTTCCCAAATAGTTTTATCAATAGGAGTGAGAGATCACAAAAGTTCTGAGGTCCCTGTGCAAGGGTAATCGCCCTGGTGCCAGTGGGCTCTCTGGGGGACATTTGCATGCAATTATGCACTGACAATCACTCTGCAATTACTGCAGGACCCAGCAGAGCTCCAGAAAAGCCTTTACATTCTGGTTTAAGCTCATGTACAAGGCCTCACACCTCGCTTCTCTTTTCAAGCTGTAAGTCCGGGACTGGCCTCCCCATTACCCTGAGCTTTCACTTTGCCCCTTCCCTGATGATTGCTATCAGGCAACCCATATTGTATATTTTTATATGTCCTTCCTCTTCCAAAAAAGATAATCCACATATTTTCAATAGGTCTACCTGGAGAAAATGTTGAGCATTAGAAAGAGCAAAAGCTTCGGAGTCGCCCAGCTGCAGATCCAAATCCCAGCTCCCAGCTCCACTGTTCCATTCATTCGCTCGCTGGGTATTTGTTGAACATCTGCTACATAGGAGGCACTGTACTTTGTGTTGAGTACATCATTGATTTGGATGAAAATCCTTGCTGTCACAGAGCTCACATCCTAATGGAACATTTTATTTGCTACTTGACCTCAGGCAAGTCATTGCACCTCTCCAAGCCTCAGTTTATCCATCTTTAAAGTGGGACTTGTAACCCCCAACCTTGCAATGTGGCTGAGATACAAGCAGGTAAGGGGCCTGAGACATTCGATGAAAGGCATCCCAGGCACCTAGAGCTGGAAGGAACCTCGTTCCAAGATGATTCTGCAGCTGTTGCCAAATGCAGATGAGACAGGGGCTGCAACATGGTTCATCCAAGGCCACTCAGTGAGGTGGGGCAGAGCAAGAATGGCGGCCCAGGTGCCCTCTCCTGTCCTGCTTCCCTTGAGTCTGATGCTCTCTGTGTGGTCCAGTCAGGGCTGAGAAGTGAAAGGAAATAGAGGCTGCCCTTCACCTCCCCTCCAGCTCCTGAAGCTGGAAGCTGCCTCTTCTCCTCTCACATCACCACCAGGCAATCATGGGGAAAGCATAGCCTGACTACCTTTTGGAAACAGCAGCCTCTAGTGTCTGGGCCAGAACAAGGGCTCAGGAGGAGCCCCAGGCAGCCCAGCTTTTGAGTCGGATGGAAATTACTATTCTCTAAATATCAGTTCAGCCACAGTTATTCAGGGAAGAGGCCCAGCACAGATTGGGGAGGGTGAGGAGGATGCGGGGAACAGAATTAGCTTCTCTGTTGTCAGCCCCTGCAGTTTAGCTCTGACAGCAAACCTGCACATTTTACTCAGCAAAACCAAGGCCCGATCCCTGCCTCGCCCTCTTGTTGGCAGTCCATGCAGTGGACCTGCTCTCAAAGATCTCACCCTTCCTCAGGCTGCAGGGCCTCACCCAACCACGATTCCTTTTAACCCACAGAAGACTTTATGCCGAGGAGTCCTGGAATATCTCCTTTTCTCCATCTTGGGACATCTGTGGGGCGGTTTTTCCCCCTCTAGATGGGGGCATCAAAAACTGCCTTGCTTTCCTGACCTTAACCCATCTCAGTGCCCATGGGGTTGCGCTAAACATCTCCAGAGAAATGTCTTTAAATAAACAGATTTCATACTTGAGAGGAGACCAGAAATGTCTAAAACCATCTCTGTTTACTCTCTCACATTTGTGAGGTTTGTTTGTTTGTTTGTTTATTTGTTTGTTTTAAAGCCAATCATGGTCTTTTCTTCAAAAACCATGAAAGAAGAAAGGATGCTAACAGCTCCATTTCACAGATGGCAAAACTGAGGCTGAACATGGGAAAGTGACTTGTTGGAGGCTCTGTGGTTAAGAAAGATGTGTATCTCTCTCTCTCTTTTTTTTTCTCAGACAGAGTTTCACTCTTGTCACCCAGGCTGGAGTGCAGTGGCGTGCTCTCAGCTCACTGCAACCTCCGCCTCCCGGGTTCAAGTGATTCTCCTCCCTCAGCCTCCCAAGTAGCTGGGATTACAGGCATGCAACACCATGCCTGGCTAATTTTTTGCATTTTTAGTAGAGACAGGGTTTCACCTCATTGGCCAGGCTGGTCTCGAACTCCTGACCTCAGGTGATCCACCAGGAGCCAGAGAGAGTGGCTGCCGGGCTTGGCTCTGATACTTTCTAGTTGTCCGGCTTTGAGCGAGTTTCCTGACTTCTTTATGCCTTGGTGGTCTCATATATAAGATAGGAACCTACCTCCCTAGCTCTGGGACTGGCCATGAGGATGAAATGAGCCAATGTGAGCAAACTGCTTGGCACAAAGCCTGACACACAGTAAGTGTTGCCTAAATGTCCACTTTTAAAAATTATTTTTATGACTTACATCACATAACCAAGCTTGTTTTGTTTCTTCCTTTGTTTTACCTCTATTGTCTCACATGGATTTTTATAGACTTTATCTAGAAAGAGTTTGGTGTTTTAAAATCTAAGTTTTCAGCTTAGTAATTTTTTTTAATTAAGGTATAATTTACATAAAGTAAAATTCACCCTCTTTAGTGCACAGTTCTGTGAGTTCTGACAAATGTATACATTGGTGTAGTCACCACACCATCTACATATAGAACTGTTTGACTGCTCCTAAAATTCTCCCAAGCCCCTTTGTAGTCAACATCTCCTCTCACCCCCAGCTCCTGGCAACTCCTAATCTGTTTACTGGTTCCACAGTCATATCTTTCCCAGAATGGAATCATACAGTATGGAGCCTTTTCAGTCTGGCTTATTTTACTTAGCATAATGCATTTGTGATTCATCCATGTTGTTGTAGATGAAAGTAGTTTATTCCTTCTGCTGTGGTTTGAATATTTGTCCCTTCCAAAACTCATGTTGAAATTAATCCCCAATGTGACAGTATTGAGAGATGGGGTCCTTAAGAGGTGATTGGGTCATGAGGGCTCTGTCCTCACAAGTGGATTAATCCATCCATGGATTAATGAGTTAATGGCTTAGTGGGTTATCATAGGGGTGTGACTGGGAGCTTTATAGGAAGAGGAAGAGAGACCTGAGCCAGCACATTCGGCCCCTTGCCATGTGATGCCTTGCACCACCTTGGGACTCTGCAAAGAGTCCCTACCAGCAAGAAGGCCCTCACCAGATGCAGCCCCTCAACCTTGGGCTTCACAGCCTCCAGAACTGGAAGAAATAAATTTCTTTTCTTTATAAATTACCTAGTTTCAGGTATTTGGTTATAAGCAACAGAAAACGGACTAATATACCTTCTAATTGCGAAGTTATATTCCATCATATGGATGTACCATAGTTTGTTTGTCCATTCACCAACTGAATGACAGTTTCGGTTATTTCCAGTTTTTAGTGATTAGGAAGCAGAGAGAAAGAAAGAACTGGGTCCTCAAGGATATCACTGAACAATTGAATTAAAACCCAGAAAACTCCCCATCTCAGCTGTTATAAACATTCATGTACAGTTTTTTGTGTGGCTGTGGCAGGGCAGGTGAGCCTCAAATTGGGGCTTAGTCCAGGAAACTTCTTGGCTTCATTCAGGAAATAATTCAAGAGCAAGCTGGTGGTAGAAGAAAACAGCTTTATTGAGGCAGCATTTTTAAAGCTCGTGAGAGTAGCAGCTCAGGGGCAATTCTGCCCACTTTTTATTACATGCAAATTAACAAGCAGATTATTCAGAATTTTCTTAGAAAAGGGGTGGTAACTTCTGGGTTGCTGTCATGGAAAGGGGCAGTAACTTCTGGGTATAGCCATGTTAATGGTAAACTGATATGGCACTGGGTATGTCTTTTGGAGAGGTGATTTTTCACCTTTTCCCTGTTTTAGCCAATCTTCAATCTGGTCTGGAGTAAAGTCCTGCCTCCTGCCTCATGACCATAAGATTTCATTTCTCTTGTAGAGATAACTCAGAGTGGAATTCATAGATCATATGATAAATGAAGTTTAGCTTTATAAGAAACTGCCAAGCTATCTTCCAAAGTAGCTGTACCACTTTGCATTCCCAGGAGCAATGTATGAGAGTTCCAGTGGTTGGCACCTGGAATCTCAGCACTTTGAGAGGCTGAGGCAGGAGGAACACTTGAGCCCAGGAGTTTGAGACCAGCCTGGGCAACATAGTGAGACCCCATCTCTATGACAAACAAACAAAATTGTATGAGAGTTCTAGTTGTTCCACATCCTTACCAATACTTGGTATTTTTAGGGCTTTTTCTTTTTTAAAAAAGCTACTTGAGGCCAGGTGCGGTGGCTCACACCTGTAATCCCAGCACTTTGGGAGGCCAAGGCGGATGGATCATGAGATCGGGAGATCGAGACCATCCTGGCCAACATGGTGAAACTCCGTCTCTACTAAAAATACAAAAATTAGCCGGGCATGGTGGCAAGCACCTGTACTCCCAGCTACTCGGGAGGCTGAGGCAGGAGAATTGCTTGAACTCGGGAGGCGGAGGTTGCAGTGAGCCGAGATCGTGCCACTACACTCCAGTACAGCCTGGTGACAGAGTGAGACTCTATCTAACAAAAAAAAAAAAAAAAAAAGCTACTTGAATAGGTGTGTAGGTGTAGTAGCATCTCATTGTAGTTTAAATTTGCATTTCTCCAAGCTTGTTTTTTGTTTATTTCCTTCACATCTCAGTAGTGTTTTCTCTATTCCTCCTTTTTCCTTACTGGCAGGGTGTGGCTTATTCAGGTGCTTATCCCATATCTGAGTGATGCAGGAATAGGTGATCTTTTCTCAGTCTCCAAGGATCAAATTAGATTGATCCATATCAGTTATGGGAACCCCATAATGGTTCATGATTGGTTGGAGTGGGCTTAGGGCTCAAGTCTGTCCAACAAGACTTGAGGGGATGTCAATTTGGGGACTTCAGGGAAAGGTTTCCTTATCCCGCATGACCACGTGCTAAGATGTGATGCCTGGAACTGTGGCATTCACCTTGTCAAAATGAGTAAGAGACTGTGAGAGTGAAGTAGACATTTCTAGAGATTGCAAGGTAGAGAGAAGGAAAGAATTGGGTTCTCAAGGGTATCACAGAACAACTGAATCAAAACTACCCATCTCAGACTTTCTTTACTGTTTAACATTATTGTTTAAACCAGTTTCAGTCAGTTTTTTTTTGTTATTTGTAGTCTAAAACATCTTGACCATGTAACTCAGGGGGAAAAGTGGCATACTTGTTCTATGGAGCCCAAGAAGACAAAATTAAAACCCACAATGGTGGCAGTATATTGTGATTAACAGAACAAGTATTCAGTTCCTTGTACAACTGACTTCACCTCTCAAAGTCCCAGCTGGCTTATCTGTAAAACGAGTAAAATAATAATACCTACCTTAGATGACTGTTGGGAGGATTCGAGACTCTACACAGTTTGGCTGGCACTTCATAAGCTCTCAAAATGTTATCTATAATCATTATTATAAAGTATTATTTGGAGGCCGAGGCAGGTGGATCACTTGAGGTCAGGAGTCCGAGACCACCCTGGCCAACATGGTGAAACCCCATCTCTACTAAAAATACAAAAATTAGCTGGGAGTGGTGGCACGCACCTGTTCTCAGCTACTCAGGAGGCTGAGGCAGGAGAATCACTTGAATCTGGGAGACAGAGGTTGCAGTGAGCTGAGATTGCGCCTGGGTGACAGAGTGAGATTCTGTCTCAAAATAATAAATACATAAATTAAATAAAATAAAAAAGTATTATTTATGCGACTTTGATAATGTCCCCATCAGTCCCTAGTGTAGTTTTAGGATTTGTGGTTCATATCGGCTTTGAAAGCTCTTCATTTTAGATACAGCCAAAGGGATATGCTTCTGGCTGTGATAAAGTATTTGGTACCCACCAGCCTGCTACCAACTACTTTATCATAGCCAGATGTAGTGTACATATATACACACCATTGTATGCGTGTGTGTGTGTGTGTGTGTGTGTGTGTGTGTGTGTGTGTGTGTATCAGGGGCCTGCAAAGGCATTCAGGACTTGAGGGATCAAGATTCCAGATACAGAGAAGTTCATTGAGATGAATTTCTCTTGGGGCATTTGCCAATTCTTGGCACAGGGTGAAAGACTGAGAAGCCAAACAAGCTCTAGGTAGTTTCATGGGGCTGAAGAGATCAAATATGAAGTTTGGGATGACCAAGCCATCAGGACAAGGATCCTGGAGAGAAGGGAGACACAGAGAAGTAAGCCTGACCCTCAGTACCAGTTTTTCCTTCTAGGCATTTACCATTTCTTAAGCTCTGTACAAGAGAAGACTGAGAAGTTAAGGGGAAAGCAATGGAAAAGCAGAGTGGGGTATTTTCAGTCTCACAGCACTTACGAGAAAAAATTGGAGTTCAGAGCCCAGCAGGAAGGACAGGCCCTAGTAAATAGCCCAGGCTTTCAGTTGAGACCACTGGATGGTTATAACCGGATGGGTGAACCAGAGGTAGAACAAGACTTACAAAAGTTGCAACCCAGACTTGAATCAGCTCAGTCTGTGATAGATTTAGGTGATATGTTCTCACTTTATCTACTGTCACAGGAAACAGCAATCTTCTCTAGGGGAAGGTCACATCATGAAGATCCTCTTCAATTTTTCGTGCACAATATCTGGCATGAAATTTTTTAAAAATCTTTTTTTCCAGACACACCAATAAACAGAAACAAAATGAAAAAAAATAGGCAGTAGAAATAGGCTCAAAGGTGATCCAGATATTAGTATTATCAGGCATGGACTTTAAATAACTGTGAATGGTATGTTCAAGAAAATGAGACAAAATAGGGAATTTCTTCAGAGAACTAGGATCTTTAAGAAATAATCAGTTGGATATTAAAGAACTGAAAGATACAATAATTGAAACCAATAACTCACTAGATGGGTTTAGAGACAATTGGACACACCTAAAGAGGACTAGTGGATTGAAAGATGAGTCAGTATGCAGAAAAATATCTCCAGAATGAAAAGCAAAAATAAAGCTGGGCACAGTGGCTCACACCTGGTAATCTTACCACTTTGGGAGCCTGAGGCAAGAGGATGGCTTGAGCCCAGGAATTCAAGGCTGCAGTGAGCTATGATCACGCTGCTGCACTCCAGCCTGGGTGACAGAGCAAGATCCTGTCTCTTAAAAAAAAAAAAAAAAAAAGCAAAAATAACAGAAAATAAAGGAAAGAGATACATGATACACAGTGAAAAGGTCTAACGTACACATAACTGGAGGCCCAATGGGGAGAACAAATAAAATGCACTATCAATATTTCTGATAAATAATCAATAATTTTCCAAAGTTGATAAAAACACATCAAATCACAGTTCCAATAAGCACTACAAGCCCTAAGCAGGATAAATACAAGACAAACCACACCTAAGCATATACGAGTAAAGGTGCTAAAATTCAAAGGCAAAAAAATAGAGCAATCAGAGGAAAAAAGACACATCATCTTTGAAGGATCAATAATAACACAGACAACTAACTTCTTAATAGAAACACTAGAAGTAGAAGACAGTAGAACAACCTCAAATACTGAAAGGAAACAACTACCAACCTCAAATTCTGTACTCAGAGAAAATATTCTTTATAAATGAAGACAAAATAAAGACACAGACAATTAAAAGAATTTTTACCAACTGACTCACACTGAAAGAAATACTATAGGGAGTTCTCCAAGTGGAAGGTAAAATAGTCCCAGATAGAAATATGAACATGCAGAAAGGAATGAAGGGTAAATTTGGAATAAATTGAAATAAACTTGACTGTACAAAAACAGCTATAATAATGTCTTCTGTGGTTTAAAATATATGTAGAATTAAAATGCATGAGAACAATGGGAGAAGTGTAAATGGAGTTAAAATAGTCTGAGATCTTAGCATTGTCTCTAATGTGACAAAAGTACAAATTTGCATTGGACTTTAACGAGTCAAAGATGCATGTTATAATATTGAGGTTTAACCACTAAGTAAATTGTCAAATAATGTATAACTAACAAACAAACATGGGGGGAAATGAAATACAGCCACCCAGGAATCTGGCGGTGGGGGGATTAGTGCCAAGATCTCCCCAAAGATAACCAAAATCTGCAGATGCTCAAGTCTCTGATATGAAATAGCCACAGTATTTGCATATAACCTGTGCGCATCCTCCCATATATATTAAATCACTTTCAGATTACATATAATACCTAACAGAATGTGACTGCAATGCAAATAGTTATTATACTGTATTGTTCAGGGAATAATGACAAGAAAAAAAGTCTGTGCATGTTCAGTATAGAGGCAATTTTTAAAAATACTTTTGATCCACAGTTGGTTGAATCCACGATGCAGAACCCACGGATATGAAAAGTCAACTGTAATAAAAATTGCTTCTTGATTAATCCAAGATAAGGAAAGAAAAAAGAGGAAACAAAACAGGTGGGACAGATAGAAAACAAATAGTAAGATGGTGAATATACAATAGAATCAATTTGATAAACATTTTTAGAGCACTTATTAAGCACAGGGGACTGTGTTCCATGCGAGATACACCGATAATTAAGGCACAGTCCCTTCCACTGTATGATTTAGTAAAGACTTAAAGGAGAGAGAAAAATCTGGTAGCATCCTGTTGAAATTCAAGTAAGGCTTCATGCTGAAGGTGGTATTTAAGCTGAGCCTTTAGTGATGGGCAAGATTTTCACAGGAGGTAGAGTCGGCCTGCTAGGAGGATATGTGAAACACGGGCCAGAGGGCAGGGGCAGGAAGGGGCCCTGGGGAACCAGAGGGAGATCAGTTTGGATAGAGCAGGATATTTGCACACACAGAACATGGGAGAAAGAGTAATGAAGACCTATTGAGCCTGATAAGGAGTATACCTTATCTGCCAGCCAAAGGAGTAGGGACCACATCTCCAAATCATGAAAATAGAAGGAGCAGTGGAGTTCATCTACTCAACCCTCCCATTTTACAGATGAGTAAACTGAAATTTGTAAGCAAAAAGAAAATTGTTTAATATTAGCATAATATAGACTGATCTGGGCTTTAGAGACCTCACCCTATGGCCTTTGGGAAGATGGATGGGAGGGAGCAAGGCTAGTGGCAGGAAGACCAGTGCGGGGGCTGGTGTGATGATCCCTGTGATGACAAGGAGGCCTGTACTGGAGCAGTGACCATGGAGACAGCTGAAGAGGAGGCACATGTGGGTGACATTGTATGATGTGGCCATGTTCAAGTGAAAACACTGGCTGAAAACCTGTGGTAGCTATCAATTAAAGAAGGAAAAACTTCAAAAATTTGGAAAGGAGAGCTTTATTTCTCATAAAGGGTTGCAGCCTGCAGGTGGCCATTCTGACAGGCTGGGAAGCATAGCTTCTGGCCAGAAGCCGGAAACAGGCACTTTGAGATCAGAAGAATAAGACAGGGATTTATGCTGAATAGGGTGGCTGAATATGCATACTCAATAAGCCATGGGAGGAGCCATGAATAATTACAAAGAAGAAACACACATGCACAGTTGAGCCCCTTCATGGGTCATAGGTACAAAAAAAGGGTGGTATTAGCACGATCCCAGAGTGCGGTTTTCGGCCTTCTGATGTCAAAAGGTGAAGCAGAGGACACAAAAACCCTCCCTGAGCAGCATCCATATTCTGGCCAGAACCACTCTGTGGTCGGTGGTCTCTTATCAGGAAAGGATGCTGGCCGGTTATGTGTTGAAACTGCAAAAGTGGAGGGCAGCTTTAGGCAGCTGGCTGCAATCAGTGGTGCGGCGAGTCTTTTGAAAGGACTGGTTTCTGTGCAGCCCTTAGGGAAGAAAGCCTCACAGCGGTTAGCCAGGGAGGGAGTAGAATGAGGTGGGTCTGACCTCCCATCACATTGCAGTCAGGAACTCATTTTTTTTGGAGTCCCCTTAACCAAGAGGGGGTCCATTCAGTTGGTTGGGAGCTTAGGATTTTATTTTCACTTTCCACAGCCATAGACCCTTCCACCCAGCATGGTCATGAAGAGGCTGAGGCCCAGGAAGTGTGACTCAAAACTCAGGAGATGGCATCACGAACCTTTAGGGGAAAGGAGCTAGCATTTATCAAAGCCCTGTTTGTTGCCAGGCTCAGCACCATGGCTAAGTGTTATCTCATTTAATGCTCACAATGACCCTCAGAGGAAGGACTTATGATTTTTTCCTTTAGAGGTGGGGAAATTGAGTCTCAGGTGGGATGACCTTCACAAGGTCACACAGTGTGTATGGCAAAGGTGGAATGCCTCGCATTCTTTCCACAGCATCAGTCAGGACTTGAGGGTCAAAAGTGACTTAACCTCAGGTGTGTGAGTCATAGTAATGTTATCTGCTGGGTCAAACAGATTCCCACATGTATAATAGCTCAAATACAATAGATGTTTATTTCTCACTCATATAAAGTCCAAAGTCAACCCCCCATGCAGGGATTCAGGGCTCCAGCTCCCCCAATCTTGTGACCCACTGTTTCAACGCAATCACACACATGAAGCTGATGAAAGGGGAAACAGGAGACAGGATGGGATTTGGGAGGGTTTCCGGGTCCAAGCCTCGAAGTGCCTTACATCACGTGAAAGACATATATTTAAAATGCATTGTCTTAGATTAGGTTCCCTGGAGGCAAAGCCTTAGACAGATACTCGTACTCAAGTGTTTATTGAGGGAGAGCTCTTGGGAGAAACCGGTAAGGGAGGAGAAAAGGAAAAGTCCAGCCTCACCCGACCCCATGGGAGCTCTGGAACAAGAACCATACCAGAGAGGTTTTTCCACCATCCCACAGGAAAAGCACAACTTCCCAGACATCCTCCTGGGAGGCTCCCGTCAGCTAAGGGCCACTTGCAGGATAAAGGTGCTGCTGTGAGATGTTCACAGCCAACACTCCCAACAGTGGGGAGATGGGTACAGGATCTGGCATAGGATCTGGGTGGGACACCAACGGTATCCACTACAACAGGAGAGAAAGGGCAGGTTCCATAGAGGAGAGGGCATGACTGGGTTTGTGAGAGGTAGGGGGAAGGGCTTCCAAGATGGGGACATTAAAAGTTGATTTGGCACCTACTATGTGCCAAGCACTTTCCTCAGACCTGAGGTGGTTTTCTCCCCGGGGCAGCCTGGTCACACTGTATGCTAATGAGCAGACTGTCAGTCATCTGATCATTAACAAATGATCCTGGGTCCACTTCAGTCTTCAACAGTGCCCTATTATCCAGCTCCATGCTGTGTGCCAGGCTGCAGGTGCCAGGAGGTCTTAGAGGAAGTCCCTGCTTCCAAGGTGCAGGGGGCCAGCAATGGGCAGGAAGAGGCAGGTAGATGGGCCAACTTGAGACAGGACTAGCAGGAAAAGTCTCCAAGGATATTCCCAACACCTGTCACTGGGCTGGTGCAGAAGGGCTGCTAAGTGTTTGCCGGATGAAGGAGAAGAATGTCCTCCCTAAAGCTCTTCAGGTCCCCAAAGGCCTAGCCTGGTTCCCAGCATACAGTAAGATGCTCATGAAAAATGTGTGGAATAGATGTCCCTGGGGTTTGACTGGGGCTCAGAAATGACTGTACTTCCTAGTCACTCTAGAAGGTGGCGCTGGGGACTGTGTCTCTATGGACTCCCGAGCTGCCATCCTGTACGTGGGTCCCCATCCCCCTGGACAGGCCAGACCCACGCTGTTTTTTCCCCTCTCCCCCACTCCTCCTGGTGTCTTTGCAGGAACAGGATATTAAGCACCTTGAGTGCTGGAATGAGAAACATGTACTTTAGTTCTTCATCCACAATGACCAGCTTCTATGTGACATGATAGGGCATAAGGGTGAACAAGATGCACAAAATCTTACCCCCATGGGGCTTACATTCTAGTGGGAAGCAGGGAAGAAAATAGGGGAAAAGTTTAAAACTATCTGGGATAGCTGATCCCAGACCACATGAACAAATGGGTGGTAAGGAGAAAACAACAAGGGGATGTGACAGAGACGAAGTAGAATTGACTTCAGGAAGGATCATCAGAGAAGGCTTCACTGAGGAGGTGGCATTTCAGCAGATTTAACTGGAGTGGGGATGCGATCATGGGAGGGGTAAGAAGAGAGTGTCTGGGCCCAGTGAATGTTCAAGTACAGGGGCCCTAAGAGGGGAGCCACCTTAGCTCATTACTAAGTGAGGACCCCGTGGCTGGAAGACTCAGCAGGAATTAGACAGTGGTCAGAAGAGAAGTTGGGAAAAATGGCAGGGCCCGATCCCAAGGGCCTTCTAGGTCCCAGTTAGAAGTTTGAATTTCATTCCAAGGGCAACAGAAAGCCATGGAAGGATTTTAAGCAGGATTTTAATCTGCCATAGTCAGATTTACATTTCTAGAAGTTGCCTTGGATTCTGGGTGGGGAATGGCCTGTAAGTGGGGGATGAAAGTGGGGTGGAAGTCAGAGGTTGGGTGAGGTCTAGAGTTGAGCTGTGGGTGGCATGGAGTGAGGCAGTGGTTTGGGAATGCAGAGCAGGTGGGGGAGATTACACTCAGAGGTCCTCATTCTTCACCCCCTGCAGCCTCCTCCTTGCCATTTAACTCCGCAGCATCCCCACTCCATGCTGGGCTTGGCCTCATGAGTTGCTTGATCCATAAAATGCCGGCAGGTGTGACATCAGCACAGACTGAGATGGGCCTGTGCCCTTGGGGGCAGGCTGACTCTTGTGCCTCCGCCATCACTGGCCATGGGGCTAGTCTGGTGAAGAAGAGACATGTAGAGTTGCCCCAGGCCAAGGCCAACCTAGATCAGCCCACAGCCAGCCAAACCCCAGACACATGTGTGAGCCCCACAGAGATGAGCAGAGCTGCCTAGCTGACCCCAGACACATGAACAAATGCATATTGTTGCATACACTAAGAGTTGTCGTTGCTTGTTACACAGCAGCCTTGTCAAGCCAGACAACTGATGGAGAAGGAAACAGCCACACATGGATGGTCTGCACGTGAGAGGGAGAGCACAGGAGTCAAGGAGGACTCCCAGGTTTCTGGGTGATCGGCACACCCTACATCAGATGAGGAAGGGTCAGGAGGATAGCAAGGGAACAGGTTTGGTGGAGAAAATCAAGAGTCCTCTTTTATCTGAAGGATAACAGGGAGCCATTGAGGGCTCTTGAAGCAGGAAATTGACCTGGTCAACATCACGGTGATGAAAGGGGGTCTTGAACTGAATGCTCTCATCACCAAATGTGTTTCCTGCCTGGGGCTTTACCAGAAGGTTGAACTTACACAAATGTCTTTTGTCCATTCTATTCCCAGAGAAAAACAGACTTCGTTTTCCCCTTTTCCAGTTGCTAGGACACTAATCTGCCTGAGAAAGGCGTGGGAACATCTGGTTGGCGGGAACCTGCTTCTGGGAATTTCTTGTGTATCTGCAATTCTATTGATTCTCCTGTCACTCCTGATGGCCAAGGCTTTCTAGCCGGGGAGGAGGTAGATCCTGGCTGGTCACATGGGCAGCTGTGCCGGAGAGTAGGCAGGGAGGGGAAGGACACACCGTTAGTGAGCACCAACTAAATGCCAGGCCTGTGCTCAAGACAGGTGCATGGGCTCCTTCATTAACCCCAGAGGGGCCCGTGCTCAGAGAGTAAAGGAATTGCCTGAGCCTTATCCTGTTTCTTTCTTCCAAATACAGATACTAGATTTGGTCTGGTATTATCTGTCTCCCTCCTTCGAACAGAAGCTCCATGCCATTGATTATCTTGTTTTGTTCACTCCTGTACCTCTGTTGCATAGAAAAAAGTCTGACACGTAGAAGTAGTACATAACATTTATGGAGTATTTGCTAAGTGCGTGGCACTTTGTGAGTTCTTTAGATATTACTAAGGCCTTTAAACTTCAAAATGACCCTAAGAAGTGGGTATTGATTTTGTTCCCATTTTATAGATGAGAAAACTGAGGCACAAGGGGATGAAATAACTTGCCCCAGGAAGAAACAGAACTGGGAATCCCAGGCAGCTTGACCCCAGAACCTGCGCTCAGAGAGATAACCCCGCAAAGAGCATGTGTTGAATGAACTAATGACCTTGCCCTGGACCCCACAGGGAAATGGGGTTTCAGCCCCTGACAGTGCTGACTCCAAAGCTGAGGTTCTTTGAATTCCAATTTGAAATCAAATCAGCAGGCCTGGTGTGGTGGCTCACGCCTGTAATCCCAGCACTTTGGGAGGCAGAGGCGGGCGGATCTCCTGAGGTCAGGAGTTCGAGACCAGCCTGGCCAATACGGTGAAACCCCATCTCTACTAAAAATACAAAAAGTAGCTGGGCATGGTGGTGCACACCTGTAACCCCAATTACTTGAGAGGCTGAGGCGGAGAATCGGTTGAACCCGGGAGGCAGAGGTTGCAGTAAGCCAAGATCGTGCCATTGCACTCCAGCCTGGGCAACAAGAGCGAAACTCCATCTCAAAAAAATAAATAAATAAAAAGAAAAAATCAGCAGTTCTCCCTCAGGGACCTTCTGTCTCCCTCCCTCATACACACCACCACCACCAAACCTCATCTGCCTGCACCTTCTTGAGGTGTAGGGGCCCAGGAGTTGGGGGGCTAGGGTTCCCCACTGAGGAGGGAAGACCTCAGGTGGGCCATGCTCAGAAGCACTCAGGTGTGGGATCCTGCGCTTCCCTCAGTACCTTGCCAGGCTCCGGGCTCAGCTGGAGTAGGTGAGTAGGGGTGAACACACAAGGTGAGTCCAATGCAGCTGAGAACAACCCAGGGCACAGCTGGCGTCCTCCTGCTGCCCCGGAGCAATGATCCTCACTGGGGGCTGACAAGGACAGCCAGGGCGCCGCAGGCCCAGGCCCCTTGCCGGGACCCCCTGCTCATTATGGCCCCTCATCCCACCCTTCTTCAGGTGGGAAACTGTTCAATATTCTGAGGTCTAGGTCACCTAGTTCTTCATTTGTTCTTTCCAAATCTATTAATTAGAACGTGAACCTACGCTCTGGCTCAGGGATTGGATTCCAAAAACCAAAAGGCCAGGCGCAGGAAAATCTTGGTCTTGGAATTCAAAGTTCTGGCATTTGAAACTAAAAAATCTTGGCTTTTGAAACTCAAAGATTTCTGCCCCCCCCTGCCCCCGATGTTTCTGCCTTTCATTTTTTCCCTGAAACAATGAATGCCACTAGGAGACGGGGAGAGAGCAAAGGATTCAAGGAAAGGGCAGGTGTGTGTGTGTGTGTGTGTGTGTGTGTGTGTACATGCATGCGCATGCACGTGCACTCACACGTGTGGGGGAGGGAGGCCGTCAGCAAATATTTGTGGATAAACAGTTAAGAAACCCTTTCTCTTCTTAAGAACAAATTGGATCTTGGGTTAACTTACCAGCTCTGTCAATCCTAGAAACCATATAAAGGTTGAATGTCAGCTGTGTTGCCAGGCAACACTGTTTATATTAAAATGACCCTTGATTGGTGAATTAGACCTGGACTGGGAGGACCACGAAGGAATGACAAGTGTCCGATGGAGACATCATAATGCTTGGCTTTCCCATGTGCAGTGACTCTTGTAAATGGTTATATCCCTTGCAGGCACCTGTGGGCTTTGCACATGGAGCTGTTGTTATAAGGAGCGTTAGTGCCTATGGGCATGAGTCTTTAGGCCCACGCTGCAGTGCAAGTGTGGCTCTCATCTCCTGCGACCTCAGTGGTCATCTGGTGACCAAACAAGATCAGCTCCCTGACTACTGCGAAGACTCTGGGATGGGAAGGGCCTGGTGCCACCCTCAGGGAGGCTGCTTTCTGGACTGTGTCCTGAGTGACAAGTGTGTCCTATGGTCAGGTGTGATCATTCATTTTCTAGTTGAATGCAAAGAAACCCCCTGGTGGCATTCCCCATTAGCTTACTTCTCTGTTTCAGTGACTGCCAGGGAGGCATTAGCTGGAGCGACCTCTACAAAAGGGAGGAAGGCAAGTGCCCACTGCATGATCAGGGCTTCTGCATGCTGCACAGAGCTCACACCATCCCAAGCACTCTCTTCAGGTAGAATAACCAGGCCCTTTTAACAGAGGAAGAGACTGCGGCTCCCAGAGGTAGACACTTGCTGAAGGTCACACAGCAAGCTGGTGGCAGAGCCTGGATTTGAACCTGAACTGGTCTGGAAGACTTATATTCTAGTACTGGCTCTGCCAGCTATGAGCTGGGAGACTTGTGTGCTGCTCCAAACCTCACTTTCTTCCCTAAAATAAACGAATACAATCACACTACCATACAGGGAGGCTGTGAGGCTCAAGATAAACTGCTTCCAGAAGCCAGGCACTACAGTGCAGCAGAATCCAAAATCTCCCCCTCTCCCCCACCCTGTCTGCTGCCAACCCACCCCAGGGGCTGTACTAGCTGACAAGTTTCTAGTTGCCATCAGCTATGTGGCAGATGTCCCCAGTTTGGCAGAACAGCATTTCCTTGGCACAGATTGTCCCAGGGCACAGCTGAGACAGAGGTTCTGGCTATGTCAGTGGCCAAATCTGATTTAAAATGGGGAGGCCGATTGCCAGCATTCCAGATCGTCCCTAGTAAATGTGAGTAAACAGAGCTGTTGTTAAAGCAGTTGGAGTGAGTCCACTCATTCAATAAATATTTCATGAACACCTACTTTGTGTCAGGCATTGTGGATACTGTTAACCGTGAGCACACATAACGTCTGCTCTTAGGGTTTCAATCTCAATGGAGACAGACACTAATCAAGGAACCACTCAAATTACTATATAGTTTTTAAAAGCCAGTAAATGTTACAAATGCAAATTACAGGGTGCTATGAAACCTTGTAACAGGAGGTCTGTTGTAAACTGCTGTTGTATTGCCCACTCAGCCTCGTGACCTCATCTTCTTAATTTTCCTTCAGGGACGTACTTTTTCCTTCCATCAGCCCATGTAACTCAGGCGGGAAGGAGTTTATGGTGGGCACATGACCCTGCCTGATGGGAACACTCCATTCTCTGACCACTCCAATGACTGGTCAAAGATATGCATGTGACCTAAGTCGGGCCAATGAGATTCGACTCTGGGACTTTTGTAGGGACAACTGGAAGAGGGTTGTTCTCTCTCAATTGGGGTTTCTAAGCTGGAAGCTCAAATATCTTGAGCTTAAATAGGAGCCCCAGGGGAGAGCTTGCTTAAGCCTGGAGCCTCACAGAGGAAAGGTGAGAGATTTTTCACTAGGCAGCTTCTGGCAATGTCATTTGAGACCCTAGATCTAGCTATACCTGAAGCCAGATACTAGCTGGGCTTTTCCATTATCTGAACCAACAGTCACCCTTTTTGACTTAAGTCACTTTAAGTTTGTTTTTCCACCCCTTGCAATCAAGAGCTCTGCCTGATACAGGACTAAAGGGTTTTGGAAAGCTTCCCTGAGAAGTGACATTCATGCTGAGTGCTGAAGGACAAGTAAGAGTAAACTAGGCAAAGAGGCCAAGTCTGAAGTCAGCAGTTTTGGGGTTTAAAAACCTTGAGAAATTTGGGAAAGGGAAGGGGCCTTCATCCTGTGTAGACAGAAAAAGAATTAATGAAGGGATATCACCTGGGAGAAAAGGCAAGTTGCAAATCACACTTAACCCTTAAATCATTTGTTGTTTTTCATTTCAATAAACATGGAAATTTTCATCCCTATTCACTTTTGAAAAGATCTATATTATAATAAGCTCCCTTTGCAGACAGAAGGTGCCCTTCCCTGCACCAGCCATTCCCAAGGGGGTGAGGCCTAAGCCTGCCTTCAAAACCACCTCTGCTTCTGGCTTTGGGGTACTTTTAAAAGAAAGGAAGAAGGCAGGGGGAGGAAGAGAGGGAGGGAGGAAGGGAGGAGAAATAAGAAAGCAAGAAAGAACAATTAAAGCAAAAAGCAATTACAGACTGTAAATGGGACCTACTTTTAAATGCAAATAACCATTTCATAATTTACTAGTTTTATGACATTGTGTAATTTTGTGCCTCAGATTTTCTTAAATTTTAAGCGTTTATTTTTTTCATCACAAAAGTAATATAATCACATTTTGGAATGTGTAGAAGAGAAACAATAACTCTTTCTAATTTCCTTGTTTCAACCCAGCCAAAGTTAGTTTTTGCCACTTTTCTTCTTTTTGTTTGGCTAGTTCCGTGCAACATACAGAGTGCACTACTTTTCAAGCTTCAATGTGCATATGGGTCACTTGGAGATTTGTTAAAATGCAGATTCTGACTCAGTAGGTCCCGGGGCCGGGGATTCTGCATTTCTGATAATCTTCCCAGTGGTGGCAGGGCCAGTCCCAGACCACACATTGTGTCAGCGGGAGCTGAGGTCAACTCCAGGCTGTGTGGCTTCACGCAACCCACTCAGCATTTTTGTCCCAGTCCCTGAGTTCTGGTTTTTAGGAGTCTCCTGTTGGCCCCTGAACTGGATGAAGGGGACAGAGAGTCAGAAGATGTCTAAGGCACCAATGTCTAAGTGCTGCTAAAACGTCCCTGGGAGAAACATGTGGGTTTGAAAGGATAGCTTTGAGAAGCTACTGAGGTAGGGGTGACACCCTTGAGGAGGCTGTTCCACAGGGGGCTCCACAAAGGGTGGGCCCCAGTAACTCCTTCTTTTTTATTTCTTTTTTTTTTGTGGGGGACGGAGTCTTGCTCTGTCGCCAGGTTGGAGTGCAGTGGCATGATCTCGGCTCACTGCAACCTCCACCTCCTGGGTTCAAGCGATTCTCCTGCCTCAGCCTCCCGAGTAGCTGGGACTACAGGCGCCCGCCACCACACCCAGCTAATTTTATTATTTTTGTAGAGACGGGGTTTCACCATGTTGGCCAGGATGGTCTTGATCTCTTTTTCTTTTTCTTTTTCTTTTTTTTTTTTTTGAGACGGAGTCTCGCTCCGTCGCCCAGGCTGGAGTGCAGTGGCGTGATCTCAGCTCACTGCAAGCTCTGCCTCCTGGGTTCATGCCATTCTCCTGCCTCAGCCTCCTGAGTAGCTTGTACTACAGGCACCCACCACCATGTCCAGCTAATTTTTTGTATTTTTAGTAGAGACGGGGTTTCACCATGTTAGCCAGGATGGTCTCGATCTCCTGACCTCGTGATCCACCCACCTCGGCCTCCCAAAGTGCTGGGATTATAGGCATGAGCCACCGCGCCTGGCCAGTCTTATCTCTTGACCTTGCAATCTGCCCACCTCAGCCTCCCAAAGTGCTGGGATTACAAGCGTGAGCTAGCGCATCTGGCCAGCCCCAGCAACTTCTTTTTTTAAATTTAATTTAATTTAATTTATTTATTTATTGAGACGGAGTCTTGCTCTGTCACCCAGGCTGGAGTGCAGTGGCACAATCTCGGCTCACTGGAACCTCCGCCTCCCGGGTTCAAGCAATTCTCCTGCCTCAGTCTCCCGAGTAGCTGGGATTACAGGTGCGTGCCACCATGCCCAGCTAATTTTTTGTATTTTTAGTAGAGACAGGGTTTCACTGTGTTAGCCAGGATGGTCTCGATCTCCTGACCTCGTGATCTGCCCGCCTCAGCCTCCCAAAGTGCTGGGATTACAAGCATGAGCCCCCACGCCCTGCCAGTCCTAGTAACTTCTAAGAGAGTGGTGAGGTAACTGCAGGGCTGCCTTAGGGGGGTGGGCGTGGGGTGCAAGATTGGCAGCTGAGTGCAAATGCTCAGGCAGTGGAGCAGAGGCCAAAGCTGCCACTCACATCTTCCTCTCCCCTTCCTTAGACAACACCACTCCTCTTCCACAGGAATGCTAAACACATAGTTAATTAGATTTGGCTGTGTAGGTGGGCCAGATGATTAGCTTGTCCAGGTTACCTCAGACATCAGCTTTGCCACGTGTTCACAGAACGCGTTCCCAGCTGAAATCTTAGGATATTAAGTCCTTAAGATGTCTGCTTGCAGGCAATGAGGAGATACTTTCTGCAGGAGACATTCATTAAGTCTCCACGGCCCCAGCAAGGTCTGACTCACCCTCTCTTCTGCTTACCACACACAGGCATCTGCCCTCCCCCTACTCCCACCCTCCCACGCACCCCCTAAACCTCCAACCCCCGCCCAGGCCTCCCACAGGAGAAAAGCCTCCTAGCCTAGCATTCAAGCTCCATGATCTGGCCCCTGCTCACACCTCTGCCTCATCTTCGGTACACCAGCCACACAGAAGCACTCCTAGTTTCCACCTCCACGCCTTTGTGTGCAATTTCCTCTGCCTCAAATGCCCTTCCCTGCTTTGGTCACCAAAAAAACACTTCTATTCATCCCTCGAAGCCTAAAATCAGAGGCTCCCTTCCTCAGAAGGCTTCCCAGTCCCTTTCATGAAGTGCTAACCTCCTCCCCGTGCCTTCTTTGTGACTTGTACAGACCTTACAGAAGGCATGAACTTTTGGTAGCAAATGGCTTAGGGGGAAAAAAAGGAGGAGGAGGATTCACAGGCTCATGTAGTAGAAAAGTTCAGGTGTTAGACACAGGCTTCCGAGGCAGCTGAGGCAAAGGGTGAAAACATGCTGCTGGGCCCCTGCCTCTAGCTGTCTATCGATCCTACCTTCCTTCACTCTCAAGCAGCCCCCAGGAGCCCCTGCCTTTACCCTGCCTGCTTTAAGTTCAGCAGACAGCTTCCCTCTCCCAGTAGCTACACAAGGTCTCAGAATTGATTCTCAACGGTCCAGCGTGGGTCACAGGCTGGTTCTTGAACGAATCACTCTGGCCAGGGGATCGACAGCTCTGATTGGCCCAGCCTGAGTCACATGGCCACCCATGGGGGGCCAGAAGGTCTGAAGTGGGCAGGGATGGATTCTGGAGGGAAATGAGGGTTCCAGAACCAGAGGCCCTGTGGGGATCCCACAACCAAATGCCGCAAGTGCCCACCAGAGACATCTCTTAGTGCTCTTTTCACAGTGTACCATGATTTATGTCTCTCCTCCAGCTAGGTAGGGTACCAGCATTCTTTTAATTTATAACTCCAGAACATCATTCCAGCCCAGGGGAAGAGGAGTTTACGAAAGGATCATTAAATTGCACTTTTTAGGCATTTACTTGCTATGTGACCTACATAGCAAGTAAATCAGAACAGAGTCTGACAAGGATTTTTGTGACATGTATATTAAGGTAATACTTCTTGACATCTTTAAAACCATAAATTGAGGTTTTGCTCAGTGTCCATGTTGTTCAGGGTGAGTCCATGTGTCTCTCCTTGAATCTTCATGACACAGGGGGAGGAGGACTTCCTCCTTGACAAGTGACAAAACTGAAGCCCAGAGACCTTAAGTAGCTTATCTGAGGTGACACTGCTGGTGAGCGGAATTGCTAGAGGTTCATCCCAGGCCGCTGCCTCAGAAGCCGTGCGCTCTCCACTGCCCCTGTGCAGAGAGGGTGGCATACCTGGACTTTCTGGTGGTTTGCTGAAGGAGTTCTCAATTCATTTGGGGCAGGGAGGGGAGGATCTCAAAAGCACCTCTATGTCTTGTTGAAAATATTCCTCTGTCTTGGTCCAGGCTTCCTCAGAGGCAGACCCTAAGGCAGGGATGCAAGTGCAGGTGTTTTCCTTGGGAGAGGAGGCTGGGTGCACTGCTAAGAGAGGGCCTAGTGAGACAGGGAGGGGAAGACAGCCCACCAAGAGAGTTCAGGCACCAGCCACCTCCACAGGCAACTGGAGCGGAATGCCATGGAGATGTGCTGAGAGCCAAGGAGGACCAGAGCTCACAGTGTTGTATCTGAGGGGAAAGGGAGTGGGCATGTTTATTCCCCACTATATTCAGCCATTGGTCAGGGCTGCTCCCAGGGGCAGGAAGTTGTCAGCCCATCCAGCAGCGAGAAGAAGGCCTCGGGCACTGCCAGATGGATAGGGCAGTGTGGCCTGAAGAGGCTGGGGCCTCCCACAGAGCACAGACAGAGGCTGCCAGAAGCCTTTTCCTCCCAAGCTAGGAACCACTCTTCATAGAAAACAGGCCCAAATACTGAAATCAGGGCATTGCAGACCCTTACTGCTAGAGCGTCTCAGGCACCTGGTCTGCAAAGCCTGGGGCAGCCCCTGGCAGATGTGGCCGGTTGGCCCCATTCTTGCCAGGATTGTTTCTTCTCTTTGCTTTTCCCTTCGCCCTTCTTGCTGTTTTCCTCAATTTTTATGAGTATTGCACAAAGATGCTCATAAAGAATATACTGGGGGCTCAAAATGCAGCATCTGTGGTTCGGTGAACAACACAAGGTAATTACTTTCCATTTCTTCTAAGAAAATTATAAAATATCCCAGACACACAAAGAGAAGAAACAGTAACGCAATGAACGAACACCCATGCACCCACCCCCAAGCCAAAGAACTAGGCCATTGCAAGCTGATTCCATCACTTCAGGAACCCCCAACCCCTGAGAGAGCATGAGACACAGAGGCTGGAGCCTAAGGACTCTGCTCTGCCCCTCGCAGCTGTGGACCTTGCACAGTTCACTGCTTTGAGCCTCAGTGTCCTTATCTATGAAATGGTAATGCTAGTACCTACCTCCAGAGAGAAAGTGAAGAAATCTGTGAACTGCTAAAAATGTTTAAGTAGCTGATGCCTTTTCTTTGGGTCTCCCTGTGTCGGAGTCCCTCTGCGATGTGGCCTTGAAGCTCTTCCCATTAAAGAGAGAGTCTGTTTCCCCGTCACTTGAATGTAAGCTGACTTCCTGGCTTGACTTGCTCAGGAGAATGTGGCAGGGGTGACTGTGTGCCAGTTCTGAGCCCAGGCCTGACAGGAGCTTGCATGCTTCCTCTCGCTCTCATGCCATGAGAACAAACCTGATCTAGGCTGGGTGCAGTGGCTCACACCTGTAATCTCAGCACTTTGGGAGGCCAAGACAGGCAGATCACTTGAGGCCAGGAGTTTGAGACCAGCCTGGCCGACATAGCAAAACCCCGTCTCTACTAAAAAATACAAAAATTCAGCCGGGCACAGTGGCTCACACCTGTAATCCCAGCACTCTGGGAGACCGAGGCGGGCGGATCATGAGGTCAGGAGATCGTGGCTAACACGGTGAAACCACATTTCTACTAAAAATACAAAAAATTAGCTGAGCATGGTGGTGAGCGCCTGTAGTCCCAGCTACTCAGGAGGCTGAGGCAGGAGAATGGCGTGAACCTGGGAGGTGGAGCTTGCAGTAAACTGAGATCACGCCACTGCACTCCACTCCAGCCTGGGGGACAGAGAGAGACTCCATCTCAAAAAAAAAAAAAAAAAAGATTAGCTGGGCCTGGTGGCACATGCCTATAATACCAGCTAGTCAGGAGGCTGAGACAGGAGAATCACTTGAACCCAGGAGGCAAAGGTTGCAGTGAGCTGAGATCACACCACTGCACTCCAGCCTGGGCAACAGAGGGAGACTCTGTCTCCAAAACAAACAAACACCTGATCTAGCCTGCTGGAGGGCCAACATTTTCACTGAGTTTCCTGATAAACTCAAAAAGTCCTCTCCATCTCTTTTCCTTTTTACACGGCTGCAATCTTTGCTGAGGAAGTTTCCACGACAACAGAGGTCTTAGCAAAAATGGGCAGCAGTAAGTCTGGCCGCTTCTCAATGCTTGTCAGCAAACAAAGATGCAAGGATACTCACATCCTCCCACCCCAGCAGGGATCCTGTGGGTGAGCTCGTCAGCGCCAGGGAGCATGTCTGTTACAGCAGCAGTATTAATGTATTTGCTTACACAGGTATCCCCACTGCTTGCGGGGGAAAAAAGATGTGCGTGAACTTGGTGTCAGTGAATGCTGCCTCCTGACACATTTTTCTTGTTACATTTCTTTTCCCTGTCACAGTCATTTTTGGTCATTTTTATCCTGTTACAGTAACATACAAATATCCTGACATTTCTTCAGAGATCTTTGGAAGTCCTATTTTCTCCTGACTGCCAAGAAAAAAAGGACAATGAGACGTTATATCTTGTCATCCTAAGTCACACCACCCCCGCCCATCAAGAACTACTTCAGAACAGAAACGTGTCAGTTAGCTACTGCTGTGTAACAGACACTACAAACTCAATGGCTTAAAACAGTAAATGTTGCTTATGAGATTACAGGTCTACAGATCAGCTGGGTGATTCCTCTGGTCTCAGCTGGGCTCCCTCACATATCTGACGTGAGCTGACAGTCAGGTAGACAGCCCTGCCGATCTGTCCTGGGCTCTCTCCCTTGTTTGGGGGTCAGATGGCTGCTTCATGCTAGTGCAGGATGTGTGTTGGGACTCATGGGCTCTCCTCCATGTGGTTCAGCATCCTCCAGCAGGCTACAGAGAGGGTTTGTTCTCATGGCATGAGAGCGAGAGGAAGCATGTGAGCACCTTTCAGGCCTGGGCTTAGAACTGGTGTACAGTCACCCCTGCCATATTCTCCTGGCAAGTCAAGTCAGGAAGTCAGCTCACATTCAAGTGACAGGGAAACCGGCTCCCCTTTATATAGGAGGAGCGGCAAGGTCATATTGCAGAGAGATGCAGACACAGGGAGGCCATTAATACAATCAATCTATTACAAAAGGGAAACATTCTGGAATGGCTGGCCTGTCTCATCTGCCACTACCCACAGCTAAGGCCTGCGGTCTTCGAACTGGCAAGGTTCAGCCTTGCTCCAGAGTGGAAAGGAGGGAGAGAAGAGGAAGGGAGGATTGGGACGTGGGCAACCCTCTTTTCCCTCCCTGTCTACTTACACCTGAAGGGCTAGGGAGGATTTGCTGGAATACTGTGTGCTCCATGCATCCAACTTGGAGCTCCTAATACTTAATAAGTCCCCAAGATAATCCTGTGAGTTGGCTTATTAGGGCATTACTGTTACATAAACTAGCCACTAATTGTGAAATGTATTTACTCAAGTCTCTGAGCCACAAGATAAACACTCATGTTCTGGTGGCATCACTACCTTGACAATCAAGCTCATTTAATCCAGAGCTCCTTGTAAGAACTGCACGTTGAAGGGGTGCTCCCTGTGTGAATTTTGGGGGACTCTATAAGAGATATTCCAAGGAGGCTGTCCCCTAGTCACAGCACCCACCGGCCTGGACTTCAGGGCCTTCTCTATGCCAGATGAGGCCTTGTTGCCTGGCTGGGCCCTCGACCACCCCCACTTGTCTCCCCTGTGCTGGTCACTCATCTGCCTGCTCAAGAGAGACCACAGCCTTAAGAGTCAGATTTGGCTTAGGATCTGAGCTCCACCACTCTCCTGAGTTGGTCTGGGACATTTACAAAATATTCTCTGGAAGATCCACAAAGTGGATGTCAGAAGATCAATATTGCTGTGGAAGTTTACTCAGAGTAAAAACCAAAGTCCTTACAAAGCTCTTAAAGGCAAAATAACCTGGCCTCTGTTCCCCCTCTGAACTCATCCTCTATTCACCTCCCTCACTCATTTCCCTCCAGGAACATGGGCCTCCCCACTCTTCCAGGCACTCTGCTGCCTCGAGGCATTCACATATGCTGTTTCCTCTGCTGCAGTGCTCGTCCCTTAGACACCATGCGGCTTCCTCCCTCACCTCCTGCAGGTCTTTGCTGAAATTCACCTTCTGCCTATCTGCCAGGACTGTAAATGCAGCCGCCCTCCACAACACCCCCACCCTCCTTCCCTGCTTAGCTTTCTCCTTATTTCTCAACATGGTCTAACTTACTGTGCAGTTCATCAAATTCAGATGTCATCAGTAGCAAGACGAGCTATTAGTTTATGCACCATAAAGAAAGATAAACATGCCAATTAAACAGCAGAACAAGACTAAGATACCATTGAATGTAGGACACACTCTGATTTCAGAAATGTTAAATGTCAGGGGGAAATCAGCATCATAGAATCACTGAAGTCTGGTGTATTTTACTTATTTATGTTGTTTATTTTCTGTTTTCCCCGCTAGAATGGCAGCTCCATAAGGGCAGGGTCTTCACCCGGTTTGCTCACTGCTCAGTGCCTAGGACAGTTCCTTGCATGTAGGAGGTGCTTTTTAAATACTGTTGAACATTGAAAGATTTATCTCTGCCCCCTCAAGAAAGTCCAAGACCTGGAACTTCCTTAATACTGTCCAAATGGGCTATGTGAATATTCGACCCAAGATGGGGCAAGGACTTTCCTGGCACCAGAGCAGTAGCCAGCGCACAGTAAATGCCCAATAAATATTCACTCATTGGATTAGTGATTGGATAGTCTGAGATGCTGTCTTGGATCCAAAACTCAAGACTGATGTAGGGCTGCTAGACAGCCTGAGAGCAAAGGGTTTGCCTCTGACGGGGCTGTGCTCGGGTCATTGCTACACACGGATGGCACGCCCAGGCCTATGGGGCACACTGCTTGTGTGGCGGAACCTGGTCACTCTGGCTTCATACCTCCATGCCCTGGTGGCTGGACCAGTGGGAAAGAGGGTGTGGACGATGTATCATCATGGGACAATGTGAGCATGGCAGCTCCCAGGATCTGTCAGGGGCTAGAGAGTGGTAACTTGTGACATCTTCACATTCACAGGGGCCCTCACACATTCACTGGTGATGTTCTTGAGATGGGGGTTACATTTTATGTGAATTTGAGGCAGTGTTGTGTTAAAATATTAATGAAGTCTCATTCTAAATACAAAACTGGAAATAATACAAATCTTCCTACCCACTATCTCCCGCCCCGCACACACACTCTAAGCAGTAGCGGGAAATTCAAGTGTCCTGCAGCACTTCCATAGTGGGCAGGTTGGGTCTGTGAGTCCCATTGCACTTGTTGCCACACGGTGGCGCCACACTGGCAGTAAGCAGAAGTGTCCATGTTCGTCTTGAATTATGAGTTTTGAGTTATGCAAGGTCTTCAGGAACACATCCCTCACATACACCTTCTAGTGCCTTGGGGTTATATTGTTAAAAGTCTTCATTCATTCATTTGAACTGTTTAAAAATATGCCACTTTGTGACATTATTTCTCCATGATTTATGACATCAGGAGCCCTCCCAATATGAAAGTGGCCTAGTGTCTCTCGCCTCTGAGTCAACCCAGCACCCCTTCTTGATGCAGCCTTCTCTGTGAACCCCCTCCCCACGGGACAGTCAGCATCTCCTCCTGCCTCCACCCATCCCCATGGACTTCCCCACATACAGTCATGAAGCAAATACTCCCAGCACCCAGTGTAGCAAGGTCTTATGCTGGGAACTGGACGTTGGAGATGAACCAGACAGGGCTTCCCAGCACCTAGGAGCCATGCGTGCCCAGGGGAAGCATCAAACAGGAGTCAGGGGAGGTCTCCTGGAGGAGATGATGCCTGAGCTGAGTCTTGACATTCTTTGGGTTGAGAGCGTGGACATGAACACAAAATTATCAATTACCCATCTAGGCGCTTATGTCGTTTGCTGGACCACGATCTCCTTGAAGTAGGTAAACACATGGGATTTATCTGTTTTCCTGCCTTTCTGCTTAACATTGGAAATGGCCAAGTGAGTTAAGCATGGCAAAGGGCTTAGAACCATGCCTCATGTGTAGTAAAGATTATGTAAGTGCCAGCTGCTATTCTTGTTTTCATTGCCGCTATTGCTTTTATAATTAGCCAGCATCAATATATATGGAATAACTCAGGAAATGAAAGAGTGAGGGATGTGTTGGCAACAGCCTCAGACCAGAGATCAAAAGCTTGGACTGAGTCCTCAGTTCAACTTCTATAAAGTGGGGATAATTAAACCATTCAAGCCCAGGTGTTATAATGGTTAGAGGAAATTACAAAGCACACACATGAAGCAACCAGCATATGGTAGGTGCTCAGTGTGAATTCTGTTTACCTTCCTTGTCTTATGGTGCCCAGACACTTAGCACAGGACTGTGTGCGTGTATGTGCTCAATAAATATTTGTTAATGAATTGATGAGTAAAATTCTCATTGTTTAAAGAATATTAGTCATGGAACATGTTCACTGTCTCAGACAAACTCTTAGCCAGGAACAGGAAATACATGCTGAATGAACCTCTGCTCCCCACTCACTCACCCAAGGCCGACATTACTAATCAATGATGGCACTCTGTGTTAGTCAGGACTCTTTTTGTTGGAAATGACCAACCAGCTTGAGCAAAAAGGGGTTTGTTATATGGATACTGGAGTAGCTCAGAAAACCAAAGAAGAAGCTACAGGCAGCAGCGCAGCCCCTGGGCCCTCCTGGGAACCTCACTGGACCCCTCTCTCCCCTCTTCATTTCTCCTCTAGGGATCTGTATGTTTGCAAGCATTCTTTCAGGCAGGGCTCCTGCGGATGGCAGCTAGAAGCTCTGAAGTTACCTCCTTCCCAGTTCATGTAAGATGGTAAGATGGACAGCATGCTTCCCCTCCCCATCCTGACTACTTCAGGGGAGGCTTCTGATTGGCCTGCTGGGATCATGTTTTCAGTGGAAGGGGGGCTCTTTGTTACCAGGACTGGCAGCCCAGAGAAAAACATGAAGTCAGAGAAGAGTCATTTTCCAGAATAAAGGAGAAAGAGAAGCTGAGAAGACACCAGTGATGAAGGTTCACTCCTGACCACAGAGCTGGGATAGCACCTCAGAATCCTTCTCAACACAGTGCCCAATCAGAATCAGCACTCAAGACAAAATCTACTTGAGATTTAGACCAAGCCTACATAGAGGGAGGTTCATGGCATTGTATGAATCTGCAGAGGATTCCACTGGAAACTAGCTGAGCCTGGGTTTGAATCTGAGCTGTCAGGACAGCAGGCAAGTTGCTGCACCTCTCCAAGCCTCAGTTTCCTCATCTGGTACAATGGGCTGAATGCTTCTGTTCCCCCACAAATTCATATGTTGAAATCCTAATCCCCAGTGTGATGGCATTAGGACGTGGGGCCCTTGGGAGGTGATTAGGTCATTAGGATAGAATCCTCATGGATGGGATTAGTGCCTTATAAAAAGACATAACAGAGCTTACTTTTTGGATGTGAGGACATAATAATAAGATGTCCATCTGCAAACCGGGAAGCAAGCCCTCTCCAGACACTGAATCTGCTGCTGCCTCGATCTTGGACTTCCCAGCCTCCAGAACTGCAAAACATAAATGTGTGTTGCTTAAGTCAGCCAGTCTATGATAGTTTGAGCTGGCTAAGACCTCTGGTAAGTGAGTATAATAATGCCAAACTCAGAGGTTTTGTAAGGGTAGATGAGACACTCTGTGTAAACTTCAGCACAATCCATGGAAGACAGTCAACATTCAATAAATGTTACCTCTTTTCTGAGTGTGGGTTCCCTTAGAAGCAGACTCTGAGACTAAGATTACCATGCAAGTGGTTTAGTCGGTAGGTAATCCAGAAGCCAAGATTCTCTCTCACAACCCACACAGGGAAGTGAGAGAGAGCAATGATGGTACTAATGGGCAAGTTACCACTGTGGGCAACTGAGGCTCAATTCTGCTGGAGACCTTTGAGAGGTTGTTGTTCCCCAACCCCCATCCCACGAGGGGTGAGGGAGCTGGGGTATTTATGCACCAGCTGCCGTTGATCACTGATTGAGGGCTGCTCCTGGGCATTCACTCCCAGGCATTTCCAGCCTGCACTTTGCCTCAGCTGAGCTTACTCCCATAGCCAGAGAACCACCGCAGGCAGAGACACAGGTGTTTTCAATAAGAAGCCACCAGCAGGAGGGCACTGACAGTGGCAGCATCACTTCAGATGTTATCAAGGGAATCCATAAACCTTACAGCATGGCACACACAGAGGGATGATCTTACCAAAGTGTTTCTTCTAGGGGAGCTGGAGTTAAATGGCATGGTCCTTCTTCAGTCCACAGATCCTGGTACCCCATTGTCTCCTCTGAGTTCCTGACCTCAGTTTTTATCTGCCACATACAAGTTTTTTTTCCTAGTACCAGAGTATACCATTCTTCACCTCCAATGTAGGCAGAGCTCTAGCTCCCTGGAGAGCAGGAGCTTTCTTCATTGGGCAAGCTGGAGGCTAATTCCCCCACACTGAGGCAAACCCAGAAGAGTGCTAACTTCTGGAGCATCCATGCTGGGCTCTTGGAGGCCAAGTGCTGGGCATTCAACCAATGCATAAACAGGGCATTTCTAAAACAAATAAGGTTGGTCATAGATCCCAAGCACCCCTTATATTCTTACCCAACCATTCATTTCTGGGCTGCTTTCTTCTAACCAACCTTCATCCACATGAACTAGGTGCTGCCTGGCTTCTTCCAGCTCCTCCCAGGACATCTAGTTTTTTTCTTTAATACAGCATGTATTTAGAGACACTTCATATAAAATAAAATCATCATTTTAAAGTGTAAACTTCAGTGGTTTTTAGTACATTCACTATGTTGTGCAACCGTCACCATGATCTAATTCCAGAACGTTTCCATCCTCCCCAAAGAAATCCTTTAGCAGTTAGTTCCAATTCTCCTCTCCCATTCCCTGGCAATCACTAATCTACTTTATGTCTCTATGAATTTGCCTGTTCTGGATATTTTATATATGGAATCATATCACAGGTGGCCTTTTGTAACTGGCTTCTGTCACTTAGTGGAATGTTTTCGAGGTTTATCCATGTTGTAGCATGACTGGTAAGTACTTCATTTTTAACAATGAACAATATTGCATTGTATGAATATACCACACTTTCTCCATCCATTCACTCATCAATGGACACTTGGGTTGTTTCCACCCTTTTGCTATTGTGAATAATGCTGCTATGAATATTCATCCACTGTACAAGCGTTTGTGCAAATATGTTTTCAGTTTGCTGTGGTTTAAATGTGTCCCCAAAGGGTCATGTCTTGGAAACTTAATTTCCAATGCAACAGTTTTGGAAGATGGAACCTAATGCGAGGTGTTTAGGTTCTGAGGGCCCTGCCCTCATGAATGGATTAATATCGTTACTGTGGGAGTGGGTTAGTTTTTGCAGGAGTAGATTTGTTATAAAAGCGAGTTCAGCCCACTCTTGCCCTGTCTTGCTTTCTCTTGCCCATGTGTTGCCTTCCACTATGTTATGATGCAACAAGAAGGCCCTCACCAGATATAGGTGCTCAGTCTTGGACTTCACAGCCTTCAGAACTGTGGGCCAAATAAATTTCTGTTCATTATAAATTACCCAGTCTGTGGTATTGTTATAGCAGCACAAAATGGACTAAGACACAGATCTCTAGACTATCTAGGTTGGAATGGAATTGCTGGCACATATAGTTATTCCATGTTTAACTGTTTGAAGAACTGCTGCACTCTTTTCCAAAGTGACTACACCATTTTACATTCCCACCAGCAATGTATGAGAGTTCCAATTTCTTCATATTATTTCCAATATTCATTCTCTGTTTTTGAGGGTTTTTCCATTCTAGCCATCCTAGCGGGTGTGAAGTGATATCTCATTGTGGTTTTGATTTGCATTTCCCTGATGGTTAATGATGTTGAGCATCTTTTCACAGAGCATCTAGTTTTGATCACCACCCAACATGAAGGGAAACTCTTAGTCTTGGGCTTCAGTTTTTAGCATCTGTCAGACTCAAGTTTTGCCTCTCATTGGCCATAAGTGGCTTCTTCAATCTGCTCTCAAACCGAGCCCTGTCCTCAACTTCCTGGGAGCTTTGACCTTCTGGTCAAATCAATGCCTCCTCTTGGTCAGGATTCTTTTCATTGAAAGTGTTAGAAACCCAACTCACACTGGTTTGAACACAAAAGGGGATTTATTGCCTCATGCGCCTAATAAATCCCAGGGCAATAGTAGCTTCAGGCATGCCTGGATGTAGGTACCCAATGGATGTCATCTAGAAGCTTTCTCTTGCTCCCAATCTGAGCTCTACTTTCCTTTAGGTCAACTTTACTCTGTGATGGGCTCTCTCCTCTTGGTGGCAAGAAGACTTTTGGAAGCCACAGTCTCACCTCTTTGCAGTTAGCAACATCAGTGGAAAGAAGCCTTCTCTTTCTCAATAGCTCCAGCTAAGGTCCGAGGATTGTCTCTAACTGGACTAACTTGGGTCATGTGCCCATCTTAAAATAATGACAGTGGTTATGGCAATGGAATTTGCTGAGTGGCTGGGCCTGGGTCAAATCTGCAACCTTAGAGCTAAATGTGGGGTCAGCTCCTCCTAAACCATGTAATCTGAGAGTGAGAAAGTTGTGGCTTCCCACAATAAATTGGGGCCCTACTGCCAGAAGGGAGAATGGATACTGAACAAACAGAAACTTCAGGTCTCCATTGGCCCTCTAGATCCTCTATTCCTATGTCCCAGCAATATACTCACTGTCGTGTCTCATTCCATGACAATGCAATAGGTTAATGTCTGGGAACTTATCTCAGGTGAAGACAGTCAGAGAGAGTGAAAAGTTGGTCCTTCCGAGAGACCAGGGGAAGAATAAGCAGAAGCCATTACAAAACTCACAAACTCACACTTTTGCTTCTTGGTTTAGTTCATTTGGGCTGTGATAACAGAATACCTTAGATTGGGTGGCTCATAAGCAATAGAAATGTGTTTCTCACAGTTCTGAAGGTTGGGAAGTCCAAGGTCAAGATGCCAGCAGAATTGGTGTTTGGTGAGGGCCTGCTTTCTTGTTCATAGATGGTGCCTTCTAGCTATCGTCACATGGTAGAAGGGGTAAGGGAGCTCTCTGGGGCCTCTTTCATAAGGGACCCACCTTCTGACACCATCATGTTGGAATTTAGGATTTCAACATATGAATTTTGGGGGAACACAAACTTTCCATCTATAACATTTGTCCAGAATTGATTGTGAGAAATAAACAGGCTTCTTTGTTGATTTGTTTACACAAAGAGAAACCCATTTTTTTAAATGATAAAATACTTCTCACACTAATGATCCTCCCTAGAGCTTATAAGAGGTGCGGTTTGATTTGGGATGTTTTTGTTTGTTTGTTTGTTTCCTTTAAATTACCTGGAGGACTTTTTTTTTCTTCCAGCGGCAGGAAGCAGCATTCCACCTGAAGAAAAATCGTCATCATCATGCCTCTCTGTTCCTCGGCAGCCAATGGCTGACTCACTCCCTTGGCTCTGGGAGGCTTGGTTGCTCGACTCTGATTGTGAAGCATGTGCAGATAGTGTGTTCACATCCAAAATCATGCATGCACACACAACTCCTAAACACAACCTCATGTGTCCTCTGTGCCAATCACGCAAACGCACCATGCCTGAAGGGGGTGTGTCCTCCCCACACAGTGGGGTGCTGACAGAAGCCATTCTGCAAAGGCTTGTTAATTCTTAGACAGTCGGGTGTGAATATCATGCTGACATTTATAGCGTGTCTTCACCACACTCCGTCTCACCCACGCTGAACCACGCACCTGCAGGAGGGAATGCTGGTATCAATGCAGCAGATGTTGTGTGCCCTCGGAATGCTTAAATATGTACTCTCTACAGAAGGCGTGTGTTACCCAAACACAGACCTGAGGGAGGGGGACTAGGAGGGAAGAGAAAAGGGAAGATGTGGTCTGGCTTCTCCAAGCCTATCTTTGGGTGCCCTGGATGCCTGATAAATTCCAGCCTTGGACGAAAACAAAAGGCTTTATCTTTTAAAACAAGTTTAGGAAGATGTTAGAATTTATTATATAGAAAAATATAACAAAACAAAACATGGGCTGTGCAGTCAGAGAAACGTGGTTTTAAGTCCCAGTTCTACAATTTAACAAGCTACATGACCTGGGTCAATCACTTAGCCTCTCTGAGCCTTCTCACCAGTAAAACGGAGCTCACAGAGGTATCTATTTCTCAGAGTTGTGGTCAAGGAAAGTTAGGTTAGTGATTCATTTGCTGGAACATAAAGAAATAAATACTCCTTTATTTGAACTTCTAAGTCATGGGTGGCATGCCAGGGTGACTTTGTCCTGATATTAGGGTTACTAGGGTCCTTTTCTAGTTGTCCTGGATCTCAGCATCCTGCCTCCAACCCTGGTATTCCCACGCATACCAGAGGTGGATCCACAGGTCATCTCCCCTGCAGATTCAGCCCCTTCCCAGTTCCCAAGTATCTCTGGGCTTGAGGGGAACATGTATTATGTTGCTCAACACTGTCCTGGTTGCAAGTGACAGAAAATGGAAATTTATTGGTTTGTGTGATTAGAAAGTTTGAGGGTGAGTGGGTGCAGTGGCTCACACCTGTATTCCCAGCACTTTGGGAGGCCAAGGCAGGATGATCACTTGATGCCAAGAGTTCAACACCAGCCTGGGCAAGATAGTGAGACATGTTTCTACAAAAAAAAAAAAAATTAAATACCCAGGCAGGCCACCAGCAGCATCAGGCTCATGCCCAGCTGAGAAAAGACAAGTCTCTATCCCCTCATCCCCAGCAGCAACCCTGAGATGTGCGCTCTGGCCGAGCAGGCACAGTGCCTGGAGGAATGCACCACACCTACTGGCTCAGACTTGGGTCATGTGCTAAACCTGAGTGGGGAACCTCAGCTGGACAAATGGTGGGAGGCTAGCTCCCCAGACAAAAATCGGGGGTTCTTGCTAGCAAAGGAGGGTGGGATGCTATCAAGACAAACCGTAGCCATCTACTGCATGTGTCAGCCTCATGTTGTGGCCCAGGGAGCTTTGCATGGAGCCTGGTCCTGGGTGCTTTCACCTGGGACCCCATGTCCCTGCCCTGACCACTGACCCCTTCTACAGATCAGTCTTGGAAGAATGGGTTTAATACCACCTGCTTGTGTGTTGTGAGCATTCAGTGGAGCATGTCAGGAAATGCTTAGTTCATTGTGCAGAGGCAAGTCTTTATGCCACCCAAGTCATCTGCTCCTCCTGGATCCAGGAGCCTTGCAGACAGGCTGGGGCCATGACACTGAGTTCTGGCCAGTGGAATGTGGATGGCAATAGTGTACACAATTGCTTCCAGACCTGGCTATCAAACAACCCATGCCATCTTCTGTGGTATCTCCCTGGCCTATGATATGGAAGCAAAGGGCTCTGAGATGGTGGAGCCACCTGATGCAGTAAGTCCCAATACCTGGGTGCTGTGGTTTGAATAAGGTGACCTGCAAAACACATATTGAAGTATAATTGCCATTGTAACAGTATTAAGAGGTGGGACCTTTAAAAGGAGATTAAGCCATGAGAGTGGGATTAATGCTGTCATAAAAGGGCAAATTCAGCCCCTTCTTGCTCTCTTTTGTCCTTCCACCTTCAACCCTGTACAGACAAGATATTCTTCCACCATGTGATAGTGCAGCAAGAAGGCCCTCACCAGACACGAGCACCTTGATCTTGGACTTCCCAGCCTCCAGAACTGTGCTAAAATAAATTTCTGTTCATTATAAATTATCCAGACTGTGGTATTTTGTTATGGCAGCACAAACAGACTAAGAAACGTAGTCACCATGTGTAGGAGAGCAACAAATAAACCTTTGATATGTTAAGTCAGTGGTTCTCCAAGAGGCAATGTCTGGAAATATTTTTGGTTGTCACCACTGGAAGTAGGGTGGGGAGCTAGTACTGGCATCTAGTGGGGAGAGACCAGGGATGTGGCTGAATATCCTACAATGCACAGGACAGCCCCCACAACTAAGAATTATTCAGCCCCAAATGTCAGTAGTGCTGAACTTTAGAATCCCTGCTCTAAAATGTGGGCACCTTGAGAGACGGATGTTGTCATTGTCCTTCTGAAAACCTTCCAATGGCCTCTATCACACTCAGGATAAATTTCCAGTCCCTTACTTTGATCTACAAAGCCCCACAGGACCTGGATCCTGCCCACCACCCCTCCTACCTCACATCCCACTTCTCTTTCTCACCCACTTCTGGACCTCTTTCCAACCTAAGGACTTCATACGTGCTGTTAAATCCTTAAACACATTTCTCCCTGTTCTTCCAGGTATTCAGTTATGGCTTAAACATCACCTCCTCTGAGACACCTTCACTCGTCACAGTCTGTATTAGATTCATTCCCACCTCTTGATTCTCTATTATCGCACCACATTGCCATGATCCTTTCACAGCAATGACCGTGATGTAATGTGCCCTGCTTCCTTGTGGGGGTGTGGTAGGGGTGGTGTCTGCCTTCCCTCTGGAGTGTGAGGAACATGAGGACCAGATAAATAATGGATAGAAAGAGCCATCTTTGCAGTCAGACAGCCCTGGATTTTACTTCTTGTTCCAGTACCAACTGTGAGTCCCTTCACTCTCCCGGCCTCCATCTCCTCATCTGCAGAATGGGAATAAGAATACTCACAGGTTGCTGTGAGGATTAAATGGGATAGTGTAAAGAGAGCACTTGGCCCAATTCACAGTAGAGAACAGTCACTTAGAAAGTGTCTTGACTATCAAATGCATGAATAAAAGTGTAAGCACAGTCAAGTCCCTGCATGCTGTTGTTTTTAGGGATGAACTCTTGGGAGGAAGGTGGCATTGGGGTGCCTGGGTGGAGGCTCCTTGGAATGGAAGGATGAAGAAGGTGTGTGCTTGAGAACAGAGCTCGGTTTCCCCAGGCAGCTTCTGCATCTACCTCTCTTGACACAGCACCACAGGGGCTGGCAAGCCCTCATTCCTCCTTTAAAACTGCGACCCTAGCTCCCATCCTTCAAGTCACTGTCCCCAGGACTGTTCTCCCTGATGCCTCTCTCTTGCAGGACCCAGGAGGGAGGCGGCCACCGCTGTTATGGTCCTTCTTTGGAGAAACACACCCCTCCCCCCAAGAGTGCCTCCTAGCACTGTCTCTATCTGTGTCTGTCTAGACCAGGCAGGAAATTAAAGTGGGTATCAGGACATTTGCAACAAATAGCTCAGGCCCCAGGCTGAGACCCACGTGTCTACAAAAAGGAATGTGATTGAGGGACCTCTTTCTTTCAAGTACAGTCTCATATCAGACTGTTGGGGCCACACAGAAACTTGGATTGTTTCCATCTCTGCATGTATGAAGGGTAAAAAGACAGCAGGGAGGATGCAGAGATGATGGTGAACCAGGGGAGACAGGTCCAAGAGCCCTGTCTCCTGGGAGAGGCAGGGGACTGCGAGCTTAGGCGCTCCCGCATCGCTGCAGGTGGGCCAGTGGAACTCCCTGAGCCTCCATTCCCTCATCTGTGAGGTGGACATGTTAACATACCTGCAGCTTAGGCTGCAGTGAAACATAAACGAGTTAAAATATGTAAAGCACTCTGATCTTTATGCTTTCCTTCCTTCTCCTGATTTTGGGCTTAGTTTGTTCTTTTCCTAATTCCTTGAGTTGTAACGTTAAGTTACTTATTTGAGATCTTTCTTCTTTTTTTGATGTAGGCACTTGTTATAAATCTTTCTTCTTTTTTGATGTAGGCACTTGTTCATTGCAGCATTATTCACAACAGCTAAGATATGAAACCAGCCTAAGTGTCTATCAATAGATGAGTGGATAAAGAAAATGTGGTGCATATATGTATGCAATGGAAAATATTCAGCCTTAAAAGGTGGGGGGAATCTGTCATTTTTGACAATGTGGATGAACCTTGAGGACATTATGCTGAGTTAAGTAAGCCAAGTACAGAAAGACAAACACCGCATGATCTGACTTACTGTGGAATCGAAGAAAGCTGAACTCACAGAAGTGGAGGGTGGGATGGCGGTTAGCAGAGGCTGTGGGAGAGGGGTGGATGGGGAAAGGAGATGTCGATCAAAGGGCACAAAGTCTCAGTTGGACAGGAGGAATAAGCATTAGTGATCTACTGCACAGTACGGTAACTATAATAAATAGAAATGCATTGCATATTGCAAAATTGCTAAAAGTAAATTTTAAATGATTTAACCACAAAAAAGAGGTATGTGAGGTGATGGATTTGTTAATTAGCCCAGTTTAATCATTCCACATTGTCAACATCTATCAAAACATCACTTGTACCCCATAAATATGTACAATTATTTGTCAATTAAAAATAAAATTTTAAAAACTATTTACAGTGCCTCTTGAGAGTGGGCTGATCTAGGTGACTTGCTTCCAAAGAGTAGATAAGGAAAGTGGGGAAAAGTGACTTTACAGTGGAGAAACCTGGCAGACACTACCTCGAGCCAGGTGACCAAGGTTACTATCCGTGAAGTCATTTCAACAGCACATACCCCTGATATGATGCGATGAAGATGCCACTTCACCTCTGCGGTGTTCCTCCCCAAAACTCATGATCCCATGCAAACTCTGAGAAAAATATCACATACATCCACACTGAGCCATATTCTATAAGATACCTGATCTATATTGTTTAAAACGATTGAGGTCATCAGAAACAAGGGAAGTCTGAGAATTTGTTACTGACCAGAGGAGACTAAGGAGATGTGACAGTTAAATTCAATGTGGTGTCCCGTATGGGACCTTGGTCTGGAGAACAACATTGGGGAAAACTGGTGACATCCAGTAAAGGGTGGAGTTTAATGAACAGCATGTATCAAGATTGGTTTCTTAGTTGTGATGAATGGACGATGAAGAAAAGTAAGACGTTAGCAACACAGGAAACGGTGTGGGGTGCGTGGGAACTCTGCACTATCTTTGCAACTTTTCTGTATGTATAAAGGTGTTTGAAATTTTTGTAAAGTTTATTCAAAGAAAAAAATACATAACATACTTACCAGAGTCCCTGGCACACAGTGGCTGCTATCTGAAGGCTCACAGCTAGTGGACATAAAGCATGTTCTGTCTGGTCTCTTAGGCATACACCTGTCCTTAAAACAGAGGTACATGGTCGCCTCCCTTGCTGTGTGTCCATGGGAAGTATGCAGATAGGGAACTGTTCTGGCTAAAATGGTCTCTTCTGAATCTGGCAGCCACAGGGATCCCATGAAGCCCTAAGTTGGGCCACAGACCTCTTCTGCTCAGTGTCCTCCACGGCTCCCACTTCACACAGAGTAAACGCCAAGTCCCTATAAGTGGCCTGTGAAGCACCAGGAGATGTGGGCGCCCCACTTCCATGTTCTCTGGCCTCCATCCTATCCTGACTCCTTCAGCCATGTGAGCCTGCTGGCCTGGGTGCTGCTGACATCTGGCCATACTCCACCCAGATAGCTCTGCTCCCCAGAGCCCTGCAAGACAAGAAGGTCTTCTCTGTGTGCCTCCCCAAATGTGAGTGCTCTCCTTTTCACTCTTTAGTTCCTGCCTGCGCCCCGCCGTGGTTCCAACCAAAGTTTGTTTCCTCCTTCCTGCTGTGGGGGGTGAGGGTTGCTGCACCCCACTGACTGGCCTCACTGGCAGGAAAGGGCAGCCAGCTCCCCAGCAGCTAGGCCTGGACAGGGCGTGCACACAGAGCAGTTCTGTTCTGTCCCATCTCCACTTCAGGCAGCCCCTCTGGCCCCCCACCACTGTCATTCCTTCATGACCCCTCTGGCAGTCCCTTTCTCAGCCAGTTTATAAACCCCGGCTCTCTGGGACGGGTCTCAGGTCTCCTCTCCCATTAGTACTGAGGGTCTCTGCTGGCCTTTTTCAAGACTGACACGGAGGGCCTGTTCTGGGTTGAACTGCACCCCGCCCTAAAAGAAGATCTGTTGAAGTCCTATCCCTCAGTACCTCAGAATGTGGCCTTATTTGGAAATAGGGTTGTTACAGATGCAATCAGTTAAGATGAGGTCACATTGGAGTACAGTGGGCCCCTAACCTCATATAACCGGTGTCCTTGTAAGAAGACGGCCATGTGAAGACAGGCACAGGGAGAAGGCCACGTGAAGACAGGGCTGGAGGGACACATCTAGAAGCCAAGGAAAGCCAAGGACTGCCACTCACTATCAGGGGCTGGGAGGAGGAAAGGAAGGATTCCCCCTACAGGTTTCAGAGGGAACCTGGCCTTGCGATGCCTTGATTTAGGGCTTCCAGTCTCTGGAACTGTGAGACAATAAATTTCTATTGTTTCAAGCCATCTAGTCTGTGACATTTTGTTATGGTGGCCCTAGGAAACTAACGCAGGGCCAACAAGAAGGGTCGGGGACCTGGGCTGCTTCTAGTTGTGATGTTTCTCTGCTTTCTCTACTTCTTACTGTGGCATTTCTCTGCTTTTCCCTACTTCTTGCTGTGGCTTTTCTCTGCTTTTTCCTACTTCTTGGGTTCAGCTGGGTCACCTTCAAGACTCCCCACCATGACATTGCCAGATCTCTGATTTGAACTCTGTTCCTCATCTTTGGAGCCCCTCACTTGGCTTTAGGAGTTTAGAGAAATGTCCCTCCCGTCCCTCTCTATGAGGCCAACATCTCATAATGTGGACAGCTCCCTCTACCACTTCCCTGCTGCCTCTCTAAATCCAGTGGGGTCGGGTGGATTTGAGCACTATAAAGCATCTTCTCCTGTTCATAGTAAGCCATTGGGTTGAAGCTGGGGGGCAGCACTTGGGCCCCCATTAAGAGTTTGAGGCTGTAGTTTTTAGCAACTCTCATTTTTTTTTTTAGCCATGGCCTCAGGCACCAATTCCCCAGGCTGCAGAAAAAGCCCCATAGGCCATCCTGTTACTCCAGATTTGCAAGCTCGGCTGGGCTCTCCGTGATACCAAATGATGCTTGTCCAGTTCTAGCTTGCATGGTCAGGACTCCTGGCACTCACCTCCTTAGTCATCTCTGCTTGCAATGACCTAAAGACAGGTCCCTCCTGCAGAACTATTCTGGGGTAGCTCCCTAAAATGTCCCCTTTCCCCAACAGAGTTAATCAATGAATGAATGCAAAGCTAACGTAGTCTCAGATCCAGCGAGGGAGGAAGGACAGTGTGGGGATCCCAGAGCTAGGCTGCCTCAACTCAAATCCTGGGACCAAGACTGCCTGTGTGACCATGGACAAGTTATTTACCTTCTCTGGGTCTCAGTTTTCTTCATCTACAAAATGCGAATAATAATAGCATCTGCCCCTGAGGTTGTCGCAGGGATTCAATGAGATAATGCCAATGACGGATGTCATGACTGACGCTAATGAAGCTTAGCTTCTTTGTCATGCAGGGCACGAGTCCAGGTATCTTTATGCCTCATCCTGTGCTGTGCTTAGAAGCTAATTTTCCTAGGTCCAGCCTAATCTTTTTTCACACATTGGACTCAGCTAATTCATTCACTGCTGAGTAATTTGTTAGAGCCAGCGGTGTTGAAGATAGAACAAAGGTTAAGATGCTTCGGGCTGGACACATGGGGGAGAGACACATTTTTAGTTTGAGGAGGCAGAAAACCATTTTCACAAGCTTAACGGAGCCCGGTACTAAATTAAACCTCTTGACTTAATCACTGATTAAAACATTACAATAGCTGCACAGGCTACAGTCGGTGAGTCCAGCCTGTAATCATGTCCTTCTGAGGCTTCATGTTGGAAAATGACGCAGATCATTCAAAATAAGAGCATGGCTTGGTGGCTGTGCTTGGGGGAAATAATTGTCATCTGCTTCAGAAGATTTCCTCTCTCCCCCTTTATTTAAAGCACCTAAAAGACTTCATAGATAATTAAAATCTAGTAAGATATAAGAAGGAAGAAGATAATCAATCTCCCACCCAGTCCCACTCTCTTGGGACTCAACAGGGGTAAGGACAAACCGGAGGTCAAAACACTGCAAAATATGCAGTGTCATAACACAGACTGTTGGTACGCACACGCCTTCTGCTGTGAGAAAACTGGCACTGAGCAGAACTATCCTGCAAGTGATGCAGGCACAGCATTTTCAGTTTGCAAACCATTCTTACACTCTTTATCTCAAACATCCTGTGTGCCCAACTGGGTAAAAGAACCGAGGCTCAGAGGGGAGATGGGAGCTGCCAAACTAACTAAAGGAACGTAGCTGGAACGGAGTGCTAGCGGCCTCGGAGGAAATCCTGTGCTCTTTTCACCAGACTAGGATGTCCCTGCCCTCCCTTTCTTCCAGAACAAACCCAGGTCCATGTATTTAGAGGGTGACTGAGTAAAGAACATACTGGGCTGGGCTTCAACTTTTGTACTTGGTAGAGGAAGGCAATTCCAGATAGACCCAGATGCTTGGAACACATAAACAAAGAGGAGAGAGTTTGAGGAAATGGGGGGATATGTGAAAAATCATTTGTATGACAGGGGAGCATTCTGGTCAATGCAAGATTAAGTTATTTTGTGCTTTTGCAGCCTGCAAAATGAGTGAGCCTGGGAATAAAGGGGACTCACTAGCTTGCTCCTGGTCATTTAAGTGGCTTGGGAGGTGGTTACAATCAGCTGGATGCCACTCTAGGGAGAATTTCTGACAAGGGTGAGGGTGCAAACCTGCATCGCTAAGATGGAGATGACAACCAAGGACCCTGACAGGCATCGTGCAGAGGAAGCTAAATTCTCATGGTCTTCAGGGACATTCACGTGCAACTAGAATTACTTTCTTTCTAGCTTTCCAGGATCAGAACACTCACTGGCTTCATTGCCAGGGTCCAGCTAGGCAAAAAAACCAACATTCATAGTTTAGAAGCTGTGTTTCTTCTATATAAATCCTTTCCTCGCTTTCTGAGATGAAGTCAGTCTATACTGGTTCCACTAGTTACAAGTAAATAACACGCCAATAATTAACTCAATGTCTTTGAGTTATTTTTTAACTGAAGGCTCCTTCACTTGCTAGCTGGGAAATGACCCCTGGCATGCCATTTAAGCAACTGAGCCTCATTTTTTTTCCTTTTAAAAAAAATTATTATTAATACCTTTTAATGTTTCACATTTTCTTTCAGAAGATTTGTAACAAAAACACATGGAATTTAGTATGTGTTTCAGTAAAATGGGTAAATACAGAATCTGAACAAGACAAGTCTATAAGGTATAATCCTTCTTGTGGGGACAGAACATTCCACTCCATTAAGAAAAGAGAATCACAACATTATTAGGCCCGATTATCTCATATTGCTTACTGTTCTAATTTCAGAGACTGGCGGACTTGGAGAAATAAACAAATGAAAATAAATAAATAAGACTGAACACAGTCAACTGCCTCAATTCCCCTCTCCTTTTCCCTTTTCCCATTTTCTCCATAAAGACAGATGAGATGAGGATGTGATGAGTCTCATTTTTCTTCTCTCTAATATGGTGGATAATAGGTCCGCTTCTAGGATTCTTGCAAGGATTATATAATATAATCTATGCAAAGAGTCATACACATGCCCCACATATACTAAATGCCACTGTTACAATCATTATGATCACTTTCGTCTTGCTGCTGTAACAAATTGCCACAAGTTTGGTGGCTTAAAACAACACAAACGTATTCTGGTAGAGTTCTGGAAGTCAGAAGTTTGAGATGAGTGTTACAAGACTAAAATCACCGTGTCAGCAATGCTGCATTCCTTCTGGAGACTCTGGAGGAGGGCTCATTTCTTTGCTTTTTCTAGCGGCCTCCTGCATACCTAGGCATGTGGTCCCACTCTCCCTCTTCAAAGCATCTCTGATCTCTGTCTGACTCTGGCCATCCTGTCTACCCCTTATAAGGATGGTTTTGATGATAGGGGACCCACCTGCACAATCCAGGCTAGCTCCCCATCTCAATCGCTTTAATTTCATCATCTCTGCCAATTCTCTTTTGCTATATAAAGGTCACCATATACCCAGATTCTGGGGATTAGAAGGTAGACATCTGGGAGTCGGGGTGAGGGTGATTGGTCTGTCTACCATAATCATTAACATTTTTATCAAGACTAGCTCATTTAACTCATCTAATCCTCACTAAGACCCATTAGGTAAATAAAATTATATCCCCCTTTGGAAACTGAGGCACACGGAAGTTAAGTAACTTGCCCAAGGTCACACAAGCAGTAAGCCGTGAAGAGCGATTCCAACCCAGAAAGTCAGCTTTCGAGTTCACGTGTTCTTTGTTTTTTTTTTTTTTGATCTCGACTCACTGCAACCTCCACCTCCCAGGTTCAAGCGATTCTTCTGCCTCAGCCTCCTGAGTAGCTGGGAATACAGGCGCGCACCACCACGCTCGGCTAATTTTTTTTTTTTCTTGTATTTTCAGCAGAGACGGGGTTTCACCATGTTGGTCAGGCTGGTCTCAAACTCCTGACCTCCTGATCCACCCGCCTCAGCCTCCCAAAGTGCTGGGATTACAGGCGTGAGCCACCGCGCCCGGCCCAGGAGTTCACGTTCTTAAGAGCTGAAATATGTAAAGTGGCCCATAATAAGCACTACATTAATGTTAGCTATTATTCTTGTTATTTCTACTAAGATTAATATAATAATCCTTATCTCGTACGCTCTTTTAAGAACCAACTATTTAACGTGTGAAAAGTGCCAGGCAGCAGGTCCTGGAATTGCAGTTAAGATTCTTCCGGTCCTCCCAATCCACCTTTCCCGAGACGCTCGAGTTCACTTACTTAAGCGTCAGCCTTCCCCAAGATGGCGTTATCTTTGTCGCCAACCCCACATCCGCCCCACCCAATATGGCGTCCATCGCAATCAAAAGCTTTATTCCGCCCTTCTCAAGATGGCGCCCACACCAATCCTTGTTACCTTCCGCCCTCAAGATGACCTTAGCAGTTAGCGTCAACCTCCGCACTCTATGACCTTTCCAAAATGATGGTGAACGTAATACGCACCACACTCTGACCTTCTCAAGATGGCGCTGAGCTGACAAACTCGCGTCGCAAACTCACGCAAACTCAGTGTCGCTGTCGAAGACACTTCCGGTTGCGACGGAGGTAGGCTTACGAGGCCTGTGTCGGGTAGAAAGGGTCCTTCCTGGACCGGGACCCTCTGCCACGACCATGGACCGTAGGAAAAAGCCTTTGGACGTCACGGCCTCCTCGGTGAGTGAGGGTATGAGGTAACTCCACGGGCTCCGGGTTCACCGTGTCTCCATCAGACAAGAATGTCGACCTAGCTTGTTTCTTCACTCGGGGACCCAGAGACCTGACCTCTCCCCTCAAACAGGAACCCCCGAACTGGATTTTCTTCTCCGGCGGGGATCCGGTTCAGTTTTCTTACAGGACCCTGAATTGGGCTACTCTCCTCTGACATGCGCCCGGGCCAGAACCCTCGGACACGGATCTGAACCTGGTGTCCCGTGGGTTAGGAAACTCCGTGCCTCACCTCTGCCCTGCCCACAAGGACCTGCACCTCGTCAGCCTTCTCCCTTACAGTCAGGAGGAACCCTAGCTTCTTTTTGCTATGCAGACATATCCTCTTCCTGGTTTCTCCTCCATCCAGGGACCCACAAAGTCCTCCCAGAACTTTAGAGTGTGACATATTTCGCAGGACCCGAAAGTGTCCAGCGTGCCCTCCCTGGAACTAAACAGTTGTTAATGCAGGCATAGGGAGTTGTGAGGTCTGAAAGGATGTAAGCAGATTTATTACATCAGCTACTCTAGAAAGAAAACTTGTTCTAAGTACACATTTTGTGCCAGCACTTTATATGCACTATCTCATTGAATCCTCCCAATGGCTTTAGGAGGTAGGTGCTATTAATATCTCCGTTTTATGGATGATGAAATTGAGGCCTGGAAAGATGAAGTAGCTTTCCCCAGCTTACAGACAGAAATCTTAGTGATAGCCGGGCGCGGTGACTCACGCCTGTAATCCCAACACTTTGGGAGGCTGAGGCGGGCAGATCACCTGAGGTCGGGAGTTTGAGACCAGTCTGACCAACATGGAGAAACCCCGTCTCTACTAAAAATAAAAAAATTAGCCGGGCGTGGTGGTGCACGCCTGTAATCCCAGCTACTCGGGAAGCTGAGGCAGGAGAATCGCTTGAACCGGGGAGGCGGAGGTTGCGGTGAGCCGAGATCGCGCAATTGCACTCCAACCTGGGCAACAAGAGCGAAACTCCGTCTAAGGGGCGGGGGGCGGGGGGAAGAAATCTTAGTGATAGACCCTTTCTCACTCACTCTACTTGACTCCAAAGCTGCTGCCTTTTCATCATCAGAGCAAATTGCCCAACCTTTGATTTAATCTTGAATTTACTTCAGAGTATTAGGACACAAAGTGAGTAGGAAGGAAAACATATAGGTGTCCCAATATTTGAGTACTAGTTATTATTGGTAACTATTATTGGTTAAAATTGGTACCAGTTATTATTTTGTTTGAAGATCAGGAACCAGAAAGCTATAAATATTAAAGCCAACCTATACTGACAGGTTAGCAGTAATTGTAATAAGAATGCTATTTGAGAATTTACATTTTTTTGAGCATCTCTTAAAGTTAAAGGCAGTTGTAGACTAGGAAGATATGTGGCTGGAAAATTTGGTGTGGTTAAGTAAGCTTAGAAGAAAAAGTAGAAGTTTTTCATTTGTTTTTAAAAATTTCCAGTATTAGGGTCTGCAGTGAAACTGCCCTTTGCATTATTAAATGGTTACCTTTTAAATCGATTTCTTCCAAAACGGAAATTGAACCCAGCCATTTTTATCTTCCTTAACAAATAAAGTGATTTTTTTAAGTATCTGATGATTAAGACAGTGATGAAGTATCTGATTTACAAATGCCCATCCATATAAGCAGCTGTACCTGGACCATTAAAAAGGAAACTGTTGTTATATCCTTTTTTGCAGAGTAGGCAGGGGTAATTAATGTAGCTGAGGGAAAGGTACTAATATTCACCCAACTGCCCCACTCCCTATGCCTTGGCCTTCTTTCCTGTTCTTGAACCGTGTGATTCAGCCAAGCTTACGGTTTTTGAAATGGATTAAGTCAAACGTGGAGCTGTTATAATTCACCCAGTCTATTTTATTTCTAGCTGTTGAAATAATGTGTCTTTAAAGGCTCTGCTCTAAGCTTTCTCTGATCACTCTGCTCAGAAGGAAATGCTCTGTTATCTGAACTTATGTGCTACTTTCTTCCACTCTAGAGTCATTTGTTTTATTTTGTTGGTAGTATAAATTACTTTCCTTGTTACATTGTAGGCTCTTTGAGGCAGAGAGTATGTCTAATTCATGTTTATGTTCTGCTCTTCAGCGTTATTTCTACAGCATTTCACTGTAGAAATAAGTTGTGATGATGAAATGAGTGCAGTGCTAGTCAGAGAGAAGGTGCTTAATAATGCAAGTTTAATCTGAAACTAAAAGATGCAGACTTTATTAATTTATTTTGCTTTATCACTTTCTCCTTGCCTAAGGAAAGCCTCGAGTGTTGAAAGTCAGAGTAAAAATGCATTTGCAGCAGAGGTAGAATGAAACATGACTTAGCTTAATTTGTGTACTGGATTCTACATTTAAACATTTAGTTACTTAAACATTTAGTTTTTTAGCCATATTTGTCCATTTAGCGGAACTTGAAATATTCCTTTGGAAATTATAATAATTTAGCAATCCAGTCACCTGCAGGAATTTAATATTTTTGTTTACTTACTGCTTTCATTCTAGTTGGTAGATCTTAAGGCTGAACTCTTCCGAAAGCAAGAAGAATTCAAACAAGAAAAACTTCTAAAAGATTCTGGAGTTTTTGGAAAACCAAAAACAACTAACAAGGTAAAAAATAAGATCTAATTATCTCCATTGGTTCCAAACATGGGAGAATTATACCATATTTAAGTGTTTTAAAATTGTCAGTGGTATCTGTACACATAAATGTTAAGGAAAAATCTCTATCTTGTATTTAACATCTGCATGAAATGTTATTAAAATAGAAATTAGTAAGATTATATAAAAGTACATAGTAATGTGCTAATTCTTTAGCACTTCTTTTGGAAAAATGTGGATTGTTTACATTTCATAAACAGATGGAAGGTTATCTGGTTCTATAAGTGTTAGGTATCCAAATAGAGATAAACAATTAGATAATATAGGAATATAGCGGAAAATATCAGGGTGTATAAGAGCTGTGAATTTTTCCAGTTTTATAGGTAATAGTGTCTACTATTTGTATTACTAATTCTCTGTAATATGTACATTTTCATTAATCTTGATTTAGGTTGTAATCATTCAGGAGATAAAAGATAGTAGGAAGTGATTCTGCACTCAGGAAGCTCTTTAGGCTGGGCGTGGTTCCCACGCCTCTAATCCCATCTCTTTGGAAGGCCGAGGCAGGCAGATCACTTGACCCCAGGAGTTCGAGACCCGCCTGAGCAACATGGCAAAACCCCGTCTCTACAAAAAAAAATTAGTCAGGCATGGTGGTGCGCACCTGTATTCCCAGCTACTTGGGAAGCTGAGGTGGGAGGATCACTTGAGCCCAGGATGTTGAGGCTGCAGTGAGCTGAGATCGCACCACCACACTCCAGCCTGGGTGACAGAGTGAGATCCTGTCTCAAAGAAAAAAAAAAAAGTTATTTATATAATTGAGGGCTCTTTTTTTAGCTCCTGCTTGCCATGTATAGTCAGTATCTTTGTAGGACACAGCTTATCTAGTTATCTCCATTGATTCATAAGAACTCATGATCTCCTTTGTTTTTTTTTTTCCTGATGCACAAGTAGAGATTTTTTGGCAATCATGTGGTTCTGTTTTGTCTTCTAAAATTATTCTCCAGAAACCAAGTATCTGGAGCAAACAGAATGTAGGCGTTTCAAATCGAGCTGAGAAGGATGCTGAACAGAAGATTGAAGAACAGAAGACTTTAGACAAAGCAAGGTAAAGTTATAAGCTCTGGTAAATATAGTTAGCTTTGAGGCTACCCAGGCAGAGAAATGGAAGTTCAAATTTTGTCCTTTTTGATTTACAAATTTTATTTTTAACATCCTTCTAGCCCAATGCTCTAAGTACTCTAAAAATAATATAATTTGCAGATATATCTGTAGTCTTATAAAAAGGTAAAACATAGTCACAGTTTATAAGATGAAACATTCTTGCTGTCAGCCTTTGTTAGACACTAAGATTATCAATACATTTTTAAGAGGTTTTCCCATGGTGTGGGCTAGGTGGGATGACACTAGAATTTAGAAACCCTAAACTTCCCCCCCACCTTTTATTTTGAAAAACTTCAAGGGTACATAGAACATTCTAATATTCTTCACCTAAATTCCCCAGTTAACATCTTGTCACATGTGCTTTCCCTCTCTCTCTCTTACACACACACACGCGTGTGTAGAGAGACTTTAAGCTTCATACTTTCCCTGTAAGTCGTTCAGCCTATATCTTCTGAGAACAAGGACATTTTCCTACATAACCACAATACCGCTATCAAACCCAAGAAATTTAACACTGATAAATTAGTATTATCTATTTTGTGGTCCATATTCAGATTTCACCAGTTATCCCAGTACAATTATGTATTTTATAGATTTAAAAAAAAATCCAGGATTCAAAGATTACCCATTGTTTGTAGTTGTCAAATCTGTTTAGTCTTCTTTAATCTAGAACTGTTCCCTTGCCTTTTGGTTGTCTGTTATGCCATTAACGTTTTTAAAGGGTCCAGGCCAGTTATTTCTGCAGTGTCCCACAACCAATTAGAGTCGTATGAAATGTTTTTGGTAAGAATACTATGTGGGCAGTGGTGTGTCCTTCCCATTGAATCACATCAGGAGGCTCATAAGGTCAGTTTGAGTCGTTATTGGTGTTGATAGGTTTGATTACTTGGTTAAGGTATATATGCTTGGTTTCACCACTGTAAAGGTGCCTCCCCAATTTGTAATTAATAGTAATCTGAAGTGGGAAATTTGGAGACTGTGTGAATATCCTCTTCACCAACTCATTTCCATGCAATGATTTGTTATCATTGATGAATCTTGATAGTTATCAGTTATCACATTGCTGGTTTCAGAATGATGATTTTTCTAATTCTGTCATTCCATCTTTATTATTTTTCTAAAGAAAAGACAGCATCACCCTCAGAGAGAATCCCAAGTTTCAATGTTTGGCATGACTGCTACATGTGCTTTTGGATATATGGAATAATAAAATTCTGTGGTCCCAAACAGTAGTTGCCAAGGTTGCTCAGCAATCTTGGGTCTGAAGATAGAAGGCAGAATATTAGCCCATTTGGGGACATTTTCTTAGCATTTGACCTGTCCCCAACAGACCTCAGGCTTTACTTAAAGATATGATCAGTTTTGAGACATTTCCCACTCTTGGACATATTCTCAGAATTTTAATTTTGTCCAAAGTTACCATGATCTTTTATTATTTTGCTCTGTGTATCAAGAGTTTTTCTTGGCACTTTGCTGTGCTTTTTCTATGCAGTAACTTTTATGAAGCACTTTGGTTTTGCTGTGTTGTGGGAGTCAAGACAACTGCAGGATGTCTGCCTCCCTCCAGAGCTCAGAACACGCAAGCACAGTCCCAGGCTTTTCTGAGGTAGAAGGCCTTGGGCAAGTTAGTTATCTGTTAAGACTCTTTCTTTATCTATGAAGTGAGGTGGTTAATACTTAGGTTATGAAGTCCTTCAGGGAATTAAAGGAGATAAATAGTGTCTGGCACTTAGAGGTTGCAGGCAGTGTCCCTGCTCTCATGCTCTGAATCCCATCTTTCTAACTCAACAGAAGAAACTGTTCTTTAAAGTCACTAGTGACATCCTCATCCACTAAATCCAGCGGCCGTTTCCCTGACACCTTCCTTGATCTCAATTATCCATTTGTAGTCTGTTCCTAACCCCTGAAAACTGTTGCTACACTGCACCAAGTTTCATATCCTTTCTCACGTGCTCTCATCCCTGCCTGTCTCTGTCTCTATTTTGCACCATTCTCTATTTTGCTCAGCACCCTCTGCTCTACTGGTCTCTCTTGAAAATGTCAAGCTCATCCTCACTTAATCTTTCCTTTTTCTGACCTGCCTTCCCTGCCCCCAGATCCTCCTGTGGTTGGCTGCTTCTTGCTGTGCAAGCCATGGCTCCGTTTTCATGTTCAGAGAGGTTTCCCCTGACTGCCCTCTCTCAGTTAGTGTCCTGCCCACTCACTCTAACCTGACACTTGTTGCTTTGTGTTCTGTTTGACTTTTAAATTTTTTCTAGTTTTCTTTTCATTAAAACAGTAAGATCCTCTGATGACCAGCTAGTTACAGTAAGAGCCCTCCAAAATAGGGGTCTTAGAAGCCTGATATGAGTGAGCCGGTCCACCATGCACTGCATTACTGCATGTCAAGGGGCCTCTCTGCTGGCATGCGTTTCTTCCCCTCACAGCTCTTCTCACAGTCTCAGGTCCTCCTTTTCATTCCTTTCTTTATTGTCCTTCTCCATCTCTAGAATGGGAACTCCCAGGAAGCTGGGACTTTTTCTTGTTCCTGTGAGTCCTCAGTGCCTAAAACAGTGCTTGGCAGGTAGGAGGTGTGCAATAAGTACTTGGTGAATGGATGTGTAAAATAAAAGAGGAATGTTTCTGACATTGTGATTAAGAGTGGTCATTCACAAGAGAACTCGCAGATCATCCACAAGAGAACTCTTTGGGGCTTCTCTTTACCATCATTAAGTATTTCCAGAATAAAGAATTGCTTACCCTCTCATGGTCTGTACCACTGAAAAATACATGTCATCAGAATTACTGTGAGCAGAGAGGCTGCTTTGTTGGAATGTTGACATTTGTTTTAAGTTGGCAGTTAAATTAAGTTGTTGGATTCTTAAGTCAGTTGATCCACTTATTCATTCATCAAATATTGATTGAGAACCTACTGTGTGCCAAGTGTTATTTTAGGCCCTGGGACCAAGTAATAAATAAGAGGACACAGGCCATGCACTCACGGAGCTTCTGTTTTCCTTGGCAGAGCAGACATGGGGCAGGGTGGTCTGAGGGTCTCCTCAGGATGGTGTGGTCTGTGCTGGTTGTGGTTGTCTTGACAGGCTGGGCCTCATGGGCAGATGGTACCTGTCAGGCAGGGAGTGTGGGGGCAACCAGGATGAACAGTTATAAGACCATTTCTAATACTTGTATTTTTTTTCTCCTAGGGAAAAATTGGAAGAAAAAGCCAAATTATATGAAAAAATGACTAAAGGAGACTTTATAGGTAAATAAAATTTGTTATTTCTACTTCATTTTCTATAATGCATACAGCCCTTTGATATTACATTACTTGTTAAAATAACTGTAGGAGTAGAGAGAAAATTTAGACGTCAAAATTTTACTTTCCATGGCTGCACAGAGACAAGAAAATCAGCAATAATTTACCAATTGTCTAGTGGGTGCCTGGCAGCATGTTAGGTGCCTGGAAGGGACAAACAAGTACTGGAAGCCAGATCCTCTGTCTCTGCCCTCAAGGCAGGGTCATCTGGTGGAGGAAAATGACACAGAACAAAGCAAAGTTAGGGAACAATGTCTGAGTAGGCCGCAATTACCTACAATTACAGCTGTGCTAAAACAGGGTGGGTTGGGCTGGGTGGAATTGTGGTTCTGTTAGGTGCTAGAGTTATGTTTCTTCTTTCCCTATTTTCCCTCTATTTTCAATTTTTTTTCTGTGCTGTGCTTATAATTGCTTTAAATCTGTTTGGGTGTAGTGGCTTACGCTTGTAATTCCAGCACTTTGGGAGGCCAAGGCAGGCAGATCACCTGATGGCAGGAGTTTGAGACCAGCCCGGGCAACATGGTGAGACTCTGTCTCTACAAAAAGTAATTTAAAAATTAGCTGGACATGGTGGTTCATGCCTATAGTCCCATTATTTAGGAGCCTGAGGCTTGAGCTCAGGACTTTGAGATTACAGTGAGCTGTTGATCATGCCACTGCATCCTCGGTGCAGTAAGCTATGATCCAGCCTGGGTGACAGAGTGTGACCCTATCTCTAAAAAAAAAACAAAAAACTCCCTTTTCTCATATCCCCCAGAAAAAACCCAATCCATAATTAGACAACAGTAGAAGAGATTTTATGAGGCAGGGAGAGTGAATATGTAATCAGGGAAGTCTTTTGGGAGAAGTTGGGCTTAGCTTTGGCAAGCTGGAGAAAGGGATCCTGCAGGGGTAGATTGGTAAGCAGACCAGCTGAGGAGGGCAGGGCCAGAGGTCAACAGAGTCACCTAGCCTAGCATGGCTGGGGCCCAGGTACAGTAGGAGAGAGGCCAGGCTGGTCCTAGGTCCCTGACCGCTTCTTCCCAGACAGCAGGGGCACTTTCCCTGTATAGCAGGAGCCTGGCACAGGAAGGTCAGACACTCAACAAAGCTAGGTACTGTGGGAGAGGTTTTGCCTTCTTCCTGAAGGGGCAGCAGGATGGCCGCCTACCAGGAGGCCTCACTAGCCTATGGCCTTATAACTCAGACATTTCCTCTCCATTTCAGGTATTTCATGGTTTTAAAAAATAAGTTTATTTCAGGCTAGGCGTGGTGGCTCATGCCTGTAATCCCAGCATTTTGGGAGGCCGAGGCGGGTGGATCACAAGGTCAGGAGTTTGAGACCAGCCCAGCCAACATGGCGAAACTCCATCTCTACTAAAAATACAAAAATTTGCCAGGCGTGGTGGCAGGCACCTGTAGTCTCAGCTACTCAGGACGCTGAGGCAGGAGAATCACTTGAACCCGCGAGGCGGAGGTTGCAGTGAGCCAAGATAGTGCCACTGCACTCTAGCCTGGGCGACGGAGTGAGATTCAGATTCAGAAAAAGAAAAAAAAAGTTTATTTTATTAAAGTCTTTTCTGTTTTGATTCAAACTTTACTTATGTTGTTAATATAGAAATCAGGTCCAAAGGAGTGTGAAGGTAGAGACCTGGTTTTGTCAAAGCCAGCAAGCCTACCTCCTGATAGATATGTCAGACCTGCAAGTTTGGGCAAGTTATATTTTGGAGCCTCAGTTTTTCTTCACCCTAAGGTGGGGAAAACACCACCCCTGGTAATAGGGAGCTTAATGTGGGTTCAATGTAGCTTAATCTCTGTCATCAGAGAAAAAGACTCAAATGACTGTGTCCTAAATCCAGCATAGTGAAACTTTAGGTATACATTATTTGTGCTACATGAGCTATCCTGGGTTAAATTAGGTAAGTCATGGATTGTTGTTTAACTTTCAGTGTGTGTTTTAGCTCCTCGAGTGGACCATAAGCCCTGCAGGCAGAGGGTGTCTTGCATATCTGTATATGCCCTGCAGGGCCGGGCTCTATGCCTTGCCTGGAATTGGTGTTCATTGGCTTGACAAGAACTCAGATGACTTCTTTTACCTGTATTATGACCTTTAAAACACTTACCATACCACAGCAGTATAATCAGGGTTAGTGATCCAGCCCACATGGTGAGACAGATATATAACGCCTAAAGCAAGAAGTTCTACTGTCCTGATCTGATGACACGGAAAATGCAGTTTTGCTTCCGTATGATGTAATTGGTTGGATGAGTTGCATAAAATCAGACTGTTGTGTTATCTTAAAATGACATTCTAAGATGGTTTTGCTCACTCAGGTAGTGTATTGATGAGGCAATAGAAAACTTTAGGCTTTTTCAAGATTTTTTTGTGTAGTATATGTCAGTTCCCAAGGTAGCTGTGTGTCTTTGTAAACATTTGGGGAGTGGAGGCATTGGCTGATGAGCTGTCAGGGGTGATGGGGCCACCAGGCAATGAATGTGACTGCTTCTTGTCCATTCCATGTGTGATTTTCCTTTTTGATGTCTGAAAACTGATTTTTATGTCCTAGATGAAGAAGTAGAGGATATGTACCTTGTGGATTTCACACAGAAGATCATAGACAAGCGCAAAGAAATGGAGGCATCTGGTGCCCATAGAGATTCTCAAAAGGCAGGAGAAAGGGACGACGATGAGGAAAACCTTCCTGAGGGAGAGATCCCTCCTCCCCAAGACCCCAGTGAAGAATGGTTGGTAACATCATGGATTAGCTCAGAGGAACATCCTCAGACTTGCGCTGACATTTTGGGAGTGATTTTGTTGGGTTGTTATCGAGCCATTTCTCTTTATTCTTCCTGGGTGTTCTTTTGAGACTTCCCTTTAAGTTAGGTTGGATTAGGTTATTATAGTTGTAAAAACAGTAGCTCAAATGAAGACATAATTACAATAATTACAATAATTACATATAATTACAAATACTGACTGGGCTTCTGCTGTGTGCCCAGCTCTGTGCCAGGCCGAAGGAAACCCAGTGCCTGGCAGACTTGGCTTGCCTGGCTCACTAACATGAAACAGTGAGGGCAGAGCGCCTTCCTTTTGTACCTGTGCTGCTGCCTTACCCGTGTTCTTGTTCTGACATGGTGGAGAGCTGTCATCTAGGAGAAGGAAGCCGGCAGAGGTGGCACAGTGTGTTTTACTCCGCCTGTGACATTGTTTGGCACTGTGGTGTGGACTCGTGGGCCTTGGATGGTTCCATCTGCACCTTTTACTGGCTGTATGATCTTAATCAGGTTCCTTAGTCTTTGAGGCTCAGGATCTTCCATTATAAAATAGAGATTATAATGCCTCATTCCCATGGCCCTTTGCTTTAACACCCCCCCGCCCCCCTTCAAGAAGTAAGTGTTCCAGGCTACACAAGAAAGTGCAGCCTGTGGAGTATAAGCAGGCATTTTGTAAACTTTTATTATTGTCATTTTCCTGAATTTTGCCTATATGTAGATGAATGATAGAAGAACCAAACTCGTCTTTTCCTTAAAGAGACTTTGTATCAATAAGTAGAGAGACCAGAATGGGAATTCTGTTACAATGATTTTTTTCTACCTAAGATATTATTGTTTGGAAACTGTTCAGCAGTGCTTGAAATTGCTGAGAGCTGTACTGATGCTCTGACAATTTCCTGGGAACCCATCCTCTTGCCTTTGGGATTCTTCTTATCCTCCTTTCAAGGCTCAAATGTCCTCCTTGTGGTGGGCATTTGTTAGGAACTGCTCAGGACTCTTTGTAGCAGGCGTTCATCTTTTGTCAGCCTTTGGCCTTGTGGGCAGTCATTGATGAGCTGAAGAGAGCAGTCCCAGCTACTGTGGATGGCAGAGAAACTGCATCTTCATTCTACTGAGGGTGTCCATGTTGGTTTAGAAATAACATTCTCATTGGGATAAAACAGGTATCTTTTTACCTACTGTCTTAAAAACTTAGATCTAAATAGTTTGATACCATTTGGAACAGGTGTCAGCCTGCAAGCTATAAGAAACCAAAAGAGAAGAACATGCAGTCTCTTCTTTTGGTGTCTTTCTTCATCATTTCTTTCTTTCTTTTTTATTTATTTGTTTTTGAGGCAGGGTCTCCACACTCCGTCACCCAGGTGGGAGTGCAGTGGCATGATCATGGCTCATCACAGCCTCGACCTCCTGGGCTGAAGCAATCCTCCTGCCTCAGTTTTTAATTTTTTTTGTAGAAACAAGGTCTCACTATGTTGCCTAGGCTCTTCTTGAACTCCTGGGCTTGAGCAATCCTCCTGCCTGGGCCTCCCAAAGTGCTGGTATTACAGGCGTGAGCCACCACGCCTGGCCTATCATTTCTAATGTCTAAGTGATTGCTCCCTCATCTGAAGTCAGGTAGCACTTAATATACTTCCTGCTCTTCGGGTATTACCTTTTATTTATTACTGACACATACTAGGCCTCATTATCAGAAAAAGATTTTAGCAAACTTTTGGTAGTCTTTACGTACCCAGTGTTGTTAATAAGCGTTTCATGGGTGTGTGCCTTAACTTCCCTAGACCCTTGGAAGATGGCATGGCTGTTAGCCCTCTTGTATTACTCTCCTTGCCTGGGGAAAGCTTTGTTTGCCTGCAGGGGTTGCTCAGTGGGTGATTGCTGATTAGATGGAGCCGTGGCTGACTACTGTCTTGCCTCTTCTATTTAATGAGATCTGTATGTTTTGGAGGCCTTCTCCAGAAACAGAATGGTCTATGATTGCTTTTCATAGCAGAAATCTCATCTCCTTTGAAAGGTCTAATGTCTTTTTAAAAATTTTTGCTTATTAATGCCTGTGTGATTACAAGCAATTTGCTAGTGATTTGAAGAGTTTGGAGGGCAATTGAAGGTGTCACATGCCACCATATGGTGAAGGAAGACGCTCTGCAAGCAGTTCTGACACATTTTTTTGTTTTTAAATTAAGCTCCAGAATTGTAATTGCTTGTAAAATCCTTTTGATAGTTAAATTCCAGGTGGTAGAAAATCTTTCCGTAAAGATACTGTAAATAATTACACAGACCATCTGGCTAGATGGTTTTCTTCCCCCATCCATTTGGGGGGAAAAAAAGGAAGAAAGAAACTGCTTGCTGCAGTTGGAGGTTTTATTTCTTGTGATAATCAGCTTCAGTACTAGAGTAAACACTCAGTTTTTAAATCACAACTAACAATTGAAATCAGCATTGCTTGAGAGGAAAAAAAATTGCTAACAAAAGCAAAGCCACATACCTGCCAAATCTGACCTTGAATTGGTCTGCCAGCTAGTACTTATTGGACCTTACTGTGTATTCGGTACCCTGCTAAAGGCTCTAGGAGGTTCTCTGCCCATAATTTAAAAAGTAAAATATCTGTTGCGTCATAATACAAATGAGATGTTTTTCATGAACATCTGTCCGTATTTTCCATTGTAGGAAGTCAGAATATTTCACTTTGCCTTGCTATCTGCCTGGCTTAGCTGTCTGACCACTGTCTAGTTTGAGCAAAGATGAGGAGAGAGGTATGGTGTTTGGCTTCCTCCTAATTAAGAAGAGTCCAACTCTGAAAAATACTGTGCATTTCTTACATTAAGAGTTTGCTAATACATTGGGTAGAATTATACCAATTAGAGGAAATAAGAGAAAGAATAAAAAGTCAGACTTGAAGACTGTGAGGAAATGAGCAAGTTGAGAATCTCAGGCACAAGGCAAAGTTATTAAGATACTGATAAAATGTCTGGAATTGTCTCAACTAGGTTAAAGTAAGTTCGTAGATGCTGCAGCAAAATTCCGTGTGGGTGATTTATCTGTGAGATCAAAGGCATAAATGATCAAAATTATTGTTAACAGTTTCTAAAACTAATATTTAATAAGGGGCACAATGAGCTTATTGTGTGTCAGCTTTAAAAAGCATATTCCTATCAGTGGTAGTGGTCTCTGAGGTTGGGGGCTCTTCTTGGTAGTGAGGCCTATCTTCCCCCTTCACTGTTCACCTACTCCCTGACTTAGGGGCTTGTACATGTGTACAAGTCCTTCTTCACATCTTTTTGCTTTCATTTCAGGGTGGATTACGTGGACTCTTTGGGGCGTTCCCGGCGCTGTATGAGAAAGGATTTGCCAGATCTGCTGGAGATGGATAAAAATCTTCAGGGGAGACTGTAAGTGTGTGTGGTATACAGAGCTCTGCCAAGGTCTGAAATGCAGCCACAGGGATTGTTTTGTGAGGGGAGGCTGTTTTATAATTAATGATCTCTGTTGCTCCAGTAAGGAGATATTGATTGATTGATTGATTGATTGAAGCACTTTTTAGTGGTTAGCATGCACATACACACATAATCCACACTTGGGGAACAACCTGACTGGTGGATGAGTAGAGCTGTCTCTTTTACTTGGAAGGATGTCTGACAACAGAGTAACAGAATAAACCCAAACGAAACCAGCAAACCAGGCTTTGTGGAGACAAGTGGTTTGAGAATATACACTTGATTATCCCACAAACAAGTGGCTCTAGGGAGAGAACTTACTCACTTTTTCTTTATGTATCATTGCATTTTTGAAGTAAGGGCCTTATAACTAGATTTTTCAGCAGGGCCTAAGACCTAAGACATAACTCTAAAACGTAAGACCTAAGAGATAACTCTGAAACATCCAGGGGAATAAATTCCTCTTACCATAGGAACTTTTATGTGAAAAGTGTTGGGAGAAACTCCACCTTGTCCAAGTCCTGCAGGTTCAGGCATCCAGCACATAGCCTTTGGCTTGGCATAAGAAAGGGAGAATGGAGGCTGGGCGCGGTGGCTCACGCCTGTAATCCCAGCACTTTGGGAGGCCGAGGCGGGCGGATCACAAGGTTAGGAGTTCGAGATCATCCTGGCTAGCACAGTAAAACCCCGTCTCTACTGAAAATACAAAAAAAAAAAAAATTAGCCAGGTGTGGTTGCGGCCGCCTGTAGTCCCAGCTACTCAGGAGGCTGAGGCAGGAGAATGGCGTGAACCCAGGAGGCAGAGCCTGCAGTGAGCCAAGATGACGCCACTGCACTCCAGTCTGGGCTACAGAGCGAGACTCCGTCTCAAAAAAAAAAAAAAAAAAAAAAAGAAAGAAAGGGAGAATGGAAACCTTTGAGCCTCTCAGGGCCCAGCCATCTGCAAGGACAGGAGACACCACTCAGGCCACAGTGCTAAGCAGTTTTCATGTCCCCAGATGAGAGACCATCCACAGGAGGAGACCCAGAGTTCCTCCTCCCTGCCTGGGCCACCTCCCATCTGGTCAGCCCAGGACCTGGGTGGAAGGAAAGTTTTTTGTCTTGAGTGCTCAGGCAAGATTCCGTCAGGCTAAGGTAACAAGTCTGGTGCTTGAGTAAGAAGGGTGAAGGCTGGCCGGGCGCAGTGGCTCATGCCTGTAATCCCAGCACTTTGGGAGGCCAAGGCAGGCGGATCTCCTGAGATCAGGAGTTCAAAACCAGCCTAGCCAACATGGTGAAACCCTGTCTCTACTAAAAATACAAAAATTAGCCAGATGTGGTGGTGGGTGCCTGTAATCCCAGCTACTCGGGAGGCTGAGGCAGGAGAATCTCTTTAACCTGGGAAGCCGAGGTTGCAGTGAGCCGAGATCGTGCCACTGCACTCCAGCCTGGGCGACAGAGCAAGACTAGTCTCCAAAAAAAAAAAAGGCGAAGGCTGTTTTATTGATTTTCCAGCAGTCTTGTGGGTCAGAAGCCTCTGTAGTTCCCTGTTTTCTTTATCAAATAGTGTTACTTATGCATGATGCAACTGACTGTACTTAAACACTGATATCTCAATCCTTATCTGAAGATAGTTTTTGCTCTGTTTTCCTGCTAGTTTTATTAGTCCTGCTAATGAAAAAACCCTATTATCTGAAGATATGAGAAAAGAACTTCAGCGCCAGCAATGGGAGGAAGAAGAAAGAGAGGCCCTGAAGAGGCCCATGGGGCCCGTACATTATGAAGACATTCGGGAAAATGGTATGACTATTTTCTTGCAGCTTTGCAAATCTTATTTTTAACCTTAAACTGATGGCAAACATAAAGGGAAGTATTCATAAAGCAATAGCTTTTACATGGAAATTAAAGATCCTGCTTTGGAAATAGAAAATATCTCCTTTGTTCACTTCATAGCCTTAAAATACTCACATTTGGGAATATCTTCCTGACAGAGGGTCTGGTAATCCAAGGGATTGTTCCCTGAGAGAAGTGGAGACAGCCCATGGCTGAAAGCAAACGAACCCTTGTTATGCTTCCCTTGGCAAACAGGACGAAAACTTGGTCTAACTTTTGTGTTTCTTTGGTTTTTTGTTTCTTCGCTTAGCTGTTTTCTTTTTCTTTTTAAAACTTGTGCCAAATATCACTGTGTTTCTTTTTGCTTTGGTAGGAAATGTGGCTTGAGTGTAGTTGAATGATCAGGACAGTCTGATCTTTTGGGTAATTCATACTTCTTTCAGAGGCCCGGCAACTTGGTGTTGGGTATTTTGCCTTTGCCCGAGACAAAGAGTTGAGAAACAAGCAGATGAAAACCTTAGAGATGCTGCGTGAACAGGTACAGATAAATCCCAAGTGACTGTGAGGAAAGATGTGAGCGCTTGGTTTCTTGCTGGACCATACTGCAGAAAAATCTAGTAAATTAGTTAGAAATTAAAATTGATATTCAGAATTGCATAAAGGTAGTTGCCATACTATTTTTGTGTTTCAAATTTTATAACTGCTCACAAGTAACCTGTGTAACTTTGATGTTTTAAATCTGGTCCCAAATGTGGTACTTTTGGGGTGGCTTGGATGGGAAAATAGAAAGTTACTTAAAGGATTAAGGTGTAGGACGGAATGGGTTGGTTTTCTTGAGTGTTAAGGCTTGCAAGATGCTCTGTGAACTCTTATGAAACTTTGTAAGACATCAGAGGGTTCATAGGAGAGTACTTCATAGGGCTTCATTGTGAGGATCTCAAGGACAGCTTCTTAGAGGTGGCCTGAAGATCAATTAACTAGTCTATTTTTAGAAGAAAATTTCATCTTTTTGGACAGGAATATTGCAAATTTGGCTTCAAGCAAATAATTTTCTGATTTTCTGTTCAGACAACAGATCAGAGAACAAAACGAGAAAACATAAAGGAAAAGCGAAAGGCTATCTTAGAGGCAAGACTTGCCAAACTTCGACAAAAAAAGATGAAAAAATCAAAAGAAGGTGGAACAGAAGAAGAAAATAGAGGTATATCATGGCTATGTTGCTGAACTTCAAAAGGGAAAATTTTATTTCCATTGATGTCTTGCTAATAGGGCTGGCAATGTGAAAATTAGCCATTTAGTTTTATATTTAAGCAAACAGTATACCTTTGAGGTACTGGCAGGAGCAATTTTTATAACCAAAGTGATGCAGAATGACATTCAATATTTTTAGGCTATAGATGAGGATATGAAGCAACAATACATTGTGTTGCATCTTAGAATGGCATAGTCTTGTAATTGAGACTTAGTAAAGAGATATTTTAAGATAAAGTTTAGCTTTGCATATATATGTTTTAGACTTAAATTTTTTGCTATTGGTTATTTTATATATATATTTAAAGAAATTTATATTCATAAAGTTACATAGTAAAAGAATTTAGAAATATGAATATCGACAGCTTGCCAAAGCTTACCAAAGAACTGTGCTCCAGAAGTTGGTGATGTGGAACTTGGAGCACGGTTCCCCTTGGAAACACTGTTAAATGCTATGTCAGACTAGCTTATTGCATGAGTTGTGGTAGTACAGGCTAAATTGCCATCAATCTAGAGACTCCTACATAGAATGGCTCAAACAAAATAGAGATCTGTTTCTCTACTTAACAACTTGGAGGTAGGTGGGTGAGTGGGTATCCAGGGCATGTGAGTAGCTCTGCCCTAGATGGTCATCTAGTCCCAGGCTTCCTCCAGGCTTGCTGTTTCTGCCATTTCCTAGAGTATTTTTCTCTTCTGCATAGTCAAAGCTTGCTCCCCTGCTCACCTGTTCATGATCCAGCCTAGGGGTAGGCAGGGAGACTGGGAAGGGGAGCCACCTTCCTTTTTAGAGATGTGAGTGGGAAGTTACATACAGCCTATGCATTTACATCCTGCTGGCCAGAGCTCAGTCCTGTGGGCCACACCTCACTGTAGGAGAAGCTGGGAAATGGCCTCTCCAGCAAGGTGGCCACATGCTCAGCTGCAACCGGGGGGCATTCTGTTACCCAAAGGAAAAGGAGGAGTGTGGGTATGAAGGGACGTATAGCTCTCCAGCTCTCACAAAGCTTATGTGAAGCCATGGGCCATTTCCTAATGTCTGAACAAAACAGACCAGAAACATTTAGGAATTTGAAAACCATCTGTTTAGTTTCAGATAAATGCTCGCTCTATAACATGTTAAGCTGTGCAGATTGTTTCTCAAATTTTGCTCCATCTCCTGAACATCTGTCATGTCCAGAAAATGTGAAGCGCCACCACAGTGTTTTTTAAAAATCCATTTTTCTTTTACATTTTAAAAATGTGACCAAAATTGAACAGCCTACACCAGACCCCAGCTGTTCATCCCCTTGGCTCTGCTTGCTTCGCCTGAGATTGTGATGTTAGTTGAGTGATTTGGGGATTTCTGGTCCTGCAATTGCCAGTTTGGAGAAGCAGAGTGGCATAGTGAGGGGCACAGAGACTAAAATCCATCCAGCCCAGCCCAGGACTCCAGCCCGTATCACTTTCTACCTGTGTACCATTTCTGAGCTTAATTTTCCCCCTCTATAAAATGGGGATAATATGGAAGTATTGAATTTATTAGGATTGTTACAAGAATTAAATGACCTGTTGTATACAAAAGACTTAATCCACTGCCTGGGACATGTTAGGTACTTCATAAATACTGATGGTTACTTTTACTTTCAGGATTAGCATGTTCTGTATTTTTAAAAATAGCTTTAGGCTTTTTTATAACAGTGTCTTATTCTTTTACAAAAAATAGATGGAGATGTTATTGGGCCTTTGCCACCGGAGCCAGAGGCTGTGCCAACCCCACGTCCTGCTGCCCAGAGTAGCAAAGTAGAAGTCATTGTCCAGGAGAGGAAGGACACCAAGCCTGGAGTGCCACACATCCGGGAGTGGGACCGCGGAAAAGGTAAGGGAGGTGGGCTCTGAGGTGTAAGAACTCTCCAGTGAATGGAAAATGGTTTTTTTTCTAGAAGCACTTGGGGTAAGTTTTAACTTCGTGCTGCCTTGTGTGGTTTTACAGCTTTGGAATGCCATTTCTCAGGACCTGCCTTTAAAGTATTATGAAAGTTTGGTGTTCTCATATGCTCTGTTTTTAGCAGCCTCTTTTATGTTCAGTTGAAAATGGTCTACATGCCAGTGTACTAACCTGGATTCACACATGGTTCCATTGGGGAATTTCCCTGGACATTTTTTCTGTAAATTCTCCAGAGTGTCCACAGCAGCCTCTCTGGAAGACTATGGTTTATGCCTCTTTGAAAAAGATCATTTCAGTAGAACATTAGCCCATGCTGTCTGAGCTGATAAGATCCAAAGCTAAAGTAAGAGAAATGCAAGAGCCACTGTTAGAAATAGAGATGAAATACCAGACAAGGTTGGACAGTTCCCTTTTGTGTCTTCCAAAACTCAATAACGGACAAAATTTGTATTTTGGTATGAAATACCTACAATGTCATGTCAAGCAGATAATTTGTCTGTATTTCTCTTTTTCTGTATTTCCCCATCTAGAGATAGTCACTCCCTTTTCTTAGCCTGGTCTTTTATACTCGTTGTAGGTATTACTTATACCTTGTAATATAGTTTTGCTGTTGCCATTCTTATTCTTTGGATAATTTGTGGTGGCTTTTAAGAAATATATGATACAATTAGATAATAGTAACAATAAATTCAACTGATTCGTTAATCAGTTCTAATAACTTTCTTTCTTATTTTTACCAGAATTTTCCTTTGGATACTGGTCGAAGAGGCAGTCAGATCTCCGGGCTGAGAGAGATCCTGAGTTTGCCCCGCCGTCAGATTACTTTGTGGGTCAGAAGAGAACTGGTTTTTCCAGCAGCCAGGCATGGAGCAGACCTGGGCCAGCACAGAGTGACCCAGGGCAGTGCCCTGACCAGAGCCACGGACCTAGCCCTGAACATACGTCACCCACTCCTGCCCCCGACAACCCACCACAAGCCCCCACAGTTACTTTCAAAACTCTGGATGACATGATTTCCTATTACAAACAAGTGACATGATCTTTCAAAGCACGCTGACTTGGGTTTGTACTTTGACAGTGCCTTTCTCTCCCAGAGGGAGAAATAACTTTAGGAACTGAATTGTACCTTTGTCCTGTCCTTTCCCTAGGAGGCACAGACTTCGGGTTGGATTTGTCAGCAAGGAGGAAAGTTATGGAAACTTTGGCCACTTGGCTGTTCATTTTATTCTAAGTGGGATAGGGACATACCTACCTGGATTTACATGTGAGCTGCGATAGAATAGAAGTATTTATTCTGTAAAATTAGACACTGAGATGTGCTTATAACCCTGTTTCATATCTACTCCCACGACTTACTCATATTTAAGGGTTCTTTTCCATTCCTTTTGCAAATCCGAGCATGCAGGTGTCTTTATTCCAAGGGTTCAGCTTCCAGATCAGCCGATGGACCATAGGTCACGAGGAATTTCTCCCTGTCAAGCAGTGGAAAACTGCATGGGAGGCAAAATGCTCTGTTCTCCAAGAGGACCCGGAAGTAATCACATAGGAAATGATAAGGAAGACCAGGAGGAGCTCTTCGTAGTCCAGAAAGGTAGAAGTGGGAGTTGTTTACTTAATTTTACTGTCATACCATGCTATTACCTACACTCCTGTGTGCAGTGGGCATTCAGTAAATGTGTGTTGAAGGACTGGGACGTACGTGGAGGCTGCTGGACCTGGTCAGAGACTGATGTGCCTTAGCGGCAATGGTTAGAGCTTTTCAGTGCATCCCACCTCCCTGTCGCCCCCATGCTCGGCTTCCTCACATTCAGGAGCCTGACTTGGATCAGACTTGGGGCTGCACAGTGGAGCAGGTGGGTTCCCGTGTCATTAGTAATAAGGAGAGGGTTGGGGGTGGGCAGGGCTCCAGAAAGTCAGCAGTGTGCCTGGGCACCCACCCCATCCTCTACCTGCCACACCTCAGAGGGTTCCTACAGCTGCACACAAGCAGTTGAGAGTTGATGACCAGGCCCATAGGGCTCCCACAGCTGGTTCCCAGGCCAGTGAGTGCTGTGAGAATACAGTAGCACAAGTCCTTGTTCTCTGAAGAGTGGGAAGGAGAGGAGTGAGTGAAGTAGCCTGTCCCCTGCAGGTCCTCTGCGATGGCATTGTCTCGGTTCCCGCAGTGCTGCAGTGTGGAAGGGAGTGCCCCATCCTCATTACAGATGACACACTGGAGTGTGGAGGGGTCGATGACTTGTGCAGGGTCATATGGTACCTAAGGGGCAGATCTCAGACTTAAACACAATTGATGTCTAACCCCTAGACAGTCTTTTTAGTGCCCTCTGCTCTCAGTCTTGTTGCCCTAGTATCAAGCAATCTTAGACAAACATCCTGAATTCTTACAAACTTACCTCTAAACTCTGAGGATAAAGTTGCCAGTCCTTTTAATGGTCAGCCTAATCATTCTGTCAGCCTAATCGGGTAATTGCTTTTTTTAATAAATACACATAAAAACCAACTAACCCAGCTGCCTTTTTTGCAGAAATTGACAAGCTAATCTTAAAATTCACATGGAAATGCAAGGAACCCAGAATAGTCAAAACAATCTAGAGAAAAAACAAAGAGGACTCACACTTCCTGATTTCAAGATTGACCACAAAGCTACGATAATCTACACAGTGTGGTAGTGGCATAAGAATAGACACATAGATCAGTGGAATAGAGGCGAGAGTCCAGAAATAAAACATATATCCGTGGTCAATTGATTTTTGACAGTGGTGCCAGGACCATCCAGTGGGGAAAGAGCAGTCTTTTCAACAAATGGTTCTGGGACAAGTGAATATTCCATGCAAAAGAATGGGTTTGGACTTCTGCCTCACACCACATACAAAAAATCAACTCACGATGAATCAAAGACCTAAATGTAAGAGCTAAAACTACAAAACCTACTGAAACAGCTTGTAGGATAAAGAGGGAGGAGACAAAAAGAAAAATTGGAATACTAAAAAGAAAAATAGAATTATTAGACATGCTAGAATCATAGGAAAAATAGAAAAAAGAAAGGGTAGAAAGAAAACAGCTGGGCACGGTGGCTCACGCCTGTAATCCCAGCACTTTGGGAGGCCAAGGCGGGCGGATCACGAGGTCAGGAGATCGAGACCATCCTGGCTAACACGGTGAAACCCTGTCTCTACTAAAAATACAAAAAATTAGCCAGGCGTGGTGGCAGGTGCCTGTGGTCCCAGCTACTCAGGAGGCTGAGGCAGGAGAATGGCATGAACCCAGGAGGCGGAGCTTGCAGTAAGCCAAGATCGCGCCACTGCACTCTAGCCTGGGCAACAAGAGCAAGGCTGTGTCTCAAAAAAAAAAAAAAAAACAATGAATAGACAAAGAAAGATGGAAAGAGGATGTGTGTGTAACCCAGAGCAGAAGGACTTGAGGCTGACTGTGGAGTAGAAAGGAGAAGGGAGACAGAGACAAGGCAGGCAGCAGGAAGAGCTGTAGGTGTGGGAGCCAGCATCACAAAGGGTCCATCCCAGGTGACCACATCCATGCCTGCAGCACCCGGGTGGACGGCGAAGCAGTTATGCTCGTTGGCTCATGGTCACTGTTATCTGAAGATAACTGTGAGTCACATTTTCTCTGGGATTTCAAAAACTAAATAAACCTATTTATAATCCCCTCTTAACAGTATAATTTAGTTCAGTGTTTTGTGAGCCCTTTTCTGTTTCAGATCCAGTTCTTTGAGTATTGACACACCATCACAGTCTTACTGTGACACGGGCCTGTCTTGTACCAGTGTATCCAGCAGATGGCATTAGAATTCTTAAATGTCAGCTCCATACTCTTAAAACAGCACACTCCAACAGAAATAAAAAATAAATCTGTGGCGCATGCCTGTAATCCCAGCTACTTGGGAGGCTGAGGCAGGAGAATCGCTGGAGCCTGGGAGGTGGAGGTTGCCGTGAGCTGAGATTGCGCCATTGCACTTCAGCCTGGGCAACGAGTGAAACTCCGTCTCAAAATTAAAAAAAAAAAAATAAGCCCAGAGTGTCATTTTCAATTTTCTAGCAACCATATTTAAAAAGTGAAATTATAACATATTTTATTTAACTCAGCATATCCAAAATATTTCAATATGTACTCAATATATGCAAATTATTAGTGAGATCTAAAATTATTCTTCACACTAAGAATTCAAAACTCACTGTGTATCTGGTTATAGCATAATTTGGATGCTAACGTTTCATCAGGAATACTTGATCTGTATTTAGATTTTGTAAAATATGCAGTTGAAAAACACAAATTCATATCCAAGTTGTTCCAAAGATAGTTAAACATAGTAAAGTTTTTCAGTAACTGAATTGAACATCAAGTTTGAAAAAATAAAACCCAGTTCCTTAGTCATGCTAACCTTATTTCAGGTGCTCAAAGGGCCCATGCATCTAGTGCTGCTGTCCTGGACAGAGCGGCTCTAAGTGATCTGCTTTTACACGCTTTATGGTCCGACTATACATAATCCTCCCATTAGTAACTAAAGTATTGGCCAATAAATTTTTCCCAGGCATACATTAAACATTCACAATACTCTGTGGCCATGTTTAACTTGGGAGCAAGTAGTGGCAAAACCTCCTATACAAAAACGTGACCACACCTCATTCATGCCTTTGTAGAGCTAAGCAAAATGCTTTAGATCAAAAATTGCCTTGAATTATTTACGTTCATTGTAATCTCTCCTCTAGGCCTTTGTGTGTTTTGATAGAGTTCGTTTGAATTGGCTCAATAAATCATTTTATTTGCTGCAGAATTCCCAAAGAACATTCAGATCCATATACATGAGATTCCTGCTGCGTTTAGCCATACATTTGCCAGACTTGTGATGTCGTTTATTCCCTGTGAAAGCTCAAGTGCAGCCCACAGGGAGGTTTTCAGCTGACCTTGTTGTGACATGCAGATGAGGTAGTAGAGTTTAGAATTTGGAACGGGGATGGGTACTGGTCTTTACAGTTAACACAACCTGGAGTAGCCCATGCCATACTGTGTCCTTTTAAGTCAGTAAATTGAACTAAGTCGGTTATTCGGCAAGCAGTTCCTATAAAAAACTACATGGCTAAGGTGAGTGATGATCACTGAAAGGAATTCATTGACCCACTGAAAAAATGAGAGTAGATGAAACTACTGCAGTCATCCTGCCTGCCCCTGTTAGCTGGCTGAGTGAGGTGTTTTGCCCCGGTGGGCTGTGGACATTATCTTCATGTTTAAAGTGTGTGTACTGGGGGCGAGAGGCCAGGAATGATATGATGGGTGTAGGTCATTGTCTAGGAAAACTAGAAAATCCAAATGTTCAAAGGAAGTAAGGTGTTGTAGTGAAAAGCTGTCACCTGGCCTATCGATGTTCTGTTATGGTGTTTCTTAGTAAATCCCAGGCTGCATCTATATAGTCACTCATAGTAAGTGTGTGTTTGTCCAGTGGTAGGAGTGGCCAGAAATATTGCATCTGTTCCACCCTCAATTGAAACAGCTTCTTTCTCCACTGTATTTCTTTTGTTTTTGTTATTTATTTATTTATTTATTTATTTTTGGAGATGGAGTCCCGCTCTGCTGCCTAGGCTGGAGTGCAGTGGCTCACTGCAACCTCCACTCCCCGGGTTCAAGTGATTCTCCTGCCTCAGCCTCCCGAGTAGCTGGGATTACAGGCATGCACCACCACGTCCAGCTAATTTTTGTATTTTTAGTAGAAATGGGGTTTCACCCATGTTGGCCAGGCTGGTCTCGAGCTCCTGACCTCAGATGATCTATCTGCCTCATCCTCCCAAAGTGCTGGGATGACGGGTGTGAGCCACTGCACCCGGCCCTCCACTACATTTCTAATTGCCACATTCTCCCTAAGTCTGAAAGCTCACATGCTTAGTAACAGTTTGGCCAGGTTTTAAGCATTTTCTGTGGGGTGTACTGCATTCCTTCCCCCTCCCCCCCGCCTTTTTTTTTTTGGTCATTATTCCCTGCGGTTGAACAGAGCACCTCCCCGCACCCCACCCCACACCAGCCTCTCCATGCACAGCCATAGTTGTTCACGGTTTTTGAAAATCAAAAAATACAAGAGTGGACCTTGCTCCCAGCCCAGGTCTCCCAGGTTGCAAGTGAGTCTGGTAACTGTGCCACTGTCTTTGCTGGGAACCCAGGTTTTATTGCTTTTCCAAAAATAATCACCTTTTCCTTAAAAAGAAAAGGCTTTGTATCTCTGTGTCCAACTTATGATCTGCACAGGTTTCCATGGAATGTGTAATCAGTGTATACACACCATTTGGTTCTTCTTTCTTTAACATTTCTAAAACCGAGCTTCCTAGTTATTTTTAATTGTTGCCTAATAGTTCATCAGCTTAATGTACATCATTATTTCACTATAGGGAATGAAGTGGCTATAAGCATCTTTTAGTATGGTTTAACAAACATCGATCTTTATACAGATAACTTCCCTGACACTCCTCCCCCCCATTTTGAAACTGTCCCCTGGGGTGCCACTTTCATAAGCAGGAAAACTGGGTCAAAGAGATGGTCAATTTTATGTTTCTTCATGGGTCTTGTCAGGAGACCCATCACAGTAAGGGCCCTTTGATACCACAGTGAATCTCCTTGAGAATCCACTCTAGGATGGCTACCATGAGATTCCAGTGTCACATTAAACCTTGGCTTCTCATGAAGTTAAGCTCAATCTTATGTGCAGTGGCCCCAACTCTGCTCACCTTAAGATCCACTTCTCTCTAGCAGAGCCCTTCTTTCCTTTTCTCTGCCAAGCATCTGTCCAGAATGCTGTTTTATATGCTTAACAGTACAGAGAACAGCATCTATTAATTTTCCTAGGTCCACCTCCATTTCTTTTATGCATCTAGTGAGGGCTGATTCTCAGACCTGTCCTAGCCTAAAGCCATGCCTGCTCACAAATTGCAGTCACGCGCTGACATCTGGACTCGCTGCCCTTATCAGAAGTATTTCTGATTAAAATCAGAGAGCCAGAAACTAGAGAAAATAGCAGAGAACACCGTGACCAGATAACCTGAGGAGGCTTAGTTTGATTGTCTTCTTAAGTATACAGCTGTGTATACTTTGACCAAAAAATGTGTTCTGAATCAGTGCCAGTAAAGGGGTGGAGGTATGCCCTCTCTCTGCTTTTAAATCTATGCTTATTTCCCCTCAGCTGCCTTCTGGCCGGGTACCCTTGATTTTCCTGAAGCTCATTCAGAACGTCTTCCCTTTTCCTCCCTGTCCTGCTTTTGCACCATCATGTACCCCTGGCAGTTTGCTGGGTCTGTGCCTTTTTATACCCTTCCAGGTGCTCCTAGGACTGGACATCCTTTTTTTTGTTTTTGTTTTTGTTTTTTTAGACGGGAGTTTCGTTCCTGTTGCCCAGGCTGGAGTGCAATAGCGCGATCTCAACTCACTGCAACCTCTGCCTCCCGGGTTCAGGCGATTCTCCTGCCTCAGCCTCCTGAGTAGCTGGGATTACAGGTGCGCACCAGCACACCTGGCTACTTTTTGTATTTTTACTGGAGACGGGGTTTCACCATGTTGGCCAGGCTGGTCTCAAACTCCTGACCTCAGGTGATCTGCCCGCCTCGGCCTCCCAAAGTGCTGGGATTACAGGTGTGGGCCACCATGCCTGGCCTGAACATCCTTTTTTGATCGTAGGCAGAAATAAGTGTGCTGTGGGTGCAGCTCACATCCTTGGCTAACCCCTAGCAGCAGCTATCCATATCCACTCACCCCACCACACTTCCCTCCACGCTGCCAGCAGCAGAAGGAGCACCCTACAATGCAGATGCCTCCTTTGTTTGCCAACTTCAGTAGTTTCCCATCAGCTACAAGATCAAGCTCAGGCTCCTCTCACCTGGTCCTACCCTCCCCACCTCTACACTACCCTGTAGCGGCATCCAGTTCCTTGCTGTTCCACAAACTTGTCAGGGCTGTTTGGAGCCTTCAGCCTGTACAAGAGCTGTGCCCATCGCCTGTAATACAACCTTTGACCACTTCAAATAATGACCTTTTTTCTACCTAACAATTACTGAGCATTCAACTCTGTGCTGCGTGTGTGCTGACCCTTCACACACACCACCTCACTAATCCTCACAGTCCTTGAAGGTGGGGACTAGTGTCACACGTGGCCATTGGGAACATCACACAGATCAAAGGCTGGGCTCAAGGTCACATTGCCTAAACACACATTCATGTGACGTGAGAACCTTAACTCTTGCCCTCCCAGTGACACTTCCTTCTCTGGGTTTCCATTCCGCCTTGCAGAGAGCACTCTGACTTACTGTAGCCTTCTGTGTGTGTGTCTCCCCTCTCTACTGTGAGCCCCTCGAGAGCAGGGCCCATGCCTTCCCCATCCCTGTCCCAGAAGCTAACTGGAAACAGTGGAGACATGCAGCAGATTGTTGACTGAAGAAGGTGCTGCGTCCATGGTCATCCCTCATATCCTTTATAAATTTCTTATACATTTCATTCCTTTGTGGGAATTGCATCTTGAAGCTTTGTTTATAGCCATCTGCGTGGGTCCCTTAGGCTATGTGGCTGACTTTAATGCTACAGATATTTTTCCGTTTCTGGCATGTAGCAGTGCTGGGCTTAGCATTGTAGAGATTATAAAAGAGAAGACATGGCCCCTGCCCTCCAATTGCAGAGATGAGACCATATGGAACACAATTAGCCATTAAAGACAATACATTTCAGTATTTGCATGGAGTATTTGATTATATAGCACATGCAAATTCTTTGGAATGACATACAAGGCCCTGCAAGATCTGATTCTAGGCCACTTTCCCAGTTTCATCTGCTGCTCTCCCACGGATCCCCCCACATCCCAGACATACTGAGGTGTGTGCAGTCCTCTGAGCCCACCATGCTTCCAATGTCACCATCTCTTTGTAGGTGCTGTTTCTTCTTCCTAGAATGCCTGTCTTGTTCCTATCTGCCTGGCAACTTCTTACTCATCTTTTAGAACACTGTCTAGTGCCAGTTCTTTCCTTTTTGTTTTTGTTTTTGTTTTCATGGCCTTTGTATGTTTTTCTGTAGTGTGACCCTTATCACATAAGTCAGTTTTGTAAGTCTGCTCTGCCTGTTCATTGTTGAGTTACTTTAGGTCAAGATCCATGTCTCAGTGATGGAAAAATGAATGACAAAATAGAAATTGGATAAATGGGAAGGAAGGAGTGATGATCTAACATGGCTGGGGGTCAGTGGGGAATCACTTTCATTGGCCAGAATAGAGAGCTAAATAAAGTGGCTTAAAGGCATTAGAGGTTCATTTGCATGTGGAAAAAGCCTGGAGGTGGATGGTTGAGTGCTGGTGTGGGTGCCACAATGTCATCAGGAGCCCGGGCTCTGCTGCGCAGCTTGGCCACCTTTAATGCGAAGTTTCCCTCTTCAGGGTAACCTCGTGGCTCAAAATGGTTGCTGGAGCTGCAGCCATCTTATCCATTTCAGGCAAGAAGGACTAGAGAGGTCAGCTGGTACAAAAAAAAAAAATTATGTTCATTCCCTGAAGGCAGTCTCCTTCAAACAGATTTCTCAGGGTCCTTTACCCAGGAGCTTCATCTGCATCTCAGGCCAGGATGTAGTCACATGTTCACCTCTGAGTTTGGAAGAGATGTAAATATACAGCAATAAACATAGGTTATCTCCACATTTAATTTAAAATGACATTGCTTTTTAAAACAGTTTTTAGGTCTGAATACACATTTCTCAAAAAAAGATATAAAATGGCCAATAAGCATATGAAAAGATGCTTAGGGAATTAGTCATTAGGGAAATACAAATCAGAACCACAATGAGACATAATTTCACATCTACCAGGATAGCACTAGAGTCAAAAAGGCATAATAACAAGTGCTGGCAAAGAGAGAAATTAGAATTCTCAAAACGCCACTGGTGGGACTGTGAAATGTTACAGCAGTCTGGCAAGCCCTCACAAAGTTAAACACTTGAGTTACCCCATGACCCAGCAATCCCACTTCTAGGTATACATATGTGAGAGAATGAAAACATACATCCACACAAAAGCTTATGTATGCATATTCATAGCACTATTCATAATAGCCAAAAAATAAAAATAACCAAAATGCCCATTAACAAATGAGTGGATCAACAAATTGTGGTATATCCATACAGTGGAATATTACTCTGTCATTAAAAGGAGTGAAGTACTGATACATGCTATATAACATGGATGAATTTAAAAAACATTACAGCAAGTGAAAGAAGACAGTCACAAAAAAACCCACATAGTTGATGATCCTATTTTTATGAAATGTCCAGAACAGGCAAATCCACAGAGACAGAAACTAGACGAATGGTTGCCTGAGGGTGAGGGGAAACAGGGAGTGACTGATGATGGGTTTTGTGTGGGGGCAATAGAATGTTCTAAAATTTGATAGTAATGGTTATACAACTCTGAATATACTAAAAGCCATTGTACACACGTTAAAAAGGGTGGATTGTATGTGAATTCTATCTCAATAAAGCTGTTCAAAAATTCAGTTTTTATCTGTAAGATATATCTTCAAAATTAACCTCAAAAAACAAAGGAACTGGTGGCAGGGGGGATAAGTTTCCCAAACCAGTTAATATTTCAAGACTTATATTAGTTATCTCCTTCTTCTCATTTAAGTCCTGACTTAAAAAAAAATCTGCCCTGCACAGTCAGGATCAGATCCCTCTGGCTGGTTGCCCAGATGACCGGGATTCTGAGTGGTTTCTTTGTCCTGTGGACTTATCATTTCAAAAACAAAGCTCTTTTTCCCAATCTGCAAAGCTGAGGAATGGAGATGCCAGGAGGTCAACAAATAGGCGTAGGAAGCCACTATCTGCAAACCAGCAGGATGCTGGAAGGGTTTGCTCTTTGGGGCTCATGTTCCTTGGAGATTTTGTTATTGATAGATGGACAGAGGCAGGTCAGAGGCCATGAAAAATTAGTGTGGTGTTTGGAAAGGCCTCTGTGCCAGGAGTCTGCAGATGGGTGACTCCTGACCAAGAGCTCTGATTCCCAGCAAAACAAGAAAGATGATAGCCTTCTCACCACTGGGTGGGCACACGAGCTCGTGGCTGTGAGCCTGCCCTGTAAACATGGAAGGTGGGCACCAGGCAGGCCATCCTGGAATGGCGAACTTGGGGTGGCTCCAGAGGGTTTGAAAAGGGAAAGGGAGCATTGTCTAGTGGAAAAGAAGACGTAGGTGTGTTGGCTGGAGTGGTTGTCAGGATAAAAGGTGGTCGAAGAGATGGTTGGACAGCTGCACTCACTCACAAGTGTGGTCAGAAGCCTTGGGCCAGCAGCCCTTCCTGGTAAGTGGGCTGGTTAGGGTTGTTGGAGTTGGGCAACAGGAACAACTCGCTGACTCTGCATCAAGATGCTGGAGATGGCCATCAGCATCTAAGTCTCCCTGGGGTTGACCTTTGCTACGTGCTGTGGATTCTTGAGTCTTTCACGGAGGCTCACACTCTCATAAAGTCCCTTGGGAATTACAAGAAACAAATCATTTTTGTGTAGCATAAGATGTGACTAGTTTTAATTTGATATATTATTAAAGACTGCTATCAGGTTCATTTTGTTCAGAAAAATGAAACTTTCAGGATCTGGTTACAAAACTCTGCCAGTGTATTTACAGGTTTTTCTAGCCATTTTTTTGCTTATTAAATTGTTCTTTATGCTTCCTTTCTTCAACCAGTGGTCTATTTTTGGTATAAGTTAAGAAGGTAAGAATAAAACACAATGTAGAAATATGTCAGGGTAAACATTACTGTAGTATTAAAGTGGAAAAATATTTATTATAGTCCATTGATTTTCAGGCACATTTTCCAACTTTAACATCTCTGAAATTGTAATATGTCTTACAGTCAATGGCAGCTTACATTCATTTTTTTCTTATAAGATGGTGCATCTTTTGATCACTAATGTCTTGGATTTGATGAAATTTGGCAAATTATATTAGTGATTGAGCTTAGTAAATGCATTGTCCTCATTCTTTCCTGTCTGCCCTCAGATGTACACGTTGGATAATTCCATGCCCATCTTGGCATTGCGACCAGGAGCTTCTGCATCCCTTGCTTCCAAAGCGAACCAGTGAAACATCTTTTTATTCTTGCAGGTTCTTAATGATTGACCACAAGCAGATCTTTCACCCTCGGATCTCTAGCTACAAAAGGTGCAATGGGACCTTTCTCTCTTCCCCAGCCCTTCCATTCCTCCAGCCCCCCCAGGGTCCTATACCCAGTTTGTGTGACTGTCCTTGAAGCTTTCCTGGAACCATACTTATCATCAGACCTTTCCCAAAGTGACTCACTAACATTGGTCTCTCTGATGGTGTCTCTGGGTAGGTAAGGGACGGGGGACCTCCCCTTGCCCTACTATGGGGAGAGTGACTAACTCTTTTCTTGTCCTTTCCGGATAGGAACCACTGGCTCAATGACCTGTAAGGGCCGTTTCAGCACATCCATTCTGTCCATCTCCAAGCCTTCACCGTAGGGAAGAACTTTTGCTCTCAGTCACCTCTCAGAGAGCTCTCTTTATAGCTGAAGGTCCCTCTCATGAGTTACATCAAGAGTAACCTAGAATTATATCAGCAATACACAGCCATGGCCCCCAAGCTACTGGCCCGCATCTCCAAACTCCTCATGATCTGCCAGAATGCAGGCATTTCTGTACCAAAAGGCATCAGAAACATCTTTGAGTTCACTTGGGAAGAGCTCATCAGTGACCCTTCAGTGCCTACCCCGTCCGACATCTTGGGCCTGGAGGTCAGCTTTGGAGCCCCCCTGGTGGTGCTCATGGAACCCACCTTTGTGCAGGTCCCCACACTGAAGAAGCCACTACCTCCACCACCACCAGCACCACCACGTCCAGTGCTGCTGGCAACCACTGGGGCAGCCAAGCGCTCCACCCTCTCTCCCACCATGGCCCGTCAGGTGCGCACCCACCAGGAGACCCTGAACAGGTTTCAGCAGCAGTCCATCCACCTGCTGACGGAGCTCCTCAGACTGAAGATGAAGGCCATGGTGGAGTCTATGTCGGGTAAGGCCCAGATGTTTGTGTATGTGCCCACCACACCCACTACAGACGGGCGTCTCAGAGGCACATGCTGGGAACAGGTGGCAACTGTGGGTCTGCTGTAGGAATTGGATGCCTTCCCTCTGCGGCTCCTGGAATCATCCTCTCACTCCTCCCTGTTCTCCCATTTTTCCTGCCATTGCCCCAGCTTTCCAGAGTCCAGATTGGAAGGTTAGTAATAGGAATGTGCGAGGTCAGAGGCACTAAGGGGCAGTGTTTGTGAGAATGATGCTGAGGTGCGGAGACAGCACCCATGTCCGGGTGGCATATGAAGTTTTCAAACCAGCAGGGCTGATTGGGAAGTAGCCAGACAGAGCCCAGTAGAGCCAGAACAAGGGGGAGTCATAAGAACCAGGGTCCCAGGCCAGGCGCGGTGGCTCACCCCTGTAATTCCAGCACTTTGGGAGGCTGAGGCAGGATGATCACAAGGTCAGGAGTTCGAGACCAGCCCGGCCAATATGGTGAAACCCTGACTCTACTAAAAATACAAAAATTAGCCGGGCATGGTGGTGCACACCTGTAATCCCAGCTACGCAGAAGGCCAAGGCAGGAGAATCGCTTGAACCCAGGAGGTGGAGGTTGCAGTGAGCCAAGATCATGCCACTGCACTCCAGCCTGGGTGATAGAGCGAGACTCCATCTCAAAAAAAAAAAAAAAAAAAAGAACCGGGGTCCTTCCAAAGTGAAGGTGTCATCCCAGGATCAAGGCCAGGACCTACAGCAGCACCAGTGATGGAGCCTTCTGGATGCTGCATCATTTCAGAAACCAATAGCATCGGTACCCAGGCCTATGGGTAGGAAGAGAGACAGGCAAAGGGAGGAGAGCAAAGCGACATCTGAAGGGTCCTCAGAGCTTGAGAGCCTTTCACAGTAGCCCCCTCACCCCTGCATACCCTAGGAATAGCGCTCTACTCTACCCTTCTTTCCTGGGCCATTTACAGAGGTCCTTTTCTGGAAGCATTAGCCCCATGCTAGGAGGGACACGTGTTGCTTTCTATCATTGCTTTAGTGGGTGCCAACCCCTTGGACATCACCAGGCGCTTTGTGGAGGCCAGCCAGCTCCTCCACCTCAATGCCAAGGAGATGGCCTTCAACTGCCTGATCAGCACAGCCGGGAGAAGTGGCTACAGCAGCGGACAGTTGTGGAAAGGTGGGTACCTGAGCTTCAACCCTTAGGTAAGAAGTGCAAACAATATCAGCAGGAATGCAATGGAAAGGCAAAACCCCCAGTTTGAAGGTTTGACATTTCCAAGAATTGAGGTGGATGTGGAGCAACAGGGATTTTCAAATGCTACAGGTGAGTGGATGAATTGGTGCAATTCCTGTGGAGAGTGGTTTGGCGGTATCTGCTGAGTGGGCAACAGCTACACCTCACAACCCAGCAGCTCCTCTTAGAGGTCATTCCCTAGAGCCGTGCTCTCAAGCTACGTGCAGTGAAGGACTCATGTTTAAAATTTCCAGTCTGTTGTGGACTGACCCTTTTAAACACATGATAAATGTCACAGCAGTGTCAAGTTGCTGCACAGGCCTCTCAGTGCTCACCTTCAGTTTTTGTGCTCACCTGGTCATGGCCTATGTGGGTCAGTGGCAGTCCACAGGCTGCACTCGAGTCATACAGCCCGAGGGAAGCTCACACATGTTCCAGAAGTCATACAAGAATGTTTATTGCAGGCAGGCATGGTGGCTTATGCCTGTAATCCCAGCACTTTGGGAGGCCAAGGCAGTAGGATCCCTTGAGTCCAGGAGTTCAAGACCAGCTTGGGTGACATAGTGAGACTGTCTTTAAATTAAAAATAAAAAAAGAAATGTTTATTGCAGAATTCTTTGGACTGGCAAAAATTAATCCGAATGTTTATCAACAAGAGAAAAAGATATAAATTAAGGTCCATTTAGACAGTGGGACATAATGAATCACGAAAATGAGTGAGGCACTAAAGCATAGATATTTACAGAGAGAAATCTCCAATGATAGTATTAAGGAAAAAAAAGAGGAAGCTGTGGGAGGATATTACTTTTCAAAGTTTAAAAGCATGGAAAGTAGTAATATATCATTTATAGGTACATTACACAAAGTACAAGTATAAAAGCATGAAGGGGGAAATTCGAGGAAGTGATCTCTGGGGAGAGAGAAGGGGAACAGGATCTGGAAGACAGCAAGCAGTTGAGTCTGTAATGTTCTTTTTGTTGCTTTTTTCTCACCCAGTGACCTCTCTCTCTCTCTCTCTGTTTCTCTCTCTCTCTCTCTCTCTGTGCGTGCGTGCGTGTGTGTGTGTGTGTGTATGTGTGTTAAGAACACAAAATCTACTCCCCAAGCAAATTTTGAGTGTGCAATACAGTGATATTAACTATAGTAACCATGCTATATATTAGTTCTCCACAATTCATTCCTCTTATAAGTGAAAGTTTGTACCCTTTGACTAATATCTTCCCACTCCCCCGCTGCCACCCTCCAGTCCCTGTCAACCACCATTCACTCTCTGCTTCTATGAGTTTGAGTTTGACTTTTTTAGATTCCTCATGTATGTGAGATCATACAGGATTTGTCTTTTTTTTCTGGCTTTTTTTTCATTCAGCATATAATGTACTCTAGGTTCACTTATGTTGTAGCAAATGGCAGGATTTCCTTTTTTTTTTTTTTTTTTTTTTTTGAGACGGAGTCTCGCTCTGTTGCCACGCTGGAGTGCAGTGGCACGATCTTGGCTCGCTGCAAGCTCCACCTCACAGGTTCACGCCATTCTCCTGCCTCAGCCTCCCGAGTAGCTGGGACAACAGGTGTGTGCCACAATGCTCGGCTCATTTTTGTATTTTTAGTAGAGACGGGGTTTCACCATGTTGGCCAGGATGGTCTCGATCTCTTGACCTTGTGATCCGTCTGCCTTGGCCTCCCAAAGTGTTGGGATTGCAGGCGTGAGCCACCACGCCCAGCCCAGGATTTCCTTTTTTAATAGCTGAATCATATTCGTGTGTGTGTGTGTGTGTGACATTTTCTTTATCCATTTATCCTTTGATGAACATTTAGGTTGTTTCCATGTCTTGGCTATGTGAATAATACTGCAATGAGCATAGGAGCGTAGATATCTCTTTGAAATACTGATTTCTTTTCTTTGGATAAATACCCAGAAGTGGAATTGCTGGATCATATGGTAGTTCCATTTTTAAATTTCAGAGGAACTCCATACTGTTTTCCATAATGGCAGCACCAATCTCCATTCCCACCAGCTGCATACAAGGGTTTCCTTTTCTCCACACTGTTGCCAGCACTTGTTAGCTTTTGTCATTTTGGTAATAGCCATTCTAACAGGTGTAACGTGGTATCTCATTGTGGTCTTGATTTGCATTTTTCTGATGATTACTGACATTGAGCTTTTTTGTCATATACCTATTGGCCATTTGTGTCTCTTCTTTTGAGAAATGGGTCCTTAATCCATTTTTAAATCAAGTTATTTGGTTTTTGCTCTGCAGTGTTTTATGTCTTAAGCTTGGTAAATACACAGGTGTTCATTTTGAATGCCTGAAAGTACTCACTGACAAGAGGTTTTATAGGAAGCGTAAAAAAATTCTATCTCCTAACTATTTGCTGTCACCTGTAGAGTCAGTCCCCATTTAGTCTCTCTCCCTGTCCACTGAGTCAGTAGCTTTGTCAGGCTCCCCTGATGGTCAGAGATTAAACATCTGCTAATACACACATACAGTGCAAATAAATTGCATAGAAAAATTGCAGATCTTGGGGAAAAAATGTAAGATTTCATGAAGTCAATGAAAGTGATGCTGGAGAGCTGCAGAATGCCCCTCCAATGCCCCTGATGCCTGATGCGGGGGAGCAGCACTAGCCGCCTGCCGCAGAAGGGAAAACCGAATACAGGATCATGACTCCATGGAGAGAAAATAAAAAGCAGTAAAGCTCTTCAATAATTTTGCAAAAGGAAAACATGAAGGGCCTTATGTTTTATTGCCATGATACAATCATTCAGGAAGAAAGAAACCATACTGCCTTGAAAAACCCAGCAGTCATTTTTATTTTCTTTGTAAGACTTAATGTGTTCTTAGAGTACCAACTAATTTTTTAAAATACAAGATAAAATGTTATTTTCATAAATTTTGGCTTCCTTTTCTAAGACAAAGTTGTGATAAAACACTCTTACCCACAGTGTTTACCATGAAATGAAGATCTCTGTTTTAGGGGAAGTTACACTGTGCCTGTTTTGTTTAGGATCAGCTAGGCTCTGAGACCACAGGTCCTCTAGTTGTGCTGTAATTATTTGTGCAGGTGGTGATCGCCAGACAGAGCTCTGCACCTTGCATTCTGTTTTGGGGCTTAAAGATCTCCCTCATTTGGGGGCACAGCTGCTAAGTAGTCTGTTGCACGTGCATGAGAGTCCCATGGCAGATGTCAGGGTAGCTCCAGCCCAACCCTCGGGCCTGACACCTGCCTGAGCCACTCCCACCTGAATACCATGTCTCCTCACTTTTAAAAGGAAAATGGTCCTCACCACTAACACTCCTTCTGATAAAGTGTTTCAGCATTCTTTCAGGATGAGGGAGGCACAGTGGCTTCTGGCATCCTCTGTGGGCTGCGATTCATCTAATGGAGGAGAATGGGAAGAGAGTTAAGCTGAGCTGGGGGCAGGGGGCCTTTTGGGTGATCTCTGCATCTTGCTGTCCTGCTGCACCAGCCGATTGCTGAGAGCGCCCCTCTCCATCACACTCCCTAGCAAGCATCCCTGTCTTGTTGGCACTTGCTGGTGCAGACGCTCCTCTCTTTAATTAAGCCTAGAGTTTCCAGACAAAAATCTAAGTAGCAAAACAAAAACGAAGGAGTGATCCATTTATTTTGGAAAAACACTCATTCATCCTAAAAGGACTTTACTTACATAGCACTCCTGGGGCATAAAAAAGAAGATTCAAACTCTGATGATTTGTTTTGCATGAATTATGTTTTTCGGGACCGTCCTCTTATGTGAGGTAGACCAAAGCTGTAACAGGTCTAGAGTTAACTTCTTTTAAAGTTGGGACCAGGCCGAGTGTGGCGGCTCATGACTGTAATCCCAGCACTTTGGGAGGCTGAGGCAGGAGGATTGCTTGAGGCCAGGAGTTCAAGACCAGCCTGGCCAACATGATGAAACCCTGTCTCTACTAAAAATACAAAAAAATTAGCCGGCCGTGATGGCACACATCTGTAGTCCCAGCTACTTGGGAGGCTGAGGCTGGAGAATCGCTTGAACCTGGGAAGCAGAGGTTGCAGTGAGCCGAGACTGTGCCACTGCACTCCAGCCTGGATGACAGAGTGAGACTGTCTCAAAAAAAAAAAAAAAAAGAAAAAAAAGAAAAGAAAAAGAAAAAAAGCTGTATCCAGAATATCCCCTGTGCTAAGTAGTCTTCCCTCCTGTCCTGATACCTACTAGCCCTGGCTTGTCACTGAAGAAAACCAGACTGCTCCTTTATTTTTAGTTGACGACAATATCATTAATAAAAATGCAAAAAAGAGGAAGCAATCCTGCCATCTTCATATAAGAGCTACTTTTCACCTTTGCAGTTTCCTTTGTGGTTCCTGTGCTCGTGTATGTATATATATATATTTAGAGTATTGCAATTTTTCTGTTTCTTAGTTTCTTTTACTTAACAGAGTACAGCTGTTTTCCAACATGGCTATATACTTTAAATAATTGTCATTTTGAGTGGGCATAGACTCCTTGTAATGTTCATGTTCCACATTTACCGAAATGCTTAGGTTTCCAGGCTTTTTGTTATTTGTATAATGTGCATTGTAATAGGCAACTTTATGCACCTGGCTTCTTATTTCTGTTGTATTTAGTTAACTTCACAGGGGAGGGATCATTGGAGCAGAGGTCTCAGTATATATATATAGCTCTTCTTCTGAAATCACACTTAATTTGGATTCTCTCTACACCAGCAGGGTTGATGGGTTTTATTCCTTCTTTACCATTACTGGCTATTGTTAGTTCTTTTCATTTCTACCAAGTTAGAAGGTCCTGAAAGTTGTCTTAATTTCAACTTCTGGATCACTAGCAGAGGTGATTACTTTTGTGTTTTATCATCCATTGTGGAATCTCTATAGTCTTTGTCCACTTAGGAGGTCAAATTTGCCATTTTCTTTTTGAATTTGAGTGAGCTGTGATGAGTGAATCACCTAAAATTTTCTAACAGTGGTTTCACGCCTAACCAGTGAAATGACTATATTTGGGGGAAGAATAAACAAATGATTTGGTGAGGTTTGTATAAGAATGAACAAGATTTTCCACTAGCCATAAGGGTGCTACATTTTAATTCTTAAGTGGTCAGATATCAAACGATTCTATAAAAGATGGTGTGATTCTGCAAGAGACTGATATATTATTGAAGAAGCATCTGATGTCTGTGGCTTAGATAAGGGGGAATAGATGGTTCTTAATTTCCTTCTTGCTGGCCCAAGGCTTATCCTCTTGACCTGGTGCAGCACTGATACCTGCCTTTGCCCTTGGAGTAATATCACTTTTCGTGCTTGCTTGCTGTTCCTTGTTCCGGTCCCCCTCTTGAGAGGGTTGGGGAGGAGAGGCACTGCAGAGGGGAACTGTAAAGATTTCCTCTAATTGCTCTGCCGGTGCATTGCAAAATCTTCTTCCAAGATCTAGGTGTTTTGTAACAATGCGGCACTTTACAGTATGTGACCCACCGTACTACTAGAACAAGAAATCCATGTTACATTTTTGGCTAATAAAATTAAAAGTAAACAGTTGAAAGAAGAATCTCTCTCTCTCCCACTCCAGAGTCCCTCGCAAACATGTCCGCCATTGGGGTGAACTCGCCTTACCAGCTGATCTACCACTCTTCCACAGCCTGTCTGAGCTTTTCTCTCTCTGCTGGAAAAGAAGCCAAGAAGAAAATAGGTAAAAATGGTTCCTCGTGGCCTACCATTCATTGGTGGTGGCGGTGGGGTGGGGGATAGGTTTCCGTCTACCCTGTGTAGGTTGGTGGGATGGTTTGATTTGGTCTTCTGATTAGAAGGATACATAGCGGCTCTGCCTGGAGATCCAGCAGCTGTCCACACAGATTTGCTCATGGAAAGGTTGTCACAGTCCAGCCCTATCACTGCATAGCACAGGCTCATCATTTCAGCTTGCTCATGCCCTACATTCCCAGCGATGTGGCGTCCCTCCTCTGGGACAACATCCCACCAAACCCATCTCTTCTATCCCTACAGTATCCCAAACTCACGCCTCTGCTCAGACAGCTCTGTCCAGTCACACAGCAAGTGGGGGAACTAGTATCTGAAGAGAGGTATTTGGATACCAAACCTGGTAGACCTCAGTTGCACTTCCCAAATTGGGCAAGTTTTTATGGGCAGGAAACAAAGACATAGGAGATACTCCTATTCTACTGAGGAAGACACACACAGGAGAGGCTTCAGGAAGAGAACAGGTGGCAGACAAAGACAACCAATGTGACAATACCTGCTCAGGAAGAAGCTCAGAGGAGAGACAGGCTGGGGCTGCAGACAACAGGACAAGGTCTGGCAGAACTCCCAGGCCCACCCTGCTAGCCATGACAGCTGGGTTGTGGGGACAGGGTAGGTAGGAGAGGACCACGTTCCTGAAGGTGGTGGGAGGGTGGATGGCAGGCAGGAATGCTCAGGCTGTCCAGATGACTCCCACAGACACTGGAGGTAAGGCTGGAAGCCAAGGAGCTTGGATTTCCTCCGTGCCCCAGCCCCTGGCTGGCTGTTTGACCCGCCTTCCTCAGCCCTCACCTCCATGTTGGTAAAAGGGGGATGGTCATCATGGGCGTGCCTTGTATTTCATCACTCACCATATCGAGCTGATCCTATACTCTTTCCGTTATTGAACAAATGGTTATTGAACACTTGCTAACTGTCAGTCTCTGTACCAAATGCTGGGGATACAGATGTGGACTTGTAAGACAGAAAATGCCTTGCTTAAAGGAGCTGACCTCCTCCTTCCGGGCACGGAGTAGCTTCAGCGGCCGCCACACCTTCCTGACTGCTCTACCTGTGTTGATGTGCTTCATCTCATTGTGGTACAATAACCCACAGCACCATTGCCAGCACCCCATTGCATGTGCGCCTGGCTTAGTACTCCATTATCATGTGCCCTCCTGAGCTGGCCCTAGATCTGGCCCTGTGATCCCACAGTCAGTTTGAGGGAAAAGAAAGTACTCTCAAGACACCTGGTGATTTAATGACTTTTTCTGCGTAATGAACTTGAGGGTGATGTCTTGAGCAAGGCTGTTTCAAAGCAAGAGTTAAATACAGAAGTCCTCCGTATCCAGGGTTTCCCCTTTCTGTGGTTTCAGTTACCCATGGTCAACTGCGGTCCAAAAATATTAAGATATTTTGAGGCAGAGAGAGAGAGGGACCACATTCATATAACTTTTTTTAATTTTAAATTTTTGTGGGGATAGTCGGTATATATGTTTATGGGTTATGTGAGATATTTTGATACAGGCACACAATAATCACATCAAGCTAAATGGGGTGTCCATCACCTTATGCATTTATCCTTTGTGTTACAAACAATTCAATTGTACTCTTTTAGTCATTTAAAAATATATAATTAAATTATATTTGACTGTAATCACCCTGTGTGCTATCAAATACTAGGTCTTATTCATTCTTACTGTTTTTTTTGTATCCATTAGCCCTCCCCACTCCACACTACCCTTCCCAGCCTCTGGTAACCATCTGCTCTCCATCTCCATGAGTTTAATTGTTTTAATTTTTAGCTCTGATAAATTAGAACATAAGAAGTTTGCCTTTCTGTGTCTGGCTTATTTCACTTAACATAATGATCTCCAGTTTCATTCATGTTGTTGCAAATGACAGGATCTCATTCTCTTTTTATGGCTGACTAGTACTCCATTACGTGTATGTACCACACTTTCTTCATCCATTTATCTGTTGTTGATTGACACTTAGATTGCTTCCAACTCTTGGCCATTATGAGTGGTGCTGCCCTAAACATGGGAGTGCAGATATCTCTTCATTATACTGATTTCTGTTCTTTCAGGTATATACCTACGTGTGGAATTGCTGGATCGCATAGTAGCTCTATCTTTATTTTTTTGAGGAACCCCCAAACTGTTCTCCATAGTGGTTGTGCTAATTGACATTCCCACCAACAGTTAGGAGGGTTTCCTTTTCTCCACATCCTCACCAGCATTTGTTGTTGCCTGTCTTTTGGACAAAAGCCATTTTAACTGGGTGAGATGATATCACCTTGTAGTTTTAATTTGCATTTCTCTGACTATCAGTGATGTTGGGCACCTTTTCATATACCTATTTGCCATTTGTATGTCTTTTTTTGAGAAGAATGAGCTTGAAAGATCACTCAATCAGATTATTAGATTTTTTTTCCTGCAGAGTTGTTTGAACTCCTTATATATTCTCGTCTGGTCAAATGGGTAGTTTGCAAATATTTTCTCCCATTCTGTGGGTTGTCTCTTCACTTTGTTGATTGTTTCCTTTGCTGTGCAGAAGCTTTTTAACTTGATGTGATCTGATTTGTCCATTTTTGTTTTGGTTGCCTGTGCTTGTGGGGTATTACTCAAGAAATCTTTGCCCACTCCAACGTCCTGGAGAGTTTCCCCTAATGTTTTCTATTAGTAGTTAATAGTTTGTGGCCTGAGATTTAAGTCTTCAATCCATTTTGATTTTATTTTTGTGTATGGTGAGAGATAGGGGTCCTTCTGCATATGGTTATCCAGTTTTCCCAGCACCATTTATTGAAAAGATTGTTCTTTCCCCATTGTATGTTCTTGGCACCTTTGTCATAAATGGGTTCATTGTAGACGTATAGATTTATTTTGGGGCTCTGTATTGTGTTTCACTGGTCTACATATCTGTTTTTATGCCAGTACCATGCTGTTTTGGTTACTATAGCTCTGTTGTATAATTTGAACTCAGGTAAGATGATTCCTCTAGTTTTATTATTTTTATTTATGATAGCTTTGGCTATTCTAGGTCTTTTGTGGTTCCATATAAACTTTAGGAATGATTTTTCTATTTCTGTGAAGATTGCCATTGGTATTTTGATAGCGATTGCATTAAATCTGTAGATTGCTTTGGGTAGTACAGACATTTTAACAATATTTATTCTTCCAATCCATGAACATGGAATAGCTTTCCATTTTCTGATGTCATCTTCAGTTTTTTGCATCAGTGTTTTATAGTTTTCATTGTAGAAATCTTTCATTTCTTTAATTCCTGACTATTTTAAATGGAATTACTTTCTTAGTTTCTTGTTCAGACTGTCCACTGTTGGCATATAGAAATGCTACTGATTTTTATATGTTGATTTTTGTATCCTGCAACCTTACTGAGTTTATCAGTTCTAATAATTTTTTGGTGGAGTCTTTAGGTTTTTCCAAATATAAGATCATATCATCTGCAAACAAGGATAGTTTGACTTCTTCCTTTCCAATTTGGATGCCCTTTATTTCTTTCTCTTTTCTGATTGCTCTAGCCAGGACTCCCAGTACTATATTGAATAATGGTGGTGAAAGTGGGCATCCTTGTCGTGGTCCTGATTTTAGAGGAAAGGCTTTCAGTTTTTCCCCATTCAGTATGATATTAGGTATGAATCTGTCATATATGGCTTTTACTATGTTAAAGCATATTCCTTCTATACCCAGTTTTTTGAGGGTTTTTATCATGAAGGGATGTTGAATTTTATCAAATGCTTTTCCAGTATCAGTTGAAATGGCCATAGGGTTTTTGTACTTCATTCTGTTGATAGGATGTATCACATTGATTGATTTGCATATGTTGAACCATCCTTGCATCCCAGAGATAAATCCCACTTGGTCATGATGAATGATCTTGATCTTTTTAATGTGTTGTTGAATTCAATTTGCTAGTATTGAGGATTTTTGCACCAGTATTCATCAGTGGTATTGGCCTGTAGTTTTCTTTTTTTGATGTGTCTTTGTCTGGTTTTGGTATCAGAGTAATATTGGCATCATAGAATGAGTTTATAAGTATTCCCTCCTCCTCTATTTTTCAGAAAAGTTTGAGTAGGATTGCTATGTTCTTTAAATGTTTGGTGGAATTTGACAGTGAAGCTATTGGGTCCCAGGCTTTTCTTTTCTGGGAGACTTTTTATTATAGTTTCAATCTCGTTACTTGTTATTGGTCTGTTCAGGTTTTGGATTTCTTCATGGCTCAGTTTTGATAGGTTGTATGTGTCTAGGAATTTATCCATTTCTTCTAGATTTCCCAATTTATTGACATATAGTTGCTCATAATAGGGACTAATGATCCTTTGAATTTTTGCAATATCAGTTGTAATGTCTCCTGTTTCATCTCTGATTTTATTTAATTGGGTCTTCTCTCTTTTTATCTTAGTCTGGCAAAAGGTTGGTCAAATTTGTTTTTAACTTTTTAAAAAAACAGCTTTTGTTTTTATTGATCTCTTGTATTGTTTTCCTTGTTTCAGTTTATTTATTTCTGCTCTTATCCTTATTATTTCTTCTACTAATTTTGTGTTTGGTTTGCTCTTGCTTTTCTAGTTCTTTAAGTTGCATCATTGGGTTGTTTATTTGAAGTTTCTCTTCTTTTTTTTTTGAGATGAAGTCTCACTCTGTTGCCCCAGGCTGGAGTGCAGTGGTGTGATCTCAGCTCACTGCAACCTCCACCTCCCGAGTTCAAGCAATTCTCCTGCCTCAGCCTCCCGAGTAGCTGGGATTACAGACATGCACCACTATGCCTGGGTAATTTTTGTATTTTTAGTAGAGACAGGGTTTCACCATGTTGACCAGGCTGGTCTTGAACTTCTGACCTCAAGTGATCCACCTTCCTTGGCCTCTCAAATTGCTGGGATTACAGGAGTAAGCCACCATGCCTGGGCTGAAGTTTTTCTTCTTTTTGATGTAGGCACTTAACAGCTATAAATTTTCCTGTTAGTACTGCTTTCACTGTATCCCACAGGTTTTGGTATGTTGTGTTTCCATTGTCTTTTGCTTCAAGAATTTTTAAAATTTCCTTCTTAATTTCTTCACTGACCCACTGGTCATTCAGGAGCATATTGTTTAATTTCCATGAATTTATATAGTTTCCAAAATTCCTCTTGTTGATCTCTAGTTTTATTCCATTGTGGTCAGCGAAGATGGTTGCTGTTATTTCAGGTTTTTTTTTTTAAATGTTTTAAGACTTGTTTTGTGACCTAACATATGATCTAGCTTTGAAAATGACCCACGTGCTAAGGAAAAGAATGTGTATTTTGCAGCCATTGCATGAAATGTTCTGTAAATATCTATTAGGCCCATTTGGTCTATAGTATAGATTAAGTCTGATGTTTCTTTGTTGATTTTCTGTCTAGAAGATCTGTCCAGTGCCGAAAGTGGGGTGTTGCTATCTCCAGCTATTATTTTATTGGTGTCTTTCTCTCTCTTTAGCTCTAATAATATTTGCTTTATACGTCTGGCTGCTCCAGTGTTGGGTATATATATATTTACTTATGTTATATCTTCTTGCTGAATTGACTTCTTTATTATATAGTGACCTTCCTTGTCTCTTTCTATAGTTTTTGTTTCAAAATCTATTTTGTCTAAGTATAGCTACTCCTGCTCTTTTTTGATTTCCACTGGCATGTAACATCTTTTTTTCGTTCCTTTATTTTCAGTTTATGTGCGTCTTTATAAGTAGAGTGTGCTTCTGATCATGGGGTCTTGTTTTTTTATCCATCCAACAACCCTATGTCGTTTGATTGGAGAGTTTAGTCCATTTATATTCAATGTCATTATTAATAAGTAAGGACTTACTCCTGCCATTTTGTTGTTTCTCTGGTTGTTTTGTGGTCTTCTCATTCTTCTTTCCTTCCCTCCTGTCTTCCTTTTACTGAAGGTGATTTTCTCTGGTGATATGATTAAATTTCTTGTTTTTTTTTTTTATTTTTTGTGTACCCATTGTGTGTTTTTTGATTTGAGGTTACCATGAGGCTTGCAAATACTATCCTATAACTCATTATTTTAAGCTGATAACAACTTCACACTGTTTGCATAAACAAAGAAACAAGCAAAGAGAAAACTAATAAAACTCTACACCTTAACTTCATCCCCCCACATTTTAACTTTTTGTTGTTTCTATTTATATCTTATTGTACGATATCTTGAAAAGTTGTTGTGCTATCATTATTATTATTATTATTATTATTATTATTATTATTTTGAGACGGAGTCACGCTCTGTCACTCAGGCTGCAGTGCGGTGGCACGTCTCGGCTGACTGCAACCTCTTTCTACTGAGTTCAAGCAAGCCTCCTGCCTCAGCCTCCCAAGTAGCTGGGACTACAGACACATGCCACCACACCCAGCTAATTTTTGTATTTTTAGTAGAGATGTTGGCTAGGCTGATCTCGAACTCCTGACCTCAAGTGATCTGCCTGCCTCGGCCTCCCAGAGTGCTGGAATTATAGGCGTGAGCCACCATGCTGACCTGTAGCTATTATTTTTTATGAGTTCGTCTTTTAGTCTTTCTGCTTGAGATAATAGTAGCTTACACACCTCAGTAACAGTGTTGTAATATTCTGGTTTTCTCTGTACTATTACCAGTGAGTTTTATACTAACACCTTTTCTTTCTGATTGAAGTACTGCCTTTAGCATTTCATGTAGGAGAGGTCTGGTGTTGATGAAATTCCTCAGCTTTTGTTTGTCTAGGAAAGTCTTTATTTCTTCATGTTTTAAGGATATTTTCACAAGATATACTATTCTAGGGTAAAAGGTTTTTTCCTTCAGCCCTTTAAATATGTCATGCCACTCTCTCCTGGCCTGCAACATTTCCACTGAAAAGTCTGCTGCCAGACAATTGGAGCTCCATTGTATGTTATTTGTTTCTTTTCTCTTGCTGCTTTTAGGATCCTTTTTTAGGATCCTTGACCTTTGGGAGTTTGGTTATTAAATGCCTTAAAGTAGTCTTCTTTGGGTTAAATCTGCTTAGTGTTCTGTAACCTTCTTGTACTTGAATTTTGATATCTTTCTCTAGGTTTGGGAAGTTCTCTGTTATTATTTCTTTGAATAAACTTTCTACCCCTATCTCTTTCTCTAGCTCATCTTTAAGGCCAGTAACTCTTAAATTTGCCCTTTTGAGGTTATTTTCTAGATCTTGTAGCCATGTTTCATTCTTTATTCTTTTTTCTTTTGTCTCCTCTGCATTTCCAAAGAGGCCGTCTTCAAGCTCACTAATTCTTTCTTCTGCTTGATAAATTCTACTGTTAAAAGATTCTGACTCATTCCTCAGTATATCAATTGCATTTTTAAATCCAGAATTTCTGCTTGATTCTTTAAAATTATTTCAGTCTCTTTTTTAAATTTTTATTATTTTTTTATTATACTTTAAGTTCTAGGGTACATGTGCACAATGTGCAGGTTTGATACATAGGTGTACATGTGCCATGTTGGTTTGCTGCACCCCCCAACTCATCATTTACATTAGGTATTTCTCCTAATGCTATCCCTCCCCCAGCCCCCAACCCCCCTGCTGCCAACAGGCCCTAGTGTGTGATGTTCCCCCCTCTGTGTGCAAGTGATCTCATTGTTCAATTCCCACCTATGAGTGAGAACATGCAGTGTTTGGTTTTCTGTCCTTGTGATAGTTTGCTGAGAATGATGGTTTCCAGCTTCATCCATGTCCCTGCAAAGGACATGAACTCATCCTTTTTTATGGCTGCATAGTATTCCATGATGTATATGTGCCACATTTTCTTAATCCAGTCTATCACTGATGGACATTTGGATTGGTTCCAAGTCTTTGTTATTGTGAATAGTGCTGCAATGAACATACGTGTGCATGTGTCTTTATAGTAGCATGATTTATAATCCTTTAGGTATATACCCAGTAATGGGATTGCTGGGTCAAATGGTAATTCTAGTTGTAGATCCTTGAGGAATCTCCACACTGTCTTCAATCTCTTCGTTAAATGATAGAATTCTGAATTCTTTCTCTGTGTTATCTTGAATTTCTTTGAGTTTCCTCAAAACAGCTATTTTAAATTCTCTGTCTGAAAGGTAACATATCTGTTTCTCCAGAATTGGTCACTGGTGCCTTATTTAGTTCATTTTGTGAAATCATGTCTTCCTGGATGGTCTTAATGCCTGTGGATGTTCATCAGTGTCTGGGCATTGAAGAGTTGGGTATTTATTGTAGTCTTCACAGTCTGGGGTTGTTTGTACTTTTCCTTTTTGGGAAGGCTTTCCAGGTATTTGAAAGGGTTTGGGTGTTGTGACCTAAGTCATGTCTGCATTAGGGGGCACCCCAAGCCCAGAATGTTGCGGTTCTTGCAGACTCAGAGAGGTACTGCCTTGGTGATCTTGGATAAGATCCAGGAGAACTCTCTAGATTATCAGGTAGAGACTCTTGTTCTCTTCCCTAGTTTCTCCCAAACAAATGGAGTCTCTCTCTGTGCTGAGCCACCTGGAGCTGGGGATGGGGTTACACAAGTACCCCTGTGGCCACCACCACTGGGAGTGCACTGGATGAAACCTAAAGCCAGCACAGCACTGGGTCTTGCCCAAGACCTGCTGTAACCACTACCTGACTACTGCCTATATTTGCTCAAGGCCCTAGGGATCTACAATCAGCAGGTGGTGAAGCCAGCCAGGTTTCTGTTCTTCCCTTTAGGGCAGACAGTTCCCTCAGGCCCCAGGCAGGTCCGGAAATGTTGTCTGGGAGCCAGGACTAGAGTAAAAAACCTTCAAAATCTACCTGATGTTCTATTGTACTGTGGCTGAGCTGGCACTCAAACTGTGAGACACAGTCCTTCCCACTCTTCCCTCCCTCTTCCACAGGCAGAGGAGTCTCACCCTTTGGCCACCACCACCAGGTCCATGGGGAGTACTGCCAGCCTACTGCCACTGTTCACTTAAGGTCCAAGGACTCTTCAGTTAGGCCTGGGACTCACTTTTCAGGGCAGTGGGCTCCCCTGTGCCCCAGGACAGGTATAGAAATGCCATCTGAGAGCCAAGGCCTGGAATCAGGGACCCCAAGAGCCCCTTAGTGCTCTGCCCCCTCATTGCTGAGCTAGTACATAAGGTGCAAGACGAAGTCCTCTTTACTTTTCCCTCTGCTTTTCTCAAGCAGAAGGAGTCCCTCACTGTGACCATCACATCTGAGAATGTGCTGAGTCTCTCCTGAAGCCAGCATGTCTCAGAGTGTCACCCAAGGCCCACAGCCTACTACCTGGGTATCACTGCTGGTTATTCAGGGCCCAAGGACTCTTCAGTCAGCGGGTGATGGGTCCTGCCAGGACTGGGTCCTTCCCTTCAAGGCAGTGGGTTCCCTTCTGGCCCAGGATGTATCTAGAAATGTCATCTGGGAGTAGGGCCTGGAATGGGGGCCTCATGACGCTAACTTGTACCCTATCCTACTGTGGCTAAACTGGTATCCAAGATGCAAAACAAAGTCCTTTTTACTCTTCCCTCTTCTCTCCTCAAGTGGAAGAAAGGGGTCTTTTTTGGAGCCATGAGCTGTGCCACTTGAGATTGGGGTGGGGGGTGTCACAAGCACTCCCTTAGCTGCCCCAGCTGGTGTCTCAGTAGGTTGCATGCCCTCTAAATCCACTGGCTCTGAGCCCAGCTCAGCACTAAGGCTTGCCTGGGAGTTGCAGTCCTTGCGGCCTAGGCTGCCTTTCAAGTTTATTTAGAACTCCAGAGCCCACAGTGGACAGGCTTGCCAAAACACAGGATGCAGCCACTTGGGATGGGTAATTCCCCTTTGGCTAGGGCAGGTCTAAATGCTCCCTCCATGAGTGGGCTTCAGCTGAGTTCAGCCTGATTTTGCTTTCCACTGTGACAGGAAAGCACTGAGTTCAATGTAAAGTCTGACAATCACTGTACTCTCCCTCTCCCAAATGCATAGACTCTCTGTGCCTTGCAGCTGCTGCTGGGGATGGGGAAGGGTTGTGTCAGCAATTCAAGACTGTCTTTCCTACCTCTCCAGTGCCCCTTTCAGCAATATGAAGTTAAAATCAGGTACTATGAGTGCTCACCTGGTTTTTGGTTATTTTGAAGACGCTTTTTTTGTGTAGGTAGTTGTTAAATTTGGTGTTCCTATGGGGAGAACAATCAGTAGAGCCTTCTATTTGGCCATCTTTCCCCACTCCTCCACCTAACTTTCATTACAATATATTGTTTTAATTGTTCTATTTTAGTAGGAGTTATTGTTAATCTCTTAGGGTCTAACTTACCAATTAAACTTTATCATAGGTGTGCATGTAAAAAACTTAGCATATACAGGTTTGGTACTATCCATGCTTTCAGGCATTTACAAGGGGTCCTGGAATGTATTTCTCAAGGACTCGGGGGATTGCTACATGTCTATTGGCCTCTTGTCTATGTGGCTGCTTTCCTTTGCCACCCAACTTTTAGCTGCCTTGTTGCATCCATTGACACTGGGAAGTATATTCAGTGATGCTGCATTATAGGGTCTTAATCTTGTTTAGGAATTAGGCTGACACATGCATGCTAGCATGGGTGATTAGCCTTGCCTCATAGCTCGTAAGTAACTCTAGCCCAGCAATGTCCCAGTTTATGCCTGTTGTCCTATGACATATGTATGAATGATGCCTGGTTTTGCTATAGCCATTCTGGTTTGAAGTCACTTTGGGTGTCGGGGCCTCCACCATCCATTCCATGTCCACATGCTATTCCACCTCACCTGCTGACAGTTCTGGGGCCAGGCTGACTTTCAGCATCAGTTCCAGGAGTTGGGCTTACTCCCTGAGGGGACGGCAGCTATTTCTGGAAGGTGTCCAATGTTACAAGAAGAGAACTGTTAATAGCAGTTCCTAGTCAGAGCAAGAGACCGTCACCTTTGGGGAGCCCAAGGCACCTGGGGCAGGCCAGACATGGAGGCTCAATCCAGCAGATGCTCCAGGTGGCCTGCTAGCAGGTCGCTGGACCTCAGGCCCTAGGCTTGAGTTCAGGGTTCAGTCTCTGGTCCCTGTTGGCAGGAGAAGTGGGGGAAGTGACCAGGAACCACTCAGGGTGGCAGATACCAGAGATGGTTCCCAAGCACTGGCCAGAAACCCCCAGGCTTCACCAGCAGCAAGGAGGGCTCCATTCTGAGGCCCTCAGGGTTTCAGTTAGAGCCTGAGAAATGCCCCCACCCAAAGCCAGGTTTCATCCTCAAATCCAAGGTGAAGTTAAGCCTGCATACTTCGAGGCTGCAGCTGGGTGGGAGTCAGAGGTTCATTGTAGGTAGGACCTGACACAAATGACTAAATAGATGCCCCTGGAACCTAGGGTGGGATATCACTGCCACGACTCCACATGACCACATCCTCATACCACCTGACACCTATCATGGAGGACAGCTGTGAAAATTAGTATCACAGGCACAGATCGTTGTCATCCAGGTCATGCAGATCATTGTCATCCGGTCTGCAGAGACTCAGATGACAGTGATCTGTGCCTATGGCACTTGGGCTCCCTCGAGAAGACCCAAGATTAGCCATCATCAGAGAAGTTTTCAAGCTGATTGAGAAGAAATAGAGACTTTGTGTCTTTAATCAGGTGAATCAAAAGGGTCCAATTCAGTGAGGGCCGTCCAGCCCTGGAAATGCTCTCTTTTCCTGGAACCCGGGGAGACATGGCCAGTCTCATCACTTTGCACAAGTCAGTCCCTGACACATCCATCACAGATGACTCGCAGTATGAGTAACATCTCTGTTTGATAAATGACCAGTCAACAATTCCTGGTGAGCATCAATGATACCCCCAATATTCTGACATTTAAAGGATGCTGCTCTCCTGCTCTTCTTGGCCCCGTGTCCCCTGGTAAACACAATGTCTTGAAAAACCATTTTCTGAAACCCCTCCTGTATTAGTTTTCACACTGCTGATAAAGACACATCCAAGACTGGGAAGAAAAAGAGGTTTAACTGGACTTCAGTTCGACATAGCTGAGGAGGCCCCAGAATCATGGCAGGAGGCGAAAGGCACTCCTTTCATGGCAGCAAGAGAAAATGAGGAAGAAGCAAAAGCAGAAATGCCTGATGAACCCATCAGATCTCATGAAACTTATTCACTATCACGAGAATAGCACGGGAAAGACCGGCCCCATGATTCAATTACCTCCCCCTGGGTCCCTCCCACAACAAATGGGAATTCTGGGAGGTGCAATTCAAGTTAAGATTTGGGTAGGGACACAGCCAAACCATATCATTCTGCCCCTGGCTCCTCCAAATCTCATGTCCTCACATATCTTTTTTTTTTTTTTTTTTGAGTTGGAGTCTCACTCTGTCACCCAGGCTGGAGTGCAGTGGTGTGATTTCAGTTCACTGCAACCTCCACCTCCCGGGTTCAGGAGATTCTACTGCCTCAGCCTCCTGAGTAGCTGGAACTACAGGTGCACACCAGCACGCCCAGTTAATTTTTGTATTTTTTGTAGAGACGGGGTTTCACCATGTTGGCCAGGCTTGTCTCGAACTCCTGACCTCAGGTGATCTGCTTGCCTTGGCCTCCCAAAGTGCTAGGATTACAGGCACGAGCCACCATGCCTGACCATGTCCTCACATTTCAAAAGCAATCATGCGTTCCCAACAGTCCCCCAAAGTCTTAACTCATTTCACCATTAACCCAACAGTCCAAAGTCTCATCTGAGACAAGGCAAGTTCCTTCCACCTGTGAGCCTGTAAAATCAAAAGCAAGCTAGTTACTTCCTAGATACAGTGGGGGTACAGGTATTGAGTAAATACTGCCATTCCAAATGGGAAAAAATGGCCAAAACAAAGGGGTTACAGGGCCCATGCAAGTCTAAAATCCAGCGGGACAAATTTTAAAGCTCCAAAATGATCTCCTTTGACTCCAGGTCTCACATCCAGGTGACACTGATGCAAAAGGTGGGTTCCCATGGTCTTGGGCATCTCTCTAACTTCTTGCCCTCCAACTACAGGCAAATCTAGAACTACAGAAGATGTCAGCATGCCGCCCCTGCATCGAGGAGTGGGAACCCCTGCCAACAGCCTGGAGTTCAGCGACCCCTGCCCTGAGGCCCGGGAGAAGCTGCAGGAGTTGTGTCGCCACATGTGAGCACCTCAGTGCTTGGGTCGGGGGAGTCAAGGGTTCTCAGAAAGCCTGGCCCCCAGCTGGGAGTCCCTGTGTATATGTGAGTGGACAGTCACAGAAGTGTGTGAGACATGCCACCTGGGAGCGTGGGTTATGTGGTACTCCCCACGACAGCCACAGGTGCAGCATCCCTCACAGGCACACACACACCCGTGTCCTTCCCTGCTCACCACCCTCCCTACAATATCACTGCAACCATGCAAGGAAGACAGGATTGATGCCCATTTTGTGGATGGGGAAACTGAGGCAGCCTAAGCAGGTATGTGAGTAAGAAATTGCCTGAGCTCACACAGCTCCAGTGGCTTGCCTCCTGCCCCTGCCCAGCAATGCTTTCTGCCTCTGCAGCACCTTGCCAGGGATGCCCCTTTGCATGGCTCCTTACATTTAGGGCTTTTGTGCACTGTTTGTTTCTTAACTTAATTTGCTAGATGTTCTACCAGACAGACAAAAACCTCTCAAAACAAACCAAAAAGACCCTTGACATGGGTGATTAGTGGTTTTTATCATTCTGTGGGGCCATCCCACAAGCCCTAGCAATTTACTCAACATTTCTCTGAGGGCCCAGGCCACTGGGTGTAAAGGACTTAAGCACCTGTTCACATCTAATAGCTTGGTCATATACGTCTCCGGGGGTTGCTGGGCCAGAACATGGGGAGAGGGCAGCCACTGTTTGCCTCCTCACTGTGACACTCTGGAAGGAAGCTCTCTTCCCCACAACCTCAGGACTGGGGTGAGCAAGGTCTTCAAACCCCCAGGACCCACCCCCCAACTTCCACACACACTCCTACTCCATAGGTCCTCACCCTCAGGCTCAGGTGGAAATCAGGCAAGGGCTATTCTTAGACGGGCATTGGGAACTTCCCAGTTCTTCCCAAAAATTACCTTTATGGACGAGGGAGCATGGGTTGGGGATGTGTACTTTGGGGACAGGGGAATGGGATAGGGGTCTTGGGCACTAAGGAGGGGCTGTAGAGAGCATCCCTGGTGCTTGAGAACCAAAAGGCTAGACAATATATTGCTCTCCTTCTCTGCAGAGAAGCTGAAAGGGCCACATGGAAAGGGAGGAATATCTCCTACCCCATGATCTTACGAAACTACAAGGCAAAGATGCCCTCTCATCTAATGTTGGCCCGCAAAGGAGACTCTCAGACCCCGGGTTTACATTACCCTCCCACTGCAGGTGCTCAGACTCTCAGCCCCACCTCTCACCCATCTTCTGCCAACCATCATTTCAGTCAGCATTGTCAAGAGGGGAAGGCACCCAAGAAGGCCTTCAAGTTTCATTACACCTTCTATGATGGCTCCTCCTTCGTTTAGTATCCTTTTATTTGGTACCACCCTATCTCCCCAGCTACTCAACCCCAGAGAAGTCCAGGACTTGATACAGCCTAAATGTTTCCTTGGGCCTTTTAGTTATCAGAGAAGCCTGGTGATGGGTCTCCTGGGTATTAAGAGCTTGTCTAGATCAGACTCAGGAGGTCAGAGGAGGAGGTAATAAGTTTCAAGCCTCACGTTCAGTTCAGATCAACAGGAACATACCACACCCCAGCTACCTGTGAGAAGCTTGTCAGTGCAGGCTGGGAATGCAGACAAAGTCCCTGCCTTTGAGAACCTCTCAGTTGAGACGTGGTTAAAGACACAAAACAAATCATGTCTAGTGGAGAGGAGAGAATTAGGAGGCCTTAAACAATTGGGAACCTTCATCCTTCTCTCCCTGGCTCAGTGGTTAAGCTCTGTGGTCCTTGGATACTTCACCTATCAACATCCTTGGAGCCTGAGACCTCACCCCAAATGCGCTATCTCCTGGGCCCTGACTGCTCTGCAGCTGAGATCTGACTGGGCTCATGAGCATAGTGCTAGTTGTGTCCCAACCTTGGATGTGGGAGCAACAAAAGGAGACACATTTTCTCTTTGAGAATCTGATGAAAGCTATAGACCTTCTCCCTAGAAATAAGCACTTATCTATACATGCCTGTAAGGCGTTACCTGTGATTGCAGGGCATTCACCAACCTCCAAAGCCTGTCTTTGGATCTGAGTTTGAAAAGACAAATCTCCTTGGAGGGTGAGCCCTGAGGGCTGTGCATACCTCAGAGTGATTTGAGTCTGATTATTTTCTTCACTCACAGATGTGTATCGAGTATCTGTCACGTGCAATGAAGTCAGATAATGAAGTTAATAGACCATTTGTACTTCAGAGGGAGCAACTGTAATTGCTTCTTTTAAAGTGAAGAGGAGTTTGAATTTGGGTGGTAAAAGCAAAAAAGAGGGCTCCCTTTACAGAATGTCTGGGTAGGAAGTCACCTTGTACCCTATGTTCTTTGTGGGGGTCCGGTTGCCCAAACCCAACATATTCTAGAGCTGGACCAGATCACAGATGTCTCATTCATTTGACCACAAGGACTCTGAGGCCAGAGAGGGCAAAGCACTTATTCCAGGTTACACAGTCTAGAGTTACATAAAATGTCATGGATGTGAAACACAGTCATTTGTTTCTGCCCCTTCACTGTAGAAATCGGAAAACTGAGACCCAAAGGCATGGTGTGACTGACTGTATGCCACAAAAGGAATTCTGTGGCCAAGCTAGGCCTTGGTTCATGGCCTCCTTACCTCAATTTAGGGTCCTTTGTTGGGTACCATTTTTATACCTTTAAGGATTATTTCCTCCAGTACAGAGCAGGGTAGAGGGAGATGGAAGTGGATCTCATTTTAATAATAAAATCACTGGGCACTCAGGATCCCCTGCCCCTTTCTTGGAGGAGAGGACGGGTCTCTGGGCTGTCTCAACCACTTTCACAAAGGCTAAGCCCCCCAACCAGGCTCTGCTGGCAGCAGCCCCCTTGCTTCCTTTGGCCTCCTCTTGACTGAACTGGGAATTCAGATTTAAGCACTCTGTCAAAGAAGTGTTATTGTTTCTCAGACCGTATATGAATCCATTCATCACACTCTGCTCGGCCCTGCTTGCAGCGCATCCCTCCAGTATTTAACACAGCTGACTCCTTCGAGAGCCGCTGCTGCTTGCAATGGGTTGTGTTGTGCCCCACCCCTGCTTCTTTCTGACTCTTTGCTGCATTTAATAGGATGATCTCCCTGAGCTCCTCATGAAGCTGTGTCTATGAATTAGTCTTCTATCAGGGGCATCAGAAAGGAGGGTGGGCTTGTGTATGATTAGAGCACAGCACCCTAGCCTGCAGGAATCTCTGTTCTCTCACTTGTCCCAGAATTCTGAGCACCCTCCCACCCCCCACCCCCAAATGGTCTGAGAGATCACCCAAACTTTTGATCCATTGCTACTGGCACTCTTGACTCACACCCCAGCAATGATCACATCCTCGCAATTAATGCTCTTCTCTTTGGGAGTCCTAAAAGACCAGGGCTCTAGGCTCAGTTCTTTTTGGTGACCCTGCACAAATCACTTGATCTCTGTGCCTCACTTCCCTTGATTATAAGATGAGGAAGTTGAACTCAGTAATCTTAAAGGAGAAATTCTGTTACTGTGTTCAAATGGTCAGAACACATGTGCAGCTATTTGATCCCTCTCAAGTACAGAAAATGTTTGGAAAACTCTTCTTTCACCTAATGGCTTCCATAGAACACTGGGCTCAGCAGTCGATTCTGTTTTCATAGATATTGCTGGTCAAGCTCTCAGGCAAAAATTATATGTCTGGGCCGGGCGTGGTGGCTCGTGCCTGTAATCCCAGCAGTTTGGGAGTCCAAGGCAGGCAGATCACGAGGTCAGGAGATCGAGTCCATCCTGGCTAACATGGTGAAACCCCGTCTCTACTAAAAATACAAAAAATTAGCCGGGTGTGGTGGCGGGCGCCTGTAGTCCCAGCTACTCAGGAGGCTGAGGCAGGAGAATGGCATGAACCCAGGAGGTGGAGCTTGCAGTGAGCCGAGATCGAGCCACTGCACTCCATCTTGGGCAACAGAGCAAGACTCCGTCTCAAAAAAAAAAAAAAAAAAAGATACGTCTGCACTGGGAATATCATAAAGCTGTAAGCTATAATTGATTAGCACTTGGCAGCTTCAGACCCCAGACCTGTCTCAATGTTCATTCATTCATTCTAGTGGGTGTGAGTGGTATCTCACTGTGGTTTTAACTTATGTTTACCTAATGACGAATGGCGTAGAGCATCTTTTCTTGTGTGTGTGTGTGTGTGTGTGTGTGTGTGTGTGTGTGTGTGTGTGTTTTGGTGTATCTTCTTTGGAGAAATGTGTATTGAAGTCCTTGTTCATGTTTAGATTGAGTTGTCTTTCTTTAAAACAAGTTGTAAGGGTTCTTTACATATTGTGCATAGATAGTAGATGCTTATCAGTATATGATTTGCAAGTATTTTTTCCTATACTGTCATATGCCTTTTCACTCTCTCAGTAGCATCATTTAATGCACAAAAACTTTTAAATTTTGATGAAGTCCAATTTTTTCCACCTTTCTTTCGCTGCTTATGCATTTGGCTTTATGTCTAAAAAACCATCGCCAAATCCAAGGTTATAACATTTACCCCTGTGTTTTCCTCTTTTTTTTTTTTTTTTGAGACAGAGTTTCGCTCTTGTTGCCCAGGCTGGAGTACAATGACGTGATCTCAGCTCACCACAACCTCTGCCTCCTGGGTTCAAGCGATTCTTCTGCCTTAGCCTCCCGAGTAGCTGGGATTACAGGTATGCACCACCACGCTGACTAATTTTGTATTTTTAGTAGAGATGGGGTTTCTCCATGTTGGTCAGGCTGGTCTTGAACTCACTCCTGACCTTAGGTGATCCGCCCACCTTGGCCTCCCAAAGTGCTGGGATTATAGGCATGAGCCACCGTGCCCGGCCCCCTGTGTTTTCTTCTAAGAGGTTTATACTTATAGGTCTTGCGGTCTTTGAAGCATTTTGAGTTAATTTTTGTATGTGGTATAAGATAAGGTTCCAATTTCTTTCCTTTGCATGTGGATAGCTAATTGTCCCAGTACCATTTATTTAAGAGGCATTCTTTCCCCATTGAATGGTCATGGCACCCTTGTCAAAAATCAATTGACTGTAGAACTATAGATGTATGGGTTTATTTTTGGACTGTCAATTCTAAGCCATTAACACGTATGTCTGTCTTTATGACTGTACCACACTGTTTTGGTTATTGTAGTTTTGTAGCAAGTTTTGAAATAAGGTAGTGTGAGTCCTCCCACTTTTTTTTTTTTCAAGACTATTTTGGTTGCTTGGAATCTCTTACAATTTAGTGTAAATTTTCAAGTCAGGTTTTCCATTTCCACAAAAAAAAGGCAATAAGATTTTGATAGGCATTGCATTGATTCTGTAGATCACTTTGGGGAGTAATACCATTAACAGTTTGTTGTTGTTGTTGTTGTTGTTGTTTTTGAGACAGAGTCTCACTCTGTCACCCAGGCCAGAGTGCAGTGGTGCCATCTCAGCTCACTGCAACCTCTGCCTCCTGGGTTCAAGCAATTCTCCTGCCTCAGCCTCCCAGATAGCTGGGACTACAGGTGTGCGCCACCATACCTGGCTAATTTTTGTGTTTTTAGTAGAGATAGGGTTTGGCCATGTTGGCCAGGCTGGTCTTGAACTCCCGACCTTGAGTGATCCGCCCACTTCAGCCTCCCAAAGTGCTGGGATTACAGGCATGAGCCACCACACCCGGCCAACAATATTAATTCATCCAACCCATGAGCACTGGCAACAAGCAATACAAAATGGTGTATAAACAAGAACAAAAAAGCAATGAACAAAAGGAAATTATGCCATTTGCAACAGCATCAAAAAGATTAAAATACTTAGGAATAAATAACAAAGAGGTACAGAACTTGTACACTGAAAACTACAAAACATTGCCAAATTAAATTAAAGAAGACCTAAATAAATGGAAAGACATCTTGTGTTCATGGGGACAACTCTTTTGTGTGTGTTGATCTTGTATCTGTAACTTTTCTAAATTTATTTGTTTGCTGTAGATTTTTTTGTGTGGACTCTTTAGAATTTTCTATATATAAAATCATGTCATCTGCCAACAGAGGTAATTTTACTTCTTCCTTTCCAATTTTGAGGCTTTTTATTATTTTGTTGTTGTTGCTATTTGCTGTGGCCAGAACTTTCAATACAATTTTGAATAGAAGTGGTGAAAGCAGGCCTCCTTGTCTTGTTCTTTATATTAGAGGAAAAGTTTTCATTCTTTCACCATTTATTATGATGTTAGTTGTGAGTTTTTTCATATATGGCTCTTAATATGTTGTGGGAGTTCCCTTCTATTCCGAATTTGTTGAGTGTTTTTTAATCATGAAAGGGTATTGAATTTTGTCAAATGCTTTTTCTTTATCAGTTAAGGTGATCATGATTCCCCCCAACCCCCGCCATTCTATTACTATGGTACATTACATTGATTTTTGTGTGTTGAACCATACTTGCATTCCTGGGATAAACCACACCTGGTCATGGTGTCTAATCCTTTTGATAGGCTGCTGCTGAATTTGGTTTGCTGGCATTTTGTTAAGGTATTTTATGTTTATAGTCATAAGGGATATGGGAAGTTTTCTTTTTATGTATTTGTCTGGCTTTGGTATCAAGATAACCCTGGCCTCATAGAATGAGTTAGGAAGTGTTCAGGTCTGCTCTTCTATTTTTTTGGAAGAGCTTGAGGAGGATTGGTATTAATTCTTTAAATGTCTGGTAGAATTCACCAGTGAAGCCATCTGGTCCTAGGCTTTTCTTTGTTGGGTGATTTTTCATTAATGATTTAATCTCCTTACTTGCTATATACTTCTATTTAGGTTTTTTATTTCTTTTTGAGTCACTTCTGGTAGTTAATATGTTTCTAGGAATTTGTCCATCTACGTTATCTGACTTTATGGTGTACAGCTATTCATATTATTGTATCATTGTCTTAGGATTTTTTTTTTTATTTCTGTAAGGTCCCATTTTCATTTCTGATTTTAGGAATTTGAGTCTTTCTTTTTTTTAATCAGTCTACTAGAAGTTTGTGCTTTCTTGATTTATCAAAGATGCAACTTTTGGTTTTGTTGGTTCTATTTTTCTATTCTCAATTCTGTTTTTCTCCACTCTGATTCTTTATTGCTTTCTTCCATCTGCTAGCTTTGCTTTAGTTTGCCCTTCTTTTTCTAGTTCCTTAAGGTAGAAAATTGGGTTATTGATTTGAGATCTTTCTTTTCATTTAATGTTGGTATTTACAGCTATAAATTTCTTTCTGAGTGTTGCTTTGCCTTTCTTCCATAAGTTTTGACATGTTGTGTTTTGTTTTCATTCATTTCAAAGTATTTTATAATTTCCCTTGTGATTTCTTTATCCACCTGTTGTTTGTGTGTTGTTAATTTTCATGTATTTGTGAATTTTCCCTATTTTCTTTTGTTAGTGATTTCTAGTTTCATTCCATTGTGACCAAAGGAGATACTTTCTATGGTTTAATCTTTTAAAATTTATTAAGACCTGTTTTGTGGCCTAACATATTGTCTGTACTGGAGAATGATCCATGTGAATGTGAGAAGAATGTGTGTTCTGCTGTTGTTGGGTGGGATTCTGTATGTTTCTGTTAGTTCTAGTTGGTTTGCAGTGTTGTTCAAGTCCTCTATTTCTTTCTTTCTTTTTCTTTTTTTTTTTTTTGAGGTGGAATCTCACTGTGTCACCCAGACTGGGGTGCAGTGGCGCAATCTTGGCTGGCTGCAACCTCTGCCTCCCGAGTTCAAGTGATTCTCCTGCCTCAGCCTCCTGAGTAGCTGGGATTACAGGTGTGCACCACCATGCCTGGCTAAACTTTTTTGTATTTTTAGTGGAGATGGGGTTTCACCATGTTGGCCAGGCTGGTCTCAAAACTCCTGAACTCAGGTGATCCATCCGCCTTGGCCTCCCAAAGTGCTGGGATTGCAGGCGTGAGCTACTGCAAGCGGCCTAAGTCCTCTATTTCTTTATTGATCTTCTGTCTAGTTGTTCTATCCATTATTGAACATGAGGTAGTGAAGTCTCCAACTATTTTTGTAGAACTATTTCTTCCTTTAATTCTGTCAGTTTTTAAATTTATATATATTGAGGCTCTGTTATTAGGTGTGTATATCTCTATAATTGTTACATATTCTTAAGGCATTCACCCTTTTCTCAATATGTAATGTCCTTCTTTGTCACTTGTAAAAATGTTTAACTTAACATCTATTTTGCATGGTTTTAGTATATTCACCCCTACTGTCTTTTGGTTACAATTTGCATAGAATATCTTTTTCTATCATTTCACTTTCAACCAAGTTGTGTCTTTGGATCTAAAGTGAGTCTCTTAGACACGGCATATGGTTGAATTGTTTTGGTTTTTAAAAATTTATCCTGCCAGCTTTTTTTTTTTTTTTTTTTTTTTTTTGAGACTGAGTCTCGCTCTATTGCCCAGGCTGGAGTGCAGTGGTGCAATCTTGGCTCGTTGCAACCTCCACCTCCTGGGCTCAAGCAATTCTCATGCCTCAGCTCTGGCCTTTTTGATTAGAGAGTTTAATCTATTTCTGTTTAAATTGCTGATACAGAAGGACTTAATTCTTTAGTTTTTCTATTTGTTTTCTATATGTCGTATACCATCTTTGTTTCTCAGTTCCTTCATTACTTCCACTTTTTGTGTCTGACTTTTTGTAGCATGCCATTTTGATTTACTTCTCATTTCCTTTTCTCCATATTTTTAAGTTATTTCCCTAGGGTTGTCTTGGTATAATGGGTTAAATGGTGTCTCTCAAAATTTGTAACCACATGGAACCTCAGAATATTACCACATTTGGAAATAGGGGCTCTGAAGATGTAATTTTTAAGATGCAGTCATATTCTTGGGGTGGGCCCTACTGCAATGACTGGTGTCCTTATAAGAAGAGAAAACAGACACACACACGCACACACACGCGCGCGCGCACACACACACACACACACACACACACACACACAGAAGAAAGCTATGTGGTGACTGAGGCAGAGATTGAAATGATGCATGTACAATCCAAAGAATACCAAAGATTTCTGGCAACCACCAGAAACTACAAGGGGCAAGGAAGGATTCTTCCCCAGAGCCTTCCAAAGCATAACCCTGTTGACACCTTGATCTTGGACGTTCAGCCTCTGGAACTGTAAGATTATAAATTTATGTTGCTTTTAGCCATCCAGTTTATCGTACTTTGTTATGATAGCCCTAGGAAACTAATTTACCTGTGTATTACAGTTAACACACTAGTTTGAATTAATAACTTAGTCACAATAATATATAAAACTCTGCTCCTATATAGCTGTATCCCTCCCCCTTTATGTTGTTATCAGAGAATAATGTTTTATAGATACATTGTGTGCCCATTAACATAGGTTTACAATTACTGTTTTATGCATTTATCTTTCAAATCATATAGGAAAAAAAGAAAAATTATATGCTGAAAATACAATACTGGATTTTATATTTACTTATATAGTTAACTTTACCAGTGTTCTTTTTTCTTTGTATGAATTTGAGTCACTGTCTAGTGTCCTTTCATTTCAGCCTGAAGGATTCCCTTCAGCATTTTTTTGCAGGGCAGGTCTACTAGTGATTAACTTCCTCAATATTTGTTTATCTGGGAATATTTTAATTTCTTCATTTTTGAAGAATAATTTTGCTTGATATAGAATTGTTGGTCAAAGTTTTATTTTTTTCCTTCGAGGTCTTTAGATATTTCATATTGCTGCCTTCTTAACCCCATGGTTTCTGATGAGAAATCAGCCATTAATCTTATTGAAGTTCTCTTATATAAGATTAATCTCTTTTTTCTTGCTGCTTTCAAGATTCCCTCTTTGTATCTGTCTTTTGACAGTTGAATTATAATGTGTCTCAATGAGAATATCTTTGAATTTATCCTACTTGGAGTTTGCTAAGCTTCTTGAACATGTATATTATTGTCTTTCATCAAATTTGGGGAGTTTTCAGCCATTATTTCTTTAGATATTCCTTCTACCCTAATTTCTCTTGTCTCTCCTTCTGGGACTCCTATTATTCATATGTTGGTATGCTTGATGGCCTCCCACAGGTCCCTGAGAATCTTCATTTTTCTTCATTTCCTTTTCTTTCTGCTTTCATTCTGAAATGCTTCTGTGTCTGGAGTACTGCTTGTGAAATTCCTGCACACAGGACAGTAGCTGCCCACACCATGTCCTCCTTAGTCAGGACCAGGGCTTCTTGGGGCCTCTTTACTAGAAAATGAACAAGGCGACATTACCTGTACTCCTTGATTGGTCAGAAGTGGGAGCAGCCTGATAGCATTAGAAATATTGCTGGCCTCAGAGATCAAATCCTGGCTCTAGCCACTTCCTTGTGATGTGACATGGGGCAGATAATTTTCTGCACTTTGGATTCCTCATCTAGGGTGACCAACTCATCCTGGTTTGCCTGGGACTTTTTAGGTTTTATACTGAAAGTTCCACGTCTCAGGAAACCCATTAGACCCAGGGGGACCCTACTCATCTGTGAGAGGAAGATAATACTACCTACCACAAGGTGGTTGTGAGAAAATAGAAGATACAGAAAAGCAGCTAGGTCATCGTTGGGTTCCATAATCATATAATTGTTACTTATGCAAAATGCAAGGAGGGTGTTTGAAGATGGAGAATGATGCACCAAATAGCTAACACTTTGACATGTGGACTTGCTTCAATGGGACAACTGAGAGCAGAACCAGGGGAGTTTTCTGTTAGTTCTACCTGAACATTTCTGCCAGCTATCCCTCTGGAAACGTCGCTGTATGTCAGATCCCCACATGCTGCAGAGGGAGAACCATCACCTGCCTCTTTAATGACATACCTGGATTCTCCTTGCTGGCCCTATTCAATACTGAAGGCCAGGGCTGTGTTCACTACAACCTAAAAACCAGGTAAGTGGACTGGGAGAGTACTAGTCACACGGAAGTACCTCTGAGGGTGATGGAGGGAGGACTGAGGTGGTGACTACGAGTCCCTGGTTAAAGAAGAAGCCAGGCGGTGTCCAGAGATCTAGTAAGGCAGTGAGGCAGGGCTGAGGCTGTTTCTGCAGGGACATAGGAACTTTAAGGCTCAGCCCTTCCTTGCTGTATCTATGTCACAGCCAATAAGAAGGACACCTTCCCAAGTCCTACTCCACTTGGTACCCCACAGCACTAAGATCTTGATTGTTAGTTATATTAATGGAAGAATTATTTAGTGGAAAAAATATGTTTTATACCAGGAGTAGGTGAAGGAGAGGCATGAACACACTACTTCTATGGCATCTTTTAAGAAAAGTGCATATTCTTGCCATCCAAAGGTTGATATTGTCTGGCTTTTCTTTTTTGTTTTGTTTTTGTTTTTGTTTTGAGACTGGGTCTTGCTCTCACTCTGTCACTCAGGTTGAAGTGCAGTGGCATGATTATAGCTCACTGCAGCCTCGAACTCCTGGGCTCAAGTGATCCTTTCACCTCAGCCTCCTGGGTTAGCTGGGACTACAGACATGTGCCACAATGCCCAGATAATTTTTTAAATTTTTTTGTAGAGACAGGGTCTCACTGTGTTGACCAGGATGATCTCAAACTCCTGGCCTCAAACAATCCTCCTGCCTCAGCCCCTCAAAGTGCTGGGATTACAGGCATAAGCCACCATGTCTGGATTTGCCTGGCTTTGCCTGGCTTTTCATAAGGAACTGTTCTTGGAAGAAATGACTTACTCTTATGTTATAGGTATTCCAGTTCCCATCTTGGTGCCTATTATACACTCAGGCTACTAGGCAACAGAGCACAAATCCCATTTCTTCCCCTTCTGGGTTTGGCCTGAGACTTCATCATCTCTCTCAGAATAGGCTCCTCCGGTAGCATCAGCAGGTGTTAAGGGGCCTCAGACCATAGCAAGTGGGGAAAGTAAGGTTGACTGCAGGACTCCACCACTCCTCCAGCCTGGGACTGAGTCTTACAGACCTGTCTGCCCATAACCTGCGGTGATGAGAGCTTCCTTCAGGGGCCCGGTGGCAGCTACTCACTTCTGTATCTCTCCTAGTTGCCCATATGTCTTAATCTTGGATGAGGAAGGTGGGACCACCAATGACCAGCAGGGCTATGTAGTCCACAAGTGGAGCTGGACTTCCAGGACAGAGACCCTGCTTTCCCTGGAATACAAGGTAGGGATGGGCAGCACAGGTTGGGTGGCAGTGAGCACCACTGTCACAGGGAGGGTCTGGGCATCCTGCCATGCACTGCCTAGCATTAAAAGCCCAGGGCTACCCGTAAGACAGGAAGCCTGCCCTGAAGGAGCTCATAATCTCATTCAGAGGTTCCCAAGTTGGTGGATGGTGGTCCAGGTTGGCTGAAGGGAACTTTTCACCAGCCTAAACTATTGGCTGCTTTACAGACATTTCTTGGTAATATCCTTCCTGTGTAATTTTTATTATTAATATTATTCTGTTTTTACTGTTAAAATGTGTTTTATGAAGTCACAGTTATAGTAGTTGATAGCTTTATTTTTAATGCCTATGTGTGGCAATAATAAAAATTAGCAATTCTATATTGGTCTCCTCCGTTTTTGTTTTTATAACTTTATTATCTATAAAATAAAACAATCTAGAAGTCAAAAGTGACTGATAGATAGAAACTCTTTTTTCATTCATTTGGCTGTTCAGATAATTATTTACCAAAGATTTATTAAATAACAAATAATAAAGAGGGCTGAATTATTAATAATAAATTAATAAACTTATTAATAAAGCAACTAACTGTGCTTGTCACTTATCTGTGGCAGAGTTCCTCATCATTGACACTACTGACATTTTGGGATGGATACTTCTTTGGTATAACTGTGCATTGTAAGATGTTTAGCATCCCACTAGATTCCAGTAGTATCCCCTACTCCAGTTGTGACAACCAAAAATATCTTCAGGTATCACCAAATGTAGCCTCTGGGGGGCAAAATTGCCCCCAGTTGAGAATCACCAATCAGAGATTGGAAGGAGAAACAAAGCCCATCAAGGAACTCAAAAGTCTAAGGGACTAATAAGAACACAGGGTAGACACAGATTCAAGAACTGTGAGAGAGGGGCAAGTGTTGGGATTCAGAGAAAGATCACAGAACATAGCATCCACTCAAGCTGGCCTGAGATGAAGAGCCCCACAGTGAGGGTTGTGGACACAAGCACTTGGAATGCATGGGAGGGCTCCAGCACCCTACCCTTAGTCTCCTGTTTCTTGTCCTCTTGGTTCATCCTCTACACTGGCCACTGACTCTCCTCCTTATGCTCTGATTCCTCAGACCACACCTCTGCTTAGGAATATTCACTCCCTTGAACATGTCTCACCTTTCCTACTCCCTTGGCCTGAAATGCACCCCCTCCTCTCTTTGCCAGTGCAAATGTCCTCCCAAATTCCTTCAAAGCCCTGCCCAGACTCCCCTCCTTTGTGGCATCCCATCCCACACCCATTTCTATCTTCCCACAGTGCACACAGTTTGGATTAGTCATTTGGTAATTAATGTCAGGAAGAGGTTCTCATCTCTGGCTGCGTATCAGAGTCACCTCTGGGACTTTTTATAAAATAAAGATCCCAGGCACAGCCCCAGAGCAACCCTGACTCAGTTGGTATGTTAGGAGTTTTGGATTTCTGTGGTTTTCACAAACATTTCTGAGGCTTGGCCAGGTCTGAGAGCCCCAGTCTAGGGGTGTGTTGTGTTGTTTTCTTAATGTTTACCTTTTCATAGTTGTATGAAAAGTGTATAATCCAAGATTAGAAATCAGTTGAAGGCAGGCATCATAAGTTGTGTGTTAGTGTGTCCAAGCGGAGAACTGGGATAAGAACCTGAGGAGCTAAGTACTAGTGCCAACTTTGCCAGACTTTGGCTGTGCAACTTTGCGAAAACCTTTCAGCTTCTCTGAGTCTCAGCTGTCTCATCTATACAAAGTGGGTCACCAGAACTGCCCTCCGGCCTCATGGTACTTTCATGAGAAGAAATGACATAGCGGAGGGAAAAGTGCTTTGACATCAGTAAAGTGTTTTAGCAATGTATTTTAGTTGACTGTTATATATTTCCTGGAGCTGCATGCAGAAGAGCACAACAGAGGCATGTGAAGTCAGGAGTGGCCTGGAAAACAAGGTGGCCCTGGGGTTGTAGCATGGGGGTGAGTGTGTGTGATTCACATAGAGAGGAGGAGGAGGCAAAAATCTTCTGGGTAGTGGGAGCCGAGTCTGCAAAGGTTGAAGCTGGGACTAAATGTGGCATTTTTAAGAGGTCACAAGTGCTTCTTGTAAAAGACAGGTGGAGCAAGAGGTATGTATGGTGTCAGGTGGAGGTGGGAGGCACTGGATGTCAGGCTGGGGAGTTTGCATGCTGTCTTGGAGGCTGCAGGGGCCAATTTGTTTTTGCCCAGATGTTTACTATTTCCAGTGTTCTTCATTACTCTCTGAAGATCCAAGTTTCCCTCTGGTACCATTTCTCTTCAGCCTGAAGAACTTCTTTTGGCTTTCTTGAAGTGCATATCTTCTGGCAATGTATTCTTCTGGCAATGTTTTTTTTCCATGATTAAAAAAAAATCTCTTTATTAAAGGATATTTTTGCTGGATATGATTCTGGGATGATTTTTATTTTCTTTCAGCATTTTAAAGATGTTGTTCTGTGTCTGTCTTCTATAGTTTATAAGAAGTCTGTAGTTATTCAAGTCACTGTTTATTTTCTTTACCTGCTTGCAAGATTTTCTCTTTTCTTTGGTTTTCTAAGTTTAACTGATACATCTAGGTGTGGTTGTCTTCATATTTATTCCATTTACTGAGTTTCTTGAGTCTGTAAATTCATTTAAATTTGTTTCACCAAATTTGGGGAATCTTCTAAATCTTCTTTGGAAAATAAAAACCTGCTCCAATCTTTCCCCTTTTCTTCTGAGACTCCAATTATGTCTATTTTAGACCTTTTGATATTGTCCCAAGGGTTCCTAAAGCTCTCTTATGTTGTTGTTATTCACATTATTTTTCTCTTTACTTTTGAGATTGGATGATTTCTCTTGATCTGTCTTCAAGTTCAGTGACTTTATTCTGTCATCTCCATTCTACTATTATGATAATAATATAATAATTTAAAATTTCAGATTTACATATTTTCAGCTCTAGAATTTCCACTTAGTTACTTTTATATTTTTTATTTCTCTGCTGAGATTCCATATTTTATAATTTCTTACAAGTACATTTTCCCTTACCTCATCTAGTGTAGTTAAATTAGTGTTTTAATGTCCTTGTCTGAAAATTTCAATGTCTGGGTCTTATCAGACTGAGTTGGCCTCTGTTGATTATCTGTTGCTTTGAAAACAGCTCACACTTCACTGGTTCTTCACATATTGAATAATTTTGGACTGTAGGTGGACATTGTGAATGTTATTTGGTGGAGTGTCTGAATTCTGGTGTATTTCTCTGAAGAGTGTTGATATTCTTGTTTTAACAGGCAATGAACTTGGTTAGACTGAAACCACAAACTTTGTTTCACCTGCAGAAGCTCACGTCTCAGTTCAGTTTTTATGTTTGTTTGTTTCTTCAACCGTAAGATGTCTTGAGTCTTCCCTGCTCAAGGATGGTTCAAGGATCAGCCAGAGACAGGGACAGTTTATATACAGAATTCTGGCCTCTCCTTCTCTGGTGCTATCCTTTCTGGAATTCTTTCTACACTTTCCTGTGACTATGGTTGCTCCAGGTTCCATCCTCTGGGTTCTGCAGGCCAGAAAGATGGTGGAGTTTGGCCATGACTGTGGCCTGCCTTCAGGCTAAAGCCGTAAACCTTATCCCATGCTGCTCCTTTCTTTTGAATTTTGACTCCTCTTCAAAGTCTGCCTGCATTTGTTCACTCTTCATAGCCTTTGGGTCATTGTTTTTTTTTTTTTTTTTAATTTTTTCAAGCTTATAGTTATCTATGAGGAAGGCAGCCTGTCAGGCACTGACTCAGCTATACTGGAAGTAGAACCAGCTGGTTGATTTTTAAGCTGAGGGCTGAAATGCTCAGTCTAGCATTTTTGGTTGACTGGAGAGAGACCAGTGGGTGGGCTAGTGGAGAGACTAGTTGGGGAGTTACTAGCCAGACCCAAAAGCATTAAAAATAGCGGCAATATTTTTTAAAGGGGTCATTTCAATAAAAGAACTCAATGGTGCACAGGCATGGCCTGTAAGGGATAGATGAAAGGAAGAGGGAATTGTAGATGACTCCATGACGGATTATGTGTCTGGGAGGAAACAGAGAAGTTTCTGAGAGGATCAGTGACCAAAATGATTTTAGACATGTTTATTTGGTTCAGTGGCCATATCTCTCTGGGCTACTGTGACATGGACCCTGACCTAGGGTGAGAGACTGGGGATAATGGATATAATGGGCTGGCTAATGAACTCTCAAGAAGACAAGTCTGTGGTTTATAGAGCTGCCATACTTGGGAGTTTGGGGGAGAGAAAGAAAAACCATCCAGGGAGCAAGGATAATAAATGAAAGCTGTACTATGCTAAGCTATGAAATCTGCTGAAATTGACTAACCATCCTATGAGAAAATTTCATGGGATAAAACTTTTTACTTTTACCTTACTTTTTACTATTATTGTCCCCAGGCTCAGAGAGGCTAACCAATTTGTCTAAAATTGCCCAACTGGTAAATGGCAATGCTGGGATTTGACCCTTGCTCAACTGCAGAGCTTGAGCTCCCAACCGTGGCTCTATACTACATCTCTCTAGAAGGAGGACAAGAGAGAGGAGGGTTTTTTTTGTTTTTTTGTTTTGTTTTGTTTTGTTTTTTGTTTTTTGTTTTTTTGAGATAGAGTCTCACTCTGTCGCCTAGGCTGGAGTGTAGTGGCGTGATCTCAGCTCACTGCAAGCTCTGCCTCCCGGGTTCATGCCATTCTCCTGCCTCAGCCTCCCGAGTAGCTGGGACTACAGGTGTCTGCCACCATGCCTGGCTAATTTTTTTGTATATTTAGTAGAGACGGGGTTTCACCGTATTAGCCAGGATGGTCTCGATCTCCTGACCTCGTGATCCGCCCACCTTGGCCTCCCAAAATGCTGGGATTACAGGTGTGAGCCACCGTGCCCGGCAGAGGGTTTCTTTTAAGTGAGAGTGATCAAGTTCAAAGATGTCAAAAGACTTGGCAAGTCATAGTTCAGTGCTTTCAGGGTGCTGGAGGGAACTAGTCTCCAGACTGCAGGGTGTGAGGAAGAAACTCAAAAGGAAGTTAAGCGTAGACCCCTGGGCAAGCAACTGGAATAGTAGAAAGAAATGGAAGGAGCAAAGCAGAGAGTGGTTGTTGTTGTTGTTGTTGTTGTTGTTGTTGTTGTTGTTGTTGTTGTTGTTTTTGGTTCAGAGGCATCCTGGGGGTATTTGTAGATAAGGGGATATTGTAGGTCAAGGACATTGAAGACTGAGAGAAGCACAGCAGTGTAGGGCTGCACACTCTGAGGCTCTCCAGGAGGGTCCCTGCGTATAAATTGTGCTCTGCACATGCAAATTGTTCAACAGCCTTAAATGTGAATTGCTCTACCTTGTCTTGACAATATCTGCTCATGCTGGGCATAGGCCTTAATGGCTTACAAAGCCACTTCCACATTTTTATCTCATTTGATCCTAATAATAGCCGTTCAATGATTTCATGTGGAAGAAGTTGAGATTCAGCGAAGCTAACTGGCTTGTTATCAGGAGGCAGAACTGGGACTCACCCGTAGACCACAGAGCTCTCAGTAAGGCGTGAGTTGTTATAAGGGCAACTCACTCTCCCCAAGCTCCAATCTAGTACTGCTTAAAGGAAATCCCACTCTTTTGGAAGTGATGATAAAGAGTAGCTGCCCCTTTTCCACCCATCTTTGGCTCCTCCTCAGGGGAAGAATAATGACATATTTGTGGAAGGGGCTGAGTATGTGTGGCCCAGGCCCTTCTGGGTCCTCTTTGACCTCTTCCCACCCATCTGCAGAGGGCTTTCCGGCGCTTCCTGCCAAGTGGTCACCTTCCTACCACTGTAGGACAAGAGTCATAGTCAGACCTTGTGCCTGAGTGGACACATCTGTCTGATTCAGGGATAAAGGGTTACCCTCTGATCCAAGCTGCATTCCCAATTCATCTTTACCAGAACTGAAGCTGATTCATCTGCCAGACACCTGTGACTCTTTCACAGTGGGTTTCATGCTTGAGTTGGAAAGGGAAGGAGTAGGAATAAGGAAGCATCATTTACTTTTTCAGTGGGCCCCCAGGGAAACCTGGAATTTTTCTGTCTTCTCCATGAAGCGGAATTCTAACATAAGAACTGGAAAGCTCTTACAAATCTTCTGCCCCAAGCCAACAGGGGCTTTGTGCTTCGTGGTGGGTCAGGAAGGGGTGGCTGGGGCCGTTGAAGCAGGGATTCTCTGAGTACTGTTTCTTCATCTACAGGTGAATGAGGAAATGAAACTAAAGGTACTGGGACAGGACTCCATCACAGTCACCTTCACCTCCCTGAATGAGACAGTAACACTCACTGTGTCGGCCAACAATTGTCCCCATGGAATGGCATATGACAAACGGGTAAGGCAAGGCAGACTATGCACCCAGCCCTGACCCCTGGGCATCTCAACGTGGGTTGCTGTTTCATATCTCAGGGCCTTTGCTCTTACTCCCCACCACCCTTCCATGCAAGGCCCTGCCTTTTCCTCTGCCATTATTCACCACCTACTCTTAGTACCACCTTCCTGTGAAACTTCTTATATCAATTAAGGGTCTTCCAGTTGTAAGTGACAGAATCCAGTGTGGACTAGCTTAAGCATGAAAAAAGAATATAGTGGCTCAATAAACTGAGAAGTCTGTCAATATGCAGTTTCAGGCATGGCTGGATCCAGGCCCTGAAATGATTCCACCAGATCTTCGCATCTCTTGGCTCTGCTTTCCTCTTTGTTGGCTTCATTCTCAAGGAGTTTCTCTCCTGTTGATGACAAGATGACCATGAACATCTCTGGGCTATTATTATACCAGCTTTAGTGCCCCTGGAAGAAGGAGGGCTTCTGTTTCCTAAACACTCCAGTAGAAATGCCAACATCAACACTCATTGGCTCTATTAACTGCCCATGCGTGAAACATTCCCTGTGGCCAGGAGTATGTATTGCTCCCATTGACTAGGCTTGAGGCTCATGTCCATCCTGGGGGCCAATGTGTCAGATTACTCTCAAATGAACCACCTGGGCAAAGGATAAGGCAGAAGAGTTTCCCTAAAGGAAAATCAAGGTGCTGTTACCAGGAGAAGAAATGATGCTGAGTAGAAAACTACCAGTGCATGTTGATGACCCTCTCTCTACCACCCTCTTCTCATCCCAGGTAGAGTCAGTCTCTCCCTCTGCTCAGCCCCCCTGGCCGTGACAACGTCCATTCTAGACTGCTTTCGTTTCAAGTCTATCGTCTCCACAAATTGAAAATTCCCTGTGATTCCCTCTAATGTCTGTTGTCCCAGGGCCCAGCATGAGGACTACTTCAAATTAAATCTTTACCAAATATTTTTTGGGTGGATGAGAATACAGTGGAGACTGGGAGTCTCATTCTTTCATTCAGTGGGTCATCATGGATCCTACTGTGTATCTGGTGATGTCAAGTCAACATCAGGGAGACAGGTGGAGAGGATTAAGAGGACACAGTCCCTACACCCTGAGTGTATATCCCAAAAGAGAACACTTGACCTCAACACAAGATGGGGTAACCAAAGCTCAGGTGGGTAGAGCAGACTATTTGAGCTCCCCACAGGGCACTCTGCCCACTAAGGGAAGGCTCCTAGAAGCAAAAGCAGGGTGACCACACTTCCCAGTTTGCCCAGAGCCAGTCCCAGTTTATACCAGAGCAATTATATACCTGGAGAAATTGTAAATGGCACTATGTGTCCCCCTCAAAAGTGTCCTGGTTTGGATGATAGATTATATGATCATCCTGAGCAAGAAGCTCTTAAGCTGTGTGGGCATTTGCCACTGTATGCCACAAGCTTACAGACGCCCAAAGCTGGCAGAGCCCAGCAAGGGCAACCAACCCAACGTCCAATAAGGACATAGGGTGTGGGCATTTGTTAGGGGTCTCCTTTGTTACTCCTGGAGGAAAGCATTGCATCTGTTTTCTTTTTCCCACTACATTTTCATTCCAGCAGCATTTCACCTTCATTAATTCATTAACAAATTCAATAAACATTTATTAGCACCTGCAGCAGGCCAAGTTGGCTGCTGGAGATGTAGAAATAAAGAAGTCTCATTCCCTCTAAACTCTGAAATTCTCTCAATCTAATGGAAGAGGCAAAAGCATGGGCACCAATGATCATCTAGCTTCACCCTTGTGGTGTGCCAGAGGGTCATGTGGAATCTGCTAGGAGAGGAAGAGAGGAAGTACCGGAGAAACACAGGTGCCTGTGAATCCGGCATGCATTGGTTACTTCAAAGAGCAAACTACCCGCAAGAGTTTGAGTCCACCTGGGCTGAGATAAATGATCTTGCTTATTGATCCATCTACCCTGTCAATCTGGTTCCACACTCTCACTCTAAAAGGCCATTGGTTTTATTTTATTTTATTTTATTTTATTTTATTTTATTTTATTTTATTTTATTTTATTTTATTTTATTGAGACCAAGCCTTGTCTGTCGCCCAGACTGGAGTGCAGTGGTGCAATCTTGGCTCACTGCAGCCTCCGCCTCCTAGGTTCAAGTGATTCTCATGCCTTCAGACTCTCGAGGATTACAGGTGCCTACCACCACACCAGCTCATTTTTGTATTTTTAGTAGAGACAGGGTTTCACCATGTTGGCCAGGCTGGTCTCAAACTCCTGACCTTAGATGACCCACGCGCCTCAGCCTCCCAAAGTGCTGGGATTACAGGCGTGAGCCACCGTGCCTGGCCAGAAAAAGCTATTGTTAAGTGATTAAGTATGCACTGGCTATGAAGTCACCTATCTATGTTTCTTGGAAACCTTTTTAGGTTGCGTTTTTAAAATGTGAGTCTACTTTTCTTATCAAAGGCAACGGATATTAGAAAATTATTTATTCTCATAAAATTGTGGCAATGCTTCATTTTTCTGGCAACCTCTTGTCTGATTATCTCTGAAGTTTGGAATGCAGCTGAGAACCAAGATACAAGCAATTCAAGACCCCCATGAGCAGCTGAGAAAAATTACTCTCAGTCTGTGTACCCAACAAGCCCCTTAGGCCTAGAAAAGCCCCTAGGAATTCAAGTCTTATTTTCTTACCTTAAAGCAACCTCCTCAAGCTGGAATTAGAAGTCTAGAGCTGTGCTGTCCAATATTGTAGCCATGAGTCACACATGGCAATTGAGCCCTTGACGTGTGACAAGTCCAAATGGAGATGGGCTCTGCATGGAAACACACACTGCATTTCAAAGACTTAGTGTGAATTGAGAATGTAAAATTTCTCATTAATAATTGACTATTTTGGTGATATGTTGACATACCCTATTTTTGATATACTGGTTTAAATAAATAGATAATTAGAATTAATTTTCCCTTTTAAAAATTTTTTAATGTGCTAACTAGGACATTTTCAACTACACATGTAGCTCACATTATATTTCTAGTGGATCATGCTGGGCTAGAAGGTAGAGTCTCTATTAAGGGAAGCTTATCAAGGCATGGTTTGGCAGTGCAGTAGAAGACTGAGAGGTTATTTAAAATGACACAGTAAATCAAAGAGCATAACTGTCTTAAGGAAATGTAACATAGGGACAAACAGACCAATACATTGAGACAGATTCTGAAAACAGTGCTGCATTATAGAAAGCAGAAGCTGATGTTGACCAAGATTGACTTGCCAAAAAAGTGTTCCGATCATAACCTCTTTCGAGAGTGCAAGCATGTGTACTATGTATGACAACATTCTAACAAGATAAACAGAAACAATGAGTAAATATGCTTTCTTGTGGGTAATAGGATTTCCAAATGTTGACCTTAACCATGTGGTTAAGCATCTCAGGATATTTTACATGAAATCCTGAGGCTTAGAAAATTAGCTCATCTTGCATTCTTGGACCGTGAGAGCTGCAAGGAGCTTCCAAGAAAATGTGCCGAGTGTTGGGGCTCCTCCCTCCAAGTCCCTGTCACTGAGAAGCTTGTTAAATGGCTTCCCCAGACACCCATTGCCCTGGAAAGAGCCACCCATCAGAGAGACAGGCAGAATGGCGGTCCCAGCTTTTACAGCCCTGAGGCCTGGCTCCTCACTAAATATTTCCATCAAGGCAGCTCTTGGGAAGCGAGACAACAGCCTCTGTTTAAATGCTTTATTAGCCCAGTGTGCCACCTCAGGTCCTTTTTGGAAGCAGGCTGAGTATAAATTTCAAATAAATAAATAAGATGAGTGCAGAAGCAGCAACTGGGGCCAAGAATCAGAAGGATGGTTGAGACTTTGCCATTTGTTGGGGACATCCTTTATAGATTTCCTGCCTTCAGCATAAAGAAGGACTCGTGGGCTGACTTTGTTGTTCATCAGGAAATCTGATACTGCCCACCCCACTCTTGCCACTTGAGGATTAAATTCCACAGAAGAGAGTTTTTTTCCTACCTTCTCTATGTTACGTGGGAGATGTAGAAATGATAGATCTTCCTCTCAAGTTGCTGAATGAGTTTAGGGACAAAGGCAGTGAAAAAAAAAAAAAAAATGACCAGGACCCAGGGCAGAAAGGACAGGAAGGGACATGTGTGAAAGTTCAGCAGAGGGAGCAGTTGCTGTTGGCTGAGGAAATCAGGGAAGGCTTCCTAGAGAGAAAGACCGAATATAAATACCTCTGGAAACTGGGCCTGATTTTGCAGTGCCACTGACATGCCCCAGCTGTTCAGAGCAGGTCTTAGATTGGGTCTCCTGGGAAACAGACTGTGGAATGGAACCAAGTATGTAGGAGTTTACTGGAGACTGCTCTTGGGAACAGCCCCTTTGACGGTCTGAAGGAAGGCAGAGGGAGAGGGCAGCCATGGCAGAGGCCTCAGCGATCCCGTGGGGAGCCCTGGAGTCAGAATGATCCTTCAGCGTAATCCCAAATGGAAACAAGAGGCCTGGGCCTTTGTGGCCTGCAATTACCAGTCAGCTTCTGTAACCTTGGCCAGAGGCAGGTTCTCAGCTGGGCAATGTCAGCAGCCACTGTTTTGACAGCTGGAGGGATGAAGGGGCTCCTGGGGGATGCACCGCAGCATCCACTGCAGAGGGAGGCCGGCAGAGAACGCTCTGCAGAAGGCTTTATCGTCCACTTACTCACGAATGCAATAGCATTTACTGAGCACCTGCATGACAAGCACTCAGACACACAAGAGACCAAGACTCGGTCCCTTCCCTCCAGAAGCTTGCAGTCTAGTGGAAAGATAGGCTCAAACACAGCTGTCACTTGGCAAAGTGCTAACTTCCATCTTCAAGCTGCATTGAGCATGATGAGAGTTCAAAGCAAGAAGCAGTTCTGCCCAGTCGAATCAAGGAAAACCCTCCGAGGAGAGGCCATGAGTCAGGCCTGGGTCTGTGTGCAGGAACTCACTGGGCTGAGAGGGAGAGAGGTGTGTTCCAGGTAGGGGTAGGGGGGCAGGCAATAGCACATCCTCTGAACCGGAGCAAGTCTTAGTTATCCTGGACTAGGCAGCTGGCTCTTTGAGGGGATGGTGACACCCGCCCTCCCCTTTGCCCCTCTCCAGCTGAACCGCAGAATCAGCAACATGGACGACAAGGTGTATAAGATGAGCCGAGCCCTGGCTGAGATCAAGAAGCGGTTTCAGAAGACAGTGACTCAGTTCATTAATTCTATCTTGCTGGCCGCAGGTAAGGAGGCTGAAAGGTGGGCGAAGGCCTATCTGTTGGCTTCCCCAGTCCTGAGATTCTGGCAGGTCATCTCAAGGGACAGACCTTTACTTTACCGCCCATTCCATCTTCAGTCTGAATGTCCAGGGAAGTAGGCATAGCAGAGATATTTCCCCATTTTAGGTCCCACTGGGCTCAGGTCACTTAAGGCCACACAGCTAAGAATAGTGACGTGAGCCCACTTGCATTTCTGAGCTCTCTCCCAGAGTGTCTTGCACATCTCCATGAGATTGTCTTATTTTCCTGGGTTTCTCGGTAGCTGGCTGTGTCCCTCTTGTTCCCCACCCCACATCTACATTCACCTTTAGCTCCATTTCTCATATCACCCATCATCCATCTGGAGCCCCTGCTCCTCCCTTCTTTTTGTGGATCTCAGAAGAGAAAAATGCAATCACCTCTCTAGGCTGTCCCTGTTAGGCCCACAGAGATCCCCCAAGGCCAGCATGGGTGGCCTCAGGACCCTTCCACCTCTGAGCCCCTCTCCTGACTGCTGATGGGCCTGGGAACAAGGATACATTGATCCTATTCTGTGTCACCCCCTGGCTGGGCATGGAGGGGCTGTGCTTCCCCCACTGTCTCTCTGGGGAGTTTCTTCTCGTCCCCAGAGATGTCGATTGCCCCTTTCTCTGGGAAGCCTTCCTTGACTTCCAATCGGTCACACCTCCTTTGGGCTCCCATAGCACTTAATTATTTATTTTTTCTTTTTTTTCCACACAAGTGAAAGAAAGGATCCCACAGCACTTTGTACATGTTCTAATTATACATCTTACTACTTAGCATTGTGACTATGTCCCCCATCCTGCTCCCCCACTGGGAATTTCTGGAGTCTGGGAGTTCTGTCTTGGGGTGCCTCTGCATGCTCAGCACCCACATTTGAGAAATGCTGGTGAGTGAAGAGATGAGAGGTCCCTGGCCTTAGAAGTCTTCCAGTCTAGTAGGGAAAGCAAGACAAGAATATAAATAAATACAATACAACAAAGAAAGTAGTTGGAATTGACTTAAAGCTGGAGACACAGGGAACAGCATTCTCAAGGAAGGAATAGCATGGGCCAGGAATGCATTGTGTAGCTAGCCTCTACATTTGGTGCTGGCGAGGACACAGGCTGAATGGAACAGGCCCTAGGTGTCTTGAAGAATGAGTACGAAAGGAGACCTATTCATTCTTACAACACAACATTTGGCAGTGTCACTGATGAGTGCACTGGGACAGGAGTACTGTATTGGACAGCAGAGGGGAGGTGCCGGAGAATCAATGAGAGCGGAGGGGAGGAGATGGGGGTGAGCCAAGGTGCACTTAGATGTTTCCAGTCTGGGACCAGGGGCAGAGGAGTCCTGGCCATGAAGGGAAAATGACAGCAGCATCTTCTGTTAACAGGTCTGTTTACCATTGAATATCCCACCAAAAAGGAGGAGGAAGAATTTGTTCGGTTCAAGATGAGATCCAGAACTCATCCCGAGCGGCTCCCCAAGCTAAGTTTATACTCAGGAGAAAGTCTTTTACGATCTCAGTCAGGCCACCTGGAATCCTCAATTGCAGAGACTTTGAAGGATGAGCCTGAGTCTGCTCCTGTGAGCCCAGTTCGGAAGACCACCAAAATCCACACCAAAGCCAAGGTCACATCCAGGTTGGCTTGGTCCTTCACGTCTTCCGCAGCATCGGGTGTTGTGATGGGCAGTGGGCACAGGATAGTGAACCCAACAGATGGGGCCCCTCTCTTTTGGAGCTTAAATTCCAAGGGCAAGTAAAGTGAGGAGATAAACACATGAATAAATGATATAATTTTAGGCAGCGATAAGGACTAGGAAGAAAATAATTGGAGTAATGGGTTAGGGCAGGGGTTGGCTATGGACCAAATTTGGCCCAGCTGCCAATTTTTTGTGGGTGAGCTAAGAATGGTTTTGATATTTTTAAGTGCTTGAAGGGAGAAAAAAATGAGAAGATTTCATGACAGGGGAAATGATATAAAAATTTAAATGTCAGAATCCTTAAATAAGGTTTTCTGGGAACACGGCTACACCCACTCATTCACATATCATCTACAGCCACTTCCTTGTGACAGTGGACATTGAGGGTCAGGCCTGCAAAGTCTCAGGTATTCACTACCTGGCTCTCTACAGAAAATGTTGCCTGGCATCTGTGATAGAGAGTGGCTGGAAAGTGGTGTGGGATGGGCTGTGGTAGAGGATGAGGGAAGGCAGTTCTCAGGAGATTATACTGAAACCCAGATGCAAAGGATGATAAACAGGCGGCCAGGAACAGATGTGGGGAAGGAACACCAGGCAGCGGGCACAGCAAGTCCAAAGGCACTGAGGCAGGAGTGAGGTTGGTATGTGTGAGAGAGTAAGAAGGCTAGTGAGGCTGGAGTGTGGTGGAAAAGGGGACAACGACACGAATTGACGACTGAGACGTAGGCAGGAGTTTGGTCATGTAGCCTTGATAGTGTTATGGAAGGCCATTCCATAAGGAAGTGACATCATCTGATTTATCTTTGTTTTTTTTTCAGACAGGGTCTCTCTCTGTCACCCAGGCTGGAGTGCAGTGGCACGATCTCAGCTCACCGCAACCTCTGCCTCCCAGGTTCAAGCGATTCTCCTGCCTCAGCTTCCCTAGTGCTGGGACAACAGGCATGCACCACCACGCCTGCCTAAGTTTTGTATTTTTAGTAGAGACAGGGTTTTGCCATGTTGGCCAGGCTGGTCTCGAACTCCTGACCTCATGTGATCCACCCGCCTGGGCTCCCAAAGTGCTGGGATTACAGGCGTGAGCCACTGCACCTGGCCTGGGATTTATCTCTTTTTAACTTTAAATAAGTATTAAAATATTTTTCATGCTTTAACTTTTCAAAAAATATAAAATGCATACAGAAAAATGAGCAAATCCTAAGTGTGTAGCTCAATTAATATTACAAAGTAAACATATCCTATAACTACCAAGTCAAGAAATAGAGCATTACCAGCTCCTTAGAAGCCCCCTTTAGTCCCATCCAAATGACCAATCTCACCCTCCTTCCCAGGTGGAAGATTGCTAACACCAGAGATTAGTTTTTATTGTTTTCTAAAACCTGATTAAAATAGATCTCTTTGGTGTGTCTTCTTTGGTGTCTGGCATCTTTGTCCCAACATTATGATTGTGAGATTTGTGCATGTTGTTATGTATAGCAATAGTTTCTTCTTTTTCATTATTTTATAATAATCGATTTTAGGCCGGGTGCGGTGGCCCACGCCTGTAATCCCAGCACTTTGGGAGGCCGAGGCGGGCAGATCACGAGGTTGGGAGATAGAGACCATCCTGGCTAACATGGTGAAACCCCCTCTCTACTAAAAATAGAAAAAATTAGCCGGGTGTGGTGGTGGGCGCCTGTGGTCCCAGCTACTCGGGAGGCTGAGGCAGGAGAATGGCGTGAACCCAGGAGGCGGAGCTTGCAGTGAGCCGAGATCCTGCCACTGCACTCCAGCCTGGGTGACAGAGCGAGACTGTGTCTCAAAAATAATAATAATAATAATAATCGATTGTAAATACACCAGAAAGTATGCATTCTATGTTGATGAATATTTGGTTGTTTAGGTAGTAGCAAACTGTGCTACTATTGATTGGCATATGCCAGGATGTGAAATTGCTGTCATTGAGTATGTGTATGTTCAGCTTCTAGTACAGACTGTCCGTTTTCCGCCATGGTCGTTTTACGTTCTGCTCCCACCAGCAGTGTGTCTGAGAGTTCAGTTGCTCCACATCTTCACCAATGCTTGGTATGGTCAATCATTTTAATACAGCCATTCTGTAATGATGAAATGTGTTGTCTTAGTGACAAAGTGGTTTTTTATTTGCATTTCCCTGATGACTATAGAGGCTGAGCACCCTCCATTGTTTGTTGACCATTTTAAGTTCAGCAGTCCTTCTTTTCCTCAGGGGATACTTTCCAAGACCCACAGTGGATGTCTGAAACTGTGAACAGTACCAAGCCCTATATATACTCTGTTTTTCCCTATACATACACACACCACAGCCAAGATGCAGGACGATTCCATCACCCCCCAACCAAGAGAAAGAAATTCCCTTATGCTATTCCTTTGTAGCCAAACCCTTCCCTCACCCTTAATCCCTGACAACCACTGATCTGTTCTTTGTAGATATAGTTTTGCATTTTCCAGAACATCATGTAAATGGAATTCTACTGTATACAGCCTTTCGAATCTATCTTCTTTAACTTAGTATAATACATACAGGATTCATCCATATTGTTACATGGATCAGCAGTTCATTTCTTTTTATTACTGAGTAGTGTTCTGTCTCAGGGGGCCCCCACATCACCCCCACATTCAGAGATTAACTAGGACCCATGAGACTCATTATATAGTTGTATTCACGGATAAGGTTTATTATAATGGAAGGACACATGATATGATCAGCAAAGGAAAAAGACACAGGTAGAATCTGAAGGACACAGGTGTGTCTTCTGGTGCACAGTGAGAGGACACACCTAGCATGCTCCTTTCTCTAGCAGAAAAAAATGCAGTAACGTGTGCAATGTTTCTGCTAAGGAAGCCCACTAGGGACCCAAACCCAAGCTTTTTAGTGGGTACTGGTCACATAGGCACCCTAAGCCTAGCAACTAGCAAAATTCCAGGCTGCCAGAAGGAAAACAGGTATTCAGCATAAATCACATAGTTTGCAGTCTAGGCATAGAGCAGGGTGCCAAGTTCCCAGACACCAGCCAAGGGCTAATGTTGTAAATAAGTTCTTCTAAAGATAACAGCCTCAAGCCTTCTAATGTTAATTTTTTTGTGTATATAATACATGGCATGGATGGGCAAAATTTGTTTATCCATTCAACCACTGAAAGACATTTGGATTGTTTTCAGCTTTTTCTGATTATGATAAAACTGCTATAAATACTGTGAGCAGGCTTTTATGTGAGCCTAAGTTTTCATTTCACTTGGGTAAATACTTAAGAGCTAGATTGCCTGGTTTATAGTAAATGCATGTTTGACTTTGTAAGAAACTGCCAACTGTCTTCCCAAGTAGCTGTACCATTATCCATGTCCACCAACAATGTATGAGAGTTCCAATTGCTCCAAATCTTTGTTAGCACTTGATATTGTTGGGGTTTGGTTTTTTGCCATCTGATAGACATGTGGTAATATCCCATTATCGTTTTAATTTGCATTTCCCTAATAACTAAAGTTGTTGAGCATCTTTTCATGGCTTATTTACCATTCATATATTTTCTTTGGTGAAGTATCCAAGTCTTTTGCACATTTCAAAATTGGATTGTTTTCTTATTGTGAGTTTTGAAAGTTCTTTATTCTGGGTATAAGTCTTTTATCAGATATGTGACTTGAAATATTTTCTTCAGCCTTTGGCTTAATTTTTTATTCTCTTGACAGTGTATTTGCAGAGTAAAATGTATTTGGATGAAGTCTAATTGAAATAGGTTTTTTCTTTTCTGGATTGTGATTTGTTGTCATGTCTAAAAACCCTTTGTTTAACCCAGTGTTTCTCAACCAGAGATGAGTTTGCCCCCCAAGGGATATTTGACAATATTTGGAGATATTTTTTATTATCACGACTAGGGAGGGGGTGCTACTGCCATCTCGTGAGTTGAGGACAGAGATGCTGCTAAACATCCAGCAATGCACAAAACAGCTCCACATTACAAAGAATTATGAAGTCCAAAATGTCAATAGTGCCAAGATTGAGAATTCCTGGCCTAACCCAATGTCACAAAAATTTCTGCTATGTTTTCTTCTAAAAGCTTATTATAGTTTATGTTTTATATTTAGGTCTATGATCCATTTTGAGTTAATTTTTATATAAGGTATAGTGTATGAATTGAAGTTTGTTTGTTTTACATATGGATAGCCAATTGTTCCAACAGTACTTTTTTTTAAAAAGATAAATTTCTCCATTAAATTATCTTTGCACCTTTGGGTCTCTTTCTAGACTCTGTTTTGTTAATATGGTGAATTACTTTGATTTCAAATGTTGAACCAGTCTTGCATTCCTGGGATAAACTCCATTTGATCATAATGTATTATTCTTTTTCTGTATTGCTGGATTCAATTTGCTAGTATTTTGTTGAAGAGTTTTTCATCTATACTCATAAGGGTTATTGGTCTGTAGTTTTCCTTTCTTGTAATGTTTTTATCTATTGAGACAAGCATACAATTTTCCTCCTTTATTCTATTATTGTGGTGAATTATATAGATATTAATATGGATATATTTCAGATGTTCAACCAATCTTGTATTCCTGACATAAACTCAACTTGGTTATGATATATTTCCTTTTTATGTATTTCTAGACTTTAGGAGTTTTTGTATCTGTGCTTATAAGGTAGACTGGTCAATAATTTTTCCTTTCTTGCCATGTTATGGTCAGAAGTATTTCTTCTTTATCTATTATATGGTGGACTTTGTGTACATATGGATTATTTCTTCCCTAAATATTTGATAGAATTTGCCAGTGAAGTCACCTCTTCCTGGGATTTTCTTTCAGTGGAAGTTTTTAATTAAAATTTTTATTTTTAGTAGATATAGGACTATTCAGATTTCTTTTTGTGTTTATTTTGATAAGTTGGATTTTTCTAGGAATTTACCATTTTATCTAAATGTTTAAATATGTTGAAGTTGGTTTTTTTTTTTTTGAAACGGAGTCTCACTCTGTTGCCAGGCTGGAGTGCAATGGAGCCATCTTGGCTCAGGGCAACCTCTGCCTCCTGGGTTCAAGCGATTCTCCTGCCTCAGTCTCCCGAGTAGCTGCAATTACAGGCATGCACCACCACACCCAGCTAATTTTTGTATTTTTAGTAGGGACGGGGTTTCACCATGTTGGCCAGGATGGTCTCGATCTCCTGACCTCATGATCCGCCCACCTCGGCCTCCCAAAGTGCTGGGATTATAGGCGTGAGCCACTGCACCCAGCCTATGTTGAAGTTTTTAAAAAGATCCTTTTGCAATATTTTAAATGACTGTGTTGATCTCTAGTGATACCCTCTTTTACAATACTAGTGTTAATTATTTTTGCAATTTTTCTTTTCTCCTTGATTAGTCCCAGGATTTATTGATTTATTAGTGTTTCCAAAGAACCAAATTTTAATTGTGTTGATCTTCTTATACGTTTGTCTTATTACTTTATTAACTTTTACTCTTATCTTTATTGTTTCCTTCTGTCTACTTTCTTTGGGTTTAATTTTATATTCTTTTTCTGACTTCCTGAGGTGGATGCTTAGATAATTGGGCTTTTTCTTTTTCTTTTTTGAATATATACATATAATATTACAAATTTCCCTCAAAGTCCAGTTTTAGCTGCATCCCGCAAGCTTTGATATGCCATATGGTAATTATTAAGCTCAAAATATTTTATATTTTTCTTTCTTGTTCTTTCTTGTCCCGTTGGATATTTAGAGTGTGTAACGTAATTATACCATTTCGGGATTGTCTAGTTATCATTTTTTCTTTTTAACATTAAATTGTGTTGTGGTCAGAGAAAAAACTGCATAATTTCAACCCTCTGTAATTTGCTTAGACTTGTTTTATGGCCCAGCACATAGTCAATTTTGGTAAATGTTTCATGTGGAGCTAAAATGATGCATATTCTGCAGTTTTTTGATACAGCGTTTTATAAATGTCAGGTCAAATTTATTAATTTAATTTATTAATCATATTGCTTAAATCTTATATATACTTATAAATACTTTCTTATTTGTATCATTTACTGATAGAAGTGTGTTAATATCTCCCACGATAATTTTGGAGCTCTCTATTTCTCCTTTTATTTCTGTAAATTTTTGCTGTATGTATTTTGAAACTATGTTATTAGACAAATGCAAACTTAAAATTGTAAACATTGTGAATTTTCCATTTTATTAAGAACTCTCTTTATCTCTAGAGATGTTTTATGTATTACAGCCTGTATTCTCTAGTATTAGTTTAATTGCATCAGTTTTCTGGTTATTTTTCATAATATATCTTTTTTTGTTTTTTAATTTTTTACTTTCACCCTTTCTGCTCCTTTATTTTAAGGTCTGTCTCTTGAAAGAATTATATATTTTTTGTTTTTTAATTAAATTCAGTCTTTCAATCTTTGTCTTTTAATTAGAGTATTTAATCTTTTTACATTAATATAGTTACTTAAATATTTGGGCTAATATTTTTACATTAATATAATTACTTAAATATTTGTACCACCTTACTGTTTGTTTGCTGTTTGACTCACTTGCACTGTATTCTTTATTCTTTCCTTTTTTGCCTGATTGTGTATTAATGAAAGTTTTTTTTTATTCTAAGTTTCTCCATATATTATTTAAATATTTAAACATTATTTTAGTATTTCTTTAGTGGTTACTCCAGAGACTATAACACAAATCCATGATTAATTACTAAAGTATAATATACTCTAGCATTTTTACCACTTTGCAGACAATGCAATGATCTTAGAATACTTTGTCCATTTACCGCTTGTTTTGCACTATTGTTGTCATGTGTTTTAATTCTATATATATGTTATAAACTATCCCATGAGACACTATTATGAATTTTTTTTTTTTTTGAGGCGAAGTCTCTCTCTGTCACCCAGGCTGGAGTGCGGTGGTGCCATCACAGCTCACTGCAACCTCCACCTCCTGGGTTCAAATGATTCTCCTGCTTCAGCCTCCCAAGTAGCTGGGATTACAGGTGCCCACCACCACGCCTGGCTAATTTTTTGTATTTTTAGTAGAGATGGGATTTCACCATGTTGGCCAGGCTGGTCTTGAACTCCTGACCTCAAGTGATCCACCTGCCTCAGCCTCCCAAAGTGCTGGGATTACAGACGTGAGCCACTGCACCTGGCCTATTGTGAACATAATTATACAGTTTATATTTAGATTTGCCCACATATTTACTTTTTTCATTGTTCTTTATTTTACACATAAGACTATTCAGATTTTTAATTTCTTTTTGTGTCTATTTTGGTAAGTTGGCTTTTTCTAGGAATTTATCCCTTTCATCCAAATGTTTAAATATGTTGAAATAAAGTTTTTCAAAATATTCTCTTGTGATATTTTAAATGACTGTAAGATCTGTGATGATACTCCTTTTCACATTAACTAGTATTAGACATTTGTGCCTTCTTTTCTTTTTGCTTCATGCTTCCATTTGGGATCATTTTCCTTCTGTCTGAATAGCTATCTTCAAATTCTCCTTAAAGTATGCTGGAATTTTTTGGGTTTTGCCTGAATATGTTTTTATTTCACTTTTTTTTTTTTGAGACAGAGTCTTGCTCTGTTGCCCAGGCTAGAGTGCAGTGGCACAATCTCGGCTCACTGCAACCTCTGCTTCCTGGGTTCAAGCGATTATCCTGCTTCAGCCTTCTGGGTAGCTGGGATTACAAGCGTGTGCCACCATACCTGGCTAATTTTTGTATTTTTAGTAGAGATGAGATTTCACCATATTGGCCAGGCTGGTCTTGAACTCCTGACCTCAAGTGATCCACTTGCCTTGGCCTCCCAAAGTGCTATGATTACAGGCATGAGCCACTGCGCCTGGCCTTTTTTTTTTTTGTCACTCAGGCTGGAATGCAGTGGCATGGTCTCAGCTCACTGCAACCTCCACTTCCCAGGTTCAAGTGATTCTCGTGCCTCAGCCTCCTGAGTAGCTGGGACTACAGGCATATGCCACCACACCCAGCTAATTTTCATATTTTTAATAGACATGGGGCTTCACCATGTTGCTCAGGCTGATCTCAAACTCCTGACCTCAAGTGATCCACCTGCCTCAGCCTCCCAAAGTGCTGAGATTACAGGTGTGAGCCACTGTGCCTGGCCCATTACCTACATTTTGAGTGGTATTTTCTGTGTTCCTAAGGTTGGCAATTACTTTGTTTTAGCACTTTGAAGATGTCGTTCTGCTGTTTTCTGGCTTCTACCATTTTATTAAGGATTTAGCTGTTGGTCTTATTGTTGCTCTTTGAAGATATTGCATCTTTTTTTCTCTGGCTGTTTTTTTCTCTCACCTTTAGTTAGTGTTGTTTCTTTAAAGGCTTTTCTATGATGTGCCTAAATGTAATTTTCATTGTACTTATCCAGTTTGTAGAACTTCTTGATATGATGCTTTCATTATTTAGAAAAAATTCTCAGCTATTATTTCATTAAATATTTCTCCTCTTTTCTCTTTTTATCCTCCCTTTTTTCTCTTTTTCCCCCTCCCTTCCTCCTTTACCTCCTTCCCCACCTTTCCACTTTCTCTTTCTTTTCTCTCTATCTGGGACTCCCAAGTACACCTTTTTACTAAGTTTCATGTACAGGCATACCTTGGAAATATTGTAGATTTGGTTCCAGACCACTACAATAAAGCAAATTGCAATAAAGCAAATCACACAAATTTTTTGGTTTTCCAGTACATATAAAAGCTATGTTTACAATATACTATAGTCTATTAAGTGTGCAACAGCATTACCTCTAAAAACACAATGTACATACCATAATTTTAAAATATTTTATTGCTGAAGATATGCTAATGCACATCTGAGACTTCAGCAAGTCCTAATCTTTTTGCTGGTGGAGTGTCTTGCCCTGAGGCTGACTGATCAGGGTGGTGGTTGCTGAAGGTTAGAGTGGCAATGGTAATTTCTTAAAAGAAGACAGCAAAAAAGTTTGCCACATTAATTAATTTTTCCTTTCACAAAAGATTTCTCTGTAGCATTTGATGCTGTTTGATAGAATTTTGCCCATGGAACTTTTTCAAAATTGGAGTCAGTCCTCTCAAACTCTGCTGCTGTTTTATCAACTAAGTTTATGTAATGTTCTAAATCTTTTGTCATTTCATCAATGTTTATGGCATCTTCACCAGGAGTAGATTCTATCTCAACAAACCACTTTCTTTGTTTATCCATGAGAAGCAACTTTTCATCCCTTCAAGTTTATTCATGAGATTGCAGCAATTCGGTCACATCTTCAGCCTCCACTTCTAATTCTAGCTTTGTTGCTATTTCTACCACATTTTCAGTTACTTCCTCCACTGGAGTCTTGAACTCCTCAGAGTCATTCGTGAAGGTTGGAGTCAATTTCTTCCAAATTCCTGTTAAATGTTGACATTTTGACCTCCCATGAATCACAAATATTCCTTTTTTTTTTTTTTTTTTTTTGAGGCAGAGTCTCACTCTGTCACCCAGGCTGGAGTACAGTGGTGCAATCTTGGCTCACTGCAACCTCTGCCCCCCGGGTTCAAGCAATTCTCCTGCCTCAACCTCCTGAACAGCTGGGATTACAGGCATCTTCCACCATGCCCAACTAATTTTTTTTTTTTTAGATGGAGTCTTGCTCTGTTGCCCAGGCTGGAGTGCAGTGGCGTGATCTCAGCTCACTGCAAGCTCCACCTTCTGGGTTCATGCCATTCTCCTGCCTCAGCCTCCCCAGTAGCTGGGACTACAGGCACCCGCCACCACACCTGGCTAATTTTTTGTATTTTTTTTAGTACAGATGGGGTTTCACCATGTTAGCTAGGATGGTCTCGATCTCCTGACCTCGTGATCTGCCCACCTTGGCCTCCCAAAGTGCTGGGATTACAGGCATGAGCCACCATGCCCGGCCTTTTTTTTTTTTTTTTTTTTTTGACAGAGTTTCTCTCTTGTTGCCCAGGCTGGAGTGCAATGGCACATGGCACAATCTTGGCTCACCGCAACCTCCGGCTCCTGGGTTCAAGCGACTCTCCTGCCTCAACCTCCTGAGTAGCTGGGATTACAGGCATGCACCACCATGCCTGGCTAATTTTTTTGTTTTTTTTTTTTTTTTTTTTAGTAGAGATGGGGTTTCTCCATGTTGGTCAGGCTGGTCTTAAACTCCTGACCTCAGGTGATCCACCCACCTCAGCCTCCCAAAGTGCCGGGATTACAGGTGTGAGCCATTGTGCCCAGCCAATTTTTGTATTTTTAGTAGAGACGGGGTTTCGCCATGTTGGTCAGGCTAGTCTCAAACTCCTGACCTCAGGTGATCCACCTGCCTCGGCCTCCCAAAGTGCTGGAATTACAGGCATGAGCCACTGTGCCTGGCTCACAAATATTCTTAATGACATCAAGAATGGTAAATCCTTTTCCAAAGGTTTTCAATTTACTTTGCCCAGATCCATCAGAGGAATCACTACCTACAGCATCTATAGCTTTACAAAATGTATTTCTTAGGTAATAAGACTTGAAAGTCTACTCCTTGATCTGTGGGCTGCAATATGGTTGCTATATTAGTAGGCATAAAAATAATAATCTTGTACATCTCCATCAGAACTCTAGGGTGACCAGGTGCATTGTCAATGAGCAGTATTATTTTGAAAGGAATCTTTTTTCCTGAGCAGTAGTTCTCAACAGTAGACTTAAAATATTCAGTATACTATTCTGTGAATAGATTGCTGTCATCCAAGCTTCATTGTTCCATTTATATAGCACAGGCAGAGTAGATTTAGCATCATTCTTAAGGGCTCTAGGGTTTTCAGAATGGTAAATGAGCATTGGCTTTAGCCTAAAGTCACCAGCTGCCTTAGCCTCTAATAAAAAGAGTCAGCCTGTCCTTTGAAGCTTTAAAGCCAGACATTGACTTCTCCTCTCTAGCTATGTAAGTCCTAGGTGGCATCTTCTTCCAGTAGAAGGCTCTTTCATGTACATTTATAATCTGTTGTTTAGTATAGTCACCTTCATCAATGATCTTAACTAGATCTTCTGTATAACATGCTTTAGCTTCTTAATCAGCACTTGCTGCTTCACCTTGTACTGTTGTGTTATGGAGATGGTTTCATTCCTTAAATCTCATGAATAACTTTGCTAGATTACGATTTTTCCTTTGTGGCTTCCTCATCTCTCTCAGCCTTCACAGAATTAAAGAGAGCTTGGGCCTTGCTCCAGATTAGGCACTGACTAATAAGAATATTATGGCTGATTTGCTTTTCTATGCAGACCACTAAAACTTTCTCCATATCAGCAATAAGGCTGTTTTGCTGTCTTATTTGTGCATTCATTGGAGTAGCACTTTTAATTTCCTTCATGAACTTTTTCTTTGCATTCACAACTTGGCTGACTGGCACAGGAGGCCTAGATTTAAACCTATCTCAGCTTTCAGCTTGCCTTCCTCACTAAGGTTAATCATTTCTAGCTTTTGATTTAAAGTGAGGTGCGTGCAACTCTTTTCACTTGAATACTTAGGAATCATTGTAGAGTTACTATAGTAGTTGGTCTAATTTCAATATTGTTATGCCTCAGGGAATAGGGAAGCCCAAGGAGATGGAGAGAAACAGGGGAATGGCTGGTTGGTGGAGCAGTTAGAACACACACAATATTTGTCAATTAAGTTTGCTGTCTTATATGGGCATGGTTCATTGGTGCCCCCAAACAATTACAATAGTAACATCAAAGATCACTTAACACAGATTACCATAAGAGATATAATAATAATAAATTTTGAAATATTGCAGGAATTACCAAATGTGACACAGAGACATGAAGTGAGCACATGCTATTGGAAAAATGATGCCAATAGACTTGCTCAACACAAGGTTGCCACTAACATTCAATTTCTAAAAAAACACAGTATCTGCAACATGCAGTAAAGTGGAGCACAATAACATGAAGTATGTCTGTATTTCTTGTTCTCTGTTCTGTATATTTCATCTTTTTTTTTCCCTTTTGGTCAGCCTAGGTATTTTCTACTGACCTGTCTTCCAATTTACTCATGCTTTTTTTTAACTGTGTCTAATGTGCTGATAAAACTCATCTTTTGAGTTCTTGATCTTATTTATTCTATTTTTCACTTTTAGAATTTCCAGTGGATTCATTTTTATTCTTATACTCTGCTGAAATTCTCCATCTTGTTTCTTATTTAATTGTACATTTTAATCATAGCTACTATAAAGCTTCTGTCAGATAATTCTAATATCTGCATTTCTATAAGTCTGTTTCTCACTGTTTTCAGCCAATCCTTGACTTTGTATCTAATATTCTTTAGTATGCCAGATATTGTGTATGAAAAACCGTAGACATAATTTAAGACTCTGGATGATATCATGTTCCTCTGGAGAGGACTTATCTTTCCTTTCAACAGGCGAGTAGGCTGGGGGCAGATGACTCTCATCCAAACAAGGATTGAAACTGTGCTTCAGCCTTTGTGAGGTCTTGTCTATTTTTGTTTCACCTTTACTCCTCAGATAGATATAGCTCTTCGGGTCCTCAACTGAAAGCCAAGGTTGTTTATCAGAGTCTTCTACCTCGGTGGGCCCTGAATTCCTGTTTTTCTCTCTCTAGCTTCGTGAACATGTCAGGAGCTCTGCTTGGCTTCTCTGCCTGTCATCCCTGGGTTTACTTTCAAAATCAACACTTGCCTTGAAAGGTAAAAGAGTTCTAAATGTCATGCTCACTTTCATTAGTTTCTCTCTTTTACCAGATCCTAGCCCTGAAAATCCTCACTGACTTGTGACTCTAATGCACTTAGACTTACTTTAAATATACACTGTGTTGAACTTTCTGTGTTTTCTGAGAAGGAGGATTGGTCTAAAATACCCTAAGTCAGCCATTGTCAGAAGTGAAACACCTGTGATTGTTCTGTGGGGATTCTTGGCTTTGCCCAGAAAAGAATTAAAGTGCAAGCTAGTGGTGGAAGAAAACAGCTTTACTGAAGAGGTGTTACAGCTCTGGCGGTGTTACAGCTCTGGCAGTGTTACAGCTCTGTGACTGCTCCTGCAGAGCAGGGAAACCCCATAGGCAGTGTGCTGAGAGTAGCAACTCAGGGCAGTTTTGCAGTCATATTTATACCTGCTTTTAATTACATATAGATTAAGTGGTGGGTTACGTAGAAATTTCTAGGGTAGAGGTAGTAACTTTTGGGTCATCAGGTTATTTTCATAGAAAGGGGCAGTAACTCCCAGGTGTTGCCACAGCAGTGGTAAACTGACATGGCTCGCTGGTGGGCATGTCTGATGGAAAGCTGCTTCTACCTCGTCCCTGCTTTAGCTAATCCTCAGTTTGGTCTGGTGTCTGACTTATGCCTCCTACCTCAGCAAGAGTGGAAGCAAACTAGTTAGAAGACTGTTTTAGTAATCTATTAAGTTGGTGCAAAAGTAATTGCCATTACGTTTAATGACAAAAACCGCAATACTTTTGCACCAACCTAGTAAGTAACATTAGTGATATGCTGTCAAAGATGGTAGTAGGGAAAAGAGAATTTTAAATTTACGGAGGACTTTTAGATTTTTGGCTTAAATAACTGAGTAACAATGGCGTCACTGACTCAGATGGGAAGACTGAGGGAAAAGTAGGTTTGGGAGGCGTTAGATGAGAATAAATGTATAAATTGCAAATGTATCCCCATCAGGGTACATTGGGATGTATGTGAGTGGGGACACTGGCCCAGGTGGAGAGACCCCAGAATCCAGTCAGAGCCACTGTTATGAATTTTTGCAAGATTGGTCAGTGGGCTTCTGAGTCCTTTTCTCCTTTGATCTTAGAGCAATGTCTCCTCACTTCATAGAACCTAGTCCTAAAATCCTGAGAAAGTTATGAGAATTGGCCTCTTTAGGAGAAGATTTTCTTGTCTAAGACATTGAGACTTTCAAAATTTCAGTTTCTGTCAAATTGGTTGTATTAGTTCATTTTCATGCTGCTGATAAAGACATACCCGAAACTGGGAACAAAAAAAGGTTTAATTGGACTTACAGTTCCACATGGCTAGGGAGGCCTCAGAATCATGGTGGGAGGCTAAAGGCTCTTCTTATGTGGTGGTGGCAAGAGAAAACGAGGAAGAAGCAAAAGCAGAAACCCCTGATAAACCCATCAGATCTCATGAGATTTATTCACTATCAGGAGAATAGCATGGGAAAGACCAGCCCACGTGATTCAATTACCTCCCCACTGGGTCCCTCCCACAACACGTGGGAATTCTGAGAGATAAAATTCAAGTTGAGATTTCAGTGGAGACACAGCCAAACCATATAATTCCACCCGTGGCCCCCCTAAATCTCATGTCCTCACATTTCAAAATTAATCATGCCTTCCCAACAGTCCCCCAAAGTCTTAACTCATTTCAGCATTAACCCAAAAGTCCAGTCCAAAATGTCATCTGAGACAAGGCAAGTCCCTTCCGCCTGTGAGCCTTTAAAATTGAAAGCAAGCTAGCTACTTCCTAGATACAATGGGGGTACAGGTATTGGGTAAATACAGCCATTTCAAATGGGAGAAATTGGCCAAAACAAAGGGGTTACAGGGCCCGAGGAAGTCTGAAATCCAGCGGGCCAAATTTTAAAGCTTTGAAATGACCTCCTTTGACTCCAGGTCTCACATTCAGGTCAGGCTGATGCAAGAGGTAAGTTCCCAGGGTCTTGGGCAGCTCTGCCCCTGTGACTTTGCAGGGTACAGCCTCCCTCCTGGCTCCTTTCATGGGCTGACGTTGAGTGGCTTTTCCAGGTGCATGGAGCAAGCTGTCACTGGATCTACCATTCTGGGGTCTGGAGGACAATGGCCCTCTTCTCACAGCTCCACTAGGCAGTGCCCCAGTAGGGACTTTGCATGGGGGCTCTGACCCCACATTTCCCTTCTGCACTGCCCTAGCAGAGGTTCTTCATGAGGACCTCACCCCTGCAGCAAACTTTTGCCTGAGCATCCAGGCGTTTCCATACATCTGAAATCTAGGTGGAGGTTCCCAAACCTCAATTCTTCACTTCTGTGCACCCACACACTCAACTCCTTGTGGAAGCTGCCAAGGTTTGGGGCTTCCACCCTCTGAAGCCACAGCCCAAGCTATATGTTGGCCCCTTTCAGCCATGGCTGGAGCAGCTGGGACACAGGGCACCAAGCCCCTAAGCTGCACACAGCATGGGGACCCTGGGCCCAGCCCACGAAACCACTTTTTCCTCCTGGGCCTCCAGGCCTGATGGGAGGGGCTATCAGGAAGTTCTCTGATATGGCCTGGAGACATTTTTCCCATGGTCTTGGAAATTAACATTAGGCTCCTTGCTGCTTATGCAAATTTCTGCAGCCAACTTGAATTTCTCCCCAGAAAATGGGCTTTTCTTTTCTATCACATAGTCAGGCTGAAAATTTTCCAAACTTTATGCTCTGCTTCCCTTATAAAACTGAATGCCTTTAACAACACCCAGGTTACCTCTTGAATGCTTTGCTGCTTAGAAATTTCTTCCACCAGATACTCTAAATCATCTCTCTCAAGTTCAAAGTTCCACAAATCTCTAGGGCAGGGGCAAAATGCTACCAGTCTCTTTGCTAAAACATAACAAGAGTCACCTGTGATCCAGTTCCCAACAAGTTCCTCATCTCCATCTGAGACCACCTCAGCCTGAATTTTATTGTCCATATCGCTGTCAACATTTTGGGCAAAGCCATTCAACAAGTCTCTAGGAAGTTCCAAAATTTCCCACATTTTCCTGTCTTCTTCTGAGCCCTTCAAACTGTTCCAACCTTTGTCTGTTACCCAGTTCCAAAGTCACTTCCACATTTTCGGGTATCTTTTCAGCAATGCCCCACTCTACTGGTACCAATTTACTGTATTAGTTCGTTTTCACACTGCTGATAAAAACATACTCGAAACTGGGAATGAAAAAAGGTTAATTGGACTTACAGTTCCCCATGGCTGGGGAGGCCTTAGAATCATGGTGGGAGGTGAAAGACTCTTCTTACATGGCGACGACAAGAGAAAATGAGGAAGAAGCAAAAGCAGAAACCCCTGATACACCCATCAGATCTCATGAGATTTATTCACTGTCACGAGAATAGCATGGGAAAGACCAGCCCACGTGATTCAATTACCTCCCCACTGGGTCCCTCCCACAACATGTGGGAATTCTGGGAGATAAATGCAAGTTGAGATTTCAGTGGGGACACAGCCAAACCATATCATTGGTGTAATAATTCCTTCTTCCTGTGTACTCTCCATGTTCCTGTGAATAGCAAATACTGTTTCTTAGTTGTGAAAATGTGCTTTTTAAACAGTGAGTGCTGTGAAAATGTAGAGTCATGTGTTAATGTTTCCAGATATCCTCAGGGACATTAGTGGGAAGTAAGGAAGCAACTGACAAATCTGTTTGCCTGTTAGAGCAGGAAGGGGAGCAGTTGATGAAGCTAGGCTGAAGAGGTTAGATTTGATGTGCAGGACAAATTACTAGAACCCACAGAGAGAGAGAGAGCAGTGAGGGAGGACCTTCTGACAGAGCCATTGGCCTGCAGTTGAGAGGTGCATGACCCCACAGGGAGGGAACTAGGGAGGTGGCTCTCCAACCTTATGCTCCTCTTTCCCTCTGATCTCCTGCTGGTGCCCCTACTGGCAAAACCCAACTAGAGTTTCCTTATGCCTATGCAAGCAAGTGCAAATATGCCTTATTTCTTCCGCTTTGCTGGCTTAAAAAGCATTATATTAAAACAGTGTTCTGAACTTTACTTTTTCACAATATGTCATGAATAGCTGTCATTCTTTTTCTTCTTGCTATATAATACCCACTGTGTAGGTGTTCTGTGATTAGCCCAATCCTTTTTTCCTATTACAAGCAATGGAGGTAGTAACCATATACATTTGTGATATCACATTTGTACAACTATATCTGTAAATAAATTCCTAAAGATGAAATTATTAGACCAAGGGTCATGTGCATTTATAATTTTAAGAGATAGTGTCAAATTAATCACCATAAGATTATACCAATTTACATTCTCATCAGCAAAATATGTTACCTTAGTATAGTTTTAATTTGTATTTATATTATTAAAAGTGAAGTGGAGCTTCTTTACATAATTTTTATGAGTTACATACAACATATACATAATATAAAATTGACCATTTTAACCATTTAATGAAGTGTGCAGTTCAGCAGAATTTAATATACTCACAGCATCATACAACCATCACCACTATTTAATTCCAGAACTTTTTTAAATCACCCCAAAAGGAAACTTTGTACCCATTAAACAGTCACTTCCCATTCTCCCTTCCCTAGAAACTACTAATCTACTTTCTGTCTCTATGAATTTGCCCATTCTCCATGTTTTACATAAAGGGAATCATACTGTCAAAGTCAAATAAAAATATAGAGATGAATCTCTAAAGAAGAGCTTTTATTTGGGAAAACAAACTTGCAATTGGAGGCATACACACAAACCAGGCAGTCTTTGATATGTCCAATAACAAGGAAAGTTGGGGGTTTTACTAGAAAGATAAATGTTACATATTGTTTGGAAGGAAAGCTCCTTGGTGCTAGCAAAGTTTTGGGGAACTGGCAAACTCTGATTGATGAGTGATAGCAGTAGGTAAAACTAGTCTCAGAATCACAGCAGTTCACTTAAGCTGCTACTAGGTAAATTTAGTCTTAAGGTTATAGGAGGTCATTTCAGCAACTGGATTGCGATATAATCCCTGAGTAGGCTCTTGTGCCCCAACTGTTTTTTCCCTGTGGTCTTGACTGTAATTTAATTGGTTATGACGAGATAACTGCAACATATATTATCCATTTTCACATCTCCTCCTCTTGGTCAAGATCTTTTTCTGAAAGCATCATTGATCAACTATCTTGAAGTTAGGCTAGTTGTCCCTCAGTGTCAGGATGGACCTGTTCCAGTGGTCTCTGGTCTCACATTGTGGGGAAGGTGATGCAGTCAAAGTCAAGGACCCTAGACACAATTGAGCAACAAAGAGGCCATAAGGAAGGAAAAAAACTTTCTTTGGGCAGTTTTGCCTGGAGTTTGTCATTGAGTTCTGTCTTCTTAGATCCATGGGCATTAAGCAATCATCTCAAAATGTTGAGCTAACATTATCCTGTTGGAAGAACTGATTTTACAAATATTAGACAGACAACAAGAACAGAGCTTAAAGCTCATAATACAAAAAATAACCAGCAACAGTATCCTAAATTCAGTTTTGAACCAAGAGCCAAGCCTAAGGGCAATTAACTAAACAAATCAAAGGACAATGGGGGAACTGGGAACTGGGTGAGAACTGTTGTAGCCATTGAGTAGCATTTTATGACTGGGTTGAATTAAAGCAAAGAGTGGCAACTCTAAAAGGGACTTCTAGTACAATTTGAACAAGTTAGGGATGTTGTCAAAGTTACCAACTAGGTGGCCTAAAGGATTTATTAGGTTAGGTTCTGTCAAGTTACTCATAGCAGTTACTGACTGAAATTTTGATTACAGCCGTTACTCTGTTCAGTGAAAAAGGTAGGTATTACAAGGGGTAAGAGTCTCATTATGATATGAAATCTTGTTTGGCATCTTGGGAAAATCTGTCTACAGCATGAAGTTGGCAATATTGCAGCTTGAATATCTCTGGTTATAGTGGTTATGGCACCAGCTGGCTTTGTTAAACTCCCTGTGTGGCCCACCCATTAAGCGTAAACCTTGTCTTTTGAAATTTACACCAAATTATCTAGCCTCAGTTTATAGGTATTTAGGAAAGAGCAGTTTCTGCCCTTAGTAATTCAATGAGAGAAAACTGGATTGAAAGAACCAAGACAAATTTAGGATCCAGTCTAGTCTACAGATAGAAAACAAAAACTTGAAAACAATGCACAGGGCTACAGTCTAATAACAGGTATATTATAGTTTTTCTTTGGAAACATGATTTTTCTCTTCAGTCATCCCACTTTCTACCAAAGACAATCAGAGTAAGGCAATATTGTTTGCAAAATAAGTTTAGTCTCATCAATTTTGGTCTGGTCATTTACATAAGTGCAGAAAGAATAGTAACTGATCACATAGAAATCTCAGATTTGACCTTTTTTTAAAAAATGTTGAGGCTAGGAAGACAAAGGCAGGCTTTATATTATATATATATGATATATTTTCTATAAACAATTTTTAATATGACATCTTAGTCAAACTTTTGTTTGCTGGTATTTTGCTGAGAATTTTTACATCTATATTAATAAGGGATATTTGTCTGTTTTTCTTTTTTGTAGTGTCTTTGTCTGGCTTTGGTATCAGGGTAATGCTGAGGTTTCCATTTCTTCTGTTTTTAGGTGAGTTTGAGAAAGTTTTGGTGTTAGTTCTTCTTTAAATTTTAGGTAGAATTCACAAGTGAAAATATCTAGTTCCAGGCTTTTCTTGGGGGGTTTTTGATTACTGATTCAATCTTTTTACTTGTTAGAGGCTTATTCAGATTATATATTTCTTCTTGAGTTAATTTTGATCATTTGTGTGTCTTAGAAATTTGTCCATTTCTTTTAGATTATCTGATTTGTTGGCATACAATTGTTCACAATTTTTTCTTACAGTTTTTAAATTCTGTAAGGTTGGTAATAATGACCCACTTTCATTTTTTATTTCAGTAATTTGCAACTTTTCTCTTTTAGTCAGTCTAGCTAAATATTTAGTCTGCTCTATACAGAGAACCAACATCTGTTTTGTTGTTTCTCTCTATGGTTTATCTATTCTTTATTTATTTACCTTGACTGACTCCAATCATTATTATTTTCTTCCCTCTGCCAGCTTTGGGTTTAGTTTGTTCTTCTTCTTCTGCTTTAAGGTTAGGTTAGATTATTGGTTTGAGATTTTCTTCTCTTTTAATGTAGGCATTTACAGCTATAAATATTCCTGACTGTTGCTCTCAGTGTATCCCTTAAGTTTTGGTACGTTGTTTTTGTTTTCATTTCCTTAAAGTGTTGTTTTCTAATTTCCCTTGAGATTCCTTCTTTGACCCATTTGTTGTTTAATAATGTGTTGCTTAATTTTCACATATTTGTGAATTTTCCAAATTTCTTCCTGTTATTGAATTCTAATTTCATATCATTGTGCTTGGAGAAGAGATTTTATAATGTTTTCAGTCTTTTTAAATTTATTGAGATTTGTTTTGTGGTCTCATATATAGTCTGTCCTGAAGAATGTTCCATGTGCAATAGAGAAGAATGTGTGTTTTGCGGTGCTTGGATCAAATGTTCTATATGTGTCTGTTAGTTCTAGTTGGTTTATAATGTTCTTCAAGTTTTCTATTTCCTTGTCTTTTGTCTAGTTATCCTATCCGTTATCAAAAGTGGGATGTTAAAGTATCTAACTATTACTATAGAATTGCCTATTTCTTCCTTCAATTCTGTCAGGTTTTGCTTCATATATTTAGGGACTCTATTGTTACATGTGTATATGTTTGCAATTGTTATATTTCTAGATAGAGTAACTGTCTTCTAAATACATAATGTCCTCATTTGTCTCCCATAATAATTTTTTACTTAAAGTCTATTTTTGTCTGATATTAGTATAACCACTCCTGGTTATTTTTTTCCTTTAGGTTATTATTTGCTTAGAGTGTTTGTTTTCAATCTTTCATTTTAAACTTAGCTGTATGTTTGTTTGTTTAGACATGGGGTATCACTGTGTTGCCAAGGCTGGACTCAAACTCCTGGGCTCAAGAGAGCCTCCCACCTCAGCCTACCAAGTAGCTGGAACTGCAGACACATGCTACTGCATGCAGCTTTAGTTGCATGTTTGAATCTAAAATGCATCTCGTGTAGGGAGCATGTAGTTGGATTACAGTTGGATTTGCATTCCACTGATCTGAGTTTTGTTTAAGACTTTAATCCATTTATGTTTAAAGTAATTACTGACTAGGAAGGACTTCTGCCATCTTGCTGTTAGTTTTCTAGAAATCTTTCTGTTTTTCAATTCCTCCATCATTGCCTTTTTTACGTTTAATTGATTTTTTTTTTTTACTGTATGGTTTTGAATTCCTTCTCATTTATTTTTCTGTATATTTTAGTTATTTTCTTTGTGGTTACCGTGGTGATTATAAGTAACATCTTAAATGTGTAACAATCTAGTTTGAATTAATACCAACTTAGCTTTAGTAGCATACAAAGTTATCTGCTCCCGTACAGCTTCCTTCCCACCTCTCTACTTTATGTTGACATTGTTATAAAAAACGTCTTTATGCATTGTGTGCCCATTAACACATATGTACAATTATTGTTTTATGTATTTGTGTTTTAAATCATACAGAAAAAAAAAACAAAAAAGTTACAAACTGAAAAATATGACAATACTTCTTTTATGTTTACCTATGTAGTTACCTTTATCAGTGTTCTTTATTTCTTCATATAGCTTCAAGTTACTGTCTAGTATCTTTCCATTTCAACCTGGACTCAATGGCATGTTTTGTGGTGCAGGCCTACCAGGAACAAACTCCCTTAGCTTTTGTTTGTCTGGGAATGTCTTACTTTCTCCTTCATTTTTGAAGGATAGCTTTGCTCAATATAGAATTCTAGGCTGAGGCTGGGTGCAGTGGCTCATGCCTATAATCCCAGCACTTTGGGAGGCGTAGGCAGGCAGATCTCTTGAGTCCAGGAGTTTGAGGCCAGCCTGGGCAACATGGTGATAACTTGTCTCTACAAAAAACCTGTCTCTACGAAACAGCCAGGAGTAGTATCACGTGCCTGTCATCCTAGCTACTCAGGAGGCTAAGATGGGAGAATCACTGTGCCCTGGAGGTTGAGGCTGCAGTGAGCTGTGATCATGCTACTGCATTCCAGCCCAGGTAACAGAATGAGACCCTGTCTTAAAAAAAAAAAAAAAAAATTCTAGGCTGACAAGGTTTTTTTTTCTTGTTTCTCTTTCAGCACTTTAAATATGTCCGCCCACTGCCTTCTAGCAGCCAAAATTTCTCATGAGTAATTGGCTATTAATCTTATTGAGGATTCCTTGAACTTGATGAGTTGCTTCTCCCGTTGTTTTCAAGATGTTATGTCTTTTGATAATTTTATGATAATGTGTATCAATGTAGATCTCTTTGAATTTATCCCACTTTGAATTTGTTAAGCTATTTAGATATGTAGATTTATGTCTTTCATCAAATTGGGAGAGTTTTAGGCAATTATTTCTTCAAATATTCTTTCTGCTCCTTTCTTTCCTGTCCTTCTAGGATTCCCATTATGTGTCTTGAGTATGTTTGATGCTGTCCCACAGACATCTTAGGCTCTGTTAATTGTTCTTCATTCTTTTTTCTTTCTACTCCTCAAACTAAATAATCTTAATTATCCTATCTTCAAGTTTGCTGACCCTTTCTTCTGCCTGCTTAGATCTATCACTGAATTTTTATTTTAGTTATTTTACTTTTTAACTCTAGAATTTCTGATTGATTACTTTTCATAATTCTTGTCTCTTTATTGATATTTTCTATTAGGTGAGATATTGTTCTCCTGGTTTCCTTTAGTTGTTTTTCCATGGTTTCCTTTAGCTCTTTAAATATAGTTAAGTGGTTGAAGATGGCTGAATAGAAACAGCTCTGGTCTACAGCTCCCAGTGAGATTGACATAGAAGATGGGTGATTTCTGCATTTCCAACTAAGGTACCTGGTACTCCTCATTGGGACTGGTTGGACAGCGGGTGCAGCCCCCGGAGGGCAAGCTAAAGCAGGGCAGGGTGTCGCCTCACCCAGGAAGCACAAGGCGTCAAGGGATTTCCCTTTCCTAGCCAAGGGAAGCCATGAGTGAATGGTAAGAAAAAGAAATAAAGGATATTCAATTAGGAAAAGAGGAAGTCAAATTGTCTCCGTTTGCAGATGACATGATTGTATATTTAGAAAACCCCATCGTCTTGGCCCAAAATCTCCTTAAGCTGATAAGCAACTTCAGCAAAGTCTCAGGATACAAAATCAATGTGCAAAAATCACAAGCATTCCTATACACCAAGAACAGACAAACAGAGAGCCAAATCATGAGTGAACTCCCATTCACAATTACTACCAAGAGAATAAAACACCTAGGAATCCAACTTGCAAGGAATGTGAAGGACCTCTTCAAGGAGGACTACAAACCACTTCTCAAGGAAATAAAAGAGGGCACAAACAAATGGAAGAACATTCCATGCTCATGGGTAAGAAGAATCAATATTGTGAAAATGGCCATACTACCCAAGATAATTTATACATTCAATGCTATCCCCATCAAGCTACCACTGACTTTCTTCACAGAATTGGAAAAGACTACTTTAAATTTCATATGGAACCAAAAAAGAGCCCACATAGCCAAGACAATCCTAAGCAAAAAGAACAAAGCTGGAGGAATCACACTACCTGACTTCAAACTACACTACAAGGCTACAGTAACCAAAACAGCATGGTACTGGTACCAAAACAGATATATAGACCAGTGGAACAGAACAGAGGCCTCAGAAATAACACCACACATCTACAACCATCTGATCTTTGACAAACCTGACAAATACACACAATGGGGAAAGGATTCCCTATTTAATAAATGGTGCTGGGAAAACTGGCTAGCCATATGTAGAAAGCTGAAACTGGATCCCTTGCTTACACCTTATACAAAAATTAACTCGAGATGGATTAAAGACTTAAACGTAAGACCTAAAAACCATAAAAACCCTAGAAGAAAACCTAGACAATACCGGTAATTCAGGACATAGGCATGGGTAAAGACTTCGTGACTAAAACATCAAAAGCAATGGCAACAATAGCCAAAATAGATAAATGGGATCTAATCAAACTAAAGAGCTTCTGCACAGCAAAAGAAACTATCATCAGAGTGAGCAGGCAACCTACAGAATGGGAGAAAAGTTTTGCAATCTATCCATCTGACAAAGAGCCAATATCCAGAATCTACAAAGAACTTAAACAAATTTACAAGAAAAAAACAAACAACCCCATCAAAAAGTGGGCAAAGGATATGAACAGACACTTCTCAAAAGAAGACATTTATGCAGCCAACAGACATATGAAAAAATAGTCATCATCACTGGTCATCAGAGAAATGCAAATCAAAACGATAATGAGATATCATCTCACGCCAGTTAGAATGGTGATCATTAAAAAGTCAGGAAACGACAGATGCTGGAGAGGATGTGGAGAAATAGGCACGCTTTTACACTATTGGTGGGAGTGTAAATTAGTTCAACCATTGTGGAAGACAGTGTGGCAATTCCTTAAGGATCTAGAACTAGAAATACCATTTGACCCAGCAATCCGATTACTGGGTATATACCCAAAGGATTATAAATCATGCTACTATAAAGACACATGCACACATGTGTTTATTGCTGCACTATTCACAATAGCAAAGGCTTGGAACCAACCCAGACATCCATCAATAATAGACTGGATAAAGAAAATGTGGCACATATACACCATGGAATACTATGCAGCCATAAAAAAGGATGAGTTCATGTCCTTTGCAGGGACCTGGATGAAGCTGGAAACCATCATTCTCAGCAAAATATCACAAAGACAGAAAACCAAACACCACATGTTGTCACTCATAAGTGGGAGTTGAACAATGAGAACACATGGACATAGGGAGGGGAACATCACACACCAGGGCCTGTTGTGGGGTCAGGGGCTGGGGGAGGGATAGCATTAGGAGAAATACCTAATGTAAATGATGAGTTGATGGGTGCAGCAAACCAACATGGCACATGTATACCTATGTAACAAACTTGCACATTGTGCACATGTACCCTAGAACTTAAACTGTAATAATAATATATATATAGTTAAGCTGTTGATTTAAAATCTTTGTCTAGTAAGTCCAATATCTGGGTTTCCTTGGGGACAGTTTCTAGTAAATTTTTTTCCTGTGAGTGGTCCATACTTTTTTGTTTCTTTGCATACCTCAGGTTTTTTTTGTTGTTGTTGAAAACTGAACATTTTAAATATTAGAATGTGGTAACCCTGGAAATCAAATTTCACCTTTTCCTTAAGATTTGTTGTTGCTGCTTGTTGTAGTTTGTAGCTGTTTGTTATTTAGTTACTTCTCCAAACTACTTTTATAAAGACTGTACCATTTGTAATGTGTAGTCTCCATTCAGTTAGGTAAGTGGTCAGCTAGTGATTTGATAGAGATTATCTGGAGCCAAAACAAAAACAAAAACAAAAACAAAACTCTTCCAGTCTTTGCAGATTGGCTCTGTATTGAGACATTCATTCAATGCTTTTAGTCAGGCTGTTCACACCAAGACTAATCTGCATTAGCCTTTACCTTCTACTTTCAAAAAGTCCAGTGGTCAGCCAGAGATGAAAGCTTAGAGTGTTCTCAGGCCTTTTCAAAACATGGTTCCAAACCTGGTATCTATATTCCCTGGTATGCATGTGAGCCTTTCAAAGCCTTATTCTCCCATATACCTCCTTCCCCACCCTCTTTCTTCCCAGGCTTTTTAGCCTACTTATCTGTGCCTCTTCTGTTTCCCCTTGCACCATGAGGCTGTCTGGTATCTTTGTCTTTAAATGCACCTGACAGATGCTTCCCAGGAGGGACTGCTCCAGCCCTGAGAATGTTGCGAGTCAGATAAAACAAAGTCAAGCTCTGAGCTGATCCCTCAGGGAACCTCTAGACAGGCCAGCCCACAGAACCACAATTCCTTGAGAACAAGGTTCATATTGTCCCCTCTGCTACTAGCAAGGTGCACCAGGAACAGGGGCTGTCATTCCATGGATGCTACTGAGCAGGGCTTTGAGGGATGGCAGGGGAGTAAGCTTAAAATGCTACAATGCTCTCTTACCAAAATTTAGCAGCATCTTTCTTAATTAAGCATTCCTCTGGTTGTTGCAAGTTTTTTCATTAGATTCCAGAACCTTGGATAAAGTTGTTTCTGACAGTGTTTGCCAGCTTCATTGTTGATCTAGTCAACGGATGTGGTTTTTGAGTTCCAAAATTAGAGTAACCACCATTTTTGGTGGCTTCACTCCCCTCTTTTTATGAGTTTATTTTTAAATCTTTATTTTTATTTATTTTAGAGACAGGGTCTTGCTCTGTCTGCCAGGCTGGAGTGCATTGGTGTGATCATGGCTCACTATAACCTCGAACTCCTGGGGTCCAGCATTCCTCCCACCTCAGCCTCCCAAGAAACTGGGACCACAGGCATGTGCCACCATGGCTGGCTAATTTTTTAATTTTTAGTAGAGATGATGTCTTGCTATGTTGTCCAGCCTTGTCTGGAACTCCTGGCCTCAAGTGATCCTCCTGCCTCAGCCTCCCAAAGTGCTGAGATTACAGGTGTGAGCCACCATGCCCAGCCCTCCCTCCTTTATAATTTTTAAAACCTATATTCTTTTCTGTGAATTATTTGTTCACTACCTTTGTCCATATTTTATTGGGTTATTAACTTTTTCTAATTGATTTGTAGTATTTTACCTAGTGGAGACATTGGCCACTGTTCTATGGCAGGAGTTTCAAATATGTTTCTCGGTTTGTCATTTGTCTTTCATCTTTGGTTATGATAGTTTTGGTTTTTTGTGTATGTGTATTTTTTTTGCCACAGAGGGATTTTGGAGGCTGTTTTCTTTCATGTAGTTGACTTTATCAATCTTTTTCTATTATGACTTCTGGATTTTTTAGTCATAATTGTAAAAAGCCTTCCTGCTCCAAAATTATAGAATAATTTCCCCATATTTTCTAGTAGAAACGTTATGGCTTAATTGCCCCACATTTAAACCTTTGATTATTTTGAACTTCTCCCTGGGTAAGCTATAATTAATAGATCCAGTCTCCCCCACCCCCTGCTCTGCCCCAGATATGCAGGTTCTTGAGTAAGAGATATTCTTAACAAGTTTGTTCAGCAAGTACTTATCAGTATTAATAGCCCCTGAGAAATAATGCTCATCTTGCATTGCTCTTGTTTCAGGATGTCCTGGTTTCTAATCCTAGCCCTTGCCACTTAATTACCATATGAACTTGGGCACCCATTCACCTCGTGGGAACCTTCTGTTTTCTAATCTGTAAATGGCAATAAGAGTTTCTGGGCTGGGCGCGGCGGCTCACGCCTGTAATCCCAGCACTTTGGGAGGCCGAGGCGGGCAGATCACGAGGTCAGGAGATCGAGACCATCCTGGCTAACACGGTGAAACCCCGTCTCTACTAAAAATACAAAAACTTAGCCAGGCGTGGTGGTGGGCGCCTGTAGTCCCAGCTACTCAGGAGGCTGAGGCAGGAGAATGGCGTGAACCCGGGAGGCGGAGCTTACAGTGAGCCGAGATTGCGCCACTGCACTCCAGCCTGGGTGACAGAGCGAGACTCCATCTCAAAAAAAAAAAAAAAAAAAGAAAAAGAAAAAAGAAAAAAGAGTTTCTGTCCTGCCTGTTGCACAGAGTTGTTATAAAATTAACCAAGACAATGTCTATTCCAAGACTGTGATGCTGTAAAATGCTAAACATGCTACTGCCTTTCGTCATGTTTAGCATTTTACAGTATCCACAGTCTTGGAATAGACATCGATAAAGGTAGAATCATAGCAGCACTTTCTATTTGGATGGCGCTTATTCCCGTGTAAATACCACAACCCTCACAACAACCCGGTACAGTGTTTGGCACATAGTAGGGGCCCAACAAATATTGGTTTGAATATTTATTGAATCTCTGTTGAATCTTTACTATTTTTCAAATGCTACTGTTTTATTCCACTGAACAAAACACACCAAATTCATGAACTCATGGAACTTGCATTCTAGTAGGACAGAGAAGTGCAATAATAAAATTTAAAAGTAAAAGATATGTTAGATAGCAAGCAATGCTAAGAAGAAAAATAAAACAGGGAAGGGAAAGAGTGTTGGAAGAAGAGGGATGAAATAGGGCACTCAGAAAATCTCATTAAGAAGGTAACGTTTGGACAGAGCCTTGTGAGAGTGACATAATGGCTCTATGGAGGAACAGCAAAGGCCACTATCCTCCAAGACTAAAGGACAAGTGGAGGCCAGTGTGGCTGAAGTGCAGTGAGCAAAGGCAGGAATGCTGGAGAGTAAGAGATGTAAGGAGGATGAAATGCAGGGGGCAGATTCTTGCAGCCTTGAAGCACATGGCAGGGACTTTGGCTTTTATTCTGTAAAAGGTAGAAAGCCACCGGAGGGTTTTGAAGAGAGTAGTGACATGACGTGAGCTAGGTTTTAACAGGATCCCTTGGTCTGAGAACAGACTGAAGACAGGCCAGGGAAGAAAACACAGGACCCATTAGGAGGCATTAGCAGGCAGCCAGGCAAGAATGAAGGAGACTTGGACCACATCCGTGGGGGTGGAGGGGAGGAAAAGTGGTCAGATTGTGGGTCTGTCTTGAGTGTAGAGAGGACAAGCTTGCTGACAAGATTAGATGGGATGTGTTCGGTGTGAGAGAAGGGAGTTAAGGATGACACTAAAGCATTTTTTGACCCAATGGATGGGTGAAGGAGTAACTTGTTACTCTCATTTTGCACTGTGGAAAGAGGCCCAGAGAGGTTAGGGGACCTGTTCAAGGTGGTGCAGCACATTGGCAGCAGGGCCCAGACTAAAATCTGCCTGCAGCAGGGCCTTTGACCAGCAGGAGCCAGGGGGCTCTGGGAACCACAGACCTTCACCACCTTCTGAGGGTCCCTGTGCACTGTGCTCCTCCTTGCAGAGGGAAGGCCCGCGAGGGGCGCAGCCCCACCAGGTGGGCGGCCTTGCCCTCAGACTGCCCGCTGGTGCTGCGGAAGCTCATGCTCAAGGAAGACACCCGTGCTGGCTGCAAGTGCCTGGTGAAGGCGCCCCTGGTCTCTGACGTGGAGCTGGAGCGCTTCCTGTTGGCGCCCCGAGACCCCAGCCAAGTGCTGGTGTTTGGGATCATCTCAAGCCAGAACTACACCAGCACTGGGCAGCTCCAGTGGCTGCTGAACACTCTCTACAACCACCAGCAGCGGGGCCGTGGCTCCCCCTGCATCCAGGTTGGTCTGGGCCCAGTGAGGAGGCCCTGGAGGCCAGGGGCAGGGGTAGTGGGGCAGTCCGAGAAAACCCCCACAGTGCTAGGACTGGCTGAGCACCTGCCTGAGGGGCCACCCTCCTTCAGCTCCTTTCTCCTTGGAGTCTTTGTGTGTACTCTCCTGTCTGCAGTGTCCTCCCTCCCCCTGCTTCTGTCCTTCCCGCTCATCCTCTAGTTCTAAGGTGAATGTCACCACATAAGGGCCAGGCCCTCTTCTGACCCTTGAGACAAAATCAGGGCACTGTCCTTTCCTTCCAGTTTGTGACTGCTTGTTGGTGTGAATATTTAGAGCACGGGCAGTGCTCACCACTGAATCCTCAGGGCTCTGAAAATACTTGTAGACTGTCACAAGTACCCACTGTGTGCTGGGCATGGACCGGGCCCTGGGCACCCAGCATGACTCAGATGCAAACCGGGCCCTAGAGGAGCTCCCAGTGTGGCAGCAACTCCAGCACTGCCAGTGAGGCCGTGAGAGGACAGCTCTGGGCACACAAGAGCCTGGGAACATGTGCCTGCTGCCATCTGGGGGTCCGGAGGGCCATCCAGGTTAAATGGGGTTTTGGCAGGTGATTAATGTTCCTAGAAGAGGCAGTGGCCTGTGCGAAGGGGGACAGGAGAGAAGCACTGCTCAAGGTCCCAGCTGGTTATGGCTGAGGTCTAAAGGGAGTCTTCAGGCCCATGGAACCCACTCCTGCCTACTCATCGCTGCAGTAGAGTCGTTCCCACCTATCAGGCTTATGTAATCCTCCAAGCATGCAGTCATTCCCAGCAACATTGGCACAGTTTGAAGGCTGGCCCCAACCCCAGACCAACTGGAGCAAAGGATGGCACATGAGCACATGAGCTGGGTGTCCACATGGTGACTTCCTTCAAGCCCTGTTTGCCCTCCTGTCTCCTAGAATCCGCTGTCTTTGCCCATTTCCCAATTGCTGCTGCAGAGTTCTGGGTTTCATGTACACCAGGGGTAGGGGTTCTGCATGGACACCCTCCTCCCAGAAGTGGCCCCTCCCTGACTCTGGCACGTCCACCCTCGGGTCTGTGCTCCAGACCTTCTGAGCAGACACCAGTAGCCCTTTGACCATCTCAGTCCAAGAGTGTAGACTCAGCCACAAGCCTTTTCACTTGTCCCATACAGCAAAGCCATGTTTGTTTTCCAGAGCCAACCTCCAATTTAGTTCAATCCAGTGAGCATGTATTGAGTTAATTCTGTGTGTCCGTCCATGTAGAGACAGATAAAATCCCTGCCCACGGGGGAACTTAGAGTTGATTTTAGCTTATTATGGGGCTAGTCGTTGTTCGCTAACAGTTGTCCCTAAGCAATTGGAGTGCTCAGGTGGCCAAGCCCAGCCATGAACAGTGTGAGTGAGGACAGGGCGTGGCCTGAGGCAGTTGAAGTTCATAAAGGAGTGGGCAGCAGGCCTGGAGGACAGACTTGGAAGCAGGTGTCAGATTAGGGTGTCTTTGGTGAATGCAGAAATGTTCCCAGACTTTCTCTTTCCCTGACAGCTAGAACACTGGGTGTGGTTCTGAGTTTCATATTGTAGACTGAAAGGATAGCTGGAGGCACCTGGAAATAAGGCAGATAAAATGGGAAGACAGCACATTGGCTGTATTAATAGATCTGAGGCATCCAGAAAGAAGGAGGGGAGAGAGGCCAGCTTTCCTCTGAATTGCCCACACCCTACCTTGAGGTGTGGGTTCAGTTCAGGTCCTCTCCCTGGATATAGTGACTGGGAGGGTCCTGAGGGGCTTGCCAGGAGTGGGTAGGGAGTGGGGGAATTCTTTATGCTGTGTAAAGTAGACTCAAAAGCCTGGAAACGGGTCCACCTAAGAACACAGTTCCCATCTTCAAACCTCTGCAGTGCTACCTCCAGGGCAAGGGAGCAGTCACATTCTGTGGACCCCAGAGAGCCAGGCTAGTGGGAGTCACATGTGGGGCAGCCATCTCGGAAATGGCCTTCTCCCCTAGCGGGCTCTAATCAGATCCAGGGACATCCTCAAGGGACAGTCATGGGAGGTGTGCATGCAGGCCCAAGGGCCCCTGGAGCAGGAGGAGTTGGGGAGAGGGAGTTGTACAGGGCTCCAGGACTCAGGGGGAACCAGGCCTAGCCGAGAATATGGCAATCCAGGTACATCTTATTGGCATGGGGGTGACCAGTTCTCATATTTCTCTCCTGGTAGTGCCGGTATGACTCCTACCGCCTGCTGCAGTATGACCTGGACAGCCCCCTGCAGGAGGACCCTCCCCTGATGGTGAAGAAGAACTCTGTGGTGCAGGGGATGATTCTGGTGAGCCAGCAGGGACTTGCTATCCACTGCCTGCCACCCCAGCCGCAGCCACCTCTGCCCCTGCAGAATCACACATGTGGGAGGAGGAGGAGAGAGGAGAAGAAGGGAGGGGCTGCGGAATTATCTCCCCACCGTGGCTGAGGCCCAGAGAGCAGGAAGACTGACCAAGAGTCACCCAGCACACAGAGCTGGGGCTGAAGCCCAGGACCCTATGTGTCCCCCATCCCAGGAGACTGCAGGGACAGGTGACATTCAACCTAGCAAATCAAATTCCCTTCATCTGTTTGTTTTTAAATGGCTTTATCCTAAAAACAGTGTACTGTAAATACTTGCACATGTTCTTTATGGAAAGCTTAGAAAATATAATTTAGAAAATAATGACATCATCAGATCACTCAGAGAGTCTCATTTGCTCACCCCACAGATATGTACCTGGCACCTGCAAGGGCCACCACATGCTAACATTTTGGTGTCTGACCTTTGCAGTCCTTTTCTGCATATATTCTTTGCAATTCTTCTTTTTAAATTAAAATACCATGAGCATTTCCCCATGTCCTTATTTAGTTTGTAACACCTGATTTTTAACTACTGTGTAAGAGTCTGTCTTCTTTTTTTTTTTTTTTTTTTTTGAGACAGAGTCTCACTCTCTCACCCAGGCTGGAGTGCAGTGGTGTAATCTCGGCTCACTGCAACCTCTGCCTCCCGGATTCAAGTGATTATCCTGCCTCAGCCTCCCAAGTAGCTGGGACTACAGGTTCCCACCATCATGCCCGGCTAATTTTTGTATTTTTAGTAGGATTGGGGTTTCACCATACTGGCCAGGCTGGTCTCGAACTCCTGACCTTGTGATCCGCCCACCTTGACCTCCCAAAGTGAAGAGTCTGTCATTTTATCTATTTGTGCTGTTTTTGTTGACATTTAAGTTATTTGTATTTTTTTGCCATAACAAATAATGCCGTCATGAATATTTTTGCACAGAAATATTTGGGTAGGTGTCTACTTGTTGGGGACTGACCTATGGGGGTGGGAGCCCTGCCCTCAAGGGTTTCCCATTCCATGGGATAAGCTGAAACGTACATACACAGCAGGAGAACACATTTCTGGCCCCAGGGCTCTGTGGGGTTGTATGTGAAGTGCATTTGAGCTGGGTGGCCAAGCAGGCAGAAGGGAAGGAGTGCTGCCCTCCTCAGGTTGCCCAGGGAGATATGGCTGAGCCAAACCCCTGACCAGGCCCCCAGATCATAGGGCAACCCCACCGTCCCAGCCTGGGCAGGGGCTGGACTCAGCCATACCTCCCTGGGCAACTCAGGGAGGGCAGCACTCCTTCCCCAGCCACCCCAGGCCTGCCTCACGGCGTAAGCTCTGAGAGGCCTGTGGCGCTGTTCTAGTGAAATTCCAAACTTGCCTGTCTTATCAGTGGACACTGCTGTGCTGATGTGCTGAGGATCTCTCCTCATTTCCTTCCTGTCAACAGATGTTTGCCGGGGGGAAGCTCATTTTTGGGGGCCGTGTTTTGAATGGATATGGCCTCAGCAAGCAGAATCTGCTGAAACAGATCTTCCGGTCTCAACAGGATTACAAGATGGGCTACTTCCTGCCGGATGACTACAAATTCAGGTAAAACAGGAAACACGCAGGATGAGGGATGGGCCTGGGGAGGTATGGAGGGCAGAAAGGAGACTTGGGCTGTGAAAGGGGAACTGAGGGGAGCAGGCGGGGCTGAAGGGATGGAGTGGGGAGGGGGGCTGGAGGTGGGAAGCCTCCACCTGTGGCACACACATGGCAAAAACTGCGGCAGGAGGACTTTGCAGGTGGGCAGGGGAGAGATGGGAGCAGGTGCAGAGTGGGAGGGGGTGTGTGAGCAAAGCCATGTTGTGGGTTTCTTTGGGACACAAGTTTGGAAAAAGAGCCCCCTTGGGGAAAGAGGGACATGGGAATGCTTGCACAGTCCCTGTTTCTGTTGGAATATTCTAGACAGGTTTGGTGGGCAGGAGCTCTGGCTACACCCCCTCTCTGTCCCACCACACCCTACCACCACCTCATGTGCAAGCTGGGCTCTGCTTCTGCTTTGTTTTTTTGTTTGTTTGTTTTGAGACAGGGTATCACTCTGTTGGCCAGGCTGGAGTACAGTGACGCGATCATAGCTCACTGCATCCTTGAATGGCTGGGCTCAAGTGATCCTCCTGCCTCAGCCTCCCCACACAGACAAAGGCCATTCATGAAGTGATCCCAGGCCCCTGTAGCAGGAAATGCTGGCTTAAGTCTGCCTCTGGGCTTCTGAGCTTGGGCTTTTCAACCAGGTGATGCCAACTTGTTGAGCACCTCCTGGGCCCAGCTCTCGTGAGATGATCTTCTTGAGCCGAGAGACCTAGCTTTGAGTGGCTCAAGAAGAATACATCCTAGTCCAGGAAGGAGCCTGCGCTGCATGAAGCGCCTGAAGACTGCTTTAGGGGAACATGAGCAGATTTGAGAATGCCTGGGCAGCACGGTGCAGTGAGACACTTGCAGGATGAGGTTGGAGCCCCTGCTCCACTCTACTGGCTGGGTGACTGTGGTGAATCAGTTTACCTCCCTAATCCTCTGTTTCCTCACCTTCAAAATGAGGAAATAATGCCCACCTTGAGAGGCTGTGAGGATCTCATGAAAGTGTGTTCGTTAAAGAGCTTTGTGAACTGTGAAGCAAATGATGGGGCATGTGGAAAGTGTTATTTATATGCAGACCTGGGGTATGCAGCCCTAAGTCCTGTGACTGCACCCCCACAGCACCGAGTCTGGGTACCCCCTACTCCCACACAGGACCCTCAGTTTTCTAGGAGTCTTATGCCCTTCTCACTGCAGTAAGCTGAGTCTGGGCCTTGTCCGAGTGGGGCAACCCACTTCTGGAGGAACTGAAGAGGTCATGCCAAGTGACCCCCACAACTCAGAGCACTCAGCGGGGAAGGCAGGCCCAGGAGGAGCCTGTGGATGGTAAGGAGGAGCAGATGCTGAAAGGTGCAGACAGAAAAGTCACTGAGACCCCACTGCCTGAGACTTCAAGAGGGAGAGGGCTTGGTGGTCCTTGAAGACCAGTCACCAACAATCCCAGGGAGAAAGACAGAGGCACCAAGGGCAGGACAGGACAGGGGGACGCTATTGGGAAGGGCCCAGGCTGAAGATGAGCTGAGGCTGCAGGAAGATGCCAAAGAGGACCAGCAAGGGCATTTTCAGAAACATTCAGAAGAAGGCTAGCCTGCTATGGTGCATGGGGAGTGAATGTCTTAGCCTGTTGAACATTTATTTCCCACTGTCTGGAGGCTGGTAAGTCCAAGACCAAGGCGCCAATGGATTTGGTGTCTGGGAAGGGCTGCTTCCTGGTTCATAGATGGCGCCTTCTTGCTGTGTCTTTGCATGGCAGAAAGGACAAGGGTCTCTCTGGGGCCTGTTGTATAAGGGCACCAATCCCATTCATGAGGGTCCCACCCTCATGACTGACTGCCTTACCTCCCAAAAGCTCTGCCTCCCAACACCATCACCTTAGGGATGAGGATTTCAGCATATCAATTTGGGGGGACATAGACGTTCAGACATCACAGTGGAGGATGCCAGAAAGTAGTTACAAAGAGACATATTTTATTTGGCTCTAGATGTCCTCAAAAGGAAGATGCTCTTTAGTAGGAAATGACAGTTTAAGGAGTCCGGCCACCTTTCATAGCTGCGTGAACTGTGTAAAACACTCACCCTCTCTGTGCGCCAGCTTCTTTGTAGAGTGAGACTCACTGTATTGGGTTATGGGGATTAGAGGAGTCAGCACATGGGAAGTGCTGGCACATAGCTCACGTTTACTGAGATTACTGCCTACCCTTGTTAGTGATATTATTATCATTAAAATGAGCTCTGGTCTCCTAATGTGTTATATTCAAGGATTCTGAAAGAACTTAGTGGTATGCTTACAACAGTCTTCAACAATTGTTCAGGAATGGTGAGGAAAGAATCAGAAAACTAGACACACATACATACACACAAACCAGATACACACATATACAAACTATACACATACATACAAACTATAAACACATGTAAACCAGACACACATGTACACACATTAGATTCCTGCACTTACTAGATGCACAAACACACACAAACTAGACACACAGAAGTAGACACAAACTAGACACACATACACATGCATACACTATACACACATATACACAAACCAGACACACACAAACTAGATAGAAACATACACACATACATACAAACTAGAAACATGCACACAAGATGGTCTAGGTTCTTGAAAATGGAAAGAGGCAGATTCGTGAAACTATTAACCAGTAGGACTCCTCCTAATCCTAGAATAGCCAAGTGGGTTGATGGTTTAAGAGCACTTAGGTGAAAAAAGGAAATAGAATCTTTAATTGAAAGCATTGCCATAGCAGTTGTTCCTATAATCCGTATCTGTGAAACAAACCACCCAAGCTTTGTAGGATAAAACAACACAATCGTTTATTATTATTATTATTATTATTATTATTGTTGTTGTTGTTGTTGTTGTTGTTGTTATTCTCTGTCATGGTCCTGGTGCCAGCTGGGCTCAGCTAAGTGGTTCTTGTTTGGCAGGAGTGAGAAGGTCTGTCATACAGTTACAGTCAGAAGTTGTCTGGGGCTAAGTCATCTCCAAGGTTTGCGCACTCCCATACCTGGTGGTCAGTGTGGACTGTCAGCCAGACCACTCAAATGTAGCCTCTCCAAGTGGCCTGGGCTTCCTCACAACATGGTGGCTGGGTTCCAAGAGGGAGCTTCCCAGGAAAGGGCCAGCGAGAAGCTGTCTTGCCTTTCATGCCTTAGCCTCATAAGTCATGCAGCATTACACATTCCATTGCACTGAAGTCCCTGGGGCCAGCCCATATTCAAGGTCGGGGGGAATTAGACACCACCTCTTGATGGGGAAAGAGTGTTGAAGAATTTGTGGACATGTTTGAAAAGCACTCCATCCACCCCAGTTCCTCTTCCAGCAGGGTGACTGGTTAGTAGTACAAGACGTGCTGTTGGCCGGCCGCATCACCTGGATTCCAGAAGATACTGGGTGAAATCTCACAATGTCCTCATGGACAAGGTGGATGCATGTGGTTCAGATGGTAGCTTCTGCAGCCACACCCCAGTGAGTGAGGTTCAGCAGCAGCCTAAAGGGCAGGCCTCTGTGATTGGCCGGTCCATTTATTTTCTAAATATGCAACCAGGATGAATACATAGAAGGCTTGCTGATCAGTTGTGCCCTTGAGGGAGAAGAGATGGCTGAATCAAGGTCTCAGCAGGCTCAGTTGCTACGGGATGGTTTGGGGGAAAGAATAAATGTTCACCTTTAGATTTGGAAGGCTGATGGTCAGAGGCCATGGAAGGGGTAGCGTGAGGGACCATTATGCTGGAAACAGTCTCTGAAATCAGAAGAATCCATGCCTAGAGCAAGGGAGTCTGCAGTGCCAGGAGCTGACATTGTTTTCTATGTCCTCCGTTTACTGAGGGATGTTGGCCAACAGCTTTGCATCTAGAGTGCTAGGAGAGGGAGGCCCTCACTGTTGCTTGGTGGGAATCATGTCTTCCTTACCCAGAGTAGACTTGGCTTTGCACAAGTGTTGGGGGGGAGTCCAGGAAATCCTTCTGTGGAGGTGAGGAGGTGGAGAGAAAAGCAATAGGTGAGCAGAGCAGGTGCAGGGAAGCTGGGCTGGAAGCCAGGTCCAGTCAGGTTGGGGTGGTCACCAGGCTGGGGGCACTTCAGCCTTCTCTTTCCTCAGAGGAGCTGGCCACAGAAAGAGTTCTCAATGTGGGCCTGGAATCTGTGAAGCCGCCATGGAGAGGCAAGGGCCAGGAGCAGGAAGAGGAACCCACAAAGGAGTCGGACCATAGGTGCTGGGGAAGAAAGGGTCCCCACGGGGGCCTCATGAGCTCCAGCAGGGGCTGGGGCAAGCTGTCACCTGGCAGGTAGATTGCCTTCTGACAAACAGAGCAGAAGGGTGAGGGCCTGCCAGGCCAAAAACAACTGGGGGAGTCTGCAGGGCCTCTGGGAGTGGCGGGCCCAGTGGGCTGCACCAAGATAAGGCCACAGAAGGCTCCAAGCTTGGGAAACAGCAGCCCAGCTCGGGGCCAGGACTGATCAGAGACCAGAGCTGTGTGAGGCTTGGAGCCTCCCTGTCCCCCACTCAGCCTGTGCCTTTTCTCCTTTCTTGTGTGGCAGATAGTGATCCCCTCCCCAGGGCAGCCCTGTGCGGGGCGCTGGGTCACATCTGGCTCAGCCCCTGTCCTTGCCAGACTCTTCCCAACTGGGCACCAGCACAATAGGGACCGGAGAGGCCAAGAGCTCATCCTCACTCCCGAAAGCTTCCAGGCCCCCAGATGGAGGGGACTGAGGGAGCTCTGACACCTGGTAGGGCTCAGGAGGCTGGAGCTGCCAGGAAAGCTTTCAAGCAGCCAGCAGTAGCCAGGCTGGGAAGAACAGCCCAGAACACATGCAGAGCTCGTGAGTCTGCACCATGTCCACCTGCACACGACAGTCACTGCTATCCCCCTGCCTCCGTCATCACCCTCAGGGGCAGCCGGCGAGGGGGAGGGGGGTCACACACTAGTCACTATTTGCAGGCCCCTATCTGTGCCAGTGAGCAGAGGTGCTGCCCGGCTGCACTCATACAGCAGTGGGGACGAGGTACACAAGAGACCAGGACTGGACTTGTGACAGTGGTGACGGGGCGTGAAGGGCCCACCAGGCAGGGAGGGCAGTTGGCCCTCTTAGCTCAGCCTGCCAGCACCCAGGATGCAGAGAGTGGGTAGGTGAAGAGGTGGGGCGCCAGGGTAGCTGGAAGCCAAGTGCAGCCGGCCTGACCCCCAGCCAGGGCGGCTGTCCCCTTCCTGAGTGTGGCCAGAGCTGTGGGAGGCTTTGAGGAGCGTGGCCAGGCGGCTTTGAGGAGCGTGGCCAGGCAGCTTTGTCAGGACGACGGCTCCGACTCACTGTGGAAGATGTCTTGGAGCACAGGAGACCAGCGAGGGCCGGAAGCCTCTGCTTTGTCCCTCCATTGTCACATCCTCCTGCTGGGACCTCTCGGAAAGGCCATTCTCCATCTACCTAGGACTGGAGCTAACTGGCCAACTGTCTGCCTCGCCTGCTAGCCTGTTAGGTCCCCAGGATGGGAATGTGCCAGACCTGGTGTCCTGGAGCCCTCACAAGTGTCTGGGGTGGAGGCGCCTGGCAGTGCCCCTTTGTGGTGCTGCCCTTGGGCCTAGCATGGGGTGGTGGGGAGAGGAGAGTGAAGCCTTGGGCTCCAACCCCAGCTGCTAGGCAATGTGGGAGTCTGGTGGGTGAGCTTCCTGCAGAAAAGATGACCCCGGGCCCTGAGTGCCCATATTAGAGAAGGGAAAGTGGAGGCCCAGCCAGGGTAGGGAGGTGCCCTGGAGAGACAGTGTGCCCAGGTGATGCCACAAACCTGGCCTTGCCCTTGCTGGGCCTCAGTCCCCTCCCTGTGGGATGGGGGTGTAGTTCTTTCTGGACCATTCTCAGAGGAGTGAGTTGAGAGGATCAGAAGCTGTCAGAGATGACTGCACCTGTGATGACAAAGTGTTCCTTAAACTGTCATGTGCCCTGTGAACTGCAAAGCCCTGTGTAAACTTTAATGCACCCAGTAAGCCACAGAGTACTTTGCAAACTGTCATGAATTCTGTAAAAGACAAAATCCTTTGTAAATTGCCACATGTCCCCAAAATCACAAAGGGCTTTGGAAGCAGCAATGTGCCCTGTAAACCAGAAAGCATCTTCTACACTGCTGTGCGCCCTCACGGGCCTGCTCTCCAGAACAGCAGAGCACTCCGTAAGCTACTGTGAGCCCCGTAAAGTGCTCTCTAAACTGTAATGCACCTCCTACCCTTCAAAGCAGTTTGTAAACCATAAGACACTCTAGAAGGGACAAAGCACGGTATAAACCGTCAAGGGCTCTGTGAAACGCAGACCACACTACCAACTGGAATGAGACCTGATAAAGACAGAGCGCTACAGAAACACCAATGTGAGCCTCAAGAGGCTTTGTATCCTGTAACATGCTATCCAGATGGGAGGGGAAGCTCTTTACAGCTGCGCCACTTGGTAGCACCCCTGCCCCTTGCCCACCTCAGAAGAGGCAGGAAGAGACTAGGTGGAGGCAGGAGGGGTAGGCAGGGGAGTGGGGAGGGCACAGGGTGAGGAGACTGGGTCTCTAGTTGGATCAGCAGTGCAGGGGGCCCACACCCTCGTCCGCTGCATACACCAAGACCCCTCCAAGGATGGAGCTGTGGAGAGCAGGCCCCGTGCTCAGCAAGGAGCCAGCCACCGCCAGGCCCTCCCTCTATGATGCTGCTCTGAGGAACAGCAATCCACCCTTACCGGCTGCTCATGCCAGCAACCCCACACCCCACTCAGCCCAAGGAAGCCCCTTGGACAGGCAGGGGAAGGGCATGCAGACGTAGGCTTTCCTGACTTGATCCTACAGGCAATGGGGAGCTAATGAAGGTTCTTGAGCTGAGAGAGACTTGATCAGAGTTGGGCTTTAGACTCATGAACCTGGCAGGGACTGGGTTGGGGCTAAGCAGGGTATCATGAGCTTGTCACAGCAGCAGACAGTAACGACGGATGAGGATGGTGTTAAAACTACCTCTTTTCTGGACTGGGGCCTGAGGGGGCGCTGAGTAGAGAGAAATTACCTTCCTGAAGTAGACCAGGGGCTCAGAAATAGTGGGCTAGCCGCAATACCATGGGGAGGTGGGCTCCACACCCGACAAGGGCCTGTTCTTGTGGATGCTTTTCCTTTTCACTGTGGTGAGTACAAAGGCTTTGAAATTCCTGGAGGGACTGGCCTGTTGCAAAGCCCCCGATGGTCTTTTTTGCTTATCCCTGACCAAGGATGGTCTCAGAATCAACCTCTAGATTAGTCTTCCAGAGAAGCACCTGGCCCACTGTCAGCAGGGACATGTGTTCCTGTCACCCCAGCAGGACAGCTGTGTGGCTCTGCTGGCCTAGTCGTTCACGATCCTCTGATGTCCCCATCATTTGGTTCATTCGTTCATTCACTCACTCATGCCTGGCTAAGAGCCAGACACAGGAGGTGCCAAGGCGCTGAGACCAAATCCTGCTGAGGCACTTGCAGGGCAAATTCATAGAGCTGTGAGCAGTGCACCATAATAAGCACGGAGGCAGAGGGGACGGTGGAGGAAATCTCACCTTCTGCTAGAGCTCAGAGGGCTTGGCAGAGGAGGGGACCTGGGAGGCTGGCTTGAAGGATAAGAAGAAGGCCCAGCAAAGGAGGAGAGGGAAAAGGCACTCAGGAGGGGCTGGGGCAGGCAAGGGCTCAGTGCACCGCAGGAACCTGTGAGCAGGAGGGCTGTGGATTTAGGGGAGCCACCAAGACAGGCTGTTAGAAAAACATGCTGATAGTTTGGGCCATGTATCTGTAACATGCTATCCAGATGGGAGGGGAAGCTCTTTACAGCTGCGCCACTTGGTAGCACCCCTGCCCCTTGCCCACCTCAGAAGAGGCAGGAAGAGACTAGGTGGAGGCAGGAGGGGTAGGCAGGGGAGTGGGGAGGGCACAGGGTGAGGAGACTGGGTCTCTAGTTGGATCAGCAGATTCTGACAGACCCTGAAGCAGGCGTCATGCCGTGGGGGCTGGAGCTTACCCCTGCAAGCATCAGGGAACCACACACTGGCTTTAAGTGGGAGAGACAAGGCCAGATCAAGGAGGACCAGCCCTCTGGTGGGGCGCGGGGTAGGGGCACTGGATGGAAGAGGGTGAGGCTGGAGACAGGGAGAACAGGGAGGAGGCCAGTACCCAGGGTGGGGACATTTCCCAACTGCTGGGACGGAGGGGCTGGCTGTGAACTCAGGGCCTTCTATAGGTATTTAGTCCTAGAGCTGAGCTCAGGGAGGAGGTGCTCTGGGAATGAATGAAAGAAAGAATGAAATGTCCAGGTGAGGGGGACCATGCTTCTTTCCGAGCCTTTTCCCCTGCACTCCTCAAGCACTCAACACCAAACAGAGTTGCTGGGACCTCCTCCACATCCACCCTGGGCTGGGGCTCTAGGGGGGCCCTGGAGGAGCCCATCAGCCTACCCTGCGTCTCCTGCCCTCCACCCTGCCCCCTGAGAATGGCAGGGACTGGACCATAGGCCCAGACACTTCCACAGTCCACCTCTTCTCAAAGGGCCTCAGGCAGGCCTCTAAGAGAGGCGTTTAAAGGGTCAGCTTAGTTTAGTGTGTGTGCTCCTTGTGAGGCCGGATTGGAGGTAAGGGGCTGCAAAGAGGCGTTAATTTGCCACATGTAAACGTTGTGCATACACCCAGATTCTGAGGCCCGGTCTCGGCATTTCTTGGTGTTTAGTTTTTCTAGGGCCCTTGAAATGACGGAGTAGGCTGTGTCTCCTCTTGTCTCTGAAAGGCCCTGGCCTTAAGCAAGTCACCTGTGATTCCCTTGCTTGATCTATACAAACAAAACAGATTTAGACAGCCCGTAAACACTGTTTCTTGCTCTAGGCCTTGTAGGATGGCCCCTGCCTGGACAGTCCCTCCACACCCACTTCCTGTCCCCAGCCCAGCCTTAGCCACATACTCCCAGAGCTACCTCAAGCCCCCTCCCCAAGCCATGCCCCTTTCTTCAGCACCAGATACTGCTACCCATGACCCCCACCAGGTTGTAAACTCCTCAGGGCCGGACGCATAGTAGAGGCTCAGTAAATATGACCGAGTGACTAGACAGTGCATACATGGGCCAGTCCTGTCTCTGCCATTGACTTACTATGTGCCCGTGAATAAGCCCACTCACCTCTCTGGACTTCGGGGCCCTTGTCAGGAAAATGGGACAAATGTCCCAGAGTTGCCTGCTTCCCAGGGCTGCTGTGAATCTCAGAAACATCCCGTAACTCAGAAACACTGACAATGAATGGCTGCAAAGCTGTGAGGTGTGGCACAGAGGTAAGGAATAGCCACGTTTGTGTTGGCTGGAGCTGCTGTAACAAGGGGCTGTGGTCTGAAAGTGTGCCCCCCAAAGTTCATGTGTTGAAATCCTCACCTCCAAGGCAATGGTTTAGGAGGCAGAGCCTTGGGGAGGTGATTCATGGGATGGAACCCTCATGAATGGGATTAGTGCCCTTATAAAAGGCTCCAGAAGGACCCTCGCCCCTTTCCCTGTGTGAAGTTATGAGAACACAGCCATCTGTGATGCAGCAGGTCCTCACCAGGCACTGAATCTGCAGGTTCCTTGATGACGGGCTTCCCAGCCTCCAGAATGGAGAGGAACCTCTGTTGTTTCACAGCCACCCAGCCTATGGTATTTTGTAATAGCTGCTCGAACAGCCTAAGACACAAAGGTGACCCAAACTGAGTGGCTGAAACAACAGAAATTCATCCTCTCACAGTTCTGGATGCCAGAAGCTTGGACCAAGTTGTGGGCAGGGCCACGCTCTTCCAGAAGCTGCTAGGGAGGCTCAGTCCCAGGCCTTGCTCCCTGTTCCTGGTAGCTCCTTGGCCTATGGCCACAGAACTGCAGTCCTCACATGGCATTCTCCCAAATTTCCCCTTTGTAGAGGAACACCAGTTATGTTGGATTGGACCCACCCTCCTCCAGTATGGCCTCATCTTAACTAATGATGTCTGCAGCGACCCTATTTCCAAATAAGGCCACGTTCCGGGGTCTTGGGGTTTAGGACTTCTACATATGTATTTGGGGGACATGTGTTCAGCCCACAATACCACACATGATGACACATTTCCTTTGCCCCCTGTCATCTCTCCTGTGGTCACTTACGGAGCCCTCCCGCCCCACCGCAGGCATTTGCTATGGTCAGTGTTGGGGGTGCGAGTGTAGCAGCATTTGGGTTAGGGCTAATCCAGCCCAAAATAGAAGCCAGGGAAGCCAACCTCCAGCATGTCACTGGGTCCCCAAGGAGGTCAGAGTCTCCCTTCGCTGCCCTCAGGAGGAGAAGCACTTGTGTCCTTGTCTGTCCAGGCTCCCAGAACACTGATGGGACAGCGTGCAGTGCACCCTGGGCCCTGAGCACTGCCCCCGACCCTGCCTCCCCTGCAGTGTTCCCAACTCTGTCCTGAGCCTGGAGGATTCTGAATCAGTCAAGAAAGCCGAGTCAGAAGATATCCAAGGAAGCAGCTCCTCATTGGCCCTGGAAGACTATGTGGAGAAGGAGTTATCTCTGGAGGCTGAGAAGTAGGTGACCACATCAGCTGCCAGAATGGGCGTGGCTCACAGCAGGCCACCTCGGGGCTATTTGGCCTTGGGCAAGTCACTACCCCCAGGCGTGGCCTGGGTCATGTCCAACCATCGCTGACATCTAGCCCATGTAATCAACACAATATTGGGCGGGCATGCAGGCTGCCCTGGAGCTGCTCGCAGTGGTCTGGGTGGTAGAGATGGAGGCCTTTTGTAGACTTTGCAGCAGAACCCCACAGCCCAGACCCATTAGTCTGAGAAGGGTGGAGACTGCCCCGCTGTCTCCTTGCAAGAAACTTGCTGCACCTGTTAAAGGCCACTTACTTGCTGGTGCTGGTAACCATGAAATGAATCACACATTCGGCATGGCGTGGAAATCACATATTTCTCATGAAGATAGAAAAGCAAAATTAGGAGCATGTAGAAAGGTCGCAGGTGCCACCGGGGCCCTCTGGTTGGAACAGCACCCAACAGCCTCACCTGTGCAAGGGAGAGGGCCTTGCCCCTCCTGGCCCAACCGGGCCTGGGCTCTGGGCACTGTGAAGAACAGCCCTTCCGCCTCCCGGCCCTCTATTTTGATCTTTAGGACAAGAGAGCCTGAAGTGGAGCTACATCCTCTCAGCAGGGACAGCAAGATAACTAGTTGGAAGAAGCAGGCCTCCAAGAAGTAGCGCCATCCTGGCAGCAGCCAAGTGAGCCAGGCCCCGGCCCGGGGTGCTGGGGCTTCTTGCCAGCCCAGCCCTGCCTCCCCGGTCTCCCACCCTGTCCTCCAAGCTTCTATAATAAACCAGCGGGCCTCCAGCATTGGGGTGAGGCTCTGGGGAAGGACAGACCCAGCTCATTCTGTCTTCTGTGAGGCTAGAGGCCCCCAGCAGACTTGTCCCAGGTCACGTCCTTGGAAACTCGGTTCCCCCGATGCAGAACTTCCTCTGCGGCCAGTTAAGTCAGCTGAGGCCCTCCCACACTCAAGGAAGGAAGCTACCTCCAAGAGGTAGCGCGAGGATAGGTGACCCAGTAACCCCCAGGATGCCCAGATGGGACTGAACTGGGCCTCCTATACCCTTCCTGGGTGAGGGAGGCTCAGTCTATGGTGTAGGTGGGAAAGACAGCAAGAAGAGAACAGTGAAGAGGCAGAGAGAAAGGCCAAAGGCAGGGAAGAAGAGACAAAGGGAGAAATGAGAGGAGGAGCAAGGAGAGAGAGGAAGAAAAAAGTGAGGGGGGAGGGGAGGGGGTAAGAAAGAAGATGGAGGAGGGAGAAGGAGAGAGGAAAAGTAGGAGGAATAAACAAGGAGGGAGGGGGAGGGGAACAAGTAAGGAAGGAGGGGAGGGAGGAGGGGAACAAGTAAGGAGGGAGGGGCAGGAAGAAGCAAGTGTGGAGTGAGGAGGGAGTTAAGAGGGTGATGGGGAAGAAATCACTGAGGGGGGATCTGAGGAAGATGAGAATGGTGCAGGCTGGGAGACTTAATGACAGAGTGCTCACCCCTAGGGACCCTTCAGTGATGCCCTGAAAGCCAGAGCCCTGTGGCCTCCTGGGGGCAGACATCCCCACTGAGCCCAGCCACAGTGCCATTTGGTGCATTTCGGGCTTCTTTCCTGAGCCACAGGCCTTAGAAATCCTTGCCAGCATCAAGGGGCCCAAGACAGTAGTCCCTCTGGGGTGCTAAGTTTCCCCATGTCCCTGAGGGTGCCTGTGAGGGACAGAGATAACCCCTGCTCTGGGCCCACGGCTCTGGGCTGTCTCGTCCTAACCCCTGCGCTGGGCCCACGACACTGGGCTGTCTTGTCTGGGTTCACCGGAGCCCTTTCCAGGAGCAGCTGAGGACTCCAGAAGGTCTACCTTTTTCTCCCAGCCCAGAGCAGAGCTCAGGCCTTGAGCTGCAGGCAGCATTTAGTGAGATGTTGCACTTAGAAATGCTTATGCTTCCTCTGTAATATAAGCTTTTTTAATCTGAATTTTTCAAGCTTTAATGTTTATCCTTTGTATCATTCAAAAATGTTTTTTGAATTATACACTTGTTCTTCTAGAAATGAATTTGAAATGGCTTGCGATATTCGTAAGCTTGTATCTTTGATATTTAAGGACCTTGATGTTTATCATGGGTCCCAGGGGCTCTATCCACTCTCCCCTCCTCCCCTCCTGAGCACAAGGACAGACAAGGATTGGAAGGCAAGGGAAAGAAAGTTCCACCTCTGTCCTTGCAGGCAGGCACCTTCCAGCCCCTAAGGCAAGACCTTGGTAAAGGCCGGAATGGAGACCTCGGCTCAGGCAAGGGCCTGAAACAAAGCCTCTGCCCTGCCACCCTAGACCTGCCTTGTGGGCCGTGTGCTCAGGAGTGCTTGCGTGGGTATGCCAAGCAGTCTGCATGCGCATGTCAACAGCCGCGAGCACTGTGCACACAGACCTGTCTCTGAAGGGCAGGTCCTGGCCCTGCCCACGGGGCTCACCACACTGAAAGGGGCAAAAATGAGCTGCTCGTGAGCGGGACGCCTCCCACTGGTGGAACAGGCCCAGCGAATGTCCAGGGCTGCAGAATCAAATGTACCTTAGGGAGGAGGGAGAAAAGGGGAAGCCCCTCTCCATGGAAACCCCAGGAGAGCAGGATAAGGCTTCACCCCTCAAAGATGCCCCCAACAAACCAGGCACGATGGAAAGGTGCTCGATCAACTGAGAACTGAGCCATAAACTGTTTTTGGACTCTTCAGGCTTCCTTCTGTTGTCGTTTTGGCTATAGGGAGGTCCAAGCCTCTCTAAGGAAAAAGCTGTGGCCCGATGCACATGGATGCTCTAGGGCAAACCCTGGCACATCTGCTGCTGCCTCACCCCCAGTCTTTGCAGGCAGCCCCTACCAACTACCTTCCCGTCTCTTCCATCCACGGAGTAGCTCTTTCCTCTAGCCAAGACTCAGTTTTTAGGAAGACTCCTCGGAGGAAGAGAGGGTGCAGCTAGAGCTAAAACCTACAGGGCGGGTTTTGTTAGGAGGCATTGCTGTGTGTGACCTGTGTCTGAGTAGGCGGCATCCCATTACTCACCTCCCAGGTTATCAGCCTGTCAGGGAGACATGGAATGGTCAGCAGCCCATGGCCTCTGGGAAATGGGAGCAGGGTCTCCCCTTATTACTGAGAATCCTTTCTTGTTCAGGCTGACCCAGTGGAAGGCCCAGGAGAGGGCAAGACTACCCATGAATAGACTCGGCGTCCAGGAAAACTAGGGCAAGGAGGAAACCCAGGAATCATGGTGTCTGACCCCTTGATCTGCAGGTGAACCCCCAAATTGGGGCTCAACTCATGAAAGTTTTTGGCTTTGCTTAGGAGGCAGCCCACAGTGAAAGAAAGCAAGTTTATTACAGCAACAGCTACAGCAAAATGGCTGCTCCATAGACAGAGCAGGGCTAGTTTATACCCACTCTTAATTATATGCTAAATAAGGGGTGGGATATTTGTGAACTTTCTGGAAAAGGGGCGGGGAGTTCCAGGAACCATGTAAGGTAACGTTCAGGGTGTTGCTATGGCATCATTCATAAACTATCGTGGCACTTGTGAGTGGCCTATGCAAATGTATTATAATTAGCATATAATGAGCAACAAGGGCAACTAGAGGTTGCTTTCATCACCATCATGGTCCTAGCTGGTTTGGGCCGGCTTTTTTGTTGTTCTTGTTACACTATGCTTCCATCAGCAGGGCAGTGACCAAGGCTTGGAAGACAAGTCCTGCTGATCTCCCACCTCACCCTCACTTTATAAAAAAGGAGACTGAAGCCCAGAGGAAGGATGGCGGTACAGTCAGCACACGGCAGCAGCGGGCAAGGTCTCCTCCCACCCCTCCCTGTGGAGGTGCATCCAGGACCTAGAGGAGGGAAACAAGGGCGAGGCTTCTGTCTCCAGCAACACTGCGCACTAAATGGCCTGAAAACACCATCTTGTTAGAAAACGCTAGAAATACTGGATAACATAAATTAAATACCCCTTTAATTACATATGGGAACTCACAAGGTCATAGGAAAAATCTTCAGGGGCTGAAACACAAGAGGAAGGAGGGGAAACCAGGTGGTAAGCACTTGTCTCATCAGCGTAAGTGACAAGGTGGTCTTTTCAAGGAATGGTGCTGGAACAACCAGACAGTTGTTTGGGAAAAATTAAATCAATCTTTACTTCATACCACTCACAATAATTAATTCAAAATGGATCATAGACCTGTACTTAAGAGCTAAAATTACAACAATTCTAGAGGAAAACATAAGGAAATATTTGTGATTTTAAAACAAAGATTTCCTAGGACAGTAAGAAAAAAAGAAAAGAAAAATAAAATGGACTGGACTTCACCTTAAAAACTTCTCTTCCAAAAACACTTTAAGAAAATATAACGGTGTACCACAAACTGGGAGAAAAATACAAATTTCTGGAATAAAGACCTCTTACGACTCAGGAAGAAAACCCTGTATTTTTTTTAAAGGACTAAATATTTGAACATACATTTTGCAAAAGTAGATATATAGATGGTTAAAAAAAAATGACAAGATGTCCAATGTCATCAGTCTTTAAGGAAATGCAAATTAAAACCACAAATGAGATACTACTAGAAACCTATTAGAATGGCTAAAAAAATTTTTTTTGAACTGAAAATGCCAAGTACTGGAAAGTATGTGCAGCAGCTAGAACTCCCATACATTGCTGGTGGGAGTGCAAAATGGTAAAAGTACTTTGGAAGAGCATTTGATGGTTTCTTATTAGTCACACTTCTTATAAGAGCAGTGCGAAGGCCCAGGGTGAGGAGCAGGTGGCAGACCCATTCTGTGAGGAGTGGTTGGAGGGCTTGGGCTGGCTCAGCCTGCACCCAAAGCCTGAGAGAGGCTCAGTCACTGTCCCTCACCTCTGCATGTCTGTCCCAAGGCCTGAAACTGGGAAAGTGAAATCACAGGCAGGTTTCAGCAATCTTCTGTTGAAATAAGATGGGATTTTTAGGCTGAATCCCAAAAACCATAGTCAGAAATTTCCCCAAGAACCCCTAGGTCCAAAGATGAATAGGGCCAGAGCTAGAACCAGCAGGATGTCTGTTCTGCAAGATATAAACACCCACCAAAGGCAGCCTGGTTTTCACCCACCTGGCAAGCCGACATGAACTGCTGGCTCCTTCCCTGCCCCAGAGAAACTGTGAAGCAAGTGTGGACACCAGGAACTAAACCCTTTAAGAAAAACCTGGAAGACTAAATGTGTCTAAAACTGGTTTGGTTGCAGGGGAAAATGTGGGTGGCTGCAGCCTGAGGAGGACAGGAGATGGGTGCAGTGGAAGAGAGCTGTATGAAATCTTCCCCAGCTCTGCCCTGCCTTTCCTCAGCAGAGCCTTGGGGCGGTCTTTACCTGCCTCTTTACTGCAGCAACAGCAGCAGCCCAGGCCACTGGTGCAGATGCAGGGGTTAATACTGAAGGACAGCAAAGGCTTTGCCATTAAGGTGTTGACGAAAGCAGATGATAACTCCCAGGTGCCTTTGACCATTTAAAAGCTCCATCTTGGCCAGATGTGGTGGCTCACGCCTGTAATCCCAGTACTTTGGGAGGCCTAGGCAGGTGATTCACCTGAGGTCAGGAGTTCAAGACCAGCCTGGCCAACATGCTAAAACCCTGACTCAACTAAAAATACAAAAAACTTAGCCAGGTGTGGTGGCGGGCGCCTGTAATCCCAGCTACTCAGGAGGCTGAGGCGGGAGAATCGCTTGAACCTGGGAGGCGGAGGTTGCAGTGAGCCAAGATCGCGCCACTACACTCCAGCCTGGGCAACAAGAGTGAAACTCCATCTCAATAAATAAATAAATAAATGCTCCATCTTTTCCCCTCCAAACTACTGATTACAAGGCCGTGAGAGGCCCCCTCTGATGGTGGGTGCTGCTTCCCCCAGGGATTTTTAAGGTCATACTCTAGCCAGGGAATTTGCCTAGTGGAGTGACAATAAATCTGAGTGAGGAACAAAGGTTTTGGGGTAAAGGGGCTCATTCGTTTACCAGCTCTGACATAGATTGGGGCTTGGCTTGTCATTCTTCCCCAAAACACATAAGCAGAGCAGCTGATGAGGAACATCATACATATAAGACAAAAGCTGAAGAGCCAGTTAATAGATTAGAAGACTATACTATAGAACTCTCCCAGAATCAGGAAAGGTTAACTATGTATAAAATATAAAAACAAGCCTGGGAAACAGAGTGAGACCCTGTCTCTACAAAAAATTTAAAAATTAGCCAGGTGTGGTGGTGTGCCTGTGGTCCCAGCTACTCGGGAGGCTGAGGTGGGAGGATTGCTTAAGCCTGGGAGGTCAAGGCTGCAGTGAGCTGTAATCACACCAATGCACTCTGGCCTGGGTAACAGAGCAAAACCCACAGCTCAGATATATATAACACTGAAAGATGTGGAGAAAAAATAAAGTACCAAAACCCAGATGATAAGGGTCCTGGAGGGTAAAAAAAAATAAAAATGTAGAGAAGGAACTATTATTTGAAAAAATAATGGAGATAATATGCCATAATTATGAAAAATGAAAGACTTCAGGGTAAAATTAATCAGAGTGCCAAACAGAAGAGTTAAGGAAAAACCTACACATGGACATATTACAGTGAAATCTGAGAAAAAAAAATCTCTAAAAGATACCAGAGAGAAGCAGACCACCTACAAAGAAACAAGGGTCAAGCTGACATCAGATTTTTCATAGCAATGCTAGAAGTGAGAAGAATGTAATATCTTTAAAGAGTTATAGGCAAAGTACTCTAAACTGTAGGGGTAGGAGTAGAGATACTAAAGAGACATAGCAGTGTGAAAAAGTATTTAGCTTGTTTAGGGGAAAAGTAGACACTGATAAGCATAAGCATCAATAGGAATAAGCAGGTATAAAATTGGTCTTAATGGCACCCACCATAAGACCAAAATAGAATGTATAACTTTTTGACTGCTCGGGAATACTCTGTTTGTCCAAGGGAAACAAGTGAAGAGGAAAAAAAAAAAAAGTAAAAAAGTAATACCAAAAACAAGTCTCAATATAAGGTTAGTATAATAAATGTAAATGGGTTAAACTTGCCAATCAAAAAATAGAGACTTTCATATACAAAAACTTGTACATGAATGTTCACTGAAGCATTATTCACAATAGCCATAAAGGGGAAACAACTCAAATGTCCATCAGTTGATGAATAGATGAATAAATTATGGTATATCCGTAAAGTAGAATGTTACTCAGCAGTAAAAAGAATACAATTTTGATTCATTTTACAACATGGGTGAACCTTGAAAATATTATGCTAAGTCAAAGAAAACAGTCACAAAAGACCACATATTATATGATTCTATTTACATGAAATATACAGAATAGGCAAATTTATAAAATCAGAAACTAGAGTAGTAGTTGCCTAGGACTGGAGGGCAGGAGAAACAGGGAGTGATTTTTAATGGATATAGAATTTCTTTTGGAATTGTGAAAATATTCTAAAATTAGTGGTGATGGTTGCACAACTTTGTAAATATACTAAAAATCACTGAATTTTACATTTTAAATGGGTGAACTGTGTGGTATGTGAATTATATCTCAATAAAGCTGTTAAAATGTTTAAAATGTAGGGATTCTCAGATTAGGTTTAAAAATACAAGATCTGACTCTATGTTGTCTACTTGAGACAGTCAAAATAGAAAGACACATAAATATTGAAGATAAAGGACTAGAAATATATACCAGGCAAATATGAACCTAAAAAGCTAGGATAGCAATCCTAATATCTGACAAAATATAATTTAAACCAAAAATATAGAGGATAGAGAAAGATGTTATATAGGGGTAAGAGAAACAATAGAACAAGAATGAAAATGCACCAGGATGTATGCAGTTTCAAAATACATCAAGAAAAAAAAAAACATAAAACCAACTTAAAATGAATTTTCTTATTTTTTTTTTTAAGAGACGGGGTCTTACTATATCACCCAGGCTGGTCTTGAACTCCCGGGCTTAGGTTATCCTCCCACCTCAGCCTCCTGAGTAGGTAGGACTATAGGCACACACCACTGCATCCAGCTAATGAAGTGAATATTTAAAAATACCATTCCCAGAAATTAATAAAGCAGACAAAAAATAAGCAGAGATATCAAAGTTCTGTATAATGCTATCAGTGAGCTTGACTGCGTGTATGTGAATCTACCTAAAATATAGAGAACCCACATTCTTTTTTGACGCCTGTGGAACTTTGTAAAAGATATACCATATATTAGATCATAAAGGAAGCCTCATTCAATCCAGAGGAATTTACAGATTATATTATCCAAGTAGGATGCAATGAAGTTAGAGACAAATAACAAAAATGTCTTAACACTCTAGGTCTTTGGTTAAAATTGAAATCCTAAAGGAAATTCAGAAATATTTAGAATTGAATGATAATGAAAATGCTACAATGTCAGAATTTGTGGCACACAGCTAAAACAGTATTTGGAAGAAAATGTAGAGCTTTAAGTACATTTATTATTATTACTTGGCTATTTTTTTAGCCAAAAAAGGCTAAAAATAAGAAAGACATGCAGACGTTAATGAAATGGTGAAGATGACCAAACCCTAAAACTAGTCCTTTAAATGAATTAATAAGTGGACCCCCAGAAAGATATATAACAGCTTGGGAAAAAAAGAGAAATAAAGATCTTTTTAAAAATATTATTATGAACAATCAGACAACAATAAATGTGAAAACCTAGATGAAACCTGGGGCAAAGCCTGCCGTGTATTCCCAAATGATTTCCCTTCCTTCTGGGCACACAGCCCTGTTACACTTCCCATTCTCCCATGGATTCATCTGCAGCCAGGTGCCTAAGTTCTGGCTAATGAAATGTGGGTGGCAGTTAAGTTCACCACCTCCAGGCCCAGCCTGTAAAAGCTAACCCCGCAGCGCCCCCATGCTGTCCGCAGGGAAGAATGCTGGATACAGAAGCGCCAGTGGAGGACTCTGAGCTCTTAATGCTCCCACAAGATGGGAGAGTTCTGGCTCTCAGAGCCCTTCCCCAGCCCACGACGGACAATGTCAAGAGCGGGAAATAAACTTCATTGTGTTAAGCCACTGATATTTTTGGGTTTGATTGGTATATCAATTACCTCCCTAATGTAAAATGGATATGTTTCTTAAAAAAACACCAGTATTGTTGCAAAAAGAAATCAAAAACTGGAAAAAACCTGGAATTGTAAATAAATGGAAACGGCAGTCAGTCTTATGCGTGTGCACGTGCACACACGCACATCCCAAAACCCAGGTCCATATGGTTTTACAGGTGAGTTTAAAATAGCTCATGTGGCTCACGCCTGTAATCCCAGCACTTTGGGAGGCCGAGGCAGGTGGATCACTTGAGCTCAGGAGTTCAAGACCAGCCTGGCCAACATGGTGAAACCCTGTCTCTGCAAAATATACAGAAATTAACTGGGCATGGTAGCCTGTAGTCCCAACTACTCCAGAGGCTGAGCAGAGAGGATGGCTTGAGCCTGGGAGGCAGAGGTTGCAGTGAGCTGAGATCACACCACTGCACTCCAGCCTGGAAGACAGAGCCAGACCATGTTTCAAAAAAAAAACAAAAAACTGTTTATGTGTGTGTTTTATAAGCTGTTCCTAAAAATAGCAAATTTTATTTTATAAAGCTCTATGTAAGTTTTGTCAAAGTACAATGTAAATATAGAAAAGTAAACAGTGTTTAAGCTCCATCTGAATGAATTTGTCAAGGTAAACATACCCCTATGATATAGTTTGGATATTTGTCCCTGCCTAAATCTTATGTTGAATTGTAATCCCCAGTGTTGGAGGTGGGGACTGGTGGGAGGTGTTTGGGTCATGGTGGGGGATCCCTCATAGCTTAATCTTGTTCTCAAGACAGTGAGTTCTCGTGAGATCTGGTTTTTGTAAAGCATGGTACCTCCCCACCCACTCTCTCTTGCTCCTGCTTTCACCATGCAAAGTGCCTGGTCCCCCTTCGCCTTCTGCCATGAATAAGAGCTTCCTGAGGCCTCCCCAGAAACTGAGCAGATGCTGGCCCCATGCTTGTACAGCCTGTAGAAACATGAGCCAATTAAACCTCTTTCCTTCATAAATTACCCAGTCTCAGGTATTTCTTTATAGCAGTGCAAGAATAGACGAACACAGCACATGACTAGAATCCAGAGCAAATCATCACCTGCCTCCGCCATAGGTTAGTTTTGCCTGTTTTTACATTTTATTCAAATGGCATCACATACTGTGCACTCTTTTGTGTCTGGGTTCTTTTATATTCATTATGTTTATGAAATCCATCCTTGTTGTATGTGATTGAAGTTCATTCAATCGCATTGGTTTATAGAATTTCACTGTACAGTTATACCACAATATATTTTTCCATTCTACTGTAGATGGGCAATTGGGTGGTTTCTGAGCCTAGTGTACCTCAAAATCAGATAAGGTCAATACAAAGAAGAGAAGATGAAAATCTCATTGCTTATTTCACTGATGAATGTAGGTACAAACATTCTAAATAAAAGATTAGCTAACTGAATCCGATGGTATATTTATTTTTTTAAATAATACATTATGTCAGGTAAGGTTTATCCTAGCAATGCCAAGACAGTTCAATGTCAGAAAATAAATCAATATAATTCGCTATATTAATAGACTAAATAAGAAAAATCAAATTCTATCTCGACTGGTGAATAAAATTTATTAGGTAAAGCCTAGCAAGCTGGAAATAGAAGGTCACTTTCTTAACCTAGTGAAGTTTATATAAGAAAAACCCACAACAAATATTTTTCTTAATGGAGACACTTTATTTTATTATATTATTATTATTTATTTTTTTTTTTGAGATGGAGTTTCACTCTTGTTGCCCAGGCTGGAGTGCAATGGAGCAGTCTTGGCTCACCGCAACCTCTGCCTCCCGGGTTCAAGCAATTCTCCTGCCTCAGCCTCCCAAGTAGTTAGGATTACAGGCGCCTGCCACCATGCCCGACTAATTTTTGTATTTTTAGTAGTGACAAGGTTTCATCATGTTGGCCGGACTGGTCTCGAACTCCTCACCTCAGGTGATCCACCCGCCTCGGCCTCCCAAAGTGCTAGGATTACAGGCATGAGCTGCCGTGCCCAGCAATGGAAACACTTTAAATGTTTTAATCTTCCCTGTAAAAAGACAAGGATACTACTTCAACACCACTGTCCAAAATATATTAGAGCTCTTCAACACTCTACAGAAAGAAATTGAAACAGGTACAAGGATGTAAGAGCAAAAGATAAAATTGTCAGTATTGAAGATAATTTAATCATCTACCTAGAAAAACCAACAGAGTCAATAGACAAACTGTTAGAACTGACATAGATTCAGCAAGATGCCAGATGCAAGTGCAACCTATAAAGCTGGTTTCTCATAGTGAAAAGCAGCAGGCCAGGCTGCAGGCACAGCAACACAAGGTCTCAAAACACACAGATGATGGATAAAAAACAGTGGCATTAGGTGCCAGGAATGGACTGAGGCAGGAAAAAGACAGTGTGCCTGAGAGGATGGGGCCCCTCTGCAGAGGGCCTGGGATGTCCTCCTAGGCCACAAAGATCCAGAATAGATACGTGGCTGCAGGTTGCTGAAACCCCCAACACCCCCACCCAGAACCCTCAAATATTTACCCCTTCAATAAATATTAACAACACCTCTTTCTCCCTGCACTGCCCCCCACTCTGGCCTTGAGGCTATGGGCAAGCAACTTTGGTCTCTGGACTGCCACTTCCTTATCTATAAAATGGGATGATCCCAATAAGCAACTTCCCAGGGATATTGGGTGGGTTAAATATGATAATACAGAGAAAGGATTTAGCTCATGCTTACTAAACATAAGTGAGAATAACTATTAATAAAATGATTAAGGCGCTCCCCCTGCCTTCCGTAATGCCAGCCTGCACTCCAGCAGGGCCCACCCCACTGCGGGCTGCTTCCAGTCTGCAGCTCCCTCAAGGGTTAAGTGGCTTGGCTGCGGGCCAAGGAGCAGGAGCAGGAGCAGGAATAAAGCATCAGCCCCAGCAGCAGCATCTCCCTATCTGTGAGCAATCTCCTCTGGCCCCCAGCTCAGGCCTTGGGAAATAAAAGCCCAGCCAGCTCCTGCCAGCTGCATCATAATGACTTTCCCCTTCCAGGAAGGAGATTGGGTGGGCCTTCCCCTCCTGCCTCTTTCTCCCTTCCCTAGGTTTAGGGGCTGCTGGGGACACGTGAACTGCCCCGAAGCTGTCAGCTCACATATGAGAAAGAGAGTGGGTTGTTTCGGCTGCTGGCCCTGTGGGGTTGGAGGGAAGGACAACAGGGAGGGGTCCTGGCTCTGGGAGGTGGGGAGCAGGAGGTAGGAGGTGCCCAGTTGGTATGCCCTTGGTATTCTGCATCTCAGCGTATCCTCCCCTGGGTCTGGACAGGATGTTTCCAACTGCAGCTTGTGACCCAGTAGTGAATTGCAAAATCCATGGAGTGGGTTGTGATGCGCATTTTGAAAGAGACAGCTGGGATAGAAAATACGCCTTGCATATAATAAAGCACAGGCTTTATTTCAGTCACCCATGAGTATAGTGGTTAAAAATGCAAGCCCCAGGCCAGGTGCGGTGGCTCACACCTGTAATCCCAGCTACTTGGGAGGCTGAGGTGGGAAAATCACTTGAACCTGGGAGGCGGAGATTGCAATGAGCCAAGATCACGCCACTGCACTCCAGCCTGCACGACGGAGCAAGACTCTGCCTCAAAAAAGCAAAACAAAAAATGCAAGCCCTGGAGCCCACCTGTCCAGCCACATGACCCCAGGTGTGTTAACTCTCCAGGCCTCAGTTTCCTCATCTGCCCATGGGGGGAAAACAGCATGACATGGGTTATTGTGAGAAGTTAAGGAGTGGTTCAGGAGTGGAGCTCAGGGAACATGCAAACGCCGGGAGTGGGTTCTTTCTTTTGTCTTCACTGTGCAAAACGTATTTCTTCCTCAAGAAAGTGGTCAGGAAAGCTTGAAAGCCACTGGATTTGAGGATTGGGTACAGAACCGGTTTATGGCAAGAATTCAGGGTACAGCCTTGGGCAGGGAGGTTGTTCTTAGCAAATTAAAAGGGAGGGGCCCGAGAGGAAACGGAAAAGTGAGAGTTCCCAGAGGCTGATCTGCCTGTGCACAGCCCTCTACAGTGGACACCACCCGCTGGCTTTCCTCGCTGCTCCCTCACACAAGTATCTTTACAGGAATCCTTACTCGTTGCTGGTCATTCAGTCAGCTGTTTTTTAATGAGCAGCTACTACACACCAGGACTTGGCCGTTTGATGGTGAAATGGAAGGCAGAGCCCACCCCTCCCTGATTGTACAGGTGAGGAAATCACCATGCTTGTCTTCCACCTACATGGAGCAGGCGCCGAGCTGACCTGGCTTTGCCTCATGTGATGCCCACCTCGGTGCCTCCCATGCCCAGCAGTCCATTTTCAAATGGGAAACGGAAGCTGGGAGTGGGGAAAAGCCTTGTCCGTGACCTCTCAGCCCATCTGTGGTGGAGCAGGATCTGATCCGGGACTCCATGCCCCACAGCTGCCGGGCAGCCCTTAGCCATCCTCACTGGGCTGGTGAGCCCCGGCTGCTCTCTGTGCAACCAAAATATACACGAGCCCACCTTCCTGCCTCCGCTCTCCACTCCACCCCTCAGCCTTCCCTCTCCATCATGGTGTCCTTCTTTCTGTCCTTCGGGCATGCCGAGATCCACCCCAACCTCAGGGCCTTGGCATGGCCACTCCCACTGCCCCGAAGGCTTGTTTGCTGGATCTCCACATGGTCAGCAACTTACCATCAGTCAGTCTCAGCTCCTCAGAGGGGCCCCTGCCCTCCCTGCTAGTGTTGTCCATTTCCATCCCCCAGACTCCTGCCAGCAGGTCACCTATTTTATTTCCCTCTTGGGGCCTATTGCTACCTGGTTTTGTTCAGTTGGGCACTGTCAGTCTCTCTGATGCACATGCAAGCTTTCAGGTTCTAGTCCTGCCCTATAAAGCAGGGCAATCTTGGATAAGTCACTTTCTCTCTGTCAGCCCCAGTTTCCTCATCTGTATCATGGGGACACTAACATCTACCTTTCAGCATATTGGCGAGGATGCAATGTGACTATGACACAGTGCCCAGCACACAGTAGGTGTATATCACACAGAAGGTGGTTTAATAAAAGTGGACGTGACAAACGCCCCAATTAAAAAATGGACAAAGCCACTGAATAGACATTTCTCCAAAGATATATAAATGCCCAATAAATACATGAGAAAACATTCGATATCATTAGCCATTAGGGAAATACCAATCAAAACCACAATGCAACACCACTTCACACCCACTAGGATGGCTATCATCAAAAGACAAACAACAACCAGTGTTGGTGAGGATGTGGGGAAACTGGAACACTCATCCATTATTGGAGGGAATGACAATGGGGCAACCACTTTGGAAATCAGCCTGGCAGTTCCTCAAGCAGTTAAACATAGAGTTACCAGAGGAATTGCTGAATTCCACTCAAGAGAAATGAAAACATATCCACACAAAAACTTGTACACTAATGGCTAAGCAAATTTTGATAAATCTATAGCAGGGAATATTATTCTGCAGCAAACAGGAATGAAGTACTGATATGTACTATAACATGGATGAACCTGGAAAACATTTGGTTAACTGGGAGAAGGCAATCTTGAAAGGCCATATGTTGAGTGATTCCATTTTTTGGTGGTGTTGTTGTGGTTGTTTGTTTGTTTTTGTTTTTGTTTTTTGAAACAGTCTAGCTCTGTGGCCCAGGCTGGAGTGCAGTGGTGCGATCCCGGCTCACTGCAACCTCCACCTCCTGGGTTCAAGCAATTCTCCTGCCTCAGCCTCCTGAGTAGCTGGGACTAACAGGTGTGCACCACCGGCTAATTTTTTGTATTTTTAGTAGAGACAGGGTTTCACTATATTGGCCAGGCTGGTCTCAAACGCCTGACCTCAGGTGATCCCCGAAGCCTGGGCCTCCCAAAGTGGTGGGATTACAGGTGTGAGCCATCGTGCCCAGCCTTGAGTGATTCCATTGTATGAAATGGCCAGAATAGGCAAATCTATAGAGACAGAATCTAGATGAGTGGCTGACTGGGCAGTGGAGAAGGGGTGGAGCGTGACTGCCAGAGCATGTGGGGTAATGAAAATGTTCTGAAATTGACTGTGGTGATGTACAGAATTGTACATTATCTGTGAATATACTAATAACCACTGAATTGTACACTTTAAATGGGTGAATTGTGTGCTATGTTGAAAACAACCCTATGAGGTCAATTCTCTTACCATTTTACAGATAATTCAGTTGAGGCATAGAGAGAAGATCACACAGCTAGGCAGTGGCAGGGTGAGGACTGGAACCCAGGTGGTCCGGCTCCAGAGTGCACATTCTTAACTGCTTGCACATCTGTCACCTAGAAACATGTTGGAATTTCTGGAGTACCTGTTCTTGTAATCTCTAACTAGCCAGTAATAATAGCTACTATTTATTTAGTAGACAGACACGTGCCTCATCAGGCACTGGGCACAGTTCTTCCCCTGAGATTAGCCAATTTAATCACTCCCATTGTTCAGATGAGGAGATAGGCTTGGGGAAGCCCAGGAAGTTGTCAGAGTCCCCTCCGTGAGCGAGCAGCTGAGCTTGGCTGTCAACTCTCCCATCTGGCAGGCGAACCTTCACCCTCTCTACTCCTTCTAGCTGCCTCCTGGAACAGGTCATGGAGCCCGCCAGCTTCCTTTACAAACGGGGAAACAGAGGTTCCAAGCAGGCAAGTGCCTGGCCAAGGTGAGGCAGTCCCGTGGGCCTCAGCTTTCCCACCAGTGAGATGAAGGTGGGAGTAGATTCCTAGTTCCTTCTGCTTTCCAAGATTTAGTGGTTCTTTATGTAGCAGGTTAATCTTGCCATTCTAAATGTTTTCCCCTGGGAAGCAAGAAACATAAATAAAAGCTTGCCTTGATTCTCAGTCTGTGGGTGTCATGGGAATGGCCAGTTAGGATATCGAAGCAAGAGGCAACTGGCCACAGGGCAGAATGATATGGAGGCGGTTCCAGCCAGCGGGCAAAGCCCCTAGGTGAACTCTCAGAGCAGATGGGCTGATGGGCTTTTCTAGGTGTGGGAAGGAGAAGGGAAGGGGAAGCATTCTGAGCATCCTTGGTCCAGCCCATCCTGAACACCCACTAAGGACTGAGACCCAAAGCAGGCACATTTACAGCCACTGCCCTCCTTAATCCTCGTAATGTGTGCTAATAGCTCTCCCTTTCACATTTGGGGAAAGTGAGGCCAGGGAACCCAAAGCCAGAGAAAACTGAGCAGGTTGCCAGGGACCGTGTCCTAGATGTGGCCAGGGAGGTGAGATGGGCTGGGCTGGGCTGAGGTGGGGGCAGATAGAGCCTGCAGAGGCTTCTTCCAGGAGGCATCACTGCTCTCTGGAAGTGGTGGCAGGGGTGGTATTTGCCTATCTGCAATGAGGGGGCTGGGGCTCTTTCCTGGCCTTTATCTCTGCCCACCTCCGCAGACTCTCGTAGCCTGGCTGTGGCCACAGCAGTGGCAGCTATCTTCTCCTGTGAAAGGAGTGATGCTCCCAGCATCTGTAGGTCAGTCTCAGGGAAGGCTCGGATTGGCTACTCCTCGAACCAGTCACTGTTGCCCCGGGGACAGAGAACTGTGATTGGCCAGTCTGGGTCACATGCCCACCACATGTAAGGCATCAGAGTTTGTCACCAAGAGAAGGCGAATGGGAAAACTTACTGGGCAATCAAAAACAATAGCTGCCACGATCTGTTCCCTGTGCTGTGTGTCCTGGATGGTGTCATGCCTCCTCTGGGCCTGTTTCCTCATCTGTAAAAACTAGGTTAGAGGCAAAAGAAGGGGAGGAGTCTCTGATGACTCCTCCCCCTCCTTAAGCCTGCAGGTTCTATAAATGTGCCACACTTTGAGGGTGACTTTGCCCCATCAGAGATCCCCTCCTTGTGGTCCCTTTGGTCTCCACATTACTGAGCTCTTCTTTCAGACCCTGCACTGAGGGCTGTCGGCACATGCTGTCATTCCAGCCTGACATGAGCTCCAAGTGGAAGGGACTCTCATTCTCTCCATTTTGAAAATGAAACTAGACTTTATTTTTGGGAGTGGCTGTAGATTCACAGCAAAATTGAGCATAAGCTACAGACAGTTCCCAGGTACCCCGGCACCGCCCCCAACACAGCCTCCCCCACCGTCAGCCTCCCCACTAGAGTGGTGCAGTTGTTACAATCAATGGATCTACACTGACACGATTACCACCCAAAGACCACAGTCTACATAAAGGCTCACTTTTGCTGTTGCACATTCTAGGGGTTTGGACAAATGTATGGCATGTCCACCACTATAGCATCACACAGAATAGTGTGTGGGGAGCACTGGAAGGACTTTGGGTTTTTCCTGGATTGAGGTGGGAGCCATGGAGGGGGCCGAACAGAAGAGGGACCTCCTGCTTTCAGCAGAGTCCTTCTGACTGCCCGAAAGAACTGTCTGTCTGGGGGCAAGACGGAGGCAGGGAGAGTGTGGCTGTGTCTTGAAGATCAAGGCAATAGGGTGTCCTAACAGATCAGATTTGGGGCAAGAGAGAAAGAGAGGAGGCAGGAATGACGTCAGTGTTTTGTAAAGATAGGGCTGCTTCTCCTGAGTGGGAGAGACTGTAAAGCAGCAGGCTCGGGAGGAGGACTGGGGACTGGGTTCTATTTGTGCTCATTAGAGCTGCGCACTCAGCATGGCCTGGCGGAGAGGGCTGCTGCCACCTTCTGCAGGTCCCCATCCAACCTGTCACTTTTGCAGGTGCAAGAGGCAGGGACAGGACCTCGGCTCAGGGAAGAGATTGCTGGGGAAGGAGAACATCCTGGAGGGGCTGTACGCTATAAAGGAGGTAATGGAAATGACCTACACCCCTGAGAGCTGGGCTGTGGGCCACATCCTAGTATGCCCCAGTCTGAGATCCAGGACTCTTCCACAGGCTGGCCTGGGGCATGTGGAGATAGTCAGGAGGGGACTCTCAAGGGATGGCAGGAATGCTCACCTCGTATTTTCTTTTGTTTGTTTGTTTGTGACAGAGTCTCTTTCTGTCGCCCAGGCTGGAGTATGGTGGCACAATCTTGGCTCAGTGTAGCGTCTGCCTCACGGGTTCAAGCAATTCTCGTGCCTCAGCCTCCCGAGTAACTGGGATTACAGGCATGTGCCACCATGCCCAGATAATTTTTTTATTTTTACTAGAGACAGGGTTTCACCATGTTGGTCAGGCTGGTTTCGAACTCCTGACCTCAAGTGATCCTACTGCCTTGGCCTCCCAAAGTGCTGGAATTACAGGCGTTTGCCACTGCACCCGGCCTTACCTTGTTAGTATTTTCAAGCATAAACTGCTTTATTTTAGGTGGAAGCACAAAGGAACAGAGTGAGAAAGATATTCCTTCCCATCTGTTCCCATCCTCCCATGCCATCAAGGAGTCTCAGGTGGCTGCCACCCCGACTTGAACAGCTCTTTGATGCTTGCCAGTTTCCCTTTTTGGGTTTTTGTTTTTGTATTTGGTTTTTTGTTTGTTTTTGAGACAGAGTCTTGCTTTCTTGTCCAGGCTGGAGTGCAGTGGCACAGTCATAGCTCACTGCAGCCTCAAACTCCCAGGCTCAAGCAATCCTCCCACCTCAACCTCCCGAGTAGCTGAAACCACAAGTGTGCCACCATGCCCAGATAACTTTCTTTTTTTTTTTTGGTGGAGACAGGGCAGGGTCTCACCATGTTGCCCAAACTGGTCCATTTTCCCCTTTTAACTAAGGCAGAGCAGGTCTCAAGCTCACAGCCTCGGGTAGGCAACAGTATTTGGCTAGAATTTAACAATGTAGCTTTATGCCCGGTCTGTCCATTTTACAGTGACCTTATATTTATGGCAAAGCAAGGCAGTAATTGGAAGTTTCCTTTTTAAATACACCTAAGTTGAAAATGTGGATGGATTTAGTGAAAGATATTCAACAAATAAGACGTGGCAAACATCCTTAAGATGATGTATATATCTCTGGCATGTGGGAAATGGCCCTGAATAAACACGTTTCCAGGGGTGTTGAGGTTTGGCTGGTGTGCTCCTTTCATTTCAGGGTGCTTGCTGTGTCTGTTCCCACTCTCTGTGATATTTTGCTCCCCTCTCCCTTGTCCTCTGGGATGTGGGAACGAGTCGGGGGATTCAGCCTTTGTTCCATCCTTAGCCAGGTTCTGAGGACTCTTTTTTTACATGCGGTCAGTGCTCCTGTCACCTCCAGTCCACTGGGGGGCGTCTCTGCACTGGCCAGACCCGTCCCGCTTGCAGGGTTTGGATGCACTCCCTGCCTTCTCACCTTGCACCCAGGTACTCGGGCTTAGGAACAGCAGCAAGTTGTGCCCTCTGTCCCCTGGGACTTTCCATGGCACGACCCCCAGCTCTGTGCACCATGTCCTCTGTCCCTCTCAGCAGCCTTGGAATGTGAGGAAACAGAGATGACGAGACCGGCTGAGGTCACCTGGCAAACCGGTGGCTGACCCAGGATGATAAGATGACAGGGATGCCAGGTAGGCTGAGCTCCCACGCTCCATGCGAGTGCCTGGGAAGGGGTGGGCTGGAGGAGCAGGGGATGAATGGAGGGAAGGGGGCCTCGGGGCTGTGCCCCTTCCCAAACGTGTGACTCAACCATGTGTCCAGTGGCTGTCCCTGCCACAGGCCCAGCCTATTAGGGAGCAAGCCAGGTCCCCAGACCTTGGGGATTTATTCCTCCTTCCGGGGGAGGCTTAAATTTTACCCCAGAAAAGGCAATGTGTAACATAAAAAGCCTCCATTTCTGACATATGAAGAGGGAAAGCCCTCCTTGGAGTCCTTCAATAATAATGATAATAATTCTAAATCCTATTTACTCGGTGCCAGACACTGCTCTAAACACTTTATAGGGCTGGGCTCAGTGAGTGGCTCATGTCTGTAATCCCAGCACTTTGGGAGGCTGAGGTGGGTGGATCACCTAAGGTCAGGAGTTTGAGACCAGCCTGGCCAACATGGTGAAACCCCGACTCTACTAAAAATACAAAAATTAGCGGGACATGGTGGCCCACGCCTGTAATCCCAGCTACTCAGGAGGCTGAGGCAGGAGAATCACTTGAACCCAGGAGGCGGAGGTTGCAGTGAGGTGAGATCATGCCACTGAACTCCAGCCTGGGCGACAGAGCAAGACTCTGTCTCAAAAAAATAATAAATAAATATATATATATATAAACACTTTATAAGTATTAACTTGCTTACACCTCATAAGAGCCCTAAGATGTAAGTGCTTCTTCTTATTCCCACTTTGAAGATGGGGACATTGAGGCAGAGAGAAGCAAAAGGCTTTTGGAAGGTCACACAGCAAGTCAGTGGCAAAGCTAGAAGTCAAGCCCAGAGGATTTCACTCTACACTTGTCAAAAGCCACAGGCTAGGCCAATGTGGGCAGAGGGGCAAGGCTGCTGGAACCTCTGAGATGGCTGGCGCAGCCCCTCCTTGCCGGCCCGGGGTGGCCACAAATGCAAGAACCGGGAAGGGCCCTCTTGGCACCTGACCCTCACCTGGCACTGTCAGCCCTTGACCACTTCCCCGGTGGGTAGGCATGCCACCTGTGTCTGCACCCTCCAGCGACCAGGGGCTCAGCTGTTCCCCTGGATGCCTGTGCTCTCCCTGCTCTGCCCTGCCTGAGCGGAATCTCCTCCTGCCCTTTGAATCCACCCCGCAGTGGGATCTGGCATCACCCTGTGGACCTCCAGACCTGCCTGTTCCCCAGCTCTGGGACAGCACATGTGACTCCTTAAGTCTTCTCGGCTGTAGCCCCTCTGACCTCTACAGATCTAGTAACTTTTCTGAAGTCCACAATCTGTGGCTGTGGCCCAAGGAGCTCTAAGGGCAGTTTGAGGAATTAAAATGAAGACAGTCCTGCAGCCACCTGTGTATGTGTGTCAGGGCTGGCAGGGAAGCGGTGGCTTCAGGGCTCTACTTCCATCCAGCCTCCGCCACCTTTGCCCCCACGGTGAAGGCAGCCTAGTGCACTGTTTCCAGGGTCTGGCCCTTTTAAATTTAGCTGCGGGGAAAAAGCAGTTTGTGCAGGTCTGGAACTTGGAGACAATCAGCAACAGGAAAAAGTCATCCGAGGGGAGCTTTCAGTGAATTATGGAGGTATTGTTCCTGCGCCCAAGGAGCCAGGGCTGCTGGTCCAAACCTCGCTGACCCAGCCCAGGCCTTTGGGGCAAAACATTGCCTGGAGCTGCGTCAGGACAACACAATGTGGGCCTCTGAAGGCCAAAAAAAAAAAAAAAAAAAAAGGGCCAGAGGAAGAAAAATACTGGAAATTCCCTGCATCCCAGTGATGGAAGAGCCTTTCTTGAAAATCAACAGCAAGGGAAAGGTTGCTGCCCGCCCAGGCGGGGCCTCGGGGAGCAGGAGGAAGTCGCAAGCGATATTTTGAGATATTTTCAGTCTGGTGTGATGCCGGTTGATTTTCCAAAACACAAGGGCCTCATGCTGGGAGGAGAGTTGAGGCTGGACTGAAGCTCACCAAGGGTGGGGCCGGGGTGCAGGATGGGCCAGGACAAGAACATAAACAGAAGCTGACCCAGTTGGAGAGCTCTGGTGCTCCAGATGGCTGACTCCCAGGCCCCTCGCCACCCTGGGAGGCCCAGGGGGGTCTCCTGTTGACCCAAAGGCCCTTCCGGACCTCACCTAGGTAGGAAAACTGCAGATGAAGACTGGGATCCCCCTGCACAGAATGCCTGCTAAGTGGCCAGGCAGATTCTGCTTGCTCGCCTCTCCTGATGGGGCACTCACCACCTATTCAGCAGCTCATCCCATTTCTGCACAGCTCTGAGTGGGAGAAACAATAACAATGGTTGTGGAAGGGACACAGCAGTGAACAAAACAAACGCTCCCGTCCTCATGGGGCTGACACTTTAGTAAAGGGACACAGTACAAAAAATTAATAAAATGTATGGTATGCTAGAAATTGCAAACACTGTGAGGGAGAAGATAAAGCAAGAAAAGGGGTAGGAGGCACTTGGGATGCAATTCTGGAAATAGGTAGTTAAGGAAAAAGTTCCTCCTCACTCTCAGCTGGGACCCACCTCCCTGGGATGTCTCGTGGACCCCACTCTGCCCTCTGGGCACAGAGGTTCATCTGCTCCCCCCTAGGCAGGGATAGTCTTGCTCTGTTCCAAATTGAGCAGGGCCAACTCCTCACAGGAAGGGGGCTCCAGCCCTCTCACCCTTCTCTAGGGCTCCAGAGTGAGCCCCTTTCACAGAGGTGGGAAGGACATTGTAAACCCTCTATCTCCATGAAGGCATGCGAAGGTCCCTTTTCAGCTGTTTTAGCAGCTGTATCCCACTGTTACCTCCCACTGAACTCATCAACCTCTGATGTCATGAATGGTCAGGACATCCCGCCTTCTCCTTCCAAGGATAGCATGAGCTTGCAGACCCAAGAATAAGAATTTGCATTTATTCTTATTGTTTCATCTTGCAGCATTTCATCCATGCAGAATTGCAGCTTGCAGAGATCTTGTTGTGGCTTGCAAAGATCTTTTTGGCATAGAGGTAGACCACACATGAGATAGACAAAGGATTAATATTCTCAACATACAAAGAGTACCTAAAAATTGATAAGAAAAATACAAAACAAAAATAAGGAAAGACACATAGACAAAGAATATGATCAGACAACTCACAGATGCAGAAATGCAAATGGCCAATAAACAAATGAAAAGATGCTCAACCTCTCAGGCAGTCATAGAAATGCAAATTAAAAGAATAACGATATGCCAAATGCCATTTTTCTCCCATCAGATTGGGGAAAATATTAAATATTGATGACATCCAGTGCCAGCCAGGCGGGGGCAGTTGAGCAGTTTTGACGCGGCTGGTGGGAGTGTGAGCTGCCACAATCTTTTGGGACACTAATCTGTATTGGAGTTTAAAATGTGTATGACCTTTGGTCCAGCACTTCCACTTTGGAGAATTTTTTGTACAAAACCATATAGACACATAAGGTGATATGTACAAGGATGTTTGTTGCAAAAACAAAAGAATGCGCTAAATATTGATCGTTAAGGCAATGATTGAATGAATTATGGGACATTTGTTCTATGAAATGTTAAGCAGCTGATAAAAATAAGTTGATCTGTGTGTATGTTGTGTGTGTGTGTACATGTGTATGGACCTGAAATTGTGCTTATGATATATTATATAAAAAACAAGATGCAGAGTCAGGTATATGGTATGATCCTATTTTTGTAAACATGTTTGAAAGAGCAAAGAGTAAACTGGAAAAAAATATTCACTAAACTGCTAACATCAGTTATCCCAGAGGAAAAGAATCACTAGCAGCAAGATTAGTAAATTTTTTGATGTCATATCTCTTTTGTTTGGCTTTTGCAATAGGTTTTTATAGCTCTAATAATTTTGGTAACAAATACTCTTTCTTAAAAGTTATTTTTAAACAGTTCTTATGGAGCTCTGACCATCATGTCTTCATTATGAGCAAAGGCAGGAGTCAGCCCAAGGACTGGGACAGAAGGTTGTCCTCTCGTTGCTGAGCTGGGGGTCCAGCTTACCATGAACCTCCTACTCCTGGGCTTTCCAAGAGATATTCAAGGGCCCACCCCACTTCTCATCTTCATGCTAGCAGGAACTCCATTGTTCACTGAGCCTCTTGGGTTTTCCCTGCCTCTGTTTCCCATATCTTCCTCTTCTGTGCCTCATCCTACCTTCCCTGTTCTGTGACTAGTACTGCTTCCAGAAACTGCAGAAGAGACTGGGCTGGATTTCCTAATCTAAGTCAAAGATTTGGAGGCGCAGAGTCTAGGCCCAGGACAACAAACAGTTTCCTTCTTGCATGCCAGCTCTCAACAGTGGTAAAGGAGGCCAGGAGTGCTAAGCTGAAAGGGTTTCTAGGCTCCACCAACAAGAGTGCTGGGATTGATTATCAATGTCTGCTCTTGTCTAGGGACTGGTGAACAGGAACACCAAAGTTACTGCCTGGCCACACTCCATCTCGGCAGGTGATTCCCAGACTGGAATAAGCACAGGAATCACTGGGGATCTTAGTAAGATGCAGATTCTGGTCCAGTTGGGCTGAGATTCTGTAGTTCTGGTCTGATAAGCCCTTAGGTGACATGGATGCTGCTGGTCTCAGGACCACCCTTTGAGGAACAAGGGGCCAAGATCTTTGCACTCTCCATTCCTAGCCACCTCCTCCTCTCCCTCAACTCTTCAAACATTTGCAAACCCTCCCCATATGTCCAGCACTTCTTATATCTGTCACATGGTTTGATTCTTGGAACAGCCCTGGTTATTATCTTTGACAGATGAGGAACTGGAAGGGAAAGAACTTGCCCAAGCTCCCCCAGCCAGCTGACAGGGGTGGATCGATCGCCAACCTCCCTCGCCTCCCCTTCTCCTCTCCTGGAGCCAAAAAGCAGCCAGAAAGACCCTGCTGCCACCTGAAAGCACCGTATTCACTGCCATAAATAAGGCCTCCGCTGAGCCAGCTCCCTCCTCCTTTCTCAGCAACATCTCACAGCAGGCTGGGATGAGAGAAGCCAAGGAGGGACGGGAGGCTTAGCCGACAGCGTGAGTTATGGGCTCGGGGAAGCCCATTAGTCACTAAAGCAAGAGAAGTTAACTCGAGCTTATTAACGCTAAACGTTTATTATTCACATTGATCATGGCAGCAGACAGCACTCACCCCCACCCCCTCCCCCACAGTGCTGTGCAGCCTGTTCAGATCGCAGGATGGTGATGCGGGCTGAAGAGGCTCCCTATGCACCAGAAGCCCCAGGAAATGCAAGCAGGGCATGCACAGGCCCCAAGGGGCTCTACCTGAGCCAGGGGCCAGGGAGCCATCAGTGGCACAATCAGACACCATCTCCATCATCATGGGTCGACCAGGAAGCTAGCAGGCAGGCTGCATGGGGGATGGGAGCCTGCCTCAAGGTCGGCTTGACCCTTAGCAGCAGATGACCTTGCCAATAAGTTGCATGACTTTGCAGAGTCTCAATTTTGTCATCTATAAACGAGGGACACATTCATTCATTCGACAAATATTTATTGAGCACCCACTAAATGCCAGGCACTTTCTAGGCCCGAAGGGACAATAAAGAACAAGAAAGATCCCTGCCCTCATGGAGTTTATACTTTGGAGTTGGAGACAGACAAAGCAACTGAAGAAATGAACAAGCAGAATAATTTCAGGTAGTGGTAAGTGCGGTGGAGAAAACAATCCCAAGTCACACGCTGGAGAGTGGCTTGGGGCGCTGGGAGGATGTCCGCAGGGGATCTGGCACCACCCTGTGGACCTCCAGACCTGCCTGTTCCCCAGCTCTGGGACAGCACATGTGACTCCTTAAGTCTTCTCAGCTGTAGTCTCTCTGACTTCTACAGATCTAGTAACTTTTCTGAAGTCCAAAATCTGTGGCTGTGGCCCAAGGGGCTCTACGGGCAGTTTGAGGTTAAAAAAGGCTGTGAGGGATAAAATCCCACCTAACCTCCCTTAGAAGCTGTGAGGAAGTGCAGTGTACACCGGGGGCCCTGCCTGGCTCTGCATGACCAGGTTGGGGCTGCAGTGACCTTGGCTGCTAATGGCTGACAGCTGCCCCTTTCTCCTGAACATTGCCCTTGGCGGCCAGCAGGCACTCCCCTAGCACTGTGCCCCCCTTCTCCAGGGTGAGTCACCCCCTCAAGGTGGGACTCATGCTGTGGTGCCCTGTGTGCTCCAGAGGCCCTGAAGATCAGGCTGAGGCCAGTGTCTAGCGAGGACACAGCCTTGTGTGGTGTTTTCCCTGCCTGCCTGCATCCCTCACTCCCTGCTGAGAGCATTTCTTGAGGCTCTCCTTCTAGGGAACCTGGCGTAAAACATGAGGATGAGACCAAATGGTGGCTCTAAAAGCTGAACCCAACACTTGCCACACAATTTGCCTAGAATGTTCCTGATTTTAGAACTGAAAGTCCTGCATCCCAGGAAAACCCTCAGTCTCAGGCAAACCGGAATGATTGGTCAGCTTTGGTAACTGCTTCATAAGTAAGACTCATTCACTCATTCATTGGCTATCTTCTGGGCGTCTCCTTGTGCCAGGTTCTATCGGTGGAGCCATGGCAGGGGCCCATCCTTATGGAGCTCACAGTCCCACTGCAGCAGGCAGTCACTATCCTAAGATGATCACTCAGGCCTGCAGATCAGGAGAGCCGACGCAGGGTGGTGAGCTGGGGGCTGCCCTTGAAGGAGGGGAAAGAGCTGCCCAATGAAGGGGGTGGGGACATTCTGGGCTGAGCACCCACCCTGGTAAGCTGATGACCAGGAGAGCCTCGAGCTTTGGATCTACAAATGCAGAGAGAGATTGTGAGAAGGAGGTTCAGGGTGCCCACTGGCCATGCCCTTAGCTTCTCCAGGCCTCAGTTTCCCCATCTGTGAAGGTCTCTCCAGCTCCAGCAGGAAGCCTAGAATATCCACAAAGCAAAGAGCTTTTTGGGAGGAGCCCTCTGTAGTCACCAAGGTTCCTGGGTGACCATCAAGATGGTTAAGACCTCAGGGAACCTTCTCTGGACCAGTAGACACTATACTGGTTCCTGAAGCCCCAGGATGATCCAGACAAATAGGTCTACTATTTCTATTTTAGAGACAAGGAACCTGAGGCTTAAAGAGAAGTAATGACTCATCCAAAGTCACATAGCCAGTGAGTGGTGGACCGGGCGGGGGTGTGGGGGTTCCCAGGGCTCTCAGACCCACAGCCACTGAGCCACTTCATAAGTTCAAGAAGATAAGAAAGGCATCGTCACTTCCATCCTATTCATTCCTTTATGCACCCCCTTTTTATCCGCTCACCTACTACAGAGGTGAGTGAATAAAAGCACAGATTCCAGAGCCAGCCTGCCTGGGTTCAGACCCCTGCCCACCATGCAGAAGCCATAGGACTGAAGGCAAAAGACTTAGCTTCCCTGTGCCTCGAATTCCTCATCTCTCAAAGAGGAGACCAAAACTGCACCTCTCTCCAAGGGTTGTTACGAAGATTAAATGAGTTAATATATGTAAAGCACTTACAGCCTGGCACACCGTAAGTCTCAACTATGATTGTTTCTTTATTGCTATGACTCAGTATTACACAAGTCGTTATAATAAAACATTGGCAACAACCTAAATGTTCAACAATAGGAGAGTTACTAAGTCTAGCATGATTTCTTGATTTCAGTGGATACAATAGTAATTAAGACAGGGTGGTCTTGGTGCAAAGATAAAAAAATAGACCCAAGGAACAGAAAGGAAAGTCCAGAACTAGCCCAACATGTATAGAAGTGCCAAATTTATAATAGGGGAGACACAACAGTACAGTGAGAGAGGGTGTTTTAAATAAATGGTGCTGGATAAATTGGACATTCACATGGGAATAAAAAGATTCTTGACCCCTTCCTCACACCATACACCTAATTCTGTTTCCATGACCTCTAAGCAGCCATTTCAACTTGACCAGAATATTGGCAATGTGTATGTTCACTCAGCCCTGTGCATTTGAAAAAGGTAACATTATGAGCAAACGTGTGAACTTGAAATTATAAAGCCACTTCAAATGTGTGCACAGACTGACGAGGAAGCCACGGTGAATTTCAGTGGTGTTGGTGGCTCCATGTGAATGAAATCTTTGGTTGTGATGGTTGTCCTTTTAGTAAAATGAAGGACATTCCTTTATTTTGAAGTTAACTTACACATCTCATCCAATCCAAGATTATCACGGAGAAGGAAGGTGAGTTTTAGGCAATGAGTAGTCAATAAGAAAGTTCCGATTTCCTTTGGAGAAAAAGGAAAACATGTTTTGTTGTCCCCCAACAGTGAGATGGAAAAAAATAACCAAGGGAAAAGTCACCCCACGCTTTCCTCGAGGCCATGGGCCCCCACCACTGTGGTGCCATGAGGAAGTCGAAGGTTGAGCGAGCAAAACATGTTTTCCTTCTGCAGGACGTCTGTCTGTAGGAACTGTTGGAATCAATTATTGGAAAACACAAAAATAAAATAAACTCCAGCCCATGGTAAACTATCCCTTCTTTCTGGGATCAGGAAAACAAAGGCCAGGATTGGGGTCAGCATGGAACAGTGGGCAAACAAGAGTGGTAGGAGGCAGGGACCTGGGCTTCAGGTAGAACAGGATGAATCTGGAAACTTCCTGAGCCTCAGTTTACCCACCTGCAAATTCATGATCCTGAGTCCACCTCACAGAGTTGGGGGTGAACATGCCATTTCACTCACTCAATAAACATGTATTTTGCTCCCAGTCTGTGCCAGGCTGTGAGCAGGAGCTGGGCCAGCTCCATGGCTATGCAACCAGTGTGGCCACACTGGGCCCCACATTGAGGAGGGCCCTGTGCTTGGCTCAGACCCCCACATGCTGCAGTGACCTCTAGAAATTCTTAATTTTTGAAGAAAAGGTATTGCATTTTCAGTTTGCACTGGGCCCCACCAATTATGTCTCTGATCCTCAGAGTGAGGCAAGAGCCAGTGTTGCTTTTAATTGCTGGTCGGGTGCATCTGACCCCACTGGGTTTCCCCCAGTGCTTGGAGTAAAGAGGGTGCTGATAAAATGGGGGTTAAAATGAAGGTGCAAGGAGAAGCCAGGGGTATGGATACTGCTCTACCACCCACCCAGGTGTGCCTAGCCGCAAGGGGACCCCTTCACACCCTTGTAAGTGCTGTGCCTGCCACTGTTTCAGGGGAAATTATCTCGATTTTGGTTGGGAGGGTCTTGAGTTAAAACCAGGTGTGTGGTCACAAATGACCTGGGGTCAGACCTTTCCGCTGCTTGCCAGCTGTGTGTCTAAGCAAGTCTCTGCGCCTCAGTTTCCTCATCTATGAAAAGAGTCATACATGCTCGTATACATGACATACATACGTGCAGGGTGCTTATGGTACTGGGAGCACCAGTGGCCCAACCAGCTTGAGGAGGCCCTGAACCCTCACCTACGCAGACAGGCAGGGAGCGTCTGGATCCTGAGGGAGGTGTTTATAGCCAGTGGCAAATTCTCCTCGGGCTTCCAATTTAAGAATTTGACTTGACCCTGGGATGCTGCGCCTGGACAGCGAGGGCTGGCTGCTGTTGCCTGTTTATAGGTGAGATGTGAACAAATGGTATTTATAAAAGGTTAAACATTGGTTAACCAAACTATCAAGTCAGTGAGAAATGGCACGTGGATTAGATCTCCAAACACAAGGTCCACCTGCTGAAAGACATGAAATCCTAATTCACTGCCTACTATGTGCCAGGGACTTTGTTAACAATGCTCAGTAAAAAAAATCTAACATTGCCGACAGTTACCTGTGTGCCAGGCACTGGGCTAAGGGCTTCAGGGTCACTATCTTATTTCATCTTCCTAGTGGGCATGTGCCATAGGTGCCAGCAAAGCCTCATCTTACAGATGAGGAGAGGGACACCCAGAAGGAACAGGGACTTCGTGGGGGCTCAGGGCTGGTGAGTGGTGGGGCTGGGGCTCCATCCCAGCATCAGAGAGCACACTGCAGGAAATAATCAGCCCGACTCAGTGTGTGGCTCCTGCTGGGGGTGGAAGGTGCTTTCCCCACACCTGCTCCCCTCCTTAGGGACTCCCCTAAGCTGTAGAGGACCAGGCTTCGGCCTGGGGCCCCCCTGCTGGAAGGCAGCTTGGAGGCTGCTCCTGCAGGGACTGTGTGTGTTGACAGCAGCCTCTTCTTGAAGGACAGAGCCCCAGCAGCCACAGGGCAATGGACCGGCACCCAGAGCAGCCAAGTGTTTTAATGGTGTTCCCAGACTGGGCCTGATTCATTTCTCTAAGTGTCTAGGTTTTGGGTGGGGGGAGATGCACCCCCAGCAATTAATGATGTCGGTGACAGAGATTCACACTTGCCTCCCATGTCTGTGCACACAAATGCACAAGTGCTCATTAAGCTAATTAATATGGTCTTTCCGGAGCCACTACCTCCTTCACCCTCTGCCACAGGGCCGGCAGAGAGAACGCAGTCTCCACTCTGGAGCTCGAATGGGGAAAATAAATCAGGAGTCGGCCCTGGTGGCTCATCAAAATGCCTCTCTTTAAACCACCACCCTTCCTGGTGCATTGGGGAAGGTGACATTGCTACCTCTGTTCTGCAAAGCCAGCCCACAAGGGAAGGGTCGGCCCTGTGAGGACTGAGCTTCCCGTCCCCAGGATTCAAGGACAGGTGGCTGTCAGAGGTAGGAAGTTGGAGTCAATTGCTTGTCAGGGCCTTCCCGAGCTGCCCCGGCTCCCTAGCTGGGCACAGCAGGGCACGGACAGGCCCTGGCCCTTAGACTCTACCACACATTGAGTGAATGATTAACGGCCGGGTTCTCCTCTGATGGCCTGGTTCAGACTTCAGGCCCTTTGGTGAGAAGGGAGTCCCTGTGTTCCCCCAACCCCAGGCTTTTAACAGGGCCTCCAGAGCCTTAACCCCCTGTTTCTCCAAATGAAGAATCTCATTCAAGCTGCAGGGAATCTCACCTCACTGGGCCTGGGGGCAGGCATTGAAATGTGTATTGTACCCAGCCCGGAAGATCCTTCAGATCAGGGAGTTTGGGATGCCCTGCTTTAACCCAAAGGTGTGGACCTTGGCAGTGACCTTGTCAACTCCTCAGAAAGTCAAATCACCTTTTTTCATTCTCTGTGCATGAGGCCCCTTTCAGCTTGGTGGGAGGGTAAGCAGGAAGGCACAGGTTTACCCTGGGTTTACCCTCAACTCCTCGGGAATGAACCTTTACTTCTCTCAGTCTCCTCATCTGAAAAACGGAGATAATAATACATCCCTCCAAATGCAATCAGCACCCCAAAAAGTTCCTGGCAATTGTACTTGCTCAAGAAATGTTAGTTGTCTTATAGGGCAAACACTTAATCTTTGCTCCCCGCGCCCCCAACTAACTCCTCTTGAGAGATGGTTCCCTGCACTGAGCAGATGTTAGAGTGAGCACTTACTGTGTGCCGGGCTATGTTCTCCGTGCTGGAGGTGGAGCAGCCACCAGGGAAGATCCAGCCCTGCCCTCCCGGGGTTGGCATTCTAATCGGGGAGACAGCACACACATACACAGACAAATAAATGGGACAGTTTCAGATAGGAATGAGTGCAGAGAAGGAAGATAACCGGGTGATGGGATGGCAAGGGAGTAGGGAGTGGTGTCAGAGGTGCCTCTGTGAGGGGGACATTTGAGACCTGAGAAATGAGAGGAGCCAGCCCAGCCATGTGAACATTTAGGAAAGAGTTTTCCAGGGAATGGAAATAACAGGGGCAAAGTCCCTGGGGCTGGAAGGACTGAGCAGGGTCAGGGATGGAGAGGAAGGCCAGTGTGGCTGAAGTGAGTGAAAAGGGGGAGGTGGTGAGAGATGGGGTGGGGAAAGGGGACATGATGAGGTGGGTGGGGTGCTGGGGCTTAGGGGCTGTGGTAAGGAAGGAGGATGCTATTCCCAAAGCAACTGGTGAGCAGCTGTTGTGTGCAGCCACAGTGCTGGGAGCTGTGTTCGTGGCATCCTTACAGCGGCCACTGGGGGTAGGGGAGGGACGGCTGGTGGCTGGTTACGGAGAAGGCTGGGCTCCTGAGTGGTAGCCACATTTGGGTGCAAGCCAGAGTCTCCACCCTCCCCCACCCTCCACAACAACAAATGACTACGTCTCCCCATGACTCAGGTCTCTCCAGCGTTCTCAGGGCAAAGTCCCCCAGAAAAAAACACCTTTCAGAGTCCCAAGTCCCTGTCACTCTGCACTGAATCCCACCAGCACCCATGGCCAGAAGACAATCTTTTACAATGTGAGTGAGAATCCATCCCTCCCCTGCTTCACCTCCTCTGTGGCTCCACATTTTTGTTCAGAGAATGAAACCCAAAGTCCTTGCACTGTGTGGTCCAGATGAGGGCCAGCCTCTCCACCCCTCCGAGTTCACTTCAATGTTGCCCTCCATCTAATGGGTATAATACCCAGACTTGCCTTTCCCTTGGAATGGTGGTGAGACTTGGGGGGTGTCCCTTGGGGGATGTGACCCCCATTTGTTGCCTGTACGCCCAGGAGGGGTTGGTGAAGAGGCTCTCAGCCAGGCCTGCCCTCAGAAGGGTTAATGTGGCCTCTTTGTCCCATGGTTGCCATAGGGACAGTTCCTGCCCTTCAGGAAGCAGGGAGAGCAGTTTCCTGTTTTGAAGAAGGCTTGAGGGCTGTTTTCCTCCAGTCCGCCTGCCCAGAGAGGGGCAGGAAGCCTAAGGCCAGCCGCCCCTGCTGCTGGGTGTGTGGCGGAGCCGTGCCCACACCCAGCCAGCCAGGAGGGGCTGTTGTGGAAATGCAGCCTCGGGAAAAAGCCAAACAGGCCAGTGCAAGGAAAAAAAATGGCTGGCCGGAAGAGGGTGGCCGCTTCCTCCACAGACCTTGAATCCCACCCAGTGATAAAAATCCCACCCAGTGATAATAAAAACTCCAAGCTGGTCCTGCCCAGCCTCTGACTCCCCTCCCCCAGAGCTCAGCCCTTTCTTGGAGAGCCGAAGACTGATGGATCAAGACCTTGAGGCCCCTGCCTACCCCTCTCGCCCAAATGCACTCCCACCCGGCACACTGGTTGCTCCAGCTTCATCAGATTCGGCCCCCATTTTCCATCCCCACCCCTGTCTGGAATGCCCTTGCCTCTGATGAGGGTGCAGATCAAAGCCCACCTCCTCCTAGAAGCCTTCCAGCATGCATTTGAGCCCATGCAGCCCCCATGGGTCAGGAGCATTCATGAATTCAGGTCTCATCTCCTCTTGTGGCATCCCGGCTCCTGCCTTCCAGGTTTCCCACCTCCAGGCTTGCTCCTCTGACTCATCCACAACTCCAGCTACCACATAGCTTTCTACCACACAGGGCTGACCATGTCACCCCCTCCCCCAGACTATGGCTCCTCTCTACCTGCAGGGTGAAGTCCAGACTCTTTGGCCCACCATCAGTCAGAGAGCTTTCACATACATGTCCTGTGCTGTGACCACAAACATTTCTCACCGTGCCCACCTGCCTTCCTCTTCCATCCCTCCAGGTGCTTGCTCAGGCAGTTTCCCTGTACCTAGGAGGGCCACCCTACTGCTGCACCTGGAAAATGCTGCCTGACCTTTCAGGCCCAGTCCAAATGTCACTTCCTCTCCTCTTAGGGGTAAGCTTAATTCGATCCCCTACTTTCAGCTCAGCTGCCCTGCATCACTATCAGCTGATCCCAGGCCCTTCTCTCTGACCACACCATGAACTCTTTAAGGACAGGGAAGTGAAGAGAGAAGAGAACTAAAATTCACCGAATCCTCACTTCAACCCAAGAGAAGTTTCATTATGCCCATTTTACAGAGGAGAAAAGTGAGGTGCAGCGAGGTGAAATGACTTGCCCAGGGCCACAGAACCAGTACCTGGTGTGGTCGAGAACCTGCTCCTCTCTCAGCCTGGGTGAGCATGCTCAGGGCAGTGGGGGTCTGAGCCAAATTTATCTGATGTCCTCCAGCAATGTGTGCAGCATGGGAAGGGAAGGGCAGCCTTGCTCAGACACCATTTCCCTCCCCACTCTACCCCCACAACCCCCAAACCCCCGGCAGGTATCTGGCTTAGATTTGTCCTCCCTGGAGCCAGGAAGGCAACTCAATTACTTTTCAGGGGAAGATAAGCCCCAGAGGCTGATGGTGTCACAGCCATGGCACTGCAGGGTGAGCAGTCTGAGACTGCAGGGACCAAGAGGTCAGCAGCTGAAGAGGCTGCAGGGCCAGGGTAATTTCCTTCTTAATAGCATGCATTTTCTTCTAGGTGACAAAAGGTGGACCTCGTGGAAAATGGGAAACACAGGGGGCCCCTGCCACAGGAGCAGAATGCAAAGGTGGCCAGCACACAGTGGGAAAGCAAACCCTGAGGTTCACCCCCTTCTGCGTGGGGCAGGAAGCAGAACCCAGGCCACCTCCACAGGCTGCTGCCCTGCTTCCGCACTGCCCTCCACTACCCCCAACTCTGCTCATTCCAGCATGCACAGGGTGCTCAGTAAGTGCTCCTTTCTGATCTTCTCATGCTCTGATTGTGGGGGTTGTGTGCCCCAGTTCCTGGTGAGTTGACTTTGTTTGTGCACATTTATGGAGCACCAACTGTGTACCAGACATCATTTATTAAGCACCCCCCTATATCCCTCTCCCGTACTGAATTCTTTAGATGAATGACCTCATTTACTGAGGAGACACTATTATCATTTCCATTTGATTAGGGGTGGGGAGGAGTGTGCTGAAGTAGGTAAGAAGGCCAGCCCCAGAACCAGGGTCCCATGCCCACCACTTACTAGTTGTGTATTCCTGGGCAAGTAAGTACCTTAGCCTCTCTGCATTGTGGCAGCCTCATCTGTAACATGGGGGTAATAACAATGCCTACTGCATGGGTTTGTTAGGAGGATTAAATGAGGTAATATATGCAAAACATATATTGAAGGCACAAATATATCAGCATATAGCTCAGCAAATATCAGCTATTATGATTTGCAAATGAGGAAACAGACTTAGTGACTCACCCAAGGTCACGCCCAAGTGAATGTGGTTCCTGACCACCACATCCCACTGCCTGTCTGGGAGGCTTGGTGATGGGCACTTTCACATGAGCTTGCAGAGCCTGGGGTGCTTTTTTGTTTCTGGAGAACGTGGCCACATCCAGCTTTGGAGCTGGCTTAAAGGCTTCAGGCCTGTGGGAATAGGGAGCTGGATTTCAGCGATTTGGAGCTGGGGCTGCCATAACCCGAGCCGTGTTCAGGGAGGTAGTCAGCCCCAGATTGTCCAAGGATGATAGAAAGATGGGAAATATTTGCTGACTTGGAGAATGGTGCACTATGCATGTGCATGAGTGAGAGGTGTGTGGGATGGAACTTTGTGTGTGGGGAGGGTCCTGGGGTCTTAAAGGGTGCAGTGAGGGGTGACTTTGTTTTCAGAAGCCCCCGGGGAACCTGTCATCACCACCGCAGGAGTCTAAAGGCACCTGAGGAGTGGTACCGTAATGGGAACACTGGTTGGGAGTCAGGAAGTCTGTTTTCCCCATTAGTGCTCTTATTGGGCTGGTGGTAATTAGATGTTGGGTGGCCTTCCTCAGCTAGCCTGGGAGCTCTGGGAAGCACAGGGTGAGGCTCGGCTATGAGGCACCTGGCACAAAGTAGGTACTCCATTCATTTTTGCTGAATGAATGAATTGAAGAAAGGAAGGAATGCCCAGGATTCTGGTCAAGATTCTGCCATGGTAACCTTGGGCAAATGTGGTATACAGCAAACAGCATTGGCCCTAGAGACAGACGGACCTGGGTCTGACTCCACCACTGCCTCTGGGTCTTGAGAAAATGTCTCACCCCTCTGATCCCCAGCTTTCTCACCTGTAAAATGGGGACAATGATAAAAATCACTTTACATTGTCATGAGATGTACGGAAAGGGTGGAGCACAGAGCTGATGCTCAGCAGGCATCCGCTATCAGCATTTGTTATCACTGTCATTGCTACGACTGCCTGCTGTTAGTGCCACTGTCTCCTCACCTGGCTGATGCACTGGACATCCAAGTTCCTTTGATCCTAAGTTCCCCAGGCTCTGAGGCCGACATCTGGCTGGTCCTTGGATGTGGCAGAACCATGGTGATGGTCCCCTTGGCCCCCACTTCCAACGCTCCCGCTAGGTTTTTACCGCGAGGTTGCTGGCAGCTGCTGGCCATTCTGATTGTCCAAAGTAGATAGAAAGAGAGGGCAGCATGGAAAGAGCAAAAAGAAAGGGGGAGAGAGGGAAAGCCTGCTCAGATATCAACCCTGCTGGCATCTGCCTTAGAGGTTTCTGTCTTCCACCTTCCAGGCTCTTCCAGAGAAGTGTGGAGAGGCTCTTGCCCACAAAAGGCAAAGCCAAGGACTGCAAGCATTCACAGAGTAGTAAATGAGTGAATGGGATGAGAGTCCTGGCTGGACTGTAAGGGCAAGTCACTTCCTCTCTCTGGGCCTCAGTTTTTCCATCTGTGAAATGGGGATATAATAACTCCTTTATACAATTCTTGGGACAAAAACATATGTTAAAGGCTCAAGAAAGTAGTGATGATGGTCATCATCCCCACACATCATGTCTTTTGTGGGTATTTACAGTTACTCCCCCTGAATTCAGTGAGTGGCTGTGGCTCAGTCCCATAAATACAACCACCAGTATTGGCAGTGGGTGTTTGTAAAGCCAACAGTATTTCCTATCCATTTTCTCTTATTAGGAACAGCAAACAAAGGAATAAGCATTTCAACTTCATAGCCCATCACTCCACACTATTGTGTGGCTTCAGCTACACAAGTTCAGACCTGTGTTTTTCCCAACTGGCCTTGGTGCTATGATCTTTTAAAGTAGACGTTGCTTAGCCTCAAATCCCAAATTCAACAGTAGTGGAAAGGGCTTAGCAAAGCCTTGAGGTCTCTTCCTGTCCTCCCTTCTCCTTTGCACAGGCTGACAGCTAAGAGTAACACTGGCAGTGAATTGAATTATCTGAGCCTCCCTCACCTGCTCCTGCCCTGGGGGTTCTAGGGTATTTTGCTTTTATTGCTAATCTCAGAAACAAGATCAATTTTTTAAAAAAATATATTTTCTTTTTGCATCAAATATTGAAGCGGTTTATCCATTCACTCATTTGTACCCACATTTAAACACAGATATACCTGCCCACATCTTCTATACCACCAACTCTACCACCTCCCTCAACTCCACCACCTCACTCAACTCCACTACCTCCATCAACTCAATCCATTCCCTCACCTGTCCCACCTCCATCACCTCGACTGTCTCAACTGCCTCCACCACCTGCATCACCTCCTTCAACTCCACCTCCACCACCACCACCTCCTTCATCTCCTCCAGTTCCACTACATCCACATCATCTATCAATTACACCACCTCCAACTCTTCCACTACCATGGGGTATATTATGTCCTCCAGTTATGCCATGATTTCCACAACTACGTCCATCACCCTCTCCACCTCTACCACCACCACCTCGACCTCCTCTCCACCACCACTAGTTTCTACTACCACCTCTCCCTCCTTCACCTCCAACACCACCTCCACCATCTCTGTTTCTGCTACTACCACCTTTGCTACCTCTACCACCTCCACCATCACCTCCATCTCCATCCCTGCCACACCTCCATGCATGGACCCATAAAATGTATCAAGAGCCTGTCTAAGTAACACCAAATTCAGCCACAGATTTTCTATTCGAGTCACAAGTATTTCTCCACAGAAGCCTGGAGGATTAAGGACTCTGGGGCAGCTCAGAGATGGAAAGGACTTTGAAAGGATCAAATTCAGTTCCCAATTTTACAGCTGGGGAAATCAGATCCGTCTCCAGCACCACCTCTGGACACTCCTCCAGCAGGCCAGGCCTTCTCCCACCTCGGTGAAGTCTTTGCCCCAGCAATTCCTCCTACTGGGAAGGCCTCTCCTCTGGTTGAACCCTCCGCACTGGGGTCCTCCTCTGAGCTCCCACAGGCGCCTGTGCATTCCCATCCCAGCACGAGCCTCGGGGTAGCAGAACTATCTGTCTGTGTCTGTGTGGACAAGCAGACTGGGAACTCCTGGGAGGTGGAGACTCCTCCACCTGGCAGGTCTGAGTCATCTATGTCGCCAGGCAGGTACCTGTGAGGGGCTACGCGGTGTGTGCTGAGTGGATAAGGAAAGGCTTCTCATTAACTGGGTCTCCCTTCCAATGTCACCTCCTCAGGGAGGCCTTCCTTGATCACCCAGTCTCTACTCCGGTGGTTCTCAAACCTGGAGGGTTTGATAAAACACGGGGTTTCTGATTCAGTGAGGCTGGGGAGGGTCCCAAGAATGTGCGGCGCCATCTGAGAGCCATCGCTCAGCCCTATTGCCCTGGTTTCCCTCCCTCGCTTTGAAATGGTGTCTCCAGCGACTTCCTCCCGTCTACGCTCCATGAGGGCAAGAATCTGGGGCTGTCTTGTTCCGTGCTCAGCGCAGAGGCTGGCGCGGCACTGAACGAATACCCAGAGTTAAAAATAAAGGGATAGATGGTCCGCTGGGCGAAGGAGCCAGGAACACCCCAGAAACCCAACTCGCTGAGTTCTCGTCCTTCGAACCCCCAGCGCCTCCCGCGGTGCCCATGGCCACGGCCCCTTTAAATGTGCGCAGGGACGCCCCGGCCCTCGCCTCCCTGAATCTCTGACCGAGCAGGGGAAAAAAAAATCCTTCCTCTTCGGGAGCGGAGGAAATGTCTAGGAGGGGGTGGAGGCGCGGCTGCGGCGCAGGCAGAGGCGCAGGCGGAGGCACGGCGGCCAGAGCGCAGCGCGCCCGGAGCCGGGAGCGGACGCGACGCCCGGCGCTGCCCCAGCCGCCGCCCCCGCGCTCGCGCCCCCTCCTCCTCCCCCGCCCCGCGCCCCCGCCCGGCGGCCCCGCCCCGGAGGCTCGCGGCTCGCGCCCCCACTGCCCTGCGCGCCGCGCGGAGTCCGAGGCGCGCCGGGGCCGGGCGGGCGCCAGGGGGTGCGGGCCCCGCGGGGCGGCCGCGGAGGGAGGCGGTGTGCGGAGTCGCACTGGGACCCGCGGACGGACTGAAACGCCGACGGCGGCCCGGGCCCCGCGCGCTGAAGATGAACAGAGCAGGTAGGAGGCCCGGCGACCTCCGGCGCCGAGGCACGAGCGCGAGGGACCCCGGCCGGGCGCTCCAAGTTGGAGCTCCCGGGGAGCCCGGGGCTAGCTGCCCGAAATCCTCCGACCTTCCAGTGCCGCTCGGCCTCGGCCAAAGCATGCGCGGCTCCGGGGTCCTCTCGCCGAGGAGGCTGAGAACCGGGGGTCCCCGTCCGAAGCGCCCTGCCTCAGGGACCTTCTCAGCCTTGGCGAGGCCGCGCCCTGGCCGTGCGCGCCAGTATCCCACTCGCACGGCGTTCCCCGGAGTGAGGGTCCCTTCCACGACGAAGAAAGACGCCCCTTTCGCAAAAGCGACTTCGTCTGGCCCCAAAACCTTTGCCCTCCATTCCCCAGCGTCCCGGACCGGTCCTTGCTCATCTCTCAGGGGCAACACCTGACCCACGGGGCCCGTCCCGGAGCTCTCTTCGACTCCGGGACCAGTTCCCAGCCCTTCAGTACTCGGCATACCGGAAGGAGGATTCCTGCTCCCTTCTCTCCTCCTAGACCCCGAGGCTTGGAGCTTACTCTCCAGATGAGACTAAAAAGCCCTAAATTAATCCCCCTATAGCGCACCCCTCCCTCGCAGCGCCCTGGTCGGGGGCCTCCATTGTGCCTCCCCTAGGGGACCCAATGCCAAGGGGACGCTCCTCGCCGCCGCGCTGAGCCGCTCCAGGTTCCCCCACCCCCAGTCCATCGCGTTCCTGCTCTATGAATTTGACTCCCCCAGCTCATCCCTGCAGTTCAGAGATTCCGTGAAATCAAAATGTGTTTGAAATCGCAGGGATCCCTCCAGAGTAGTGCCATTTAACGGATTTAGAAAGCGAGACTCGGAGATGGGTGGTGCATGGAACCCAGTCCTCGGGATTCCCAACGCCATCTAAGGGGAGGGCAGAAAGTTCCCTTAAGATGAGAGTTTGCAAGGGAACAGTCCCAGCTAACTTCATCTGCCTGCCAAGGAGCAATCACCACTCTATTTTCTTTTTCTCACAGAATTTAGTAGAAGGCAGCCCGCTCCCCGACCAACACCCTTGTCCAAAGCCATACTCCAAAACACACATCCCTAAAGAAACAGGAAGCCACCATTTTGGCTGTCTTGGAACCATATCCTGCTGGTGTGTGTGTGTGTGTGTGTGTGTGTGTGTATGTATGTGTGTGTGTGTGTAGGATTTTTTCTTTTAAAAATCTTTTTAATGAAAAAAAGTCATTGTTTTAGCAGTGAGGTGCAGGCTGCGCGTTTAGACAGTCTGGGAGTGTGGCAGCCACCTTCCATGTCCAGGCCCTGTTATTGCTGGGCATACAGGCCCCTGGACAGTTAGTGAGTGTGGGTCACAGAACTGGGGAGCAGGATCGGGGGTGCCACTTTGTGGGAATGGAAGAGGCTGAAACAGAGGCCCAGAGCCCAGCCAGCCACTGCTTGGAAAGGGGGTTGCCTCCTGCCTGTGCTGGCGTGGCTGAACAGAGCCAGGCTAGCTTTTTCCTACACTCCTAATAAAACTCGCTTTATAACAATGGTGAGAGCGTTTCCAGTTTTCCCACGTTTTCCTGCATGAGGCTTGGGCAGACCCTCCCTTCTCTGAGAATCTGGGGGATGGAGTGAGTCGGAATAAACTTAGAGGCAGGTTTGGTCCCAGGAAATCTTAGCCGTTGTCGCTCTTGGGTTCAGCCTTCCTGTAATTTGTCTCCAGTGTAAACCTGGTTCCTTTTTCAATGTGATGGTAATGATACCAGCCTCACATTCAGGCCGTGCCCCATGGTCTGAATTTCCTGATCACATGGCATGGTGGTTCACAGACTCCATAGGACTGAATCTCAGAACCATCATATGCTTAGTTATGTGACCTTAAGCAGGTTATTCAACCTCTCTACACCTGTTTCTTTATCTGAAAAATGGGGTTGGTAAGATTAAATAGACTAAAACACGTAAGGTGCCTAGAAAGAACAGTGTCTGTAGCAGAGCAACCAGTAAATACCAGCTAATATTTATTGGGTACTTAATATGACTTGGTATTGCTTTTAGGTGTTTTACTTCTATCAGTTTATTTAGTTTTCACAGTCATCTTATGAGTTGAGTACCATTGCCATCCCCATTTTATAGATGGGAAAATTGAGGTGCGGAGATTTTATGGTCACTGGCTTATTGAAGGGCTGAGACAAGATTGAAACCCAGGCTGTCCAGCCTGAGAGCCTGCTTTTTTATCCAGTGCCTAACACGTAGTAGGGTGTAGGAAATGTCTGCCAGTCGACTTTATTAGGCATCATGTCTGTTATTTTCCGGAACTTCTCAACGGCCCTATGAAAAAAAAGGGGGTATTTCATCATTTTACCAAAAAGGAAACTGAGGCTCAGAGAGGCAAAATGATGTGCCCAAGATCACAGAGCTGACGTATAGCAGAGATGGGATGGGAGCCCAGCCTTCCTGAGCGTGAGCATGCTCTTCCCACACTGTCCTGTGCTGTCTTCCTGGTAGTGCCCTGTCGTGGATCACTGGACCAGCCTAACAGCAGCCTAATTAGAAATCATCAGGCTTGGCTTGGACATTCCAGCAGGCACCCAGGAATGAAAGTTAAATTAAGATGTAATTGGAAGGTGAAATTGGAAGATAATTACTCTTGTAACATATGGTTATGAGAGTTCCAGGGGGAGTATAGTGAACTGCAGCTGAAACAGACTTTGTAACTGAAGATGGGATGTCAGAGGGTGTCTTAAGAAGAGCCAGGAGTTTAGAAGGCTGTGGTCGGCCAGAGCAAACCAGACTGACTGACTGGTCCCGTCCCCTCACTCTGCAGATGGGGAAGCCGAGGCCCGAAAAGGGGAAGGGACTTGCCCAAGATCACACCTCCAGTTAAGGCAGAGCCAGGTGTGAAGATCAGGGCTCCTGGCTCCCCATCCAGTGCTCCTGGCTCCCCATCCAGTGCTCCTCCCAATACCCCTGCTAATTGAACTTCTACATAGCCAACAAGGGAGCAGCAAGCATGAACATGTGAGTGACAGATATTTAATTAAAATAGAGAGAGAAAATATAAACTGGTGCCAGGGGGCTGGCTGGGGATGATTTCTATCACTAGAAGCTGTTAAAAATCTCTTCCTCCTGTCAGTGCGATTCCCCCACCCCCTAGTTAACTCCTGCCATCTTGGCTCAAAGGGTGTTTGGAGTTTGAGTCATCCTCGGGCATAGCAAATTGCCAGGAGGCCCTGGGCATTAGTAACTTAGGGTGAGGAGGGTCCGACCCCCAGGCTCCGTGATACAAGGAGAGAGAAGGTTCACACCATAGCCTTCTCCAGAGGAACTCAGGGGGCCCAGAAGGTCCACCAGCTACATCCATGCTGGGTTCTGGACAGGGAATCCAGAGAAGGAAACCACAGCTCTGATTTAGCCTATAGTTTCGCCCTACCATACCCTAAAGCTCAGCATACCCTAAAGTTCCCTGGAATGCTCTATCCAGGTGGAGCCTATTTTTTAATTGTGAAAATCCTCCTGTCCTTCAACTTGCACTCAGTGCTCTCTCTTTTCTGGGTCTTCTCTAGGCAGAATTGCCCTTAGACCTAGATAACATGATGCTGAGGTCAGGAGCTCCATCTGGCTCCCTTTTGTGATGCGGGTGAGTAGGAGGGGACAGAGCTGGATGCTCTCATACTCTTGATTTGTTTGCACCCTCCTCATCTCTGCTGGCTGGGGCCCCCAGAGCTCCCTCCTTGGCCCTGCCCTCTTCTCTGTCCACACTCATGCCTCTGGTGATCTCAACAGGCTCCTGCCTTAAATTCCATCTCTATGATGGTGACCTCCGGCCAGACCTCTCTTCAGAAGCCAGAGCCTGCTTGACATCTCCAGCTGCTTGACATCTCCACCAGGGTGTGTAGTAGGTGACTGTGAATGGAGTTTGACCCGTGCAAACTGAAATTCTGGATTTCCCTCCCCAGCACCTGCAGTCTTTCCTGTTCCAGTTGGCAGAAACTTCAGCTTTCTAGTTGCGCAGACTCAAAACCTTGGTGTCGTTCTTGACTTTTCTCTTTCTTTTACACCCCACATTCATATGGTCAGCAGATCCCCTCAGCTCTCCCTTCCTGTTGAGAATCTGACCTCTTTTCACCTCAGCCTGGTCCAAGCCTCCATCATCTCTTGCTTGGATAATTGCAGGAGTCTCCTCACTGGTCTCCCTGCTTTCTTCCTCACCATTTCAGTTTATTTCAACACATTAGCCAGAATGTGCATGTCCCTCTGCTCAAAACCCTGCAGTGGCTTCCCACATCACTCTGAGTCAAAGCCCTGCATAATCTGCACCCTCCTATGATTCCTTTCGCCTCATCTGCTTCTCCTGCTCGATCACTCCGTCCCATCTGGCCTTGCCGGCCTCTTCGCTGTTTCTTGGATGCCAAGTGAGTCCTAGCTTTCCTCACCACTTTCGTGTCTTTGCTCACATGTCCTCTCAGTGAAGCCTATGCTGGTCACTCTATCTAAAATCGCAAAAAAAAAAAAAATACTCCTAATCATTTTGCATAGACTTTATCATCATCTAGCATATGATATGTAATGTACTTACCCTTTCTCTTGCATATCTCCCACCACCTCTCAATACAAGGTCCCTGAGTCTGGGGGCTTTGTTATACTTATTGATGTATCCAAAGAATCTAGATTAGGGCCTGGCACATAGTTGGTACTCAATAAATATGTATTTAATGGAATTAGACTAAGAGAAATTGAATGGGAGCAAATTAAAGCTAGTTGTTCACTTTTTGGTCAGTTAGTAGTTCTGAGCCCTGGACGCAGCCTTACATACATTTTTTAACTGCCCAGCTGTTTCTGGTCACCGTGGCCTTAGTTTCCCTGCATTTTACCCTTCTCTGCTTCACCAGATGCTGGGACCTCTGAGTCTCCATCATAGAGGAAACACTCTGTGGCAAAAAGGGGATGGCAGAGGGTCAGGTGACAACACTAGAAAGCCGGAAACGCAGGTTCTACCAGGGCCCTGCTCTGGACTCGCTGGGTAGCCCCACACCAGCCACTCACCCTCTCTGTGCCTTAGTTTCCTCCTCCTTCAGTGAGGGTCAGATGAAGCCTTTCTTCTTTTGGCTTGCCTTGATCTCAGAAGGGATGTGGCTGAAGCACTCTGCGCCTGGGGCTGGGAGCACAGGACAGGCGCTGAGTGTTTGCCATTCCCAGAGGCTCCTGTGGGGAAGTCATTTTCTTGCAGGATCATGCCTCAGACACCCACCATAACCTTTCCCTAGGAGACAGTGCCTTCAGATCAATAGCTTGATTGGATGAAGGATTGGGTGGGACGGGGGTGATATAGCCAAGGTGATGGTCATTTTTCATGGCCCACCTGTCCCTTTGTCCTGTCTCATGGCACCCATGTGAAATGCCCACCTGTTAAGGATAAGAAATGAGAGTCCCACCCCCAAAGAATAATTTCGTGCCAATGCCTGCCACCCAATGTTGACAGTGTGAAGCTCATATTACGCAGTGTATCAGTGTAGAGCAAGACTTCAACCAAGGGAAGATCTGGGGTAGGCAAAGATGGACTTTATCTGAACAACAGCTACTATTGAGTATTTCTATGTGAAGGCCTGCTATTGAGCCCTTTTGATATGTAGCCTTTAATTTTTAAAACAATCCATTGAGGGTAGGTGCTGTGTGGTACCCATTTTACAGATGAGGAAACTGAGGCTGAGTTTCATAGCTGATAAGTAGCAAAGTCAGGATTTGACCCAGATCAGCCAGGCTCCAAAGGCTCCCTCTGTTACCCTACTCTAACAGGTAGCTGAAGCATATCTTTTTAAGCTCCCATGTTTTGTTTTTCACTAATATGGATAGACGCTTTTCTAAACTAGGACACACGTGACTGTGTACGGAAACAAGGAGTTTGATAGTCACTATTTCTAGAAGATTCTGGGTCATTGTATGGATGTCAGTGGCTGGCCTGGGCATTGATGTGGATGAAATGGTGTGGATTAGGGGTCTGATGCAGTGGCTGTTTTAACCTTTAAACCCATTGGCACTGATACCAACTTTGGCTTCAGAAATACTGAAATTGAGGTGCCAGTGGTACAGTCCCATGGAGATGTCTAAAACCAGTTAGAGCTGTGCTGGACAGTACCGTAGCCACCAGCCGCATGTGGCTCGTGAGCAGGTAAAATGTAGCTAGTCTAAATTGAAGTGTGCTGCAAATGTAAAATGCATATTAGATTTGGGACACTTAGTATGAAAAAAGAGTGTCAAACACCTCATTAATACATTTTATATATTGATTACATATTGAAATGATAATATTTGGATATATTGAGTCCAATAAAATATATCGTTAAAATTACTTTTACTTTTTTTTGAGACGGAGTTTTGCTCTTGTCACCCAGGCGGGAGTTCAGTGGCTCAATCTTGGCTTATTGCAACCTCTGTCTCCCAGGTTTAAGTGATTCCTCTGCCTCAGCCTCCTGAGTAGCTGAGACTACAGGCGTGTGCCACCACACCCGGCTAATTTTTGTGTTTTTAGTAGAGACGGGGTTTCACCATGTTGACCAGGCTGGTCTCGAACTCCTGACCTCAAGTGATCTGCCCACCTTAGCTTCTGAAAGTGCTGGGATTACATGTGTGAGCCACTGCACCCAGCCTTACCTATTTATTTTTAATGTGCCTACAAGATAATTTAAAATTGCCTATGTAGTGATACATGTGGCTCACATTCCAGGGACAGCCCTGGATTAGAGATTAGTAATGTTAGATGTTTCAGGGACAACACTGGGCCTAACATGAGTGGGAAGAGAAGAGTTTGCTGGCAGAGATCTCCCGGCAGTCTGCTTCATCTTCCCTCCTGTTAGGAGCCAGGCTGTTATTTTGAGGCCACTTGTGTCATACCCAAGCCTTAGTGGGAATGGAGCTGGGAGATTAGACCAGGCTGAAGGAGAAACGTGGGAGTCCTAATCTATGGGTGGCAGGGATCCATGCAGTACTTTTGAAGCAGAGATGTTGGGATGGAGATGGATTCTATGCCCGCAGTATGCAAGGGAGCTTAGGGGGCCAGGCAGGTGACAAGGAAGCCAGGGAGGAGGCATGGGCAGTCTTGTAGCAGAGAGATGCTGAGCTCAAAAGTTGGCAACCACTCATTTGACCGTTCCCCTTCTCTAGATCCTTCTTATCCTGCAAATCTTAGCTAAAATATCACCTTCTTTAAGAGGTCTTCCCTGGCCACAGCAGCCCATGCTTCTCTAATTCCAGTTGCATTGTAGTCTGCACCACATCTTTTATTCTGCCATGGTCAGAAGGTCCTCAGCATCCACAGATATCCATGTGGCAAGTACATCCTTTTCCAGAGATCCATGTTGGCACGTACTATATAATTTCTCCCATGAAATTTGCATGCCCATGAAATTTGGGTGTAGGCCTGGCTGGACACAGTCCTGAAGCATGCAGATTCCAGACGTGACCCCCAGCAGAAGCACACATCACTCTTTCAAACCTTTGGCGTGTCATTCATGAAGGGATGAAATGGCAGCTATTCAGTCATAATATTCCAAGGGTCCCCGGCTCTACCCTCCAGTTGTTGTAACTCAACTGTGAGTTCTCAGCAGAGTCTGTTTTCTCTTCTTGACCCTAGGAGACCCTGCCATCTGCAGTGCTGTGCGTGTAGCTAGTGGGTACCCAATGGAGTAGCTGTAGAAGGGGGGATGTAAGCTCCATGAGGGCAGCAGGGAGGGTGACAGCAAGTTCAGCCTTTTCCCATGGTTGCTGGGTCATAGAAAGTGTTTATCAGTAGCTGCTGGATGAATGAATGCACTGACCTGGACACTTCATTTGAGGAGCACAGGATTTCATTTGGTTGATTTTCGTTAGTTGGGCTGCGTGTAGAAGAAAGGTCTGTTCACTTTGTTTACAGAATGAATCTTTAGTGGAAAATCAAGGGGTTTTAAAGATTCTGGTGGAGGGCATAAGCCTAAGACAAAGCACGGGAGGTGGGCTTCACATGGATGGACGGAACCATCTGTGGCGTCCCCTGCAACTGGTGTGTAGGAGACTCTGAATGGCAATAAAGTTAATTGTACTTTTTCTCCTTTTCTCTATTTTTGTCATCTAGATTCACCAAAACCACCTGTCGCTCCCAAGCCAAAGACTACCAGTCCACTGACGCCAGTGACCGCGCCCAAATTCCCTTCCTCAGCCAGGCCCGAGAGTCTTCACAGTCCAAACTCCATGTTCAGGGGTCCGAAGCCCCCCATTGCCCCCAAGCCCAGGCTGACTGCCCCAAACGAGTGGAGAGCCAGTGTGTACCTGAATGACAGCTTGAACAAATGCAGCAACGGGCGGCTGCCCTGTGTAGACAGGGGGCTTGATGAGGGGCCCCGGTCCATCCCAAAGTGCTCTGAGTCGGAGACCGACGAGGATTACATCGTGGTCCCCAGGGTTCCGCTGAGGGAGGATGAACCCAAGGACGAGGGCAGTGTGGGGAACAAAGCCCTGGTGTCTCCCGAGTCCTCTGCGGAAGAGGAAGAGGAGCGTGAAGAGGGAGGCGAGGCATGTGGCCTGGAGGGTACAGGAGCTGGTGAGGATTCAGTGGCCCCTGCTGCTCCGGGTGCAGGAGCGCTGAGCAGGGAGGGTGAGGAAGGCACAGACCTTGCTCTTGAGGATGAAGGGGAGGGCTGCGCTGATGAGCCAGGGACACTGGAGCAGGTGTCCAGAAGTGAGGAGGAAGAGAAGCTAGTGCAGCCACACAGGGAGTGCAGCCTGGAGGACAGTGGGCCTTGGGCTGGAGAGGGGGTCTTCCAGAGCGACCTCCTCCTGCCTCACATCCATGGAGAGGACCAGGAGCCCCCCGACACCCCCGGGGAGGCAGAGGAGGATGATGAGGAAGGCTGTGCCAGCACAGACCCAGCAGGGGCAGATGAGGGTTCGGGTCCTGACAGGCCCACGGAGGACATGGGACAGGATGCTGAGGACACCAGTGAGGAGCCCCCTGAGAAGGAGGAGCTGGCCGGGGTCCAGGAGGCAGAGACAGCCACAGACTGCCCTGAAGTTCTTGAGGAGGGATGTGAAGAGGCCACGGGTGTCACAGGTGGGGAACAGGTTGACCTCAGTGAACCACCTGACCACGAGAAGAAAACCAACCAAGAAGTGGCAGCCGCCACCCTGGAGGACCATGCACAGGATGAGTCCGCCGAGGAGAGCTGCCAGATTGTCCCTTTTGAGAATGACTGCATGGAGGACTTCGTGACTTCCCTCACAGGAAGCCCCTATGAGTTCTTCCCAACTGAGAGCACCTCTTTTTGCAGCGAGAGCTGTTCTCCTCTTTCTGAATCAGCGAAAGGTTTAGAATCAGAGCAGGCACCAAAGCTGGGGCTGCGTGCGGAGGAGAACCCCATGGTGGGGGCTTTGTGTGGCCAGTGTGGCTCCCTACAGGGTGGAGCGGCCGAGGGTCCCGCAGCCCCTGATGTGGTGGTCGTGCTGGAGGAGGAGGCCTTGGATGATGCACTGGCCAACCCCTATGTGATGGGAGTGGGCCTGCCCGGTCAGGCGGCCCCTGGAGAAGGAGGGCAGGCTGCATCGGACGCCCTGGGTGGTTATGGCTCGAAAGAAGAATTGAACTGTGAGGCAGAGGGTGGCCTGGTTCCCGCGGACAGGAAGAACACCAGCACGAGGGTCCGGCCCCACTCTGGGAAGGTGGCCGGCTATGTCCCAGAAACCGTCCCTGAAGAAACCGGACCTGAGGCGGGCTCGTCAGCCCCTGGCATTGGAGGTGCCGCAGAGGAGGTGGGAAAGACGCTTTTGTCATTGGAGGGGAAGCCCTTGGAAGCCAGCAGGGCCTTGCCAGCAAAGCCCAGGGCCTTTACTTTATACCCTCGGTCGTTCTCCGTGGAAGGCCGAGAGATTCCAGTGTCCGTGTACCAGGAGCCTGAGGGGTCAGGGTTGGATGACCACAGGATAAAGAGGAAAGAGGACAATCTCTCTCTGTCGTGTGTAATTGGCTCCTCTGGGAGTTTCTCCCAGAGAAACCACCTTCCGTCCAGCGGCACCTCCACGCCTTCTTCCATGGTCGACATCCCACCTCCTTTCGACCTGGCCTGCATCACCAAGAAGCCCATCACAAAGAGCTCTCCCTCACTCCTGATCGAGAGCGACTCCCCGGACAAGTACAAGAAGAAGAAGTCATCCTTTAAGCGCTTCCTGGCACTGACGTTTAAGAAGAAGACGGAGAACAAATTGCATGTGGATGTGAACGTGTCTTCCTCTAGGTCCTCTTCAGAGTCCAGCTACCACGGGCCTTCCAGGATTCTGGAAGTTGACCGGAGAAGCCTCAGCAACTCCCCTCAGCTTAAGTCTCGGACTGGGAAGCTCCGGGCTTCTGAATCCCCCTCCTCCCTCATCTTTTATAGAGATGGCAAGAGGAAAGGTGTCCCCTTCAGCAGGACGGTGTCCAGAGTGGAGTCCTTTGAAGACCGCTCCCGGCCGCCCTTCCTGCCCTTGCCACTGACCAAGCCACGGTCCATCTCCTTCCCCAGCGCTGACACTTCAGACTATGAGAACATTCCAGCCATGAACTCGGACTATGAGAATATCCAGATTCCACCCCGGAGACCTGCCAGGGCTGGCGCGTTCACGAAGCTGTTTGAAGATCAGAGCAGAGCCCTGTCCACAGCAAACGAAAATGATGGCTACGTGGACATGAGCAGCTTCAACGCCTTTGAGAGCAAACAGCAGAGTGCAGACCAGGACGCAGAAAGGTACCTGACATTCTATTTCCTTTCTTGTTCGGCAGCTGTAACTGTCCAGGAGGCAGCGTGGGTGTGGGGGACAGATGGACTTGCTTTCCAGCCTCAGGCTCTGTTTCTTACTAGCTGTGTTGACTTGGGGTGAGTGGCTTTATATCTCTGAGCCTCGGTTACTTCATCCGTGAAATGGGACTCATGCTACCTCATGGTAGAGAGTTTAAGAAAATCAGAGTAAGGCCGGGCGCAGTGGCTCATGCCTGTAATCCCAGCACTTTGGGAGGCCGAGGCGGGCAGGTCACAAGGTCAAGAGATCGAGACCATCCTGGTCAACATGGTGAAACCCCGTCTCTACTAAAAATACAAAAATTAGCTGGGCATGGTGGCATGCACCTGTAATCCCAGCTGCTCGGGAGGCTGAGGCAGGAGAATTGCTTGAACTCGGGAGGCGGAGGTTGCAGTGAGCTGAGATCACGCAACTGTACTCCAACCTGGCAATAGAGCGAGACTCTGTCTAAAAAAAATAAAAAAAAAAGAAAAGAAAAAGAAAAAAGAAAATCAGAGTAGATATTCTGTGTGAAAGCAGTGTATAAGATGCCAAATACGGTACATGTGAAAGCATTTTTGTTTACATTATTTGGGAGACAGTTCTCGTTATCTCCTAGGTAGATGGCTTTGCTACTCGCCTCTGAGACAGTCACCAAGACAGAAGGTTCTGGAATCTTGCCAAACTAAATATCTTTCACATCAGGAAAATACCCTAAATTGAGATTGGCACCTTTTTATTGAGTAAATATACACTGTATTCAACAGGGAACTAGAAAAGACTATTTAAATTGTTTAAAGAGCTGATGGTGCCCTGAGCTAAATTACTGAATGGAAGTCTTTAAGAGCTACATCCAAGCTTGTTTTTTTTTTTTTTTAATTGATTCACTTTGGAAGTGAGAGTGAGACACTGAAGTTATTGAACAGCAGTGGGGGTGTTCTGACCTCACCTTCCCAAGACTCTGAATGCCCCTCATTGATCATCCCGAGTGGATAATTGCCAAATCTTGCCATTCCTTATGGAATTGTGGACACAACTTAAAGGTGATGCAGTTTGCCCTGAACCATCCTCATTGTTTGGGGGCACCTGATCTGAATTAACGAGAAACAAAAGTGGTTGTGATTTTAAAAGAAACCCTCTGATTCTTTTCCCTCATGTGCAGAAACTTAAACCAGTCCTACTCAGCTGTTGCTGCTAGGAATTCCTAGGGGACCCGCAGTCTTGACTAGATAAGGATGATTTGCAATTAGCATTAGCTGTTGTTGGAGTAGAGCTGCTAGGAAGTGTTTGCATGGATAATTCTCTTGAGTATTTTGCATGGTTCGCCATCCTGGCTCCATCTTCTCACTATCCCAAGTCTGGGTAAGGCGATTTATTTATTAGTTCTTTCTAAGATGAGAAGATCTGTTTGCCAGAGCAAAGGTAAACACCAGCACAGCCCGAGGGACTGAGTTTAGTTTGGAGAATGTGGACTCGTGCGAGCTGCAAGAGGGGTAGAGAGGCAGAGTCAGCAAGTTCATTACATTAATAACAATCGGCAGGGGTGGACAAGACCCATCCCCCAGCTGAGTGCCTCCTAGCACTGAGGAAAGCAGAACCAAGCTTTACAACAATAAACTCTCCGTGCTGGTCAGAGACCGCCCACCTCTAACAGGTGCTTACCCAGTGTACTTGAAATCCTCCAGCCACAGGGAACCCGTCACTCCCAGAGCTGCCTCATCGGGTGCTGGGTACTCTGATCATGAGGAAGAGTTTCTCTGTGACTGAGGCATATACTGTTCCCCTCTAATATCCCTCCCCTACTCATGGTTCTTCTCTCTCAAGCCAGGTGAGGGAGCTTATTTCATCTTTTTTACAATAGCCCTTCAAAAATTGAAATCTGCCTCTGTAGAATCACAGAGTTTTATAGCTGGAGGAAACTTCAGACACAAGTCCTGTTACAGAAGAGGAAACTGTGACACAGAGAGGAAAAGGCACTTGCGTAAGATCTCTCAGTAAGTTACTGGAGAAATCAGTGTCCAAACCCAGACTTCTTGACTTCTGGATCAGGAATTTGTAGTGAATTATGTGAGGGGATGCCAGGTCTGGTTGTGCAGGCTGCGCATTGTACAATCACAAGAGCAAGTCCTTCACCTTTCATCTATGTATGGTGCCACCTGGGGTGTGCAGTGCACAGGCTGCTTGGCTATATGTGAAGGACCTGTTGCCTTGATCTGTACTTTGTGCAAAAAAACCAAACAAAAAGGACTTTTCATCCGGACAGTTATGACAATAGGGAATAAAATATCTAAGACAACGCTAAAGCTCCTGGATCGTGACTGTTTACTGCGTGCCAAGCACTGTGCTAGGTGCTTTCTTTGCATTAGCTCACGTTTGATGCTACAGCCTAGGGCCTTGGTTGAGTGTCTTGAACTGTCAGACTGAATTTCAAAAGCACGGTTGCACCACTCTGATGCTATTTCGCCAAAGGCCAGACTGACTGGAATAAATCTCCCATACAGGAACCACATCCTCTTGGACATCAGTCAGTGAGCAAAGCTTTCTTCCGCTTTCCTACATGAAACAGATGAAAGCAAAGGGGGAGAAAAATCCCCACTTTGGGCTGGAGCAGGTCTGGGCAAGGGAGGTTTGAGACGCATATCGCCAAGAGGCATGAGTGACTGCCGTGGGGCTGGGGGACCCTGCTTGTTTGCCTGAATAGGGGCTTTGAGTACAGAGTGGAGGGGATGCTGCTGATCTGAGACCTCTGCCTAGGGGTGCTTGGGGTTGGACGGGATGAGAGGGTGGGGAGGCAGTTCCTTCCTCCGCCTGCTACTTGTCCTGCCCCATACCTTGCTATAGTGTGAGGATTAGAGGCAGAAGCCAAAATAAATACCCATAGCCCTGACTGAAGGGCAGGTCAGTGCTCCAGACATGGATTCAAAGCCTAAGGTCCCAACACTTGTTATGGGACCTTGGAAGAGGCTGGGCCGCAGTTTGCTCATCTGTAAAATGGTAAGGTTGGAGCAGTTGTGTATTTCTCAACCATTCACCTTTCCTGGACTTCATTTACCATTTCCATTATACTGCCTATACTTTGACTCATTACTTTTCTTTAAATCAGCCCATCTTTTTTATTTAGAAAAATGTAATGGAAACTTTTTCTCACTATTGGGAAATGGAAAAACAGTATCAGTTGCCGTAAATAGAAGGCAATTGTAAAAATAAGATAGAACGGTAAAACAACATGGGTAAAGACTAGCTTGAGGTGATTCCTTGCCAAGGCTAGGAGCTGGAAGCCTGATCTCTTTGTTAAACAGGGAGAGGTGTTAAAGACATGCTTGCACCACACAGAGACTTTCTACCTGGCAAAACCAGAAGAATCCAAAAGGACTAAGAAGGGAAGTGATTCAGTGTTATTTAAAATCCAAGCCCTTTTTCTGCTAAAAGTATCTCCCTTCAAGAAACAGCATATAATAGAATTCAGAGAGCCCTTAGCGACCCTGAAACTGGGTGAGTAGCAGCTCAGGGTCTAATGGATGATTGTAAAGTTTCTTCTGTGTAGTTACTTCCTTTGAGATTTGCATAGATAGTAGCATGTTAGTAGCTATAGTAATACTGTTAACAGTCTTTTATAAATTTATTACCTATGTCCATTTTTTTCAATGGTATACAAAAGAAGGTTTTATCATTCTTTAGTTTAAAATGTATACCTGGGCTGAGTGCAGTGGCTTACGCTTGTAATCCCAGTGCTTTGGGAGGCCAAGGCAGGAGGATCACTTGAAGCCAGAAGTTTGAGACCAGCCTAGACAACATAGTGAGACTCCCATCTCTACATATACACTCCCATCTCTACATATATATATATATATGTACACACGCACACGTGTATAAATAGCCGGGCATTGTGGTACGCACCTGTAGTCCCAGCTGCTCAGGAGGTTGAGGCGGGAGGATCACTTGAGCTAGGAATTTCAGGCTGCATTGAGCTGTCATCATGCCACTGCACTCCAGCCTGGCTGACAGAGCAGACCCTGATTCAAAAGAAAAATGAAATGAAATGTATCCCTGAAGCATTCTTTGTTCCCTGAATTGATGCTCACTTAAAAAAAAAAAGTTTTCAGCAGAGATCTAGTCCAACACCCTTAGTTTCCAGATAGGCTGTCTTATGTCCTAAGTCACTGACCAGTAGTCTTGGCGTGGGGAACCCAGTCTTCACCTCCGAATATCCTATAGCACCCTGATATGTTGGTTACACACTAGAAGCTTAATAAATGTATACTGATGAGTTGGTGATTTTGAGCTTCACAAGGGGAAAGAAATATCATTTATTAAATACCTGTTTTTAGCAACACAGTGCTGGATGCTTTGTATACAGTTATTACATACCTGTTTTATGCAAAACATGACACAGACTCACTTGTCCTAAATATCTCATTTAAATCTTCATCATCATATGTTTGTGTTTTGCATGATAGCAGTCAGCATTATACATCAGCACAGATCCCTGAGGCCACTTTTCCCCAACATTTTGTTATGAAAATGTTCAAAAAGTTAAGAGTTTTAGTGTGAACACCCATGTGCCCAGCACCCAGATTATACCGTGCACATGTTGCTGCACTGGCTTTCTCTCTCTCTCACTCGCTCTCTCTTTCTTCCTCTCCCTCCCTTTCTCCCTCTCTCCCTCTCCTCTTCTTCCCCTCTTCTCCTCTGCCCCTCTCCCCACTGCCCTCATCCATTAGTGCATGTTGTTCTTGACACATTTATGGTAGCTTTTTCTGTTTACAGATGAGGACACCGTGGCCCGAGGAGAGCCTGTGAAAGCACCACAGCTAAGCTCATAGGCTTTGGAGCCAAGCTGCCTGGGTATTGGTCTACACTTATTGTCTATGTGACCTAGAACAAGTTTCTGACCTCTCTGTACCTCAGTGTCCTTATCTGTAAAAGGAGACGATCATTGTACCTGCCTTGGAATGTCATTAAGACTACAGGAGTTAATACGGTACATGGTAAAATGATCAGTAAGCATTAGCTGTTATTAAGTGACATGACCGAGGTCACATAGTGGTGGATGCAGGATTTGAATTTGATTCCTGAGGCATGGAACCTGGGAGGGAGAATCTCGTTCCTCTTGCTGTGTATTTCTGTCTGTCTGTCTGTCTCTCTCACACACACACACACAACGACTGTTCTGCATGGGTTTGACTTAACGTTTAGGGCTTTACATCACATCAGTAAAACCAGGATCATGAATTTGCAAGCTTTTGCCATAGGATGTGGCATGAACTGTACCTCTGACTTCCCATGAGATGGGTTCAGGGCTGCAGGCAACATCTGAGCAATATTGATTTGGAGTCATTAGCTGCCTCGTACACCAAAGACAGCAAGACTAGGGGTTTTATGATTCCATAATCATAATAAAACTGCCTGTCTCTATTATTATGACTGTATTTGTTATTTCATTTATAACTTACAGTTAGTTAGGTAGGAATTTCCAGCTCCCATTTTCCAGGTGAGAAAACAGGCTTGGTGACATGACATGAACTCTCTTCTGTCACATGGATGATAAGTGGCCAAACCAAGGTCAGAACCCAAGTCTGTCTGACTTTCAATCCAATGCTGTTTCCACTACTACCTGTTTTCTGTGGTCGCAAATTGCCACATTTCTGGTATTCTTTTTTTTTTTTTTTTTTTTTTTTTGAGACGGAGTCTCGCTCTGTTGCCCAGGCTGGAGTGCAGTGGCGCGATCTCGGCTCACTGCAAGCTCCGCCTCCCAGGTTCATGCCATTCTCCTGCCTCAGCCTCCCGAGTAGCTGAGGCGCCCGCCACCATGGGTGGCTAATTTTTTGTATTTTTTAGTAGAGACTGGGTTTCACCATATTAGCCAGGATGTTTTCTGGTATTCTTAATCCAAACCTGTTGAGTGTCCTGCTTGCAAGAGACAGGGTGGCACAGCCACCCCCAAAGTGTTAACATTGCTTATTGGTCCAGGAGACTCAAGGAAAAGTGAAAGGACACCTTTCTTTTCTGCTGGCTGGTGGGTTTGTCGCTCTGTTGGCAACTCATCAATAAGACGAGCTTTCCTGGAACTTGCTAATGAGGTACTCAGATGTCTTTCCCTCCTGCAGGCCACAGTGGGTACCCCTGCCCTTGTGTGGCCAGCTGTGCCTGAGGAGCAACCAGAAGTTCTCGGTTTGGAGCATGCCGTCTGTTTGGAATGGAATGCTCATTAGGAGAACCTCAGAAGATTCTACCCGCCCGGGGCAGCAGCTCATGAGTGCTTGTGCATTGCAGACAGAGCAGTTAAGGATTCTGCTCCGCCAGCCCAGGGTTGTTACAGAGCTGCTTATGGTTGAAATGCAGCTCGAATTACATGCCCAGGAGTTTGTGTTTGGGCCACGTTGTGCAGCATGCGTATGAGGAGAGGGAGCAGGAAGACCCAGGAGAGTGAATGTGTTGGCTAACTGGTGATGGTTGTTTGTGAAATGACTCATTTTGGGCAAGGATTGCATGGAGTGATGTGTGGAAGGAGAGAGAGGGGGACCAGGTACCACTGCTGGCCTCAGTGGACTGAGAGTCTGGGGGTAGGAAGAGGACTTAGACCCAAGTCACTGAAATGCAAGGTAGAAAAGGCCCAGGACCCAAAGAGTAGGAGTCCAGAGGCGGGCAGGATGTCTTCATGGACAAAGTGGCACTTGAGTAGACATTGCAGGAAAAGTAGGCTTTTGACATGGAGGCAGGAGAAAGAGGAGAGAACGTACAAGAAATAAGACTCCAATGAAAATGTCTTCCTTCATTCAGAAGGTACCTCAATACCTTTATTCTGGAAAATAGGTCACATCATCTGCAGACAGGGAGGAGGATTATATGGAGGAGATGGGGTTGAAAGGCTTGAGGACTAAACACAAATACCATCTCTCTCTCATTTCTGAGTGTAACAGTAGGACATTGTGAGTGAGCCTAGCCAGTTCCCTCACTCAGTCCGCTAGCGTTCCCGGAGTATCTGCTGGTTGTCTGTGCTGTTCTAGGTAGTAGAGGTACTCAAATCCCTGCCCTCTGGAGTTTTTAGGCTGGCTGAGGAGAAAGATGGATAGAGAGGCAATTAGAGCCTAGGGTGATAAAGTGATAAAGCTTGGTTAGTGGTATATCCAGTTGGCTATGGAGTGGGCAGTAGGGGAGCCTTCAGTATCTGTAGGACATTTGAGGTGGGTCTCTTTTTTTTTTTTTTTTTTTGAGATGGAGCCTCATTCTGTTGCCTGTGCTGGAGTGCAATGGCATGATCTTGACTCACTGCAACCTCTGCCTCCCAGGTTCAAGCAGGGGATTACAGGCACTCATGACCTTGCCTGGCTAATTTTTGTATTTTTAGTAGGGATGGGGTTTCACTATATTGGCCAGGCTGGTCTTGAACTCCTGACCTCTGGTGATCCACCTGCCTCGGCCTCCCAAAATGTTGGGATTACAGGTGTGAGCCACTGCGCCCGGCCAAGGTGGGTCTTGATGGGGAGCAGGAGTTCATGATGGAGACAGTCCAGGAAGAGAAAAAGCCTGCGCTTGAGTCTGGAGAGTCGAAAGGATCTTGGAGTGTTCAGCTGGAGCTTAGGTGCATGGAGTTGGGAAGGCAGGGTGGGCCCAGTTGAGAACGCCTTGTATATCAGTGTGACAAGTGTGTACGCCATCCCCTGGGCAGGGGGGAGTCCATAGTGATTTTCAGCAGGGGAACGCCGTCGTGTGGGTGGTGCATTGCATGGATACTTTGCTGGCAGGTGGAGAACGGAGGGGATGGAGGGATGGGAAGCTGGGAGATTCGTGAAGAGATGGTTGTAGTGGTCCCCTTAAGAGAGGATGACCAACCTGGGGCTGTGGCTGCAGCCAGGGGAGGAGTGGTGTTCTGCCACCAGGATGTACACAGCAACCCTAGTTCTCCAGCGTTGATGAACTCCAGGGCTAGATTGCATCTGCCTTTGCATTTCTCTTTTCATTCTTTTGTCTTTTACAGTCTGGTCCCAAATAAAAGATTTGAGTTGGTTTCCAGTAAAAGACATAGCAAGAAATAATAGGAATTCAGTCTTTAAGAGTAAAGGAGACAAGCCGAGTAATGAAGTTGGGGGGAGGTCATTGTATGGGCCATCCAGACCGAGAATAGCGACTGCCATTGCAGTTCTGGAATCTAGCGCAAAATCTAGCATAAGCATCCCCTCCTTCCTCCTCCCCACCTGTCAGTGCACCCCCAGATTCCTTAGAATGCATAAATATTTTGCTGAAGTGATTCTCTAAGAGAGTGAAACCTGACTTTTATGTATTTTTTTTACTACCGTAGACAGCGCTGCAGCAACAAATAACACATCCTTGTAAAACCAAGGTGATTTACAGCCTCAGCTATCAATGCTCGGTGGGAATGTGACAGAGTTGCAGCTAAGCCTCCTGCTGACTGGTTCCATTGGTGCTGAGAGCCGCGTGGCTGGATTTTTGGCATATCCTAGCTGTGGTATTCACTGGTATCTTTATATCTGCCTGTAAGCCAGGAGCCTTCCTGTTATTATGTTTTTGACAAATGAACTCATGCAGAGCTTTCATTAAGTTTCATTGAAAGGACCTAGAAATGCCATGAAAATTATTATAATCTCAAAACCATCACATCCTAATGCATGTGGCTGTGCTTCTTGTTGAAATTGACTGATGAGAATACTCAGTTTTTAATTTTCTGACTTAAAATAAGACCATCTGCAGCTGTTTCTTTTAGCAATAATTTTTAATTAAATGCAATAAAATTTACAGGGAAGGACCCTAATAAGAAAATCGTGTCAGGAACGCACTCATTGTAACATTACTAGCATGATATTAAGACCCCCAACTATTTTTTTTACCTTGCAGAGCTGTAATGTAGATAAGATCCTGATTAAGTGTTAATCACAATGTGGTTTTACCTTCATAAAATCAGGGTTTCTCCCCGTAGGAGGTGTGAATATAATTCTCGCTAATAGAAGAGAGTCTTATTGTTGGAGTTCTTCGGTGAAATGTCAGCAGCAGGTCTCCTTGACCAGCTGAGCCCCAGAAGAGGAGTGAAGTCTTTGTTCCAGCTTGAGTCTGGATTTCCTTGAGGTATTTGGGCCTCACTTTCCCCAGCTTTTCAAATGGGGATGAGGCTGTCAGGCATAGCATGCAGCCAAAGAGGAGAGTTGTGTTGGTAGTCCATGCATTCCTTGAGGACAGATGTGTATCAGGTACCTATTCTGAGCCGGGTGCTGCTCTCTGAGCTCCACATACAGCAGTGAACAGACTCCTTGTGCTGGGGAGAGGCAGACAGTAAACAGACTAGTAAGTGAACACGATAATTATAGTTTATGGAAAAGAAGAATAAAAAAATCAATGTGATACAAAGTGACTGGTGGAAGACACACTTTAGACAGGGTGATCAGGGAAGGCTTCTCTGAAGAGGTGAACTTGAGTGAAACGTGAAGGATGATCAGACATCCCAAGGGGAAGGGCATCCGAGGCAGAGGGAATAGCAGGAGCAAAGGCCCTTTGTGCTGAGGCTGGAGGCCTTTGTGGGGTTCGTAGAGAGGTAAGGAGGCCAGTGTGGGTGGAGTGCAGAAGGCGATGGGAAGTCGGGTAGGCAGGGACCTTGTGAAAGATTTGGATTTTACTTGAAAGAGATGCCATTGGAGAGAAGTGTTACGATCCAAAGATACTTGAATTATCTAAGCACTTCAGATCATTTCTCTGGACTTGTATGTTTAGGGTAGGATCAGCAAGTAGTTCAAAACTGTAGCTAAGAGTATTTGCCCTTCCAAGTGGTTCTTGGGGTGTAGAGAGGCTTGGATTTAGATTGCAAGTCTTCATCAAGCTGTGTGATTTTTAAGCGGCTGGGTCTCAGGCTGCTCTCCCACCCATGACTGCTCTGGAGTGGTTTGGAACCAGTGGCGCTGAGGTCCCCCATCTGAGTGCTCTTCCCAGAAGACCATGCTAGTCCAGGGAACCAAGAGGAGACTGGCCCAGCCACACCAGAGGGAGGGTAGGAGGGAATAAGGTTGGGAAGGCTCTTGAAAAGGAGTGTGTTGAATTTGGATTTGTACCTCCAGGTGAACTGATTTGATCCGTAAGCAGTAGGGAGCTATTCAAAGTTTTAGAGCAAAGGGTGGGAGGTGCCAAGATCAGCTAGTACTCTAGTACAATTATTGTCAGCTGTGTGGGGTGAAGAAGCCACTACAGAAAGGTGCCCGAACATCAAGGGGTCAAGACATGACAACAGGCTTAGCTTCTTGTTCGCCTGTGTAGTGTGGTGGCCTTCCAGCTGTGGCTGCAACACAGTGGCTCAGTGCAGAATAAACCAGAGCTCTTGCTAGTCTGGAACTTCCCAGTGTCACGGTTCTCAGAGTGGTCAGTGATATTTGGTGGACACAGATGGCAGAACCAGAGAGGCAGCATGGCACAGCAAAAAGAGAGAATGAGCTCAAGTCTACCTCCACCCTGACCCCGCCCTCTGATCTGAGCCCCGGTTTTCTCACCTGTACAAGTGGTGGCGACGGTCTCTTCATCACTGAGCACCGTGAGGAGTCTGAGAGATAATGCAGACACCAGGGCTGAGTCAGGTCTTCAAAAAGAATATTGTCAACCTTGTACTTTCTGCTGGGAGCTGAGGCAAACAGACACTTTTACGTAAGAGGCTTCATAGAGCTCTCCCTGCACCAGGTGTTGTCACAGACCGTTTGTATGTGTTAACTCAATTCATCTGAAAAACCACCCTGAGACATAGATGCTGTTTTTTTGTCTGTACTTAGCAGATCAGAAAACTAGGGTGTAAAGAGGTTAAGGTGAGGACTTAAGGTCACACAGCTGGTCAGCAACGGAGCGAGAATTTTAACCCAGGCAGTTTCCAGCACCCAGGCTCTCAGCTCTGCTGTGTGGTTCCTTCTTTATGTGCCTCATTGTGTGCAATTTGCTGAACGTCCCTTTGGGCATAGTTATCCAGTTTTATTTTTTTAATAGAAGAGAAAACTGAGGTTCAGAGTGGCGGCATGACTTTTAAGCCAGTAAGAATGATGGAGGTAGGACCAGAGGGAGGATGTCTATAGGAATGGTTCTTGCCTCTTTCTAGTTCATCCCTTTGAGAGCTTCCTGACTCTCCAGCTGTCAAATAAGGGTACACAGTAGAGTACGAAACTTCAGGATGGAAATTTTCTTAATGCAGGTGTTCAGACTTGGACAGCCTACAGAGACTGTCCATTTGCCTGGGTTCACATGGCCAGGGAATGATGAAAAACTGTAGAGAAAAAGAACGGCACACACTATTGCAGTAACAAAGGGACAATCTTATGCAGAAGGTTTACGCTTCCTTAGATTGCCTGGCTATGCTCGGGATTGGCCCTTGGAGAATTTATTATCCGTGCTTATAATACTCAGGGTCAGCAGGACAATAAACTAATAATAATTTCTGAGCGACGAATTAATGTGTTTCATCTCGTTTCCTGAGAATGCCCCAAGACTGTCCAGCCTTCCACAGATGAAGGCAGCCACTGAGCCATGTGTCGGGGAATTCCGAGCTTGCATCTAAGAATTGTGGTGTTTCCCTGTGTTGGAGAGGCCTGATCTTTGGCTGTTTTCTGGCAAGATGAGTGTCTCCGAGTTGAGGTTGTTTTTCGGGATGATGTGACTGGTCTCTATGTAAACAGACCCATTCTCTGCATGCACAGGGTTGGGTTAGAGCCCTGGATAGGGCCCAAAATCTCCAGGTCAAGGCATAACCCAAGAACTTGAAGTTTGAGGCTTTCTTGTAAGATTTTAATTAAGAAAACGACACACGCACACATTAAACGATTCTATCTTACAGAATCTGCTCAGGAACCTCCTCTGATACAGTGAGACTTTCTCGCACTGAGAGATGTGTCCAGCAGGGTAGTCTTGTAAGGTAGTGAGCTCCCCATCATGATCAGTAATTAAGCACATGAGGCTTGCACAGGCCAGGAAGTTTGAGCTCTTGGGGTCATTTTTGGCTGGCAGATAGCATCCTGAGGAAGCAGGTGGTCCGCTATAGATACTGCCTCAATGATCCCTGAAGGGTTTCCAGACCCCAAGGCTGGAGAGGCCCGAGGTGACCAGAGGAAGATCCAGTACCAGCTCTGAGGCCAGTTCTAAAAGGCCCCTCCTGGCACAGTGCAGCAGGGCTTTCATGAAGAGTGCCCGCTTCATCCAGATCCTCTGAAATGCTGGAAGACACACCTGCCGACAAGCAGCCTCAGAAGGCAGCAGCCCCTGGGTGCTGGTGTGTGAAGTCTGCCTGGGTGTGAAGTCCTGCCTGAGTCAAGGGCCTGGCCAGGTAGAAGGGGTGGGAAGGGTGGTTATGGGGTCCTCCTTGGGGTTCCCTCCCATGCTTAATCTTGGTGGTTTTCTCAGTTTCTGTTGCAGCGGGATACTTTTTCAAATCTTACTTGGAACCCCAACATAGAAACCAAGGGTCTGTTATTGTAATTCTTTTTCATAAGTTCAAGTTTTTAACAATGAATAGGATGCCAATTAATGAGATTGTCATGGTGGATAGAAGTCTTGAAAATTGGGAGTTACGGATTGCAGTGCTGCCCGAAGAGCCTGCTGAGGGGCAATGATTTTGTGAAGTAGTATATTATGGGAGAATGCATTCTCTTAGAGTCAGATGGCTGAGTTCAAATCCCAGCTCTGCCACTTACTAGCTGTGTGTCCTTGGGCAAATTACCTAACCTCTCTGTGCCTCAGTCTCTTCATCTGTTAGAAGAGGGGAAATGACACTAGATAGCTACCTCAAGGAGTTATTGTGAGGACTGAATGAGTTAATGCTTGCAAAGAATTTAGTAAGAGCCTGGCAGTTTGCAAGTGCTCACTGCACTGGAGCCGTTATTACTAACACTATAGCACTGTCTGTATCCATGAGATTCAAACTAGACATTCATGAGTCCTCACTCACAGGAGCCTAGGGTTTCTGAGGAATGCAGTTTGAACACCCTACGTCATCTCACATAGTCGGGCTTTTGATAAGAGCTATCTGTCAGGTATACATATTTGTAAGTCTTTTTTACCAATAATTTAATCAGACGTTTGCAGAACCCTGTGCCACACACAGTAGGGGAGGTGGAAAATGGCTCCTGTTCATTTTTTGTTCTGTAGAGGGAGAGAAGCCACAGGCGGGGCATGTAAGAAGCAGTTTAAGGGGTAAATAGCTTTTGGATCTTAAATTCCTGGGTTGTATTTTGTCCCTTGCCTTCTATTTTACAAGAACGGAAATGAAGTTAACAATGTAAATGGTGAAAGAAGCAAGCTTCAGCAGACCCCGCGATCTGCCACTGCATTATATGTGATATCATTAATCCTCCCAACCGCCGTGCAAGACCAGGATCATCAGCCCCATTTTACAGGCAGGAAAACTGAGGCTTTGAGACATCACATGGCAGAGGAGGCAAACAGACAGTCCGAAATCCCAGAGCAGGCCCCACAAGGCACACACAAGGACCCAGCGGTGCTTTCCCCTGGCAAGCGTTGCCCCCGCCTTAGGAAATGGCGAGCCACTCTCACAGTGGGTGTGCACAGAGAGGCCAGGTGAGCAGGGAGGCTGTCCTGCGGGTCAGAAAGCTGGACTACAGGCAGGGCGAGGTGGCTCACGCCTGTAATCCCAGTACTTTGGGAGGCTGAGGCAGACAGATCACCTGAGGTCAGGAGTTTGAGACCAGCTGGGCCAACATGGTGATGCCCCATCTCTGCTAAAAATACAAAATAATTAGCCTGGTGTGGTGGTGCATGCCTGTAGTTCCAGCTGCTTGGAAGGCTGAGGCACAAAAATTGCTTGAACCTGGGAGGTGGAGGTTGCAGTGAGCCGAGATCACGCCACTGCACTCCAGCCCGGATGACAGAGTGAGACTCTGTCTCAAAAAAAAAAAGAAAAGAAAAGAAAAGAAAGCTGCACTACAAAACCCAGAAAGCTCAGGAGGTCGTGAAACCTTAACGTAGCCGCCGCATACTTGTGCACTGCACTTTACAGCTTACAAAGCTTTTTTCTCCCAGTAAGCACCCTTTGGAAAAGGGAAGACACCAGTTACAGCAAAATTTAAGCAAAGACTTGAAGAAGAACAGGGAGAATTCAGGCAGTTATTTTCCTTGCAAGGCCATGGGTGAGCCGTTTTCTAGAATGCCTCTCAGTTCCTTGACTGTAAAATGGAGATAACAGGTGGTGGCAAGTGTGCAGTGGCTAAGAACCCATGCCAGTTGCTTGGTGCAGGGTCTGGCCTGCAGAAGGTTCTCAGCGAAGGTTCTTGGTAATTGTTATTTTGATTGTACCTGATATGAAGAAGGGATCAGAGGAGGGCAGGAAAAGGGGCCTCTGAAAGACTGAGGGTCTGGGAAATACCAGGGAAGGGGCAGAGATGAAGAGCAGAAAGGAACTCGAGGCTCCAGAGCGCTGTCCAGGATCACATAGCTGGCAGGTGGCAGAGTCAGACGTAGAACCCAGGGGCATCTGCTGTGAAGCCTCCATGCCACATGTTGCACAAGGAGCCGTGGTGAGAGCACGGAGACCCTGGGGCTGACCTGGGTCAGGGTGTGGCAGGCCATGACCCCAGTCCTGCTCTGAGGGATAACAAGAGAGAAGGGTGATGTCATATGGCGAGAGATTGTTCTGGGCCACGCTCCCCGCCCGGGAAGCTCCTTGTAGATGCTGCATCTGGTTTCCAGGGAGGTCCCTGGTTCAAGCCCAAGTTTGCTTGCCGGCTGGAGGCCAGAGGTCAAGGCTGGGTTCAGAGCTGCAGAGTGAGTCAATGGCTTAGCAACATCAGAGAACTTAGGCAGCTGCTCAGCCTCTGGGGTGAGGAGACCTGCCTGGTCCCCAAACGCAAATGGTCTCCAGACTCCAGGAGGCCCTGAGGTCTGCATTCAGCAGCACCGTGAGTGAGGAGAGTTCATGCTTTGCCAGCCTTTGCCCGACTTTTGAGTTTTCTCTGGCTCTCCTGTGTTCCTCAGCCTTGAGGGTGGGAGGTTCAGGATTCCACCCAGGCTGTCTGAACCCCCTCATTTACAGAGGAGAAACCTGAGGCCAAGAGGGGAAGAGAGAAGTGCTGGGACTTGGTTCCTTGAGTAACCAAGTGGCCACCCTCAGAAAGGCCCAGGAGAGAGATGGGAGAGGCAGACCCCGATTGCTGATGAGATGTGATTAAAATAAATATGATAGGAAAGTGAGCAATATTCTGGCAGCACAGAAGGAGCAGCCACGTGCTTTGAAGAAGAGGCCTCCCTGAGGCACTCGCAGGGTTAACATGGACATTTGAGCAGGGCTCAAAGGGCGAGTAAGAATTTGCGACCTGAAGAAGGGAAGGAAGGACATTCCAAATGGAAGGGACAGTGGGGACCACATGCACAGAAGCACCCGGGTATAAGGGACCTAGGGTGCACCAAGACCAAGGACACACACACAGTGACCAGACTGCAGCAGGGAGGGACAGAAAGGAGGTGAGAGTTCAAGCCCCAAGCTTGAGGGTGTGAAGTGCAGAGAGTCAAAACAGAGGCTGAGAGTGTTGGTCAGCGGTGGTGCCAAGACTCCCAGCCTGGGGCCCTGCGTGCCCTTGCCATCTTTATTGGCGTGTCCCTGACTCTTTCAGCCCTCACTGAAACTATTTGAGGTTAAATAGGAGGCTGCTGTCTCCATGGCTGGAGAAGGGGAAGGTGTGAGTGTAACAAGGTCTTTTGAGGCTGGAGTTTGGCTTGCCTGTAACCCCAGGAGGGGCGGTTGCTCAGTTCACGGAGCAGTCATTCATTATCCAGTTGCTTCTAATCCACCATTCCTTGGTGACAGGCAGAAATTAGTTTCCTTCGAACCTGCTAATTAGAGCTAACGGTTGCGGGGGCTGGGGGGGATGTATTTGGATGGCATTGGCTGGAGGACTAGCCTTCTCTAGGTTTTGCGGCTTTTCAGAATCCTGCATCTGTCCTCACTCTTTGGCCTGAGGACTACCGGGTTTTTGTATAAAGCCCAGCTCTGTGTGGATCCTGCTTCTCCCACGGAGAGGGGGATAGGCTGCGAAGTATTTGCAGGCTTTCTGAATCAGCAGTGATTATGCTCATCCACAAAAGTGCTCACGGTGTTCCACAGTTGGGTTTTGGGCTTAGAGCCCTGAGTCTCTAAGCGTGGAACTGGCCCAGAAAAGGCTCTTTGCTCTCTGCCTCTTGCTGTGTAGCCTTTTTCTTGTGTTTCTTTTTCGGGGCCTCGGTTTCCCCAGAAATGAAGTGATGAGCTAAGTGATTTCGTAGGGCTGTTCTGAGTCTGACGTGACATACTTATTTTCCGTTGCTGCCATGGCAATTTGCCATAAATTTAGTGGCTTAAGACAACATCTGTTTTTCATCTCCCAGCTCTGTGGGTCAGCAGTCTAGTGGGCTCAGCTGGGTCCTTTACTGAGGGTCTCAGGAGGCCAAAGTCAGGGTGTGGGCTGGCCTGGGCCCTCATCTAGAGACTGTGGGGAGATTCCAGGCTGTGCCCATTCAGGTCACTAGCTGACGTCCACTCCTGTGGGACTGAGGGCCCTGCTTCCCTGTTGGCTGTCACGGGGCTGATCTTTGCCCTGGCTGCAGCCTGCACTCCTTCCCCTGTTTTCTGCATGGACTTCTCCAGTAATGGCGGGTTGTGAGTTGACTCTTTCTCGTGCTCTGAATCTGACTCCAGGCAAGTTCTCTGCTTCTAAGGACCTGTGTGATTAGATTGGGCCCACCCAGATAACCAAGGGTAATCTCCACGTTATAACCTTCACAACCTTAAGTACGTCTGCAAAGCCCCTTTTGCTAAATGATGCAGAATATTTGTAGTTTCCAGGATTAGGGAGTGGACATTTTGAGGGCTTTGATTCTGCCTATTACAGTCTTTGATTCTGCCACTGCCATCTGACCCCCCAGTGATTCAGGTCTATCCCAAATGCAAAATATATTCAGTCCATCCCAAGGTCCCCAGAGGTCTCATCCTGTGACAGCATCAGCTCAACAAATCTTATTTGAATCTTGTCAGCTCAGAAGTCCTAAGTCCCATTATTTAAATCCAGTATTGGGTGAGGTTCTGGGTATGACCCATTCTGGCATAATTCCTCTCCATCTATGACCCTGGGAAGCTAAAGAAATAAGTTATCTGCTCTTGAAATATAATGGGACCAGTTATAGACTTCCAGTCCAAACAGGGAGAAAATGGAAGGTAAAACAAAGTCAGATGACATTGCTGGGGCCTCACATCCCTCTCTCCCAAAACTATAGGGAGAAAATGCAATAGAACCAGCAGTTTCCTACCCCCTCTGCCCCCTCCTTACCTCTGTGGGCATTCACTGGCTACAAGTCCACCTGTTATATTCTGGCCCTGTCTTTGGGGTCTTAGGAATACACAGTTGCACAGCTTTGTACCAGTGGGTTAGAAACAACAGGAAGTTTAATTGAAATGCAGCAGAAGGGATCTAGGTTGAAAGGGTAGTGTTTGATTTGAAAAGGGTTTGTTAGCACCAAGAAAGGAAAAGCACATGCTTCCAGCACCTCCTGTCTGTTTCTCAACACTAGGAAGTGGGAAATGCACAGGCTTCTGGGGACATTTGACCCGTCATTTCTGACCTGGGAGGAATTGGGGGAATTCATTTAACCTTCCTGAGCCTCAGCCTCCTCGGCTGTAACGTGGAGATGCTGCTGGGTGCCTCACAGAGCTGTCGTGAAGGTCATGTTATGTGAAGGGTGTTTCGTAGACCACAGCCAGTGTACAAATAGTAGCTCTATTTGTGGTCTGGAACCTGCTATGCCAGCTGGTGAGGGTAGGGGGTGTCCCAGAAGGTTTGACTGTCGTCAGACCTTCCCCTCCCCCTTTGGAATGACTCTCACCTCCCCAAGATAATCTGATTAACTACTGAGTGTATAGAGATCCTGCCCCGGGGGCACAGCACAGGGGCACAGAGGTCTCAACAATGCGGAGCTCTGCCACAGAGGAGGGGAATGGTGCTGCTAGGACAGTCCAGAGGGAGAGAAATTTGGCAGTCCATTTTGGTTCAAAACCATTTTTTAAGAATGTTGGCCAGGCGCAGTGGCTCACACCTGTAATCCCAGCACTTTGGGAGGCCGAGGCGGGTGGATCACGAGGTCAGGAGATCGAGACCATCCTGGCTAACATGGTGAAACCCAGTCTCTACTAAAAATACAAAAAAATTAGCTGGGCGTGGTGGTGGGCACCTGTAGTCCCAGCTACTCAGGAGGCTGAGGCAGGAGAATCGCATGAACCTGGGAGGCAGAGCTTGCAGTCAGTCGAGATCGCGCCACTGCATTCCAGCCTGGGCAACTGAGCAAGACTGTCTCAAAAAACAAACAAACAAACAAACAAACAAACAAACAGTGTTTTACAAAAAGCCACAGGCACTCCCAAAATTCAGATCTGCAGGGAAAAATCAAATCTCACATTCTCACATCACTGAGTCCTGGTTCTCCAGCCCCCTGCCTAGTTACTGCATCCATGTACAGACATGCACAGGTAACACACACACACATTTACACATTTACATTTATGTTTCTTTCTTTTTTTTTTTTTTGAGATGGAATCTCGCTCTGTTGCCCAGGATACAGTGTGCAGTGGTGCGATCTCAGCTTACTGCAACCTCCATCTCCTGGGTTCAAGCGAGTCTGCTGCCTCAGCCTCCTGAGTAGCTGGGATTACAGGCGTGTGCCACCACGCCAGGCTAATATTTGTATTTTTAGTAGAGACGGGGTTTCACCATGTTGGCCAGGCTGGTCTCGAACTCCTGACCTCAAGTGATCTGCCCACCTTGGCCTCCCAAAGTGCTGGGATTACAAGCATGAGCCACCACGCCCAGCCTACATTTATATTTCTATCTCCCTCCCCCCAACCCTCTACTTTTTCTAGACATAAATGGAAGCATAGTGAGCATACTCTTCTGGATCTTGCTTTTGTTACTTTACAGATTGTTCCCTGTCAGCACAGGCAGATCCACTCCCGTTCTTTTTAATGACTGCAAGGAATTCCAATATCCAGTCACCTATTGGTAGATATTGAGTTATTTCCAGCCTTCTGCTACTCTAAAAATGGCTCAATCAGTAGCTTTATCCATATTTACATACATTTGTGAACATATCTGGAGGTAAAAACAAAAACCAACCAACCAACCCCACCACAGTGACATAATCATGATGAGCATTGGGTTGTGTTTTGTTTTTGCCATGTGTGAGTGTATATAGTGTGTGTGTTACATGGATGTGTCCTGTCGTGCACAAGATCTCTTGCTTATTTTATTTAACTGTGTATTATAAATGCCTATATTTTAAAATAACTTACTAAATTAATAAAAGTTACTCTCAGCCAGGCGGTGGTAGGCTCAGCAGACACAGCAGTAGCAGGTGACTGCAAATACTCCATTGAATGATTGTGCCCCCGATCAGTGTGCTCCTGTCCTTTCATGATGTATTTAGAGTGCTTCTGATATTTGGCTGTTTTGTAAAGAACACTCAGATGCACCCATTTGTAACTGAAGCTTTTCCAGCGTTTGAGTATGTTTCCATGGGTGAGATGGCAGGGTCAGAAAGGTGCTGTGTGTTGCCAAAGTGCTCTGCAGAGGGGCTGCCTGGCCATCCTGCTCAGCCGGGCCCATCTGAGATGGGAACTATGCTGTCACCCAGGGGTGGTGAGGAATCATTGTGAAGATGATTAAGACAAGTGAAGACAGATGGAGTTACCGTCTTAAAGTGTTACATGCAGGATGAGCATTTACTATTTCTGAGCCACCTCTGTTCAGATGAGGTTGGCATGTGCTTAGGAACATGGGGAGCCGCTGGGTTAAATGCTGCCCTGTCCTGGTTTGTATCAAATTATGGAGGATTGATGAGTGGAGATGGGTCAGTATGAATAATTCAAGATTCCGAGACACAGAATGGATTACTGGAGAGAGGAAGGAGATGAACAGACTTAAGGATCAGGCTTTTTTTTTTTTTTTAAGGATAAGATTTCAGAAAAGATACAGGAAAAGTCACAGCTATAGGGCATGGGTGTCACTGACAATTGTCCTTTCTCCCCTGTCTATAAAGGACATCGGTGGGGGCAGGGCTTTGGAGCAGTCTGCCAGGCTGGGATCTGGGTGCAAAAGGAAGCCCTGTCACTGGACAGTGTGAGTGGGGGGTTCCTGCCCCCAGAACACACCTCTCCTGCCTGCTTCCTGCACATTTCCACTCACTCCCTCAAGAGTGCTTGCTCCTGGGGGTTTAGAAGCCCCCCACCTTCTCTCCCAGGGTGCAGGGTCCAGGCCCTGGCCCTCTGCAGTCCTTTCTTTCCAGCGAGGACTCAGGCAGTTGCCGAGATCCAGATGTTTGGCTTCCGTCTCTGCTCGGCACAACGCTGTGCCTGAGAGTAAAGTCTGGGGTGTGCTTTTGTCCTGAAAAGGCATCCCAGCTTGGGCAGCTGCAGCTTTCTGGGACCCAGCGAAATAGAACTACACGTCCCCATGTTGAAATGCCAAGTTGTCCTCAAACCAACTCAGTGGCGTTCACAGCCAGGCCCTTCTACCATTTCCCTCTGAGGAGTCCAAGGGGAGCTTCTCCTTAAACCTCAGACCTCAGGACCACAGCCACGTCCCTTGCTCCCTCAACATGTGGCCAGCTGCCTGGTGGCTGGAAGTGACTTTACTGGGGGACCAGGAACTTCTAAGTGTGGCTTCCTCCCAGATCACCAGGGCCTAGGCACAGGCATGGTCACAGAGACCAACCTGGTGCAGGTGTCTAAACCCCCACCGGATCCCCACCCCTGTGCATCTCAGGCTTGGGAGGGTGCACACTCCCTTTCCTCAATGCCAACTCTCCTAGACAGGGTTCCAGAGCCCATCTCAGGCCTCTCACACTGGTCAGGACCCATTATTCAGCTTCCCTCTGTTCTCCTCGACATGCCCCTGGCCATGCTTTGCATTGTACCCTGATGTCCCTTCACTCTTTCTGCATGTTCAGGTCCTCCCCAGGGCACACCCTCTCCCGGAAGACTTTGTGCTATCTGTGGGCAGGTTGTGATAGCTCTGATGTTGTCTGGATTTTCCCAGCAGCTTCCTTGTCCTTCTCGGATAGCTTTTGGAACCCTCTGCCATCTTCCCTGTTGGTGGCTGTGTGTATGCTTTCCTGTTGCAATTCCTGCTAGACTGTATTCTCCTAGGGAGCAGGGACTTGTCTCTCTCCTTCTTTCACTGTCTTGCAAGTGTCTTGCTTGTTGGATACTGTGTGTTGGGTGTGAGAATGGGTGGGTGGTGGGTGGACAGAAAGGTGGGTGTCAAACCCTGGCCCCTCTGTCTGTGCGGTCACCTTGTCTAAGATAGATTGCTGCAATGAGACCTCTGAGCTGGGCCTCCTCCTCACTGTTGAAATAGAAAACAGAAGTATATTTTTAAGTGTTTGTTATATTTATCAAATGAAGCCTTATATTTCTTGTTCTTAATTTTAAAATCCCGAGAGTTGAATACTTGATATTTCTTCAAGAAAAAGAGAATCTAAATTGAGTTGCTTATTTTCTCATGTTTGACATTTTGCTTGATTTATCTTTTTCTTTTTTAGGCTGTGGCTCTCGATGAAAGGAAGGGTCCCCATCCCAAACTTGGCACAGTACTTGGCACATAGCAGGGTCTCCATATATAGTGAACGGAATTGCACTGTGATCCACAGCATGAGAGCCCCCTGGGTCTCTGCAGCTTGGAGAGCATCCTCTGCGTGTGGCAAGAGTGGGTTTTTAGCTCGGGAAAGTCAAGGCTGATGTGCTGTGTCAGATGCCCTTGCTGCCATGGTCTTTTCCTCTTAGCCCTGAAATCAGGGGCTGGGCACCCCCTTCCCTTTAGACGCTCTCTCAGGGACGGCCACTGAGTCCACCCCAGGCTCTGCGGCAGGCGTTGCTTGCAGTGTGCCATCCAGATGCCAGGTAGCCCTGCTTGGTATGCCAGGTGGGCTCTCACTGTTGATAAGGTCACGGCCAGCCCCTCCCCACCAAGGGAGTGGTTTCCATGGACAAGGCACCAGTCTGCTGGCTGGAAGGAACCCTGGACGCTTGGGCTCTATACCTGTGCATCCCCAGGGTGCTTTTTTTTTTTTTTTTTGGGGGGAGACAGAGTCTCATTCTGTCGCCCAGGCTGGGGTGCAGTGGCGTGATCTCGGCTTACTGCAACCTCTGCCTCCTGGGTTCACGTGATTCTCGTGCCTCAACCTCCTGAGTAGCTGGGATTACAGGTATGCACCACCACCACACCCAACTAATTTTTGTATTTTTTAGTAGAGATGGGTTTTCGCCATGTTGGCCAGGCTGGTCTCAAACTCCTGACCTCAGGTGATCTGCTCGCCTCGGCCTCCCAAAGTGCTGGGATTACAGGCGTGAGCCACTGCGCCCAGCTCCCAGGGCGCTTTTCTAACTTCCTTTGAAACTCACAGCAACCCTGTGAGTTGGAAGGACGGGATTCCTATCCCAACCAGACAAGTGAAGAAACTGAGGCTGACAAAAGCGAAGTGGCTTGTCCAGGGTTGCATAGCTAGGGGAGCTGGGATTTGAACCTGAATGTCCTGACCCTTTCAGCTGTAACATTTCTCACATCTTAATAGGCATTAAAAAAAAAAAAAATATATATATATATATATATATATATATATATATATATATATATATATATATATAATGCAGGTTTCCAGGCCCTTCCCCTGAGACTCGGATTCACTGGGTGTGGGGTGTTGCTGCACAATCTGCATTTGTAACAGACTCCCCCAGGCACTCCCAGTTTCCCCCTTAGAGAAACACTGCCCTGTACCGTGTGGCTTCTTAACTAGCTGCGTGGAAAAGTCACCTCCCTTTGGTCAGATCCATTCCAGGAATCTTGGGGCCAAGCTGAAGGCAGAGGAGAAATAGCCTTGGGACCCGACTGACACTGCTGTGTTTGTGCAAAGGAAGGGATAGGGAGAAGGGTCCCTTGGGGACAGCCAGACCAGACAGGCAGAGGTAGGTTGCGGTGCTGAATATCTTGCCTGTCAGTCAGCTTTGGCATAAAACCCTGGCTGCATAGTTCACTGACAGTGTGACTTTGGGCTAGTCACTTCATGTCTCTGTGCCTCAGTTTTCTCATCTATGAAATGGAGCTGATAATTCCTATCTCATAGACTTGTTAGGAAAGCTAAATTGGACAATGTCTAGAAGGAGCTAGCCCAGTGTTGTGCTCGAATCATAAGCCCCAGTCTCTCCTCAATAGACTGCACTCAAATCTTTTTTGTTCCTGGAAAGTCTTGCCCTCATCTCTCCTCTTAACTAAATGCTGCTGGTCTGGTCAGGTGCAGTAGCCCATGGCTGGTGTCCCGTTACCTTCTAAGGTGTGCAAGGAAGTCCCTATGCCTCGGTTCTGGAGTAGCAGGGAAAGGTGGCCACCTCAGCTCAGCTTCTAACTTCTGTGCCTCCTGGGATTTGAGAGTTAGCAGAAATTCTGCCTCCACTCACTCAGAAAATGCCTACAGCTTCTGGGTTTTGGGTGTTTGTGTTCTCTTCTGTCACCTGTACATGCTAAAAAAAAAGCCCTGATGCCTTCACTCCACTGCAGGTCCTTTCCATTGTAAAGGTTCTGAAGGCACCCTTGGATTGGGCTTAGTCTAGACAGCAGGAAGGGTTTCATCCAGCTGCATTCTGAAATCATCCTCAACTTGCTGGCCACATCGACCCCTAACTTATTTTACTCTGAAAGGTTTAAGTTGAAACTACTGAAGTTACTCACTTTGAGGTTGGAAGGGACCTTTAGTGATGGGGATGCCCCTCCCCTTCCCAGATGCTTCAGTTCTCAATAAGCCAGTGCTTGAATACCTCCTGGGGCAGGGTTCTTGCTCCTGCTGCAAGGCTGTTGCATTGTTGCAGTTTTAGTTTTTGGTTCCTTTCCGTACTCTGAAACGTTAAGAAGTTTCCCTGAACTAAGAAGTCTAGGAACAGGTGATGCAGGCAGGGTGGAGGTAGCAAGACTCCATCTACTGAGGCTGGGATGTGGGAGAGTTTATCAAGACAGAGACCCAGACCCTGGAGCCTGGTAACACTTGAAGGTGAACTTTGCATCAGAAACAAGATCCCCAGGGGTGGGCTTCATAGTCATCCCCCCACAGGTCTAGAGCAGTGTTCATTGCCACGTGCTTTGTTTTATAGAACTTTACAGTTTGAAAACTGCCTTTAATACACTTTATGTTCAGACCCTGGGATACAGAAGCAAGTTCCTCAGGTCCTCCCTGACTAGTGGCAGTGTGAATTTCAGAATCTGGAGAGGGGCTATGACTGAAGTTGGGGGACAGGTGGCCCAACAGGTAGACATGAAGGATGTGGAGTGAGGTATGTGCTGCTCAGAGGCTGGGTTTGGGACTGGGTGTGAGTACAGGGATGAGAACTCAAACTCACCAAGCCCCGTGGTTTATTGACATAAAAGTGACTGATTGTTAGAAAACCTCTTCCCTATTTGATGAAACTTCAAGCTTGTTTCATGTCGGAATTATCTCCCAAGTCATTAACTAGGGGCACACCTGTCGTGTTAATTGAACCCGTGTGGCTGGTGCAATCTTCACATGGAAGAAGAAAATGCTTGAAATGTGGGAGAGGCATGTGTGGTTTGGGGGCTCAGGGGCTTCTTTGGGGAGCCAAAAGATTGTACTAGTGAGGATGGGGCTGAGGGAGGAGGGTGCCATCCTCAGGGGCTCTATTTTTCAGCTCATTGCCTCTCTTCCAATGCTTTCTTTCATCCCAAGCCAGAGTTGTCTGTGGGGTGGGTGGTTTTCCCAGCTTTCTATTGTCGTGGTCTCTGTCCTGGCATGTGGGGAGAAGGCTGTGCCAGCTAGCACTGCAGCCAAACTCTCAGAACCCATATTTCAAAGCAATTACTGACTGAAAAAGCAGGCTTAGTTGCATAGCTCATAAATACTTCCAGACACCCGGCCACAGGCCTCAGAAACTGCTCACACGGCACCCCAGGTCCACGGGGGAGTTGCCTGACATGTCCCTGTGCTGGGTCCAGAGTCAGGAGCCACTGTCCAGGTCCTCTTGGTTCATGCAGAAGATGAAGAAGCATTGTCATACAAAGGGGAAACTTCCCAACCGTGGGACCAGAGACCCCATTTTTACTGTGTAACTGTGGGACGCAGGCAGTCACTCAGCCCCCCTGGGCCTTGCTTTCTTCTCTTTGTTGGAGGTGACAATGCCTACCTTACATGTTTGCGGGAAGAATGAACCATGATGAAATATGTGGAGGTGTTTGTAGACTGTGAAGTGCTGTGCAGATCTTAGCTGGGCTGTAAGGAAACCCTTTTCAGCCTGTTCTTAGAGCTGAAGGTAACAGGTTTAGGACAAATCAAGGGAGACTGAACTTAGTGGTCCCCCTCCATCCCTCTGTTTTGTGATATGGGAATGATAATAGCCTGCTGGGAGAGTTGTTCCGAGGAGTGAATGAGATCCTGCTGGTAAGCACTTGGCCAGGACTTGGCACACATAAGCTGTCAGTGTAGCCAGATTATTAACACCATACTGATAAAGACTTTCAGGGCTTATCCTCGAAGATGAGTTTTTGTGACAATTTGTTTGGAAATGCCGACCCCCACCCGAAACACCTAATGTATCAACTGGAACTTTTCTACGTGCTTTTCTGTCTGTTGTCTCATTTTACCTCCCAGCCACCCATGAGATAGAGCAGGGTTTTAGTCTCCATTTTATAGCTGAGGAAACTGAGGCACATAGGAGGGAAGTGTTTTTGTCCGAGATCATGGGGTGAGTTACTGGCAGAGCAAGAGTCTCCTGACTCCTAGAACAGTGCTTCTAACCCTGAACTGCTTTGAAGTTGGAAAGCCGAGCCCAATTAGCATCCCTGGTGGGATGGAGGTCTGGAGACTCAGAGTCTGTCCTGGTTGGAGCTTTCAGTAAACATTAAAAACAGGAACAGCAACATAGCTGCAGTATGTTCTCGTTGTTTTGTATGTATCACTTCACTAAATCCTCACAGCAACCTAATGAGGTCTGTACTGTTACTATCCCTGCTTTACTGATGAGGAAATTGAGGCACAGAAAACTTGCCCAGGGTTGTGTAGCTGATAAGTGGCAAAGAACCAAGTTTTGGAAATCTAGGCAGGCTGGCTGGAGACTGAGCTCCTCCCGGGTGTTCTCACCTTCGAGAGCTCAGTGTGTCATGGTCAGCAGATGAGGCGCTGAGGTGTAGAGATGAGCAAGTCATAACCCTGCCTTTGGCTGTAGACTTGCTGTGTAGCCCAGGACAGATGCCTCCCCTCCTCTCTGAGCCTTGAGTTGTCCATCTGTGGCATGGGGGCATTGGGCTCCCCAGCTCTAGGAAAGGGTAGCCTTTCTCTGGGTCCCTGGGAAGGCCTGAGGTGTGGAGTGGCCAGCTGGAGCCCCGGGCCAGCCATTGTTGCCGGGCTCTGTCAGCCGCGGGGTGTGGCCCCAACACTGCCAGGTCCTCCCCAGGGAGGAAGTGTCGGTGTTTACAGGAAATGCAGGACAAGTCCTGGGAGGTGGGTGGAGGAGGGGCAGCCAGCCACTGTGAGCCCTGAAGACATGTGGGGCTGAGGGCGGTGCCTCTCTTCTCACCCTTTGGACGAGGCTTTTCGTTGTTGTGGGAGGCAAAAGTCCCACTTCCTGGGCAGCCCTGCCCTTCCCCGCGCCTCTTCCCTCCAAGACTGCCACACCCCAAACGCCTGAACCCCAGGACAGCTGACCCCCTCTGCAGGGAGGCTTCTGGGAGCCATGGAAATCTGGTCTGCTTTCTCATCCTTCCCCCTGGCCCTCACTGCCCCCATCTGTTAAGTAGGTAACTTGCTGCAGCCTTAACACCGCAGGGCTCACTGCCCTCATGGAGTACAGAACCCAAATGGGAGAACCAAGATGCAAAAAGGCCAGGCCAGCCCCATGCAGCCCTGGAACCCATGGGGTACAGGTTAGGCACCTCACTTATACCACAAAAAGCTTCCTTAAGAAGTGTGTGAAAATTAAAATCTTGTAAGAAATGGGCTCTATGTTGATTATACTGATAGTATATAGGTTATTTTTTAAATTTATGCAAATAAAAAAGATTATAAATTAACTTATTGAACCTTGAAAGGTACCCACCCATGCAAGTGTAGGACCTAAAGCTTCAGCCCCATTAGCTTAGCTAGTAGTCAGGGAAGGCTTCCTAGAGTAGGATGTAAGGGTTGAGCTGGCCTTGGCAAGGAGAGGACCCTGGGCCCTGGCTGGTGTGAGAAGTCAGATCAGCTCAGGTCAGCAAACACTTTCCAGGCATCCATTCTCATCTGGGCTCTAGGGACCAGCAGAATCACATGCAGCCCCTGCCCTCAGGAGCAGCGTGGATTTATAGGGTTTAGAGCCCTTGGCAAAGGGTGGCATCCTCTGAAAATGCTTCTTCTGTGTTTGGAGTAGAGGAGGCAGATGGAGTTGGGGAAGACCACATGAGTGACATGACAAGAGCATGTGTGCACTATCACGTGTCTGGGTCCAAGTGTGAGGCCCTTCCGTTCTGGGCCTGAGCCTCAGTGTGTCCGTCTCTGTCTGGCCCTGTGTGATGGATTCCCTCTGCGTCCCCCATCCAGGCATCCCACTCCTGCCACAGGTGACGCTCCTGTTCATGTGCGTCAAAAGGCCTGCGCCCACCTGCCCTACAGGTGCTCTGTGCACACTCCTCTGTGTCCTGGCACCTCTCACACATTTTCATGCCTTGTGGGCTGGGAGTCCTGCTCTGCCCTGGTACTGCCCAGCACAGAGGAGGTGACAGTGAACCGAATGAATGGATGTGTCCAGTGTGTGGGTCCAGCCATGGGCCATCTGCTTGTGGTTTTGTCTGAGAGAGGTTGATGGAAGGGGAATATAGCAGAGTGGACCTTGGGCAAGTCATTTAACTTCACAGAGCCTTAGTTTCTCCAACTGAAAGATGAGTATAATAATAGTGCTTACCTCACTAAGTGGTTGAAAGTGCTTCTAACCCTCACTAAGCTGGTTGAAAGGATCAAACGAGGTAGCCCCTGGGACGTGCTCAGCTCAGTGCTTAATAAATGAATAAATACAGTAGAGGTTGCATAGACTCATTGTCAGAGGGGGAGCTCTGAAACCACATTCCCTGTGTTCAGATCCTGGCCCTGAACTTAGCCTCTGTGCACCTGTTTCTCCATCCGTAAAATGGGAGTGTTAATGTCTACAGGATACAGTGGTTGGGAAGAAGCCATAGAGCACCTGGCACTTAGTAAGCCCTAAAAAAAATGCTGGCTTCTGTGTCTGCTGTTGCTGCTGCTTCTGTTGTTAGTATTGGCTGGCTGTGTCTGTGTGGAAGGGAGGGGTGGGAGAAGGGGATTGTTATTCAGACCACCACACTTGGAAACCACAGGCTGCCCCTCTCATAGCTCCTGGCAACTTCAGATGTGGTGTGTGGTTATTAAATTATAGTGTCCTCTGTGAATCTCCAGCTGCTGCATCCTCCCCAGCTGCCTGGGGCAGGAGCAGTGACTCCCCGGCCCTTCCTGCTTCGCCTGTGGTCTGGCTTCCTCTGACTCCCAGAGCGGAGGTTGCAGGAGAAAGATGCGTCTGAGTTTCCTCCTGCTTTGGGCTGGAGTTAGGTGCTCAGGACCCACAACTGTAGAGCTCATCTTGCAGATGAGGAAACCAAGGCAGTCCCCACCACCCATCCTTCAGTATCAGCTGAACCTGTGGGAGAACCAGATCCAGCCTCTGGGGTGCTTCTCCCTCTCCCACCCCTGGCCATATTCCTAGTGATTTAAAAGCGTGGCCTGGTGAGGAAGGAAGCTCGTTTGTCTCCTAATACTTGTCTGGCCACAGTGTTCTCAGCAGTGGCAGCACCTGTGATGCCATTTCAGCGTGAGCCAGGTACTGTGTTATGTGTGCAGACAGAGAGACGCCCTCCCCCTGGGTGATGGGAGGAAGTCACCTCCATCAGCTGGGATGAGATGGGGAAACTGGGATAGGACAGTCATTTGTCGGGCACCTACTGTGTGCACTTCATGGAGGACACAGAAATGCATAGCAAGCCCATGACTGCTACCTTCAAGGAACTTTAATATAGGAACGTAAATTAACTGGAGTCGTTGTAGTAAACTGCAACGGGAGCCCCTCCTGCTGGAGAGACAGAAGGCTTCTTGGAAGAGGTGGTATTTGGGTTGGACCTTGGTTGGGGGGGCAGTGGTGGGTGGGAGGGATGGTGTTGGGCAAGTGCAGGGGAGGGTGGGAAGGAATTCTGTAACAGTCTTGGAAGGGGGATAGATGGGAAACTGCAAATGTATGCATGGGCCAGGGAGTTGGTTTGGCTGTGTAGGCTGGTCGGTAATGCCAAAGATGTGGCAGGAATCACTCTGGCAAAATTCCTCAGCTTTGGACATAAAATAAAGCCACAGCGCGTCGTGGTGAGAAGGGCTTCTAGTTCTAGTTCTCTTATTTTACAGATGGGGAAACTAAGGCCCTTGGAGGGGAAGGGGCCCACACTGGTGACAGAGGTGGGACCAGAACCCAGGTCTGTAAGCGTTGAGGAGCTCTGCCTGTTGAATTCAGACTGCCTGTAGCTCAGACGGACTCTAGTAACATAAAACCAGCAGGTACTGTGTTACACAGGTCGTATACCTCATTTACAGATGTCATCTCATCTGATCCCTACATAGACCCTCATAGACCTTGGGAATTTAAGGACTGATATCATCTCCATGTTATAGATGAGGAAACTGAGGCAGGCAGGTTAAGCAACTTACCCAAGGTCATTGGGCTGATAAGTGGCAGAACTGGGTCTTGGCATCAGACAGTCAGGTCCCAAAATGTATGCCCTTTACCACTGTCCTTTACTGCAGTCCCAGAGATGACCAAAATGTTAGAGCCAGTGGTTATGGCTAGGCCAGGCCTGTGACCCAACAGTGTGGCAGAAATGCTGGCTCCAGCCTCTGCTGCCAGCATCACTACCTCAGGTTGCCCAAGGCACTTCCAGTGTCCCAAAGACAGAGCCTGAGACACCATCACAGTGGTAGGTTTGTGGCTCCGGCTTACATATTGTTCTTGAATGTTACCTCTTTATGTTATAATTTTATGAGGTTCCTGAAGATCTTCTAAAAGTTTAAATTCCCCCCCACCCCCACTAGACTTCTGAGCCTCACTTGATTATCTGAAAATAAAGCCTTCATGGTCACAGTTGTGTTTCCCTTTTTCTCTTTGGCTAGGAAAAATAGTGTTTGCTCAGGTTGGGAGGAGGCTGAGATGGAATCAGAAAAAAACAAAATTCTTTGAAAATCCTTATAAAGCCACTTCAAACCCACTAGGATGGCTAAGATAAAAAAAAAAAAGGCAGACAATAACAAGTGTTGACAAGACTGTAGAGAAATTAGAACCCTCATACACTCCTGGTAGGAATGTGGAATGATACAGCCTCTTTGGAGTACAGTCTGGTAGTTCTCAAAACATTAAATATAGATTTATCATATGACCCAGCAATTCCACTTCTAGGTATATACCCAAGAGAAAGGAAAATATGGCTATACAAAAATGCGTACACAGATATTCACAGCAGCATTATACATGATAGCCAAAAAGAAACAATTCAAATGTCTATCAGTTGAATGGATAAGCAGTATGATCTGTCCATACTGTGGAATATTACTCAGCCATGAAAAAGAATGAAGAGCTGACACATGCTACAAAATGGGTGGACCTGGAAAACACACTAAGTGAAAGAATCCAGACCCAAAAAGCCTCATACTGTATGATTTCATGTAATGAAATGTTCAGAATAGGCAAATCCGTAGAGACGGGAAGTAGACTAGCGGTTGCCAGGGGCTGAGAGGCCTAGCAAGGAGTGAGGTTTCTTTTTGGATTGATGAAAATGTTCCAAAATTAGATAACGGTGTTGGCCACACAACTCTTTCAAATATACTAATATACTAAAAAGCACTGAATTGTATTTTAAAGGGGCATATTTCATGATATGTGACTCATATCTCATTAATGCTATTATAAAAAGAAAGCAAACCCCTCTGAAACCACTGATGCTGCTGCGTTTTAAGAGGAGGGGTGGGGATGTCTCTGGTCAGAAAACAAGGATGAACTTTTGTTTTTACTTAGTGAGAAATGGAAATTGAATTTTTTTAAAAGTCTCTCCTTCGGTCATGTTTCTGGGAACCATTACAATGCTATCCCTTGGCTGACCCTGGGTGCAGGAGGCATTCTCTCCGAGAGGCGTGAAAGGGAGCCTCACTTCAGACACGACGAGGCACCAGGCAGGCAGCGTTCTCAGGGCCTGGCCCCCAGGCTGTGGGATGTGTGTGTCTGGTCTCAGCACACAGTTTCATATGTCTGGGTGTTTTGTGCTTTGACCCATGAGTCCAGCCTCCACCTCAGTTTTATAGATGTGGAAACTTAGCCTCCCCAGGACAGCCACGACGTAGCCCAGATGACGCAGGGTTTCCTGAGGAATCCAGGACCCCCAGTCCTCTTGGGCTGTTTCCACAGTATCACATTTGCGCTGTGCTTTGTCTTCCGTGGTCCCAGTTACAGTGCAAATGATAGCTCCATCTGCAAAGATTGCAATGTCCCTGTGAGGACAAGGAAGCATCAGAGCAGAAGGGGTCACCAGGGGAAGTCCTGGAGGGACTGTTTAGTACTGGGAAGGTGCTGGGGTGCTGAGGGGTGAAGGATTCAGCAAAGGAGTGGAGCGAATGTCTGAGGGTTTAGAAATCCCTATCCCGTATCCAGCCCTCCCCTCCGCCCACTTACAAGCTCTTCCAGCTATTCTGCTAATTGGGATACTCATTCTCACCAGCCTGTCTCCTCCATTTCAAACTTTCCAGCTCCCAGAGAGCTCAGCCCCGAAGCCCCCTTCCCCTCCCTGCTGGGCTGGTGAGCTTCAGAAAGGTCCCAGCCTGTCTCGGAGGGGCTGGGAGAAGTTACGTCTGCAATCTGGCCCCATTTGCATGAATCTCCACACCAGTGAGGATGGAATTTGAGGTTGGAGTGCCCACTGAGAGATTCCCAGGGGGAAAAGCGTTCCTTTTTTTTTTTTTTTTTTTTTTTTTTTTTTTACGAGTTATTAGGCCCTTTTGGCTGTGCTCAGAGTTATGGCTCCCAACCAGCGTTACATAGGACGGAATTAAATGGTCAGAGTTGGACAGCACCAGGCCGGGTTACACAGCGTTCATCTCCCCACGTGGAGGCACATATCCTCTTACAACTCTAGGCTGCCGAAAAGGACTAGGCTCATTTGGAGCCTAGTCCTTTGGAAGGACATTTGGAAGGTCGTTTAAGGTAACAGCCTCTGAGCAGCTTTAATTGATATTCCCTTTACAGCACAAGTGGACTCAGAGGGTGGATACAGTCCCAGGGAGACTAGGCGGGGGGTTTAGAATTTGGCCCTTCTGCAGGCTCTTCAGAGCTGGCCAGAAAGGACCTGCTGTATGTCAGCCCCTGGCTGCTTTCACCATCGTGTTCTTATTGACTCCCACCGTGAACCTCCATAGTTATCACCACCTTATAGGTAAGAAACAGAGAGGTTGAGTGGCTTGCCTGAGGTCACACAGTGACTCTTTTCTGTGTGATGCCAACATTCTGGGCTACTTGGTCACTAAACTTAAAATGCTGACCACCTGGCCCTTTTCCCGTTTTCCCAGAATGTGACTCTCCAGGTAAACTTATTGAGTGGTGGGACCATAGTACTCCTGTAATGACCACATGCCCAGAATTTCCTGGAAAGATCCCATTCAGGGTACAACAGACCACTGGTCCTTTATTTTTTGTTTCTTTTCTTTTTATTTATTTATTTATTTATTTATTTATTTATTTATTTATTTATTGAGACGAGCTCACTCTGTCGCCCAGGCTGGACTGCAGTGGCGTGATCATAGCTCACTGCAGCCTTGACCTCCTGGGCTCAAGTGATCCTCCTGCCCTAGCCTCCCAAGTAGCTAGGACTACAGGTGTGCACCACTGCACCTAGCTAGTTTTTTAATTTTTTGTAGGTATGGGAGGTCTTGCTGTGTTGCCAGGGCTGATCTCAAAGACTCCTGGGCTCAGTCAATGCTCCCGCCTCAGCCTTCCAAAGTGCTGGGATTACAAGTGTGAGCCAGCAGACCTGGCCCTCTTTTATTTTTTAAATTGACAAATAATAATTGTACATATTCATTAGGTCCATAGTGATGTTTTGATATATGTAATTTATAGATCAGATCAGGATAGTTAGCATACCATCATCTCAAACGTTGATCATTTCTTTGTGTTGGGAACATTCAATATCCTCCTCCTAGCTATTTGAAACTATATAATATATGATTGATAACTGTAGTCCTCCTACAGTGCTATGGAACCCTAGAACTTATTCCTCTTATCTGGCTGTATCTTTTATTCTTTTACAGATCTCTCCCTATCCTCACCTTACTCCTATCCTTCCCAGCCTCTAGTATCCTCTGTTCCACTTTTTACGTCTATGAGGTTAGCTTTTTTTTAGTTTCCACATATGAGTGAGAACATGCAGTGTTTAACTTTCTGTTCCTCGCTTATTTCACTTAACATAATGTCCTCCAATCCCATTCATGTTGCAACAAATGACAGGATTTCTTTCTTTTTTATGGCTGAATAGTGTTCCGTTGTGTATGTATTTTCATTATCCATTCATCTGTTGTTGGATACCTAGGTTGATTCTGTATCTCAGCTACTGTGAATAGTGCTGCAGTAAAGATGGAGGTGTAGATGTCTCCTCCATATACTGATTTTCTTTCCTTTGGATAAATGCCCAGTAGTAGGATTGCTGGATCACATGGTAGTTCTATTTGTAGTTCTTTGAGGAATCTCCATATTGTTCTCCATAGTGGCTCTACTGATTTACATTCCCATCAGCAGTGTAGAAGAGTTCCCTTTTCTCCACATCCTTGCCAGCATTTGTTATCTTGCGTCTTTTTGATAATAGCCATTCTAACAGGTGTGAGATGATATCTCATTGTGGTTTTGATTGGCATTTCCCTAGTGATTAGTGATGTGGACATTTTAAAAATATACTTGTTGGCCATTTGTATGTTTTTTTTTTGAGAAATGTCTATTCATATCATTTACCCATCTTTTTAATCAGATTGGGTTTTTGTGTGTGTGTGTATGTTTTTTCTGTTAAGACCTTTGAGTTTCTTATCTATTCTGGATATTAATCCCCTGTCGGATGAGTAGTTTGCAGATATTTTCTCCCATTCTGTAGGTTGTCTTTTCACTCTGTTGATGATTTCCTTTGCTGTACAGATGCTTTGTTGTTTGATATAATCCCATTTGTTTATTTTTACTTTTGTTGCCTGTGTTTTTGAGGTCTTAGTCATAAAATATTTTCCCAGACCAATGCCCTGAAGCATTTCTCCTATGTTTTCTTCTACTAGTTTTATAGTTTTGGGTCTTACATTTAGGTCTTTGATCCCTTTTGAGGTTGATTTTTTTTATAGCATGAGAGGTAAGGATCTAGTTTCATTCCTCTACATATGGATATTCAGTTTTCCCAGACCCATTTAGACTGTCCTTTCTCCAGTGAATGTTCTTGGCACTTTTGTCAAAACATTAGTTGTCTGTATATATATGGATTAATTTCTGGGTTCTCTATTTTGTTCCCTTGTTCTGTGTGTCTGTTTTTATTCCAGTGCCATGCTTTTTTGGTTACTATAGCTTTGTAGTATATTTTGAAGTCTGGTAATGTGGTGCCCCCAGCTTTATTCTTTTGGCTCAGGATTGCTTTGGCTATTTGGGTCTTTTGTGGCTCCATGTAAATTTTAGAATTTTAATTTCTGTTTCTGTGAAGAATGTCATTAGTATTTTGATGGGGATTATGTTGAATCTGTAAATTGCTTTGGGTAAGTATTGTCATTTTTACAATAGTAATTCTTCTGATCCATGAGCATGGAATGTCTATTTGTTGGTATCCTCTTTGATTTTTTTCATCAGTGTTTTATGTTTTTTCTTGTAGAAGTCTTTCACCTTCTTAGTTAAATTTATTTCTAGATTGGGCTTTTCTTGTAGCTATTGTAAATGTAGTATTGTGATTTTTTTTTTGTAGCTCTTGAAAAATCGTTCTCAGCTAGTTTATTGTTCATGTATAGAAATGCTACGGATTTTTATATATTGATTATGTATCCTGCAACTTTACTGAGTTTATCAGCTCTAAGAGGTTTTTGGTAGAATATTTAGGGTTTTCTATATATAAGATTATGTCATCTGCAAACAGGGACAGTTTGACTTCTTCCTTTCTAATTTGGATGCCTTTTATTTCTTTCTCTTGCCTTATTGCTCTGGCTAGGACTCTCAGTAGTATGTTGAAGAATGGTGGTGAGAGTGGACACCTTTGTTTTGCTCCAGTTCTTAGAGGAAAAGATAAAAGCTAACAGTAAGATGTCAGCTGTGGATTTATCATATATGGCCATTATTATGTTGAGGTACTTTCCTTCTGCACCTAATTTATTGAGAGTTTTTATCACGAAGGGATGTTGAATATTATCAAATGATTTTTCTGTCCTTTAAACTCTTGAAATAATGGTTAGAAATGTCATCCTTTTTTTTTTTTGTTCTAGAGACAGGGCCTTGCTCTGTCACCCAGGCTGCTGGAGTGCAGTGGTGTGACCAGCAGCCTCCACCCCCCCAGGCTCAAGCAATTCTCCTGCCTCAGCCTCCCAAGTAGCTGAGGCTAATAGCTATAGGGATGAGCCACTACATTCAGCTAATTTTTTTTATTTTAGAGACGGGATCTCATTTTGTTGCCAAGAGTGGTCTTGAACTGCTGGCTTCAAGCGATCCTCCTGCTTCAGCTTCCCAAAGTGTTGGGATTACAGGCTTGAGCCACTGAGCCCTACTGAAATTTCATCCTTTTGGCCTCCAAACTATCTCTCAAATGTCCTTCCTCACTTAACATACAGCAAAGTTTCAGATCCTTGGTCCTGGTTTGGGGCTTGAGAAAACAAAGGCACTGAGCCCTGGGCAACCGGGAGACTTCAGCAAGGAAACAGATATGAAGTTGCCTATAAGTTGTAAGGTACTGTAGAGATGGGGGCCTTTCTACTGGTTCTGAACCACCCTTAGTGTCCGCTAGAGAGCAGAAAGATACCAGCTGATGGAAGGATGGGGCAGTCTGCATTTTCATTGTTCTGATGGGCTATTCTGATAAACTTATTTCGTCTGTTGCTGTCAGGCTATGGAAACACCACCAGTAGCTAATATCTAATGAGGACCTTCTTTGTGCCACTTCTGAGTGCCTTTGTTGCATTATTTCAATGAATCCTCTAAATAATCTATACCTATATTACTATCACCCCTGTTTTATAGATGAAACTGGAAAAAAAAAAAAGCTGAGACACGGAGAGATTAAGAAACTTGCTTGAAGTGGCACAGCTGGGATTCCACCCAGGCAGTCTGTCTGAGCCCACCCTCTCCACCTCTGAGGCCAGAGAGTACAGTAAAGTACCCAGAGTACAGTGCAAAGTGCTGGTGAAGAGGATAGGCTCAGAAGACTTCACTCTGTACTCTCTCTGGGCTCAGAAGTAATTTGCACTGTACTGTGTCTGAGGCCAGAGAGAGTACTTGAGTCATCTTTGATCCCTCCTTGTGTTAGCTCCATGAAGTAGAAGCTGAGCCATATTTGGTGAGTGAGTGTGAGGGGATGGGTGAGAAGGAGGGATGGCTGAGTGAGTAGATGGAAGGATGGCTGGAAGGGTGAGTGGATGGTCAGATGTCCAGTGTCCTGAAGCGGGTGGGTGGGTGGATGGATGGATGGATGGATGGATGGATGGATGGATGGATAGATAGATGAATAGATAGATGGGTGAATGAGTGGATGGGTAGGTAGTTGGGTTAGAGGGCTTTCTCATATGTAGTATATTGGTATGCTCAAGGAATCCACCTGAAGATAACACCTCATCCAGTTATGATTATAATGGGCATTTTTACTAGAGAGACTATAGACACTGTACCCTCAGTACCTGTAGTACAGAGTCTAGAACAGACGGCTCGTAATAGGAATTTTTTTGAATGAATGAAAAACCAGGCAGGCACCAGATAGCTGAAAATATAGAGCCTTGCAGGCTTCCTTTGACCATACTGAGCAGAGTACTCATCTCGGAGGTTTCTGTTGGCAGACTGGGGAGATAGATATGATATGTAAGTGTTCCCAATCTTTTTCCCCAAGGGAAGACGTGGTTACTTGCCCAGGACACAGTTCTGCCAGGTCTGTCACAGCATTTGGGAAGAGGTTAACATGTATCTGTCAGAGGTGTTTCCTTGCCCTGTGTATAATCAACCTCGTAGCAATACCAGGGTCGATGGGAGCAGCCATGTTGACAGCCTTGGTTTTAGTATCAGAACGTTTTGATTTGTTTATTTTACTGCTAACTTCTGTTTAAGATAGGGTCTGTTGCTGCCATTTTTTCATTGACTCTGCAAAGGCATTGTATCATACTTGCTCTTTCATGTTGTGGAAGTGCATATTTTAAAGACATTTCTAGACCTTTAAAAATGTATTACTATAATTTTTGATTGACAAATCATAATCCTATACATTTATGGGGTACAATGTGATGTTTTAGTATATGTATACAATGTGGCATAATTAAATCAAGGTCATTAACATATCCATCGCCTTATCATTTTTATGGTAAGACATTTGAAAGTTACTGTTAGTTGGCCAGGCACAGTGGCTCGTGCCTGTAATCCCGGCACTTTGGGAGGCTGAGGCGGGCAGATCGCTTGAGGTGAGGAGTTCGAGACCAGCCTGGCCAAGATGGTGAATCCCTGTCTCTATTAAAAAATACAAAAATTAGCTGGGCATAATGGCTTGCACCTGTAATCCCAGCTACTCGGGAGGCGGAGGCTCAAGAATCACTTGAACCTAGAAAGCAGAGGTTGCACTTAGCAGAGATCACATCACACTGCACTCCAGCCTGGGTGACAGAGCGAGACCTCCCCCCAAAAAAAAATAATAAAAGAAAGAAAGAAAAGTTACCCTTACCCAAAAGAAAAGAAAGAAAGAAGAAAGGTTACTCTTATTTTGAAATATGTAATACTTATTATTGACTGCAGTCACCCTGCTGTGCAGTAGTCTCAAAACCCATTCCTCATGCCTGTTTGAAACTTTGTACCCCTTGATCAACAGTAAAAGCACATTTCCTTTGTTTTGTTTTGTTTTTACAGCTCAGTGTACAAGATTTTATTTAGTGATATCTGAATTTGGTTCTATCATGTATGGCCCATGTTACAAGTTCCATCTGGGTCCATTACAACTCGAACCACTCCCCCCCCAAAAAGGGAAAGAAACTTAGAAAATCAACAACTGTTTCCATGTCATTAAATATATTCATATATAATAACCATAATATATTAGTATGCATTGGAAAGGGACACTGACCCAAACAATACATCATGGTCACAACTAAACATTTACAATTCTGAGTGAACAGAAATTCAAAACACAGGAGGGGGTCAAGGGAGGAGGTGAAGTGCATCTGGGAGCAGGGAATGGGAAGAAACGCCCAATGACAGGAGTGGGACTGGCTTGGCTTTTGGCAGGGGATGAGGCCCCACAAGTCCACATTTTGACACCCCTAGGTATGCCGTGGCTGTGGCCCACAGGAATGTCTTGTCGTGGACCGTGGCCCAATGGCCCCATCAATGAGTCTGGTTTGTCCACTCTCTGGGCTTCAGCGGGGCTTCCTTTAAGTGTTGAGAGCCTAAACGTCTTTCACTTTCCTGAAGGCAGGAACCAGCACATTTCTAATGGTGACTTATCCCCATTTGTTGTACTCATAATTCCTATATAGGACAGTGAAATAAATGAGCCAGAAATATCAGAGCACCTGAACCTTTGCCCCTAACATCTGTTTTAGTGATCTTTCTGGAAAACAGAATCAGATAAAGAAGTAGAATAAGAGGAGGGCCATCTGCATGGGCTCCACGACTGCCATGGCTGAGGCTGAATTGAGGATCAGAAGTAACCAGGTTCATCTGTGAGGTCTGTGCACCTCCAATATGAGCAAGATAACTTTAGTCAAACACGTTATTATAATTTAATAATTATACGGTTTATTTTAAAGTGTTAAAAGGGTCCGGGTGTGGTGGCATATACCTATAATTCCAGCTACTGGGGATGCTGAGGTGGGAGGATTGCTTGAACCCAGGAGTTAGAGTCCAGTGTGGCCAACATAGTGAGACCCCTTTTTTAAAAAAAAAAAATTTAAAAATTAGCTGAACATGGTGGTGTGTGCCTGTAGTCCTTAACTACTGGAGAGGCTGTGGCGGGAGGATTGCTTGAACCCAGGAGGTTGAGGCTGCGGTGAGCTATGATCATACCAGTGCACTCCAGCTCAGGCAGCAGAGCAAGACCCTGTGTCTAAAAATAATAATACATTTAAAAATACAGTGTTAAAAGAATACAGCATATGACCTCACAGGTATTATCACTTAGGATGATGAGGCCAGAGTTGGTAGCAAGTGTTATAAATGAGTTAACTTAAAGAAAACATGAGGCAAATGATAGAACAGCTGGAGGCAGCAACGGCCACGCTGAAGACGGGGGAGTGGCTCGGGTTTGGGAAGCACAAAGACAGGAAGGGACAGGAGAATACAGAGCTGATCGTGAAGAAAGCTGACGTTTATTGAGTTGTCATGTGTTGGGAACTATTCTGAATGTCTGATGTTATGTAACTCACTGTTAACTGAGCACTGCTGAGGCTTGGAGAGGTTAAACACAGCCAACAAACAGCCAAGCCAGAATCTGAACCCAGGAAGCCTAACTCAAGAGCATGAGCTCTCATCTCCGCACTCCACTGACTTACAGAAGTAAAATAACAACAAAAGCAAAGGCCCACCCAAGACCCAACTCCACATATCACTGCAGTGACAGGCCCAACTGCATCTGCTTTCAGGTCTCTAAAAGGGACCAAGCATGGAGAGAGGCACCTTCAGAGGCAGTGTATGTCAGCTCAGATTTGCCGCGTGACCTCGAGCTATCTCCTTCCCCTTTCCAGGGGTTTGGCTTCCGTGAGCCCTCTCCCCTGTATCACCCATGGCTCTGACTCATGGAAACCACCCCCTGCTTGGCTTGAGGCAGAGCCCCCAGGTTCTGTGATGCCCAGCAGCGTCTGATGCTGGGGAGACCACAGCAGCAGCAGCAGGAGCTGAGGGTGCCCACCTTGCCCTCCCCAGGTCCCGCAGGCTTGCTGGACAGGCTGAGCTCTTGGGGCCAAATCCCAGCAGCCCTGGAATGCCCCTGAAGAAGTTAAGCCAGGGGACAGCATGATCAGATTGGGTTTTGAGATGGTCATTATGGCCACTGGGTGGAGAACAGATTGGGTGACAGCCAGGGTGAAGTCAGAGAGCTCAGGAAGGCACCAGTTACAAATGTTCAGGCAGGAGGTGGCCTGGCCAGCAGAGGCTGTGCTAGAGATGCTAGATGTATGGTTGGGAGGTATTTGAAGGTAAGCCTGGGAGGAAGGTAAGCCTGACGCTCACATAGTGGCTGTGCTAGGAGACACTCGGGTTTCTGGCTTTCTGCCTGGCATGCACCTTCCTTTTGGATGTGGAGGAGGAGTGGTAGGAGTGCTGCTAACTGCTGCATCCCTCATCCTTACTGCTTATCCTGGATAGAGCACCACCTGCTCCTGCTGCCTGAGGTGGCTGTTTCTCTCAGAAGGAGGGCAGGACTCCACTCCAAGTCTGCTGGAAAAAGGGTTGCAAATTGATGCAGGCAGCTCTGGAGGGAGGGGAGTGAGGGTTTTGTGAGACCAGTCCATGCAGTCACTTTACTGAGCCTGATCTGAGCTCTGCCGAACAGGTGAGTTGTCCCTGACCTTTAGGCTGGGGACCACTCCTCAGTGGAGGGAGCTGGTGGCCCTTGGCAGCACGGTGACTTGCAGCGGAGGTGGAGGTGACCCTGAGACAGGAGGGAGGCTTTGGCACACCTCAGCAAGCCTGGCGGGGTGTTATTTCTTTGTATACCTTGGTAGTAGGTATATGGCTTGTTGTAAAACACCTCATCATTTGAAAGAGAAGGCCAAAAAGCAATGTTTTTGAAAAGGAAGAAGAAAGAGGTCTGACCAGAGGGTAGCCTGTTGGCTAGTAGGTTGAGTCGTGGCTCAACCTTGGTGAGGACTGGGTTTGCCTCTGTACACAAGTGTGCAGCCACAGTCCCCACCTCCAACCCATTATGTCAGTGGAGGCCCAGGCAGAGACAGGCCACCTTGTCCTTGCTCTGTCTGGCCCTATAGCCCCTTGTGGAGCAGGGGACCCTGCTCTGGCCTTGGCAGAGCCCCAAGCTGCTTAGGCTACAGGTACTCTGGGGTTGGGTACCTGCGGTTCTGGCTCCTATGAAAGATACTTGAGGAGCTCCAGGATAGGCTCCTAGCTCAGCTATTCCCTAAGGCTGTTTCTCCTCCCCTGATGTCCCCCACCCGCCTCACTTCCCCCTGCCTGGGCCAGGGCCTGAGGGAAAGCTTGGCCCAGGCAGTTCAGGAAGTGGCTGCTCCCTTCCGTCCTGCCATCCGTCAGTCATTCCAGTATCTCATCCAGGCATTCCCAGAGGGCAGGAGTATTTGGTAAGGATTTAATAAGACCAAATTTTGAGTAGGAAGAAAGGTTTGTGAGTTGTCTGGGGCCACGTTGCCAATGGCAAGAGGGAGCCACTGAAGGTTTTTGGGCAGGAGAAGGGCACAGTCTTTTGTGGAATAATCAGTCTGCTGTGTAGAGAGAAGGGCTGAGAGCCCCTGCTGTGGGGATCACAGTTTGTGATTGTGCATGAGTTCACATTTGAGGACAGGGACCATGTCTGCTTCACTCACCAGTGTTTTACTCGATGCCTAGCCCATGCCTGCTTAAAGCAGACAGTCAGTAAATATGTGCTGACTGCTATGTTCATTATTTACTGGCAACGCCTGTGGAGAGTAGTCACAGGCATAGAGACATGAGACTGTCACACCTAAATGAGCTGTGATGCTCACAGCACCTGCCAAGAAGGTGAGACAGGAATCCTTGTTGCTATGCAGCTGAGTGGGAACTGATGCCCTGAGCTATGTCTTGTCTGCAATCTAGCCGATGGCAAGGCCGGGACTAGGGGCTGGAACACACGTCCTGGATTCTGTCCACCACATCATTGCATCCCTTACTCAGGCCCAGAGCACACGGCCACCTTAAGGACTAACCCTGCCGCCTGACCAGGCCAGTCCAGATCCCAGACCACCCAGATTCAACATCTTCTGCCCGCATCCTGAGTTATTCGGGCCTTCCTCTGGCAGGGGAGCCTGCCCCCTGTCTGCAGGGAAGTGAGTCTGTCTTAACGTGTGCCAAGGCACTGGGCAGCAAGAGCCTGGTGTGTTCAGGGCTCCAAATGGAAGCCAGTGTGGCTGGGGGTGGGGAAGTAGGAATTTTGTGCCTGAGTCTTACTACTTGTTTTCTGTCCCCATGGCATGAATGGGACCCCTGGTAGGTTCACTTTGCCTATGCTAAACAAAAAGCTTTAACCCTTCTTTCCCCTGCTTTGACCCAGCGCCTACACAGAGCCCTACAAAGTCTGTCCCATCTCGTCGGCAGCCCCCAAAGAGGACCTTACGTCGGATGAAGAGCAGAGAAGCTCGGAGGAGGAGGACAGTGCTTCAAGAGACCCCAGTGTCACCCACAAGGTAGGGCACCCCACAGGTAGGCCGTGGGCATCGGAGACGTGAGGGTGGAGAGATGGCTGTAACAGATCTGCTCCTTCCCTTGGTGCGGACGGAGCTGTTTGCAGATAGCTGGCCCCAGCTGGATGCAGGGGCTGAGACACGCAGCATCAGGGCGCTAGGAAGCATCGCCTTCTGGGGACTGGCCTCAGTGATGCAAGGGCAACTGCTCATGCCGGTATTCTCTGGAGTCTGATGAAGTTTGGGGCTTTCTGGAGGCTTTGTGGATGATGTGGAATAGAGCTGCCTGATTTGAATGAAGACCAGCCTAGCTTCTAATGACCTTGGACACCCTGGGCCTCAGTTTCCTCATCTGTGAAGTGGAAATCATGAGGGTGAGATGTGTTAAAGGCTATCAGGGAATTTTGTGAACTGAAAAGTTTTAGATGAAAGCTGGTTTCCCTGGCCCTGCAGCAGTGCTGTGAGGGGATGGAGTTGCTGGAGGGAGGTTGCTGTCTAGAGGCTGATGGTGAGTTGGGGGCCACGTCACAGTGAAGACCCAGACCTCATTGCTGGGCACGGGTGCATCAGTGCTGATGGGGATAATATACACTCTCTATTGGACACTCATGGTGAGCCGGCCTTCACCTACTCACTGACAAAGTCCCAGCCTTTCCATACACCCCTTCTCAGAGTCATGAATCCTTTCCCACAATGTACATTTGCAGAAATGGGCAGAGGTGAAGAGCAGGCCTAGGCATGTGACTGGTAGGTGGCATCCCAGGAAGCATCACGGGGTGATATGGGGCTTAGGCATTTGTTCTGCGGGGGACACAACCACTGCAGGGAAATGGGCTAGGAAGGGTGAAATGCCCCCACCCAACCCACCCATCTGCCAGGCCATGCCTGCATGTTGAGAGGTGACTGGAGAGGCAAAGAGTGAAGCGCCCCCTTCGCCCGCTTCCCAGCAGACCTCAGCACCTTTTTCGGCACCTGCCTCCCACTCTCCATCATCCCTCCCCTTCCAAGCCTAGGTTAGTTTTGCTACATTGATTAAAGACCATTGCAAGTGAATGCACTCAGCACAGGTGCCTGACACTTACCAAGCATTGGCCAAATGGGGATATCTCATTTTCTCTCCACAAAGGTGATTTCTTTTAAAAGTCCATTGATCTCTCTGGACTGTGTTTTCATAAAGTTACCTACCAAGTGCTACAGGAGCCCTCAAGAGAGTTACTCCCCTCTTCTCCTGCCTCTTCCCCCTCAGTCCCTTCTCTCTCCAGTGGCTCCTTCACACCCTCCCCACCCCCTTCCCCTCTCACTCATCTCCCCGCTGCCTCTTCCTCTCTAGGTACTGAGCCACGTATCTGGCACTGTCCTGAGGTTGTCCATGTTTGTCATCTCCTTGACTCCTTACAACAACTTCAAAGTTGGCACCATTACTCCTGTTTTACAGTTGAGGACACAGAGGTTCTGAGAGGTTAAGTAACTTGCCCAAGGCCACACAGCTAGTGAATGAAGGGGTCAGGTCTCAAGCACAGCTCTGGCTGGCTCCAAGTCCAGTGTTGCCTATCACTGCGGGCCTTCTCTGACCTCTCCACTCCTCCTCTCCCAAGAAGGAGTATTGTCTCCTTGTGGAGAAGGGAGGAGAGCCTTGAGTTAGTCGTGCCCATTTAGAGATGATTTTGGCTTTTCTGGGCATCCCTGAGGTCATGGAATCTGGGAGCAGAAAGAGATAGTTGCCATCAGAGATTTGGTCCCCACCCTGAAACCAGGAATTGGGTACTGGCCGCGAGAACGTCGGAGGGCTGATGGAGCAGTGGAGCCCACCATGCACAACTCTGTACCTCAGAGTCCCCACCCGCCTTGTGATGTACCCCACCACGGTCACTGAGTTCTCTTTTAAACCCTCCTCTGGGACCCCCCACATCTCTTCTTCCGGCTATGTCACTGCAGGCCAGTCATTCCCCATCTCTGAAAGAGAGCACTAATAGTAACTGCGGGGCTGTGGGAGGGTTGAATGGGAACACAAATGTGAGAGTGCCGGCCATACAATAGGGGTGTAGTAATTATCTGTTGTTTCTGAATCCTTGAGACAGAGGGGGAGTATGGAAAGAGAGGGCCTGTCCTGCTCAGAACCATTCTAAAGGTATGAATGTGCAATTCTGGGGCCCTGGACATTGGCTATTACCCAGGATCTGGTCTCCCGGCCACTGCTTGGACACTCCCAGGACTAAGGAGCTAGCAAGAGGTAGAGCAGCCTAGGGACTAAGAAGTTCAGACTCAGCTTTGTCCCTTGCTGGCTGAGTGACTTGGGCAACTTCCTGACCACTCTGCTCGTAGGATTCCCCATCTGTAAGGTTGGGATAGTAGTAATAGTACCTGCTTCAGAATAGTTACGAAGGTAAATAAGTCTAAGGAGAACTAGAACAATGCATGCCACTCAGGAAAGAAGCATACCAAGGTCAGAGCTTTTGATTGAGACTAGGAGCCTGAACAGGGAAGCAATCTGCCCAAGTTCAGCCGGGACTCAGCAGTGACGCACTGGGGTCATGAAGCTGGGGCAGCCCTGCCATGGACAGGGGTCCTTCATGTGTCCTGTGGGGGCCAGAGCCAGGCAGAGCCTGTGGCCAGCCAGAGCAAGGCCAGGGTCAGAGGCAGGAGCATCCATCCGGTCATCCCAAGAGCAGGGAGGGGGTGGGTGAGTCTAGGCTCATCTTTCCAGCAGGTCAGTTCACTCACCAGAGTCCAGACTTCTCATCAGCTATAGGGTTGGACATCCGTGCCCTCCTCCCCCTCATTCTTCTTTATAAGGCTTGCATTATATACCAGAATTGAAGTCAAAACCTACACTTTAATTGCACAAGGCATGCTCTACCACGGAATATGTAAATCACTGCAGATGAGGGTGAAAGTCCCCTCGAACTCTCATTCCTATTCCCCATTCCCTTAAACACACAGTATATTGTTTTGTGGATTTGTTGTTTTTACATATATGATATCAAACTATAAGAAACCTGAAGTAACTTAGTTGGGTTCCTTCAGTAATATCCCAGAGGTATTCCCACATTGATACATAGAGTTCTGAGTTAAATGTTTTTCTGGCTGCATAGTATTCCATTTTCCAGATGTGCTATGGTTTATTTAGCCATCTCCTCACTGCAGTATTCTTACAGTGTTTCTAGTTTCATCAGCATTGCAGTGAACTTGTTCACATACCTCCTTATGCACATAAAAGGTTTTCTGAAGGGTAGATCCCAGAAGGCAATCAATGGACCAGAGAGCAGGCATATTTTAAATCTCCATATCCACTACCATGTGACAGTCCCCCAAGAGGCTGTGACAGCAGACTCCCTGGCCACCCTTGGTGCCCAGAGCTCCCCAACCACGGAACCACTGTGGAGATGGGAAGGGAGGTTTCCCAAGTGAGTGACCTTCCCCACTTTTCTGCAGGAAGATTTTTGGTAGGGTGGGGGTGGGGAGAAGGGTCATGTCTCCATCCTCATTTGTCTTCCACTGTGGTTTAGAATTCAGTTTCTCCAAAAGGCAAAGACCTCTCATCTCCATGCCCTAGTCACATCGTGTGGGACGTGGGAGCAAGATTTTCTGTCTCCACCACCTCAGAAGAGCAGACCAGGGAAGGTGTGATTGAGGAGTGGTCACCCTGTGGGCCCCGGGAGGTGTTTTTGGGGGTGCAGTGGTGAGGCCTACCCTTCCTGGATGTTTTGGAGCAGCCAAGTCATGATAGGAGAGGTTTTGGGAGCAGGACAGGAGGCTGAGCCCCACTGGTCCACCCACATGTCTGACCTCTCCTCGCTCCCACTCGTAGACACACAAAGGCTGTAGGTGGAAGGAAAGAGGAAGGGAGAGAAGGAAAGCAAGAAAGACTTAAAAATAGCTCTCCTTATGAAAGGAGACATTCAAAGACTCGCTGACGTGTCGGCCCTCCCTGACAATGAGTCTAATGGGGCCTTTTCAGGCTAAATACCAGCTCCCCCGAGACCAGCCCAGTAGCCAGCAGCCCCTCCCAGGGACCCCCTCCCCCACCTGAGTCTCATGGCCACATTTGTTTCCCAGTCTGGCCTGTTTCTGGAACAGACCCTTCCTGTCCTCACGCCCTCTGTGGCAGGTCTGCTCCTGCCCAGCAGGGCCCACATGCCCAGAGCTCTGCTCTTGCCGGGCCGGCTGACCGGTGTCCCTGGTCCTTGCACCTGTAGCCTCACCTTGACCATCCGCCCCCAATTAAAGGGTCCACCTGAGCCCTGGTTGTTGCCATTGGACCAGTCCCCAGCTGGGGTTAAACACCACCATGCACTTTCTCTGTGCTATGGACTTCTAGAGCTAGATTCACAGCTGCACACTGGCTCCACTGCAAACTCTTGCTTCTCCTGGGCCCCGGGGAAGGGGCTCTGAACCACAGCCTGTGCTTCCCACTCCCAGAAAACAATACTCATCTCCTAGTGAACATGAACTTTCTCCACTGTCTGCCTCTCTTCTGTCTGTATCTTCACTCAGTTACTCCCAGTCCCTCCTCTTCTTCCACAGAAACTTATTTATTAAATATATACTGAGCGTCTACTCTGTGCCTGGCTCATTGTCAGGGAGGACCAACATGCAAGCACCCTTTCAAGGGCTGAAGACACAGCAATGACAAGTCAGACCAGTCCCTGCCTGCCCTGTTGGAGTTTCACATTCTAGAGAAGGGGATGGAAGGTAAACCAGAAAACTCCTAAGATGGGATTAGGTGGTAACAAGTGCTATAAAAAACAAACTGGCAGCCAGGCACGGTGGCTCACACCTGTAATCCCAGCACTTTGGGAGGCTGAGGTGGGCGGATCACGAGGTCAGGAGATCAAGACCATCCTAGCTCACATGGTCAAACCCCGTCTCTACTAAAAATACAAAAAATTATCTGGGTGTGGTGGCACGTGCCTGTAGTCCCAGCTACTTTGGAGGCTAAGGCAGGAGAATTGCTTGAATCCGGGAGGCAGAGGTTGCAGTGAGCCAAGATCGAGCCACTGCACTCTAACCTGGGCGACAGAGCAAGACTCTGTCTTAAGACAACAACAACAATACAAACAAACAAACAAACAAACAAAACTGGCTATGGTCGTGAGGAACAGAGCTCCTGGGATTGGGGGTGGGGGCATCTTAGACACAGAATGCCTTCATTTTTCTATTTTTAAAAAATTGTGGGAAAATACACATAACATAAAATCCACCATCGTAACCATTTTTAAGTGTGCAGTGCAGTAGCATGAAGCACATTACATTGCCATGCAGCCATCAACACCATTCATTTCCAGAGCTTTTTCCTCTTCCCAAACTGAAACTCTGCCCCCTTTAGACACTGACTCCCCATTCCTCCTCCCCTATCCCCTGGCAGCCACCGTTCCACTTCCTGTCTCTATGAGTTCAGTTACTCTAGGGACTTCACATGAGTGGAATCCTACAGTATTTGCTCTTTTGTGAGTGGCTTATAGACTTAGCATAATGTCCTCAAGGTTCATCCACTCTGTAGCATGGGTTGGAATTCTTTCCCCTTTAATACTGAGTTTGATTCCGTTGTATGGGTGGACTGTATTTTGTTTGCCCATTCATTCATTGACAGATGCATGGGTTGCTTTCACCTCTTGGCTGTTGCGAATGGTACTGCTGTGAACGTGGGTGCACAGATCTCTCTAAGACCCTGCTTTCAGTTCTTGTAAGTATATGCCCTGAAGTGGGATTGCTGTATTATATGGCGATTCTGTGTTTAGTTTTTTGAGGAACTGCCATATAGTTTTCCACAGCAGCCACACCCTCTTAACATTCCTGCCAATAGCGCAGAAGGGTTCCAATTCCCAGGGAGGGGCTCTTGGATGAGGAAGACACATCTGTGAGGGAACGGAATGGCATGAGGGAGCCCGAATGGCATGAGGGAGCCCGCACTGTGAAGCCCTAGGGCAGAGCCTTCCAGGCAGAGGAGAGCAGTGCAAGGGCAGGAGGGCGGAGAGAGTCTGTGAGCCAGAGCCTAGGAGGTCATTGTGGCTGGAGCAAGGTGAGGTTGGGGAAAGAAGGGGAGCGGGAGCTGGAGAGATTCGTCAGGTCTTCCCTCAGGCCATGGCCATATTGAAGCCTCCCTCACTCCTCCACCTCCCTTACTGCTGTCGCTGGTGCTGCACAACCCTCTTGATACCCAGGAGCCAGGCTCCCTTCCGCCGTCCACTTCAGACCCCTCTTACACAAGCCCTGAGCCTCAGCCCTGGTGGCCTCACCTCCTTGGGAACAAACATCCTCTTCCCTGGGCTTGCCTGACAGTCCTCTCCTGGTTCTCCTTCGTTTCTGACTGTGCAACTCTGTCAACTCTGCTGTCTTAGGCATTTCCCAAGGCTCCACCGCCCCCAGACCCCATCCTTCATTCTGTGCCCTCTTCGCCGGCAGCCCGTTCCAGCCATGGCCAGCCCTACGCAGGTGGCATCCCAGAGCACACCATCTGGCCTGACCCCAGACTTGAGCTTCTTGGTGCCCTTTAGGGACCTTCTTGGAAGCCCCATAGATGCTTCAAACTCAACACATCCCATACCAAGCTCATCCTCTTCCCATCCCCGGCCTGCCTGCTTCCTGTGTTTGCTATTCTGGATGTTAGCACCAGATGTGGAAGATCTGAATTCCTGACGTGTCATCTTCTTATTGCCATGTCTTAATCACAGATCAGAGAAAATTCAGTAGACACCCAGTTCTTCGACCAGACATCATGCAAGATACAAAACGAGTTCTGTCTGCTCCTTAAACCCACCTCAGACCCTTTGCCATTGGAGTTTCCTCCACCAGAAGTGTGCTCCCTGCCCTTTGCCTGGCTGGCTACAGGTCTCAATTTGAATGTCACCTCCTCAGAGAGGGCTCCTAGATCTTCTGCCATACTCTGTCACAGCATTCCTGGCTATTTCCTTATGCTGTAGTCTTGTTCTTCATTCCTCTGTTTTCTTGCCCATCGTTTGCCTTTCCCTGGCAGTCGTTCCAGGAGGGCAGACACTGTGTTTATCCTGTTCATGGGTGCGTCCTTGCTGCCTAGTACATTAAGATATAGTCAATGAATATCTTCAAATAAGTTAATAAACAAAAGAATACATTAGGCCCAGTTCCTGCATTTACATAAGAAAAACAAACTCGAATGTCTGACAGTTTAATAAAATGAAAACACTTGTTTGGCTCTGTGTAACTTACTCTGCACAGTGAGTGATGGAGCTGGGAGTCCAACCTGCATTTTTGATATTCCTGTTGCTTCACCCTGGCTCCCCCATAGCCATGCAGAGAGTGCTGCATTTCAGTACAGTAACACAAGAGACATTGCAAGGCGGGTGACAGAGGAGAGGGAGGGAGGCAGACACAACTCAGAGGGGACGGGAGAGAAGAGGGGCTCCAAGGTTCTGGAGGGCGTCCTGGGTACGTGTATGCCTCACACGCCTTGCTGAGGTCCTTGGGGGGCTTGAAGGCAGCCAGGGCCAAAGGGCTGGGCAGGTTAGGATCCCCTGGCCCTGGGACAGCTTGTTCTGTGGCTGAGTTTCCTCAGTCAAAAGGGGAGTCTCAGACATGCCCTTTGCCCTAGTGTTTGGTATGTGGTCCACAGATGATACTCAGTCTTGCTTTCTCCTTCCTGACTTGGCAGTGGTCACTCTCTCTCGCTCTTCATGGCCTATGGCCAAAGTGCCATATGTGGACGAACAGCACCCTAGCATCTGGGGGATCATTAGAAACACAGTATCCCAGGTCCCACCCCATACTTGCCGAACCCAGATCTGCCTGTTGACAAGATCCTCAGTGACTCACGTGTGCTCACTTAAGTCTGAACTCTGGCCCATGTGCAGCAATCACCCAGTCTATGTGGAGCACTTGTGGTGCCCTCGGCTCTGGGAGATGCCACAGAAGAAGCTAATGGGGTCCCAACTTTGGGGAACTTAACAGTTGAGTTGGAGAATGAAAAAGCAATTCATGTGATGATCTTTAAACTTTATATTCATATTTTATGTACTTCTCTGAATGTTGTACTCTGAATGTTGTATGTCACACTTTAAAAAAATAAACCAAGGTTTCACATGAGATGGAAGGGTTATGGAATTTAACTGAAAAATGGCAAGATCTTTAAATTTGGAGAAGAGACTTTATTTCTTATAAGGGGTTACAGCCTGTAAGGTGGCTGTTCTCATGGGCTGGGAAGTATAGCCTCTGGCTAAAGCCTTTAGCAGGTGCTCAAAGCAGGTACTCAAAGCACCTGTTTGAGGGAGGGAGGGGTAAGACAGGAATTTATGCTTGCAGGGGTGGACAAGTTTACATATTCAGCAAATTATAGGAGGAGCTGTGGATATTCATAAAAGAAGGCAGTGTGCACGTGTGATAAGCAAGCGTGCATGTTGCATGTGTCCCATGTTCACCTTGGGGTGGAGACTTAAATGTATTACAGTTAGGCCTTATATGTCAAAAGATGAAGCTGGGGCGGCATGAAGGCACTCAGTGCACAGCCTCCTCAAACCAGCCAGAGCCAGTCCATGGTGGGTGGTCTCTTATTAGGAGAAAGTCATAGAAATCAGTCTCTTGTCCAGTCAATCCAATCAAAGCTGTAGCTTGGCTGGTAGAACAGGGGGCTTAGTTAGTCAGTGTCTGACGGTGGCTGAGCTGCAATTGTTTCGACATTGCTTATCTTGAGGCCAGTGCTTGTTTAGCTGCTGGTGAAAAAGAAAAACCTCATGGCAGTGAGAACAGAATTCATTCTTTAAGTGTGGGGTGCATGGCTTAACCCTTGCCTGGCACAGCCTTAGGTCTTGTTTATAATTTGGCATCGTATTGCCACAGATTCCATTCTGTCAAGTCTTATGATCTCTATTTTAACATTAGTGCTGGTCAGATGTTGTGTCTAAACTGAAAGAGGGAAGGAGTGTAATGATGTGTGTCCAACCTCCCATCACATCATGACTGGGAACTCAATCTTTAAGGTTTTTCTGGGATCCCCTTGATCAAGAGGGGGCTTGTTCAGTCAGTTGAGGAGTTTAGGATTTTGTTTTTAGGTCTCAGGGGCAGCCCTCATGCCCAGCTGTGTGAACTAAACCATGAGCAGTGGAAGGGGTCTATGTTGTAAGAGTCAGAGCAGTCAGGAAGGCTTCCAGGAGGTGGTGAGGCCTAAGTGCTCCTTGGAAGAGAGCAGGACGTAGTTAAGTAGAAAGGAGGAGAAAAGTTTATAGGAGGCAAAAACAGATGGGATGAAGGCATAGAATCCAGCCATTAGCCGGCTGTTTGAAGTCATGGCTGGACCTTTCCAGAATTAAGTGCGATGGGGAGGGCTGTGTCTTGTTTGAGCCAACACTGGCCCTTTCTTGCCATCAAACATGGGGAGCTGCTAATCACAATCACAGTCACTCTCTTAGGATTCCAGAAGGTGAGAGAGCTGAAAGGAGCATTTAGAGACCACTGTTTCTTTTCACTGTGGCAAGAACGTTTAACGTAAGAGCTACACTTTTTTTTTTCTTTTTTTTTTTTGAGACAGTTCTGTCACCCAGGCTGGAGTGTAGTGGCACGATCTTGGCTCACTGCAACCTCCGCCTCCCGGGTTCAAGATATTCTCCTGCCTCAGCCTTCCGAGTAGCTGGGACTACAGGCTCACGCCACCATGCCAGACTAATTTTTGTATTTTTAGTAGAGATGGGGTTTCACCATATTTGTCAGGCTGGTCTTGAACTCCTGACCTCAGGTGATGCACCTGCCTTGGCCTCGCAAAGTGCTGGGATTACAGGTGTGAGCCACTGCGCCCAGCCAGACCTACACTCTTAATGCCCATCCTTCGGTGAGTGGATAAGGAAAATGTGGTCTGTGTATACAATGGAATATTATTCAGCCATAAAAAGGAAGGGAATTCTGCCATTTGCAACGATGTGAATGAACTTGGAGGGCTTGATGCTGAATGAAATAAGCCAGTCACCGATGGACAAATACTGCATGAGTGCACTTACATGAGGTGTCTAAAATATAGGGCCAGGCATGGTGGCTCATGCCTGTGTTCCCAGCACTTCGGGAGGCCAAGGCAGGAGGTTCACTTGAGGCCAGGAGTTGGAGACCAGCCTGGGCAACATAATGAGACCTCGTCTCTACAAAAAATAAAAAAATTAGCTGGGTGTGATGGCGTGCATGCCTGTGGTCCCAGCTACTCAGGAGGCTGAGGCTGAAGGATCACTTGAGCCCAGGTGCCATTGCATTCCAGCCTGGGTGACAGAATGAGATCCCTAAGTCTCTAAAAAATAAAATAGCCTAATTCACAGAAGCAAGGAGTAGAATAGTGGTTGCCGGGGGTGGAGGGAGGGAGAGGTGGCAAGCTACTGTTCAACAAAGTTTCAGTGATATAGGAGATCACTGGAAGGAAAACTGCAGCTTCTCACTTGTTCCTTGCTCAGGGCTATTCAGCAGGTTGGAGGCCAAGTCAGGAGTAGAAATCAGGCCTCCTGATCCCTCATTCAGGGTGTTCCAAGATAGCATGCTGCTTCTGCAAATTTGTTACACACTGTAGCCAGAACCAAAGATCTCTCCAAAATTAAAGGTCTTTTAAGTAGCTGGGCCAAACCCACAGTCACACCAGCCTAACTTCAGGAACTGGACTAGTCAGCATGATCTGGAAACTGACCAGCTGGTCCTGGGGAAGCCAGGGGGCCACTGTTGCGTCCCTCCTTCTCCCCTCGCTTGTCCTGGCAGGCACTCACTCTCCTCCGCCTCCTCTTCCTGCTCCTGGTGACAGCTGGGATAAAGAGTGAGCCACCTCTCCCTGAGTACCTGTCTCTGAGTTTTCCAGCAGCTGTTGAAGGCTGTGCTGGAAACCCCCACCTGTGTTCCCTGCCTGCCCCAGTGGTCCCCAGGGGACTTGGAGACTGTGTTCTCCTGGAGCCTAGTGCCCCATGTATCTGGGTTTCTGAGCACTCTCCCGTCTCCAGATGTGACTTCAGAATTCTCCAGCTGGCCCCTTCATTGGGACCCTCAACACATGGAAGACTCACAAGGAAAATTTCCCCAGGGCTTGAAACAGCCATGGAAGGTGGCCCCTTCCTTGTGTGTGGATGTGGGTTATTTTAGGGGGGCTGCGTGGCTGAAGAGGCTGGCGCATACGGGGCATCGGGGGCACCTCAGATGTAGCCTGTGACCTAGAGATGTTTATTGAGGCTGTGTGGGGATTCTGGGCACAGGAAACTGTGTGAACCAAACACACCCAGAGGTAGGAAAAAATAGAGTGGGCTTAAGGGATCACCTGGAGCTCCATGTGGCATGGAGGAGTGGTGGAGGGGACTGGGAACAGCCCTGAGCTGAGCCACAGGGGCCCCTTTCTGTAAGCGCTGGGAGCCTCTGCAGCCACTCAAGGGTGCAGGTGACAGAAGGAGGCTGTGGGAATGGCTAGGAGGCTGGAGCTCAGAGTGAATGAGAGACAGGCCAGTCAAGGGTACAGGGAGGGTCAGAGCTTGGGTCCAAGATGAGGGATGGGAAGCCTGGACTTCAGAGGTAGAGCAGTGTGGAGTGTGGGTGAGGCCCAGGCTGGAGGGAGTGGAGGGAGACACTGCTGAGAGACATCTGAGGAGGAGGGAGGTCTCAAGGAGGTGAGCACAGGGCATTCAGATTGGAGTGCCCAGTGACCACAGGTGCAGGGGGACAGGTGTGAACTGATGGGGGTGTGTGCCGAGCCAGACACAGAGGCTTTGGGGGCGAGGAGCTTGGCAAAGGACTGGCAGAGACCAGTGAAAGAAAGAGGTGGCTGTTAACATCAGGCTGCGCCATCTTAAAGGCCGAGCAGGTGTGGACCCAGGAGGCCTGTACGCAGAGAGGGGAGGCGACGAGATAGGCATCTTGAGGTTGTTCCTTCCTCTCCCACAGGTAGGACATGGTGGGGAAGGATTGTGTGGACCCTGGGCATACTTGGGGACCATCCTGAGGGACAGGCCAAAAGGCCTGGGGTTCCCTGGCCTCTGTAATAATAAAGCGATGCTAATGCCTCACTCCCCTGTAGCTCTTTACTGATTATGAAGAGCTTTTCCATCCACAACCCTTTGCTGTCTTTGTGTGACAGCCTCTGAAACAGTGGTTCTCAAAACTTTTTGGTCTCAGACCCACCTCCCCTCTTAAAAATGATCGAGGGCCCCAAAGAATTTTTGTTTCTGTGAATCACATCTCTGCAATGTTTACCACATTAGAAAGTAAATCAGAAAATTTTGAAACATCTTTTAATGCATTTTAAAATAACAAACCCATTACATGTTAATACAAGTAGCACTTTTATGCAAAAAATAAATAAATAAATAAATAAATAAACCACCCTGTTTTCTAAAACAATCAAGAAAAAACAAAAGAGTGACATTTTTACATTTTTACAAATATTAATGTCTGGCTGAACAGAAGGTAGCTGGATTCACCTATCCACTTCCCCACTCGGTTGGTTGGAATTGTTTTGGTTGACTTAAATGAATAATATCTAGGCTCATACAGATATGTAGTTGGAAAAGGTAGGACTTTACATACCTCAGAGGTTCTCAGGCTATATTTTGGGAACTGATGTCCTCGAAGGAGGCTGAGCACCCAGTTTTACAGTTGGAAAAACTAAGGCATGGAGACAGAGGACCCGGATTCTTGACTCTTTGTGTGACCCGCTGTCTAACACTGAGGTTCCCTGGACCCCTCCCGACCTGCCCGGGTCCCAGAATAGCCAAGTGTTGAACCAGCTGGTTTGCTGGGGACCAGGGAGGAGGCCAGTAGCCCTGGGGACAGCCTCAGGCAGGGGCAGGTGGCCTGATGTTAACACCCATAGCTTCAGCTTGAGAAATGCCATAGCAATAGCATGGGCCTTGGCACCCCCAGCCCCCAAGCTCCTGGGAGGAGCCCTGTTCCCAGAAGCCTGTCCCTGGACTCTGCCGTCAGCCTCGGAGTTCATTTCCTGGTTAAACAAACATCTATATTAAATGGCCCAGTTGGGCAACGCCCAGAAGCAGTTTCTGCGTGCCTCGGGCACACAGCCTGCCAGGCCTCCCCGTTGGCCGCCTGGCGAAGACACATCCATCATCGCAGAGTCACTGAAGCAGGACTGCCCCGTGCGTCCCACCCAGAATCTGCACGTCTGGCAGGAGGGGCTGGGTGGGACGTGCAGAGGGGCCCGTGTCTGGACCCTACCAAAAGCCTGTCCTCGACAGCTTGGAGATTGTAACAGTGGTAATGATGGCAACTCCAGAAGTTTGGGTATGGTGTGACGGCTGCCATCCATCATCTGACCTCATCCTGGCAGGATAGGAACGCCCACCTGTTTGCCAGATGAGGAAACAGAGGCATCTGAGAGGGGCTCGCCCACGGTCACACAGCCACCCATGGCCTTGTTTGGGGGAGGATCCAGGCATCTTGACTTCCAGCATAGTTGTCTTTGTGCCATTGTGGCCACGTTCTGAGGATCCGGAGTGAGGAAGCCTGAGTGCAGAGGGGCAAGCCCAGGCTGCTCTGATGTGTGTCTGCTCTGATGAAAAGCACAGCAGGATAAAGATGGGGCAGGGGCCCTTAACCAGGGGTGACGTCTTGCATCACCCCAAGCCCTAGGACATTTGGCAGTATCTAAAGACATTTTTGATTGTCACAGTGGGGGTTGAGGGAGTAGAGGCTCCTATTGTCATCCAGTGGGTAGAAGCCAGGGATGCCATTAGTTATCCTGTAATACGTAAGAACAGCTTCTACAGCAAAAACTATTCTTCAGAATGTCAACAGTCCAAGATGGAGAAACCCTGGGGTGGAAAATGATTTGGGGTGTTCTTTAGGTCAGGCAGTCATGGATGACTGTGCTGAGGTTGTGACTTTTGAGCAGAGACCTGAAGGAACCAGAAAATACAAATGAAAAGATCTGGGGAAGAGCATTGCAAGAAGAGGGAACAGCACATGCAGAGGCCCTGAGTCAGGAAGGCATCCTCAAGAAGCCAGTGTGTGAGACCGGGTTGGTTATTCTCTACCAGATCTCAGATGAAAACACTGAGGCTCAGAGATAAGGGCTCACCAGAGGTCATACCATGAAACAGTGCTGGAGCTGGGTTTGAAATGGATGTGATTGATTCCAGAGTCCATTTGCTTTCCACTGTCTCTGCTGCTACTGTCAGAGGAGTGGCCCAGCCTTCATTTTGCAGTTAAGGCCTTTCCCTTACTCGATTCTATAAATTTTTTTTTCTTCTTCTATCCCTGGTTACTTGGTTTTGTTCCTGGCACCACCTCAGTGACAAAAACAACAAGGATAATGATGGCCAATAATTCCATAGTGCTTGCTGTGTGCCAGGCACAGTTCCAAGTGTGAGAGATTCTCTATATAGACACTCATCTGATCCTTATGACATGCATGTGTGCTGGATACTATTCTCCTACTGTGCCCATTTCACAGGTAAGAAAATTGAGGCACAGAGAGCTAAATGACTTGTTCAACAAATAAGAGTTAGAGACAGGAAACTGCCTAGTTCCAAAGCCCATGCTTTTTTTTTTTTTTTTTTGAGACGGAGTCTCACACTGTCGCCCAGGCTGGAGTGCAATGGCGCAATCTCGGCTCACTACAACCTCCGCCTCCTGCCTCAGTCTCCCGAGTAGCTGGGATCACAGGCGCCCACCACCATGCCCGGCTAATCTTTTTGTATTTTTAGTAGAGACAGGGTTTCGCTGTGTTGGCCAGGCTGGTCTCGAACTCTTAACCTCATGTTCCACCCGCCTTAGCCTCCCAAAGTGCTGGGATTACAGGCGTGAGCCACTGTGCCCGGCCTCAGAGCCCATGCTTTTAACCACAACACTATGCAGTGACTTTCTCAGCAGTGATTTTCTCATCACTAGAGTGGATCACTCACTTGACGAGTGGCTTCTTAAGTTTAGTAACACACAAGGTTCAGCACAGAAGGGAATTTAGAGGTTAGTTTGTCCACATATGAGGAAACTGAGGCTTGACCTTGAAAGTGATTTGTATAGAGTTGTACCAGGAGGCAGGTGTTCCCAGCTGAGTGCCCTCTGCTCTGCCATGGGCCACCGCTGCCAGCCACGCCTGCACATTCACAGCCTCCCCCGTCTATTTCATCAGGCCGCCACAGCGTGTCTTTGCATCTCTGGATCCCAGCCACTAGTTGTGTCTGATATCCGGCAGGTTTGGGGCCACCCAGCAGGAGCCTGCTTGTGGCAGAAGGCCCAGGCATCTGTCTCAGCCCAGCCCATCCTTCCTGTTTATAGACATAATCTCAGTCTATTTCCAGATCATATAGGTGTGGAAGCTGGGGCTCACCATCTGAGGTCAGCCTGCAGAGTTAGTGCTTCCCAAGGGGAATGAATGTGCGCTCGCTCACTCACTCACTCCTCACTCACTCTTTCAGTCAACAAAGAGAACTACCATATGCTAAGCACTGGTCATGCAGATGTGGGAGTTCCTGGTCCCTGCCCTCCTGGAGAGATGTAATTGTTTCACAGTAATGATAAGTGTCGTGAGAGGGGGATGCTCAGAAACGATACCTAGCCCAGCCCGTTGAGCAGGGAGGATCAGGAGAGGCTTCTTGGAGGAGGTGCTGCCGTGGCTAAGTCTTATAGGATGACTGGGAGTTAGCCAGGTAGAGGGAGGGGGAAAGGATGCTGAGGGAACAGCATGTACAAAAGCAAGAGAAAAGAGAGAATTCCTCAGTACAGGGAACCACAGGTTGCTCAAGATTGGTGGGGTCATGAAGTGGGATATAAAGGTCATGCCATCATCATGGCCATTGAGCATTTACTAAATGGCAGGTGCCATGCTGGGCATTAGCTCAACAACCTTCAGAGTTAGGTGCTGTTAAAATCTGCATTTACAGCTGGGCTCGGTGGCTCATGCCTATAATTTCAGCACTTTGGGAGGCCAAGGTGAGCGGATTGCTTGAGCCCAGGAGTTCAAGACCAGCCTTGAACTGGTCAATGTAATGAGACCCTGTCTCTACAAAAAATTTTAAAAATTAGCCAGGTGTGGTGGTACATACCTATAGTCCCAGCTACTCAGGAGGCTGAGGTAGGAGGATCGCTTGAGCCTGAGAATTCGAGTCTGCAGGGAACTGAGATCACGCCACTGCACTCCAGCCTGGGTGATAGAGCATGACCTTGTCTCAAATAAAATAAATACATTTTTAAAATAAAATAAAATCCACATTTCCAGATGAGGAAACTGAGGTGCAGAGAGGTTAAATAAGTTGTTGAAGAACATACAAGTAATGAGTGCCAGGAAATGGTCTGCAAAATGCTTGGAACTTGCCTCCAGCAGCATGGTGGCCTCCTCTAGAAACCACTGATGCCTGTCCCACCTGATTGCTCTCTTTCCTCCCACAGGTGGAAGGACAGTCCAGAGCCCTTGTCATCGCACAGGAACTGCTATCTTCAGAGAAAGCGTGAGTCCCCAAGGAGCTGCCTGTGGCCTTGAGCTTATAAACAAAACGTCACCCTCCTGGGCTTACACAGGATGGGGATTAATGCAGCCTCAACCCTCTTTCCCTCTGCAGATACGTGGAGATGCTCCAGCACTTAAATCTGGTGAGTTAATCATTTTAATTGTCCAAAACTAATTGCCCTTTTACAAGTCTGTGATATAAGAGGCAGGAAAGCAATGTGGAGACAGAGGTGATTTCCATTAACAGAGGCCTGGCAGCAGGCAGGCACTCACCGACGCTTTTCAGGGAAGTCCGTCTCCTGATTAATGTGCTTCCGGGGGCAGACAGCGGATGCGTCTCCTTGCTCAGGGATGGGGTGCATGGGGGCATGGTCTGAGGTTTTGTGCAGGTTGTTTGAGGTTTCCTTAGCCCTCTTGCTGAGAAAGGCAGGAAGAGGACAGTGGAGTGTTTCTGGGGATTGCTATGTGTGAGTTTGTGTATGTGAGTTTGTGCACCTGTGTGTGTGTGATGTTTATGTTCGTATGGAGAAGGTGTCTGCCTGGTGACAGAGCAGCTGAGGGTATCAAGAGTCTTCCTCAGTCTCCTTAGTGTCAGGGTGGTAGTGCCTGAGCTGGTGGTGAGGGGCTCCTTTGGGCTTTCAGAGGAAAGGAGGCCAGACTTGGGGACAGGCACTGCTCCCCTTCGTAACTCACAGGACAGCTTGCAGAGTGTCCCTTTGCAGTCAGCTCAGTTCAGTTCAGCAGACATTGTTTTGAGCTCTCGCTGCATAACAAGAACTGGAGAATGGGAAGACAGGTCAGACAGGGCCCTTCCCCAGGAGCTGTCTGGCCAGCAAAGGGGACGGATGAGGGGGTGACCAACAACCTTGGGCAGGCTTCCCTGAGGAGGTGATATTAAGGGCTAGGCCATAGCGAAGCGTGAGAAGAGGGCACAGCAAAGACTCGGGAAGTAGGGAACCATGGCAGTCTCAGGCTTCCTGCTCCCTTGAGCTCTCTCTGGGCCATTTGCACTCTTGCCATGGTTGAGCACTGGGTTCTATGGTGCTTTGAATCATTCACCATCTCTAAGAATGTCAGAGCTGGGAATGTGCACCTGGACATTTTGTAGGTGGTGATGTGGAAGCCCAGAGGAGGTGACATGGCCCAAGTCACACAGTGGTGGAGCCAGGACAAGCACCAGGTCTCCTGGCTCCCAGGCCACTCCCCTCGCATTCACTGGGTGTTCCTGGCTGCCTTGGGAGCTCCATGGGGCAGGGACCATCTCTGGGTGTACCAGAGCACTCAACATCAAGCCAGGCCTCTTGCTGAACCCAGCTGAGGTCCCTGTCAGCAATGTCACCCTGGCATCACATCCCCACATGAGCTGATAGCAGCCAGGACCCCAGGAGGGCGGATAGAGCACTACTCTGGTCTGGTGCTCTCGGCCCCTCATTTTTGTGCCCTCAGGATGAAAGCCTTGTGTGCACTCTTGAACCCCAAAGCCCTCAAGTATGAAATGTACCAGCCCCCATTCAGCTTTTATACCTAAAAGATCTATTTGGCAAAGGCCTGAAGGATCAGTTTCCCATTTTTTTTTTAACTTCTCTCTCCCTTATTTCTGGGCTGACAGCATGACAGAGGGGCTGGGCAATTTTGTTTTATGACTTCATAAGAGGGTTTTAACTGGGAAACTTGCATCTATGTTTGCCCTGCTTCCTGCCAGTTGGAAAGACATTGAAGCCCCTGGTAATCCATAATAAGATCCTGAGGATGGGGTGAAGGGAGAGCCCATAAAAGTCATCACTCAGGCCAGGCGCGATGGCTCATGCCTGTAATCTCAGCACTTTGGGAGGCCGAGGTGGGCTGATCATCTGAGATCAGGAGTTCGAGACCAGCCTGGCCAACATGGTGAAACCCCATCTCTACTGAAAATACAAAAATTAGCCAGGCATGGTGGTGGGCGCTTGTAATCCCAGCTACTCAGGAGGCTAAGAGAGGAGAATCACTTGAACCCAGGAGAAGGAGGTTGCAGTGAGCCGAGATCGTGCCACTGCACTCCAGCCTGGGTGACAGAGGGAGACTCTGTCTGAAAAAAAAAAAAAAAAAGTCACCACTTAGAAGTTGGTTGCAGGAAGTTGTGGTCTGGAGCTGTATTTTAACATATCAGTGCTTACAGGGATAGAGGGGGCAGACATCTCCCAGTGTGACTCCAGGTCCTAGCTAGGGACATGAGTCTTAAAGGAGACCCATAGACTTTGGGGCACTCTCCACCACTCCCTGGCTTCGAATCTATCCCTGGTTGCTAAGCTTGGCAAGTTCTTCAGAATTTCCTCTTAGAGATTGGTGCTGTCGAGATCCCAAGGCTGTCCAGTGATGAGGAGGAGCTGACGGTGTCCCCCAAATCTCCCCAGCAGGAAGGGTCCTGGGTTCATTGTGCTATTGTTGTTGGGGGCGCGGAGTGGCCTTCTGTGTTTGAGGTGTAGCTCTGTGCTTGTCACATGGTAGTTATAGCTAACTCAGTGGCTGCCATGAATTCTAGTCATCCTGATGGCCACAGTCCTGGGTTTGTGTAACCTATGGGCTCCATAGGAATGGAGTTTACATTTTTAAACATTTGTGAAAAAAGACAAAGGAGAATATGCGACTGAGACCACATGTGGGTCACAAAGCTTAAAATATTTATCATCTGGCCCCTTACAGAAAAAGCTTACTGACTTCTGGTTTAACGGCTGCCTTCCATCCTTCCAGGAACCCAGTCATAAGAACTTTCCTCACCTGCGCATCTGTCAATCTCTACCCGTCCACCTAGCCAGCCAGCCTTTCACCCACTCATCTGTCCTTTCATCTATTCATGCATCAAGTGACACAACCATGCACCCATTCACTCTCAATTAATCTACTACTCAGATGTCTACCCACCTATCCAACCATCCGTCCATTCCTCATCTACCCATCCAAACAGCAATCCATCCATTCATCTATCCATCTGAATTGACCATTCATTCTGGAAACATCACAGGATGTTTACTGTAGGCACTGAAATAGGCCTTGGAGCCCCAAAGCTGAATAAGGCTCTGAACCTGCCCTTGAGTAGGTTTCCTTTTGCAGGGAGAGAGGGTGGAGGTGGGGAGGAGAAATCAGTATGTGAACAGACAATTTACATTACTCCATGTAAGTATAATTTGCAGAACTGTAGTTTTGTGCAGAATCTGCAGGGGCATGAGGGAGGGAAAGACATATGCAGGAAGGTTTGCGGAAGAGGTGCCACTGAGATGGACTCTCGGAGTTCACCAGGCCAGGGTAGTGGTGGAAGAGGGCGTGTAAGGTAAGGGAGTCAGCATGAGCAAATGCTCACAGGCTCATGGTATGTTTGGAGAATGACACATCATTGCACATGGTTAGAACATAGAAAATTTTGGAAAGCCAGGTAGGAGGTAGGATCAGGGATCAAGAAATGGATCCCCAAATAAGGCTAGGACCAGATCGAGAAGTACCAAAAATGCTGGGCCAAGGACCTTATGCCTTTCCTTGTACATGGTGAACAGCTAGAGATTTTGAACAGGTGTGGCACCTGGACACCTTCTATCCTCTGTTTTTTCATCTAAAACAAGTCTCTCCTAGAGGAAGCCAAAAGTTCCTACCAATCCCTCCTTTGGGCTAAGCCATTCAGAAGGCCTGTTCAGAAGCCAGTTTGCTGATTGGGAGATAACTCTGGAAGTTGTCACCATCCTGCCCCAGGATAAGTTTCCCCACACAGGAGGCCCACATGACCTGGCCCCTGTCCACCTCTCTGGCAGTACCTCCTTTACCGTTTACTTCATCACTGCCTTCAGCCACACTGGCCTTCTTTCTGTTCTTCAGATACTGCGAATGCATTCACATCTCACAGTTTTGCTCTTCCCTCTGCTGGAAGGTCCTACCCCGATCTTCCCATTCAGGTCTCAGCTCAAGTGTTACCACTTCAAACTACTGGTGCCCCAGAACTTAGTGGCATAAGACAACCATGCTGTTATGCTCACAGACTCTCTGGACTAGAAATTTCGACAGGGCACGGTGGTGGGAGTTGGTCTCTGTTCCATGATGTCTGGGGCCTCAGCTGGAAGACTTAAAGACCGGGGGTGACCTGATGGCTAGGAGCTGGGATCACCGGAGGTGTCTTCATGTAGGCAGCCGAAGGCCCATGGGAAGTGACCAACTCAGCATTCCACTGGAGGCTATATGATCAAACAGCAAACTGTTTATCATGAGTGCAGGATGTGGGCAAACTCACGACTGCGCCTGCCGACAAAAAGTTTGCTGGAGGCATTCACTCCCTGGCGCCGAGGTTATCTACCGCGACATCTAGAGAAAGCAGTCTTGCAAGCCTGCTCTGGACCGAACAGCTGACCCCTTCTTCCACCTCCCTCCTCACTATCTCTTTTGCCTAATAAATACAGAGGGCTGTGTAAAGCTTAGGGCCCTTGTCCACTAGAGGCAAGGTGACCCCTTCTTCCAAATATACTCTTTTGACTCTTATCTTTTATTCCCACGTTCGCCCCCTTTGTTCAGTTCCTCTAGGTCTGTGCAGGTTACATAGTAGACAAAAGAGTATATTTGGAAGAAGGGGTCAGGGGGCACCTTGCCTCTAGTGGACAAGGGTCCAGAGCTTTACACAGCCCTCTGTATTTATTAGGCAAAACAGATAGTGAGAAGAGAGGTGGAAGAAGGGGTCAGCTGTTCGGTCCAGAGTAGGCTTGCAAGACTGCTTTCTCTAGATGTCGCGGTAGATAACCTCAGTGCCAGGGAGTGATTGCCTCCAGCAAACCTTCTGTCCGCAGGTGCAGTCGTGAGTTTGCCCACATCCTGCATTCATGATAAACAGTTTGCTCTTTGATCATATAGCCTCCAGCGGAATGCTGAGTTGGTCACGTCCCACGGGCCTTCGGCTCCCTACATCTTCACTCACACATCAGGTGGTTGAGGCTGGCTGTTGTCCGAGACTTAAGCTGGGAGGTTGGCCAGAACACTTATCTGTGGCCACTCCATGTGGTCTCTGCCTACGCGAGTTTGGGCTTCTGCACAGCATGGTGGCTGGGTTCTAAGAGTAAGTGTCCCGAGAGAGCAGGTAGAAGTGAATGGCATTTTTATGATCTGGCCTTGGAAGTCCTATAGCACCACTTCCACCATACCCTATGAGTTAAGACAGTCACAAAGGTCTACCCAGGTTCAATGGGAGGGGACATAGTCTCTCCTATTCAATGGGAGGAATATTGAGCTCACATTGTATAAAGACCATTGAGATAGGAGAGATTGTTGTGGGTGTTTTTGGAAAAGACAGTCTACTACAGAAGTTTTTCCTAAACATTCTGTGTTGGTTAGGAATTGTGTTTGACTGCTAGTAACAAAAACTCAATTACCATGGCTTAAGTAATTTAGAGATTCTTCTTTCTTGTGAAATAAATCCAGAAGCAGGCGATCCAGGTCAAATCTGGCAACTCCACGCAGTCTCAGGGACTAAAGTTCCATCTGCAGCATCCATTTCCAAGGTTTCTCATGAACACAGGTTGGCTGCTGCAGTTTTAACCATTGCATCTATATCCCAGGCAGGAAGAAGGAGAAAGGTAGAAAAGCAACAGGTCATGTCTCCCAGCTGGGTTAGTCCCCTGAAAGCTTCACTTGTCAAACTTCTCCTTTCATCTCCTTGGGTACTCCTAGTTGCAGAGGAAGCTGAGTGAAAGCTGGGTTCATCTTGGTGGCTCTGCTTCTTGTGTGTTCATCCTGGGACCTGGGCTGAAGGGGCAGCACGCACCCCGGGAAGCTCTTCCCATGGCGATGGCAGGAGAAACAGCAGAGGGCTTCTTAGAATCAAGTTCACAACTGGCACATCATCCTTTCCACACACACCCCAGTGGCAGCAGCAGGTGCCATGGCCAGACCCAAAGGCGTAAGGGGCAGGGACGTGCTCTCCCCTCCGATGAGGCTGTGGCAAGGGTGTGGACACGGGGAGGGTGACACACTGTAGGTGTACTTCCCTCCTCTGCACTCCCTCTCACACCTCGTTTTCTTCACACCACCTTTCCCTGTTTGAAATTACCTAATTTATGTATTTGTGACTGGTTATGTTGTGTTTTCATTTTCATGCGGCTCACAATACTTTCTATTAATAATCCCCTTTGTGATTTCTTCTTTGACCCATGGATTATTTAAAACTGCGTCGTGTAACTTCCAAGTATTTGTGTGTTTCCCACATCTCCTGCTGCTGATTTCTAATTTATCCTTCTGCTAATCCCATTGTGGTTGGAAAACATATTTTTTATGGTTTCAGTCCTTTTAAATTTACTTAAATGTATTTTATGGCCCAGCATACGCCCTAGCCTACCTGGAGAATGTTCCATGTGTATTTGAGAAGGATGGGCCCTCTGCTCTTGTTGAGTGGGGTGTTCTGTGGATGCTGCATAGGTCGAGCTGACGGATCCTGTTGAGTCTTCTGCATCCTCACTTTTTGTCTATTGTTGAGAGAGGCGTATTGACCTGTCAGCCATGATTATTGGGTTGTATGTCTCTCCGTCAGTTGTCAGGTTTTGCTTCATGTGTTTTGGGGCTCTTTTTAGGTGCTTGTTTGCTGTCTGCCTTCATCACTAAACTCTGAGCTCCTTGAGGGCAAAGAGCTGGACCCGTACCCTTGTTCCCAGTGGCTTGTGATGCCTGGTACACAGCTGATGCTCAGTATGTATCCAGTGAATGAGTGATGGTGGAGCAAGTTCTCCTCCCAGCAGTCCTATCCTTTCTTCAGACAAAAAAAACTTCCTGCCAGGCATGGGGGTGCATGCCTGTAGTCTTAGCTACTTGGGAGGCTGAGGCAGGAGAATCACTTGAGCTTAGGTTGCAGTGTACCTTGATCGTACCTGTAAATAGCCACTGCACTCCAGCCTGAGCAACATAGCAAGACCCTGTCCCTAAAAAAAAAAAATTAAAATAAGAAAATAAACTTCCTGAGCACCTGGTCTGGGTGACATATCAGGGAGTGATGGCAGGGAAAGTCTCCGCCCTCAAGGCACTGATGGTCTAGAGAGAGAGATTGGCAGGAAAAAGAACAATAGTAACGCAGTGGTGGAGGGTATACAGAGGTTTAGGGACTTGAAGGAGGCATCCAGCCCAGTCTTCTTGGAGTTAGAGAGGGATGCCCAGAGGAAAATGTGTTGAATAGCCAGGTGGGGGTGCAGTGAAGAAGGCTGTGCCTGGCAACAGGATCAACATTTGCAAAGGCCTGGAGGTCAGTTAAGAATGGCACATTTAGGCCCGGTATGGTGGCTCACACCTGAAGTCCCAACAATTTGGGAGACCAAGGCGGGAAGATTGTTTAAGGCCAGGAGTTTGAGACCAGCCTGGGAAACATAGTGAGACCCCATCACTACAAAAAAAAAAATTTTTTTTTAGCCAGACATGGTGGCTCATGCCTGTAATCCCAGCTACTTGGGAGGCTGAGGTGGGAGGATCACTTGAGCTTAGGAGTTTGAGGCTGCAGTGAGCTATGAGCATACCACTATGCTCCAGCCTGGGTGACAGAGAGATCCTTTCTCGAAAAAAAAAAAAATACAGATGCTCAGATTCCGCCCTCAGAGATATTTACTTAATTGATCTGTAACAGCCTAATCATTGACGTACCAGACATTAAGCACAGTCTTGAACAAAGCTGAGCAAATCTGAAGTCGAAAATAAGTGAACGAGGCACACTGCTCTCTCTTAGTTAGAGGGGAGGTAACAGAAACATACAGGATACGTGAATAGTCTGACAATGCAGTATTTTGTTGCTTTTTCAGACTGGCATACATGTAACCCAGCCCCAGCTGTGCAGTAGGTGCCCAGGAGGGCTAAAGGCCTCTGGCTAAACATGGCGTATTTTCTAAGAACCTCCATTTTGCTCCAGATACATAATTTTAAATAAATTAAACTAGATATGGATATATTTCAGAGACTAATGTAAAATATGCATTCTTTTTTTAAAGTTAAAATAATAGACTTCAAAGACATTTCTGAGATTAGAGTAGCGCCCTTCAGGCTCTGACCCCAAATTTCTGGAGTAGGACACTTGAGAGGCCCTTAGGACTGACTGCTGAAGTAACCCAAGAGGGCCTCATGAAGGAGGTGGTCTTTAAAGTAGCTTTGAAAGATCAGCAAGATGTGTATTGGATGATGGAAGTGCAGAACAAAGACACAGAGGCTGGAGAAGGGGATTCATAGAAAGCAGTAGTTCTCAAAGCATAGTCTTCAGACCAGCAGCGTCAGCATCACCTGGGAAACTGTGAGAAATGAAAATTATCCCGCCCCAGCCAAGACCTGCTGAATGGAAACTCAGGCGGAATGGAGGATGGGCAGCAATCTATGTTTTCCTAAGCCTGGCAGGTAATTTGGATGCACACTCAAATTGGGGAACCATTGTTACACAGAAGTGAACAGTCAGCTGCAGTAGTAGCTGCACCAGCTCCTGCAGGGACATGGTCACCAGGCCAAGGAGTTTAACTTGGTGCTGAGGGCAGGCAGGGCCACGAAGAGTTTGGAGGAGAGGTGAAAAAAATGGGGAGCGCTTGCTTGTCTTCCCTCCCCCAGGGGCGTATGTTTGTACACTTGTAACTCTCGCCCGGATAGAACATTTCCATCATCCCAGAAGATTCCTGTCATACCCTCCCAAAGGTTACCACTGTTTTGCTCTCTGTCACATGAGAGTGGTTTAGCTTGTTCCTGGATGGAATGGAATCATAAATTAGGTACTGTTACGTGTCTGGCTGCTTTAGCTCAACAGTCTGTGAGATTTAGCCAGCTGTTCACGGGTATCAGTGTTCTTTGGTAGGGATAGCCTATAGTCGGGTTGTCTGTGCTCCTGTGCATGAACACGTGGATGGCTTTCCAGTTTTAGAAAGCTGCTGTGAACATCACCATAAACACCTGAAGTCATTTCTCCTTGGTATTTACCCAGGAGAGGAATTGCAGAGTCACGGGATAAGCATAGACATAGCTTTACTAGATACTGCCAGATAGGTTTACAAAGAGGTTAAAACAATATATATTCCCCCTCCAGTGTATGAGACCAGTGTTTGTTCCACACTCTTGCCAACATGTTGGTATTGTCGGCCTCTGTACTTGTGGCCATTCTGCTGATTGTGTAGTGGTGTCTCCCTGTGGCTTAATTTGCATTTCCCTGATGATTAATAAAACGGAATCCTTCGTTCTGTTTATTAGCCATTTGGGAACGCTTTTGAATGTTTCTTTTGCTTTTTTTTTAAAAAAATTGAGGTATCTTTTTTGTATTGCTCTTAGAAGCTCTTTAAGTATTCTGGACACAAGTCCACCTTCACATCTGGGGATTACGCATATTCTCTCAATCTGTGACTTCCTTACCCAGTTTTTTTTAACAGCTTCATTGAGATATAAATCTCATATTGTACATTTCAGCCCTTCAAAGTGTAAAATTTCATGGTTTTCAGTATATTCTCAGCGTTACACGATCATTGCACACACGGCCACACACTCCGCCTGAACCGTACTCCACCCCTCAGCTCCTCTTCCGCCTCAGGACCTTTGCACCTGGCATCCCTTCTGCCTGGGATGCTTACCTCTTGTCTCAGCATAGGCACTGCCTCCTTGGAAGGCTTTCCCACGGCCAAGCCAGGTCTCCCTTCTCTGGTTTGCTGGGTCCTATGCTTTTCCCCATCACAACATAGGCTCCTGTGTTGAAATAGTCTTTTTACTCCTGGCTTTGGAAGAATTACCCAGGTTGCAAACTCTCTGAGGGCAGAAGTGCATCTCTCCATGCTCCCACTGTTTCCTCCGGGCTTGGTGCAGAGCAGGCACTCCGAATATTTGCTGAATGAATAAAGGAATGAGGACGGGTGCCTCCTACCCACTTCCTCCCTCTCAGATGGCTGCCAGGACCCCCAGGTATGATGATGGGCCCAAGTTGATGAGTTGATGAGACAGCAGAACCCTTTCAGGGAGTGATGGATGGTGAGGCTGGCACTCAGCACTTCCAGCTGGTGCATGAGTTTTAAGAACGGATGTTTGTGACAATTCTGATTACGTTCTAGTTTTTGAAATGAGTCATGTTGGTGGTGGCCATCCTGCCCATTGGGACTGAGTCGATTCAGTGAGAATTAATTACAGACGAGAAACCAGCTTGCAGAGCAATTAATATTTAAGCTCCCTGGAGAGTGTTGCAAATACAGCCGGTCTTGTCTTTGCCTGTTCTTCCTTTTCTCTCCCAGCACTGTACAATTGACAAAGCAGTTGTAATCATCAGGAAGAGCCTCTCTGCAGCCTCCTGCTATACTTTGTGGTACTGTTATCCCCATTTTACAGGTGAGGAAATTGAGACTCAGACAGGTGACAGCTTGCCCAGTCGTCCAATACCCTATCTAGCATCTGGGCTTGAACCCAGCCCAGAACAAATGAGAGTGTGTTGAAAGCCCCTTGTCAGACAATGCCCACACAAGAGAGATCGTTGCCCTCATCAGTATACAGGGCTGTTTTTCTTTCTTTTCCTGGGATGCCAGGGCTCAGAAGAGCCTGCAGGGCTGGAGGCTGGGTCCTAAATATGGAGACTCACGGGGAAAGAGTTGGGAGTCCTCCTGCCCCAGGTCGGCAGGGAAACCTCCACCCCAGGCTCAGAATGACCCCAGTACCCCAGAGCCAGCTGTGGCAGAAGTCAGAATTACCCACCACCTCCATCCAGCCGCCCTCTGCACCTGCTGCCCTACTCACAACCCTCACCTCCTGTGCCCTCTAAAACATGCTTTCAGGAAAGGCTCTGATAGCTCCTGTACAAGGACATTCAGTTTCTCTTTACAGCTTAGCCATGTGGCTTCCTCATAGGAACACACATACCTTCATCCCAGAGAGTCCATTCGTTAGTTCAAGACTCAGCCCCTTGAGGGTTTCTGACCTTCACGTTGGGGCTAGAGGTTTCCCAAGACCTTGAATTGTGCTGGACTGGGGCTGGCCAGTCTCGGGCAGGAACCAGCTCATCCTCCCTCCTTGGGACTGCAAGCCAGAGTGGGCCACCCTCCTCGTGTCCTCCCCGTAGTTCCTGGCAGAGCAGGCTATCAGCAGGAGGTGAGCACAGGACAGGATGAGTTGTTCAGGAAGCACAGACCTTTTTAAACTCCACATCTGCTCTTCTTGTCTGATGGCGCAGGCACACGCCTCTGGGCAGATGTTGGAGGCACAGTGCGAGGGGGTCTCTCAGTCTCTACATCTCACCCTGGAGCCCTCCTTCCATCTCCCTTCATGCCCCCTTCCTCCTTCCCTCCTTCTCTTCCTCTCACTCTCCCCTTCTCTCTCTCTCTCTTTCTTTTTCTCTCTTTCTCCCTCTCTCTCATACCTGTTCACTGGATCTGTTTCCTTGTTTTTCTTTTTCTCTCCCCGTTTCCCTCTCTGTCCCATCCCACCTCCCTGTCCTCTTTTCTACCCCTCACTGTTCCCCTGCAGGGAGGGGTAGAAAAGCCTCTGGCCTTCACTTGGGGAGAGAAGGCCAGAAAGGCTTCCTGGAGGAAGGGCTGTCCATCCTCTCTCTCAGGCACTTTCTACTTTTCAATCCTTATATACAAAAGACCTTTTTTTTTTATTTTTTTATTTTTTTGAGACAGGGTCTAGCTCTATCACCCAGGCTGGAGTGTAGTGGCGCTATCACAACTCACTGCAGTCTCGACCTCCCAGATTCAAATGATCCTCCCACCTCAGTGTCCCAAGTAGCTGGAACTATAGGCGTGCACCACCATGCCTGGAGAATTTTTTATATTTTTGGCAGTCTCGCCATGTTGCCCAGGCTGGTCTCCATCCAACTCTTAGTCTCAAGCGATCCTCCCGTGTTGGCCTTTGAAGGTGCTGGGATTACAGATGTGAACCACTGCATCTGGCCTAAAGAAGATCTTTCCAGCAGTAGAAACTGTCCAGCAGGCCGGGCGCGGTGGCTCATGCCTGTAATCCTAGCACTTTGGGAGGCCGAGGCGGGCAGATCACCTGAGGTCAGGAGTTTGAGACCAGCCTTGCCAACATGGTGAAACTCTGTCTCTACTAAAAATACAAAAATTTAGCCAGGCGTGGCAGCAGGTGCCTGTAATCTCAGGTATTCAGAAGGCTGAGACAGGAGAATCACTTGGACCTGGGAGGCAGAGGTTGCCGTGAGCCAAGATCATGCCATTGCACTCCAGACTGGGCAACAAGAGCAAAAATCCATCTCAAAAAAAAAAAAGAAAGAAAGAAAGAAAGAAAACTGTCTAGTAGCGGGGTGAAATGTCTTGCCCCATAGTCCAGCTCCCCATCAGGGAGACAATCCAACAAGGTAGAGGAATCATCTTTCCTGAGTGTTGAGGGTGATTTGAACTTCTCCATTTGGGCAAGAGTGCATGATCTCTGACCCTGGGATTTTCCCAATATGCATTGCTCCACAGCTCAAGGTGGTTTCAGGATTCCCTGCCCCCACCCAAGCCGTGTATTTACAGCTGTAGAGCTAGGCCTCATGCAAGAGCAAATGTATTTGAAGATAAAATATTTTTCTTGTGAGAAAGAAATCTTTATAAATTTTTATTCTTTAATTTATTAAAAAATGCATCATAGATGTACATAGTTTCAGGGTATGTGATCATTTAATATGTTTATATAATTTGTAAAGAGCAAATCAGTGTACTTGGAATATTTATCACCTTAAATATTTGTCTTTATGCTGGAAACATTCAAATTATTCTCTTCTGGTTATTTTATTTATTTATTTATTATGTATTTATTTTTTAGAGGCAGAGTCTCACTCTGTCAACCAGGTTGGAGTGCAGTGACACGACCATAGCTCACTGCAGCCTGGAACTCCTGGGCTCAAGCAATCTTCCTGCTTCAGCAAATACCTGGAACCACAGTGATGCGCCAACAAGCCCAGCTAACCTTTTAAATTTTTTGTAAAGACGGAGTCTCAATATATTGCCCAGGCTAGTCTTGAACTCCTGACTTCAAGTAGTCCTCCGGCCTTGGCTTCCCAAAGTGCTGGGATTATAGGTGTGAGCCACCATGCCTGGCCTCTTCTAGCTATTTCAAAATGTATAGTCCATTATCGTAAACTATAGTTGCCGTACTGATTTATCTAATATTCGGTCTTATTTCTTTTTCTTTCTTTTCTTTTTTCTTTTTTTTTTTTTTTTTTTTGAGACAGAGTCTCTCTCTGTTGCCCAAGCTGGAGTGCAGTGGCCATGCAATCTCAGCTCATTGCAACCTCTGCCTCCCAGGTTCAAGCGATTCTCCTGCCTCAGCCTCTTGAGTAGCTTGGATTACAGGCACCGGCCATCAGACCTGGCTAATTTTTGTATTTTTAGTAGAGACAGGGTTTCACCATGTTGGTCTGGTTGGTCTCAAACTCCTGACCTCAGGTGATCTACCTGCCTCTGCCTCCCAAAGTGCTGGGATTACAGGTGTGAACCACTGTGGCCGGCCTTGTTTCTTTTATCACAATGTATATCTGCACCCATTAATCATCCTCTCTTCATTGCCACCCCCTTCCCACCTCTGGTAACCACCAGCCTACTTTCTATCTTCATGAGATCCACTTTTTTAGCTACCACATATGAGTGGGAACATGCGATATTTGTCTTTCTGTGCTTGGTTTATTCACTTAAGATAATGACTTTCAGTTCCATCCGTGTTGCTGCAGATGACAGGACTTCATCCTTTTTTATGGCTGAATACTATTCCATTGTGTATATATTGCCACATTTTCTTTATCCATTCATCTGTTGAGGTGTACTTAGGTTGAATCCATACTTTAGTTATTGTGAATTGTGCTGTGAAAAACAAGGTGGTGCAGCTATCTTTTTGATGTATTTGGTTTTCTTTCTTTTAAATATCTACTCAGTAGTGGAATTGCTAGAGCATTTGTTAGTTCTTTTTTTTTTTTTTTTTTTTCCTTTTTTGAGACAGGGTCTCATTCTGTCACCCAGGCTGGAGTGCAGTGACACAATCATGGCTCACTGCAGGATTGACCTCCTGGGCTCAAGCGATCCTCCTGCCTCAGCTTCTTGAGTAGCTGAGACCACAGGTGCAGGTCCAGCTAATTTTTTTTTTTTTTTTTTTAGATACGAGATCTTGCTATGTTGCCCAGACTGGTCTTGAACTCCTGGCCTCAAGTGATCCTCCCAGTAGTTCTATTTTTAGTGTTTTAGGAACCTTCATACTGTTCTCCATAGTGGCTGTACTATTTTACATTCTCACTGACAAGAGTTCCCCTTTCTCTGCATCTTTGCCAACATCTGTTATTGCGTGTCTTTTTGATAAAAGCCATTTTAACAGGGGTGAGATGATACCTTGTAGTTTTGGTTTGCATTTCTCTGATGATTATGATGTTGAGCTTTTTTCATATACCTATTGACCATTTGTATGTCTTCTTTAGAGAAATATCTGTTTAGATCTTTTGCCCATTTTTAAATCGGATTATTTGGGCTTTTTTGCTATTTGAGTTGTGTGAGCTCCTTATATATTTTGGTTGTTAATCCTTTGTCAGATGAATAGGTTGTACGTATTTTCTCTCATTCTGTGGGTTGTCTCTTTGTTGATTGTTTCCTTTGCTGTGCAGAAACTTTTTAGACTGATGTAGTCCCATTTGTCTATTTTCGCTTTGATTGGCTGTGCTGTTGAGGTCTTATGCAGAAAATCTTCCCCTAGTCCAATGTTCTAGGGTATTTCCCCAATGTTTTATTCTAGTTGCATCATAGTTGGAGGTCTTAGATTTAAGTCTTTAATCCATTTTGATTTGGCTTTTGTGTATAGTGATAGATAGAGGTCTAGTGTCATTCTTCTGCATTTAGTTATTTAGTTTTCCGAGCACCATTTATGGAAGAGACTGTCCTTTCCCCAGTGTATATTCTTGGAACCTTTGTCAAAGATGAGTTGGCTGTGATTGTGTGGATTTATATCTGGGTTTACAGACAACAAGATCTGTTTTTTGTTTTGTTTTTTTGTTTGTTTGTTTTATGAGACAGGGTCTTGCTCTGTCACCCAGGCTGGAGTGCAGTGGTGCAATCAGAGTTTACTGCAGGCTTGACTTCCCAAGCTCAAGTGATCCTCCCAGCCTCTCAAATAGCTGGGACCACAGGCACCTGCCACCCTATCCTGCTAATTTTTGTATTTTTTGTAAAGATGGGGTTTTGCCATGTTGCCTAGGCTGATCTCAAACTCCTAGGTGCAAGTGATCCCTCATCTTTGGCCCTAAGTGCTGATATTAAAGTGCTGATATAAAAGCCGACAAGATGTTATACTCAGAAAAAGCTGAAGACGCCACCAAGAAACTAATAGAACTGATAAACAAATTCAGCAAAGTTGCAGAATACAGAGTCAGCATACAAAAATCAGTAGCATTTCCATATACCCAAAGTGAACAATCTAAAAAAGAAATCAAGAAAGCAATCCCATTTATCATAGCTACAAAGGATATAAAATACCTAGGAATCAATTTAACCAAAGAAGTGAAAGATCTGTACAAGGAAAACCATAAAACACTGATGAAAGAAATTGAAGAGGACACAGACAAAAATGCGAAGATGTTCCATGCTCATGGATTAGAAGAACTAATATTGCTAAAATGACAATACTACCCAAGGCAGTTTATAAATCCAATACAATCCCTATCAAAATACCAATGACATTCTTCACAAAAATAGAAAAAAAGTCCTAAGATTTATATGTAACCACAAAAGACCCCCAACAGCCAAAGCAATCCCGAACAAAAAGAACAAAGCTGGAAGCATCACACTACCTGACTTCAAAATTTACTTCGAAGTTTTAGTCTCCAAGTCAGCATAGTACTTGCATTAAAAACAGGATACATGGAACAGACTAGAGAACCCAGATGTAACTTTTTTTTTTTTTTTTGAGACGGAGTTTTATTCTTCTTCCCCAGGGTGGAGTGCAATGGCGCGATCTCGGCTCACTGCACCCTCTGCCTCCTGGGTTCAAGCGATTCTCGTGCCTCAGCCTCCCGAGTAGCTGGGATTACAGGCATGCGCAACCACACCCAGCTAATTTTTGTATTTTTAGTAGAGACAGGGTTTCTCCATGTTGGTCAGGCTGGTCTTGAACTCCTGACCTCAGGTGATCTGCCTGCCTCAGCTTCCCAAAGTGCTGGGATTATAGGTGTGAGCCACTGTGCCCAGCTCCCAGATATAATTTTTATATTTATTAAATTGAGTTTAGTTTTAGAAGTACATTAATCATGATAGATTTTAGAAAATAGAAACAAGAAGATTCACAGTCATTCCTAATTCTGTACTCGTGACCCAGCCACTCTGCATGTCGTCCTGTTTTCTTTGAGCTTTCTCCTCTGCTCACTTTTTACACAGTATATCAGGGTGTGGAAACAGCTCTGCACCCCTTCTTGATTGCTGAACACTATGATGTGAATATTTCTACATAGCCACCACCTTTATCATTTTTAGTGACAGCTTAATATACCATAGGGTGGATGCCTATAATTTCCTTAGACTTCGTTTTGAAACAACATAGCTCATGAACCTCTTCAAAGATGAATAATGAGAAAGCAAAACCTTCTGCTTCGTTATAGAAGGAATTACCCAATCTCTCCCCTATCTTGAAAAAGAAGAGTGTTCACCACGTGGCCACAACGAGAGGAGAGTGAGTGTGTGTTGAGCCCTGCTCTGTGCCAGGCGTTGGGTTGGGTGCTCTTTGGGTGTCAGCTCAGGCAGCCCTATGGTCGCCAGGTGCATGTGGTCATCTCTGCTTTGTAGGTGAGACTGTTGGGTCTGGAGACACTGGCTTAAGTCCTCACTGCTGTCTTCACAGAGGCCAGGGCTCCAAAGCCCCAGGGGAAATCTGCCAAGGAGGACTTGTGCTCAGTCCTATCAACCTGTGGGTAACAGACCTTTTGGTGTTTCAGGATTTCCATGGAGCTGTCATGAGGGCCTTGGATGACATGGACCATGAAGGCAGAGACACATTGGCCCGGGAGGAGCTGAGGCAGGGCCTGAGTGAACTCCCAGCCATCCACGACCTTCATCAAGGCATCCTGGAGGAGCTGGAGGAAAGGCTGTCAAATTGGTGAGCAGTCCCTGGACCCCCGGGTTCCACTTTTGTTGCACTGGGGGAATGGAGACGGATAAAAACACCACCATATGAAATAGTATCTCCATTTGATTGATGGGAAAGCCGAACTCCGAAGTGTTAAGTCATTTGCTCAAAGTAAAACAACTGTGCAAGGGTTGAGCTGGGATCTGCACCCAGGGATGTGACTCCAGGCCCCCTGCTTCTAACCCTGCGTTGGTTACAAGGCTGAGTTCTCACTGTCCCATCCCCATTCCTGGCTGCAGGGAGAGCCAGCAGAAGGTAGCTGACGTCTTCCTGGCCCGGGAGCAGGGGTTTGATCACCACGCCACTCACATCCTGCAGTTCGACAGGTACCTAGGTCTGCTCAGTGAGAATTGCCTCCACTCTCCCCGGCTGGCAGCTGCTGTCCGTGAATTTGAGGTGGGTCCCTTGGTCCTCTGAGACCCTGCTGTAAGGATGCAGGGGTTGAGGTGGGCGAAGGGCTTAATGCAAATCAGTGGGACATCTTGGTAGGTGTGGGGCTGGGGAGCAGACAGGGAAGACCTGGCCAGAGGGATGAGAGGATGACCCATCAGGGAGGAGAACCCAGAATTCAGAACATCCGCTGTTGGGCAGCAGATGACAGTGCAGTGAGTGCCACCCAGTAAGGGTCTCAGGGTAGTTTTCTTGTCTCAGTTGAAAAGCACCAACCAAGCCAGAGCCCCAGCCGTGGAGTGTTCAAGGAAATTCCCAACACTAGCCACAAACTGGGGATCTAGTTTTCCTGGGCAGAAAAAGGGGGAGCTTTCCTCCATTGCTAACATTAAGAGCAGGGCAGGGACTAGGAGAGGCTTGATACTGAGTGTAGCACCAACTGGGAGCATGATGGAGTGAGCAGTTACAGCAGGGCCGGGCTAATCCAGGAGGGCTTCCCGCAGGAGGAGAACCTGGTTTTGGAGATGAGGGAGAAGTTCAGCTGGCCCGGGAAGAGGTGTGGATGGGACAGTGTATATGGGCTGCTGTGAGCATGGTGCCTTCAGGAGGGGTTTCTGATAAGGTTTTTCCTTCCCTGTCTTGAGAGCAGCAGAGTGTACAAGGAGGCAGCCAGACTGCGAAGCATCGGCTGCTGCGGGTGGTTCAACGCCTCTTCCAGTACCAAGTGCTCCTCACAGGTGGGCCCCACAGGAGATCAATGGGGACTGAGGCGGCAGGGCAGGGAAGGCCCCTGAGGAGGGGTGGAGGGGACTGTGGTGACCTTGCCTCTGACCATGTCAGGCAGGTGTTGGGGAAGGGTGACCTCTGCCATCACCTTTCCCTCCAGTTGAGCTTTGAGCCCTCTGAACCACCTCCTGCCACCTTAGAACGCTCCCTCCAGTGGCCACCCCTGATCCTAAAACACAAAAACCCAACGACACCCCTCCCCAGCTTGCACTTCCTCCCTGCCTCAGCTGGCCATCTCCTCATTTCACTGAAGCCACGCCTGTCATCAAAGTCCTCTTGGCCATATGAGTGGACATTTTCAGCCTTGGACCTGCTGGACCCACGACCACTTCCTGCTTCTCGAGTCCTTTCCTCCGCGGGTTTCTGTGGTATACTCTCTCCCACTTCCCTCCCATCTCTCTGTCCCTTCTCTGTCTGTGTTGGTGGCCTCCCATCCTCCACTGCTCCATAAACGTCAGAGCTTCTCAGGACTCAGTCCTGGGTCCCCTTCCCTTCTCTCTTTATGCCCTTTCCCCTATCTCTGCCTGCTGGAAACACCCACTCCTCTGTTCTGAGCTCCAGACCCATTTATTCAGCTGCCTCCCAAATAGACAAAGACCCCTGATGTCCTAATGAGAGAGACAGACAGTACATATGTAGGCATGGATATGTAATTCCAGGTAGCAACTGGGGCTCCTCAAAAATACATTAGGGCCAAGGACTAGAGAATTCATTCATCTAATCCAAGAACTATTTATTGAGCACCTACTATGTACCAGGTCCCATGCTGGATGCTGGAGATGCAGCAGTAAATCGAACAGCAAACTCAGTGACACTGTAGAGCTTACACCCTAGACAAGCAAATAAGAAAGCCAAAAGATAATGTCTGTTAAGAACTCTTAAGAAAAATAAAGCAAGTTAAGGAGACAGAGGGAACAGGGCTGCTGTGTTAGCGATCAGGGAAGACCTCTCTGAGGAGGCGGCATTGGACAGAGATCTCAGTAAAGCAAGGACATGAGCCATATGAAGATCTGAAGAGAGTGCCAGGCAGAGGGAACAGCAAGTACAAAGGCCCTGGGGTAGGACCAAGCTTGGCACATTCAAGAAAGCCATCATGGCCAGAATAGAACGAGCAGATGGAAGAGCAGTCACTGGGGAGGGGCTGGAGGATGTGGAGCCTGGAGAGTATGAATGCACTACAGGTTCCACACAACACACTCGGCTGTGCTGATTGCCATGTCTGTCGCCCCCAGTGGGCTGTGATGGATTCACCTTGTTGTGTCTGTCTCCAAGGCATGGCCCAGTGCCAGGCAGGTGCTCAATGGGTATCTGTTGGATAAGTGAGGGACAAGCAGCTGTGGCAGCAATGCTGACAGTGGTCCTGGGGGCCTGGTTTCATGCTAATGTGGTATTGTGATGGGGCCAGCAGGGGAGAGAGGGTGGATGCTTCATTCTTCCAACTCTGGCAAGAGAGGGGGTGGCCACAGTTGTGGGCAGGAGGGGCTGACCTCACCAGTAGCTGACTCCTGGTTCTTATCCTGCCAACAGACTATTTAAACAACCTTTGTCCGGACTCCGCCGAGTACGACAACACACAGGGTGAGTCCAGCGTGAATGCGGAGGGAGGTACTCAAGCCTGCTCTGCCTCCTTGCGCCAAAGCCTGGACCCTGCCCCAATTCCAAGGCCCAGGATATAGTCCCCTCCCCACCAGCTGGGTGGGTTCTGCATATGACACATCTTGGACTTCTGTGAGAGCCCACAGCTCTTCTGAGATGGGTCCCCTGTCACCTCAGCTGTGGGGACATCCTAGGACGGGAGGACATCCCGTCAGAGGGGATGGGGGAGTCACCAGAATTTGGTGATAGGAGGGGTGGTGCCAGGTCTGAAAAGCTCACCACAGTCTCCCTGTTTCCTCCCAATTCGATGTGGCTGTCCCTGTGTATCACCTGCCAGGGTGGTCACTATTATAACATATTCAGTTTACAGCCAGGGAAACTGAGGCATGCATGACAGTGGTCAAATCACTGTCAAGGTCACCTAGGCAGTAGTGGCCAAGCTGGGCTTGAGGCCTGTGACCTGACACTACAGTGGGGAAAATTGATGCCCCTCTTGCAATGGCCCAACTCCTGCTCTGTGTCCCTCCCCAGGTGCACTGAGCCTCATCTCCAAAGTCACAGACCGTGCCAACGACAGCATGGAGCAAGGGGTGAGTGCGGCCTGGCGGCCCCCTTCCTCAGACACAGGTTCCAGGCACCTCCCCACCAGCTCCGGTCAGCCTTCTGATGCCCCACTCCTAGGGGCTGCAGGCAACCGTCTCTCTTGTGGGACTCTGCAGAGAGCCGTGGGTTCTGGCTCTGACTCTTGATGTGTGACCTCAGGCGCTGTGTGCCCCTCTCTGCGCCTCCAGTTCACTGTTCAAACAATGAGAGGAATGCCCCGACTGTGGTCTGAGGCCACCCCCATCAGCACCTGGGGTGCTTTGTAAACTCCTAGTTCCTGGGCACACGTTGGATCCTCCCAGTCAGAGCTTCTGCATGTAGGATCTAGAGAGCTGCATTTTTAACAAGCACCCTGGGTAAATGTTAGGACCACAAAAGTTTGAGAATCACTAGTCCACTAGAATATGTGGCTCTAAGCACAGATCTGATTCTGACTGTGTGACTCTGTCTGCTAGAGGGCAGAGTTGATCCCGCATCCCAGCTCCATTCAGGTGGTCACCACATGCTCACTGTCCTGCTAAGCTGTAGGCATGCCAGCGCTCTGTGTTGACAATGGTTCCAAGCCCGAGTCCTAGGTCACTGGAAAAGAGTTCAGTGACCAGGTAGTCACATCTTCTGCAGGCACAGAAGGGAGATGATGGCCATGTGTGCCGAGGAGGTGCTATACTTTGCTGTGGCAGAGACACAGTGAGTCATCCACAGGCAGAAGAGGAAGGGAAATTGCATTTATTGGACACCTGCTATGTGTCAGACCTTGTGCTGTGTTGGGGAGTGGAGATACAAGCCCTTGAGGAAACCTCCGCTTAGTGGAGTAACTAAATATGTGGATGCAAATGACCATGATAGATGTCATGGGAGAGAATGCCACAGGGTTCAGAGAAGGGAGGTGGCCCTTCCAGCCGAGGTTGCCAGAAGAGATGATACGGGCCAGGTGTGGTGGCTCACGCCTGTAATCCCAGCACTTTGGGAGGCCGAGGCAGGTGGATCACTTGAGGTCAGGAGTTCAAGACCAGCCTGGCCAACATGATGAAACCCTGTCTCTATTAAAAATACAAAACTTAGCCAGGTGTGGTGGCACACACCTTTAGTCCCAGCTATTTGGGAGGCTGAGGCTAGAGAATCGCTTGAACCTGGGAGGCGAAGGTTGCAGTGACCCGAGACCATGGCATTGCACTCCAGCCTGGGTGACAGAGTGAGATTCCATCTTAAAAAAAAAAAAAAAAAAAGTTGACCTGGAGGTGTCCCCATAGGGAGGATTTGCACACATGCCAGGAAGGCAGAGAGAGAAAAGGGGTGATAGGAAGAGGGGCTGGCCTGGGCAAAGACATGGAGGTTGGACGGTGCATGTTGGAGTTCAGAGAGCCACCTGCTAGGTGGCTAGGCGTTGGGGACAGGATGGCAAGGTAGCATCAGAGTCCAGGGAGAGAGGTCGGGCTGGCTGGTGAAGGGTAGACTGAGAGTGGAGGCTGAATCAGCTAGGTATGAATACACAGGCCAGTTTCCGGGCCGTTTTCCATGTGGGTCAGACATGCCCTTTTAATCTTTAAGGTCCTCTCTTCTCTCACTCTGCTCTGCACTGACCTCCCTGCCCCTCCTCATTTTGGCATCTTGTACATACAGTGAGAGTCCCTCAACACAGCCAAAAACTAGAGGTGCTTTGGGGTCCAGCACCCTGTCGAGGAATAGCAGCAGATGGGCTGGGTTCTCCACATTTCCCTTTAGCCGGGGCTGCCTCTGCTTCCAGAGAGAAAAACTAGGTCAGGCAGGGATACATCTTCCCTCCTACGGGGAGCTTGCACACACAGCCCCACCCAGAGGAGGAACCGGAGCAGCCGACGGCCAGACACCCTCTTGGCTTTCTCCAAGGCTGAAGTTGGACGCTGTGCTGGGAAGCAGGGGCCAGCTGTGGACAGCTGCACCAGGCCTGCTCTGGACCAGAGGCCCCTAGCCCATGCCTGCTTGGATTGGGGAGGAGCTCTGCCTGGGACATTTACTCTTTTGCAGTTTGGAGGTATTAAGTACATTCACACTGTCATGCAGCTGTCATCCCATTCATCTCCAGAACTTCTCTTCCCAGACTGAAACTCTCTCCCCATTAAACTCTAACTCCTCATTCCAGTCTGCACCCCAGCCGCTGGTAACCATCATTCTGCTTTCTGAATAGACTTTATTTTTTAAAACAATGTTTAAAAGCAATGTTAAATTTACAGAAAAGATTGAGAAGATAGTACTGAGAGTCCCCATGTGTCCCCCACACAGTGTTCTCTGTTATGAACATCTTTATTATTATTATTATTATTATACTTTTAGGGTACATGTGCACAATGTGCAGGTTAGTTACATATGTATACATGTGCCATGCTGGTGCGCTGCACCCACTAACTCGTCATCTAGCATTAGGTATATCTCCCAGTGCTATCCCTCCCCCCTCCCCCCACCCCACAACAGTCCCCAGAGTGTGATGTTCCCCTTCCTGTGTCCATGTGATCTCATTGTTCATTTCCCACCTGTGAGTGAGAATATGCGGTGTTTGGTTTTTTGTTCTTGCGATAGTTTACTGAGAATGATGATTTCCAGTTTCATCCATGTCCCTACAAAGGACATGAACTCATCATTTTTTATGGTTGCATAGTATTCCATGGTATATTAGTATGCTACATGTGTTACATTAACACACAAATATTGGTACAGGATTATTAACCGAAGACCCTAGCTCATTCAGATTTCCTTAGTTTTGCCTGGTGTCTTGTTCTAGGGTCCCTTCCAGGACCCCACATGCTGTTTAGTGGTCCTGTTTCCTTAGGCTCCCCTTGACTGCAGTAGTTTCTCATTTTCCTTGCTTTTGATGAGCTTGACAGTTTTCAGGAGTACTGGTCAGGTATATGGCAGGACGCCCTTCTGGTGGAAATGTCTGGTGTTTTTCTCATGATTAGACTGGGTATATGGCTATTTGGGAAGAGGCTCACAGAGCAAGGTACTTTTCATCCCATCATATGAAGGGCACATACTAGCAACAGGATTTACCACTGTTGATGTTGACCTTGGTCACCTGGCTGAAGTCACCTGGTGGCAGGTTTCTCCACTGTGAAGCTGCTCTGTCTCACCCCTGCCTTTTCCATGCCCTTTGGAAGAAAGTCAGTTTGTGCAGCCCATTCTTAGGAGCGGGGGGTTATGCTCCCTCCTCTTGAGGGCACCATATCTACCTAGGTTATGTGGAATTCCTCTGCCTGGGAGATTTGTCTCTTCTCCCTCATTGGCTAGTGTATCTAGTCATTATATATAAAGAAGTCATTTATATCAGTATGGACTGTTATAATCCAACACTTCCTTATTTATTTTATTTCTCAAATTGTTTCAGCTTTGGCTATTGGGAGCGTTTTCAGTTGGTTTCTGTGCCCTTTTCACATGGTGTCATCAATATAGATTTCAGGGTGTGTGTGTGTGTTTGTGTTTTGAGAACTTCCTTACTTTCTGGCAGTGCAAGGTGCTCCAGGATCACTCACCTTGTGTATTTCCTGCCCCAGTCTTAGAATCAGTCATTTCTCCATGGAGCCCTGTTTGCATTAATTGGATAATAATACTAACAGCCAAGATACAGGCATTAGGTGCACTTACTGGTAATGTGGTATCATTTCTTTTACACCTCCTTAGCTGACAGCAAAGAAATATATGTGTATACCAGCTTTTGCATATACCCATATCTGTAGATATTTCCATACATAACCATCTGTATCTGAATATTAAACTAACCATGAGTTTTATTTTATTTTTTTGTAGAGATCGAGGTCCCACTATTTTGCCCAGGCTGGTGTCAAGCAGTCCTCTTGCCTCAGCCTTCCAAACTGCTGGGATTATAGGCATGAGCCACCATGGCTGGCCTTTATTTATTTTTATTTTATTGTATTTTATGTATTTTTTTTTACCATGAGTTTTTACCAATGTTTCCCATTCTAATCATGACCACACTAGCCTCCTCCCTTGCTTATCTGTAAATTCTCACTCCAACAGTGAGAAGCCTCGTTCCTACCACCCATTAATTTAATTGTTCAATTTACCTTAATTTGTGGAAGATATTTTTCCTGGGTGTAGAAACCTGGATGGACAGTTTTTCTTTGCTGCCACTCCACTGTCTTCTGGTGTACATCGTTTCTGGTGGAAAGTCTGCTGTGATACTCATGAGTATCTGTCTTTGTGTAATGTGTCCCTTTTCTCTGGCTGCCTTTAAGATCTTCTCTTTTGATTTGATTTTGGGAAGTTTGGCTGTGATGCGTCTGTGTGTGTGTGTTGTGGGGGATGGGGTGCTCTTTATCCAGTTGTGATTCTTGAGCTTCTTGGATCTGTGGTTTGTTGTCATTCACTAATTTTGGGAAATCCTCTTGGATGCTCTGTTCTTTTTCCCTGCTCTTTGTGTTTCAGTATGGATCATCTCCACTGATCTGTCTTCAAGCTCATGGAGTCTTTCCTCAGCTGTGTTCCGTTTGCTGCTAAACCTGTCAAAGGAATTCTTTGTTTCTGATACTGATTTTTTACTTTCAAAATTTCCATTGGACGCTCACGTATGGTTTCCATCTCTGCCAAAATCCTCCATCTGCTTGCGGGTGGTGTTCACCTTTCCCACCAGGTCCTTTTACCCACCAATCAGAGCTACTTCAAGGTCTGATGGCTCAGACACCTGTGTCCCTTCTCACTGTGGTTTGATGGAATGCTTTCTCCTCTTGAAAATGAGTTGGGGTTGGGGAGTTTTTTGCTTGCATTTTTGTGTTCCTCATAACTTGTTATTGGAGGCCAGGCATTATGTGTAGAAGCACTGTAGAGACTGAGGTAAATCGTATTTACCCCTCAAGGTGGGGTAAGCCTCTTTTTTGGTCATGGCTGTTCACGGTAGGGTACAGGGCAGTCGGGTCAGTCCAGTCGGCACCTGATCTGGGTTTGGGTTTTGCTGCCGTGTCATCAACCTTCAGTGACTGCCAGGCTTCATGCTTCTCCCGTGGGTGCTGCTGTGACCTGTGGGGTAGGTCAGAGAGCTTTTCTTTCATTCTTGCTCCATATTCAGCTTTTAGCCCTCCCTGCACCACAGGAAGGCCCTCTCCCCATGTTCTTGCTCTTCTCAGAGGCAGGCTACTGCCCTGTGTTACTCAGTGCTGGACTTATGGTGGGCACATGCCTACATCTGAAGCAGGGCCTGTGAGCCGGGCTCTCACAGCATTCCTGTCCCTCCCCTCCATGGCGGCTGAGCTCTGTGGCTCTGTGGCTGGCCTTAGACAGGTTTCTGGCCATCCCCCAGCAAGGTATTGGTGCACAGTACTGGGTCCAAGGGGTTATCGCCCCCGTCCTAGGGTGCAGCTTTCCTCTCTTTCCCTAGAGGAGCAGACCTTTGCCTGGGCTGTGGGGGTGGGAGGTCTCCTGGCCTCCTCCTGGAACTGAAGCCTTGCATGAGAGAAGGCCTGAGGAAGTGGGCAGGGCTTTGCATGTGGCCCCACCTTGCCCCTGCCTTTCTCGTGGGCACGTGGCAGAGACTCGTGGATGAGAGCTTGCAAGTGAGGACAGATTCCCTCGCGTCTGCAGCTCCCCATTACTCTAAACTGGCACCAGCCCACACCTGTCCTTTGAGAATTCATTAACATTTTCGCTGCTTTCTTCTTACCTTCCTTTACACCAGCCACCTCTGCCTCCTGTGTGTCACCAAAGGTGCGGCAGTTCCTGCATCTCATTCCTTTGTGGACGGGCTTGCCAGGTGGAACCCAGTTCACTCGGTTGCCTTGTGACCCCAGCTCTCCCACAGGCTGAAGCATAGTTATGATTTTGAAGGTTATCTGGCTTTTTCACACTACAATGAGAACAGTGTTCTCTTGTACTTCCTACATCTTAAATGGAAATGGAACCACAATTACTCATTTTTTACTACATAGGATTTTATGCCCAAAACCATAGATAATGGAAAGGACTTTTCAGGGCAAATTCTCTACCCACAATGTTCACCTTACAACTTTAGAACCTGCCCTGTGTAAGGTTCAAGGGGCACCTGCCCACAGGGTGGGCGCTTGTTGTATCTAGGATTGTGGGGTGCTGTGCAGAGGAGACAGGGGGCTGTTACTTTACATTTTGTGGCTAACCCAGTGAAGTACTGACAAGGCACACTTATTTTTCTAACCACGAGGCTCCACAGAGTGTGGATCCAGTTTCCTCTGCAGGTGCTGTGTTTCATGGGCTACAAGCCAGGAGGGCCTGAGGCCAGCCTTGGGTCCGATGAAGTCCCCATGCTCCAGACCTCATGAGAGACATAGGCTTAGAGAGCGTAGGAGCAGTTGTCCAGAGAAACACAGGGATGCTGGACAGCACAGTGAGGCCAGGCAGCCGGCTCCACAGCACATAGAGCCATGGTGGTGGCTCCCTGCAGACCCAGGCTCGGATCCCAGTCCTGCCTTGTACAGGAGGTTGGATTTGGGGCAGGCCTTTCCGGGCTTCATTTTTGTCTGAAACAGAAGCAACGCCATGCCTTACAGAGGAGATAAGACGCCTGGTAGGGGCCCTGACCATCTCTCCCTCACCCCATTCCCACCCACAGGAAAACCTGCAGAAGCTGGTCCACATTGAGCACAGCGTCCGGGGCCAAGGGGATCTCCTCCAGCCAGGAAGGGTGAGTGCCGCCACCATGGGTAGGGGCAGAGGGTGGCTGGGCGAGGCTCCGATAAGCCCCATTGTTCACTGGGCTGGCCCCAGACAGGCCTGGCTGCAGGTGCTGTCTACCCATGGAGGGCAGGCAGGCGGGTGGGCGTGGGCTCACTGGATTCTCCTGGCCGCAGTCCTAGGCTGCCTTCCCTGGGGTTCTCCACCCCATGTGTTGCCTGCAGAGCAGTTAAAGACTCAGCGCCAGGTTTTTTCTGTGTTCCCTGTGGCTCTCCTCACCTCCAAGGAGAGGAAGCACCAAATATTTTCAGTGCAGAGTTGCTGGGAAAACAGAAAATGATCTCCCAAGAGCAAACCCTTAGAAATTTTCTTAAAAATAACATTCTTGAGGAGATAAATCCACTCTCTTTAAAGCTTCCAAATGGAAAATGTAAAACTCAGCTTAAAAACAGTAAAAAATGTTCATTACCAGTTGTGCTCCATAAAGGACAAGAGACAAAGGAATGAAAGTACATGCTCAGGGGAATTTTACTCAAGATTAGCAGGTGTCTCATGGGACTGAGATTCTGTAAAGTTACATTTAGTGATCATGAGTTTGGTAAATTGTTTCTTAAACATCTATTTGTATCTCCAGAATTACGGGGGCTATAGCAGCTGTTCCCAGGTCTTCAGCTGTTTTAGTAGACCTTCCGAGGCTCTGTTCTGAATGGACTCCTCGTGGGTACAAACCAAGGAGGGAGTCATGGCTTGGACCACCCAGAATCCTGAAAGACACAGTCTTGAGCACCATGATCCCAAACGTTGAAATCCCAAAAGATCAAAATCCCAAAAATATAATTCTGGAAAAAATAATTTAGAAAAATATTTTAAAGATATTTATATTTTTAAAAGGGGAATTTATGGGGCCGGGTGTGGTGGCTCATGCCTGTAATCCCAGCACTTTGGGAGGCTGAGGCAGGCAGATCACAAGGTCAGGAGTTCGAGATCAGTCTGGCTAGCATAGTGAAACCCCTTCTCTACTAAAAATACAAAAAATTAGCCAGATGTGGTGGCCTGTAGTCCCAGCTACTCGGGAGGCTGAGGCAGGATAATCGCTTAAACCCAGGAGGCAGAGGTTGCAGTGAGCCGAGATCGCGCCATTGCACTCCAGCCCGGGCGACAGTGCGAGACTCCCTCCCAAAAGAATAAATAAATAAATAAAAATAATAAATAAAAAGGGAATTTATTTATTTATTTATTTATTTATTTATTCATTCATTCATTCATTCATCCATTCATTCATTCATTCTTTTGAGCTGGAGTTTAGCTCTTGTTGCCCAGGCTGGAGTGCGATCTTGGCTCACTGCAACCTCCGCCTCCCCGGTTCAAGCAATTCTCCTGCCTCAGCCTCCCGAATAGCTGGGATTACAGGCATGTGCCACCATGCCTGGCTAATTTTGTATTTTTAGTAGAGACGGGGTTTCTCCATGTTGGTCAGGCTGGTCTCAAACTCCCGACCTCAGGTGATCAGCCTGCCTCAGCCTCGCAAAGTGCTGGGATTACAGGCGTGAGCCACTGTGCCCAGCGGGAATTTATTTAAGAAACACAAAAACACAACAGAATACTTCATAGGCCACTTTATACAATAAAATAGGCACTACGAACATATATAATTTTGCAAGCATAAATGCTGCTGTGTGCTAACAATAGTTCCACGGGTCAAACAGTCATGAGCACACAAACCATATTCATAAAAAAGAAGGTCAAACAGGGAAATGTATCAGTGTATGTCACTATGGTTAGTAATTGTATGCGCCCAGCCTTATAACTGTGGTCATCTGAAATACCATGACAGATAACCGAAGTCTTTTGATGAGCTCAGTTAAAAACTGTGATGGGTCACCACAGTACATGCAGCCACCCACAGAGCAAAGATCTCAGGAAATTTTATCTTTCACAAATGCAAATGTACAAAGAGGATATCTCCATTCATTGAGGAAGTTTGTGTTTTTAAGTACATACACAGTGCTTACACACAAATTCAACATTGTGATAATGCACTTTTCTTTTCTTTTCTTTTCTTTTTTTTTTTTTTTTGGAGACAGAGTCTTGCTCTGTTGCCCAGACTGGAGTGCAGAGTTCAGTGGCTATCTAGACTCACTGCAACCTCCGCCTCCTGGGTTCAAATGATTCTTCTGCCTCAGCCTCCCGAGTAGCTGGGACTACAGGCACGCACCACCACACCCATCTAATTTTTGTATTTTTAGTAGAGACAGAGTTTCACCATATTGGCCAGGCTGGTTTTGAACTCCTGACCCTGTGATCTGCCTGCCTCAGCCTCCCAAAGTGCTGGGATTACAGGCGTGAGCCACCACGCCTGGTTGTGATAATGCACTTTTCATGAAGCCAAATTTGCAAAAAAATAAAAATAAAAAATACATAAAATGAATTAGAAACCTGTAAAAGTCTGTATACAATTTATACCTCCAGTATTGGAAATGATGCAGAATGTAATACAGAGCATGGTGAATTGCTTTGCCAGGTTTCCAGGTGTTCCTCAATCCAGTCAAGTTGATGCCTAAAAATTAACCATCACAAGTCCAACGCTTGTCAACTTGGCACCCGCACGCATCTCCTTAAATCATACTTAATTTCCAAACAAAGACAATAACAGGGTAATAATTCCACCTAACATAATGCAGCTTTCCTGTGATTGTGATTTTCAGAATTTTGTGAGTGTTTTGTTTTTTGAGACAGGGTCTTAGTAAGTTGCCCAGGCTGGTCTTGGACTCCTGAGCTCAAGTGATCCTTTCAACTGTGTCTTAGGCTGCAGACACACACCATGGCACCCAGCCTGATTTTTGGAATTTTTAATGTTAAGGATTTTAGACTTCTGAGATTTAGACTTTAGGGATTATGATATTCAGGGTGGTGTCTTTCAGGACTATGATCCAAGCCCTGCTCTAGCATATACAGCACCTCTCTCATGAGCAGGGATTTATCTGCTAGCTGCTCTCGGGTTCTCTGGGAGGCTTTATGATTTAAGTTTCCACTCAGGGGCCTCCCCTGCACCCTTGTCTGGGATTGATTTAAGTTTCCACTCAGGGGCCTCCCCTGCACCCTTGTCTGGGATTCAGGGGGCATCAGCCTGACCGCCAAGTTCTGCTTCTCTCCCCACAGGAGTTTCTGAAGGAAGGGACGCTGATGAAAGTAACAGGGAAAAACAGACGGCCCCGGCACCTATTTCTGGTAAGTGCCCGGTCCCCAAGCCCAGCTCAGGAACTGCCAAGTTCTATGAGGTTTTCTAGGGCCATTATTCAAGGACAAGTGGAATAGGGTGAGAGGAGAGTAGAACAGAGCAGACATTTGGGGGTGAGGATCATTCTGGACAGCTGAGAGCTTCACCCTTGGACACCACGCCCACCACTCATTTGTTATTTGAATGATTTTGAGTGGAATGTTGGCAAGATGTAGTTACCCACATCCCCACCTTAAATATCTGTCAACCACCTTATCTAATGCTCAGAGAACTGAGGTCCAGAAAGGAAAGTCGCTGTAGCTAGGCCTCCCAGGGGGATGGTGGCAGAAGTCCAGGAGGAGCCAAGCGTTGTGACCCAAGTCCAGCACTTTCTCTACTGTGCAGGAGACAGGATGTAAGATAACATTTTTGCTTATGGACAACTGGAGTCTTCCATACCAGGGAGTGTCCAGGCCTAGGGTATATCTTTATCGGCCTTAGTGGCTGTTGAGTGCCCCAATCCTGAGACCTCCAAGTGGCCATGCCTTTTAAGCCCTCTGCTGGGCACAGTTTTTCTCTTGCTCCTGCATTTCTGCTTTCATTCCTTGTTCCTGTCCGCCATGGCTGCCTCTCCCAGCTTCCTCATACTTCGTCAAAGCACCGTGTGCAGTGGGAGAGACAGGCTGTGGTAAGAGTCTACGAGCTCTCTCTGTTCCAGGCGTTGACTGAGCACCTCGTGTGTGCTGGTGCTGGAAACAAAGAAAAATCCCAGGTCTTGCCCTCAGCCTTCAGAGTCCAATGGGAGGGAGAAGCAAGCAGACAGCCCATTGTAAATGCAGAGTTATGAGCGCGATATGGAGGGATCTCGGGTGCCGTGGAAGCAAAGAGGACTAAGGAGGGCCAGGGGTGAAGAGAAGAGGAGCCACAGCCACGGCAGCGCCGCCGTGTCTGGAGTGTCTGCTGGGTGCGCACACTGTGCTCAGTGTTTCATATGTTTTCTGAAGAAAATTCTACCCGAGTTCAGCCCTGGAGGAAGGATGGGAGTTTGGCAGGTGCACCAAGGAAGGGCATTTCAGGAGAGGTAAGGGCCTAAGCAGAGGATAGAGGCATGAGGAGTGTGGTGTGTTGGAGGAGTTCTGTGAGCCTCAAGAAGTCTTTGTCTGCAGCCAGACCCTTCTGCTCGTGAGTGGGGTCTTCCCCATGCCCCAAATAGGCCCTACCCGTAGAGGGGCCACTTGAGGACTGAATTCCAGAGAGAGCTGGTGGTGCTGGTGGAGAAATCCTGAGCCTGGGCAGAAGTGTGGAGCCTGCAGTGCTGGCAGGGTGTGCTGGGCCCCGATGGCTGGTGGCCTCAGGCTCTGCATGAGGCACTAGGTGACCCAAGTCCAGAGTCTCCCTCCCTTCCCTCCCTCCTAAGAGCTATTTCTTTCCTCCCATGAGAACCCCTCACTCTGGCTGGTCGGTTCTGCAGTGGGCGAGATTTAGCTGCAGGCAAGAGGAGAGTGGACCCCAGGGGGGATTTTGAGAGAGATCTGAGAGCCAAGCAGTGCGTGGTTTAGATTTGGGTTCTCAGAAGGGTTTCAAAGCCCCCACAGATGCCTGAGTCCTTTTCTCTAGGTCGTTTTTTTTAACCTCTGCTTACACACCTCCAGTGTTGGGGAGCTCACTGCCTGCTGTAACATTCATTCATTCTGCAGCTTATTATCCATCTCCTCTGCATGCCAGGAACTGTGCTGGTGTGTAGACATGGCCTTTGCCCTGCTGTGGGTCTTGGAGTCCAATAGTGGAAGACATTTTTTATTCCATGTTAGACAAGTCTAAATTTTAGAAATTCTTGGCCAGGCACGGTGGCTCTTGCCTGTAATTGCAGCACTTTGGGAGGCCGAGGCAGGCGGGTCACAAGGTCTGGAGTTCAAGACCAGCCTGGTGAACATGGTGAAACCCCATCTCTACTAAAAATACAAAAAATGAGCCAGGCATGGTGGCGTGTCCCTGTAGTCCTAGCTACTCAGGAGGCAGAGGCAGGAGAATTGCTTGAACCCAGGAGGTGGGGGTTGCAGTGAGCTCAGATTGCGCCATTACACTCCAGCCTGGGCGACAGAGTGAGATTCCATCTCAAAAAAAAAAAAAATTCTCTCCATTGAGAGAAATCCCCAAATGTAGGGGCAGGTAATGAGCCAGACAGAGCTGGTTAGATCCTGCTCCATGGTACACTTACTACTTCTGTGACCCTTAGACAACTCACAGACATGTGCGAGCCTCAAGTCTCCCCCCAGGAAAGTGGAAAGACTGGGTGGTTTTGAGAATTAAATTCCTGGCATTTAATTACATGCCTGGCAGGTAGAAGCCGCTTATCTGATAGTAGTTGTAACAGTTTCTCCCTTCCCGCTGACAGTTGTTCCATGGGACACAGGTCCTCCCTCTCTATCTAGAGCTATAGATCTCATCAGCTCCCTGCCCCAGCACAGCCCTGCAGGGAGTTGGGTCCCCGTGAATTCCCCCTCTTCAGGACGCAAAAGGGAGGCCATACCGGATGGCAATGGGGAGGCAGACAGACCAGATGCAGACCCCAGATGCAGACCCCAGCTCTGACAGCTACTGGTGTGAGACCCATGAGCACATCCCATTACCTCCCCGAGCCTCAGCTCCCTGATCTTTAAAACAAGGGAAGCAGTGAGGCGGCAGATGGCACAGGGCAGAGCTCTGTCTTGGCCCCTCAGCCATTTGCATCTGGCCACCTCCTCTGGCCATGCCCCTCTGATCTCTGCACCTCTCCCAGGGACCTTGAATGCCAGGAACAGACACAACAGCCTGGCTTTCCCCAATCTGTCCTCACCTCGTCCTCCACTTCATCTGTCCCTGGTCTTGGCTCACTGGCCCTCACACACCTGAAGCTCTTTGAGAAGGGTGCCAGCTCCTCCCCTTCAAGCCAAGCTCAGATAGCACCTTCTATGGAAGCCTAGCCACCACCCCCGTTTCCCCTCTCCCTCCTCCTCCTCTAGCCCTGCTTCTCTTCTTCCCCACACTCCCCCCGTCTGGCATGGCCCTTTATCAGAACATCTCCTTCCCTCAGGGATAGGCCTGCATCCCTCTGATTACCCTGCTGTGATTAGGCCATCAGCCCCACAGTCTGAAGCTGGGTCCTCTTCTTCCTCTGGCTCAGCGCAGCCCTTCCACTGAGCAGTGTTGATAACTCTCTAATGGAGGGATACATGGGAGGAGGGCGGCCCGACAGGTGCTCAAGCCAGGGAGTGCCATGGTGAACAAACACACTTAGGAAGAATTTTTCTTCCTCAAAGGTGCCAGTTTCAGAAAATAATCTGAACTGCAGAACAGAGTTGGGGCATCTGGGCGCCCACGCCCAGCAGTGTTGTTAGACTGCGGAAAGTGTCTACCAGGCAGCGACGTCCTTGAGCTGCAGGTGGGGCTGCCCCCTGGTGGCTTCTTACAGTGGGAAGCCCCCCTACCCATTCATGATGGGCTCTTCCTCCTTCCTCCAAGCTGGGGCTGTAAAGCATATACTTTGAAGCAGGCAGGAGAGCCATGGGCAAATTAGGACGTAGCCTGGTCCCGAAAGGCGAAGGAGACCTCGGGGTGCTCATGGCAGTTGCCATGGCAGCAGGAACTTGAGGGGCCATCACAGAGAGGCTGGGGCTGCTCTCCCTAGTGACATAGGTCAGTTCCCTGGGTCTGGGAGGGTTCATGGGCAAGGTTCATGAACCTGTGCACAGGTTCACTGTGAGAGCAGCCCTGACATTCCCTCCCGAGCACACTGGAGGGACACTCATCAAGCCATACCCCTGGCTCCACTACCTGCTAGCTGTGACCTCAGGCATGGCCTCTGGCCTCTCTGGGCCTCAGTTTCTCCCTCTTGGCAATGAGGATGATGATCATGGTGCCTGTGCGTTAGGACTGTGGGAGTGCACGTTAGGACTGTGGGAGTGAAGTCAGGGTTTTGGTCCAGCGCCTGGTGCAGAATCGGTGTCAATGCACTGTAGTGCCTGTCACTCTTAGAAGGCAGGGCAAGAACAGGGCTTCACAAACTAGAGCTGCAGGCCAAAGCCAGCCAGACACCGATTTTTGTTGATAAAGTTCTGTGGGAACACAGCCACATGCATTCCATCATGGGTTGTCTGTGGCTGCTTTGCACAGCAGCAGAGTTGAGGGCTGGAGGCGGAGGCCTGAAGCATTCCATACCTGGCCCCTACAGGACAGTGCCCCAACCCCCACCTACTCCAACTCTACTGGGACACAGCAAGGCCCGGAGAGAGGGAGGGGTTCCTGAGGTCCCATGGAGGGGGTCATTGGTGGGCCAAGTCTCCTGCATTGCCATGGCTGGAACCTTGGAGTCCTGAGAAGAGCTAGCTGTGGGAAAACTCATTCTGTTCCCTCAGCAGGCTCTGTCTATCCAGGGAAAAGAAGTATTCATTCTGACTTTTCACATGCAGTGTCTTGTTCCATCCTTACACATCCCTACTTTATGTTTTCCTCCATGCCTGCGTGGCTCTCCTTGGTTCATGTCAGCATCATGTGTAGAGGACTTGCCTTGGTTCACACTGGTGCCATGTGTCCAGGGCTCACTCTGGTTTATGTTGACACTATGTGTAGAGCGTTCACTTTGGTTCATGTTGGCACCATGTGTAGAGGGCTCTCTCTGGTTCATGTTGGCACCATGTGTTTAGGGCTCATCCTGGTTGATGTTGGCGCCATATGTCCGGGGCTCACCCTAGTTCATGTTGGCATTTTGTGTACAGAGCTCACCCTAGTTCATGTTGGCATCGTGTGTACAGGGCTCACTTTGGTTCACATTGGTGCCATGTGCACAGGGCTCTCCCTGGTTCATGTTCCCAGGTGGACAGGGCTCACCCTGGTTCATGTTCCCAGGTGGACAGGGCTCACCCTGGTTCATGTTGGCACCATGTGTACAGGGTTCACCCTGGCTGATGTTGGCGTCATTTGTACAGGGCTCACCCTGGTTCATGTTGGCACCATGTGTACAGGGTTCACCCTGGCTGATGTTGGCATCATTTGTACAGGGCTCACCCTGGTTCATGTTATTGCCATGTGGAGAGGGCTTGCCCTGGTTGATGTTGCCATGTGCATAGGGCTCCCCCTGGTTGATGTTGGTGTCATGTGTAGAGGACTCCCCTGGTTCATGTTGGCTCCATGTTTAGTGGGCTTATTCTGGTTCATTTGGCCCCATGTGAAAAGGGCTCACCCCAGGTTAATGTTGGTCACATATAGAGAGGGCATTCTCTCTGTGTCCACGATAAAGTAATGGTGGTGGTGTCTCCCATTTCCCAGAGGAAGCTGAGACTCAGCTGAGGAAAGGGCTTGGTCATAGTCTCAACGCTGGTCCATAATATGGTCAGGATTTACAACCCTGAGCGTGATGTCATCTTCTCACACCTGAAACCGTTTAGCTAACCAGAAATACTCTCTCCTAAGGAGATAAAGTGACTTTCATTACATGTCTTTCTGTCTGCCCTGCTGTGGGGAGAGCTTTAGTTGTTCATTCAACAAATATTAATTGAGCACCTACTCTGTGAAGGGACCTGGAAGTACAGCAGCAAGCAGGGCCCACCACTTCCCTGTCCTCAGGGTGTCTCCCAACCCTTCCTTAGCTATACTTTATCGAGCTTTATTTTTATAGTGAAATGCATCAACCTTAAGCATATGTGTTAGTTGGTACTGACAAGTGTATATCACAGTGTAACCACCACCTGGGTCGAGATGTGGAACATTTCCAACCTCCAGAAAGTTCCTCTGTGCCCGTTTGGAGTTCATTTCTCCCAACCCTGGGGGCCCCCATCAACCACTGGCCTGACTTTTGTCCCTATTTAGATTAGTTCTGCCTATTCTGGAGTGTCACAGAAATGTCATCAAACAGCATATACTCTTTTGTGCCTCGCTTCTTCACTCAGCATGATTTTGAGATGCATCCACGTGGTGGTGTGTATTGGTGGCATGTTCCTTCTGGCTGCTATAAGGTATTCTGTGGTATATGGATAGACCAGTTTGTTTATCCATTCACCTGCAGATAGACATTGGAATTGTCCCTACTTTCTGGCTGTTACAAATAAAGCCACTATGAACATACTCACACGACTTCTTGAGGGCATATGCATTTATTCCTCTCAAGCATCGAACCAGGAGTAGAGTGGCAAGGAAGGGGCTCACATTTTGGCCGCAACGTTTTTGCTCACCTGTGGGGGTTACTGAGGAATACAAGATGCCTGTGCACAGCGGAGCTCAGGGATCCTTTGAGGACAGAAGCCTGGCGCAGCCTTCTGGGGCCAGGGTCCTCTCATAGGGTTTCCCTCTCTCCAGATGAACGATGTGCTCCTGTACACCTATCCCCAGAAGGATGGGAAGTACCGGCTGAAGAACACATTGGCTGTGGCCAACATGAAGGTAAATATCTGGTGCCAGGTACCCCCGGGTTGGGGGACAGGGAGACCCCAGGGGAGAAGGGGACAGCATCCTGCTCCCAGGAGCACCCAGACCAGCTGGAAGAGGGAGGCCCTGCGGAAACAGTGTTGGGCTACAGCAAGTTTGTGCTGTAAGTTGCCCAGGGAAAGGGGAGGGGGATGGAGGGCTTCTTGGAAGAGGAGACTGAACCCTTAGAGTGGATAATATTTGGTCGGATCAGGAAGGAAGGGAAGGAGGGGCATCCTATGAGGAGGAAAATGCATAAGGAAGGGCCTGGGTTGGGGGAACAAGCAGGTGGTTGGTAATTTTTTTAATTGTGATAAAATACACATATCATTTTAAAAGTAACCATTTTTAAATGTACAGTTCTGTGGCACTAAGCACATTTACATTGCTGTGTATCCAGCACCACCATCCATCTCAGAACTCTTTCCTCTCCCCAGACTGAAACTCTGCCCACATTAAAAACCAACTCTCCATTCCCCTCCTTCTCAGCCCCTGGCACCTACCATTCTACTTTCTATGTCCATGAATTTGACTACTATGGGTACCTCGAATGAGGAGTCACACAGTATTGATCCTTGTTTCACTTAGCACAGTGTCCTCAAGGTTGATCCCTGTCATCTGTAGTATGGGTCAGAATTTTCCTTCCATTGTGTGGATAGACCACATGGTGTTTATTCAATCCTCTGCCGATGGACACTGGTGGCTTCCACCTTTAGGCTGTTGTGAGTAATACTGCTGTGAATATGGGCATATGTGTGGGGCTTAGCTCCGTGTAACTTGGTCCTGAAGATGGGAACACTTGGGAGCTGTTGGGGACTTTGAGGAGCAGGAGGTTTTAGGAAGTTAATTCTGGTGCAACAGGAGGCTGAAGTTAGAGAGGGCAACACTGAGGTGGGACAGTGGAGCCGCAGGCGGTTGTCATTGTCAAGGGCAGAGGCAGGGATGGCCAGGAGAGCTGAGAGAGGCACTGTGCAATCTCTCTTGATCCTGTAGGCTCTTTACCATGGGGAAGGGGAAGGAGGAAGCACCTTTCTCAGCATGGAGGTTTGTTCCCTTTTGGAACCAAAGGCTCCACCGAGGAGCCTGTTAGAAAAAGGCATGGGAGACGTGGTCACTGGCAGGTACTTGTCCAACATGACAGTGCACCTGGGGTTGCCCGGGCTGGGCCCTGAGCATGACGCTCTGCAGCCTTCCCAGCGGTGGGTGAGTGGCCAAGAATGATGGAGCTGGCAGCCAGGCACCTTCCACAGCACCTACCATCACAGAAAGGTATGCCCTGAGGCTAGAGAACGGCAGTAGGTGGACATGGTCCCTCTGTTCATCTGCTGCCAGGAGAAGCCGGTCTACACTTGCCCCTCCCTGCCCCACCCTGAAGGAGGCTGCTGTTGGTTTTCCAGGTCAGCCGCCCTGTGATGGAGAAAGTGCCCTACGCTCTAAAGATTGAGACTTCCGAGTCCTGCCTGATGCTGTCTGCGAGGTACGGGCAGGTGGAGGGAGGATGGCGCACAAGGCAGAGGTGTGAGCATGGGAAGGTTCAGAACAACAGATAAGGATGTGCTGTTTTTATTTTGGTATCCTTCTGGGTCAAAGTATCCTTCTGGGTCAAAGGACTTTTTTTCTTTTCAGTGTTTCTTAACCTTTTGGGGAATTTGATAAAAACTTTTCTCCCCCCAAAAAATGTACACACTCATAAAATTTTATATATAACTTCAGGGGTTTCTAGAGCCCATGGCTTAAATATGGCAATAGCAATGTCTCATGTTTGTGGAGCTCTTTATGGATGATTGGGTCTCTACAGCAACACGAAAAGTTAAGGCCAGTAAAAAATGTATTGTGTGCTGCTGTTCATAAAGTGGCCTGCCTTTTTGCGTTCCTGTCTAGAAGATGAGAGAAAAAAAATAATAAGTGAGCGTTCATCACTTATGTTGCCCTGTCTGTGTGGTGTCTTAGTCCATTCAGGCCACTATAACAAAAATACCAGGCCGGGCGCGGTGGCTCACGCCTGTAATCCCAGCCCTTTGGGAGGCCGAGGCGGATGGATCACAAGGTCACAAGATCGAGGCCATCCTGGCTAACACAGTGAAACCCCGTCTCTACTAAAAATACAAAAAATTAGCCGGGCGTGGTGGCAGGCACCTGTAGTCGCAGCTACTCGGGAGGCTGAGGCAGGAGAATGGCGTGAACCGGGGAGGTGGAGCTTGCAGTGAGCCGAGATTGCACCACTGCACTCCAGCCTGGGCTACAGAGCAAGACTCCGTCTCAAAACAAAAACAAAAACAAAAACAAAAATACCATAAACTGAGTGACTTATAAACAACAGAAATTTCCCACAGGCTGCAGGTCAGGAAGTCCAAGGTCAAGGCACTGACTGATTCGGTGTCTGGTGAGGTTCTGCTTCCTGGTTCAAAGACGGTGCCTTCTCACATAGACAATGCCACCTCATGTGGTGGGAGGAGCAAGGGTCTCTCTGGGGCCTCTTGTATAAGGGCACTAATCTCATTCGTGAGGGCTCCACACCCATGGCCTCATCACCTCCCAAAGGCCCTGCCTCCCAACACCAGCACCTTTGGGAAGAGGATTTCTGCATTTGAATTTGGGGGGACACAAACATTTAGACCACAGTGGGGCATGGCATTTCTATCAGAAAGGTCTGCATTTTCTCCAGGCCCTCGGGTTGCCTGGGATCCTCATCTCTGGCTTCAGACCATGACCTTAAAGAGCATCCCCTTTTCCTTCTTTCAGGGCAAGGTAAGCTCAAGCTCTCGGGGGCTTGGAAACCAGGGAGGTATGCCTCCAGCCAAGAGTAGCTCTTCAGCCAGGGACGTGCATGGCAGGGGTCAGCAAGGCTTCTGGGGCTTGGGTGTCTACTCTCAGCAAGCACATGAGATGGGATGGCAGCAGTGCCTATCACATGGGGGTTTATCCTGCATTGGGCGGTTCTGAGTGTGAAATGGGATCTAAATGCACTCATGCACATGCACTCTCATAGATGCATTTTCTCATTAAAATCATTTATTAGGTGGGGCATGGTGGCTTATACCTGTAATTCCATCAATCTGGGAGGCTGAGGCTGAAGGATTACTTGAGGCCAGGAGTTTGGGACCAGCCTGGGCAACATAGTGAGACCCTGTCTCAAAAAAAAAAAAAATTTAAGCATTTATTAGCCACACCTCAGTGCCAGGTCTGGCAACAATTTAGCCGTTGTTGTGCTCTCCAGGAGCCCACATTACAGGTAGGAGAGTTGTAAACTGCTTCAGATGCAGGGCAGTAACTGCTGTAACAATTAATAGTGGTAATGACAGCAGTAACAGGCATTGGACACCTGTCAGGCCCCAGACGCCGCCGTGATCCTCATCACCACCCTTAGAGCTGGGGTTTGCGGCTCCTTCCATGCATAGGGAGTTGAGGCTTGCAAAAGGGTCACACAGCCAGGTGAGGTGGAACTGGAGTTTGAACCCAGGACTGTGTGGACCAGAGCTCTTATCTGTTACAGTCTACTGCATGAGGGAGTAGAAAAGGGCTTGGAAACCCAAAGGAGGGACTGCCCCATCTGGAGGAGTGAGGGAATGCTTCCTGGAGGAGGTGATGCCTGGGTGGGGGTCGTGGCCTCACCTCTCCTTGTGATAAAATCAAGGGCAGGAGGCTGCCAGCAAATAGTTTCTGTTAGTCCGGCCATGACTTGAGGGTGGTGACGATCCACACGTGGGCCTTCAGGTGGGGCTGCCCATCTCCCAGGGCAAGGACAGTGGCCTTTAGCATGCCAGTCACCTTCCTGCTAGTCCAGACCCTTCACACTTGAAGCTCCCAGGGGACCGCAGGACCCATTCATCACATTTTAGGGACATGGTGTCTTGCTGCCCACAATGCTGATTCAGCCTCTGCCCTGCAGCACTGCTCCCGCCCAGGCCAGCGGGCCCTTATGCTTGCTTTCCGGGGCAGGCTGCACACTTACCTGTGGTGTAGGCGCGGCATCTAGTGGACACTGTGAGAACTTCACCCAGCTAGCTGGCACCCAGCCCAGGCGTAGCTCTTGCCACTCAGGAAGCCCTCCCTGGTGCAGAGCAGGGACTTGGAAAGTGCCTGTTGGATGACTGTCTGGGAAGCTATGTGGGGAGATGAGGAAGGTGGGAGACACAGATGTTTACCTTTGCCAGCTCCCACCTACCCCTCATCCTCCACAGGTACCCAGCCCTCTGTCCCCTGCCAGCCCGTTTCTCCTGAAGTGTGGGACCCTCTGGGCCTTCCTAATGTCTCTTGCTTTTGCACAATGTTGACAATGTGGTTCCACGTCCCACATCTCCCTTCATCCCCACAGCAGCCCTGGGAGTTAGGGGAATATCATTATTCCAGTGTAAGAAGAAACAGACCCAAGGACAGCTAATGGACCAGTGGTCTGCTCGTAAACCTAGTCTGGCAGGTGATCTCTTCTTTGCTGGTGGTTCTGGGCAGTGTGAGAGGTGCAGGCTCAAGGGGCATCTGAGTGAGAACCTCATCCATGCCGAGATGGAGGGTGGGAGGCAGAGCTGCTCCTGCCTTTGCTCACTCCAGCCCATGCCCGCAGCTCCTGTGCAGAGAGGGACGAGTGGTATGGCTGTCTGAGCAGAGCCCTCCCTGAGGACTACAAGGCCCAGGCGCTGGCTGCATTCCACCATAGCGTGGAGGTGAGTGGGTGGGCAGGGCCCACGGGCCACCAGCTTCAGAGACCTGGGGTTCCCTGGGCGGGCATTGCTGTTGCCACTCACACCCAGATGGACGTGTAGCTCCTGTCTTGGGGCACTGGCTCCCCCCACACCCCTGCCATGCTCCCACCCTAGTCAGGGGCGGCCTCCGTGTAACCTAGGAGCCCAGCACCCACAGTCTTGTTCTCACAGTCTGGCTGTTTCCCAACCAAGGGTGAGCATCCTGGAGGGTGCAGGAGAGGCCTTTCACATCAGACCCACTCACCCACACATCACACACCCTGCACAGAGACGCAGGGCAGGGCTCACTGGGCTCTGCATCTGGCTGGTCTCCTGGCCACATTCCACATTACTCAGCCAATTCTGTTGCTGCAGATACGAGAGAGGCTGGGGGTTAGCCTTGGGGAGAGGCCCCCCACCCTGGTGCCTGTCACACACGTCATGATGTGCATGAACTGCGGCTGCGACTTCTCCCTCACCCTGCGGCGTCATCACTGTCACGCCTGTGGCAAGGTGAGTCGCTGCATCTGGGGTGAGTGTGTGCATGGGGGTGGGGTGGGGGAAGGGCATGTCCCTGCCCAGCCGGGGGCTCAGGGATGTCCAGCAGCTACTGTAAGCCCCAGAGTGAGGCATGTTCACACCAACCCGAGAGGAACAGATTGCTAATTCCCATTTTATAGATCATCAAACCAGAGCTCCAAGTCCCAGGCCTCTTCCACACCACCACGTTTTCAACAGAAAACCGTAGCATACGTGGCTATTGTGCTTGGAGAAAAAAGTATCATGTAGTGGTTAAGGGCGCGGGCTCATCAGAAAAGCAGATAGGCGCTGGCTCAGAAACAAGATGAAGCCTTGCCGGAAAAGTAGGGGACACGCACAGCTCCATGATCAGAACCTGGGGCTCCCTAGGGGCAGTTGTGGGTGGATTAGCAGAGGGAGCGGAGGGGAGGGGTGCAGGTCTCCTTTGCATGCACTGAGAGGGGTGAGAATCTTCCCACCTGGGCCTGCAGATCGTGTGCCGGAACTGTTCGCGGAACAAGTACCCGCTGAAGTACCTGAAGGACAGGATGGCCAAGGTCTGCGACGGCTGCTTCGGGGAGCTGAAGAAGCGGGGCAGGGCTGTCCCGGGCCTGATGAGAGGTAACCTGGGGACCACTTGCCTTCTTCCAAGTGGCCTGGTGGCTTCTCCCCAGGCTCCAGTGGCTTCTCTGTGGTCCATGGTTCATGCCTGAAACCGCTTTCCCTGGAGGGAGTTATTCACTCCATGGAGGGAGGAAACAGAGGTTCGGGCACCATTTTCCAATATGTGGATTCTGTGGAAAATTGATCGGTGTCCCCAGAAGAAGAGCTCTGTGGGTAGCTAAGCTTAGGAATCAGTGTGTGTGTAAGGGGACAGAGGCAGGGAGCTCCTGTGTCCTTTACCATAGAGGCCCTCTTGTCAAGTATCCTATAGGCCTGTGCCTGTAGCGCCTTTCTGGGACTAAGGACTATATAAGCGTGGCAGCAGAGGAGCTGGGGTCAGGGAGGGGTGAAGCTGTTCCACACAGGAGCCTTGGGAAGCTGAGCCGGCCCCTGAGAGACCTGGTCAGTGCTGAAGGGACAGGCCTTGCCCAAGCAGGGTCAAGTTCCCAGGAAGGAGAGCAGGTGTATCTTGGGCCTAAAACTAAAGTCTTTCCCTGGCCTCCACTCCACGGGGCTGGACTAAGGTCATCAGAGAAGACAGCCCAGTCCCTGCTACCTGGAGGCCTGGAGGTGAAGGGCTGTCCAGCGCCCTGGAAAAGCGTCCCCTCCCCAGCCCCCATAGCCTTTGTCTGTTCCTGCAGGAGGGAGGGAGGAAGAGTGCTTGACTTTCAGGTCCCACTTAACCCCCATGGCTCACATTCCTAGAGGGATTTTACAGGAATCAGTGTTCCAAAGACAAGCCGCAGGCACGCCTCTCACCTCCCTTCCATGTGGCTTCTTTCAGTTACAGAGCGGCCTGTGAGCATGAGCTTCCCGCTGTCTTCACCCCGCTTCTCGGGCAGTGCCTTTTCATCCGTCTTCCAGAGCATTAACCCCTCGACCTTCAAGAAGCAGAAGAAAGTCCCTTCAGCCCTGACAGAGGTAAAGCAGGCAGGGCTACCCAAGTGGGAAGTAGGGCATTTGGAAGGTTCATGGTCATCCTGGGTAGACGGAGTCAGACCCTGCCCTGTCCCAGCCTGACCAGTCTCTTCCAGACAGAGCATTCCTAATGGAAGCATCCCAGCTACGAGGACCGACTTGACAGTGATGGTGCTAGGCGACATCTTTCCCATCCTTCTCTCTACCTCTCCCCTCCTCCTCTTTCTTTTCTCTCCTTTTTCTCCTGCCCCATAGCTTAGATCTAGTACCCAAGCAGACTGCACAGATCACGGGGGCTCTTCATTCTAAAGGAGCCAAATTCCTGTGTTGGTCCTTCCATGTCATCCCCTCATCCTAGGGGTCCCAACCCGGCTCAGGTGTTGACGTCCCTGGAGGCCATGGGCTCCGCAGGAAACTTCAGAACTGGCTAAACTCAATTGTATCCCACAAATAGGACCAGATTGTATGTCTGTATTTCCATTCACAACCACAGACCAATGTATGTCTGTGAATACACAAGGAGTCCACAAGTGTGATCAGCTGCTTCCAAGTTAGTCCATTAATATCAAGTAGCAGGTAGCAAGGGTTTAAAAAAGTGTTAGGGAATGGAAAATTTAAATAGGTACAGTTTTATCCATTAACTTGTTCCTTTTGCAAATTAAAAATCTTGGAAATCACACATACGGCCGGGCGCGGTGGCTCACGCCTGTAATCCCAGCACTTTGGGAGGCTGAGGTGGGCAGATCACGAGGTCGGGAGATCCAGACCATCTTGGCTAACACAGTGAAACCCCATCTCTACTAAAAATACAAAAATCAGCCGGGTGTGGTGTCATGCAGCTGTAGTCCCAGCTACTCGGGAGGCTGAGGCAGGAGAATCGCTTGAACCTCAGGGAGGTGAAGGTTGCAGTGAGCTGAGATGGCGCCACTGCACACCAGCCTGGCGACACAGCAAGACTCTGTCTCAAAAAAAAAAAAAAAAAAAAAAAAAAAACACATACATGGTTAAACATTTTTCCCAAAAAAGTACAAAACAGCACATATGATGAAAAGTGAGTTTCTCATCCTTCCCAGCCTCCCTCAATCCCACTGCCATCAAGTTTCTTATGGAACCTTGTGGAAATTTTCATGCACATACATAATACAGATGTACATTCATAGATCTTCTTTTTCTACCCAGAAGACAACATATTATACAGAATCTCTTCTGTTTTCTCCACTTAATTTGTCTTAGAGATCATTTCATAATCACATATATGTATAAACCTCACATTTTTTACATTGCATTCCTCTTTTACTAGTAAGGAAATTGAGACTTAGAAGAAGTCAGCAAATTGCTCATCATTAACCACCTAGTAATTGGTAGAGCCTGAATGGGAAATCCAGGTTGGTATTAACTCCAAGCCTGCGTTCCTCACCACATAAAGCCTGTGGACAGAATACTACTACCCCCCGCCACCACAAAGAGTAGTAATAATAATAAAAGGACTTAACGCTGCACACACCCCACTAGGCAGGAGACTATAATACCTTTTAGGCAACAGTACAAAGAGGATCCCTCCCTAAATGTGAGGAAGAGATAAGTTGAAAGTGCAAGAGTTAATTTTAGAAGGAAGAACCTTTCGCCGAAGTACCTGAACGAAGTTTCTTGAGTTGAGGGGCTTAGGTTGAGAGGGAACCAAGAATCTGAAAAACCACTAGAGGGCAGCATCAGCATTCCCAAAGTCAGCTGGGTCCATTCATTAAATCCTGTTTCTCAAAGCATGAAGCACTATCTTGCTGACTTTGGTACTGGATAGATCCTGAGACCTTATCCAGTGTCAAAGCAGTATAAGTAGTCAGCCAAATGGTTTGCAGTGTCATTTTGAATTGTGCTCTGTTTGAACTGTGCCTGACCACCGGGGTGGGCTGACCGCTCTGCTTCCCTCCTGCCAGGTGGCTGCCTCTGGAGAGGGCTCTGCCATCAGTGGCTATCTCAGCCGGTGTAAGAGGGGCAAGCGGCACTGGAAGAAGCTCTGGTTTGTCATCAAAGGCAAAGTTCTCTACACCTACATGGCCAGTGAGGTAGTAGTGATCTGCACTCTCTCCCCTCTCCTCTCTCCTGTGAAATGACCCCCTGGGGCCTGCACACATCCTGTCACTTGCAAAGCTGTGTGAGTCCTGGCTGCTGAGCCAGTTCTGGTGGCAGTCAAGTCTTTAGTGAGCAATGCCATGTGCTCAATGTTGCTGTGGCTACACAACCACATATCACTTCAAAATCTAAGGAATTTGCAGTTTCTTTGTGGATATAAGAAGGTACGGACATGCCAAGCTGTGCCGCAAAGTGTTTAAATGGCACAGGCCCAGCATCTAGGACAAAGATGGAACAAGCCAGCCATGCCACAAAAGAAAACACCTTCCTACTGTCTGCTTAGATTGCTTGGGGCAAAATTCAGCAGTGTGGAGGAAGCTACTCCCTTTTTGTCTGTCCATTTCTTTTATAGGGTAACTCTAGTAATTCTTCTAAAGAAAACTGAAATCTATATTTTATAGAATATCTTACTTTAGGTGAGAGAGCCTTGGAAATCAAGCTTACTTCCAGAGTAGACAGATGTGTGGCCATGGTTGTGTAGCAGGGTGCTGTCTGGCCCTGACCCAGGCTGAACCTGTTGGATAATGTGAAACATTTCTATCTCCATGCTTCACCAGCTGGTGGCTTCTAGGTGGTCAGGCATAGTTTCAGCTTTGAAAATGGGAGTTAAATGTATTCTGACGAGCTGCAGAGGGTGGGTGCTTTGCTCCACTGGGATATGCATGTCAGGGCTGGCTCTTCTCCCCTGGCCACAGATGCTAGCAAATGTGCAAAAGGCACTTCCTTCTTTGGGGCATGAAGCTTCCCTCTGGAAGGACCTGCAACTGTGAAGGTTGCCGTGTGCCCATTCCCAGGGATCACAGAGGATGGCTTTCTAGAAGAAATTGCTTTGGAGCCATACTTAAACACTTAGCAAGGCCCCACATCTGTTTACTCTAAGCAAAGCAGGCAGACAGGGGATCTGCCATAGGCCTGAGCGGCTTGGGTACCCGGTAAGCTGCACCCCACCCTGAGGGGCCTTTGCCTGTGTCCACAGGTGGGGTCTTCCACACTGTGGGGGATTTTTATCTTTCCAAAACAAACTGAACAGTTGTCATGGAAGTGACAGCATAAGCTTATTTTAAAAGGTGGATTTAGGGGCCTGGCATGGTGGTTCACGCCTGTAATCCCAGGACTTTGGGAGGCTGAGGATCTCTTGAGGCCAGGAGTTCGAGACCAGCCGGAGCAACATAGTGAAACCCTATCTCAACGAAAAATAAAATGAATGAATGAATGAATGAATGAATGATGGACTTAAGTATGACTCCAAAACAGTTTCTTCTAGAAAGAGGAATTTACATAATTTCTCAACCTGTTCCAGCGATGGAATAAAGCTTTCAAATACCATCAAAGAAAAAAAGGTTCTGATGAAGTGGATAGCTGGTTTGCACTGTCTACACCACTGTGCACCCCTATCATGTACCCTGAGGTGGCCCAGAGCTGATGCAACTTGCTATTTAGTAACAGTCCTGGGAAAAAGCGACTATCAAAAATACATAGGAATCTTTATTTTTTCCAACATTTTCTGTTTGTTTCAAGACAGGGTCTTGCTTCGTTGTCCAAGGCTGGAGTGCAGTGGTGTGATCACTGTTCACTGCAGCTTTGAACTCCTGGACTCAAGCCATCCCCCCCAGCTCAGCCTCCCAAGAAGCTGGGACCACAAGTGTGTGACGCCAGGCCTAGCTAATTTTTTTTTTTTTTTTAATTTTTTTTTTTGAGATGGAGACTCACTCTGTCACCAGGCTGGAGTGCAGTGGTGCAATCTTGGCTCACTGCAACCTCCACCTCCCGGGTTCAAGTGATTCTCCTGCCTCAGCCTCCTGAGTAGCTGGGACTACAGGCGCCCACCACCACGCCCAGCTAATTTTTGCATTTTTAGTAGAGACGAGGTTTCACCATGTTGGCCAGGATGGTCTCGATCTCTTGACCTCATGATCCACCCACCTTGGCTTCCAAAGTGCTGGGATTACAGGCGTGAGCCACCACACCTGGCCAATTTTTTTATTTTTTGTAGGGGCAGTCTCACTATATTGCTCAGGCTGTTCTCGAACTGCTGGTCTCAAGTGATCCTCCCACCTTGGCCTCCCAAAGTGTTGGGATTACAGGTGTAAGCCACTGTGCCCAGCCTATTTTTTTCAACATTTTATTCTTTATTATATTTATTGTTTATAAATATTTTCAAACATAAAGGAATGTTGAAAGAATTTTACAGTGAACTAGCCGGGCATGGTGGCTCATGCCTGTAATCCCAGCCCTTTGAGAGGCTGAGGCAGGAGGATCACTTGAGGCCAGGAGTTAGAGAACAGCCTGGCCAACATGGCAAAACCTCGTCTCTACTAAAAATACAAAAATTAGCCAGGGATGGTGGCACGCACCTGTAGTCTCAACTACTTAGGAGGCCGAGGCAGGAGAATCGTTTGAACCCGGGAGGTAGAGGTTACAGTGGGCCAAGATCACACCATTGCACTCCAGCCTGGGCAACAGAGCAAGACTGTCTTAAAAAATAATAATAATAATTTTACAGTGAACTATCATATGACCATTAACTGGATTGTACAATTAACATTTCCTACATTTCTTTTATCAAGTACCTATCTATTCATCCTTCTATACCTTTTACTTTTTGATGTTTTTCAAAATATACTTAACCCTATGAATTCAATGTTTTTGTACCTTTTTTTTGCCTTTTGAGGTCTAATTTATATATAATGAAGTGCACAAATCTCAAATATACTATTTGGTGAGTTTTGATTAATGCACACACCTACAAATTGCCACTATCATCCTGTCCCCAGAGGCAACACCCTGTTCCAATTCTTTTCCACCATAGATTAGTTTTGCCTCTTGATCCTCAAACAGATGGAATCATGTGTGACTTCCATTAACCATGATGTTTTTGAGATTCATTTATGTTGTTGCATATAGCAGTAGTTCACTTCTTTTTAAGGCTGAGTAGTCTTCCATTTTGTGAATATACCAGTTTTGTTTAGCTGTTCACCAGTCAAAGGACATTTGGATTGCTTCTAGGTTTTGGTGATTATGAATAAAGCTGCTTTAAACATTTTCATACAGGTTTTTGTGGGAACATAAATTTTTATTTCACTTGGGTCATTACCTAGGATTGGAATTGATGGATCATAAGGCAGGCATATATTTGGTTTATAAGGAATTGTGAGGCCTTTTTCCAAAGTGGTGTGCCATTTTACACTCCCCCAACAACGTGTGTGAATTTGAGTTCTGGTTGCTCCACATCATTGCTAACACTTGGTGTTGTCAGGCTTTAAAATTTTAGCCATTCTGGTGGGGAGTGTTGAGGTAACTCAATGTTGTTTTAATTTAGATTTCCCTAGTAACTACTGATATTAAGCACATGATTGCTTTCATGTGCTTATTGGCCACTCATATTTCCATTTGAGAAGTGTCTATTCAGATCTCTTGTCCACTTTTTTTAAAGTAGGTTGTACTGTGATTAAGTTATAGGATTTCTTTCTGTATCCTGTATACCAGGCTTTTGTCAGATAAATGTTTTACAAATATTCTCTGCCTGTCTGTGGCTTCCCTGTTCATTTTCTAATGAATGAATGAATGAATCTTTTGGTGAACAGCAGTTTATAACTTTGAGGAAGTCTACTTTGTCAGTGTTTCCTTTTATGACTGTTGCTTTCTGTGTGCTAAGGCATTTTTGTCTACGCAAGCTACAAAGTTATTTTCCTCTATTTTCTGAAAGCATTAATGTTTTAGCTTTTACTTCTAGGTCTATCTCAAATTAATTTTTGTGTGTGGTATGACATGGGAGTTGAGGTTCCTTTTTTTCATTATGGATATCCAGTTGTTCCAGCACCATTTGTTGAAAAGACTTGCCTCTCCCTATTGGATTGCTTCAGTGTCTTTGTTAAGTCTCAAATGATTGAATAAATAGAGGTCTATTTCTGGACTTTCCATTGTGTTTCATTCATATATTTACCAATCCTTATGCCAGTACCAAACTGTCACAAATACTGTAACTTTATAGTAAGTCTTGAAGTCAGGTTGTGTAAGTCCTCCAACCTAGTTCTTTTTTAAGACTGTTTCAAGGCTGGAAAGGTGCCTACGCCTGTACTCCCAGCACTTGGGAGACCAAGGAGGCAGATCACTTGAGGCCAGGAGTTCAAGTCCAGCCTGGCCAACACAATGAAACCCCGTCTCTACTAAAAATAGAAAAAATTAGGGAGGTGTGGTGGTGCATACCTGTAATTCCAGCTACTTGTGAGGCCGAGGCATGAGAATCGCTTGAACACAGCAAGCAGAGGTTGCAGTGAGCCGAGATCACACCACTGCACTCCAGTCAGACTTTTTTTTCCCCAGACTCTGTCTCAAAAAAGAAAAAAAATTGTTTTGGGCATTCTAGGCCTTTTATGTTTTCATATAAACTTATCAATTTCTATGATAGGGATTATGGAATCTATAGACCAATTTGGGGAGAACTGGCATTGTAATATTGAATCTTTCAATCCATGAACATGGTACATAAATTTTCATTTATTTAAGCCTCGAATTCTCTTTTAATGTTTTGTAGTTTTTAGTGTAGACATCTTATACTTCTATTAATATATTTCTAAATATTTTTTTGGATGCCATTGTGAATGGCATTTATTTTATTTTCTAGTTGTTTGCTGCTACTATATACACATAAAAACTGATTATCTTGTGACCTTTCTAAATTGATTTTTAGTTCTAGTAGTTATTTTGTTTTTTTTCTTTTGCAAGCACAAATAGTTCTACCTCTTTTCTGATCTTTATCTCTTTCTTTTTCTTTCCTTAATGTAATAGTTATGGTCTCCAGTACAATGTTGAATTGAACTGATGAGAGTGAACACCATTCTTGCCTTGTTTCCAATTTTAAGGGAAAAGCATTTGGTGTTTCACTATTAAGTATGATGTTAGCTGTAGGTATTTTATAGATGCCCTTTGTTAGTTAATGAAGTTTCCTTCTACTCTAGTTTGCTAAGAGGTTTGTTTTTTTGTTGTTGTTTTTGTTTTTACCATGAATGGATATTGAATTTTGTCAAAGGCTTTTTCTGATCTAGCAATCCTTGAGAATTGATTCCTTTTATTTTAAAAAAATATTTCTTAGTTTTCTGGGGTTTTAGGGATGAGGTCTCACTATGTTGTCCAGGCTGGACTCAAATTCTTGGCCTCAAGCAGTCCTCCTGCCTTGGCCTTGAGTGTAGCTGGGTCTACAGGTACATGCCACTGTGCCCAGCTTGATTCTATTCTATACACAAACCGTACTCCCCTTCTTCTTCCTCCCACCACCATTCTAATATGCTTAATTATATCTCTTTATGTGTTTTTACAAAGTCTGTATTGTTTATGAACATGTATGTTTTTACATAACTGTGTATAAAAATGTCTTTACCTATATATAAAAATCTTTTTCCACTGAGCACTATGTGTGTAAGATCCATCTGTGTTCTTTGGGTATATCTCATCAAATTGTTAGCAACTTTATAGCACAGACAGTGCAAGTGCTCCATATTGAAATACTGTAAATGAGGTTTTGGAAGAATGAGTATAGAATATGTGATCAGAAGTAACTGCAAAACTGAGTCACTGACTGATGAAATCCATGGAAAGAATGTGGGGTTAGAAGGTGGTCATGAGTGCAAATTCTGGATCTGCTCTTTACTGCTGTGTGATCTTGGGCAATTAACCTTTTTTGAGCCTTGGTTTCTTCTTAGAATGGGAGTGACACCTTCTATGATTGTTGTGAAGATTAAATATAATGAAGATGTAACTGCCTGGTCCCTGATAAACTGTCACAATATGTTGAGACATATTGTCTCAACATACGTCACATATGTTGAGACAATATGTGAGACAGAGTCTCACTCTGCCCCCCAGGCTGGGGTGCAATGGTGCGATCTCGGCTCACTGCAACCTCTGCCTCCCGGGTTCAAGCCATTCTTCTGCCTCAGCCTCCCGAGTAGCTGGGATTACAGGCACCTGCCACCACACCCAGATAATTTTTGTATTTTTAGTAGAGATGGGATTTCACCATGTAGGCCAGGCTGGTCTCGAACTCCTGACCTCAGGTGATCCACCCGCCTCAGCCTCCCAAAGTACTGGGATTACAGGCGTGAGCCACCACACCCAGCCAGTGTCGTTTCTTTCCTTCCTCAGGGCTGGCTCTGGGGGGAAGCGAGGGTCAACAGTTTGTGTGTGGTGAGCCCGAAGGTGCCAAAGCACACCCCACACAGAGGCACTCTTCACGCATCTCAGATTGGAGATAACAGTAAATGACTATGCAGAGTGTGGTGTTTAATGTCAATTTTTCCTTCTGTCCTCTGCAGGACAAAGTGGCCTTGGAGAGTATGCCTCTGCTAGGCTTCACCATTGCTCCAGAAAAGGAAGAGGGCAGCAGTGAAGTAGGACCTATTTTTCACCTTTACCACAAGAAAACCCTATTTTATAGCTTCAAAGCAGAAGATACCAATTCAGCTCAGAGGTACGAAAAGAACTAATTAGTCTTATAGCTTTTTGTTCTCTCAGAAGGCAACAAGTTGTTTCTTGGGGCTTTGGCTTCTGTTCTGCTCCATTCATCCTATCCCATTAGGTCCCTTTGGGCCATAGCAGAACTGCAGAACTACCTGTTCTTTGTCACAATCATGTTTAGACTGTTTTGATTCATTCATGAATCAAGGATGCATTGATTCAGTAAGCTTTTGCCCTGTGTTCCAGGCCTTTTGCTGAATATAGAAAACATGTTTGAGAAACAAATACAATTACGACATGGTCCTTGACTTCAAACTAAGAGGAATCTACTAGTCCAGTCTTTTCTAGGTTCTGTGACCAGAGTCATAGGCAGAGCCGCAAAACCAAATGTCCTCCCTGTTTTGTTTTATAGGTGGATCGAGGCCATGGAAGATGCGAGTGTGTTATAGCAGTTATCAAGCATGTGGACTTGTAACAAATTCTTAGGTCAATATGTGAATGCTTTTAGAAGCTAAGCTGTGGCTCAACTCATCCGGACACACACCTGGATTCAGCAATGAGGCCTGACCTTTTTTGCTATAACCGCCCCACCACTCCCCTGCCCTTGCCAACATCTTCATGAATGGAATCCTTAAGGGATATTTATGGACCTCTCCTTTTCTGTGTTTTCCACCCCTACCCCCACCCGCCACCCAGTAATAAACTATTTCCTTACCCCGCAGTGAGTTAAAATTTAGTAAGATGAAGATGTGGAAACCAATGAAAAGTACATTTAGAAATGCAGGCTTTTTAGTAGAAAGAAGCTCTTACAGTTTTTACTCATGATAAATCTTATCACCTTTCAAAAATTGATTGTGGTGCCTCAGGTGAAATGAGAAGCTATCAGTAACAGCTACTCTCATCGAAAGCACTTTATTATTTTACGGAGCTGCAACCTCCAATTTTGTGTTTTCTAAGTGATTTACTTAAGTCAATAACAGATGGAATCCTGTGGACTAATGTGCCACCAGTTTTCTAACAAGGGTGTACATAAAATGGATTTGTGCAGACCTGGCTGTGGCTTGCTGGTGTGCAAGCACACATCACTTTAGAGGGGCTGCGCCCCACCAGATAGGAAGGGGAGGATTTTCTCCTCCAGTCGACCTTGTGACCTGTATACTAACATAACTTATTAAAGGAGGGGTCCCTCCTCCCCCAGAGCAGTCCTCAACACTATGTCAGTGCTGGAAATGCAGCCACTGGCAGATCTGGCCCCCCAGACGTCACCGCAGGGCCTCTGAAGAGTCAAGGTCTGCTTTAATTTATTGTGTGCCTTTCTGTGTTTACCTCACTCAAGCTGACAACATTGTTTATGGGAATCTATCCTTCTTTTAGACACACGGTAATCCTTGGGCTGTATTACTGAAGGCTTTTTATTTTTTGAGAGGTGAAAAAAAGAGAAAACAAGTTAGACTCCAAAGGTGAATTCCTGGTCTTGGCAGATGGCTCTGGGAACAGCGAGGGAGCACAGAAGTCGTGGCCTGAGGCTGTTCTATGGGCACTTGGGGCTAAATCGCCTCCTGAGGGTGACTGTTGCTTATTCTGCTGGACAGGTTTTTACATAAAGCAAAGGGCATGTGAGGGGTGGGATTCCTTGTTACTCTTACTGCAATAAAAATCAATTGTTTGATATCCTGTCCCCATTCTGTTGCTGCCCTGTCCCCTACAAAAAAGGGAATTTGCTGACAAACTTTTTGTAAAAAGCACCATCTCTGGACTTACTTGCATTAAATATTTTCAGGGGAATTTTTTTTTCCAGTTTGCAGTTCTTTTAAAATGTTTGCATTAAACATGTAACTAATGGTTCACACTAAGTGATTAGACAGTGTTCTTGTTAATTTTTGAGGGCTTAATTCCAACTGAATCATTTTCATCATCAGACACTGAAATGGGCTTCCTAGAGCTGTTGAGCAGAGCAGGACTTCAGTACCAGGCAGGGGGAAGTTTCCCCAGTCTGCTCACATTGCTGCCCATGGTCAGTTTCTGAGTTCCAGATAGAATCACGGGTCTGAAAGTCATCAGAAGGCCTCTTTTACTTTATATCATCATCCTATTTTGGATGCTCTGTAAAGAGGTAATAGGGCTTTTATTTCTCAGTGAATAGTTACCCTAATAAAAATGTCTGGGTTATAGATGAAAAACACACTGGATGGGTTTTGTAAAAGGAAACTGGCAGGGGCTCATGTGTGACTGGGCAAGGGATTACCTTTTTATCTGGACCTTGTATTACAAGTCCTTCCTGTGGTTCTTTGTGTACTCATTTCAGGCCAATTTCTGCTACCTTTTCTACTAGGGATGAAGCCATCCCACCCGGTCAGAGGGTGCTCCTTCCCACTGGACCCAGATGCTGGGGATATGACCAGCCATGACACCACGGAGATGCTGCTCGAAGTCCCCCATAATACCTGCTCTGCCCCTCTGCTCACTGGGCACAGAGCAGCCCCTTTACTGTGCACCCCCAGCAAAGGCCATGTTTATCAGGAAGAAGCAGCATAGACGAGCCACTCACTTAAGTTGCTCTGAGCTTTGGTGTCTTCTTCTATTACATGGAGATCATCCTAGCTTCTCCCACAGGTTCAGGGGAAAAGGCACAAATGGAATGTTTGTGAAAGTGGTCTGAAAAGAGCAGGGCCCATAACTTTACTTTTACTTTGTATAATAACACCATGCCCTTCCCCACTGGTTTATCAAAGTCGTGGGCCCTGCTCTTTAACAGCACAAAATGAAGACAATACACAGAAGACCTTTTTCCTTATCCATGAAAATTGGGGCCAGGTGTGATGGCTCATGCCTGTAATCCCAGCACTTTGGAAGGTTGGGGCAGGAGGACTGCTTGAGTCCAGGAGTTCTAGACCAGCCCAGGCAATATAGTGAGACCCCAACTCTAAATTAAAAATCAGCCAGGCATAGTGGCTTATGCCTATAGTCCTAACTACTTAGGAGGCTGAGACAGGAGGATTGCTTGAGCCCAGGAGGTCACGACTGCAGTGAGTTATGATCATGACACTGCACTCTACCCTGGTAACAGAGTGAGATCATGTCTCAAAAAAAAAAAAAAAAAAATGGCAAGGAAGAGAAACCCTAACACAGTAAGGCTGAACTTTGGTCATGGAATCTAATCTTCTCTTTCATTTTAATTACCTCAGGAAAGCACAGACCTTCACAGGGTTGGCCTCTGCCTGCTTCTCAGAATCAATAAAGGTTTATAATAAAACTCAAAGTTTTACTGAAAACAAGCAGCACCTATTTCACATGAATACTGGCTTCACACTTTCCCTGCAGATTGAATGTGTTTCTTGAGTCTGGGTTAGTCTTAGTAAGTAGGAAGAATTCTTTTCCTTATTACTAATACAAAGCACACCAGAAACATAAACAGTAGTGTATGTTCCTGGGTCGTAATAATTCTTTTGGCTGAGCGCAGTGGCTCACACCTGGTGGATTGCTTGTGCCCAGGGGTTCAACACCAGCCTGGGCAACATGGCGAGAAACTCTGTCTCTACTAAAAATACAAAAAGTAGCCAGGTGTGGTGATGCGCGTCTGTAGTCCCAGCTACTTGGGAGGCTGAGGCAGGATCACTTGAGCCTAGGAGGTTGATGCTACAGCAAGCCATCATCATGCCACTGCTCTCCAGCCTAGGCAACAGAGCAAGTCCCTGTCTCTAATAATAATAATTCCTTTACATATCAGAAATATGCTTTAAGTTTTTCTGAGCAGGCTGACTAGCTAATAGACTTATTCTCCCTTGTATGCAGCCTGGTTCTGGGAAAATGTGTGGCCCGATGGGCTGATGCTTGCTCTGATCTTTGGGCGTGCACCATGCAGGCCAGTGCTGAGGACCCCAGCAACCCTGTTGCAGCAATTGAAGGGTGACAGAGTCCTTTTTCCCTCCAGTCCAGCCTTTCATTTGCTCTGTTTTCAGCAGCAGTATACACTGAACACAGAAGCAAGCCCTAGATGGTGACTGAGGCCACCTGGGCTAAGGTGGTAGGACCAGGCTTGGAACCTGAGTTTCTTTCTGATGCAGGTCAGTCAACAATGTGCTCAAATATTCTTCTGTTGATTCAGCCTGTGTTTCTTGGTTTTTCTTTTTTCTTTCTTTCTTTTTTTTTGAGACAGGGTCTCACTCTGTCACCCAGGCTGGAGTGCAGTGGTGCAGTCATGGCTCACTGTAGCCTCGACCTCCCAGGTTCAAGCGATCCTCCCACCTCAGCCTTCCAAAGTAGCTGGGCCCACAGGCATGTGCCACCACGCCCAGCTATTTTGTTGTAGAGATTGGGTCTCACTATGTTGTCCAGGCTGGCCTTGAACTTCTAGGCTCAAGCAATCCACCTGCCTCGGCCTCCAAAAGTACAGGGATTACAGGCATGAGCCACTGCCCCCCAGCCTGTTTTGTGGTTTCTATGATCATGGAAGCTTCTGTGCCTCCACACATTCATGGTCAGGAGAGGACAGATATATCTACACTAAGATGTCTGTTTTCAGCAGCAGGTAAATGGAAACCAATCTCAATCTGGTTTAAACAATTTGGAAATCAGTTAAAAGGAGATCCAAAAGCAGGGGGATTTGGTTTTTCTGACTTGCCATGCAGTGTCAGCTTGATTCCAGGGTTGGTTCCCAAGCAGTTTATTGCTGACTGCCACTGATGGTTGGGGCTACACTATAAAATTCCCTGTTCACAGCCACCAAGGACAGCTTGGCTTCGTGTAGCTAGCTTTTTCTTAGAAGCACCCACAGGCCCTTCCCATTCTCCAGGTTCACACTTACTTACACCTGCCAACTCCTGAGCTTAATCTTCGTAAGAGGGACCACCATGATTGGCACCGAACAGTCAGCTGTGGGGGCAGCTGCTGGGGATTCACCAATGTCCACTCTCTGGACCAAATCTTCTGGAAAGACTATAGTTTGGATTAACAGAGTGCAAGGGCTATGCTTTTTCCTATATTTTGGGGATGATCTGTAATAGAATACTCACAGGGCAATTATTTAGGCATCTGTTATATATGTTTGCTAAGTATTAAGGTAAGTGGCACGGGGAAAGCTGATTTGATATCACTGATCTTTTAGGCTCCTAATGAAAGACAATTGTTAAATCAGTAGCAAAACAGTACTGACCTCTCAGGTTCTTAGGAGACCTTTGTATGATTATTAGCAACAAAGAAGTGTCTAGCACTTTAACCCTGTTCTTTCATTTAATTCTCCCAGGGACCTGCTGAGGTAAGTTATTACCCATTTTGCACGTAAGGAAATGGGATTAGAAATATGAAGTCACCTGTCCAGGGTCACACACAAAATTGGCAAAGCCCACCTTTGTAACTGCTTCACTATAATGTCTCTTTTGAATGTGTATGAGCTGACACTAGGAGCAATTCTCTGACACCTGCAATGTGAATTATTTCCTAAATTTGACAGAAATCTCTGGCTGCAGAGGACCAATCACTAGGACCTTTTCCTCTGAAGTCAGAATAAATAGGACACTAAGACAAACTCAATTTTGCATTTCATTATCCAAGCAAAAATCATTAAATTTTATCACAGTTTACAATCCATGCACATAACCCAACTTTAATTCAATATATTGTAAAAATGAATATAATTCTATTTTTTCTACAATCAGATGCACAAGATTTACCTCAATTGAATGTGGGAATCTAGATATTTAAAACCCTAAGCATACATGCTTTAAAAAAATTTTTTTAACGTACACTCCTAGTGTTATTCATTGACATATTAAGATGCGTACTCAAATATGAGGAGTCTAAGTGACTTCATGGATTTAGCACATTTTTCTCGTATGAGGAAACAGAATTTCTATGATGAATTTATAAACAACAATAACCTCATAAATTCTTAGTTACTTGCTACAGATTGAGCGTCTTATCCAAAATGCTTAGGACAAGTATTTTGGATTTAGAATTTTTTTCAGATTTTGGGATATTTGCAGATACTTAACCAGTTGAGCATCCCTAATCTGAAAATCTGAAATGCTCCAATAAGCATTTCCTTTGAGCGTCATGTAGGTGCACAAAAAGTTTCAGATTTTGGAGGATTTCAGATTAAATTTTTGGATTGGGGATGCTCAACCTACATTCTCAAACCCTTAAGAATCTGTATTGTATATGACAAGTCTGAAGATTATGGTTAACATGTATGCTATGTGAATTGACAAGTTTTGTATTGGGAAGGCAGCCATCATACCGTTGTTGCAACAGTTCCAAGAAGAGGATGTGCATGTTCACAGAACACCTCTGTGTCCTGGGGGATGCGCCTCCCGGGGAGGGGGGACTATTTTCAGAAACATAAGGCAATGCAAGCAATGCACACTCCAGAGCCTGTGGGTCATGTGAAGTCAAAGCAGTGTGGGGCAAGAGACCACAAATTTGCAACATGCTACAACCAGAATGAGGCCACTCTACCAAGGCTGCCCTATCCTTGGTAGTGCCCCACTCTACCAAAGCTGCTCCTCCCTGCCACAGGAGAAGCCTTGAGGAAGTCCCCTCTGGCTCTCTGGCTGTTCCTCTACGAGAGCTAGAGGGGACTTCCTCAAGGCTCCTCCTGTGGCCCACACCTCACCTCCTGGGGTTCCCTCTGGGTAGGTAGTCTCGGGTGGGATCCAGGCATCTTCAGTTTCTACAAGCACCTCAGGAGATTCTGTGCACAGGCAGGATGGAGGGAGGTAGGAGGGAAGATAGAGGAGGTGGTAGCTCAGCCACCATGAATAACGAATAAAAACTTAGTTCAGTCATTGGCAGTGATCTCGGTTTGTCACCAGACTGAGTCTGTGGTAGAAGTGGCAGTTTACAGGTGTATCTGCAGTGAATATTCAGATCCTTAGCTTAAGAAAGTGAGACCCAAGAGTATCTGAAAATGTTATAAGGCATGAGAACTGGCACTGGTATCATCAGACAAGATTATAAGAAGCCTTTTAGACTATGACAGTATGCCAAACATTACAGGAGAAATACACGCCCACAGTAATATTTGAGGAGGAAAACCAGTATAACTAACTGAGGTAGAAACAGCACTACACCAACATGGCACCCAGCCGGTTAAACATCTCCTTCCACAAAACTTTCCTCTGGAGAAGTTTGATGACCCTATGACCACCCTCATAATATCCTAGTGATCACATGAGATTCTGCAGAACAAATTCTCTACATGAACTTGGGATCTTCCTTGTCCAGATCATTTGAAGCTGTCATACCGGAAGGGGCATTCTGTGTTGACAGCAGAATGACATGCCTCATTCTCTAATTTTGATGGTCTTTCATGCTGCTGTTGTGATAGAGCCAGTGTAGAGAGGCAGCACTTCCACAAGAGCAAAAGAGAGGCTTGCACAAAATAAAATCTGTATGAAGCAAGCTGAAAACAAGTTTTTTTTTTTTGTTTTTGTTTTTTGTTTTAGCTTGGAGCCATGTTTTTCAAACTCTGGGAATGGGTTGCAAAATGGATGGAAATGTAATGACGTTTCCAGTTTTGTTTTTTGGCTGGCTTCAAAACTAACAAGGTTTTGGAAAAAGATATAAAATTCATGGTAAAGTTTACACAAATTCTTCTGATTCGGAAATGGATACTGTAGCAATTAAGAGAAAACCCCATTTATCTGTATTTGTAAATTATACATTATAAAAATCCTTCAGGAACTGAGAGTTCTTTAAAGTTCTATTGTAGAACTTTAAAACGTTTCATGCCAAGTGGCCCTAAAGCATTTTCAACAGTGATGACTACCCTTGTTTATATATAAAGATTACCCACTCAAATGTAAACTGCCCTAAATGACCTCAAGTTCTCATCAATATTCAAATCTCATCTTCGGTATGTTCATCAACAGCTGTATCCAAAAATCTATCTTGTGATAAAGTGTAGTCAATAAGCCCTATGCTCCTTAGAACTAAGTAACAGATACAAGCAGGAGACCAGGATGTTCAAGAATTGTCATCTCCAGTAAGTCTGTGGTCCTTCAAATCCAGTGGCCTGTACTTACCAGCCCTTAATGATGCCACACTAGAATTCATGAATGTGTAATGGAGCTATCCTGTTGTGAGCAGCATACATGAGAAAATAACTTACTTCTTGAAGGCTACAGTAATTGGCTATGCCCTAAAGCATGAGACTTGATTATTCTAACACATATAATTATGAAAGTTATTATAGGCATAAAATTAGCTCTTTTAAAAATGCAGCTACAGTACTACTCAATGTGACCCTGAATCTTACTTTGTGGCCACATGTAGGTGTTCACACTGACAGCAAGTATTAATCACAGACATATAAGGGAACCTTTCAGATGACTCCAGCCATGTGACCATGAGGGATGCCAAGAGAGAACAACTTGACTCCCCTAGAATTAAAAGATTTTCATTAAAAAAAAAAAAAGTGACTGTTAGTCTTTAGGCCATTGAGTTTGGGTGTGATTAATTATGCAATAGATGACTAGAAAACATGCATTTCTTAGCTCCCTCTTCAAATTCACTAAAGCCAGCAAGTGAATAAAAAGATATAACCCAAAGGATAGTTCTAGAGGAGACACAAGGTATAGAAAATGTCAACCCATTTTTGGAAGATATAACATGCAGACACAAGAAAATAATCACCAAAGTGCTTCAGACGGGGATGCCAGTGAAGACACAAAAGGGCTTCTGCCCCTGGAGGCTCACAAACTGGAGGCACAGGTGTCTTGGAAGGCCAGGATGGGACTGAAGACGGGGATCAGTTAGGAATCTCTGTGAGGGATCATGACATCCTAAGATTCCCTAATGCCATGCTAGCAGAAAATAAGTTTTCTTTCTGGTGGGGGGATGGAGGGGCAATGGAGGGGAACAAAAGAACTAGAAGAGGCTGGGGACTCAGGGACACATGCATGGCTAATACCAAGGTTATTATACTTAACTGAAAACAAACGGCTAAGTCTACATGCTCACCAGTAGAACTCTCCCCTCCACCTCTTATCCTTAAGATTGACACAGACAGTTCCTACTTAGGTAACATTTAAAAAACAAAAAACTTCCCTTGGAACAACACATACTCTAAAAACAGGGATCAAGGGTCAGTGCATTTTTCTGAGAATGTAACTTTCCATCCGATTCTCAAAGAGGTTCATGCCTATCTCAAAGGACAGAACTACTATTCTGAGATATTTGAGCCAAGTACAACTTGGAAGTAACACTTTTTCAAGGCCCAGGAAGCCCCAGAGACTAAAGGGGTGTGAGTCTCAGAAAAGCAGTTCAGGAAGAGGCTAGGAAATGCATTCTTGGTGTCCCTGCATTCTCATACCATTAATCCACCACAGGGAAAACAGCCTTTCTCTATTCTCCTCTTGGGAAGAACAAGGGCCATTTATATAGAAGTTGAGGCCTCCCCAAATAGCCTGGCAGGCTGTGCTAGAGCTTGACTTTGACACAGCATGGAGATGCGTAGAAGAGTTTTCTTCCTCTCACAGCCCTCAAGGACAGAAGAGAAGAAACAAGCAGAGAGAGCTACTAATAAATGTTCCACCCCTTGCTAGCCAGGCAACTTTGGAGGAATCATCCTCTTTGTTTAGGTCTCGGCCTATTTAGCTGCAAAAACAGGATAATACCATCTACTTCACAAGGTTATTGTAAGATTAAACAGGATAAGGTATTAAGTGTAAGGAATGTGCAATCTGCTCTTCAGAGATTATATCTATCTGTCCAGATTCCATACTTTTTTTCTGAGACAGGGTCTTGCTCTGTCACCCAGGCTGGAGTGCAGTGGCACAACCATGGCTTACTGCAGCCTTGACTTCCCTACCTCCCCAGGCTCAAGCATTCCTCCTATCTCAGCCTCCTGAGTAGCTGAGACTACAGGGGCAGGCCAACCCCAGCTAATTTTTGTATTTTTTAGTGGAGACAGTGTTTCGCCATGTTGCCCACGCTGGTCTCAAACTCAGGCAATCCACCTGCCTCAGTCTTCCAAAGCACAGGGATTACAGGCGTAAGCCACTGTACCTGACTCAGATTCCACAGTTAAAAAAAGGGGGTGGGGATAGGTGGCTAACAGCAATTACGTGAGGTTTAAAAGTTTATTTTACAACCATGTAATTGTACAAATGATATAAACAGAAGTCAGATAAAATTATTAGTACATATATAGTACTAAAGCATAAACTATTACAGAAAATTTGATACAAAGTTGTACATAAGTACTTGTAAAGGCAATTAAGCTTCCCCAGTCTATGGGAATACAAAAGTTGCCAGCAATTAATTTACATTACAAAAAAGGAAAACCATTATTTATGCTATCACAAAAGCAATACCCTTAAAAGTAAAAACAATCTCCACTTGATATTAGTAATTTGAAAAACTTAGCATATCTACAACTACTGCTTAATCAACACTTTTCATTGATTCAACATTATCACTTAAATGCAGATGCAAAATAACCTTGCATGGCAAACATGTTTACTCTGTGCTAATGAAACTATGAAACAGTTCCTCCAAGTTCACAGACAAGTCAATCAATGATTGACTACAGAACAGACTGGTGAGTGTTACAAAAAAAAAAAGACCTGCCCAGGGGACCACTAGGGGTGGAGGAAGAACACCTGGGTCTCACTCACTGGGCACTTGATGCTTTCATTTTTATCTGTAAGCCAGGGGACAATTATATTAATATTGTATGAATACACTGCTACTGGGAAAAGCATTCATTCAACAGATGCCCACTACATACTCTGTACCAGGTAGTGTGTTAAGTGCTGAAACAGGGAAGGACAAGGCACATCCTACGGGGGCTCGCAGTGTGGGCAGGTGCTGAGCTAACGCACACACACAAGGGCTGGGTACTGCCAGATCTGTATCACTCCGGAGCAACGACCTGTCTCTCTGAATGATCTCTGGCATGGTAAAAGAGTTAACTGTATTTCAAAAGGTGAAACAAAACTTTTTTTGCTTTGTTATGCATGTTTCAAATTGATCAGTGGTTCAGGCCTGGAGTATGCATCAGAATTATCTGTGAAGCTTAGTGAAAGTGCTGATGCCAGAGCCCACCCAAAGCTTACTGCTTCAGAACCACTGGGGACCTGGCAGTTCTGATGTGCACGACTAGTCAAGAATCCTTTAAAGGCTGATAAAGCAATCTTGAAATCACTGTCAATGCAAAAGTGGATGTTCCTCATTAATAAGAACTCAAAAAATAAAGTACAGCTAGTATAAGACTTGTTTTTTGTGCCTATAAAACCCAAGTGTTAGCTACTTTCTAACTATAAAATTCTATCCAAAAAGACTTGCAGTCAAAACACCGAGCCAAAAAACAAAAAAGGCACCAAAGCAGTGCCGACTTCAATGTGCAAAGGCCTTTTACGTGCTGATATTGTAAGCAATCTGTGTGCATGTGTACATATGCATCTGTTTTCAGGGAAAGAAAAGCTGTTAAAGCCAATTAAGGTTATGAATTCTTGCTACTACTTTAATATTAAACCTTTAAGTGAAAATTTATTGAACACTATTACAAATGTGGCAAACTGACATAGCTGGTTTACTGCACAAACTTTAATGTCAAAGGGATTAGATCAGAGCTCCAGTCTCACTTACTGGGCCTATAACATTGTGCAGGGCACTTATCTCACCTCAGGAAAATGGAAGTAACTGCTTCATTTTACAGAGGTATTAAATGAAAGAAATGAGAAAACTATAAACCAACATTGAAGCCTGAATTATTGCTTAGTATTTAAAGTCTAGTACAATTGCAATGTTTTTAATAAAAAAACTCATTGATAGGTGTATTTTTACAGTGTATCTAAAAGCAGCATTTAACATTAAAAACTTAGTATTTAAAAGAGTACACAACCAGGCAGGGTGTGGTGGCTCACGCCTGTAATCCTAACACTTTGGGAGGCCAAGATGGGAGGATCACTTGAGGCCAGGAGTTCGAGACCAGCCTGGTCAACACAGCGAGACCCCAACTTTTTTTTTTTTTGAGACAGTTTCGCTCATCGCCCAGGCTGGAGTGCAATGGTGTGATCTCGGCTCACTGCAACCTCTGCCTCCCGAGTTCAAATGATTCTCCTGTCGCAGCCTCATGAAGTAGCTGGAATTAGATGCCCGCCACCCCGCCTAGCTAATTTTTTTGTATTTTTAGTAGAGATGGGGTTTTACCATGTTAGTCAGGCTGGTCTTGAACTCCTGACCTCAGGTGATCCACCCACCTCACCTTCCCAAAATGCTGGGATTACAGGCATGAGCCACCATGCCCGGCCAATGCCATCTATTAAAAAAACAAAGAAAAAGAGTACACAACCACAAAGCACTGGGCCAAATGCATTGTTTCCATGTTTGCAAGGATTTACCATAGAAATATTAGGTTGATGCAAAAATTAAATTTCCAGACTGCGAATTTTAAATCATTGTAACTACGCTAAAACATATTCTATTAATCAAAACAGGAACCATTACAATCAACACATTTTTGCCAATGAGAAATGTTTGTTTATTCCTGTAGCATAAAAATCCGTGCTTCAGGATTTGACGAACTCTTGGAAAGCATTTTCTGCACCATGCTGAAGTGTTTTCCCTGCAAAAAGTTGTCAAGATGCTAGCAGAAGTGGTAGTCAGTTGGCGAAAGGTCAGGTGAATATGGTGGATGAGGCAAAACTTTGTAGCCCAATTCCTTCAACTTTTGAAGCACTGGTTGTGCGACACGCAGTCAGGTGTTGTCGTGGAGAAGAATTGGGCCCTTTCTGTTGACCAATGCAGGCAGCAGGTATTGCAGTTTTCGGTGCATCTTACCAATTTGCTGAGCATACTTCTCAGATGTAATGGTTTCACCAGGATTCAGAAAACTGTAGTGGATCAGATGGGCAGCAGACCACCGAACAGTGACCATGACCTTTTTTTTGGTGCAAGTTTGGCTTTGGGAACTGCTTTGGAGCTGCCTCTTGGTCCAACCACTGAGCTGGTTGTTGTATAAAATTCACTTTTCATTACATGTCACAATCCGATTGAGAAATGGTTTGTTGTTGCGTAGCATAAAAGAAGACTACACTTCAAAACGATAGTTTTGATTTCCGCTCAGCTCATGAGGCACCCACTTATCAAGCTTTTTCACCTTTCCAATTTGCTTCGAATGCTGAACGACCCTAATGACCGTAGAATAGTCAACGCTGAGTTCTTCTGTAATTTTTCATGTAGTTCAATGATTGCTCTCAATTGGTCGTTGTCAACTTCCCATGGCCCATATCACGTTCCTCATCTTCAAGGCTCTCTTCCTTGCAAAACTTCTTAAGCCACCACTGCACTGTATGTTTGTTAGCAGTTCCTGGGCCAAATGTGTTACTGATGTTTTGAGTTGTCTTCGCTGCTTTATGAACCATTTTGAACTCGAATAAGAAAACTGCTCCAAATTTGCTTTTTATCTAACATCATTAGACAAAAAGCATATTCTAAAATAAACAGCAATAAGTCATTAGCAAAAAAATAAAGTGAGAAATGTGCATTAAAATGATCCACATTTATTTAAGAATGTATTCCAATATCAAACAGCAAATTTCAAAAATGCAAAAACGCAATTGCTTTTGCCTCTCAGGTACATCACTTGACCTTTCTAGTTCTCACCCACTTCACCCCTAAAATCGGAAAATCTTTCTGCAAGAAAAAAATTTGACCACATTCCCTTAAGGCCTCTTCCAATTTCAAGAGCTGTGCTTTACCATGACAAAACGAACCTAGCTCTTTTCCCAATTTTGCAACGTCAGAAAAAGGAGGAAGGGGAAATAGCTGTGTTTAAAACATTTTTTACCAAATAGAAATATTATAAGATTATGGAAAAAAAAATACTAAATGTTGGAGTCATCCTGATAAAAACCCAAATGGATACTGTGTGGGAAAAAAAGTTAACCCATCCATTCTGGAGTCAATATTTATTCTTAATAAGCAAGAAAACTGAAGAAAAAAAATCAGTATAAGATCTACAGCCTGTAGCCTAAACACTTCAGGGCATTTAGGATAAATAAGCGCCTGCACCTTCCCAGGCAAGTCAAAACCACGACATAAAACAGAGAAATATGTAAGGAAAACCTACAGCCCAAGAGTTTAAGAGCAAGACAGGCCAATTTCTTCAAATAAATTTAAGCAATGCTGCTAAAAGCTGCTTTACACATCCCTATTACCATGTACTACTTCCAAATTTCGAGGAGGAGGGGCATGGAATTACACAAGATCTGGATCGTATGTTTACTAAGAAACCAAAAATTATAGGTTCTGGGGCGTTTCAACATTTCACCTGAGATGGCCAGAACGGGCGCATCTTTAGACCTTTAAAACCTAAATTAAAAACTATCAGTACCGAGGAAGGGCCGAAGAGCTCAATACCCACCCAATACAACCCCCACTTCCGACCTACAGACGCTCTGCTGAGCGGCTGGGAGAATCCGTCGCGCCAGTCAGGGCCCGGCTTCTTCCAACAACAGACACTTTGCGAGCCTTCCAGAAGCCTTGGCTAAGCGAGAAGGCAGGGTGGAGGCCGCCACTGCGAGGACGGTCCCCACCCAGCTGCGAGGAGCTCGCGGTTCCCCAGAGGGGCGGGCCTGCGTCCGGGTAACCGTGCGCGACGTCCACGAGTTTTTAGGACGACCAGCCCTTCAGCCTCTAGGCCCCGACGCCTGCGCCATTTAAGCCACATATCCGCCCGCCCGGCCGCGGCCAAGGCCGGCGGCAGCTACGTAGCCGCCGCCGCCCGGGGCCCCACAGCCCACGGGCCGGATGGACCGAGCGCCGGCTGCGGCGTTCCGGTGCGCGCGCGCGCCTCAGCCAATCGCGTTCTCGCCCGCCCCCCGCCGCGGCGGCGAGGCTGGCGCTGGGAAGAGGAAGAAGAACATTCGCCCTCCTCCTACCAGCGCGCGGGCGGCGGCGGCGGCGGCACCGGGGTCACGAACTCTGACCTTTCACTGACAAAAACAATAACAAACCCCCCCTTCTCCGCGACCCCGGCGGCGCCCCCGGGCCCGTCCCCGCCACCCCGCTCCCACCTCGGCGTCTCGTCTCTCGCCCGCTGCCCCGCGAGCCCGCGGCCCCCGGGCTCCCGCCATCCGCCGACACCGGGAGCCCGGGCTCCCCGCGCCCTGCCCTCCGCGCCGGGGGCCGCCCGCCGCAGACACGGGACCCGCTTCGAGGCCGCTTTGGCGCCAAATCCTGAGGTAAAATTGAAAGAGGGTCGGGCGGGCTCGGGCCGGCGGCGGAGGGGGCGGGCCTGGCGCGCGGACATGGAGGCGCCGCGGCGGCGGCTGAACCCGACCCTTTTACCTTTGCCACGGGGTGGCGGCGGCGGCGCCCGGCGCTTTGCATAGTGGGCCGGGCCGCTCCCCTCCCCTCCCCGCCCGCGGCCGGGCGAAGCGAGCGGGTTCCCCCTGACCGGCCCGGCCGGCGCAAGGGTGGGGGTGGAGGGGGAATGGCCGCGGCCCCGCCTTATAGTTGGCCCTCCGCCAGCGCCGCCATTTTGTTCTCGACGGAGATGGCTCCGGCTGGGCGGGCTCCCTTCCTCCTTATCCTCCTCCTCCTCCCGCCTGCAGTCCCTTCTTCCTTCTCTGCCGGGATTTTCACCCCTCCGCTTCTAGTCCGCCTTTGGCGGCCGTCGCAGCCCAACCGCCGTTTTTTCTGAAGGGGAGGGTAAAAGAAAAGGAGGAAGGCGGGTGCGAGGCGCGACCTCGTGAGCGACGGATGGGCTGGCTAATTGGCGCCCAGATAGGAGGGCCGGGGCCTGTGGCACCGCCCCCCTAAGCTTTGCTGATTGGCTGAGGCGGAAGAGGGTGGTCCTTATGGGGCGCGGGAGCCCTGGCGGGGCGGGAGTAGAGGCCGGGGCGAAGAGTGGGGCCGGGTCGGCGGGGGCGGGGCCGGGGGCGGGGCGCGAGGGGCGCGGCCGGGTGGAGAGGCCGGCGCCTGGTCTTGGGTCAGCAGGTGGGCTGCTTCCCTCCGCCTGGAACGCGTCTCGAATGAGTACTGAGGAACAATAGTAATAAAGGTGATGAAGCATTTCGAGTCCACGATGCGCTCTCGTGGGAAGAGGTTTTCGGAACCAGGACACTTTTCAGGGCTCCTGCTCGTTATTTCGCAGCGGCCTTGGCGAATCCCCTAATGAGGCTCAATTTTATCGACTGTAAATGGGGGGCATGCGCATTCTTGCCAGGCCGGACCTCCCTTCTGAGCATTGTTTGTGGGGCTCTACTCAGAAAATGGAGGCAACGCTACTTTGCGAGCTTCAGAGTCACTTGAAAATGGTGTTATTGTTAAAAATGGGATTACAGCCACCAGGAGAGGCAAGCGTTAAGGGTATTTGGGGTTTGAGAGAGCACAATTCGGGAGTGATTCTCTTCTCATTCGTTCGCTGAATACATGTTGACTTAGTTTTTTAGGCACTGGGGACACATCTGGAGAACCAGCTGTACAAGACCCCTGCCCTCACTAGAGTTGGGGGCTGGGGGGTGAATAGACAAATAATTCCAGAGAGTCATAAGTTCTGTGAAAGAAAAGAAGCCAAATGACCTGCTGAAGAAGACCTGAGGCGTTAATTTAGATGGAATGGTCAGGGTGGCCTCTCTGAGTAAGTGATGTTTGAACAGAGGAACCCAAGGGAGGAATGGCATTCCAGACAGGACATCCCGTGTAACGGCCCTGGAGGAAGAGCATTTGATGTGATCGAGAACTGGCTGCTTGTGGCTGGAGAGTTGGTTGGAACTAGTAATTGTCCATTATCCCACTTTGTTTCCAAGCCAAAGGCTGTGAAATATAGCAACGGTAGTGAGGAACAAATCTTCAATGTAATAAGAAAGTCGAGGAAAATACAGCCTTCATATGAATTACTGATGAATACATGACTTGGGAGGAGGGCCTCAGAAACTCACTTTACTTCCAGATTCAAATCCTTCGTCAGCCTCTTATATACATTTTCAGTTCATCAAGTATTTCCTGAGTGCTACGAATACTCCAGGCACTATGTGCTAGGCTGGGAATACAAAAAAGTAAGACACTGGTCCTCAAACATGTGAATATGATTTATTTATTTATTTATTTATTTTTTGAGACCAAGGTCTCACTCTGTCGCCCAGGCTGGAGTTGAATATAATTCTCTGTGTGTGAGTTCTCTCTTTCTCTCTCTCGAGATAGAGATATTTATACACATACATACACAGACATAAAATGTTTTAGTGTTGTGGTTAGCAACTCCCCAACTTTTACTAGCAGTGTGATTTTGTGTAAGCTACCTTTCCTAGCCTCACTGTCCTCATCTGGACAATAATAGAGCCTTCCTTCCTGAACTGAAGATTAGATGAGTTAATGTAAATAATAGAGCTTAGAAAAGTGCCTGACATGTAGCAAATACTGTGTAAATAGAGTTATTGTTGTCATTATGAACTACTGGTATAGACATTGGACTAATTAAGTGATATAAATAATGAAATTTTTATGCAGTGTGGTGTAGGGGCAAAAACAATAGATTCGAACACCGAGATTCTAGTTTTGGCTCTGTGCTTGCAGCTAGTTACATGGCATCCAGGACAAAAGTTTGGAAAACAAAATAATGGAACTAAATAGTACTAACCAAAGTATAGGGTGCTTTATGATTTACAGAACTCTCTTACAGGCAGTATGTTGTTCAGGCGCCACTAGAACCCACGTAATGGCAGAGGCTTCCTGTTCCATGTTTAAAAACCTTTCCAAGGCTTTTCATTATTTTCTTATCTGTGGTACCCCTAGCTTCCTGTGCTCTAGACACACTGGCCTACCTTCAACTTCCTTGACCAGTGTAGCTTACAGTGTAAGCTTACCCCCCACCCCCACCCTACCTCAGATATTGGCTCAAGCATCACTTCTTCAGGGAAGTCCTAATTCCCATTGCCAGTCTAAATCAGATTCTTTTTATTCTTTTCTTTATAATCTTTATCTCACTTTATAATTACACACTCTATTATGTGATTATTTGATTAATGTCTGTCCTTACCACACTGTAAGCTGTGAGAGCAGGAATACATTTTGTTTACCATTACTTATCCAGCACTTAGAAGAGTGCCTGGCACTATTTGTTGAATGAATTGTTGATAATTTATGATGTCACTGATAACTAAGTTGCTGTACATTGATGGATACCTTTTGTGTGAGCCTCTTTGGCAATTCAGATAGCACTGCCAGCAATAATAAGCCTGTTACGGTATTTGGTTGAATTTAGCAAGTGATTTCTGACAGATATGCCACTTTCTGGAGACATAAATATGGATAAAATGACCCATTTCAATAGTTTTTCCCACTCATTTTTTTATGATTGAATTACAAGTTTAAGTGCATGAAAGTTAATAAGTTCATATGTGAAGAAATAAATAGCCCAAACATAACTTATGTTATTTACTTTAGCTGAAGAAACGAAGCACTAAGCTACCATGATTTTCTTGAAATCAAATATTCTGATTTTTGTCTCACCATCACAGGGGATTGGAGAGAAGGAACAAGCCTCCAGTGGGTTCACAGGGAATTGGGAGTTGAAAGTCTCTGTAGCCATTAATTCGGGATATTTATCTTTCTAAAGATAAATTGATTCATTTAATGAAATTATTGAAAATCACCTTTTAATTGCTTTACCAAGGTTAAAAGCAAATTTTGTTAAGTATACATCAAGTTTCTACTCGAAAGTGTGGTAAATAAAACATTTGTATTAACTTATTTTATATTGTAAAACTTTTAAAATAAGATATTGTTATGGTATTTTAAAAATAATAATAGTTTAACTGTTTATTTTTGGGTTTTTTTTTCTGTCTTGCTCAAAGATTTTTGGTATCACTTGTTCAATTCCTTAAGCTAATTACTCAGGGTAACCAAAGAACTGCTAGTTTAGTAAAACAGCTATATGTTGTCTTACATCGTTAAGTTATTTATTGCTTTCAGTAGTTGTATTCACAGTGACTTTTAAGTTTTGTTTCGTGATCATTCTTTTATAGAAAATCCCTGTGCGTAACAACCTCCTCACTTTATGAGGATGGCTGGAAGTTTTTTTTGTGTGTTTTTTTTTGTTTTTGGGAGTCTCGCTCTGTCACCCAGGCTGGAGTGCAGTGGTGCGATCTCGGCTCACTGCAAGCTCTGCCTCCTGGGTTCACGCCATTCTTCTGCCTCCGCCTCCCCAGTGGCTGGGACTACAGGTGCCCGCCACCACGCCTGGCTAATTTTTGGATTTTTAGTAGAGACGGTGTTTCACCATGTTAGCCAGGATGGTCTCAAACTCCTGACCTCGTGATCCGCCTGCCTCGGCCTCCCAAAGTGCTGGGATTACAGGTGTGAGCCACTGCGCCCAGCAACTGGGAAGTTTTTAGCATCTGTCTCCAAGGAGTAACATGGCAAGGGCAGTGCAGTGACAGAGCTTGGGCTATGAAGGCAGAAAGGCCTGGCTTCAGAACCTGGAGTTGGTAGCCTCTCTGAGGCTTATAATTCCCCATTTGTCAAACAGGGAGGTGGGAGCCAGCATTGAGATTGGGGCCAGGGATAGCGGATACTTGTTGTCTGAATGACTTTGAGAACAAGGGAGGTGAGTCTTTGTGGAGCAGCCCTGTCTTCAGCCGTGGCACTGAGCCACTGGTCTGTGTCTAGCTGCCTGAGTGTCTCCACATATCGAGGGCCCTCCGTTGGGATTTTTATTGTTGAGTTCTCTTACCTATAAGCCATACGCTCCTTTAGTCCCAAACCATCTCCTGTACAAGTATCATCTTAAAAAATACCACACGGGGGGAGTCCGTGAAGGAATCTTAGAATCTCAGAATTGGAAGTGGTCTAGACCCCAAGTCCAGCCTTGATGTAAGGATCCCCTGCTAGATTTTCGTTTACCTCTTTTTACTTTATTGCTAATTATGAGGGCCTTAAATGATGCCTTTTTTCTTCCCTGTGTGATCATCATCTTTAACTTAATGGATACATTTGTGCTCCTGTTACACATTGTAAAAGATATGTTCTTCCTTATTCGTTGGAGGTTTGCTTGCCTTCAACTTAATATGCCAGAGGCTGAGATTCTCTGTCATTCTCTCCCATCCTGCCACTCTTTCCCCATATCCCACTATTGCTACCCGAGGTAGCAGTCCTACTCCCCTTGCTCACTTCAGGTCCTGAGTGCTAGAGAGTAAAGCAGCAGGAGCTCTATACCAAAAGGAAGAACTGCCCAAGAACAACAGCTCAACTAGCACAGCTCAACAATGATGAGGAGTGGGAATGACTAGAGGGATGAAAGCCAGATCAGGGCATTGGCGTAGGCATTTGTTAAAGGTACAATAAATGCAGATGCAGACCCCTGGTACCTGGAAGTCTTAGAATAGAAGGATGGGAGGTGAATTGTTAAGGACAGAAAGGGAATAGGCTAGCTCAGACACTTAACTGTTTTTTCTGTGTTACCCTTGGACTCCAGTTGGCCTGTAATGATGAAAGTCAGCCTCAGAGGCAAGTGTGATTTTTTAGGGGCAATAAAAAGTACCTCCTTCACTGTAATAAGAGGCCTGAAGTCCTTTAATAGGAGGTGAAACTTTCTATTCCATAATTATTAACAGTTACCTCAAAGATTCTAATCCCTGAAATGTTAACATGTAGATGGAGAGGAATTTCATTCCAAGTGCCCAAGTGTAAAAGAATATTTCCCCCCTGTTTGCGTTAGTGAGAGGTGTGAGAAAAGGTCTTGGGGCCTGGAAAATGGGGTGACTGCTGCTGAAAAGTGAAGAGAAATGAGAGGCTGGTAGGGCTAGACTCAAGCCTGAAGGCTTCCTGGTTTTACAGGGAGCTGCTTTATTTACCTTTGTTGTTCATATGTTGATAAAAGCTATGCAGGGGAAAAAGTTTCCTACCTGACTGCCCACCCATGTTCCTTAAAAAGAAAGATTCACGTATGGCCAGGCGTGGTGGCTCACCCCTGTAATCCCAGCACTTTGGGAGGCCAAGGCAGGCGGATCATGAGGTCAGGAGTTCAAGACCAGCCTGGCCAACATAGTGAAACCCCATCTCTACTAACAATACAAAAAATTAGCTGGGCGTGGTGGCAGGCGCCTGTAATCCCAGCTACTCGGGAGGCTGAGGCAGGAGAATCACTTGAACCCGGGAGGTGGAGGCTGCAGTGAACCAAGATCACGCCACTGCACTCCAGCCTGGGCGACAGTGCGAGACTTCATCTCAAAAAAAAAAAAAAAAACAACTGAGGCTGGATGGCTCTTGAGAAGTTACACAATACTAGCGGGCTTCATGCTGCATTTCCCCCAGTGTATTTGTTGTATAGTGAATCTGATTAGGTATTATTTCTAGAACATTTTGGATATGTCATTTGTACCACACTCGTTCTTGTCCCCTGTCCCACCACTATGGTGTCTGTAATGATGCATCTTTTTATTAGGTTGATAAGATGACTAACCCTGGAATTGAAAAATCATTTTTTAATTGATTGCTTTACCAAGACTAAAAGCAGATGTCACAAAGTATATATCAGCTTTTAACTGGAAAGGCTAATAATTAGACTGTGTTGTTGACTTATTTAATATAATACAGATTTTTAAAAATAAAATAAATTTATAATATGTCTTTTCTAAAGAAATAAACAATGTACTTTCTCGAGAATAAAAATTAAAAATAGATAAAAGTAAAACAGTTAATTTTTAAAAATAGTAAAATTTTCAAACGAAGAAAAGAAAGCAGTACATCAAAAGGCATGTGTGAAAATGTTCATAGGAGCACTAATCATAAGGACTCCAAACTAGAAACAATCTAAGTGTTCATCAGCTATAGAATGGAGAAATAAATTGGGCATAGTCGTACATTAGAATACTGTACGACAGTGAAAATGGATTCACTTCTCATGGTTATTACAAAAATAATGTTGGGCAAAAGAAGCCAGACATACCAAAAAGTGTATTATAAACAGTGCAATAATATTATAAAGTAATGCCAGTAGTATAAAAGTCAGGAGAGGGAAGAGAAGTTATTGACTATGGGAAGGGGTGTGAGAGGGACTTTTGGGGGTATTGGTAATGTCTTGTTTTCTGATCTGAGTGGCATTTACATGTGTGTTCTGTGTGTTCAGTTAGTGAAAATTCATCAAACTGTTCATTTACGATTTGTGCCTTTTTTTGTTTTTTGAGATGGAGTCTCCCTCTGCCGCCCAGGCCGGAGTGCAGTGGTACGATCTTGGTTCACTGCAATCTCCGCCTCCCAGGTTCAAAGGATTCTCGTGCCACAGCCTCCCGAGTAGCTGGGACTACAGGCGTGTGCCACCATGCCCAGCTAATTTTTTGTATTTTAGTAGAGACAGGTTTTCACCATGTTGCCCAGGCTGGTCTTGAACTCCTGAGCTCAGGCAGTCCAGCCATCCCGGCCTCCTAAAGTGCTAGGATTACAGGCAGGAGCCACCGAGCCTGGCTGGTTTGTGCCCTTTTGTATCTGCGTGTTGTAGTTAAGTAAAAAGTTTTACTTAGTAAAATTGTTCTCACTATTTTAATTAATGTGATTATTGTGTAGGTTAAGTTTTAAGGGAAGAATGTGTTCAAAGTTCTAAAAGAACTGCCATGGTACTACCTGGGTGGAGCAGCCTCAGAAATTTCTGTTAGCAATACTGAAACATAAGTCACATATTACGACTTAGTGGTTGTGTATATCAGTTATTAAATGATCTAGCTTATTGATGTAAGCAATTTTTGTTCCCTTAGATAATTCTTTCCTGTCACTTTTTTTTTTCATTCTCTCCTTGACTTCCTTTTTTCTGGGAAATTATTTTGAAGGGCACTGTGATCTAGAGGGAATGTTGCGATTTTAGAGTCAAAGAGGCCTCAGTTGGAATCCTAGCTCCATCGCTTAGTAGCTGGATGATTTGAAACGAGTTACAAGTGCTGAGTCTCAGTTTTTTCCATCTTCATTGGTGAGCTAATATTACATACTCAGAAGGTATGCTAAGGATTAAATCATGCCTAGTTTGATTTAAAGCACATTGTGGATGTCAAGAGAATTTATCCTGCTTTCCTTCCATCCATCTACCCTGGCTCTTACTGATAGATATGAAGAAAGTCCACATCACCCTTACACTTGGGCTCTTGGTAGGATAAGAAAAAATCATCCACAGTATGTAGTGACTTTTTTAGGGGAGGTGTCAACACAGAAAATTGTAGAACTGCTCTGATACTATAAATATGTAAGAACTTCATTTATGTGAAAGCCACTTCTCTTCCCTACTAGTCACTCACCCAGCCTTGCTACTTCTACCATATACATATCATTGCTGCACTTTTTTACAGTTGCTTTGAATATGGAAGAAACAACTTTCCTATGGAGGGTCACAATGGAAAGGAAATTACCTGACCCTAAAGCTAAGTAAACTTGGAGTCTAAATAAATAATTGGCTTTCCATTGACAGGAAGTATACCTAAACTTAACCTTAGAGGCATCCCAGTGAGTATCTTTTCTGTTGATGAACATTTGTATTACACTAAACCTGCCACTTGAATTTCATTTTCTACTTTCAAGTCTTGATCTATGATTGCAAGTTTCAAGCTATGTATTTCTTATTTTTTATCCTCTCTCAGGCTATCTAAATCCTTCCATTTTAATTTTCCCATGAATATGAACAGACTTCTAACAATCAGAATAATTAGACTTATACTGAATGCCTTGTACCTATCAAGAGTTCTATGCCCAGTAGTATTTTGCAAGTAGTTATTAGGTATTGGTTTATTTTTAAATATTTGTAAGATTTTGTCCTAATTTAGCCCCATTGTTTTGCCCAGTTGTACAGTTTAACAGGGCGAATTACAAATGCTTTGTGTGGGTGTTTGTTTTTTTATTATTTATTTATTTTTTGAGACAAGAGTTTTACTTTTGTTGCCCAGGCTGGAGTGCAGTGGCTCAATCTCAGCTCACTGCAACCTCTGCCTCCTAGGTTCAAGCCATTCTCCTGCCTCAGCCTCAAACAGCTGGAATTACAGGCATATGCCACCATGCCTGGCTGATTTTGTATTTTTAGTAGAGATAGGGTTTCTCCATGTTGGTCAGGCTGGTCTCGAACTCCTGACCTCAGGTGATCCGCCTGCCTTGGCCTCCCAGAGTGCTGGGATTACAGGCATGAGCCACCGCCCCGGCTGTGTGTGTGTTTACACTACTTCCATGTGTATATAGTTAAATTTCATGTGAGCCTTATGTGAAAATCAGACCTATTCCTAATCATAATACACATTTTACAGTTTGAGTTACTTTCAGATTTCTTTGAGAAAGCAAAAGTGGCACCATCACCTTTCACCAATGATAGCTACCATGTGTTGCATTTCTATGTCCCAAGCACAACGTATACACATTTAAGATCAAATCTTCACTATAACCTCATATGGTCAGTATCTGAGAGATGAGCTTAGTGCCTGAGCCTCAGAACCCAATATAGTTGTTTAGCTAAGGAAATACCAAGACAGTAGATACTTTGCATGTTATATTTATAAGCCATGTAACACATAAATATGGATGATTTGAATCAGTTGATTGTGGAGGGAAAGGCAGCCTCACTCATTCCTATTAATGAAGGCAGCGTCTCCTTGTCCCAGGACTTGTTCATTGTTATCTGAAACTGGAGATTCAGGTGTTTCCAGAGCCCAGCTTTTCACTGCAGTGAAGTCTGTGCCCTACTTCACTAAAGAAACTCTGGTTGCAAGGTTTAGTTAGCTATCACTTTGTGAGCCTGGAAGAGCTAATTCAAAGTCATTGTTCTGTTCTCTGCTTCTTTGTTGTTGGTGGGGTGATATTGATCCACTTGGATTTGAAAGAATTTCTTATAAAACCTGTCACATAAGGCCAACCAAGTATGATTTACTACTATCATTCTATGGTCTGTATTACAATTTTTTATTTTTTTAGAGATAAGGTCTCACGATGTTGCCCAGGCTGGATATGAAATAGTTTTTATATACTGTGCCCTGTTGTCATTTGTGTGCTATCGAGGAAAAACACACTACTTTAAGAATCTGCCTTCATCTCTAGACTTTACTATTGCTACCACTTCCTAACTGGCCTCCCATCTACAGTCTCTGTCTTTTCTATCATTTCCACACTGCAGTCTAAATTTTTTTTTTTAAGATCCAGATTTGAGTGCATCATTTTTCTGCCAAACTCCTGATAATTCTCTGTTGTCTACAGTGTCAGCCTCTCTCCTTCCCTGGTCTCTGTAATAATTCCACACCACATTGCCATTCCTCAAATATGCCACTCTTCCTCATACCTGCCAGTTTTGTATGAGCTGTCCTCTCTGCTTAGAACTCTCTTGTCATCCATCTGTCTTTCCTTGCTACATTTCCATTCTTCCTTCAAGACCTAGTTTAAATAATTCCTCTCCTGTAACGTTTTCATTGGTTCTCACAGGCAGAGAGCAATGTGTCTTCCCCTGGGACACTCATAGCATTTGCTTTGCATAGATACTTCAGTTTCCTTCATAAGTTCATCAAGGACAAGGACTGTTTATTCTCCTCTTTCTCCTCCTTGTTGTTGTTAATTCTCAGCAGTCAGTTCATTGCCTAGTTCATAGCAGTTACTTAATAAGAACTGATGGAGGTGGTTGGACTTGATTAGTAAAATCACCAGAGGAAGATCTTCTGTAGCACTTTTTTTTTTTAACTTAAGGTACTCAGTATTATACTTCTTTTGGCAGCTAATCAGGTTCTTTCCCCTAAACATTATTGTGGGGGTGGGGGGCAATCTTTGAAGGTTAACAAGCTGAATGGGTGAAGTACTAGCCTTTAGGACTCAGGTTTCTGTACCAAGAGCGAGTTTAGTGTTCTGTCCACAGTGGTTGTTAATATAATGCCTTGTGTATAGTAACCACTTAGTGTTAGTTGCTGCTATTAGTGTTATGCTTGGCTCCACCAGCCAAGAAGGTTGTTTTTAAAAGCTTTATTTCTTTTCTATACTTTGTAGTATCAAAACAATAGGATTTTTTTGTTGTTGTTGTTCCAGATTGGTTGGGTGCTGCGGCTAATGCCTGTAATCCCAGCACTTTGGAAGGCTGAGGCAGGCAGATCTCGAGGTCAGGAGATCCAGACCATCCTGGCCAACATGGTGAAACCCCGTCTCTACTAAAAATACAAAAATTAGCTGGGCATGGTGGCGCATGCCTGTAATCCCAGCTACTGGGGAGGCTGAGGCAGGAGAATCGCTTGAACCAGGGAGTCGGAGGTTGCAGTGAGCCGAGATCGTGCCACTGCACTCCAGCCTGGCGACAGAGCAAGACTCCGTCTCAAAAAATATATATATATAAAATTGTGCTAGTGAAGATAGTTTTTCAAACTACATCTAGACACAACCCACTGTTCCTTGGAGCCTCTTATTCTAGTGGGACATCTCCTAATTGATAACCATTTTCTGGTGGTACTTTTTCAAAGATGTATGACCTTCTCACTGTGTGATCTTTCTGTCTCTAGGACCGCCTATGGCTGCGGTAGCAGTGAGAGAAGCTCTCAGGTGAGAGTCTTATACCCTGATGTTACCTTTTTTGTCTGGGTGCATTTTGGTTAAATGTCCACGCTGCCCCACTTCCTTACATTACTTGAAGATTCTGTTTTACTTCTTACATTGTGATATCCTGGAAGAAAAAGCCTTTGTCTTCCTTTTTTATATGAGAATAGGCTATATGGTTTGTGACTTATTTTCAAAAGTAATAGAAAATATTTTTTGAAACTACTTCTCTCCTCCTCTGACTGGATTTAAGTCTTTATTGAAAGCACTTGCTTTAACATAGTTTCTCTTTCAATTTCTCTCTCACTCTTAGTCTCATTTTTTTGTCTCTGCTTGTTTTTCCAGAAGGTGCACATTCCTCCTTGTTCATTTTTAAGCAGCTTCCAAAGCTGCTGTTGATGATGCCTGATGCTGCTTTGAAGGCAGAAAACCAACAGTGAGATCAAGAATTGTAAGAATTCAAGTGTATAAAGAAAGGTTGCTGCTCAATTCAAGTGTATAAAGAGAGGCGTTTAAGATGATCCAGGAAGTTGGTGTGGGAGAACAAGGTGGGGGGCACTTGTCCTATCAGAGAGCAAGACTTACGCTAACACTGCAGTAAAAAGATAGTGGTGGTGACCAAGAGAAAGACACAGAGAACTTAGTGGAATAGAATAGAGAACCTACAGTTATATCCACATATATAGGAAAAACAGATATGGCAGAGATGGCATTTCAGATCAGTGGGGAAAAGGATAGATTTTCCCCATATAGATAATCCATTTTCCAGAACTATTTCTTGAATAGAAAATGGTAAATGGATTATCTACATGGGAAAAAAATTAGTTGGATCCTTACTTCTCATCAGATTCAAGAATCAATTTGCAGATGGATTGAGGAGTTACATATGAGGGGAAAACTGGAACATTTCTAAGAAAATATTTACAGTTACATTCCTGGGATAGGACAGGATTTTCATAAATGAAAGTACAAACTGTAAAAGAAAATAGGGATAAATTTAGCCTTATTAAATTTAAGGACTTCTGTTCATCAAAAGACACCTTAAAGAAAGTAAACAGATGAACCACAGAGTGGGTGAAGATATTTATAACTTATCAACAAAAAATTAATGTCCAGAATACTTAGCTTTTCTAAACTTAAACAGATTTACTGCTGCTTCTCTGTGACTTCATATCTGTAGTCACCTGTTGTTAGATTTATCTTGGGATCCCCAGCCCTACCTGAAGTTGATTGATCCTGCAAATTTAAAGTGAATTATTACAGAAATAATTCTGTACTAGGCCTCTATTAAATCAGATTGTCATCTATAAAATCCACTTTTACTCATAATTTGATGTATCAAGCCACCTCTTTTAGGGAACCCAATAGAAAGATACACCTTTCTAGTACTCTGTTTCTATACTATTCAATAATATTTTCCTAACAATATTCCTGTAATAATTCAAATTCACATATTTCTTACATTGAACTATAGTTAATAACAGAGGAGAAATTCTGTTGACATCTAAAAGTGATAAAAATTATTAGTTGCAGCCACATGTTTAGATTTATTTTTTAATGTACAGTACCTATTGGCTATCCATTTCTTTAAAAATTCTTATTTTCTGTTTTGAGGAAGAATCAGACTCTAGACTTTTACATGCAATACTTGTATTTTTAACAAGTCAGTTGACTTTTCTGGTAGACTTAAAGACGCCTTTTCCTTCCATCTCCATTAGTTGTAACCAAACTATAGCAAGAAAAAAAGACCAAAAGGTATCTTTGTGTTTTTTTCTTGTAGAAACAAGTAAAAGTTAAGTTTTTACCATCTATTAAAACAATAAACTTATCTCCTCAGTTTCAGACCTAATCATATTTTGTGAAAATGAGTAACTGATACTGGTGGTCTCATGTCATTGTAGAAGTTGGTGCAGTATCTGCTGTCACAGAATTTTGACTCCTTGAAGACAGGAGCCAGGTCTTTCATATTTGTCAGTCACAGTTTCATCCTCCTGTTTCTTTCTCTTAGCATTCTGGCAATAAAATATGAATTAGAATTATCATAATAGAGGTGGCTATCTAATAATAAATAGAATGATGTAGAAAGTTACCAGAGAGTTAAAAAGCTTCATAGAGATCAGTGATTATAATACCTTAGATAGGAACTACAGAAAAATATTTTGTAAAATTGTATTGCAAGATAATCCACTTTGTGATTGAGGGAGGGCAGGCAAATGAACTGTAATTTTCTATATTGCACACTCAATAATACTGTATAGTTTTTATATGTAAATCTTGGTAATAGATTTGAGCTTTGTTCTCCTGTGGACCTTGGGACCTATACAGTCAATAGTGAATGTCCAGAAATTGGGTCTAGATTATACTGAATTCTTTGTGGTAGAGCCTTTGAAAGGGCTTAGGAAATATTCAGGAGAGCTTTCTCATGACCAGAAGAGACTGGAAGTCTGCTCCTTCAGCAATGCTGGTACTCAAATGTCTTGACCCAGGAAACTAGCACACTCTTTGATCTTTAGGTGATCACTCTTTAGGTGATCTTTCTCAATTTTTACGAATAATGACATCAAATCTATTTTTGCTACTAGTAGAAAGCCGAATTATCTGGTTTTGTAATTTAATGAGGACTTAATATAAATTAATATGTGTATGGGTACCATATTCTTGTTAGCACTCTTTAGTAATGCAGTCTCTTCGCTTCTTGCTTTGTTAGTGATAGTATTTGCCTTTCAACCTGTGAGTGAGGTATGTTAGCACCAAGCAGGGTTTTGCTTCTCACTTTGCCACTAGCAAAAGAAGTATGGTTAATGATAGCCATCTAGGGCTCTATCCAGAGTTGATCTCACACCTTTCTCAGATACCCACCTTCTTATTCAGCATACTGTGACAGGGAACTATCCAAAAAGGTGTGATTCCCACCTCCCTGAGAGGTAAACCAAGCTGTTACAACCCTGGAGACCTGATAATTAAATTTCCAAATTCATCTTTGTCTATATTTGTCAGTGGAAGTTTCTAAATTGAAATGTTTCTACAAATTAATTTTGGTACCTGTAACTGAAGGAGGCGGTGCAGCATATACAGATAGGTCTAGCTTGCTAGGTCTGTCTGCTATAGAGGGCAAAATCCACACAAGACAGTACCAAAGATGAATTTTGATTACTAATATTTTTCAAGTAGTCTGGTTTCTCCCCACCTGATAGAGGTTGCTACATCTTTCCAAACAGGTTCTCTAATGATCTTGGTTCACCATGGCTACAAATATGGAGGGGCTGGTTCAGCACAGAGTGGGGACCCAGCAGGTGGCTGAGGTGAGTGACAGGGGCTAGCACAGTAGCTGGCACCCTCACTTTCGAAAGAAAAGAAAAATCAGTGTGCTCATTTTTTTCAAAACAGTCCCTTGGAGGTCAGCATGTGATACGTCCTAGGGTGCTGTCATGGGAGAAAAAAATGACAAGAACATTTATTTGTAACTTTTTTTTTTTTTTTTTTTTGCATGAGTAGGGTGGCCTATCTGCTTTTAATAAGGTGACTTGAACTTTTACTTTAAACCGAAAACTAGTAGAATCTGATTATTATTGAACCTTGTGGGTATAGTTTAAACTCCAAATCTCTTAGTTTCTCGTACGCTTGATTCTTCGTTAATATTATGGAATAGTAGAAGACGTGATTATGTCCATTCAGCAGTCATTGACCATTTGCCATGGACCAGGGATTGTACTAAGTGCTGAGTTATATGGGGGTGAATGAGTCATGGGTTGTTCCTTTAGTGATCTCAAGGCCTGGTTAAGGAGTTATTATAAAATAGGTTGAGAAGTATAATTCCATGTGAGGGATTTGATCCTGGAGGTGGATCTTCCATTATGAGTAAGCATTTGTCAGACCCAAGTAAGTGGGGTGGGGAACTTTGTGGTAGATTCTGGGGAGAGCATCCTAAGTCAGAAACCTATGTAAAAGGACGTAGGCATTAAGTAGCTTGGTATGTGCAGGCAACTTGACATGAAATGCATGGTAAAGCTAAAACACTAATTGCATACTTTGGGCATTCATTCTGTACCATGCCCTATGCAAGGGCTTTAATCCTCACAATAACTTTCTGAGGTTGGTACTGTCAGTATTCCCATTTAGTAGGTAAGGAAACCAAGTCTCAAAAAATAAGTAATTAGCCAAAGGCACTGTATAGCAGGACAAGATGCTGACGCAGGTCCGTTCACCTCCAAAGCTCTTCCAATTAACCATGGGTCCTACTGCAACCAGGAGCCAAAAGGTTGAGATTCGCATTTTTTATTTTTTATTTTTTATTTTTTGAGACGGAGTCTTGCTGTCTCCCAGGCTGAAGTGCAGTGGCGCGATCTCGGCCCACTGCAAGCTCCGCTTCCTGGGTTCACACCATTCTCCTGCCTCAGCCTCCCGAGTAGCTGGGACTACAGGCACCCGCCACACCACGCCCGGCTAATTTTTTGTATTTTTAGTAGAGATGGGGTTTCACTGTGTTAGCCAGGATGGTCTCCATCTCCTGACCTCGTGATCCGCCTGCCTCTGCCTCCCAAAGTCGCATTTTTTAATAATGCTCATATATCTAGGGCAAAGACACAAATTTACGTTCAAAGAGAGGATTTTTTTAAACAAAAACTAAGTATACATATGCCAGTTTAAACCGATAAAAATGGTGAGCAGATTTTTCAGATTTTTAGATCAACCATTAACTGAAATGCAACAATGTAACTAGTTACCTACCCCCCTCCCCACCCAGCAAATAATGGTTAATATTAACTGAAAATGAAAGAAGATAGATTTGACAAATATTTTATTATTATATTTTTGAATGGGCTATCAGAGTTACAGAAGTATTGGGATTAAAATGCTTGTAAAACAAGTCCTCATTTAACGTTATCAGTGGGTTCTTGGAAACCAGCTTTAGGTGAAACCACATATAACAAAACCAGTTTTACCCTAGGCTAATCAAGAGTTAAGTTCCTATGGCATATTTCTGGTCAAAAAATAAAAAATCAAATTTCTAAATAAAGATACAGAACACCTCTAATATTAAATATTGAAATAAATGTGAGCTATACATACTTTTAAGATTAAAGACTAATATAAACAAAATTATTTACCCAATATTTGGTGAATCAGTGAGTGATGGCAGTCATGGTGGTGAATTATATTAAGGAATAATTGCAAAGCAAAAATTGTCAGGAGTACCTCCTACCACTATGCAGTCAATCACAAGTATGACAGGCCCACTGAGTGCTTTCTTACTGCGTAGTTTATTGTCATGCATTTGGTATGATTACTGTGGACTTTATTTTTTTTATTTTCTATTTTATATTTTTTATTTTTTATTTTTTTGAGATGGAGTCTCGCTCTGTGCCGAGGCTATTGTGCAGTGGTGCGATCTCGGCTCACTGCAAGCTCTGCTTCCCAGGTTCACGCCATTCTCCTGCTTCAGCCTCCCGAATAGCTGGGACTACAGGCGCCCGCCACCACACCCGGCTAATTTTTTTTTTTTTTTGTATTTTTAGTAGAGACGGGTTTCACCGTGTTAGCCAGGATAGTCTTGATCTCCTGACCTCATGATCCGCCTGCCTTGGCCTCCCAAAGTGCTGGGATTACAGGCGTGAGCCACCGTGCCCGGCCATGAATTTTTATTTTACAATAATTTGTATTCATTTCCCAACCCACTTATTCCAGTTCAGGGTGATAGGTGGCTGGATCCTGTCCTGGCAGCTCAGGGCACAAGGCAGAAACACTCCTGGCCAGGACACCATCCTGTCACAGGGTGTACTCACATACATACCCACACTCACTCAGACTGGGATAATTTAGACACACCAAGTCACCTCGCATGCACATCGTTGGCATGTGGTGGGGGAAGCCGGAATACCTGCAGAGAACCCATGCAGACATGGGGAGAACATACAAACTCCCCACAGACAGTGGCCCCGGCCTGGAATCACTTTTTTTCTCATCAACATTATAACAAAACAACATTATTTGAGGACTCCCATATTTATTTGTTGCTTTATTTTGTGATAGGAATAATTACCTTGAAAATAATTGTTAATTTTTCAAATATCTGTGTTTCCACCTGAGGCTGATTTGGAAACTGCTATGTGGATTGCTGCCCTAAGAGGCCATCATTCTTTCTTTTTCTTTCTATATCACAAGTCGTCAGGCAACATCATTAATTCTTTAGGAAAGAGGTTAATATAGGCTAATGTAAGTTCTTTGTATGCATTCAAGAAGTTTGCTAGCTAAAATTTTCTGCCAAATACCTTATTTCCTTCAGGCAGTAGAATTTCATGTATTAACTTAGTACAACTGTTGTTTCCCATGGCAAAAAAAAAAAAAAAAAAAAAAAAGCATTTTTAGAGACTCAAAATAATGAAAGTCAGTCTCAATTTTGAGTGCAAAAGCAATCCTCCTGTTTAAAATATTTCCTAGATTTCCTTGCTGTTTTTTTTGTTTGTTTGTTTTTGTTTTTGTTTTTTTTTGAGACAGAGTTTCGCTCTTGTTGCCCAAGCTGTGGAGTGCAATGGCGTGATCTCAGCTCACTGCAACCTCCGCCTCCTGGGTTCAAGCTATTCTCCTGCCTCAGCCTCCTGAGTAGCTGGGATTACAGGCGTGGGGCACTATGCCTGGCTAATTTTTTGTATTTGTCGTAGAGACAGGGTTTCGCCTTGTTGGCCAGGCAGGCTGGTCTTGAACTCCTGACCTCAGGTAATCTGCCTGCCTCAGCCTCCCAAAGTGCTGGGATTACAGGCGTGAGCCACCATGCCTGGCCCCTTAGTGTTATTTTGAGGAATAAGTATGTATTTGTGTCCTTTGAATTTTTGAGCTTAGTAATTTTAAACTGCATATAATAACTATATATAATATTTGATTAGCTAAATGAGTAAGAGGGCCTACACTTTATCATTTTAATGCTAAGTAGTAATGGAGTGGGAATAAAGTATCCAAATTGAGAGATAATTAATAGTCAGTTTTGGATAATTGTTTACTCAATCAGCAGATAATGAAGGAGCATACCAGTTTCCTTCCCATAGGCCAGGGAGGATATGCTGGTGGATAATAGGACAGGGCTTTTGCTCTCCCAGAGCTCTCTAACGGGATAAGCCCGAGATAGGCTACACTAGTTGAATAGGAAAGATAGGATCTTGGTAGAAAGAGACTCTATCGAGTGAGATTGTGAGCCGTGAGATCAGACAGATTGGGGTTTAAATCCTCGTCTCTATTATAAACAATCAAAAAATTTAGCTGGACGTGGTGGCGCCTTCCTGTGGTCTCAGCTACTCTGGAGGCTGAGGTTGGAGGATCACTTGATCCCAGGAGTTCAAGACTACAGTGAGCTATGATGTCCCTCACTGCACTCCAGCCTGGATGACAGAGTGAGAACCTGTCTCTAAAATAAGTCTTTTTAGAAATGAGCTTTAGTAAGTGCCATGCATTTTTGCTTCATGAAATACAGCAACATTGTGGATTATGTAAATGATGTTCTCTAGAGTACCCATTCAGCTTTTTTCTCCATAGACCATCTAAGTGGCAAATACCAAGGTAAACTACAAAAGTTGGGTGATATGAAATAACTTGATGTCCTATAATGTGCTCAAATTTAGTAATTCAGAGAGACAGTTGAATATAGTGGTCAACAGTGTAGACTCTGGAGCCAGATTGCCTAGATTTAAATCCTGGCCCTGCCACTTGAAAGCTGTGTGACCTCTCTGTTTTTTGAAATTGTTTATAAAGAATTGATATTAACTTTTCTTTAAAAATCTTGTAGAATTAGCGGAGAAGCCATCTGGGCCTGGCCTTTTCTTTTCAGGTAATTTTTGGATTACTAATTCAGTCTTTACTTGTTACAGGTCTGTTCATATTGTCCATTTCTTCTTGAGTCAGTTTCAGTAATTTGTCTTTTTGGGACTTTGTTCATTTCATCTAAGTTATCTAATTTGTTGGTGTACAGTTCTTCATAGCATTCCTTTATAATCCTTTTTATTTCTGTAAGGTCAGTGGTAATTTATCCTCTTTCATTTGTGATTCTAGTAATTTGAGTCTGCCCTCTTCTTCTTGGTCAATCTAGCTGAAGGTTTGTCAACTTGATTTTTTTTCAACAAACCAGCTTTTTGGTTTAATGGATTTTCTCTATTGTTTTTCTATTTTCTGTTTCTTTAATTTTTGTTAAAAAGCACAGTGAGATACTATTTCACATCCACTAGAATGGCTAGAATATAAAAATCAGATAGTAAACACTGGAAAGGAAGTGGAAAAATTGGAAACCTCATACGTTGCTGGTGGGAATGTCAGCCAAATGTCCATTAACAATGAAATGACTGTGAAATTTGATTTTAAAAAACAATGTGGTTCATTTTTTTTTAAAAAAAGGAATAGCTGAGAATGGGAGAGATAAGGTGGCAGATGATAATTGGTAACCAAAGCAGTGAGAGCTTGAATCATGTCTAACACTGGAATTAATTTTGCTTTTCATATATTAAAGGAATGAAATTTTCTAAAGGGGCTTCAGTATTTTTTAAGCATTTAAGATTTCCCAAACTATACTACAAGGCTACAGTAACCAAAACAGCATGGTATTGGTACCAAAACAGAGATATAGATCAATGCAACAGAACAGAGCCCTCAGAAATAATGCCGCATATCTACAACTATCTTATCTTTGACAAACCTGAGAAAAACAAGCAATGGGGAAAGGATTCCCTATTTAATAAATGGTGCTGGGAAAACTGGCTAGCCATATGTAGAAAGCTGAAACTGGATCCCTTCCTTACACCTTATACAAAAATCAATTCAAGATGGATTAAAGACTTAAATGTTAGACCTAAAACCATAAAAACCCTAGAATAAAACCTAGGCATTACCATTCAGGACATAGGCATGGGCAAGGACTTCATGTCTAAAACTCCAAAAGCAATGGCAACCAAAGCCAAAATTGAGAAATGGGATCTAATTAAGCTAAAGAGCTTCTGCACAGCGAAAGAAACTACCATCAGAGTGAACAGGCAACCTACAAAATGGGAGAAAATTTTCGCAACCTGCTCATCTGACAAAGGGCTAATATCCAGAATCTACAATGAACTCAAAGAAATTTACAAGAAAAAAACAACCCCATCAAAAAGTGGGCAAAGGACATGAACAGACACTTCTCAAAAGAAGACATTTATGCAGCCAAAAAACACATGAAAAAATGCTCACCATCACTGGTCATCAGAGAAATGCAAATCAAAACCACAATGAGATACCATCTCACACCAGTTAGAATGGCAATCATTAAAAAGTCAGGAAACAACAGGTGCTGGAGAGGATGTGGAGAAATAGGAACCCTTTTACACTGTTGGTGGGACTGTAAACTAGTTCAACCATTGTGGAAGACAGTGTGGCGATTCCTCAGGGATCTAGAACTAGAAATACCATTTGACCCAGCCATCCCATTACTGGGTATATACCCAAAGGACTATAAATCATGCTGCTATAAAGACACATGCACACGTATGTTTATTGCGGCATTATTCACAATAGCAAAGACTTGGACCCAACCCAAATGTCCAACAATGATAGACTGGATTAAGAAAATGTGGCACATATACACCATGGAATACTATGCAGCCATAAAAAATGATGAGTTCATGTCCTTTGTAGGGACATGGATGAAATTGGAAATCATCATTCTCAGTAAACTATCGCAAGAACAAAAAACCAAACACCGCATATTCTCACTCATAGGTGGGAATTGAACAACAAGAACACATGGACACAGGAAGGGGGAACATCACACTCTGGGGACTGTTGTGGGGTGGGGGGAGGGGGGAGGGATAGCATTGGGAGATATACCTAATGCTAGATGACGAGTTAGTGGGTGCAGCGCACCAGCATGGCACATGTATACATATGTAACTAACCTGCACATTGTGCACATGTACCCTAAAACTTAAAGTATAGTAATAATAAATTAAAAAAAGAAAAAAAAATTTCCCTCTATAACTGGAAATTTAAAGCAGACATATAGATACATATACTATGTATTTCTTCATTGCCTAAATAAAGATTCTTTTTTTTTTTTTTTTTTTGAAACAGAGTCTCACTGTGTCACCCAGGCTGGAGTGCAGTGGTGTGGTCTCGGCTCACTGCAACAACCACTTCCGTTCAAGCAATTTTCCCGCCTTAGCCTCCCGAGTAGCTGGGACTACAGGCACGTGCCACCACACCCAGCTAATTTTTGTACTTTTAGCAGAGATGGGGTTTCACTGTGTTGGCCAGGCTGGTCTCGAACTCCTGACCTTGTGATTCACCCACCTTGGCCTCCCAAAGTGCTGGGATTACAGGCGTGAGCCACCATGCCCGGCCAATAAAGATACTTTTTAAACTCCATATTTTGAGTCAGGAGAAATTTAGGAGTTAACTTGCTGAAGTATTTTGAGTGCTTACTGATTGGCAGAAAGAAATCACTCATACACCTAAACTATAAGTTGCATGTATGTTTATGCAATAGAAATGAAGTGGCTTTACAACCCTTTTCCTTGATCCCTGGGCTATGTAAGGGGCTCTCAGCCATCAAATAAGGCCTGCCATGGCTGAGAAAATAGCCAAATTCTTATGACCTCTTTATTCTTTTTATCAACAGGATTTACATCATTATTGCAGAAAACTTACACTAACATTTCCATGTAAGGGAATGTTTAAAAACATAGAGCTCTCCCAGTTGTTGAACAAAATGCAGTATTGGCAAGGCCGTGTCCTCAAGGAGGGAAAAGCAAAGTTGGGTTTTCAGTGTGCTGGAATGCCTAACTCACTAGGACTGAATTTGATTAATCCTGCCCTCTAACTGGATGTTTAAATTTTCATTTTCTTGTCAAAGTAGTACATATACATACATTTAAAAGTTGACCAATACAATATTAGGCTTAAAGCAGAAAACAGCAGGTTTCTGAACCACTCTTACCCTTTATCACCAAGCCTCCTCTAAATTTGATTTCTTCTGGTATTTAACTTCATGCTTTAAAAAATGTCCTTACCCCACTATTTCTAATTCTTGATTTATCGGGCTTAGATACTGTCTTTTTTGGGGGCCGGGGGTGGGGGGTGGGGGGGTGGTAATGAATTCTTTTTTTGTTTTGTTTTGTTTTTAATTGCGGTAAAATATAAAATTTACCATTTTAACTGTTTTAAAGTGTGGAGTTCTTTGGCATTAAGTACTGGTCACATTGTTCTGTAACCATCACCACCATCCATCTCTAGAACTTTTTCTTCTTTCCAGACTGAAACTCGGTATCCATGTAGCACCAGCTACCATTCCCCTCATTCCCCTAGCCTTTGGCAACCACCATTCTTTCCATGTCTCTGAATTTGACTTCTCTAGGTACCTTATGTAAATAGAATCATGTAATTGTCATTCGTTACTGGGCTTATTTCACTTAGTATAATGTCCTCAAGGTTAATCCATGTTGTAGCATGTGTCATATGTTATAGTATATGTCAGTTTCCTTCCTTTTTAAGACTAATATTCTACTTATGTATCACATTTTATCTGTTCATCTGTCAGTGGGCATTTGGGTTGCTTCAACCTCTTGGCTTTGAGGAATGCTGCTGTGAACGTAGGTATACAAGTATCTTGAGTCCCTGCTTTCAGTTATTTTGGGTATACAGTTGGTACTCAACTTATGATGGTTCAACTTACAATTTTTTAACTTTGCAATGGTGCAAAAGCCATATGCATTTGGTAGAAGCCATACTTCAAGTACCTATATAACCATTCTGTTTTTCAGTACAGTATTTAATAAATTACATGAGAAATTCAACAATTTATTATAAGCTTTGTGTAAGATAATTTTGTTCAGCTGTATGCTAGTGTGAGTGTTCTGAGCATGTAAGATAGATTCGGCTAAGCCATGCTGTTTGATAGGCTAAGTGTATTAAATGCATTTTTTTATTTTTTATTTTTTTGAGGCAGAGTCTTGCTCTGCGCCCAGGCTGGAGTGCAGTGGCGCAATCTTGGCTCACTGCAACCTTTGCCTCCTGGGTTCAAGCAGTTCTCCTGCCTCAGCCTCCTGAGTAGGTGGGATTACAGGCACCCACCATCATGCCCTGCTAATTTTTGTATTTTTAGTAGAGATGGGGTTTCACCATGTTGGCCAAGCTGGTCTCAAACTCCTGACCCCAGGTGATCCACCTGCCTTGGCCTCCCAAAGTGCTGGGATTACAGGCATAAGCCACCGTGCCTAGTCTTACATGCATTTTTGACTTAATGACATTTTCAACTTACAATGGTTTATCAGGACATAACCTCATCATAAAGAGCATCTGTATACCCAGAAGTGGAATTGCTGGATCTTAGGTTTCTACATTTGATTTTTGAGAAACTGCTATATTGTTTTCCACAGCGGCTGCAACCATGTTACATTCTTACCAGCAGTGCACAAGGGTTCTAGTTTCTCCACATCCTCAACAACACGTTATTTGTTGTTTTGTTTTTTGATAAAAGCTACCCTAATGGATGTAAAGTGATATTTGATTGTGGTTTTGACTTGCACTTCCCTAATGATTAGTGATGTTGAACAGCTTTTCTTTTTTTGTTGTTGTTCACATTAAAAAATTAATTTACCTAAATTTCTTTTTTCTTTTTTTTTTTTTTTGAGACAGAGTTTCACTCTTGTTGCCCAGGCTGGAGTGCAATGGCATGATCTCGGCTCACTGCAACCTCCGCCTCCCAGGTTCAAGCGATTCTCCTGCCTCAGCCTCCCGAGTAGCTGGGATTACAGGCATGCGCCACCACGCCCAGGTGATTTTTGTAGTTTTAGTAGAGACGGGGTATCTCCGTGTTGGTCAGGCTGGTCTCGAACTCCTGACCTCAGGTGATCCACCTGCTTTGGCCTCCCAAAGTGCTTGGGATTACAGGCATGAGCCACCGTGCCCAGCCATAAATTTCTTTTAATTAAGAAAAAAAAGTTCTCATTCTCTCTCTTTTTTTTTTCTTTTTCTTTCTTTTTTTTTTTTTTTTCTGAGACAGTGTCTCATTCTGTCACCCAGGCTGGAGTGCAGTGGCATCATTTCGGCTCACTGTAACCTCCGCCTCCTGGGTTCCAGAGATTCCCATGTCTCAGCCACCTGAATAGCTGGGATTACAGGCGCACACCACCACACCTGGCTAATTTTTGTATTTTTAGTAGAGACAGAGTTTCACCATGATGGCCAGGTTGGTCTCAAACTCCTAACCTCAAGTGATCCACCTGGCTGGGGCTCCGAAAGTGCTGGATTACAGGCATGAGCCAGTACACCAGGCTGAGCAGCTTTTCATATGCTAGTTGGCCATTCATATATTTTTGGAGAATGTCTATTCAAGTACTTTCCCACTTTTTAATTGGGTAGTTTGAGGTTTTTTGTCATTGAGCTGTAGGAATTCTTTATATATTCTGGATATTAAGCCCTTATTAGATTGTAGTAGTCCATTCTTGCATTGCTATAAAGGAATACCTGAGGCTGGGTAATTTATAATGAAGAGAGGTTTAATTGGCTCACGGTTCCACAGGCTGTACAGAGAGCACGGCAGCATCTGCTTCTGGGGAGGCCTCAGAGAGCTTTACTCATGGTGGCAGACAAAGCAGGAGCAGGTGTCTTACATGGCAGGGGCAGGACCAAGAGAGTGGGGGGAGGTGCTACACACTTTTAAACAACCAGATCTCATGGTAACTCACTCACTATCATGAGAACAGCACCAAGAGGACGGTCTTAAACCATTCATGAGCACTCCATCCCCATGATCCGATCACCTCCCATCAGGCCGCACCTCCAGCACTGGGGATTACAGTTTGACATGAGATTGGTTGGGGGAACAGATCCAAACCATATCACAGATATATGATTTGCAAGTACTTTGTTCCATTCTGTGGGCTGCCTTTCCATTCTCTTCATAGTGTCCTTTGATGTAAAAAAAGTTTTAATTTTGATGAAGTTTAATTTATGTTCTTTCTTTTGTTGCTTGTACTTTTAGTGTCATAATCAAGAAATTATCGCCAAGTCCAATGTCATGAAGATTTTCCTCTATGATTTTTTTTTGGCAGGGTCTTGCTCTGTCACTCAGGCTGGAATGCATTGGCACAAACATAGCTTAATCCAGCATAGACTTCCTGGGCTCAAGCAGTTCTCATGCCTCAGCCTCCTGAGTACTGCTGGGACTACAGGTGTACACTACCATGCCAGGCTAATTTAAAAAAAAAAATTTTTTTTAAAGACAGGGTCTTGCTATGCCGCCCAGGCTGGTCTTGAACTCCTGGGCTCAAGCAGTTTTCCCACCTTGGCCTCCCAAAGTGCCAGGATTACAAGCATGAGCCACCGTGCATGTCTCCTTATAATTTTAGAGTTTTAGCTCTACATTTAGTACTAAATTTTAGAGTTTAGGTCTATGATCCAGTTATACGGTATTGTATAAGGAGTCTGACTTCTTTCTTTTGCATGTGAATATCTAGTTGTCCCAGAACCATTTGTTAAAAAGACTGTCCTTTCTTCATTGAATGGTCTTGGCATGCTTGTCAACAATCATTTGACATATATTCACAGATTTATTTCTGGCTCTCTCTCCTTTTTTTTTCCTCTAATATTGGTAAAACCACATAACATAAAATTTACTCTCTTAACCGTTTTTAAGTACGGATGTTCCTTGGTTTACAGTGGAGCTGCATCCAGGTAAGCCCATCACAAGTTGAAAACATCACAAGTCTGAAATGCATTTTATAACCCAGTAAACCAATCATAAAGTCAAAAAATTACAAGTCAGATCATCAAGTCAGAGACCGTCTCTGTATACAGTTCAGTAGTTTAAGTATATTCATACTGTTGTACAACAGATCTTCACAGTTTTTTCATCTTGCTAAAACTGAAACTCTATACTTATTAAACAGCAACTCCCCAATGCCCCCTTCCCCCACCCTCACAACTGCTCTTCTACTTTCTATGAATTTGACTATTGATAACTACTGTAAGAATTATACAGAACCTGTCTTTTTGTGACTGGTTTATTTCACTTAGCATAATATCCTCCCGGTTCAGGCTATTTGTTTGTATGTCTCTCTTTATGCCAGTACCACATTGTTTGGATTACTGTAGCTTTGTAGTAAGTTTTGAAATTGGGAAGTACGAGATATCTAACTTTGTTCTTTTTCAAGGTTGTTCTGGTTGTTCAGGGTCCCTTGAGATTCCATATGAAGGTTAATGGATTTTTCTATTTCTGTAAAATACATCATTGGGGTTTTGACAGGGATTACATTGAGTTTGTAGATGGCTTTGGATAGTGTTGACTTCATAACAGTATTAAGTCTTTCAATCCATGAACACAGGATGTTTTTCCACTTATTTATGTTGTCTTTAATTTCTTTCCATGGTGTTTTATAGTTTTCGGTGTATACTTATGGTTTTTTTGTTGGTTTTTTTTTTTTTTGAGATGGTCTCACTGTTTCACCCAGGCTGGAGTGCAGTGGTACAATTTAGGCTCACTGCAACCTCCACTTCACAGGTTCAAGTAATTCTCCTGCCTCAGCCTCCCAAGTAGCTGGGATTACAGGTATGTGCCACCATGCCCGGCTAATTTTTGTATTTTTACTAGAGACAGGGTTTCACCATGTTGGCCAGGCTGGTCTTAAACTCCTGACCTCAAGTGATCTGCCCACCTTGGCCTCCCAAAGTGCTGGGATTACAGGTGTGAGCCTCTGCGTCCAACCAGTGTATACTTACGTTTTAAGTGTATACTTAAATGTTTTAAGAATTTTGCTTCCTTGGTTAAATTTAATCCTGAACATTTTATTCTTTTTTATGGTATTGTAAGTGGAATTGTTTTCTTAATTTCCCTTATGGGATGTGCATTGTTAGTGTATAGAAACGTTACTGATTCTTATTTCTAATAACATGCAGTTTTGCTGAATTTGTTTTATTCTAAAAGTTTTTTGGTCATCTTTAGAGTTGTACATATAAGGTTCTGTCGTCTGTGAATGAGGGATAATTTTACTTCTTTCTTTCCTCTATGGATGCCTTTTATTTTTCTTGACTAATTGCCCTGGCTAGGACTTCTAGTACAAGTGGCAAAAGTAGCCATTCTTGTCTTGTTCCTTATCTTAGAGGAAAAGTATTCAGTCTTCTATCAATGAGTGTTTCATTGATGAAACAGGTGGTTTTCATATGTGACCTTTATTATGTTGAGGTAATTTCCTTCTATTCCTATTTTGTTACGTGTTTTAATCATGAAAGGCTATTGAATTTTGTCAAGTGCTTTTTTCCATCAGTTCAGAGGATGATGTGTTTTTTTCCGTTCATTCTTTTAATGAGAGGTACGTTACATTGATCAGTTTTCATATGTTGAACCACTCTTGCATTTCTTGGACAAACCTCTCTTGGTAATGGTTTGTATTTTTTAATATGCTGCTGAATTCAGTTTGCTAGTATTTTGTTGAGGATTTTTGCACCATTGTCCACAGGGAAGAGAATAATTTATAGTTTTCTTTTGGTGTCTTTGGCTTTGGTATCAGTGTGATAATACTGGCCTCATGGGAGTTTGGAAATGTTCCCACCTCTTCAGTGTTTCTAGAAGAGTTTAAGAAGGATTGATGTTAATTCTTCTTTAAATGCTTGGTAGAATTTAGCAGTGAAGCCATGTGGTCCAGGACTTTCCTTTTTTGGAAAGTTTTTGATTACTTATTCTATCTTCTTACTGGTTATAGGTCTATTTGGATTTTGTTTCTTTTTTAAAAAATATAATTTTTATTTTATTTTATTTCTTTAGAGACAGGGTTTCGCCATGTTGCCCGGGCTGACCTCGAACTCCTGGGCTCAGGCAATCTTCCCACCTCCACCTTCCAAAGTGCTGGGATTACAGGCATGAGCCACCACACCCAGTCCAGATTTTCTGTTCCTTCATGATGCAGTCCTGGTAGGTTGTGTGTTTCTGAGAATTTGTCCGTTTCATCTAGGTTATCCAGTGTGTCAGTGTGTAATTGTTCATAGTACTAGTTTATAATCTTTTCTTATTTCTGTTAACATTTGTAATAATGCCCCCACTTTTATTCCCATTAGATGAAGAGACTTTAGTGTTCGTTCAGTGCCATATACTCCCACATCTCTTCCCTCCCAATAAAATTATATCCTGTTTGTATAAATCGGTGTTCTGGTTATATAATTATGATACTATTACAGATACTTCCTAGTGTCTCCAACATAGTTGTAAAACTCTCCAGATACTATTTTCTATTCAAATCAGAAGCATTTTTAGTTTCCTTTTTTTCCTGTGAAAACATTCCTTCTAAAAGCCTCTGACCTCCTGCTGTAGTCCCTACTGATTGCTCTTTGAACTTACTGTGCACAGCTGTCATCCTTTACTTCTCTCTTGTTTGGAGTCTTTGTTTTCTTGAGTCTGTCTTCCTTCCTTCCTTTTTTTTTTTTTTTTTTTTTTGATGGACAGCATGCTGTATTAGCTTCCTAGGAAAGGGTGCATCAGAGGTGATTTTCAAAAATCTTATATGTCTGAACATATTTTCATTTACATTACATGGCTAATTGATAGTTTGATGAGGAATAGAAATCTAAGTTGAAAATAATTTTACCTCAGAATTTTGAAGGCATCATTTTATTGTCTTCCATTTTCTAGTGTTGCTTTTGTGTATAATAGTCAGTGCCACTGTCATTCCTTATCTACATGGGTGACCTCTCTTCCTCTCCCTCCCAATCTGGTTGTTAAGATCTTTTCTATTCTGTTCTGAAATATACAGTCATGTCCTGTAGTATATATATTTTTTCATAAATGATACCGTGCACTCAGAGGGTTCTTTCAGTCAAAGTTCATGTCCTCCTGTTCTGGGAAATTGTTTTATGCTAGTTCTTAGATAATTTCTTCCCTCAGTTTTTTTCTAGTCTCTTTTCAGAACAACTAATTAGTTGGATTTTGGGTCTCTTGAACTAATCCTTTCATTTCCTCTCGTTTTCTCTTGTGTTTCCATCTGCCTCCAGCTTCTACTTTTAGTGAGATTTCCTGACTTAGAATCTGTCTTCATCACTGACTAGTGCTTGAGTATGTTACTTAATGTCTTTTGCTAGTTTCTCCAACTGTAGGATTAATTATTGAACTCATTTTAGAGGATTATTGTGAGAATTAAATGACTTACTGCATGTAAAGCATAGCACATAGAAAGTAATACATTGTGGCAGATGGCTTTCAGCTCTGGCTGTTATTGCTTCTTCAATTTTATTTTCATTTTTGATATCTTATTTTTAATTTTGGGAACTCTTTCTCCCTCTATTTTTATAGCAACTTTTTCTTCATGGGTACAGTAGCTTGTTGTAATTCTCTTTGAGTGTTAATTGCAGTTTTTTATTCTGTTTAGTTTTCTTCTTTCTTACATAGTTGCTTTTATCCAAATTCATTTTTGTTTCTTTTAGTTCCTTTCTTTCCTATGGAAGCTTTCCTCAAATGGCTAATGATCCTCATTGTTGGTCCATATTTAAGAGTAATGTAGCCGGGCAAAATGGCTCATGCATATAATCCTAGCACTTTGGGAGGCCGAGGCGGGCGGATTGCCTGAACTCAGGAGTTCAAAACCAGCCTGGGCAACATGGCGAAACCCCGTCTCTACTAAAATACAAAATATTAGCTGGGCATGGTGGTGTGTGCCTGTAGTCCCAGCTACTCAGAAGGCTGAGGCACAAGAATTGCTTGAACCCGGGAGGCTGAGATTGTACCACTGCACTCCAGCCTGAGTGACAGAGTGAGACTCTGCCTCAAAAAAAAAAAAAAAGAAGAAGAAGAAGAAGAACAGACTTCAGCTCAGCTGCAGGGAAATATGATCATGCCATTGCACTACAGCCTGGGTGACACAAGAAATAAAAATATTAAAAAAAAAGAATGAAGGACTTAAAACTGAAAACAAAAACCCCAAAAAAGTGTTTTTGTACATGTGTAAGCCTCATCAGCTAGCTTGATTTTACTGTGGATTGATTGGATAAGCACCCACACCGTAAGCTTCAGTACAAATGTTCCTTAACTTGCAGTGGGGTTGTGCCCCAATAAACTCATTATAGCTTGAAAATCTGTTGAATGCACCTAACCTACAGAACCTCATAGCTTAGTCGAACATACCTTAAACATGCTCAGAACACTTATATTAGCCTACAGTTGGGCAAAATCATGTAACACAAAGCCTATTTTATAATAAACTTGAATATCTCATGTAGCATGCTAGTATTAAATACTGTTCTGAAAGTCAAAAACAGAATGGTCATCTAGGTATTTAAAGCACTGTTTCTACTGAATGTGTATTGCTTTTGTACCATCATAAAGTAAGTTGAACCATTGTAAGTTGAGGACTGTTCGTCCATAGGTTTCCTTTCTGGAAACCTATTCAGTTTTTTCCAGCAAAAATTCTTCAGTTTCCTATCTGCAGGGTACCACATGTCTTGTTGCCAGTCTTTTTGTCCTTGCTTGTTTTAAAACTATGGCACAGGGGATAGGGTTGGCAGCATGGGGGTTGGAGGTTCACTTTGCAATACCGATACTTTCACTTGGTTTACTTCTGTGAAAACCGAAGAACAGGGCCGCCCTCCTTCATATGAAGATGTGTTTGATGTCTCAGGGTCTGGGACCTCTTTGGTTCACTCTTTGGTTCAAGTTATCCACAGACTATACCTCCTTTTTTCTGCAGTGATATGAGAGGTGGTGGTGATGGTGAGTTTACCTGGCTGTACCACATTCAACCAGTCCTCTGGTTTAGGGCCTGCTTCTCAACCCAGGTTTCTGTGGGACCAGGGGCTGAGCCTTTCCAAGGTTCTGGGGTGAAAATTAGCTTGCTTCTCATTAATATCCCCCCATAGTCATTTGGGGCTTTGTCCATTTTCCTAAATTAGTTTCCACTTCATCATCTGCTTTCTGTCCTCCAAAAGTATGTCAGCATCTGTGATCCACTATATCTCCTTGACTATTCTTTTTGTCTTTGTGGGTTTGTACATTTTTGTTTTTGTTCCTTTACTCATTGTTTAAGGTGGCTTGGTAAAGGGATAGAGATAAATGCGTGAGTATTTTCTGTACTTAACTGGAATTCAGGGAAAGTATTACTATTAGTAAACCAAATTGAAATTGTTCATTGATGGACTGCAAGGTATTCCAGAAATATTTCATTAATGTATCCATTCAGCAACTGTTTAAGGAGTGCTTACTGTGTACTAGGCATTGTTATAGTTTTCAAGATAAATATTCTGTTCGCATGAAGCTTTTATTCTATCAGGAAACAGACAATAAACAGCTAAACAAAAATAAAATGTGAAGAGAGCAGTAAATGCTATAAAGAAAAGGGAAGGGATCAAAAGTGACAGGAATTACTGTCTAAGCACATTCAGGGAGATTTTTTTCTGAGGGCAACATTTAAACAGAAACCTGAATGAAGTGAGAGAATTATTTGCGTGAGTGTCTGGGGGTTGGGGGTTACAGAGGTGGGGAACACTCCAGACAGGGAAGAAGTGGAGGAGCATGCTTGGTACAATAAAGGAATAATGAAGAGTCCTGTGTGGCAGCAGTGCAGGGAGGGAGGGAGGAAGAAGGTCATAGGAGATGAGGTCAGAGTGGGAGGTGCGGCCAGATCATTCTGGGTATTATAGGCCATGGTCAAGAGTTTGTATTTTATTTCACATAAAATATATTTTGGGGAGGTATTGGAGAGTTTTCAGCAAGAGAATGACCTATCTTTGGGGGTTGAATCACAAGCCTACCGATAATGTAAACTGCCACAGTCAGTTCCTGCCCTGACAGACCAAGCTCTCTTCCTTGATGGTGGGCAAATTTGGGGTTGCTCCCTATTTTAAAACCATTGCCACCCGTAGTCCCCACTGTAGAATTTCCTTAGGTGGCCATATTATATACTACGTGAACTCTGGCTTCCTTGGTTTTATACCTCATGGGCTGAGTTGTTAAGATTCCTACTCTTTTCCGGCATTGGGGTTGGGGGTGTTAGGGAACAGGGTCTCACTCTGTCACCTAGGCTGAAGAGCAGAGGTGTGATCACAGCTCACTGTAACCTTGAACTGCTGGGCTCAAGCAGTCCTCCCGCCTCAGCCTTCCAAGGAGCTAGGATTACAGGTGTGCACCATGACCCAGCTAATTAAAAAAAAAAAAAAAATGTTTTTTTGGTAGAGACAGGAACTCACTATGTTGTACAGGCTGCTCTCAAACTCCTGGCCTCAAGCCATTCTCCTGCCTCGGCCTCCCAAAGTGTTAGGATTATAGGTGTGAGCTGTCGTGCCCAGCCTAAAATTCTTACTCTTAAGAATGGGAAAGCAAGTGCTTCTACTATTATGTGATACATGTATTTCTGAAAAGTCTCGTACTTCTACCCACTAAAAATAAGAAAGCCACATGGAAAAATGGGGCTTGGAATAGACCAGAGAACTAACAAAAATAATAACAGTCCTAATAAAAATACTAGTTAAATACCTAGTTAACAAAACATGTTAAATTCCTAATAAACAGAGTAAATACAGGATTTCATCTTAAAAATGAAGTGAAGGTAGCTTTATGGCAGGGGTTGTGAAGAAAGGTTAACGATGCTGAGTAATTGCATAAATGGATAAAGCTTTGGGAGAAATGCATAAAGATAGAGGGGAACCATGCAATGAGCATTTTCAAGACAGCACACGGCCAGACTGAGAAAAGAGGAAGAACCTGGTTGAATAGGCATCATGTGTGACACGGTTCCCTGTAGCTTTCTGGCCAGTATACTTTGCATTCTGTGGCTGTTACTTAGTGATACAAAGCATTAAGGAATTGGGAGCTATCACCTGTGAATCAGACTGATTTCTACTGTTACACTGGCATCAGGTCTCTATTGACAATTTTATAGAATCAAATTCACGTTGCAGAACTAACTTTGCAACAGATCATACCATAGTAACAATAATAGCTATTAAACTTTGTGCCTTGGCACTGCTAAACACTGTACATATATCATCCTATTTAGTCTTAACATAAAGCCACAGGGTGCAATGGCTCACACCTGTAATCGCAGCACTTTGGGAGGCTGAGGCAGACGGATATCCTGAGCCCAGAAGTTCAAGACCAGACCGGACAATATGGTGAAACCTTGTCTCTATGAAAATATTAAAAAGTTAGGCCGGGCGCGGTGCCTCACGCCTGTAATCCCAGCACTTTGGAAGGCCAAGGCGAGTGGATCACAAGGTCAGGAGATCAAGACCACCCTGGCTAACACGGTGAAATCCCATCTCTGCTAAAAATACAAAAAATTAGCCAGGTGTGGTGGTGGGCGCCTGTACTCCCAGCTACGTGGGAGACTGAGGCAGGAGAATGGCATGAACCCAGGAGGTGGAGCTTGCAGTTAGCCGAGATCCCGCCACTGCACTCCATCCTGGGCGACAGAGCGAGGCTCTGTCTCAAAAAAAAAAAAAAAAAAAAAGAGTATTGATTCACATGATCACAAGGTGAAGTCCCACAGTAGGCCATCTGCAAGCTGAGGAGCAAGGAAGTCAGTCCGAGTCCCAAGTCCTCAAAAGTAGGGAGGCCAACAGTGCAGCCTTCAGTCGGTGGCCAAAGGCCTGAGAGCCCCTGGCAGGCCACTGGTATAGGTCCAAGAGTCTGAAAGCTGAAAAACTTGGAGTTCGATGTTCGAGGGCAGGAAGCATCCAGCACAGGAGAAAGATGGAGGCCAGAAGACATAGGCAGTCTAGTCCTTCCATGTTCCTCTGTACGCTTTTATCCTAGCTGGGCTGGCAGCTAACTAGATGGTGCTTTCTCAGATTGAGGGTGGGTCTGCCTCTCCTAGTCCACTGACTCAAATGTTAATCTCGTTTGGCAACACCCTCACAAACACACCCAGGAATAATACTTTACATCCTTCAGTCCAATCAGGTTGACACTTAATATCAACATCACACTGTCGCCCAGGCTATAGTACAACGACAGGGTTGTAGCTCACTGCAGCCTCACTCTTGGGCTCAAGCAGTCCTTCCACCTCACCCTTCCAAGTAGCTAGGACTACAGGTGTGCGCCACCATACCCAGCTATTTATTTACTTACTTAGTATTGTAGAGATGGGTTCTTGCTATGTTGCCCAGAGTGGTCTGCAACTCCTGGGCTCAAGCAGTTGTGAGCCACTGTGCCCATTCTAAATTTTTAAATTAGCTTGTTAGGGTTATACACATATGGAAACAAAAACCTGCTGACTGCTGACTTTTCAGAGTTGGAATTGCAAATACTTAAATGAATCAATTTAGAGAGAGTTGATCTCTTCATCATATTGAGTCTTCCGATCCATCATGGAAAATCTTTCAATTTATTTAAGTTTTCTTTGATTTTTTTTCTGCAAAAATTAAGCACGTCTTTATTTCCCAATGTTTTATGTTCTATGATGCTATTTATAAATATCTTATTGAAATTTTATTTTCTCTCACTGGTATATAGAAATGTAAATGATTTTGTTTATAGATTTTTTTAACAATCTTGCTCTTACGAATTCTAATAAATTCATTTAGATTTTTATGTTATCTATGATTTAATGACAGTCTTATCTTTTTCTTTCTAATCCTTATGTTTTTGTCTTGACTTATTCTGGCAGAGAGCTCCAGTACAGTGTTGAATGGAAGTGTTGATAGCAGGCATCCTTGCCTTGTTCCTCATCTTAAAAGGAATGATTTCAACAATTTGCTATGAGCCTTTATTCGATTAAGGACATTGGAATAAAAGTTGTTATATTCAGCAAATACTGAATTTTATCAAATGCTATTTTTAAAAATTTTTTTAATTTTTAATTTTGTGAATACATAGTAGGTGTATATATTTGTAGGGTGCATGAGATATTTTGGTACAAGTATACAATGCATAATAATTACATCAGGGTAAATGGGATATCCATTACCTCAAGCATTCATCATTTCTTTGTGTTATGAACATTCCAGTTGTACTCCCTCAGTTATACTGAAATGTACAACTTATTGCGGACTGTAATTACGCTGTAGTGCTATCAAATATTAGATCTTATTTATTGTATCTAACTATATTTTGTACCCATTAACCATCCCCGCCACTACCCTTCCTAGCCTCGGATAACCATCATTCCATTCTCTATCTCCATGAGTTCGATTGTCAGATGCTCTTTTTTTTTATGATCTGAGATGATCATATGATTTCTCTTTTTTGATCAGGTAATGTGAATTAGCTTGACTTTGTAATATTAAACCCATCTTGTATTCTGCAGTTAATCTCAACTTGATAGGTTAATCTGGATTATACTCTTTATACACACACACACACACACACACACACACACACATTCTTAGTTTGCTAACATTTTGTTTAGGGATTTTGCATCTGTGTTCATGAGTGAGATTAACTTTTAATTTTTCTTAAATTTATGCTAGCCTCATAAAATGAGTTGGGAGAAGGTTCCCTTTTCTCCTCCCTCCTATAATAATGTATATAAAATGAGAATTATTTGGTCCTTAAATGCTTATAGAACACACCAGTAAAACTGTTGGTGCCTGGAAAAATTTTTAACTACTGATAGAATTTCTTTAATGGTTAAGACTATTCGGATTTTTTAGTTGTGATTGACTCAGTTTTAATAAGTTGTACCTTCTTCAAAGAATTTGTTCATTTTGTCTGAGTTTTCAAATTTATTGGCATCTAGTTTTTAGAACATCCTTGTTTTGTATTTTTTTATTATTATATTTTTTTATTTTTGAGATGGAGTTTCACTCCTGTTGCCAAGGTTGGAGTGCAATGGCGCGATCTTGGCTCACTGCAACCTCCACCTCCCGGGTTCAAGCAGTTCTCCTGCCTCAGCCTCCCGAGTAGCTGGGATTACAGGCATGAGCCACCACGCCTGGCTAATTTTGTATTTTTAGTAGAGATGGGATTTCTCCATGTTGGTCAGGCTGGTCTCGAACTCCCGACCTCAGGTGATCCACCTGCCTCAGCCTCCCAAAGTGCTGGGATTACAGGCGTGAGCCACCATGCCTGGCCTTGTTTTCTATTTTTAATGTTTGAAGTATCTCCAGTTATAGTCTCCTTTGCAATCCTAGTATTATTTGTCATCTCTCTTTTTTTCCCTGGTCATTTTCACCAGAGTTGTTTTATCACTGATTAATTTGTCTTTATTATTTTCTTCCTTCTACTTTCTTTGCACCTATTTTGCTATTCTTTTTATAAATTTTTAGGATAGATACTCAGCTTATTGATATCTCAGCCTTTCTTCTTTTCTAATATAAGCATTAGGCTGTATATTGTCTTCTGAGTATAGCTCTAGCCACATCTATCCCTAGGCAACCACTGATCTTCTAATTGTTTTAGATGGATTTGCGTTTTCTAGAATTTTCTATTAAAGAAATCATGTGTCCACTTTTTTTGTCTTGCTTCTTTCATTTAGCGAAGTTATTTGAGACTCATCCGTATTGTTGCATATATCAGTATTTAATTCCTTTTTACGTTGTATCCATTGTATAGATATGCTTAATCCATTCACCTGTTGATGGACATTTGGGTTACTTCCAGTTTTTGACTATTACAACTAAAGTTGCTGTGAACATTTGTGTATGTCTTTGTGAGAACATATGCTTTTCTTTTTCTTGGGTAGATAGCTAGGAGTGGAATTGCTGGATCATATGGTGGTTTTTTTTTTTAAAGAGACTGCCAAATTGTTTTCCAAAGTCATTGTATGAGTTCATATTCCTGCTTGCAGTGCAGGAGAGTTCTAGTTGCCCTACATCCTTGCCAACTCTTAATATTGTCAGTCTTTTTACTCTTAGGCATTCTAATAGATGTGTACTAGCTCTTAATTGTAATTTTAATTTGCATTTCTCTGATGACTAATAATGTTGAACATCTTTTCATGTGATTATTTGCCATCCATACATCATCTTTGATGAAGTGTTTTATCAAATCTTTTGCCTATTATTAAAATTGAGTTATTTCTTTTCTTGAGTTTTGGGAGTTCTTTATATATTCTGGATAAGATACATGTCCTGTATGAGCTATATGGTTTGCAAATGTTTTTCTCCCAATCTATGGCTTATATTTTCATTATCTTGGCAGAGTCTCTTGAAGAATAGATTTTTTTATTTTGATAGTGGTTGTTTTAAATTTTTATGAATCATGCTTTTAATGTCATATTTTAAAATCTTCGCCTAATCCAAGGTCACATTTTTCTCCTGTGTTTTCACTAAAAGTTTTATAGCTCTAGGTTTTACATCTGTGATTACCTTTTTGTTACGTTTTAATTTAATCACAATGTAATCAGAGGATCTGATCTTTATGATACTGATTCTTTGAAATTGGCTTAATTTATTTTTAGTTTATGTTTTCTTCCAGAATTTTTGTTAAGTATTTACATCCATGTTTATGTAGCTATAGAAATATATAGGTTTTTAAAATTTAAACTAAATGGAATCACACTGGTTATGATGTTCTGAAAGCTGATTCTTTTAACTGTCTCAGATTTAGAGATACACATAATTCCTTTTTACTCTCATATTTTATAGATTAGAGCTATATTTATTTAGCTACTCCTCTAAGATGTGCATTTAAGTTTGCACATTGAAGTATTTTCCAATTAGATGCACATTTAAGTTTTTTCCAGATTTTCTCAAGCATAAATAGTACAGTGATGGACATCTTTATATATGCCTCCTTGGGCTCATATGTGGGAGTATCTCTGTAGACTAGAAGTAGAATTTGAAATTAAAAGCTATCTGGGTCAAAGTGTGTCTTCTAAGGGTTTTTCTTTTTTTTCCCAACAGTTTTTTAACAGTCACATAACTTCATATGCAAGAAGTAGCACCATTAACTAGATCAGTTATTAATTCAGCAGGTATGCATCGAGTACATACTGTGAGAACCTTCCTCTTAGGGGTTTCCAATTCCTTCAGACTCAGTGCCCCCTTTTTAAACAGTATTTTTTTAAAGACCCTTTTACTGTACCAAGGTGATACTCATAGAAAATAAAAGCATTCATATGCAAATAACTTACAAAAATCAATATATAATAATAATTATATTCAGGAGAAATAAAAGGAAAGCAGCCTATTATGAAATAATGTGTATTTCATGTAAATGCTTAGGAATAACTACCAAAGATGATATGACAAGTCACATACTTCTTAAGTAAGTACATACTTAAATAAGGGTACTAAGAAGATACAATTGTTTTGTAGATGAAATGTAGAGTCAGCTGGAATAAATGTTAAATGGAATTAATGTTAGAATAAGTGAGACTAGACTTACTTATGATAAAAACGGTTGACAGGAGGAGTTATTAAGAAGGAGAAAATTGAGGAAGGATGATGTCCTTGCAAAAGATCCATACCTTATGTGGAAGTGTTGTGCCAAAATGATTTCTTACGGTATGTCTTGCCACAGAGTAATGACATTCTGTCATAGAGAACATCTCCTTTCTTGAAATCTGTGTCTGAGGTATACCTTTAGTGTCTGATACTTTAAAAAAGACCTTGGAAAGCATATCCTTTTATTGGTCACAGAAAATAGAGAATTAGAAAATGAAAGCATTTTGTCTACCAGAATAAAAAATCAAAAATTAGCATCTGCTATGGGAGAAGATAACATCTTATTCAGGGTCACAGGTTGAGCATTGCACTTGATTTCTTCAGGGAAATTGTTAATAGGAGTGCCACCCAAACGTGAACGTAATTCTAAGTGTAGTGTGTTTCCATGTAATCAGCTGCCCACCAGGATGATTCAGGTTAGCTTTGTAATTGCAGAAGCAGCCTAGTTTTTTTAAATCTTTAGTAGCAATTAATAGGCAAGGAGACTGATAATTATGTTTCACAGTAGACTTTTATACCTCATTTTACCAAGAAAAAAAGTTTCTGTGTTATTTCTTAGATGGGTAAGAAGAGTTTTTATTTATTTTTTATTTTATTTGAGGCAGATTCTCACTCTGCCACCCAGGCTGGAGTCCAGTGGCAGGAACACAGCTCACTGCAATTTCAATCTCCTGGGCTCAAGCAATCCTCCCACCTCAGCCTCCCAAGTAGCTGGGACTGCAGGCACATGCCACCACACCCAGCTGGTTTTTTTATTTTTTGTAGAGATGAGGTCTCTCTGTGTTACCCAGGATGGTCTTGAACTCCGGGGCGTAAGCAATCCTTCCGCCTTGGCCTCGCAGAGTGCTGGGATTAGAGGTATGAGCCACCATGCCCTGCCAAGTTTTTCTTTTAAAAGTGAAGAAAAATATGAAGAACACCAGTAATTTCAGATGTGGGGTAGAAAATAAGATCATTCATACTGCTAATTTCTAGCAATATTTGCTGGTTTTAAAAGGTAGCCTTGTATTTGAAAGTTTTTTTTAATTATAAAAGTTGTTAATTTCTTTATTACCACACTATGTAAAAATAGTCATTTCCACCTCTACCTCTGTCACTTCTTAATCTCCTTACTCGTACTTGTCTTCCTCCATAATGCTTCTCATTATCTACAAACATATATACTTAATTTGTTTATCACATTAGAATGTAGATTCCAGGAAGACCAGAACTTTATTTCATTTGCTGTTGTGTTCCCAGTGCCTGAAATACAGTGCCTGGAACACAGTGAGCAATCAAGATACGTTTATTGAATGAATAAATCTTTTGCTCTTTTCTCACGTGCATATCATCTGGTTGTAATCACAGTGTGCATATAACTTTGTGTCTTGTGTTTTTATAAAATGTTATTACACAGAATAAATATCATCTTTTCCCCAGGTTGCCACATAACCTGCTTTGATCATTATTTTTCTGTATCCCGGAAACATAGCATAATTTACTAACCCGTCTCCTAGTTTGGGACATATAAATTGCTTTTGATCTTTCTGTATTATAAATTAATAGTATATTCATGTGAGGATGAAAAGATGCACAGATGGACAGACAGATGTATATATAGACAGACAGGTAAACTTTACAGTGGAAGAACTGGAGAAGTAGCTCTGCAGCTTGGAACAACACCCAGAATCACACTGCAGAGCCAGTCTCGTGAAGCTATGGCTGTACAGCCAGTACCACAAAGCTTGGAGATGGACCTCCAGCTTCCAGTGCCAAGTCTCTCAGACCAGTGAATCTTATTGACCCCCTGCTCTCCTCCAAGGGAAGCAGGACTGCAAATATCTGGTATTGTCTGTTTTTACAGGTAGAGAGAGGCACTGCCTCACCCAAACCACTGGGAGAAGGAATTCTTATATTTCCTAGAAAAATAATTTAGGACCACACACTGATAAAGCCATTTCTATATTTAGGATAATTTATATAACGTGGGTTCCCAGAAGTATAATTATCAGGCCAGAGGGCAGGAGCAAATTCTGATGATGAAGGACCAGATCTCTTGACCTCAATGGTTTAGTCTTGGAACTTTTTGCTTCCTTTATTAATCTTTCCTTTTACACATACGTAAAGCACATTTATTGGCTGTACTTATTCACTTAGTGAATAGAGTGTTTTGTTTCTTAGAACTTTAAATAGTTGTTGAGGTGAAGGGACTTATAGTCAAAGGAGAATCATCATCTCTTTTTTTTCCCCTCTTGATTAATTTTTTTTCTCTTTTAGATAGCGGTGCCTGGGTTTGTGCTAGAATCTGAAAATGGATGACATATTCATCCATTCATCACATATGGTGAATTTATTTCACCATAAATTGTTTTATGTTAGTGCACATGCAAACTTCTGTTTGTATGTGTGGAGTGGAAATTTCATCATTTATAGCAGTGTGAATTTATTCTCAAATGTTTTCTTTCAGCCTCCTTCTCCACCCTATGTAAAAGTAAATATCCGTAATACCTCTTTTCTCCTACTCTTCCCCTAGGCTTTTGTTTTGTTTTTGCTGATTGGTCAGCATTCACTTCATATCAGTTGTTGAGGTATAAAAACCAAGTAATGAGTCCCCATGTCCATCAGGGGGCTACAGCCTGCCTTAGTGGCAGGTGCTCTTGTCTCAAAGCCAGAGAACCTAGGTGTTAGTTTCAGCCTCACCACTAATGCACTGTGACTTCAGGAGCTCCCTCCCCTCAGTGGCTTTGGGGAAGGGGTGGGACTTAGAGTTGAAGTCATTCTGTGGACCTATTACAGTGTTCTTCATTTGCTCTGACTACATTTGCGTATCTTCCTGCCAGAATGGGAGGCTTCTGAGTCCAGAACTCAATCTTGTATTCATGTGCCCGGTGCGTGTTGGGTGGATATGGTTAAATGAGCCCAGTTTTGTTGTTCTTGTGGGTCTTTTCTATGTAACACAGTCCATATATTCTTGCCTACACTTTAAGTGAAAGAGGAACTTGTAAAGACCTCCTATCTTTAAGAATATTAGGGCCAGGCATGGTAGCTCACACCTGTAATTCCAGTGCTTTGAGAGGCCCAGGTGGAAGGATCACATGAGTTCAGGTATCAGTCTGGGCAACATAGTAAGACCCTGTGTCTACAAAAACTAAATTAAAGAAAAAATTTGACTGGGTGTGGTGGCTCACGACCTGTAATCCCAACGCTTTGGGAAGCTGAGGGAGGCAGATCACATGAGGTCAGGAGCTTGAGACCAGCCTGGCCAACATGGTGAAACCCCATCTCTACTAAAAATACAAAATTAGCAGGGTGTGGTGGCAGGCACCTGTAATCCCAGCTACTCGAGAGGTGGAGATAAGAGAATCGCTTGAACCTGGGAGATGGAGGTTGCAGTGAGCCGAGATTGCACTCCAGCCTGGGCGACAAGAGCAAGACTCCATCTCAAAAAAAAAAAAAAAAAAAAAAAAAAAAATTACTGGGTGTGGTGGCACATACCTGTAGTCCTGGCTACTCTGAGAGGCTGAGGCAGGAGGATCACTTGAGCCCAGGAGGTCAAGGCTGCAGTGAGCCATGATTGCACCACTGGCACTGCAGCCTGAGTGACAGAGCCAGACCTTGTCTTTATTTAATAAAAAGAAGAATATTAGATTACTGCACCGTTAGGTTGAAGATGCTATATGCAGAACATGGTGTTTCTGGGCTCTCCAGGTCTTTCCTCCTCTCCTTGTAGGTTTAAAAATGTTTTGAGTTGGTTGGACTCCATGGTAACATTCTTGTGAACTTTCAGTTGAGGAAAGGTGATCTTTAAGGGGAAAGGGGTGGAGGGAGAGAGAGTTTAACAGTGGCAGCAATCTAGGTGAAGGGAGAACTTTGTAAAGCAGAGTACATCTTCCCTAGAAGCAATTAGTCATATTATTAGACAAACTGTTTCAGCAGCTGGCAAAACAGCAGGAACATGTCGATTTTGCTTCCTTGGTTACAGGCAGTGATAGTGTACTTGACCTTCCGCAGAGCTGGGTCACAGAGAGGGCATCTTTAAACAGCCCTGTCTGGTTTGGGTGAATGGAATCTGCACTGGCAGGGTTTGAAAGCAAATGCCTGTGAGTTCCCTCAACCAACCTCTGGCCTTTTGGGTTGGACTCTCTTTGGCCTGGGAGGTTGCTGAGGAAAAATATAAATAAAGCTGCAGGGAGCCATTGGCATGGTAAGTGTGAGTGTCCTAAAGAAAACAAGACTGCAGTATTGAAGTCTATTCTCTTTCCCTGTGTTTCTGGGGGAGAAGCCTTGTAATGCAATGTATTTCAGTAGTCACTTATTTTTACAGCAGTTAGTATAATAGCAGTGGATTTAGACACCTATTGTATATTTGAAGAAATTCAATTTAATGTCTTGCTATGCTAAGCTCTTAGCAAATCGTTTCTTAATAGGAACTTGTATTTGAATATGCTGGCTAAATTCAGGTGGGGCAAAAGTTGTTTGTTGTTTTTGGCAGGTTACTCTGCCTGTGAACAGTTTATGAACCATATTGCTCTTAAATATCTCATTGTTTTACATAATTGTGGGGAGTGGTTGTTGACTTGGGATTTTTGTTTTTTTGTGACAAGAAATTTAGCGCTAAGTTTTACCTTTTTAAAATCTCTATTGCCAACTGTAAAATTCAAAACTGGCTAATGAATTCTGATATAAATGATGCTGGTTTATAATATTTAGGTTTCATTCCCTCATTAGCTTTACTGTAAAGAAGAGCTGGATATATATGTCATCAAGAGAAGTAGTTCTTTACTAACACTGTTATTGTAAGGTTCCAGTCCTTTGAGGACTGGAACTGCACATAAAAGTCAGCAGCCTCCTGTGGATTCTTCTCGCTGATGCAAGTTGCTGCACAAAGGGGGTTAATCTCTTTGCCCATTGGCCCTTCAACACACTTACTATTTAATGGTCCTTTGAAATAAACTAAAGGAGGGTATGTGGTACATTTCAGTTCAAGCTGGAGGTGTCCCCTGCCTAACACCCTTTACCCTACTTAAGGGTTTTACATTGTTCATGATTTCACTGAAGTGTTGAGAAGTACTGAGTTCCTGTTTGAGATTTGTAACACTAGATCTGCACAATGTTTTTTCACAGAGTGTAACTCTGTTATCCTATTAGTAACCCATGAGAATTTTTGTAGCCAAAATCCAGAATAAGTTATAGATTTGGAAACTCTTAATATTGCACATTTAATTCAATGAAATGAGCATCTTTTTCTCTTTTTTAATCCCTTTTTTCTTTTTTTTTTTTCTTTTTCTTTTTTTTTTTTTTGGAGATAGGGTCTTGCTATCTCAAAGGCTGGAGCACAGTGGTGCCATCATAGCTTACTGTCACTGTAGCCTCAAACTCCTGAGCTCAAGTGCTCCTTCCGCCTCAGCCTCCTAAGCAGCTGGGACTGCAGGCATGCGACACCACGCCTGGATAATGTTTTTAATTTTTAGTAGGGATGGGGTCTTGCAATGCTGTCCAGGCTGGTACTCAAACTCCTGGCCTCAAGTGATCTTCCTACCTCGCCCTCCCAAACTGCTGTGATTATAGACATGAGCCGCTGCACCTGGCCTGTGAGCATCTTCTTCAACCTAGATGTTCATTTTTCAGCAAGTGATTCCATGTAAACGTCAGAAATTTTTCCTGACAATTATTTCCTTATAAAACAAACAAACAACAAAAACAACAACAACAAAAACCCTGCTGCCAAAGCAATGTCATGCCATTATGGAATAGAGGAGGTTCTCATTCCAGGGTGAAGATGTATGAACTTCCTCAGCAGCCTCATAAACCCCCCTGTGTCGGTGGAAGCCAGTACTCCTTGGTTTATATAATGAACTGCCAGGGCAGGTGTTGTGCTGTACCTCCAGGGTGTGTAATTAGCAGACAGGCACAAGAGTAGAGTAAAGCAAAGCAAAGTCTAGGCAGAGTCCCAGGATCAAAGGCTTAAGACAGAGACTGCTTATTCATCCCCTAAGGTATTCATTCCCTAAGTGTTCATTCACTAAGCATTCATTGTGGGCCTAATATGTGCCTGGCCTTGGGAATAAACAGAGAAATAGGAAATGTGGTGTTCTGTGGAGAGTACTAAGGTGCAGGGACTGTGGGAACCCAGAGGAGGGCATTTGTATTAACCTGAGGGGTGTCAGGAAAGGCTGGCCAGAGGAGCATGGCTTTTATTAAATTATTTAGTGTTTAATAAAACATTTGTGTGTTCTGCAAGCGTGGTTACCTTTACAAAGGATGTGAAATGGAACAGATGATTTTACCCTCTAAGTATGAGTTTGGAGACCAAGCCTTGGAAGGCCTGTGTCTAAAGATATTTCACACCCAGCTTGCCCATGGTTTTAATTGAGTCCTTTGGACTGGCAGTTTTCCTGTCAAGGTAAAATGCCCTAACCAAGGTATAACACACACCTGGGTGTTGTCAGGCATTTATACAGTGTAAACTAAGTGATCCTGTCCTTTGCAACTTGAGCAGGTTGAAAGGGTAGAAAATAGGATAAGGCAGAAGCCAAGACTGACATTAGGCACTGAGGTGTGGGCAGGAAAAAATAGAAAGGAAATGCTTCAACTAGTCAGAAATGCATCTAATATTTTTATATCCTTTTTACCAAACTGACTTTTTATTGCTGTGCTGATGAGTCTCAATAAAATATTTCTGGGAAAAAAGGCCAAGCATGGTGGCTCACGTCTGTAGTCCTAGCCCTTTGGGAGGCCAAGACAGGCGGATCACCTGAGGTCAGGAGTTCGACACCAGCCTGGCCAACATGGTGAAACCCCGTCTCTACTAAAAATACAAAAATTAGCCGGGCATGGTGGTGGGTGCCTGTAATCCCAGCTGCTCGGGAGGCTGAGGCAGGAGAATCGCTTGAACCTGGGAGGCGGAGGTTACAGTGAGCCGAAGCTGCATCACTGCACTCCAGCCTGGGCGACAGGAGCAAAACTCCATCTCAAAAAAAAAAAAAAGAAATGTTTCTGGAAAAAAAGTAAATTTCCTTCCTTGATGTCTATTCATAATTATCAGACTGTAAATTCATACAACTGCAAGAATTTCTTAGCGGTCCCATCATAACATCACTTTGCCTTCATGCAAGACCATATCTCAGCTGCCTCTGGTGCCACTAGAACATACCTTTTTTCTAATGGCTTCAGGAGTAGGGGATCCCAAACATTTTCTGTTTAACCTGTCACTTCCAGAGTTAGTCGTCTTTTCACTGAATCTCAGGGCTATTCACTCAATCTAAATTTATTACTGAGCCTACAGGGAGCCCATTGCCAGTGTGACCCATGCCCCCTCTCAGGTAAAAGGTCTTTTGGGCTTCTCATATCAAGGGAATAAATAAAATTTGCAGATGTATCCCTGAACAGGTGAGGAAGCCAAAATCCAGGGAGTTTAAACTGTACCTCAGGCAAGGTAGCAAAGCCAAGGGACAGCAGTCTCAGCGCCCAACCTGTGCTTTCCAGTAACTGTTTGTCCTCCACAGCAGCTTAGAGGCAGGGCCACATCTGGTTGCCCTGTGCGCACAACCCCAACATGGCACAGAGTAAGTGCTTACCAGGTTCCGGTAAAGCATAGACCACTGTCACTTTGTTTTAATGACATAGAAAACTTTCTGAGATATGTGAAATACTTTTTGAATAGTGTTTTTAAATTTTTGTTTTTTTATCCACTCATCTGCGTACTGATTTTAAATAAACTTTTTATTGTAGTATAACATACCTAAGTTTAAAATTCATCAGCTTATGATGAATTATCACAGAGAAAACATTTCTATATACTCACCACCCAAGTTAAGAACAGAATAGAAATTTCCTGCAGCCCAGAAGCTCTCCTTATGCCCCCTCCCAATCATTACCTGCACCTTCTTCCTTAAAGATGAACTCTACCCCAGCCCCTTATACCATGGGTTGAATTCGTTGTTGTTGTTTATTCATTCTTTTTTTTTTTTTTTTTTTTTTGAGGCAGAGTCTCACCCTGTCGCCAGGCTGGAGTGCAGTGGTGCAATCTCAGCTCACTGCAACCTCTGCCTCCTGGGTTTAAGCGATTCTTCTGCCTCAGACTCCCGAGTAGCTGGGACTACAGATGCGCACCACCACGCCCAGATAATTTCTGTATTTTCAGTAGAGGTGGGGTTTCACCATGTTGGCCAGGATGGTCTCAATCTGTTGACCTCATGATCCGCCAACCTCGGCCTCCCAAAGTGCTGGGTCTGCAGATGTGAGCTGCCACACCCAACCTATTCATTCTTTAAAAAAAAAAAAAAAAGCCAGCTGTGGTGGAGTGTACCTGTAGTCCCAGCTACTCAGGAGGCTGAGACAGGAGGATCGCTTGAGCCCAGGAGTTCCAGGCTGCAGTGAGCTATGATTGTGCCACTGCACTTCAGCCTGGGTGACAGAACAAGACCCTGTCTCTAAAAAAAGAAAAGAAAAATTCACAGCTCTATTAAGATATAATTCATATACCATACAATTCACTTTTTTTTTTTTTTTTTTTTTGAGATAAGTTCTCATTCTGTCACCCAGGCTGGAGTGAATTTGCACAATCATAGCTCACTGCAGCCTTGACCCTCCGGTCGAGTTGAACCCTCTGGGTTCAAGTGAGTCTCCCACCTCAGCCTCCTAAGCAGCTGAGACCACAGACACACGCCATCACGCCTGGCTAGTTTTTTTAATTTTTTAATAGAGACCAAGTTTCACTATGTTGCCCAGGCTGGCAGTTCACCTATTTAAGGTGTAGAATTCTGTGGCTTTTCGTATATTTACAATATTGTGCAGCCATCGCTAATACCTAATTTCAGAACATTTTCTTTACCCCCTCAAAAAAAAAAAAAAAAACCCCACACTCCTTAGCTCTCACCCCCCAGCCCTAGGCAACTGCTACTTTACTTTCTATCTTTATATTTGTTCTGGACATTTCATATAAATTGAATCATATAGTCTTTTGTGACTGGCTTCTTTTACCTAGCATAATGTCTTTAAGGCTTATCCATGTTGTAGCATGTACCAGTACTTCGTTTCATTATTGCCAAATAATATGCCATTGTATGGATATACCACATTTTATCTATTCATCAGTTAATGGACTTGGGCGTTTTTACTTTTTGGCTATTAGGAATAATGCTGTGAACATTGTGTACCAGTTTTTCTGTGGACACGTTTTCATTACGTGTGTGTGTGTGTGTGTGTGTGTACACCTAAGAGTGGAATTGCTGGTCAAATAGTAACTATTTTCAAACTTTTGAGGAACTGCCAGACTGTTTTTCAAAGAGACTGCACCATTTTATGTTCCCACCAGCTGTGTATGAAGGATCTGGTTTCTCCTCAACCTTGCTAACATTTGTTATCCTGCATCTTTTTTATTGTAGCATCCCTAGAGGGTGTGAAGTGGTATCTTATTGTGATTTTTATTTGTATTTCCAGTGATATTGAATATTTTTTCAAGTGCTTATTGGCCATTTTGTATATCTTCTTTGGAGACATGTCTGTTCAATCCCTTTGCTCATTTGTAATTGGTTTTTGTCTTCTTTTCATTGAGTTATAAGGGTTCTTCATATATTCTGAATAAAAGTCCCTTATCAAATGTGATTTGAGAATTATTTTCTCCCATTGTATCAGTTTTCTTTTTCACTTTCTTACCGTCTTGAAGCACAAAAGATTTTAATGTTGGTAAAACCCATTTTATGTATTTTGTTGTTGTTGCTTTTGCTTCAAGTGTAATACATTAAGAAACCATTGCCTAATCCAAGGTCATGAAGATTTGCACCTGTGTTTTTTAATTTTTGTATATGAGTTTGGATTTAATATTTTAAAATAAAATACAAAGAATTTTCTGTTTGAGAGACACATTAGCACATTGTATCATGTGTAGCAAAGACAGTTATATAGTTTTTATAACTTAGGTTTAGAAAAATTTTCAGGTTTGTGACAGTATCAGTTATCATTTGCTGAATGTAACTGATGTTTAACTTACTATTCATTAACCTTCACACCAGTGCCATAAAGTAGTAACAATATGTCCATGTTGAATTTGAGGAAATTTTGAAGTTTCACGTTTTAGCTATTAGAGGGTTTATTTGTTTATTTATTGAGACGGAGTCTCGCTCTGTCCCCCAGGCTGGAGTGCAGTGGTGCGATCTCAGCTCACTGCAAGCTCTGCCTCCCAGGTTCACACCATTCTCCTGCCTCAGCCTCCCGAGTAGCTGGGACTCCAGGCGCCCACCGCCATGCCCAGCTAATTTTTTGGTAGAGACAGGGTTTCACCGTGTTAGCCAGGATGGTCTCAATCTCCTGACCTCGTGATCCGCCCGCCTCGGCCTCCCAAAATGCTGGGATTACAGGTGTCAGCCACCACGCCTGGCTAGAGGGTTAATGACTTGTTTAAGGTGACAGTACAAGTTTCAGAGCCCAGGTCTGTCAGATTCCATAGCCTGTGGGTACTCCAATAATGTTGATGGCTTTAAAACTTCTTGCAAATAAAGTAAGGACCTGAGCCAAAATTTGGCCTGTTATTCTGCCAGTGAAGAATTTTCAATACAGTCACAAACCAAATGTGAACCACATAATGACGGTTCTGTCAGTGCTTGAGTGCCTATAGGAAGGAAGGTAGTCCCATAAGATTATAACTGTATTTTTACTGTACCTTTTCTATGTTTAGATACACAGATACTTACCATTCTGTTAGAGTCGGTTATAGTATTCACCACAGTCACATGCTGTACAGGTTTGTAGCCTAGGGGCAATAGGCCATACCACATAGCCTAATGTGTAGTAGGCTATGCCATCTAGGTTTGTTGTAAGTACATGTTATCATGTTCACATGATGAAATGACCTAATGACACATTTCTCAGAACATATTCCTGTCTTTAAGCAACACATAACTGTATCTAAAACTGGCAGAATTAACTTGCAGACTAATAGACTCAACCAAAATTTTAAATGTTCATTATTAAAGGATGCAATGAATATGCTCTGATAAAGTGATTGGCCAGCCTTTTCTTTTCAGTTATAAATAAACAGAGCTAGCAGTTATGTGTACATGGATCCTGGGAGACATACCTTGCAGGATCTCAGCCTCACCATACCTCCTATAAAATGGTTGTGCTTGTCCTGCCTATTTCTTAGCCAAGAGAGAGCTAATCCATATTTTTTAAGCTAAAAGTCACTGTAAAAATACTGGATTCTGTTGACTTCATTGTAGTGAATTTGTTGTTAAAATGTATGCTTATGAAAGAAAAAAAAATTTAATAGCCCAGTAATGAATTAATTGATAATATTTTATCAAATTGAGATATAATTCACATACCATAAAATTCATTTTTTAAAAATATACAGCTTAGTGGGTTTTAGTACATTCACAAGAGTATGCAACCATCACCACTATCTAAATCCAGAATGTTTTTATCATGCCCCCACTAAAAAACCCACATCTCTTAGCAATTATTCTTGCTACCCCTGTTCCCCTGTCACCTGGCAACCACTAATCTACTTTCTGTCCCCATGGATTTGCCTATTCTGGACATTTTAAATAAATAGAATCATGCAATATATGGTGGTCTTTCGTGGCTGAGTCTTCCATGTTGTAGCATGTATCAGCACTTCATTCCTTTTTATTGCCAAATAATACTCCATTACATGGATATACCATGTTTTATTTATCCATTCATCATTTGGGAGATATTTGAGTTGTTTCTACTTTTTGCCTGTTATCACTAATGCTGCTGTGAACATTTGTATACAAGCTTTTGTGTAGACATGTGTTTTTCTTTGTCTTGAGTATATACCTAGGAGTGAAATTATGGGTCATATGGCAACTCTGTGTTTACCCTTTGAGGAACAACCAGACTGTTTTCCAAAGTAACTGTACCATTCTACATTACTACCAGCAATGTATGAAGGTTCCCATCTCCACATTTTCACCAATACTTGTTATTGTCCATGTTTAACATTGTAGCCATCCTAGTGGATATGAAGTGGTATCTCATCATGGTCTTGATTTGCATTTCCCTAACTAATGACCTTGGAACATCTTTTCCTGTGCTTATTGGCCATTTGTATATCTTCTAGGAGAAATTTCTGTTTAACTCTTTGCTCATTTTTAAATTGGGATTTTTGTCTTGTTATTAAGTTGTAATGATATATGATTTGCACTTTTTTTTTCCCCCATTTTATAGGTTGTCTTTTCACTTCCTTGATGGTGTCTTTTGAAACACAAAACTCATTAATTTGAGTTCAGGTACGCTGGCTCACACCTGTAATCCCAACACTTTGGAAGGCCAAGGAGGAAGGATCACATGAGCCAGGAGTTGGAGACAAGCCTGGGCAACATAGGGAGACCTCATCTCTGCAAAAATATTTAAAATTAGGTGGCGCACGCCCATAGTCCCAGTTACATGGGGGGCTGAGGTAGGGAGATCACTTGAGCCTGGGAGGTTGGTTGAGGCTGCAGTGAGCCAAGATTGTGCCCCTGCATTCTGGCCTGGGCATCCAGGAGTGAGACCGTGTCTCAAAAAACAAAAAAAAAATTTTTTTTAAGGCCAGGTGCAGTGGCTCACGCCTGTAATCCCAGCACTTTGGGAGGCCCAGGCGGGTGGATCACCTGAGGTCAGGAGTTGGAGACCAGCCTGACCAACATGCAGAAACCCTGTCTCTACTAAAAATACAAAATTAGCCTGGTGTGGTGGCTCATGCCTATAATCTCAGCTACTCAGGAGGCTGAAGCAGGAGAATCACTTGAACCCAGGAGGCAGAGGTTGCGATGAGCCGAGATCGCACCATTGCACTCCAGCCTGGGCAACAAGAGTGAAACTCCGTCTCAAAAACAAACAAAAAAAATTTAAATTGGCCCGGCATGGTAGCACACACCTGTGATCCTAGCTGCTCAGGAAGCTGAGGTTGGGAGGATTGCTTGGGCCCAGGAGGATGAGGCTGCAGTGAACCATAATTGTGCTACTGCGCTCTAGCACAGGCAACAGAGTAAGAGATCTTGTCCCCCCCAAAAAAAAAGTTTCTAGTTTTAATGATTATTTTCTAATTTTTCTTGTGCTATTTTTGCTTTTGGTGTCATCTAAGAAACAATCACCTAATTCAAGTTCACGAAGATTTACACCTGTGTTTTCTGAGAGTTTTATAGTTTTAACTCTTACATTTAGATCTTTGATCCATTTTGATTTTTTTTTTTTGTAATAGTGCAAGGTAGGTGTCCAGATTTGTTCCCCTGCATTTGATTTCCACTTGTCCCATCACCATTTGTCGAAGACTGTTCTTTGCCTATTGAATTATCGTGGCACCTTTATCAAATTTGAACATATAGGTGAGGGTTTATTTCTGCATTCTCTGTTATATTCCATTGGTCTGTATGTCTTGTCTTTATGCCGGTACTGCAATTTTTTTAAGTTACAAATTGAGTTTATATTGCATATATTTACAGTACAAAGTGATGTTATGATCCGTGACTACAATGTGTAAAAATTAAATCAAGCTCATTAACATATCCATCACCTTAAATACTTATTTTTGCCATGAGAACATTTGAAATTTACTCTTAGCAATTTTGAAATGTACAATAGGCTATTATTAACTGTATTCGCCATGCTGTGCAATAGGTCTAAAAAAAAAGAAAAGTATTCCTCCTAAGATTTTGTACCTTTTGACCTGACTTTCATCTCCCCATTCCCCCTGCCCCTCAGCCTCTGTTAACTACCATTTTACTCTGGTTTTATGAGTTTGATTCTTTTAGATTCCACATTTAAGTAAGAACATGTGGTATTTGTCTTTCTGTGCCTGGCTTATTTCACTTACCATAATGTTCTCCAGTTCCATCCGTGTCATCAGAAATGACAGAATTTCCTTCTTTTTAAAGGCTGAATAGTATTCCATTGTGTGTATATACCACATTTTCTTTATTCATTCATCTATTGATGGACTTGTTGGTTGATTATGTAACTTGGCTATTGCAAACAGTGCTGCAGAGAACATGGGAGTGCAGACATCTCTTCAACAAACTGATTTCAAATCTTTTTGGGTAAACACCCAGAAGTGTGATTGCTGGATTCCACACAGTTTTAATTACCGTAGCTTTGTAAATAAGTTTTGAAATAAGGAAGTGTGAGACCTCCAACTTTGTTCTTTTTCAAGATTGTTTTGGATACTCTGGGTCCCATGCATTCCCATATGAATTTTAGGATCATTTTGTCAATTTATGCAAAAAAGCACCTGAAATTTTGATAGGGATTACATTGAATCTTTAGATCAATTTGGGGAATATCACCATCTTAACAATATTAAGTCACAAATGTCTTTCTATTTATTTAGGTTTTTTTTTTTTTTTTTTTTGACGGAGTCTTGCTCTGTTGCCAAGGCTGGAATGCAGTGGCACAATGTCGGCTCACTGCAAGCTCTGCCTCCCGGATTCACACCATTCTCCTGCCTCAGCCTCCTGAGTAGCTGGGACTACAGGCACCCGTCACCACGCCCGGCTAATTTTTTGTATTTTTAGTAGAGACAGGGTTTCACTGTGTTAGCCAGGGTGGTCTCAATCTCCTGACCTTGTGATGCACCTGCCTCGGCCTCCCAAAGTGCTGGGATTACAGGCGTGAGCCACCGTGCCCAGCCTATTTAGGTGTTTTAAATTTCTCATAGCAATATCTTATAGTTTTCAGTATTCAAATCTTGCATTTCTTTTGTTAAATTTATTTTATTTCTAAATATATTATCCTTTTTGATGCATGGTCAGTGGGATTGCTTCCTTAATTTCATTTTCAGATTGCTCATTGCTAATATATAAAAATACAATTGATTATTGTGTTTTTGTTTTGGGTTTTTTTTTTTTTTTTTTTTGGTTTTTTTTTTGGAGACAGAGTTTCACTCATGTCGCTCAGGCTGGAATGCAATGGCGTGATCTTGGCTCACTGCAACCTCCGCCTCCTGGGTTCAAGCAATTCTCCTGTCTCAGCCTCCTGAGTAGCTGGGATTACAGGCCCCGCCATCATACCCGGCTTATTTTTGTGTTTTTTAGTAGAGATGGGGTTTCACCATGTTGGCCAGGCTGGTCCTGAACTCCTGACCTCAGGTAATCCGCCTGCCTTGGCCTCCCAAAGTGCTGGGATTACAGGTGTGAGCCACTGTGCCTGGCCTTGTTTTTTGTTTTTGAAAGTCTTGCCCAGGCTGTGTAGTGACACAATCATGGCTCACTGCAACCTAGAACAACTGGGCTCAAGCAATCCTCCCACCTTAACCTACTGAGTACCCGGGACTTACAGGCACGTACCACCACACACACCTGATTTTTTGATTTTTTTGTAGAGATGGGTCTTGCTTTGTTGTCCGGACTGGTCTTAAACTCCTGACCTCAAGTGATCCTCCTACCTCGGTCTCCCAAAGTGCCAAGGTTACAGGCTTGAGCCACTGCACCTGGCCAGTTTTTGTGTTTTGATCTTATATCCTGCAACCCTGAAACTCGTCTACTTGCTCTGATGGGTTTTTTGTGGATTCTGTGGGATTTTTTTCTATATGAGATCATGTTATTTGCAAACAGAGATAGTTTTCTTCCTTTCTATTCTGAATGTTTTTATTCTTTTTCTTTCCTAATTGCCCTGGCTAGAACCCCTAGTGCAATGTTGAGGTAGAGAGAATGGACATCCTCATCTTATTCTTAACCTTAGAAGGAAAGCTTTTAGTCTTTTACCGCTAAGTATACTGTATAGCTGTGAGTATTTTATAGAGACCCTTTATCAGATTGAGAACTTTCCTTTTATATCTCGTTTATTGAGTGTTTTTTTCATGAAATGTTGTTAGATTTTGTCAAATGCTTTTTCGCCATCAATTGAAATAATTATGTGGCTTCTGTCCTTTATTCCTTTAATGCAATGTATAGAACTGTTTGATTTTCATATTTGAACAAGCTTGCTTTCCTGGGATGAACCCCAGTTATTCGTGGTGTATAATCCTTTATATACCACTGGATTTGGTTTGCTAGAGTTTTGTAGAGGATTGTTTGTGTTTCTATTCATAAGAGATATTGGTCTGTAGTTTTCTTTTCCTGTGATGTCTTTGGTTTCAGTATCAGGTAATATTGGCCTCACAGAATTGGGAAGTGTTTTCTTCTAATTTTAGGAAGAGTTTTTTGTGAAGTGTTCACAATATACTTTTTTTTTTTTTTTTTTTTTTTTTTTTTTGAGACAAAGTTTCACTCTTGTTGCCCAGGGTGGAGTACAATAGCATGATCTTGGCTCACTGCAACCTCCGCCTCCCGGGTTCAAGCGATTCTCCTGCCTCAGCCTCCCTAGTAGCTGGGATTACAGGCACGGGCCACCATGCCTGGCTAATTTTGTATTTTTAGTAGAGACAGGGTTTTACCATGTTGGTCAGGCTTGTCTCTAACTCCTGACCTCAAGTGATCCACCCACCTCGGCCTCCCAAAGTGCTGGGATTACAGGCGTGAGCTACCGCCGCCGACCCACAATACACTTTTTTTTTTTTCTGTCACCCAGGCTGGAGTGCAGTGGCACAATCTCCGCTTACTGCAGCCTCCACCTCCCTGGTTCAAGCGATTCTCCTGCCTCAGCCACACGAGTAGCTGGGATTACAGGTGCGCACCATCGTGCCTGGCTAATTTTTTTTTTTTTTTTTAATGTAGAGATGGAGTTTTACCATTTTGGCCAGCTGGTCTCGAACTCCTGACCTCAAGTGATCTGCCCACCTTGGCCTCCCGAATGCTGGGATTATAGGTGTGAGCCAGCACACCCAGCCACAATACACTTTCTATCAAGAAAAAATATATCTGCCTGCTTCAGATACCCAGGTGACCACTCAGCACCTTGTACCTTGCCTTTGGGATAGGTATTGACTAAATTTCAGACCCTGTGGTCCTGACAGGCTTTTCCCAGCTCCATCCCATTGGGGCTGAGAAATTACCAGGACGCTTTTATAAGTACTAATCCCAGTAGGTTTCAGTGTAATGTTGGTTTTGTTTGTCATCCCCTGCTGTGTTGTGAGAGCCTTTCTCGGGAAACCATATTAAAGGAATGTTTTACAGGTGGCTTTGGAGACAGGGATAACATTCAAAGATCATCTTTAAAATGTTGTTTTGGTAGGTTTTTACTTTATTAAAGTGTGCAGAGCACAACTGCAAATTCCTTTGGTTTCTTCTTACATTTTCAACATTTGAAACAGCTGTTTTAAGATTGTATTTTCCTGGGGGGCATCCTGTAGCAACATCTCATTGATTGCTTTGTCATCATCCTTCTGGGTCCATACCTCAGAACCATACAAGTTCATCACTCCAGGCCACAGTGAAAGCAAGAGGCGTGGTCTTCAGGCCACCTCTGGGCATCATTCTGAACCCCCTTGTGATCCAGCCCACTTCTCACCCACAGGTAACACGTACACAGACCTCTCGGCCGGAATCTCCAGGGATGACCAGCCCCTCCCCACGCATCCAGATAATCTCCACCGACTCTGCTGTAGCCTCACCTCAGCGCATTCAGGTACCTGCAACCTGCCAATGGCAACCCTGCCTTTCCAGAAGAACTCTTTCCAAAAACAAACCTTCCTAAGGGTTTCACTAAAGAGTTGTGCCTTTTGGGCATGAAATACAGTACAACTTCATCAATTCTTTAAAAAAAATAAAGAAAAAATGCTTACATTTATTTAACCAACTTACATTTAAAGCAAAAGCCTAAACTGTTGTTTCAAACCATTGAGATAAAGTACCATTTTATTACTTATTTGCTTCTAAATTGAGAGGCAGTATGTCTTAGTACTGTAATTAAGAGCAAGGGCCCCTACTTGAAGTCAAATCCAGTGCCCCACTTAGCTTTGTTGACCTTGGTCAATTAACTTTTTAATGCCTCACTTTCTTCATTTGGAAAATAGACATAATAGTAGTATTTGCCTCACGAAGTTATTATGAAGAATCAAAGGGATATTGCTTATAAAGTGCTTAGAATGGTACCTGGCACATAATAATGTTCAATATTTACTAATTATATAATAACTTATTACTAATATTGTTATTAACTAATCGATATTCACTTATGGGAAGTTGTCTTCCCTAGGGCTCTGAACCTGCCTCTGGCCCATTGAGTGTTTTCACATCTTTGAACAAAGAGAAGGTAGGTGTATCAAGCTTGAAGGCAAAAAGCTGGGAGGAAGGGATAATATATTGATGACAAAGATTTATTGTTATCTCAACAAGCTGAATCAAAAAGCCAATTATAACGGTTGATTTCTCTGTTTTTCTTCTTGCAGTTTTATCAGTTTTTTTGGCTCACTTTGATGCTCTGTTGTTAGTTGCATATATGTTTTATATTGTTATGTCTTTTTGGAGAATTAACCCTTTCTTGATCTTAGCCAAAAGGTCGAGAAGCGATGGAGAATTAACCCCTTTCTTGCTTGCTTTCTTGGTTGCTTGCTTTCTTTTTATTTATTTATTTTTGAGACAGAGTCTTGCTATGTTGCCCAGGCTGGTCTTGAACTCCTGACCTCAAGTGATACTCCTGCCTCAGCTTCCCAAAGTGCTGGGATTACAGGCATGAGCCACCATGCCCAGCCACCCCTTTCTTATTATGTACCATTTCCCTTTATGTTTATTTTCCTTGTTCTGAAGTCTGCTTTGTCTGAAATTACTATAGTTTTCTTTTTATTAGTGTTAGTTGCTAGCATGGTATAACTTTCTCTATGTTTTGACATTTTTTCTTTTTTTTGAGACAGGGTCTTGCTCTGTCACCCAGGCTGGAGTGCAATGGCGTGAACACAGCTCACTGCAGCCTCTACCTCAGAGGCTCAAGCCATCCTCCCATCTACGCCTCCCAAGTAGCTGGGACTACAGGTGCATACCACCATGCCTGGATACACACACGCATAATGCTTTTTTTTTTTTTTTTTTTTTTTTTATAAATAGGGATGGGGTTTCACCATGTTGCCAAGGTGGGTCTCAAACTCCTGAGCTCAAGCAATCCACCTGCCTCAGCCTCCCAAAGTGCTGGGACTACAGGTGTGAGCCAGCGTGCGTGGCCAACTTTTTTTTTTTTTTTTTTTTAGGAGAATCTTGCTCTGTTGCCCAGGCTGGAGTGCATTTACTATTCACAGACAGGATCATAGGGCACTACAACCTCAAACTCCTGAGCCCAAGCTGTCCTTTTGCCTCAGCCTCCCAAGTAGTTGGGACTACAAATGTGCACCACTGTCAGCTTCTCCATCCCTTTATTTTGCATCTGTCTGTGTCTTTATTTATAAAATGGGTCTCCTGTAGGCAATATGTATTGGGGTCTTGATTTTTTCCCATTTTTTTCCTACTTCCTACATAATTTCATAAGGGTCTTGTTTTTTTACCCAGCTGACAATCTGTCTTTTCATTGGTGGATGTGGATCAATTCATATTTAAAGTGATTGTTGATATATTTGGATTAATATCCTCCATTTAGGCTGGGTACAGTGGCTCATACTTGTAATCCCAGCACTTAGGGAGGCTGAAGAAGGCTTATTACTTGAGCCCAGGAGTTCGAGACCAGCCTGGGCAACAAAGTGAGATTGTATCTCTACAAAAAAACTAAAAAATTAGCCAGACATGGTGATGCATTCCTGTAGTCCTAGCTACTTGGGAGGCTTTGGTGGGAGGATTGCTTGAGCCCAGGAGGTTGAGGCTGCAGTGAGCTGTGATCATGCCACTGCACTCCAGCCTGGGCCACAGAGAGACCCTGTCTCAAAAAAATAAAATAGTAATTCAGAACTATTCATATGAGCTAAAATTTATACTTAAGTAAAAGATTTATTTACCATTTTGCAAAGGTCAGGATTTATTTACCTTTTTGCAAACCTTTTTTAAAGCAGGTTCTTTTTACCCTTTTTATTTTTAGTCAATAATCTTTGCTATTATCTTTTGGTATGCTCTAATATACCCTGACCTATCTTATAAACTTTATATATATGCTATATGTAAATTCTATGTATACTATAGGAAATTGTGTATATGTAGGTATGTGAGTGGGCAGGTGGGTATGTGTGTGTATATAAATAGTATAGGAAATCTGAAGAGCTGGTTTTGGGTTGAGGGACAAACCCTTGAAGGGATTCTCATTGTACTCAGAAAGAAATCCAAACTCGCAGCAGGGCCGTTCCACCTCCCTCTCTAGGTTCCTGGGCCATGCTGGTTGTCTGTGGGCCTGATAGCAGTTCCCAAGAAACTGTTCCTCCCAGGGCTTTCCATATACCAGAACATTTCTCTTTGCTGGGAACACTAAACATTTATTTGGCTGCTGTCTCCTCAGCCTTGAATCTTTTTTTTTTTTTTTTTTAAAGGCATTTCGCTCTTGTCGCCCAGGCTGGAGTACAGTGGCACAGTGTTGGCTCACTGCAACTTCTGCCTCCCAGGTTCAAGCAATTCTTCTGCCTCAGCCTCCCAAATAGCTGGGATTACAGACATGCGCCACCACGCCAGGCTAATTTTGTATTTTCAGTAGAGACAGAGTTTCACCATGTTGGCCAGGCTGGTCTCGAACTCCTGACCTCAGCTGATCAGCCTGCCTCGGCCTCCCAAAGTGCTGGGATTACAGGCGCGAGCCACTGTGCCACCCAGCCCAAATCTCATCTTAAATGTCACCTTGTCACAGAGGTTTTCCCTGACCTCTCTTTTTTTTTTTTTTTTTGAGGCGGAGTCTCGCTCTGTCGCCCAGGCTGGAGTGTAGTGGCGCGATCTTGGCTCACTGCAACCTCCGCCTCCCGGGTTCATGCCATTCTCCTGCCTCAGCCTGCCGAGTAGCTGGGAATACAGGTGCTCGCCACCACACCTGGCTAAATTTTTATATTTTTAGTAGGGACGGGGTTTCACCATGTTAGACAGGATGGTCTCGGTCTCCTGACCTTATGATCCGCCTGCCTCGGCCTCCCAAAATTCTGGGATTACAGGCATGAGCCACCGTGCCCAGCCCCCTGACCTCTCTTTTTAAAGTTAAGTACTTTTGTTATTCAGGGTTACCCCAACCTGATCTTTTCCCTCATAACATGTACCATAAATTGAAATTGTTTACTGACTGGTTTGTTTCCTTGTGTATTGCCAGTCTCTTCCATTGAACTAAAAGTTTCATGAGGGCAGGAGCCATCTTCATATGCCACTGTCTAACACAGTGTCTGACAGAGTAGCCCCTCAGTAAATATTTTAGGAATGAATGAAAGAATGAGTAAGCCATGGTAAAAAGTCTTGACTTTTTCCTCAGGAGCGATTTGATAAGATGAAAGGGATAAGACAAGACTGAGTGAGGAAAGGAGTATGTGAGAGCTTAGAGGGAAGAAATACTTTACCAAGGTCCTGTCATGTTCTGGGCAGTGTACCAAACAGTTTCACACACATCGTATCATTTCACTTTCCTAGTCATCCTTTTTCATAGATATATAAATGGAGCTCAAGGGCTTATGTAACTGCTCCAAGTTGACACAGCTGGGAAGTAGAAGAGCAAGCATTCCTATTCATGTCTGTAGCTACCAAGCCCTTTCTCGGGTGTTTACAGTGAAAGAGGTGGCAAGGTGGATAGGGATAAACTGGAGAGGCTACCTCATCTAAAGAGGTAGCCAACCCACACCCGCTCCAGCCACCTGGCACCATGGGGAGAACTTGAGCCCAGGATGACCTGAGCTTCCAGTTTGTCAAGAGAACTATAAATTTGATTTTGATTATGGGAAATACTCAATTTTTAGATGTTAGCAAACAGTTTTTTTGTTTGTTTGTTTTTTTTTTTAAATTAGGGGGCTGAGTGCAGTGGCTCACACCTGTGATCCCAGCACTTTGGAGGCCGATGTAGGTGGATCGCTTGATCTCAGGAGTTCAAGACCAGCCTGGGCAACCTAGTGAGACGTCATCTCTATAAAAAATACAAAAATTAGCCAGGCGTGCTGGCACGAGCCTGTAGTCCCAGTTACTCAGGAGACTGAGATGGGAGGATCACTTGAGGCTGAGAGGTGGAGGTTGTAAAGAGCCAACATCGTGCTGCTGCACTCCAGCCTGGGTGACAGAATAAGACCTGGTCTCAAGAAAAAAAAAAAACAAAAACTTTGGGTACTCAAACAAAAGTTATCCAGTGGCTGGTTTTTGCCTGCAGGCCATTCATTGGCAGGCTCTTCTTTGCAACAGAGATGTTGAACTGGCTGGAACAGAGTGGGTAACATGGGGGAGAATGGTGGTGTATGAGATCATTCCAGGGTCCTTTGGGATTAGAACTAGAGAGGACCTTAGCTTAGTAAAGTCAGTTCTGCTATAATGTGATGTGTGTTCCTGAAAATTCCCACACTTTGCCAAATTGTGTGATGAAAACCACAGGACTGATTGGAAAAAATGAAATTAGTGACACTCAAAAACTTTGTCAGTAACGTATTAAAAAACAGATAGTGAATCTAATAAAACCTGCAAGTGGTTAAATACATAGTGACTATAATAAATATGGTACTTGGTCGGGCGCGGCGGCTAGTGCCTATAATCCCAGCACTTTGGGAGGCCGAGGTGGACGGATCACCTGAGGTTGGGAGTTTGAGACCAGCCTGACCAACATGGAGAAATCCCATCTCTACTAAAAATACAAAAAATTAGCGGGGCATGGTGACGCATACCTGTAATCCCAGCTACTCGGGAGGCTGAGGCAGGAGAATGACTTGAACCTGGGAGGCGGAGGTTGCAGTGAGCCAAGATCGTGCCATTGCACTCCAGCCTGGGCAACAAGAGCGAAACTCCGTCTCAAAAATAAATAAGTAAATACGGCACTTTACCTAGAAAAAGCCTTGTAGATTCTTTGTGGAGGTAGGTGTAGGGAGGATTGCGTCTCATGAGTTACTGTGAGTGGTGGACATGGGGTGACCTGAAATCACCAGATGGATTGAATGTGACTCATACCATGTGCACTGAGTATCCCTGCATGGATCACTTCACCTCAGTGTTTATTCATGGAAGAAACCATGCATAAACACAAAATTTGCATTATACTCAAATTATTTACTAACATATCAATCATGTTCAAACAAATTCATCTTTTCACAACAAGCATTATGGCAGCTCTGAGTGTATAGGTAGGCTATTGAGGGCCTTAAAAATCACAGAAAACAACACATATCTTCTTAACGTTACTTCATTCCCCCCAGTTTGTTATAGTTTACAGACAGGAATTTAAGAACTTTTGTTCCAAGTAAAGAAATAAAATTTGCCTCTTGTATTAGTTTCCCAGGGCTGTCACAATAAATTACCACAAACTTAGTGGCTTAAAACAATAGAAATTTATTTTCCCAACCTTCTGGTGGCCAGAAGTCTGAAATCAAGGTGTCAGCAGGGCCATGCTCTCTTAAGGTTCTAGGAGAGTGTCCTTCCTTGCCTCTTCCTACCTTCTGGTGGGTGCCAGCAGTCCTTGGCATTCCTCGCTTGCTTGCAGCTGCATCACTCCAATCTCTGCCTCCATTGCCACATGGTCTTCTTATAAGGACACCAGTCATTGAATTAGGGCCCACCCTAATGCAGTATTACCTC